>NC_000023.11:71212542-72462542 GCF_000001405.40 Homo sapiens | reverse complement strand
GGGCTAGATCTGCCAATAGTTTTAAAAATACAAATCACATTCAGCAGTCATTTTATAGAATTGTTGCAAAATTCATCACAGAAATCTTTCCATTGGGTAGATCACCTCAAGAGATCTGGATTCCAGAGATCTGAGTCTTGCTGATGGCTCTTGATGGAACTGAGGAGTTTGGATTCCTCAGGTACATATTTTTGGGGAGATGGGAGCCTATTTAATCTTTGCAGACCTTGGACTGCCCAGTTTTACACTGTGCATGATTTGACTGGTCCACCAAAGTCTGCCTACTAGGTGGTTTAAAAATATCACAAAGGGGGGATTAGGGGAAATTCTGCAATTTGAGGTTGTCTTTTCTTAAAACATTTTTCTCTCTTTCCTTACCCCCCTTCCCTCTCCTGCTGTTTTATGACTATTCTTTCCTAACTTCACAATTCTTGATGGAGACAGGAGGCTATAACCTTGCCAACACGGCTCGATGCTGGACATACTTGACCGGGGTCATCCTAGGGAAAACACTATCCTCTGAGATCCCAGATCATGAGGTAAGTAAGGCTCTGACAAGTCCTCTCTTCTTTAAGGGGAAGAGCTGAGTCATTCCACCTAATCAAAATCACGTCCTCACCACTCAATACCGTTTTGTTGAGAGACACTTCAATAACAATAACACACTGTCTTGGCAGAATAGTGGACTCTTGTTCCAAAATATCCAAGACCTTCTGCCTTTTTGTTTTTTTACAAGAGATCTCAAAGGCCAACCAACTTTAATTTCTCAATTAATTACAGAGACTGTGGGAAGGGGTCACCTGTTCACACAAAGAATTCTTTGGAATATGTGCATATTTTTATCCCCTAGCCTCAAAAAGGAAGGGGCTATTTTTAAAATGTGTAAGCTGGATTCTCATCTTTTTTTTAAGAAGTTTCATAGGTGGTACGTGGCACATGTTCTTTGGTGGTAGTCCTGATCTCTCAATTTTCTTTGACTAATGTAAAATTCAAGAAACCCACAAGCACTACAAAGACCATTGCTGATGTTTTTCTAGCAATTAGTGGCACACAGAGGCTGGAATAGGACCATCCAAAATGTGAAACGTCATTTGAGCCCTTGCCATTTTCTTTAGTCATACAAGATGGGCTTTATGTTTTCCAAAGCAAAGATGTCTGTTCTAGTTTTCCCAAAACAAGTTCATGGAAAGCTGTCTGGGACCTGTGAGTGTGCTGATAATCCCTAATCCAAAGGCATACCTTTGTTCCTACCTATCACCCCAGTTCCCCTGCAAGTAGGAACCATGTTATAGATCAAGATGTATAACTACGGACCTTAGACTAGATGACTTAAAATAACAAACCAGTACATGCAGCCCCACCTTCTCAAGCTATTTCCCAAGGATTAGGGATGCTGCTTTGGTTTTAATGTTATGATTTCTGCCAGATACAGTAGCTGTACACTTGGGAGCATGATGCTTTTTAAAGTTGCTATTATTTTTTAAAAATTAGAAACAACTTAAACTAATTTCCTTCCAATTTTCTCCTAACCTCAGGTGAGGTACAATATGTATCTCACAAAAACCATTCAATATGTCTAGAATACAAATAGAAGGTACACTATAATTTGAGACAATTTGCTGATGTCAGGGTTAATAGAAGTCTCTTTTCTTGGTTTGTCTTACCTTTATTCAGTATTTGGAAGCTTAATGAAATATAAAGGTAAGTGCTGTGAACAAATGTAATCGCTGTTATTGCTGTGGGAATATCTCAGATTGCATTGTAATTTAAAGCTCTGGGACTTTATAAACTGATCAAGTTATGTCAGAAACAAGTTTTAAGCTGTAGAAGCCTGAACTGAGAATGAATGCTCTATTCCTGAGAAGCAAAAGCAAATCCAAAGTTTCATCTGTGTTAAAAGATTGATAAAATTTTAATAAAGATGAATATCGCCTCTGGTACATGGAGAAGCTGTGGGCCTGAATGGGTGTAAGCTGGGCCTCATAAATAGGTGTTCTGTCTTTATACTGAAATATTCTGTAAGATTAAATGAGATATAATGTATGTCAAGTGCCTAACACGTAGTTCCCTGGAATCTAATAGGCACTTTAAAAATGCAAGTTCTCGGCCGGGCATGGTGGCTTACAGCTGTAATCCCAGCACTTTGGGAGGTCAAGGCAGGCAGATCACTTGAGGTCAGGAGTTTGAGACCAGCCTGGCCAACATGGTGAAAGCCCATCTCTACTAAAGATACAAAAAATTAGCTGGGCGTGGTGGTGCACGCCTGTAATCCCAGCTACTCGGGAGGCTGAGGCAAGCGAATTGCTTGAACCCGGAAGGTGGAGGTTGCAGAGAGCCAAGATCATGCCATTGCACTCCAGCCTAGGTGACAGTGTGACACTCCGTCTCAAAAAAAAGAAAAAAAAATGCAAGTTATCTCCTTCTTCTTTGCATGCTGCTCACTTCTTATACCCAGACATTTATGACTATGTCATTCATAAATTTGTCCAAACCTTTTGTGAATTCCTTCTGTCATATCCTTCTGGTTTAAGAGATGTGAGTCATGCAAGAAAGAACAAAGAATAAAATTGAAATGACAGTCTTACAGGTACAATAAGATAACATTTTAATGAAAATTGCCAAAACTAGGCTACACAGTGTGAAGTCATATAAGTTCTGTGGCACAATACACAGTTGCACACAAATATCCTTGTGGTCCTCTGAAATCAGATTAACAAATGGTAGATCAAAAAATATTTGCTGAGCACCCATTATGTGCCAGACACCATGCTAAATGTCTTAGGAGATGCAAAGAGAGAAATTCATCCCCTACCTCAAGCAGCTAGGGAGGGAGGGTGGTGTAAGTGCTGGGGAGACATGCAAATGCACAGATAGTTATAATACAGAGCAGAAAAAGAATAAGACAGTAGGAAGAGTGACTGTGGAGATGTGCATCAAATATAAAGGGGATACAAAGGAGTACATAAAATACCCTGCCCTCCATGAGCTGAAAATATAATCAAGAAATCTAGTAGGTGAAAAGGTCAAGATAATGCAGTGGTCAGTTGCAGCCGGGCTGACCTCACTCTCTTCGCTCTCAGTCTTGGGCTTTAGTTCTTTCATCTCCTAGGGTAATAATCCTCCTCCTCCAAATGCCCGTTCCCTACTTCTCTATTATCTTCCTAGGTCCAGCTTCAAGTCCTGTGCCCTTCAAAAACCCTTACCTAAATACATCAATCCCCTTTGAGCTCTTCCTTCACGTTCATTTATTCCTTGTTTCATTTAACAATTATGTGTTGGGCCCCTACTATTTGCCAGGCCTTATTGAGACCTGGATTCAGAGATACAAAGACTAATGAGATAATCCCAGTGCCCTCCAAAATCTCACGATCTAATAAAGGTGACAGAACAATGTGCTCACATCCAGGACAGATGAGGACCATAGGGGATATGTTTCAACAAGACTTTGAACTGACTCTTAGAGGCTGATTAGGAGTTCGCTAGGTGAAGAAGAAGAAAAAGGCATTCTAGGCAGAGGGAACAAAGATCAGAAAGGGACTGGTGCCTCATGGGACCAGTGAAAAATTTGCTATGTGTAGATTACAGGGTATATGAGAGACAGTAGGAAGGATTAAGGCTTGAATGGAAGTTAAGGCCAGATTATGAAGAGCCCTGAATGCTACATTAAAGAGCTTACACTTTTTTCTGTGAAAACAAATGAGCTTTAACTTTTAAAAAGCTCAGTTGGTAGAGATAGATTGCAAAGAGGAGAGACTTGAGAAACGCAGACCTGTTAAGAGATTCAAATATATACCTATAACACTTACAGTCTGTGCCATTCATTTGGTCATCATTGTTTTGGTTGTCTGCACCACGCCCCCAACCCTAGTGCTTAGCTGAGTGTTAAGTAGCCACCACCTAGTTGAATAAATGAGTGTTTGAGTAAGTGTCTCAATATTCATATTGGGAAACTTCTATTTTTTTAAGATGAAAGAATTGGAAGCGTAATCTAGCCTTTCTCTGGGAACCCAATTTAACCTTAATAGCAACTTTCCATCCTTTGCAAGAGGTATCAGGTAGCCCAGCTATAGGAAACAGGTGTATCCATGGGAGAACATTATATTACCAATGCAGGGAATGGAGTTCAGAAGGCAGAAGCCCAGCACAAATATTAGAAGTGATAAGGGTAGGACTTCAAGTATAGCGCTCATAAAATATAAAACCGGTGATACCATAAAGCCAGTGATGCCATAAGGCCAGTGATGGCATAAAGCCAGTGATGAGGAAGTTAGTTTCAGCCAGAGCACTGGGGAGCCAGGTTGGCCAGCCAAGCAGTCCCAGCTGGGAAAGCTGAGAAGAATGGAGCTTGTATGTATGATTGGCCCAGATATCTCTACCATAGGGAAAGCCCAAAGGTGTCATGGTACCATGAAAAGACCAGTACATGGCAAATTTAGCACAATCACATGGATTATTATGTATAAAAATGTTCTATAGTCCAGTACTACTATTTAGATCCCGTGACTTATCTAGGATAGAGTAGGGCTGGGGTGTGTGTGTGTGTGTGTGTATGTATATGTGTATCATCACATAGGTTTACTAATGGAAAATATTAACACTACTTAACCAGACTGCTTTTTATGGACTGATTAAACTGTACCTCATTCATATTAGGGAACATATGTAGCCATTAAAAAGAATTAGGTCAATTTATATACAAGTATATGTTACTAATAAAAAAACAGCCTTCTTGCACTGTAACCTGTAGATGGCACTGAATCTATAGATTGATTTGTGCAGGAGTAACATCATAACAATATTTAATCTTTTAAGCCATGAATTTATCTTTCTATTTACTTGAGTCTTCTTTAATTCCAAATTATAATCTGTACTCTCCAGTAAACACATCTTACACAAATATTATTGAATTTATCCCTAAGTACTGTATTTCATTATTTTGATCCTATGTAAATGGTATTTTCATTTCAATTTCCAATAGTTTGTTGCCAGAATATTGAAGGACAATTGACTTTTCATATTGATCTTGAATAATGTAACCTTGCTAAATTTACTTATTAGCTCTAGTAACTTTTTTGTAGATTGCTTAGCATAATCCATGTATGCAAACATCATCTGTGAATAAAGAGAATTTTCTTTCTGTATAATCTTCATGTCTTTTATTTCTTTTTCTCACCTTTTTCACTGGTTGGGACCTCCAGTGCAATGCTGAGTGGAAATGGTGTGTGAATATCTTTATCTGGTCCCCAGTCACAGGGGGAAAGTGCTTAATCTTCACTATGAAGTGTGATATTAGCTGTAGGATTTTTCAAAAATGTTCTTTTTTAGGTTGAGGAAGTTCCCTTCTATTCCTAATTTACTGAGACTTTTTTTTTTCTCACAAATGAGTACTGATTTTGTCAAATGTTTTTCTTCATCTATTGAAATGATCATATGGTATCCTCCTTTATTGTTAGTACAGTAAATTGCACTGATTTTTTAATGTTAAACTGACTTTGCATTCCTGGAATAAACCCTGCTTGGTCATGTTATATTATCCTTTTTATGTATTGCTGGATTCATTTTGCTGAAACTTGGTCAAGGTTTTTTTGTGTCTATGTTGATAAGGGATGTTGGCCTGTTGTTTTCTTTTCTTGTAGTGTCTTTGTCTGGTTTTGATATCAGGGCAATGCTGATCTTTGGTTTCTCTGGGGTTTACATCTGGGCATCTGTTTGTTTTTGTTTTTGTTTCGTTTTTTGTTTTTTGTGAGACAGAATCTTGCTGTGTCGCCCAGGCTGGAGTGCAGTGGTGCAATCTTGGCTCACTGCAACCTCCGCCTCTCGGGTTCACGCGATTTTCCTGCCTCAGCCTCCCCAGTAGCTGAGACTATAGGCGCGCACCACCACACCCGGCTAATTTTTGTATTTTTAGTAGAGATGAGGTTTCACCATGTTGGTCAAACTGGTCTTGAACTCCTGACCTCAAGTAATTCGCCTGCCTTGGCCTCCCAAAGTGCTGGGATTACAGGTGTGAGCCACCATGCCCAGCCTATAGTATGCATTTTTAACTTATTAGAGTCAACTTTTAAATAGTATTACATTACTTCACATATAATATAGTACCTTTACAGCAGCGTTCTTCCATTTTTTTCCTTTCTCTTTCTTTGTGCTATTGTAGTCATATATTTTACTTTTGCATATGTTATAAACCTCTTGATACATTGTTATTGTTTTGCTTTGAACAATTTTTTTAGTTTTTAAAATATTTACTAATTCATTTTAAGTAGAATAAATCCAGCATATATTAGCACAAATAACATGTTTTGATGAAAAATAACTGTATTTTCAAAGATAAAAAGAAATTTCTTAAGAAAAATGTCATTGTTATACCCTTTTGCCCATTTCTTTAACATCTGGCTTAATAGAAGACAGCTGACTTCTCATACCTGCTTCTACATTCAGTGTGTTTTGAGATGTTGTTTTTTTAAAAATATATAAAGAAAATCCAGCTTCACATAGATATGTAATTGGAAAAGGGAAAATGTATTTTAATACACTTTCAGATAATTATGGATATTCTTCGATACTACACTAAAACTTCACAAATGAAAGTTTCTTAAAGGTTAATCCAGTGTGGAATCTGAAACCGTATCAGTGAACTTTTTATGTACTATTACATTAAAACTCATTGGTCATCTTATTCTTTGAGTGGATATTTGACCCATCTTATACATATTGGTTATTTGGAAAATATTAGTTCACTAAGTTATGCAAATATTCCAAATGCTAACACATTTTATGCAGTATCAAAAAATCAGTCATTGATCTCACCACCGATCTCACTGGAAAAAAAGCTTAAGTATTGAGAAGCTGTTATGCTCCCAGTGGCAGAATGAAGTTTCCTAAAATTCTAATTTTCACTCAAAAAATGTGAATATTATCATTGGCAAGAAATGCTGTCAGTTGTTTGCCCTGAAGTGACAAACTTATTTCATTTTTGAGAAAATATTTGCCAAATGTCCAAGTATTTAATCATGCCTTATCCATCATTCTTTCAAGCAAAAATGATGTTCTATGAAAAATGTGGCTAGTTAAGCTCAAAACTTGACATGCTTTTCCTCAAGACAACCACCATAGCACAGTTTATACCAGAAGCACCTTACGTATACCTCCAATTTCATCACACAGAATATTAAATCCAGCATCAGGATTTAATAAAATTAATACTTTTTAGTGCTTTATCAGGGACATTCTTAGGTCAAATTGGATTTTATTTTACTATAAGTGCATGTCAGTAAATAATACAATAACTGCTGGTATACTTTGGTGCTATTGCCTTAATTTGTACCATAGTATCTGCAGTTTTACCCACCATTGCTTTTGCACCTCCATGCAAATATAAACAAAGTTGCTCCAGCATAAACCATGAGATTCAAAGTTATTCAGCACTTTGAACATTTTAGCACTACTCATGTTTGTTGCCAACCATTCACATAAAAGAAGATCGTCTTCAAAGATTAGTTAGTGCTGATACCACATGACTGACTACAAGCAAAACTGTAAGCCCAGCCATATTTGTAGATTTGTCTGTTTGTAAGGTGCGAATAAATTCTGTAAATGAGATGCTAACTAAGTCTTCATGATTACAGCTAAATGTTTAAATAAACAAGTTACTGTGCCATTGAGAAAAGACAATGCTGTAAGCTATTTTACTAACTTTTCATCCAATAGGCAGTGAGCAATGTCAATTGTCCAAGGCTTTATTGGTCTCCAAGCTATAATGTGGAATTCTCTAGCCAATGCAGTAAAATAACTTACCTATAACATGCTGCAATGACTTTTTAATTTCTAGTTTGAAAAGGTGCAACAAACAATTCTTGGCTATTTGAGTTCATCATGTCTACACTTAATATATTCAATTCCTTTTCCCTTAACTATGAATGAATGGTCTAAAAATGATGCTACAATTTAAATGACGAATTATTTTGAAACTGTTCAAAAATGTTCTGTTGCATAAGACACTATAAGGTAAATTCGTTACATATATAAAGATAATTTTAATCATATTTCATTTCTTATTTACAATTTCACCCAGTTTTTTTAAGTAAAGTTCTTCCTTCCATGGGTCAGAACCCTTACTGATGTTTCAGTTTCATCTTTTTCAGCTCTATAAACATAGATGTTGTGGCCCTGGTTTGAGAAAGCAAGTCTTTTAGCTCTGGACAACACCCCTTATATCCCTAATTGGGCTGTGTTTGGCTGGACCGTGTTACTCCATTTCCTGTCTGCCACCAGGGTAACAGCATGCTTTGCTCCTCTCTGGCCTTCGGTGGCAGTCCTTTGAGCTCAGTACATAGGCAGCCACCACTGGATCTGCTGATTCCAACATGACCCTACATGGTCTTCTAAAGAAATTATGAGTAAGAAAATATCTTTTATATTCATCCATTCCAGCATTTTTCAATATTTTGTGTAGATCCAGGTTTCCATCTGGCACAAACTGCATTCTGCCTAGGAACTTCAGTTCATTTTTCTTATACCGTAGGTCTGCTAGCAACAAATTCTCAGCTTTTGTTTGTCTGAAAAAGTTTCTATTTTGTCTTAATTCTGGAAAGATATTTTCACTAGGTGTAGAATTCTAGGTTGATAATTTTTCTTTTAGCACTTCAAAGATATTATTTCATTGCCTTCTTGCTTACATATTTCCTCATGAGAAGTCTGTGATAAATTTTCATCTTTGTTCCCTTGTATAATATGTGTCATATTTCTTTGGCTGCTAAGTTTTCTCTTTATAACTAGTTTTCGGCAGCTGGATTCTAATATGCTGTCATGTGGTTGTCTTTGGATTTATCCTGTCTGAGATGCATTGAGCTAGGATCTGTGGGTTTATAGTTTTTATCAAATTTGGAAATATTTCAACCACTATTTTTTTCTGTTACTTCTTTCTTTCTTCTACTTCTAAGACTCCAGCTAAACCTAGTTAGACCAGTTATGTTGAAGTTTCATGCATCATTCACTGTGACCTTTTTACTTTTTCTTTCTTTTTCTTTCTTTCTTTCTTTCTTTCTTTCTTTCTTTCTTTCTTTCTTTCTTTCTTTCTTTATTTTTAAGAGACAGAGTCTTACTCCGTCAGCCAGGCTTGAGCGCAGTGGTATAGTCATAGCTTACTGCAGCCTCAACTTCCTGGGCTCAAGCGATCCTCCCACCTCACCCTCCCAGGTAAATAGGACTACAGGTGCACTCCACCATGCCTGGTTAATTGTTTTATTTTGTAGAGACAAGCTCTCACTGTGTTGCCCAGGCTGTTGTCCAGGCTGATCTGCCACTCCTGGGCTCAAGCAATCTTCTTGCCTCAGCCTCCCAAAGTGCTGGAATTATGGGCATGAGCCACCATGCCCGGCCTATTTTTTTTTTTTTTCAGTCTTTTATTTCTCCCTGTGATGTATTTTGAAGAGTTTCCATTGCTTTGCCTTCAAGTTCATTGATCTTTTATTCTGCAGTACACCTGCTCTTAATCTCATCCAGTGAAATTTCCATTTCAAATATTGTGTTTTTCATCTCTAGAATTTCCATTCTTAAAAATATTTTTAATTTCTCTCCTCACTAGGTTCATATTTTTTTTACCTCCTTAAGCATATGGAGCATATTTATAATAGCTGTTTTAGAGTCCTTGTCTACTAACTCCATCATTTCTGTCATTTCTGGGTCTGTTTCTGTTAACTGATTTTTCTTCAGATTATAGGTCACATTTGCCTACTTCTTTGCATGTTTAGTAATTTTTTATTGGATATCAAATGTCATGACTTTTATATTGTTGAATTCTGGATTTTAAATAATTGGATTTCAAGAGGATTATACTTTTTTCCTGATAATTAAGTTATTGTGGATCAGTTTGATCCTTTTCCAGTTTTGTTTTGAAATTAATTTAGAGTAGGTCTTGACTAGCCTTTTTATTCTAGGGCTAATTTAGCCTGCTTTGAATGTACTACCCCTGTGAAGCCTATACTGTTACCCCAGGTATTCAGTGAGATCTCTTCAATTTGGCCCTTTGTGAGCTCTAGAAATTGTTCTTCTTTTTTTGTTTGGTTGGTTTTTGTTTGTTTGTTTGTTTAAGATGGAGTCTTGCTCTGTCACCCAGGCTGGAGTACAGTGGCATGATCTCAGCTCACTGCAACCTCCGCCTCCCAGGTGCAAGCAATTCTCCTGCCTCAGCTTCCCCAGTAGCTGGGATTACAGACATGTGCCACCATGCCCAGCTAATTTTTGTATTTTTAGTAGAGACGGGGTTTCGCCATGTTGGCCAGGCTGGTCTCGAACTCCTGACCTCAAGTGATCCGCCAGCCTCAGCCTCCCAAAGTGCTGGGATTACAGGCATGAGCCACGGCACCCAGCCAGGAATTGTTCATCTTACAACACCACAATAATTGTTTTTCTGTAAGTTTTTCAGGACTACTCTTGTGAAGTTGTACCCTATACATGTTCAGACTGGTATTCTTCAAAAGACTCAAGTAGACTTCTACGTATATTTCTAGTATTCTTTTTTTGGCTTAGCTCCATCTCTACAATTTCTAACCACCTTGGCCTCTCTGAACTCCAATATCCATCTCCTCTACTCAGTGAGATTGCTGGGCTCTGTTTGGATTCCCCCTTCCTACACCACAGTCCAGGGATTACTTCCAGGTAGAAAGCCTGGGTGAAAGTAGGGTTCACCTCATTCGTATCCTCTGTCTTTCAGGAATCAGTATCTTGTACTGTTTATTGTCCAATTTCTGAAAATAGATGTTTCCTGTAATTTGTTAATTTTCCAGTTGTCTCTAGAGAGAAAGTAATCTCGCCCTCATGGCCAGAAGCCGAAGTCCTTTAGTTATCTGCCTTCATTTTCTCTGCCTTCATTTTTGAAGAATATTTTTGTAGGATTTAAATTCTACATTTACAGTTTTTCTTTTCTTCTGGCTTCTGTTGTTTCTGATGGATATTAGTCTTATTATTATTGTTTCCCTGTATATAATGTATCTTTTCCCCTCTGGCTACCTTTATAAATTTATATTTGGTATTCAAACCTTTACTGTGGGCTAGGCACGGTGGCCCATGCCTGTAATCCCAACACTTTGGGAAGCTAAGGCAGGCAGATCACTTGAAGCCAGGAGTTTGAGACCAGCCTGGCCAACATGGTGAAACCCCATCTCTACTAAAAGTACAAAAAGAAGCCCGGTGTGGTGGCACATGCCTGTAATCCCAGCTACTCGGGTGGCTGAGTCATGAGAATCACTTGAACCTGGGAGGCAGAGTATGCAGTAAGCTGAGATCACACCACTGCACTCCAGCCTGGGCAACAATGCAAGACTCTGTCTCAAAAGGAAAAAAAAAAAAACAGAGAGAAAGAACATCGACTGTAATATGCCTCAGTGTACATTTGTTTGTATTTATCCTATGTGGGATTCCCTAACTTCTTGGATTTGTGGGTTGCTAATTTTTATATACAGGTTGGGTATCACTTTTTTAAAACACTTGGGACCAGAAATGTTTTGGATTTCAGATTTTTTTTCAGATTTTGTAATATTTGCAATCTGGAAATTCAAAATCTAAAATGCTCCAGTGAACATTTCCTTTGAACATCATATCAGGACTCAAAAAGTTTCATATTTTAGAACATTTCAGATTTTGGATTTTCAGATTAGGGATACTCAACCTGTGATTTGGAAAAAGTATCAGCCAGTATTTCTTTATTTTTTTTTTAACTTATTCTCCCTTTCCTGTTCTTCTGGGACTCTAATTACAAATATGTTTGATTGATGCTGTCCTACAAGACACTGAAGTGAGCTTACTATTTTTTTCAGTTTTTTTCTCTCCAGGCTACAGTTTGTTTGATTTCTATTGATCAGTCTTCAAGTTTACTGATTCCTTAGTATACAATCTACTATTCATTCCATCCAATGAATTTTTTTTATTTCATCTCATCCAATGATTTCCTTAGCTTCTTTTTTCTTGAAAAGATTATAGATTCACAGACCATTGTAAAGGTACTACAAAGAGGTACCATGTACTCTTCACTCAGTTCCCCCCAGTGGTAACTTCTTACATGACTATACTGCAGTAAAAAAACCAGGAAATTGACATTGGTACAGCAGACCTTATTTAAATTTGACCAGTTTTACATGAGCCCATTTGTGTGTGCCTGTGTGTGCATAGGCAATTTTATTATATGTATAGATTGATGTAACTACTACCGTCGTCAGGATACAGCGCTGTTCCATTATCACAGAGACCTTCCTTGTGCTACCCTTTTATAGCCACTGCTGCCTTCTTTTCCCCTACTCCATCACGAACCCTTGGCAATCACTGACCTTTCTTCATCTCTATGACTTTTTCATTTAGACAATGTGATATAAGTGGAATGATACATTATGTGAGTTGTTGAGATTGGATTTTGCCCTCAGGATAATTCCCTTGAGATCCATCCAATTTGTTCCATACATTAATAGTTCATTCCTTTTTATGGATGAATGGTATTCCATGGTATAGATGTACCATAGGTTGTTTAATCATTTCTCCATTTGAGTTGTTTCCAATTTTGGCTATTAAAATTAAACACTTATATACAGTTTTTGTGTGGATATAAGTTTTCATATCTCTGGGAACAATGCCTAGGAATGCAAATGCTATATCATATTGTAAGAATAGGTGTGTTGTTTTTAAGAAACTAAACAGAAAGGAAATGACTAAAGAAAAGAAGTGCTTTCTTTTAATTACTGTTTACATACCTTATCTTTTCCATCCCTTTAAAAAATGTCCCTATATCATTACATTTGAAGTGAGTTTCTTGTAGACAGGATATAATTGGATTGTGTTTTTTTTTAACCTATTCTGCCATCTCTGTCTTTCCAATGGTGTGTTTAGGCGATTTACTTTTAATGTAGTTATTGATATGTTAGGGCTTAAGTCTGCCATTTTATTTAAACAGTATGTTTTCTGTTTGTTCCCTCTAATTTTTTTTTTATACTTTAAGTTCTGGGAGACATGCAGAACGTGCAGGTTGGTTACATAGGTGTACACGTGCCATGGTGGTTGCCGCACCCATCAACTCATCATCTACATTAGGTATTTCTCCTAATGCTCTCCCTCCCCTAGGCCCCCAACCCCAACAGGACCCAGTGTGTGATGTTCCCCTCCCTGTGTCCATGTGTTCTCATTGTTCAACTCCCACTTATGACTGAGAACATGCGGTGTTTGGTTTCTGTTCCTATGTTAGTTTTCTGAGAATGATGGTTTCCAGCTTCATCCATGTCCCTGCAAAGGACATGAACTCATCCTTTTTTATGGCTGCATAGTATTCCATGGGGTATATGTGCCACATTTTCTTTATCCAGTCTATCATTGATGGGCATTTGCACTGGTTCCAAGACTTTCCTATTGTGAATAGTACTGCAATAAACATCTACAAACCTATGTGTTCATGTGTCTTTATAGTAGAATGATTTATAATCCTTTGGGTATATACCCAGTAATGGGACTGCTGGGTCAAATGGTATTTCTGGTTCTAGATCCTTGAGGAATCACCACACTGTCTTCCACAATGGTTGAACACTCCCACCAACAGTGTGAAAACGTTCCTATTTCTCCACATCCTCTCCAGCATCTGTTGTTTCCTGACTTTTTAATGATCGCCATTCTAACTGGTGTGAGATGGTACCTCATTGTGGTTTTGATTTGCATTTCTCTAATGAACAGTGATGATGAGCTTTTTCTCATGTTTGCTGGCCACATAAATGTCTTCTTTAGAGAAGTGTCGGTTCATATCCTTCACCTACTTTTTGATGTTTGTTTTTTCCTTGTAAATTTGTTTAAGTTCCTTGTAGATTCTAGATATTAGCCTTTTATCAGATGGATAGATTGCAAAAATTTTCTCCCATTCTGTAACTTGTCTGTTCACTCTGATGATAGTTTCTCTTGCTGTGCAGAAGCTCTTTAGTTTAATTAGATCCCATTTGTCACTTTTGGCTTTTGTTGCCATTGCTTTTGGTATTTTAGTCATGAAGTCTTTGCCCATGCCTATGTCCTGAATGGTATTGCCTAGGTTTTCTTCTAGAGTTTTTATGATTTTAGGTCTTATGTTTAAGTCTTTAATGCATCTTGAGTTAATTTTTGTATCAGGTGTAACAAAGGGGTCCAGTTTCAGTTTTCTGCATATGGCTAGCCAGTTTTCCCAACACCATTTATTAAATAGGGAATCTTTCCCCATTGCTTGTTTTTGTCAGGTTTGTCAAAAATCAGAGGGTTGTAGATATGCAGCATTATTTCTGAGGCCTCTGTTCTGTTCCATTGGTCTGTATATCTGTTTTGGTACCAGTACCATGCTGTTTTGGTTACTGTAGCCTTGTAGTATTGTTTGAAGTCAGGTAGTGTAATGCCTCCAGCTTTGTTCTTTTTGCTTAGGATTGTCTTGGCTATAAGGGCTCTTTTTTGGTTCCATATGAAATTTAAAGTAGTTTTTTCTAATTCTGTGAAGAAAGTCAATAGTAGCTTGACAGGGATAGCATTGAATCTATAAATTACTTTGGGCAGTATGGCCATTTTCACAATATTGATCCTTCCTATCCATGAACATGGAATGTTTTTCCATTTGTTTGTGTCCTCTCTTATTTCCTTGAGCAGTGGTTTGTAGTTCTCCTTGAAGAGGTCCTCCACATCCCTTGTAAGTTGTATTCCTAGGTATTTTATTCTCTTTGTAGCAATTGTGAATGGGAGTTCACTCATGATTTGGCTCTCTGTCTGTTGTTGATGTATAGGAATGCTTGTGAATTTTGCACATTGATTTTGTATCCTGAGACTTTGCTGAAGTTGCTTATCAGCTGAAGGAGATTTGGGGCTGAGATGATGGGGTTTTCTAAATATACAATCATGTCTTCTGAAAACAGAGACAATTTGACTTCCTCTCTTCCTATTTGAATACCCTTTATTTCTTTCTCTTGCCTGATTGCCCTGGCCAGAAATTCCAATACTGTATTGAATAGGAGTGGTGAGAGAGGGCATCCTTGTCTTGTGCCAGTTTTCAAAGGGAATGCTTCCAGCTTTTGCCCATTCAATATGATATTGGCTGTCGGTTTGTCATAAATAGCTCTTATTATTTTGAGATATGTTCCATCAATATCTAGTTTATCGAGAGTTCTTAGCATGAAGGGGTGTTGAATTTTATCAGAGGCCTTTTCTGCATCTATTGAGATAATCATGTGGTTTTTGTCGTTGGTTCTGTTTATGTGATGGATTACGTTTATTGATTTGCCTATGCTGAACCAGCGTTGCATCCCAGGGATGAAGGCAACTTGATTTGGTGGATAAGCTTTTTGATGTGCTGCTGAATTTGGTTTGCCAGTATTTTATTGAGCATTTTTGCATAGATGTTCATCAGGGATATTGGCCTGAAATTTTCTTTTTTTCTGTGTCTCTACCAGGTTTTGGTATCAGGATGATGCTGGCCTCATAAAATGAGTTAGGGCAGAGTCCCTCTTTTTCTATTGTTTGGAATAGTTTCAGAAGGAATGGTACCAGCTCCTCTTTGTACCTCTGGTAGAATTCGGCTATGAATCCATCTGGTCTTGGACTGTTTTTGTTGGTAGGCTATTAATTACTGTCTCAATTTCAGAACTTGTTATTGGTCTATTCAGGGATTCGATTTCTTCCTGGTTTTCTCTTGGGAGGGTGTATGTGTCCAGGAATTTATCCATTTTTTTTCTAGATTTTCTAATTTATTCGTGTAGAGGTGTTTATATTATTCTCTGATGGTAGTTTGTATTTCTGTGGGATCAGTGGTGATATCCCCTTTATCATTTTTTATTGTGTCTATTTGATTCTCCTCTCTTTTCCTCTTTATTAGTCTCTTTTTTATTAAACTTTAAGTTTTAGGGTACATGTGCACAATGTGCAAGTTAGTTACATATGTATACACGTGCCATGCTGGTGTGCTGCACTCATTAACTCGTCATTTAGCATTAGGTATATCTCCTAATGCTATCCCTCCCCCGTTCCCCCACCCCGCAACAGTCCCCAGAGTGTGATGTTCCCCTTCCTGTGTCCACGTGTTCTCATTGTTCAATTCCCACCTATGAGTGAGAACATGCAGTGTTTGGTTTTTTGTCCTTGCGATAGTTTACTGAGAATGATGATTTCCAATTTCATCCATGTCCCTACAAAGGACATGAACTCATCATTTTTTATGGCTGCATAGTATTCCATGGTGTATATGTGCCACATTTTCTTAATCCAGTCTATCATTGTTGAACATTTGGGTTGGTTCCAAGCCTTTGCTATTGTGAATATTGCCACAATAAACATACGTGTGCGTGTGTCTTTATAGCAGCATGATTTATAGTCCTTTGGGTATATACCCAGTAATGGGATGGCTGGGTCAAATGGTATTTCTAGTTCTACATCCCTGGGGAATCACCACACTGACTTCCACAAGGGTTGAACTAGTTTACAGTCCCACCAACAGTGTAAAAGTGTTCCTATTTCTCCACATCCTCTCCAGCACCTGTTGTTTCCTGACTTTCTAATGATCGCCATTCTAACTGGTGTGAGATTGTATCTCATTGTGGTTTTGATTTGCATTTCTCTGATGGCCAGTGATGGTGAGCATTTTTTCATGTGTTTTTTGGCTGCATAAATGTCTTCTTTTGAGAAGTGTCTGTTCATATCCTTCACCCACTTTTTGATGGGGTTGTTTATTTTTTTCTTGTAAATTTGTTTGAGTTCATTGTAGATTCTGGATATTAGCCCTTTGTCAGATGAGCAGGTTGTGAAAATTTTCTCCCATTTTGTAGGTTGACTGTTCACTCTGATGGTAGTTTCTTTTTGCTGTGCAGAAGCTCTTTAGTTTAATTAGATCCCATTTATCAATTTTGGCTTTTGTTGCCATTGCTTTTGGTGTTTTAGACATGAAGTCCTTGCCCATGCCTATGTCCTGAATGGTAATGCCTAGGTTTTCCTCTAGGGTTTTTATGGTTTTAGCTCTAACATTTAAGTCTTTAATCCATCTTGAATTAATTTTTGTATAAGGTGTAAGGAAGGGATCCAGTTTCAGCTTTCTACATATGGTTAGCCAGTTTTTCCAGCACCATTTATTAAATAGGGAATCCTTTCCCCATTGCTTGTTTTTGTCAGGTTTGTCAAAGATCAGATAGTTGTAGATATGCGGCATTATTTCTAAGGGCTCTGTTCTGTTCCATTGATCTATATCTCTGTTTTGGTACCAGTACCATGCTGTTTTGGTTACTGTAGCCTTGTAGTATAGTTTGAAGTCAGGTAGCGTGATGCCTCCAGCTTTGTTCTTTTGGCTTAGGATTGACTTGGTGATGCGGGCTCTTTTTTGGTTCCATATGAACTTTAAAGTAGTTTTTTCCAATTCTGTGAGGAAAGTCATTGGTAGCTTGATGGGGATGGCATTGAATCTGTAAATTACCTTGGGCAGTATGGCCATTTTCACAATATTGATTCTTCCTACCCATGAGCATGGAATGTTCTTCCATTTGTTTGTATCCTCTTTTATTTCATTGAGCAGTGGTTTGTAGTTCTCCTTGAAGAGGTCCTTCACGTCCCTTGTAAGTTGGATTCCTAGGTATTTTATTCTCTTTGAAGCAATTGTGAATGGGAGTTCACTCATGATTTGGCTCTCTGTCTGTTATTGGTGTATAAGAATGCTTGTGATTTTTGCACATTGATTTTGTATCCTGAGACTTTGCTGAAGTTGCTTATCAGCTGAAGGAGATTTTGGGCTGAGACAATGGGGTTTTCTAGATATACAATCATGTCATCTGCAAACAGGGACAATTTGACTTCCTCTTTTCCTAATTGAATACCCTTTATTTCCTTCTCCTGCCTAATTGCCCTGGCCAGAACTTCCAACACTATGTTGAATAGGAGTGGTGAGAGAGGGCATCCCTGTCTTGTGCCAGTTTTCAAAGGGAATGCTTCCAGTTTTTGCCCATTCAGTATGATATTGGCTGTGGGTTTGTCATAGATAGCTCTTATTATTTTGAGATACGTCCCATCAATACCTAATTTATTGAGAGTTTTTAGCATGAAGGGTGTTGAATTATGTCAAAGGCCTTTTCTGCATCTATTGAGATAATCATGTGGTTTTTGTCTTTGGTTCTGTTTATATGCTGGATTACATTTATTGATTTATGTATATTGAACCAGTGTTGCATCCCAGGGATGAAGCCCACTTGATCATGGTGGATAAGCTTTTTGATGTGCTGCTGGATTCGGTTTGCCGGTATTTTATTGAGGATTTTTGCATCAATGTTCATCAAGGATATTGGTCTAAAATTCTCTTTTTTGGTTGTGTCTCTGCTGGGCTTTGGTATCAGGATGATGCTGGCCTCATAAAATGAGTTAGGGAGGATTCCCTCTTTTTCTATTGATTGGAATAGTTTCAGAAGGAATGGTACCAGCTCCTCCTTGTACCTCTGGTGGAATTCAGCTGTGAATCCATCTGGTCCTGGACTCTTTTTGGTTGGTAAGCTATTGATTATTGCCACAATTTCAGAGCCTCTTATTGGTCTATTCAGAGATTCAACTTCTTCCTGGTTTAGTCTTGGGAGGGTGTATGTGTTGAGGAATTTATCCATTTCTTCTAGATTTTCTAGTTTATTTGCATAGAGGTGTTTGTAGTATTCTCTGATGGTAGTTTGTATTTCTGTGTGATCGGTGGTGATATCCCCTTTATCATTTTTTATTGCATCTATTTGATTCTTCTCTCTTTTCTTCTTTATTAGTCTTGCTAGCGGTCTATCAATTTTGTTGATCCTTTCAAAAAACCAGCTCCTGGATTCATTAATTTTTTGAAGGGTTTTTTGTGTCTGTATTTCCTTCAGTTCTGCTCTGATTTTAGTTATTTCTTGCCTTCTGCTAGCTTTTGAATGTGTTTGCTCTTGCTTTTCTAGTTCTTTTAATTGTGATGTTAGGGTGTCAATTTTGGATCTTTCCTACTTTCTCTTGTGGGCATTTAGTGCTATAAATTTCCCTCTACACACTGCTTTGAATGTGTCCCAGAGATTCTGGTATGTTGTGTCTCTGTTCTCCTTGGTTTCAAAGAACATCTTTATTTCTGCCTTCATTTCGTTATGTACCCAGTAGTCATTCAGGAGCAGGTTGTTCAGTTTCCATGTAGTTGAGCGGTTTTGAGTGAGTTTCTTAATCCTGAGTTCTAGTTTGATTGCATTGTGGTCTGAGAGACAGTTTGTTATAATTTCTGTTCTTTTACATTTGCTGAGGAGAGCTTTACTTCCAACTATGTGGTCAATTTTGGAATAGGTGTGGTGTGGTGCTGAAAAAAATGTATATTCTGTTGATTTGGGGTGGAGAGTTCTGTAGATGTCTATTAGGTGTGCTTGGTGGAGAGCTGAGTTCATTCCTGGGTATCCTTGTTAACTTTCTGTCTCGCTGATCTGTCTAATGTTGACAGTGGGGTGTTAAAGTCTCCCATTATTATTGTGTGGGAGTCTAAGTCTCTTTGTAGGTCACTCAGGACTTGCTTTATGAATCTGGGTGCTCCTGTATTGGGTGCATATATATTTAGGATAGTTAGCTCTTCTTGTTGAATTGATCCCTTTACCATTATGTAATGGCCTTCTTTGTCTCTTTTGATCTTTGTTGGTTTAAAGTCTGTTTGATCAGAGACTAGGATTGCAACCCCTGCCTTTTTTTGTTTTCCATTTGCTTGGTAGATCTTCCTCCATCCTTTTATTTTGAGCCTATGTGTGTCTCTGCATGTAAGATGGGTTTCCTGAATACAGCACACTGATGGGTCTTGATTCTTTATCCAATTTGCCAGTCTGTGTCTTTTAATTGGAGCATTGAGTCCATTTACATTTAAAGTTAATATTGTTATGTGTGAATTTGATCCTGTCATTATGATGTTAGCTGGTTATTTTGCTCGTTAGTTGATGCAGTTTCTTCCTAGCCTTGATGATCTTTACAATTTGGCATGATTTCGCAGTAGCTGGCACCAGTTGTTCTTTTCCATGTTTAGTGCTTCCTTCAGGAGCTCTTTTAGGGCAGGCCTGGTGGTGATAAAATCTCTCAGCATTTGCTTGTCTGTAAAGGATTTTGTTTCTCCTTCACTTATGAAGCTTAGTTTGGCTGGATATGAAATTCTGGGTTGAAAATTCTTTTCTTTAAGAATGTTGAATGTTGGCCCCTACTCTCTTCTGGCTTGTAGAGTTTCTGCCGAGAGATCCGCTGTTAGTCTGATGGGCTTCCCTTTGTGGGTAACCCGACCTTTCTCTCTGGCTGCCCTTAACATTTTTTCCTTCATTTCAACTTTGGTGAATCTGACAATTACGTGTCTTGGAGTTGCTCTTCTCGAGGAGCATCTTTGTGGTGTTCTCTGTATTTCCTGAATCTGAATGTTGGCCTGCCTTACTAGATTGGGGAAGTTCTCCTGGATAATATCCTGAAGAGTGTTTTCCAACTTGGTTCCATTCTCCCCGTCACTTTCAGGTACACCAATCAGACGTAGATTTGGTCTTTTCACATAGTCCCATATTTCTTGGAGGCTTTTTTCATTTCTTTTTATTCTTTTTTCTCTAAACTTCCCTTCTCACTTCATTTCATTCATTTGATCTTCCATCACTGATACCCTTTCTTCCAGTTGATCGCATCGGCTCCTGAGGCTTCTGCATTCTTCACATAGTTCTCGAGCCTTGGCTTTCAGCTCCATCAGCTCCTTTAAACACTTCTCTGTATTGGTTATTCTAGTTATACATTCGTCTAAATTTTTTTCAAAGTTTTTAACTTCTTTGCCTTTGGTTTGAATTTCCTCCTGTAGCTGGGAGTAGTTTGATCGTCTGAAGCCTTCTTCTCTCAACTCTTCAAAGTCATTCTCCATCCAGCTTTGTTCCTTTGCTGGTGAGAAACTGTGTTCCTTTGGAGGAGGAGAGGCACTCTGCTTTTTAGAGTTTCCAGTTTTTCTGTTGTTTTTTCCCCATCTTTGTGGTTTTATCTACTTTTGGTCTTTGATGATGGTGATGTAAAGATGGGTTTTTGGTGTGGATGTCCTTTCTGTTTGTTAGTTTTCCTCCTAACAGACAGGACCCTCAGCTGCAGGTCTGTTGGAGTTTGCTAGAGGTCCACTCCAGACCCTGTTTGCCTGGGTACCAGCAGCGGTGGCTGCAGAAGAGTGGATTTTCGTGAACCACGAATGCTGCTGTCTGATCGTTCCTCTGGAAGTTTTGTCTCAGAGGAGTACCCGGCCGTGTGAGGTGTCAGTCTGCCCCTACTTGGAGGTCCCTCCCAGTTAGGCTGCTCGGGTGTCAGGGGTCAGGGACCCACTTGAGGAGGCAGTCTGCCTGTTCTCAGATCTCCAGCTGCATGCTGGGAGAACCACTGCTCTCTTCAAAGCTGTCACACAGGGACATTTAAGTCTGCAGAGGTTACTGCTATCTTTTTGTTTGTCTGTGCCCTGCCCCCGGAGGTGGAGCCTACAGAGGCAGGCAGGCCTCCTTGAGCTGTGGTGGGCTCCACCCAGTTCGAGCTTCCCGACTGCTTTGTTTACCTAAGCAAGCCTGGGCAATGGCGGGCGCCCCTCCCTCAGCCTCGCTGCCGCCTTGCAGTTTGAACTCAGACTGCTGTGCTAGCGATCAGCAAGACTCCGTGGGCGTAGGACCCCCCCAAGCCAGGTGCGGGATATAATGTCCTGGTGCGCCGTTTTTTAAGCCCATCGGAAAAGCGCAGTATTAGGGTGGGAATGACCCGATTTTCCAGGTGCTGTCTGTCACCCCTTTCTTTGAGTAGGAAAGGGAACTCCCTGACCCCTTGTGCTTCCCAAGTGAGGCAATGCCTCGCCCTGCTTCGGCTCACGCACAGTGTGCTTCACCCACTGTCCTGTGCCCACTGTCTGGCACTCCCTAGTGAGATGGACCCGGTACCTCAGATAGAAATGCAGAAATCACCCGTCTTCTGCGTCGCTCACGCTCTTTATTAGTCTTGCTAGCGGTATATCTATTTTGTTGATTTTTCAAAAAACCAGCTCATGGATTCATTGATTTTTTTTTGAAGGGTTTTTTGTGTCTCTATCTCCTTCAGTTCTGCTCTGATCTTAGTTATTTCTTGTCTTCTGCTAGCTTTTGAATTTGTTTACTCTTGCTTCTCTAGTTGTTTTAATTGTGATGTTAGGGTGTCGATTTTAGATCTCTCCTGCTTTCTGTTGTGGGCACTTAGTGCTATAAATTTCCCTCTAAACACTGCTTTAGCTGTGTCCCAGAGATTCTGGTACATTGTATCTTTGTTCTCATTGGTTTCAAAGACCTTATTTATTTCTGCCTTCATTTTGTTATGTACCCAGTAGTCATTCAGGAGCAGGTTGTTCAGTTTCCATGTAGTTGTGTGGTATTGAGTGAGTTTCTTAATCCTGAGTTGTAATTTGATTGTGCTGTAGTCTGAGAGACTGTTTGTTATGATTTCCGTTCTTTTGCATTTGCTGAGGAGTGTTTTACTTCCAATTATGTGGTCAATTTTGGAATAAGTGCAATGTGGTGCTGAGAAGAATGTGTATTCTGTTGATTTGTGGTGGAGAGCTCTGTAGATGTCTATTAGATCCACTTGGTCCAGAGTTGAGTTCAAGTCCTGAATATCCTTGTTAATTTTCTGTCTTGTTGATCTGTCTAATACTGACAGTGGGGTGTTAAAGTCTCCCACTTTTATTGTGTGGGAGTCTAAATCTCTTTTTAGGTCTCTAAGAACTTGCTTTATGAATCTGGGTGCTCCTGTATTGGGTGCACATATATTTAGGATAGTTAGCTCTTCTTTTTGCATTGATCCCTTTACCATTATGTAATGCCCTTCTTTGTCTTTTTAGATTGTTGTTGGTTTAAAGTCTGTTTTATCAGAGACTAGGATTGCAACCCCTGCTTTTTTTTTTTTTTTTTTTGCTTTCCATTTGCTTGTAAATATTCATCCATCCCTTTATTTTGAGCCTATGTGTGTCTTTGCACGTGAGATGGGCCTCCTGAATACAGCACACCAATGGGTCTTGACTCTTTATCCAGTTTGCCAGTCTTTGTCTTTTAATTGGGGCATTTAGCCCACTTACATTTAAAGTTAATATTGTTATGTGTGAATTTGATCCTGTCATTATGATGCTAGCTGGTTATTGTGACCATTAATTGATGCAGTTTGTTCATAGTATCAATGGTCTTTACAATTTGGTATGTTTTTGCAGTGGCTGGTACTGGTTTTTTCTTTCCATATTTAGTGCTTCCTTCAGGAGCTCTTGTAAGGCATGCCTGGTGGTGACAAAATCTCTCAGCATTTGCCTGTCCATAAGGGATTTTATTTCTCCTTTGCTTATGAACCTTAGTTTGGCTGGATATGAAATTCTGGGTTGAAAATTCTTTTCTTTAAGAATGTTGAATATTGGCCCCCACTCTCTTCTGGCTTGTAGAGTTTTGCAGAGAGGTCTGCTGTTAGTCTGATGGGCTTCCCTTTGTGGGTAACCCGACCTTTCTCTCTGGCTGCCCTTAACAATTTTTCCTTCATTTCAATCTTGGTGAATCTAACAATTATGTGTCTTGGGGTTGCTCTTCTCGAGGAGTATCTTTGTGGTGTTCTCTGTATTTCCTGAATTTGAATGTTGGCCTGTCTTGCTATGTTGGGGAAGTTCTCCTGGATAATATCCTGAAAAGTGTTTTCCAACTTGGTTCCATTCTCCCTGTCACTTTCAGGTACACCAAACAAACATAGATTTGGTCTTTTCACATAGTCCTTTATTTCTTGGAGGCTTTGTTGATTCCTTTTCAATCTTTTTTCTCTAATCTTGTCTTCACACTTCATTTCATTAAGTTGATCTTCAATCTCTGATATCCTGTCTTCCACTTGATCCGTTCAGCTATTGATACTTGTGTATGCTTCACGAAATTCTCGTGCTGTGTTTTTCAGCTCCATCAGGTCATTTATGTTCTTCTCTAAACTGGTTATTCTAGTTAGCAATTCCTCTAACCTGTTTTCAGGGTTCTTAGCTTCCTTGCATTGGGTTAGAACATGCTCCTTTAGCTTGGAGGAGTTTGTTATTACCCACCTTCTGAAGCCTACTTTTGTCAATTCATCAAACTCATTCTTGTGATCCTTTGGAGGAGAAGAGGCATTCTGGTTTTTTGAATTCTCAGCCTTTTTACACTGGTTTTTCCTCATCTTCGTTGATTTATCTACCTTTGGTCTTTGATGTTGGTGACCTTTGGATGGGGTTTATGTGTGGACGTCCTTTTTGTTGGTGTTGGTGCTATTCCTTTCTGTTTGTTAGTTTTCCTTCTAACAGTCAGGCCTCTCTGCTGCAGGTGTGCTGGAGTTTGCTGGAGGTCCACTCCAGACGCTGTTTGCCTGGGTATCACCAGCGGAGGCTGCAAAACAGCAAAGATTGTTGCTTGTTCCTTCCTCTGGAAGCTTTGTCCCAGAGGGGCCCCTGCCAGATGCCAGCCGGAGTTCTCCTGTATGAGATGTCTGTTGACCCCTGCTGGGAGGTATCTTCCATTCAGGAGGCACAGGGGTCAGGGACCCACTTGAGGAGGCAGTCTGACCCTTAGCAGAGCTCGAGCACTGTGTTGGGAGACCCACTGCTCTGTTCAGAGCCAGCAGGCAGGAACGTTTAAGTCTGCTGAAGCTGCACCCACAGCCGCCCCTTCACCCAGGTGCTCTGTCCCATGGAGATGGGAGTTTTCTCCGTAAGCCCCTGACTGGGGCTGCTGCCTTTCTTTCAGAGATGCCCTGCCCAGAGAGGAGGAATCTAGAGAGGCAGTCTGGGTACAGCGGCTTTGCAGAGCTGTGGTGGTCTCCACCCAGTTCAAACTTCCCAGAGGCTTCGTTTACACTGTGAGTGGAAAACCGCCTACTCAAGCCTCAGTAATGGTGGACACCCCTCACCCCACCAAGCTCAAGCATCTGAGGTCATCTTCAGACTGCTGTGCTGGCAGCGAGAATTTCAAGCTTGTGGCTCTTAGATTGCTGGGCTCTGTGGGGATGGGATCCACTGAGCTAGACCACTTGGCTCCCTGACTTCAGCCCCCTTTTCAGGGGAGTGAAGAGTTCTGTCTTGCTGGCATTCCAGGTGCCACTGGAGTATGAAAAAAAAAACTCCTGAAGCTAGCTCAGTGTCTGCCCAAACGGCAGCCCAGTTTTGTGCTTGAAACCCAGGTCCCTGGTGGTGTAGGCACCTGAGGGAATCTCCTGGTCTGTGGGTTGTGAAGTCCATGGGAAAAGTGTAGTATCTGGGCCATAATGCACCATTCCTCACGGCACAGTCCCTCATGGCTTCCCTTGGCTAGGAGAGGGAGTTCCCCAACCCCTTCCACTTCCCAGGTGAGGCAACACCCCACCCTGCTTCAGCTCACCCTCCGTGGGCTGCACCCACTGTCTAGCCAGTCCCATTGAGATGAGCCAGGTACCTCAGTTGGAAATGCAGAAATCACCCACCTTCTGCGTTGATCATGCTGGGAGCTGCAGACCAGAGCTGTTCTTGTTCAGCCATCTTGCCAGCTACCTGTTCCCTCTATTTTTTTCTAGTGCCTTCATGTGGGTTACTTGGGCATTTTTAAAGAATTTTATTTTTTATTTATCTATAGTATTCTTAAGTGTATCAATTTGTATAGTTTGTTAATTGTTACTTTAGGTATTAGATTATACATGTATAATTTATCACAGTCTACTAGTATCAACATTTCACCTCTTTGAGTAAAGAAACCTTACCTCCCTTTATGTTTCTGTACCTTCCTCCCTTTATAGTACATCTTAAATGTGTCCTCTACACATATCAATAATCACATCAGTCTTATAGTTTTTGTTTCAATCATCAAACATAATTTAGAAAGGTTAAGAGGATAAGGAAAGTCTGTTTTATTTACCCATATTTTAACTCTTTCTGTTGTCCTTCCTTCCTTCCTTCCTTCCTTCCTGATGCTCTTTTTTTTCTTTTATCATTTCCTTTCTGTTTAGAGAACTTACTTTTTCTATTCTTATAGGTTAGATCTGCTGATAAGTTCTTTTCGTCTTCCTTCATCTGAGAATGTCTTGATTTCCCTTTCACTCCTGAAGGATATTTTCACTGGGTATAGAATTGGGTATAGAATTGTCTGGACTGACAATTCTTTTCTTTCCGCACTTAAAAAATATGCCACTTCCCTCTGACCTCCATGGTTTTTAATGAGAAATCCACTGTCATTTAAATTATTATTCTCATGTGTAATGCATCATTTCTCTCTAGCTGCTTTCCAGATTTGTTCTTTGTCTTTATTTTTCAGACATTTGATTATTATTTTTATTGGAGTGGATTTCCTTGGGTTTATCATGTTTAGGGCTCATTCAGCTTCTTGAATCTGTAGGATTATGTCTTTCATAAAATTTGGGGAAGTTTCAGCCATTTCTTTGAATATTTTTTAGTGCCACTTTCTTTCTCATTCTGGGACTCTGAAGACAAATATGTTTGATCTTTTCTTGTCACACAGGACCCTGAGACTCTGTTCATTTTTTTTTTCAGTTTCTTTTCTCTCCATTGTCTAGATTGGGTGATTGCTGTTGCTCTGTTTTCACGTTCACTAATTTTTTTTTCTTTGTTGAGACAGAGTCTCACTCCATCACCCAGGCTGGAGTGCAGTGGCACAATCTTGGCTCACTGCAACCTCCACCACCCATGTTCAAGTGATTCTCGTGCTTCAGCCTCCCAAGTAGCTGGGATTATAGGCATGTGCCACCATGCCTGGCTTATTTTTGTATTTTTAGTAGAGACAGGATTTCACCATGTTGGCCATGCTGGTCTTGAACTCCTGACCTCAAGCGATCTGCCTGCCTCAGCCTCCCAACATGCTGGGATTACAGGTGTGAGCCACTGTGCCTAGCCAGGTTCACTGATCTTTTCTGTGTCATCTCCATTCTTCTATTTAGCCCATCCAGTGAGTTTTTTATTTTGGTTGTTGTATTTTTCAGCTCTAAATTTTTCATTTGGTTTTTCATTATGTTTTCTATT
The DNA here is from genome assembly GCF_000001405.40 of Homo sapiens. Taxonomy (NCBI): domain Eukaryota; kingdom Metazoa; phylum Chordata; class Mammalia; order Primates; family Hominidae; genus Homo; species Homo sapiens. The sequence goes on along the minus strand of NC_000023.11, from coordinate 72,435,559 downwards.
TCTTTGCTAATACTTTCTCTTTTTTTCATTGTGTTTCTAGTGTGCTTATAATTGCTCATTGAAACACTTTCATGATGGCTGCCTTAAAGCTCTTGTCAGGTGATTCCAACGTGTGTCATCTTGGTGTTGACATTTGTTGTCTGTTCTCATTCAAATTGATATTTTTCTGATTCTTGGTATAATTAAGGAATTTTTATTGGGACCTGTAGATTTTAGGTCTTTTGAGACTCTGGTGACCTTGAACTCTGTGCTCTTACGCTTCAGGCTAAAAAGCCTATAGCTTTCTGCCTGAGCTCTACCAGCCATCACACAAAATACACGTAAATGTGACTCTCACCCAGTGTGGTTCCCTTCTTTCAGGGATTGAATTCCCTCTACTTCTGCCTGATTTTGATTATTCTCCAATACCCTTAAACAATTTATCATAAAGGTTAGTCTGATAGAAATTATTCCACCATTACCAGAAGCCAGAAGTCAAGACTTACTGTTCATTATATTCCTTCTGGTACCTTTTGAAATTTTTACCATGTGTATATGACATCTTAAAAGAATGTAAACACATTTTTGTAACTAAAACTTTAAAAATGAAATAAATATATTTATCAGACAGACCTACTTTTATTGACCAGCTCTAGGGAAGGATCATAGTAACAAAATGTACTAGGCAAGTTGAGCAAATCATTTAACCAGTGTCCCTCAGTTTTCTCACCCATAAAATGGAGATTAATGTGAGTATTAAATGTGTTGGTCTAAGTAAAGTGTTTAGAATGGTGGCTGACATATAGTAAGCACTCAATAAATTTTAGATATCATTAATATTATTGTTAATTGTTAATAAATATTGGTAAAAATATCACAGCCAGGGACCTATTACCTCTTAGTCCCTAAATGCTGACAGTTTAGTACCCAGTGAGTGCCTAATAAGTGTAGAAACTGAGTATGGTGCTGTATTAGGTACTATGTGATTTTAGCCTCACAGCTCTTGCTAATAATACTGACAGCTCATGGAACAAAACATTGAAAAATATCAAAATTAAATATTATCATATATGAATGAAGGTGAGTATGAGCAAAAACAATAGAAATTGTATATTTGAGTTTTATATTTAGATAAAGTCATAGTACCAGGCATTCAGCAAACTATCTTCCTACTGTAGAAAATGCTTCATATAGGTAGGATTTAGGAACTCTTTAAATACAAAAGGAACTTAACATTTATGAAGCACCAATTATATCCCTAGTGTATATATGCTAGGTTCTTTACATATATTATCTCATATATGTCTGTCAGCAACCCTGGGAAGTAGGCATTATACCCCATTTACCAATGAGAAAAGTAAGACTCAGAAAGTAACTTGCCCAGGATCAACTAGTAAAGTAGTAGAGTCAGGATTCCATCCCAAACCTGTGTGATTTCTGGGCTTATCCTCTTTTCCTTACTTTCAGCAGGGTCCGGGATTTTGGTTTAAGGAATACATGAGAGAAAAGTAAACATTTATTAAACATCTACTGCTGCCAGACATTGTGCCACATGCATTAGTTTATTTAGTTCTCAAAGCATTATTGTATTCAATTCTCACAAAAATCCTATGAGAAAGAAAAGAATTAACATTTATTGAGCACATGCGATGTGCCTAACACTTCAGTGAGGCTTATGTAAGTTACCTTACATGGTCTCCTAACAACCCAATGAAACTGGTATAATCCTGACAACCAGGAAGAGGCCAAGCTAAGCTTTCACCACACTTAGCTGCCTTGCAAGGCCATTCTAAAGGACAACCTCCAGGACACATGTTTCTAAACATTTTGCAGAACATGCATTCCACAAAATGACATTTTTAAAAGTACAGTCCAGAAGCACAAGGTTTCTCCAAACAAGTGGTTTCTCATCTTTTGGGTGGCCATGGACCCCTTTGAGAATCTCACAGCTCCTCCTCCCAGATAAGTACTTATATACACACGATATTGGGTATAATTTCAGACCATTCAGCAATCTCTTAAAGCACATCAATGGACTCTGTTCAAAACAGAAACTTGCTCTAAAGAACAGAAGTAAATCTTAGAAAACAAGAGAGCTTATTAATCCTTCATTATTCAGTTTTAAAAATCCTCTAGAACACTAACACCCATATTTGACCATTCTATTATGTTTCACAAAGTAGATAGTACTCCTGTTTCTCTTTTGGTTTTTCAGCACAAGCACTATTGGCTTTTCTGGTAGTATAATTCTTTTTTTGTTGAGTAGGGGGACTGTTCTATGCATTATAGGATGCTGAGCAGCATCCTTGGCCTCTATGCGCTAGATGCCAGTAGAACACTCCCTACTTCCCCTCTCCAGTTTTGACAACCAAGAATGTCTTCAGACATTGCCAGATATTCTGGGGAGCAGGGCAAAATTGCCCCTGTTGAGAACAACTGGTTTATATACTTACAATCATCACACATGAGACACTCACAAGTATAAAGGGCCTAAGAACCAACATTTCTTGAAGTATATCCTTTTCTTGCTTGATTAAAGTCTCCTACAAAACTGCTCAACTGGGTTGAGCAAGATGAATTCGTCTCAACAATTAAATTACTAGCTGAATATGTAAATTGTTGTTACCTAAAAGGCCAAAAATAAAGTTTATATAGCCCCTCTGCTTTATTGATTGGATGTTTGACTTATCAAGTCATTCAGTCATTCAGTGACTATTTATTGAATACTAACAATGTGCCAGACACTGCCAAGTGCTGGGGCTACAATGGTGAACAGTGTAGATGTGGTCCCCATGCCATGGAACTTATAATCCAGTAAGAAAGGTGCACTAAAAAACACGCAAAACATAAGTCAAAAGAATTTTAACCTGTAATAAGTGCCATAAAGGAAGCATATGGGGAGTGGAGATAGAAACTATCAAAGGGATTTAAATCAGGTCTCTAAGAAAGGCCTTTCTGAAGGTGTGACATTTAAGGCCAGAACTTCAGGGGTAAGAAAGACTCAGCCAGGTGAAAAAAAAAAAAATAACTAAAGGGCAAGTGTTCCAGGCAGAGTAGGCAACCATGTACAAAGATGCTGAGGTAAGAAAGAGCTCAGTGTATTCTGGGTGCTGAAAGGAGGCCACTGTGACTAAGGCTAATGAGTGAAGGATAAGAGGTAAGAGATGGAATGGGCCGGGACCAGACCCTCAGGGGCCCCTGTAGACCACGGTGAAGAGAGTGGGATCTTATTCTTAGAGTCAGAAGCCACTGAAGGCTTTTAACAGGAGAGGTACCAGGATGTGATGTGTGTTTTAAAACTACTCTGAGCCAGGCATAGTGGCTCATGCCTGTAATCCCAACACTTTGGGAGGTCAAGGCAAGAGGATTTCTTGAGCCCAGGAGTTTGAGATTAGCCTGGGTAACATAGTGAGACCCTGTCTCCACAAAAAAAAAATAAAAAATTAATTGGGTGAGGTGGTACATGCCTGTAGTCCTAGCTAATCAAGAGGATGGGGAAGGAGAATCACTTGAGCCCAGGAGTTTGAGGCTGCAGTGAGCTATGATCATGCCGCTGCACTCCAGCACAATGATTAATATCATGAACTCAGACCCAATCTGTGTGTGTTTATATCCTCCAGGCTCTGCCACTTATCAGCCGTGTGACATTGGGCAAATGCCTTCACCTCTCTAAGCCTCGATTGTTTGAGGATTAAATATACTTGTAATACATATAAAGCCCTTAGTATAGTGGCTGATAAATGCTTAGTAAGTATTAGCTAATATTTATGGAAAGAAAACCAGATGTCAAAAGTTTAAAAGATGGAGAGAATGCTGAGATGTGTCAGATGCACCTAAGAGTTCCAATAAGCTAAGGACTTATTCATTAGATTTGGCAACATGGAAGCCATTGTTGACCTTGATGAGAGGAACTTCAACAAAGTGGAGGGGCAGAAGCCAGATAATAATAGATTGATTGGTGAATAGACGGTAAAGAAAATGGCAGCAACAGGTAGGACTAACTTTTTCAAGAAGCTTGTTGTTTAAGAAAAAAAATCACAATCAAGTGAAAAAAAAAAGAAGGATGTACAAGAATGTTCACCTTAGCCTTGTTTATGATAACAAAAAAGTGGAACTGTCCTAAATGTCCAAGAATGAGGGGATGACAGGTCAACAGAGAGGGTTGGGGAAAGTGGTATATGTTAGAACAGTAATTCAGCAGCATGGGAGAGGAAGCTGACCAGAGACAAGTAAAAGGATAAACAAGAAACCTGCAAGTGCATGTGAAGTTGGAAACCATGGATTTTGGCCCATGATACTCGTCTGTCCAGTGATACAGTTTTCTTCAGTAGTGACAGAACAGAGAAGGCACGTTGCGGGAGGTGGTGTTGACTTGGAGTGGTGATTTTTCCAGGTAGGTGGGGCAAAAGGTGATGAAGGTGATGGAGAAAGAGGGTTCAAGTGTGTAATCATGTGGTCTAGGCTGGTTGTGAGGCCAAAAGACAGCAGACAAACAGGGAGAAGGCAGGGATCAGGGGATTGGGTGTCTACACGAGGTCAGAAGAGCAGAGATAGTGGGGTGAAGAGACTTGGTAGGACTAGCACTTGGACTCAGTGTAAGACAATAGAGGCAGCGAAGTAGAAAGGGCACATGCTTTTGAAATCAAACACATTTGAATTTGAATTACAGCTCTAATATTAGTTATGTGACTTTAGGTAACTTCTTTGAACTCTGCGAACTTCGGTTTCTTCATCTGTAAAGTAAGTATAATGACACCTGAGTCACAGAAAAACTAACACATGGTCAGCTTCAATAGCTGTTAGTCCCCTTCTCTCCCACTCAACATTTATTGGGCTCTTAATATGAAACATTCTATTTTGGGGACACTGAGATAAAGGCCAATTTACTTCCTTTTAGTGATTCATGGTTTAGCACAAGGGACACAAAGAAATAAATGGCAATACAAGATAAACAGATAAACTAGTGTTCAAGTTGCTAAGTACAATAATAGCAGTATGTGCTATGAGAACCCAGAAGAGGTATGACTAATAGTGCCTGAGAGAGTGAGGGAGGCTTTCCTGTAAAGCTATTGACAACCCAATTTTTAGTTTCTAACGCTGAAAGAAACTAGTGGGAAATGAGCAGATAACATTTTAAGGGGAACAGCAAAGAAGCTTTTGCTTTTATTTTTCTAGACGGCGTTTCAAGGAGCAATAGGTTCACAAGAAGGTGTTTATTTGTTTTAAGGAAAATGACTTGTGATGGTTTGTTAACTGAGGAGAAGAAATACATAATTAAATGAGAAATGTCTAAGGTGATTGAGAGAAAAGGAAATAATCAAGAGTTCAAGGTTCTAGAGAAGGAGGCAAGAGGAGGTAAAATCCGGAGCCTACGCCAAGGGTTTGCTCCTGGATAGTATGCAGAATAACCCTTTCTCTAAAATGAGAGGAAAAAAGAAAAGAAGAAAAGTAGACATAGATATTTACATCCAAAAGGAGGAAAGAAGTCAATGTCTGGAAATTGCATTTTATCTGTATACAATTTTTCTTGATTTTTAGAAACCAAGAATATTTCCTTAATACATTCACAAGAAATGAGAGCAGCCTGTTTAGGGAACTGATTCCTACAACTGGTGGAGCTGCCAAATGTTGGTGAAATGGAGGCAACAGAAATAAAGAGCTTCCAAGCCCTCATTTCTGCACCTGGAAGAGGTGGTTCTGATTGCTGCAGCAGCAGGCAACTGTGACAGGGAGCAGCAACCTCCTCTCAGTTGCTTTCACCTTGAGTTCTTAAATCGTTGCTAGATAAGCCTCTTTTGCCCACTCCAATCTTCTTTTGCTCCAGTCCACACACACACACTCTATGAAGAAATTTTCCAACCTGAATTTTGCCCACTGATGAATAGAATTGGCAGCCCACAAGGCAGCTGTGCTGGCTTAAAGGACCCAGTAGCATTTGGCTGCATTATTCTCTGTCCTGACCTTTGCAGCCAGCACCTCCCCATTTCTGGGAGAATATCCCACAGTCACTTCTCACTGGCGTGCACCTCCAGGAAATACACCTTCTGAAATGTGGGTTTCTGGCATTGGTATGGAGATAGCATCGCTGCCTAGCCCAATAGCAAAAGATAGACTCGGGCACTGGGAATTTACCGGCTGCTTTAGGCCTAATACCTCGTCAAGTTGCACCATTTGATAAAATCAGAGGAATTAATTAAAAACCATATTAGAAACCTTCATATAATTGCTGATTTCCTGCTTATGCTCTAAGCACATGCCAAGGTAGCAAAATGTACAGATTGAAACTGGATTTCTTGTCCTTTTACCATTAATGTAAAACATGTCTATATTTCCTGCTAGGTCACCCATTGGCCTTATAAACTTTTTTTATAACCAGGAAAGATACTCCAAGGGAGAAAGAGTATCCCTGTAAGGAAATAGGGTTTCTTCCAAGGCAAGGAAGAAAATAATATTTCCTTAGAGGAGTACAACAGGACAAGGGCACAGGAAGGTGAGGAGACTCTGCCTCTTCAAAGGAAATTAGCAGAATGCATGGAAAAGAAGCAAAAAAAAAAAAAGAAAGAAAGAAAGAAAGGAATCAAACATTTATTGAGCACCTACTATTTACCAGGTACTTTACTAGTTGCTTTCACAGGACTTATTTCATTTAATCCTACAATAACCTTGTGAGGAACTTATCTACGTCCATAGGAGAGAAAATTATGTCTCAAAGAGGTTAACTGGTTGGCCTAAGGTCCCACAGCTACCAAGTGAGTAGGATAGGAGAGCAAGGGAAGAGCAGTGAAGATGCTTGGACAAGAGAGGAGATCTTTGTCATTTCCATTTTGAAACTAGAGAACTGGTTTCCTTTAAGACTCATTGTATCAGCAGGCAGTGCTTTTCTATTCCTGGAGTGACCTTAGACTGGAAGGTTAATTGTCATTTTTAAAAAGGGGCTAGCATTCTTTCCTCACCTTCAGTACTCCTCTCTTACCTCTATGCTCATTCTCTTAAATCCTCCAAGCTAATCTTTCAGACCACTCACTTCCTCAATTAATTAGAATACATCCTCTGTTCTTTCTACTCCCTTGTTGGTTCATTAGTTCAAACAACAATCATGTATTAAATGACTACTATGTGTCAGCATTCTGCCAGGCACCAGGAAAGCAAAAGTAAAAACCCTATTCCTGCTTTGGAAAGATTCATAATCGGCAGGGCGCGGTGGCTCACACCTGTAATCCCAGCACTTTGGGAGGCCGAGGCAGGCGGATCACGAGGTCAGGAGTTCGAGACCGGCCTGACCAACGTGGTGAAACCCCGTCTCTACTGAAAATACAAAAATTAGCCAGGTGTGGTGGCGCATGCCTGTAATCCCGGCTACTCAGGAGGCTGAGGCAGGAGAATCGCGTGAACCTGGGAGGCGGAGGTTGCAGTGAGCGGAGATTGCGCCACTGCACTCCAGCCTGGGTGACAGAGCGAGACTCCGTCTCAAAAAAAAAAGAAGGATTCATAATCTAAAGGGGGGCCAGAGACATGGAATCATTGGTTTAAATCCTATTGCAAAGGGCAGTGGCAGATCCAGGATTTGTAGGCCTGAGCTTATGCAATTGTACAGGCAAGGACAGGGAACTATTTAAGAAAAAGAACATAAAATTTTGAATATAAAATTAGGTGCAAGTTGAAAGATATTACAAACCTCACAAAATTCAAAACAATTTTAACATGTCTTATTACTTAAATGCATGACACATCTATAGTACTTTTTTCCTACATTTTTTTGGCTGCATGTGCTCTAATCACCTTTCATTTGACCATGATTTTGTAATGTCATTTTCTTTTTTTTTTAATTTTATTATTATTATACTTTAAGTTTTAGGGTACATGTGCACAATGTGCAGGTTAGTTACATATGTATACATGTGCCATGTTGGTGTGCTGCACACATTAACTCGTCATTTAGCATTAGGTATATCTCCTAATGCTATCCCTCCCCCCCCCCACCCCACAACAGGCCCCAGAGTGTGATGTTCCCCTTCCTGTGTCCATGTGTTCTCACTGTTCGGTTCCCACCTATGAGTGAGAACATGCGGTGTTTGGTTTTATGTCCTTGAGATAGTTTGCTGAGAATGATGGTTTCCAGCTTCATCCATGTCCCTACAAAGGACATGAATTCATCATTTTTTATGGCTGCATAGTATTCCATGGTGTATATGTGCCACATTTTCTTAATCCAGTCTATCATTGTTGGACATTTGGGTTGGTTCCAAGTCTTTGCTATTGTGAATAGTGCTGCAATAAACATACGTGTGCATGTGTCTTTATAGCAGGATGATTTATAATCCTTAGAATATATACCCAGTAATGGGATGGCTGGGTCAAATGGTATGTAATGTCATTTTCTATGTAAAGAATAGAAAGATAATTCAATGGATCCCCTAGCATGTTTGATCAAAATGTATTTCTTATTATTGATACGTGGTATAGTAATCTATTCAGGCTTCCAAAACAAAATACCCCAGGCTGGAGGGCTTAAACAACAGAAATTTATTTCTCACAATTCTGGAGACTGGAAGTACCAGATAAAGGTCTGGCAGCGTTCACAGTTTCTGGTGAGGGCTCGCTTCCTTCTCTGTATGTCTTCACATGGCCTTTCCACTTAATGTGTGCAGAGAGAGAGAAGAAAATCTCTCTCTCTTCCTCTTCTTATAAGGCCACCCATCCTATTAAATTAGGACCCCACCCCCATTACCTCATTTAGTCTAAATTACCTCCTAAAGGCTCTATCTCCAAGTATAGTCACAGTGGGGGTTAGGGCTTCAACATATGAATTCCGGGATAACACAGTTCAGTCTAGTAGATGGGATGCATAAAACTTGTGACTGCATACACAGCCATACTCACTGTTTATAATACTGCTAGGAGGTTTGGACCCTTCAAAAACAGGAATTATGATAAATGCCATTTTGCACAACTTTTATGAAAAAAGAAAAAATACAGTTTGTATATACTCATATATGCTACACTATTGACTCTGTTTTTTAAAGGAGAAAATTTTATTTTGACTAGGCATTGTTAAAAACCAAATCCTCCACTTAAAATTTTAATATGCTCATTGGAAGAATTTTACACAAACTTTGAACTCTGTACATTTCAAATTTTGTTTCTCCTCTACTATCCAATGTATCTAACCCCAGATGCTATAGGACACATTTATATCATGATGCTACCTCTGGCTCTGTCCTTTTTGTGTAAGGATGCTGGATGAGTAAACACCTTAGGTTATAGGACCATTCCTGAAGCCATTCCTACACCATTAGCAGTAAGTTAACTATACACAATAAGTGATTGCAAGCCACATAAATGTATCTCTCTAAACCCAAACTAAATGTATCCTCACCTCAACTTCCTCTTCGCCATTCCAGTTACACTCAAAACAAGGGAGAAGTCTGATGGAAAAGTCAGACTGGAAAGAGAGAGCTGTCTTAAATGAATGTGGTTAAATACCTTACTTTGAAAATTAGGGGAAAAATATAACCTTGTAAAAAACCAGTGGTGGTACCCCTCCCTGGACCTTGAGAGGGATCTGTCCAGTGAGGGGCTTTGAAGATTTATGATTAGCTTCATGGTGAATCAGCTTCTAAGGAAAGATATGTGCAGGTTGTCTCAAACAATCAGGGAACACGTCACAAAGGAGGTAATATTTGAGCTAAATCTTTAAAAGTACTCAAGAGGAAGGACATTTCAGAAAGGAACATTGCATGTGCAATGCTCTAGAGGGAACACAGGGTCTTGTAGAATTGTAAATAGTTTACTATGTCTGTAGGGGCATCTAAGGGGATGGGGGGGAAATGAAGCAGCAGAGGTTGACCTGCAACTGAAAGACATCAGACTCTTGGAAATCCATAGAAACCTCTGTTTTCATCTTTTCTTGAGCTACCTTAAATGATCTGACACTTATTAGGAAGTAGTTAGTTTATCTGTTATTGTGGGTGTGATAGAAAAACTAGATGGAAAATCAGTAAAGATAAAGAATAATTCAACAACACCATCAACCAAGAGAATCTCATTGACACTTACAGAACATTCCACCAAATAACAACAGAATCCACATTCTTTTAAAGCACCCATGGAACATACCAAGATAGACCACAGCAGAAAATGGTGGAGTAGGCAACCACAAGCTCCTGTTACCCCACAGAAACACAGGAAAATAAGCAGAAACTGTCAGAAACAACTTTGTCAGAACAGAACTCTAGAAAACAATCAAAGGTTTACAGCAACTGAGCAAATGCCAAATCAAAAAAAAAGTCAACTTAAAACTTATTAGAAACCACAATGAGATACCACTTCACACCCATTAGGTTGTCTATTATTAAAAAATGGAAAATAAAAAGTGTTGTCAAGGATGTGGAGAAATTGGAACTCTGCTTTGCTGGTGGGGATGTAAAATGGTGCAGCTGCTATGGAAAATAGGTTGGCAGTTCCTCAAAAAGTTAAACATAGAATTACCATATGATCCCACAAATCTACTTCTAGATATATAGCCAAAAGAATCAAAAGTGGGTACTGGTATATCAATGTTAACTATAGCATTATGCAAAATAAAATAGTCAAAAGGTGTAAACAACCCAAATAACCATCAACAGATGAATGGACAAAATATTGTATAGCTATATAAGGAAATATTATTCAGCCTTAAAATGGAATAATATTCTGATACATGCAACAACATGAATGAACCTCAAAAACATTATTCTAAGTAAAATAAGCCAGATGAAAAGGGACAAATATTGTATGATTTCACCTACATGAAATATTTACAATAGGCAAAGTCATAGAGACAGAAAGTGGTTTAGAGGTTACCAGGGGCTTGGAGAAGTGGGGGTTGGGGAGTTATTTATTAATGGGTGTAGAATTTCTGTTTGAGATCATGAAAAAGTTCTGGAAGTGGATAACGGTAATGGTTGTGCAGTGTTATGAAAATACTTAATACCACTGAACTGTACACTTTAAAATGGTTTTTAAAAATTTCAACAAGGAGTTGGAAGATATAGATGAAGAAATCTCTAAGAAAACAGAATTTGAAAATAGGGAAATGAGAAATAGGAAAGATAAAAGACAAGAAAATTATAGTCAACAGATGAGGTCCAATAGCCAATAAGAATTCCTGAAAAAGAAAAGAGAAGAAAAATATGGCTAGGAAATTATCAAAGAAATAATTAAAGAAAATCTGTCCAAATCCTGAGGATACAACTTTCCAGACTGACAGGGCCCACTGGTTGCCCAACATTATGAAGGAAAAAAGATCCAAAGACATTATCATCATAAAACTTTACAACAAAGGAGAAAAAAAGCTATCCTAAAAGGTAAACAGTTGTAAGGAGAAAAATTGAAGATCACATAAAAAGCTTCAAGAATCAGAATGGCATTGGACTTCTCCACAACAATATTGAATACTTCAAGACATTGGAGGAGTTCCTTTAACATTGTAAAGGAAAAATTATTTCAACCTTGAGTTCTATACCCAGCCAAGCTACCAAGCAATTGGAAAGATCAAATACAGATATTTTCAGACATGCCAAGGTCAGGAAACTTGGAGTAGATGTCCACCAGAATGAAGATAATAAGCCAGGAAAGAGAAAGACATGGGACACAGGAAACAGATGCTCCAATGCAGGAGAGAACAGCAGAGATTTCTCAGGATGACAGTGAAAGGAAACTCCAAGACACCAGCTCTGTAGAAGGGCCAGAAGTCAAACAGTTCAGATTGGAGGGCTCCAGAGGGAAGACTCTCAGGTGAATATGGAATTCACAGATTGCCTGGTGTGGTTGATAGTACTAAGAGGACTAATAATTCTGTCAAAGAATGTAGTATGAGTTAGTGATAAGTACATAGAAAGCTAAGCAACATTTCTAAGGTGAGGCAACTATTAATTCAAAAAAATTGTCCAAGGAAGTAAAAGTAGTCATAATACAGTACATAGCTGAGCTGTGAACAGTATTTGTTGTCATCATAATTTAAACATTGAATGTTAATTTAGCCAAAAATTTTAGAATAATTAAATTGAGAGAATGAGACAAGGTGAACTGTGCATGGATGTGGGAGATTGTGGTGAGACTGAATCTAGAAGGAAGTTGGTAGAGCATATAAAAAATTGAAAAACAACTAGCAGCCTTCCTGTGTTATTCAAACATATGGAGGGAAATACTAGAAGCAGCAGCTAAAAGAGTGGTATGTGGCTATTTCTGGGGAGTAAAAATTGGAAACAGGAAAGGGTGAGGTAGAGAACTTCTGTGTGTAATTGTAAGACTTGGTTAATGTTTGACTTTGTAAACTATGTGCATGTTATTAAACTACTACTTGGAACAAAATTCAAATTAAATAAAAGTTCAGTGTCAGATCTAAAGGTGCACCATGTAATCCTGGCCTATGTGTGATGCCCACTAGGATGAACTGTTAAAGGAAAAAGCATCTCAGGGTAAAATTAAAAAGATTCCTTTTTAAAAAAAAGTTATAATTTTTTAATTTAACTTTTATTTTAAGTTCAGGGGTACATGTGCAGGTTTGTTATATAGGTAAACTTCTGTCATGGGGGTTTGTTATACAGATTATTTCATCATCCACATTATATTAAGCCCCTGCTCTGGCTCAGCAACAGTATTGAAGACAGCAGCCTGTGTTTGCAGTGTGGGACCCTGGACCATGGTTCCAGGGGGAACACAGCAGACCTTATTCAAAAATTATTGTGTAGGTCTGCTCTAACCTGTCAGAGGGCTATCTAAATGACAGATGTAAAGAACTTATCTCTGTTGCACCTAACTCAGAACTCACCCAAGCCAGAAAATTACCAGGCATTGCTCAAAAACCCTAAGATGGATGAACAACCCAGATGCCTGAGGCAAAGGGTTACAGTTGAGGCTTACAAGAGACAACCTAAGGCCTGAGAAGAAAAGCCATAGGGAGAGCTTCTTTGGGAAATTAGGGCAAACAAAAGTATCCATGTATACGGGAAAATATAGAAAAATATGTGAATAAATTGCCAGGGAAACTTGCATGTTCAGGAAAGACTTGAGAGGACCTTAAAGACTGGGAGAGGTGTTTTACTTGTCTGGATTTTTTTTTTAGCTCCTGGCATTCAAGGATAGCAATTCACTAGAGGCTTCAGGCACAAGACAGAATCAGTGCACTTGGAAGATAGGATAATTGAAATGAACCAATCTGAGGGACAGGAAAAAAAAGAACGAAGAATAATTAGCAGAGCCTAAGGGACCTGTGGGACACCATCAAGTGGTCCAACATACACATTATGGGAGTAACAGAAAAAAGAGAAGAGGTTATGAAAGGGATAGAAAGAATTTTTAAATAAATAATGACCAAAAACTTCCCAAATTTGATGAAAAGCATTGAACATAAGGATCCAAGAGGCTTAATGAACTCCAAGTAGAATAATAACTCCAAGTAGAATAGACCCACATCAAGAGACATTATAATCAAACTGTTGACAAAGACAAAGAGAGAATCTTGAAAGCAGCAAGAGAGAAACAACTCATCACATACAAGGGATTCTCAATAAGGTTCATAACTGATTTCTTATCTGAGACCATGGAGGCCAGAATACAATGGGATGACATATTTAAAGTTCTGAAAGAAAAACACTGTAAAACAAGAATTCTATATCCAGCAAAACTGCACTTCAAACTTGAGTGAAAATGTAAGACATTCTCAGATAAACAAAAGCTGAGGGAGTCTATTACCACTAATCCTATCCTAGAAGAAGTACTAAAAGGAGTCCTTCTGGTTGAAGTGAAAGGACACTAGACTGTAAATCGAAGCTATATGAAGGAATAAAGATCTCCAGTAAAGAAATCTACATGGGCAAACATAAAAGCAAGTCTTATTAATTTTTGGTCTGTAACTTGACTCTTTATTTTCTGCATGATTAAAAAGACAAATACATAAAAATTATAAATCTATGTTACTGGGCACACAGTGTATAAATATATGATCTGTGACAACAACAACATAAAGAAAGCAGTGGAACTGAATAATAGCAGAGTTTTCATGTGCTATTAAAGTTGGTACATGGGTAGAGTTGGAAGCCATTATCCTCAGCTTACTAATACAAGAACAGAAAACCAAACACCACATGTTCTCACTTTTTTCCCCAACACGTGGACACATGGAGGGGAACAACACACACTGGAGCCTGTCGGGAGGGGGTTGGGGAAGGGAGAGCATCAAAAAGAAAGCTAATAGATTCAGGCTTAACACCTAGGTGATGGGATGACCTGTGCAGCAGACCAGCATGGCAGACGTTTACCTGTGTAACAAACCTCCACATGTACACCTGAGCTTAAAATAAAAGTTGAAGAAACATTTTAAAAATTAAAAAAAAAAAGTTGGTATCAATTCAAACTAGATTGTAATAAGCTTAGGATATTGATTGTAATCCCATGGTAACCACAAAAATATGTTTAAAATGTACCAATGGAAATGAGAAGAGATCCAAAATGGTTCACTACAGATAATTAACTAAATACAAAATAAGACAGTAATGGAGGAAATGAGGGACACAAATAGGTATAAGATAAAGAGGGAACAAAACGAAAAATTGCAAAAATCCATCCTTATCAGTAAACAAATTAAATGTAAATAGATGAAAGTGACCAATCAAAAGGCAGAGATTGGCAGAATGAATTTAAAAAAAAAACATAATCCAACTACATGCAATTTATTAGAGACCCAGTTTAGATCCAAAGGTGCAATTAGGTTGAAAGTGAAAGAGTTGGAAAAAATATTTTATTCAAGTGGTAACCAAAAAGAGGTGGGGTGGCTTACTAATATCACCCTCAGTCAACAAATGTTATAAAAGTCAAAGTCAGACGTTATGTACTGATCAATTGATTGAGACGGTATAACAATCATAAACACATATACACCAAACAACAGAGCCTTAAAATATATGAAGCAAACGCTGAAAAAATTGAAGAGAGAAATAGTTGTACAATAATAGGTACAGAGAATAATAGTACAGAGAATCAAAGCCAAAATTTGTTTCTTTGAAAAGATCAATGAAATTGACAAACCTTGAGCTAGACTGACAAAGAAAAAAGAAAGATGCAAATAACTAAAATCAGAAATTAAAGTGGGGACATTACTGTCAACCTTACAGAGATAAAAATTTTAAAAAGGTTTGTAAGACAATACTATTAACAATTCTATGCTTACAAATGAGATAGCCTAGGTGAAATGAACAAATTCCTAGAAACAAACAAATTACCCAAACTGACTCAGGAGAAATATAAAATGTCAGGAGATCTATAACAAATAAAGAGATTCAATCAGTAATGAAAACTTCCCAACAAAGGAAAGCCAAGGACCAGAAACTTTCACTGGTGAATTCTACCAGACATTTAAAGATTAACACCAATCCTTCTCAAACTCTTCCAAATAACTGAAGAAGCAGGAACACTTCCCAGCTCATTCTATGAGATCAGCATTACCATAATACCAAAGCCAGAAAAAAAATCACAAGAAAATTACAGTGCAATGTATCTTATGAATATAGACACAAAAATCTTTCAGTAAAATACTAGCAACCCAAATCTAACCATATATTAACGTCATTATACACTATGACCAGGTGGGATTTATCCCAGGAATGCAAAGTTCATTTAACGTAATAAAATCGATCAATGAAATGCATCACATTAATATAACAAAGAAAAAAAACACATGGTTGTCTCAAAAGATGCAGAAAAATATTTGACAAAAATCAGCACCCTTTCATAATAAATAAGCAATCAAAATATTAGGAATAAAGGGAAGTTACTCAACATGAAAAAGGGCATTTATGAAAAACCTACAGCTAATGTCATACTCAATGGTGAATGACTGAAAACTTTTCCTCTAAGATCAAGACATGAATATTAACTTTTACCACTGCTATTCTATGTTGTACTGGAAGGTCTATCCAGAGCAACTAGACAAGAAAAATGAATAAAAGGCATCCAAATTAGAAAGGAAGAAGTAAAACCATCCTGTAGGTTGTCTTTTCGTTTTCTTGATATGTCTTTTATAGCACAAACATTTTAAACTTTGAAGTCATATTTACCATTGGTTCACACTGTAACCAGCAGCATTGCAGGTTACAATGTCATTACACAAAATCAGATGTGCTTTTATCTACCAATAATGAACAATCCAAAAGAAAAATTTTAAGTAATTGCATTTATAGTAACATCTAATAGAATAAACTCAACCAAGGAGGTGAAAGACTAGTACACTGAAAGCTACAAAACATTGCTGAAAGAAATTAAGACCTAAATAAATGGAAAGACATCTCATGTTCATTGATTGGAAGACAATATTATTAAGGTGTCAATACTACCCAAAGCAGCCTCCATATTCAATGCAATCCCTATCAAAATCCCAACAGCCCTTTTGACACGAATGGAAAAACCAATTCTCAAATTCATATGGACTTGCAAGAAACCCAATAACCAAAACATTCTTGAAAAAGGACAAAAGTTAGGAGATCCAATTTCAAAACGTAATACAAAGCTATAGTAATCAGAATAGCATGGTGTTGGCATAAGGATAGACATATAAACCAATGGAATAGAGTCGTAAATCCTAAAATAAATCTCTACCTCTATAACCAATTGTTTTTTGACAAGGGTATCAAGTCCATTCAATGGGGAAGGAATCATCTCTTCAACAAATGGTGCTTGGACAACAGGATATCCACATGCAAAAGAATTAAGTTGCACCCCTACTTCACACCATATACAAAAAAATTAACTGACAATAAATCAACAATCTACATATAAGAGCTAAAACCATAACAATCCTAGAAGAAAACAATGAATGCATGTGTCTTTATGGAAGAATGATTTCTATTCCTTTGAGTATATACCCAATAATGGGAGTGCTGGGTTGAATGGTAGTTCTGTTCTAAGTTCTTTGAGAAATCATCATAATGCTTTCCATAATGGTTGAGCTAATTTACATTCCCACCAACAGTGTATAAGCATTCCCTTTTCTCCACAACCTTGCCAGCATCTGTTATTTTTTGACTTTTTAATAACAGTTATTCTGACTGGTATAAAATGGTATCTCACTGTGGTTTTGATTTGCATTTCTCTAATGATTAGTGATGTGGAGCATTTTTTCCTATGTTTGTTAGCCATTAGTATGTCTTCTTTTGAAAAGTGTCTGTTCATGTCTCTGCCCACTTTTTAATGGGTTTGGGTGTTTTTTGCTTATTTGTTTAAGTTCCTTATAGATGCATAGTTTGCAAATATTTCCTCCCATTCTGTAAGTTGTCTGTTTATTTGGTTGATAGTTTCTATTGCTGTGCAGAAACTCTTTGGTTTAATTAGGTTCCACCTTGTCAATTTTTTGTTTTCATTGCAATTGCTTTTGGCATCTTTGTCATGAAATCTTTGTGTAGGCCTATGACTAGAAGACTACTTTCTAGGTTCTCTTCTAGGATTTTTATAGTGTGAATCTTACATTTAAATATTTAATGCATTTTGAGTTAATTTTTGTATATGGTGACAGATAGGGGTCCAATTTTATTCTTCTGCAAGTAGTTTTCCCAGCACCACTTATTGAATAAGATATGCTTTCCCCATTGTTTATTTTTGTCAACTTTGTAAAAAATTAGTTGGTTGTAGTTGTGCAGCTGTATTTCAGGGGTTTGTATTCTGTTTCATTGGTCTATATGTCTGTTTTTATACCAGTACCATGCTGTTTTGGTTACTATATCCTTGTAGTATAGTTTGAAGTTGGATAATGTGATGCCTTCAGCATTGTTCTTTTGGCTTAGGATTGCTTTGGCTATTCGGGCTCCTTTTTGGATTTACATGAATTTTAGAACAGTGTTTTTATAATTTTGTGAAAAATGACATTGGCAATTTGATAGAAATAGCATTGAAACAGTAAATTGCTTTGGGCAGTATGGCCATTTTAAAAATATTGAGTCTTCCTATCTGAGCATGGAATGTTTTTCCATTTGTTTGTGTCATCTCTGATTTCTTTCAGTAGTGTTTTATAATTCTCATTGTAGAAATCTTTCACCTC
Organism: Homo sapiens; assembly: GCF_000001405.40. Lineage (NCBI taxonomy): Eukaryota > Metazoa > Chordata > Mammalia > Primates > Hominidae > Homo > Homo sapiens. Next base: position 72,417,513 of record NC_000023.11, on the reverse strand, counting down.
CCTGGTTAGCTGTATTCCTAGATATTTTATTCCTTTTGTGGCTATTGTGAATAGGATTGCGTTTTTGATTTGGCTGTCAACTTGGACCTGTTGGTGTCTAGAATTGCTGCTGATTTTTGTATCTTGAAGCCTTGCTGACATTGTTTTTCAGATGTAGGAACTTTTGAGCAGAGACTGTGGCATTTTCTAGGTATAGAATCATATCATCTGCAAACAGAGATAGTTTGATCTCCTTTCTTCCTATTTGGATGTCTCTTATTTCTTTATCTTGCCTGATTGCTCTGGCTAGGACTTCTAGTATGACGTTGAATAGGAGCGATGAGAGTAAGCATCCTTGTCTTGTTCTGGTTCTCAAGGGGAATGCTTCCAGCTTTTTCCCATGAAGTAGCAGAAAAGTTTTGTAAATAAATAGTGATGATGGTTGCACAGTGTTGTAATTGTAACTAATGTCACTGAATTGTACACTTAAAATGGTCACAGTAGTAGAGTTTATGTTTTATACATTTTATTACAATAATATTAAAACAATTAAAAATTAAAGAATAAAGATGGGCCATTTCATGGGTCATCAAATAAACCTCATCAAATTTAAAAGACAGAAATCATACAGTGTGTATTTTCTGACCAAAATAAAATCAAACAGGAAATCGATAAAAGAAAGATAACAGGATAATTGCCAAACACTTAGAAACTAAAGAATGCACTTCTAAATAATACATGGATCAAAGAGGAAATCTCAAGGAAAATTTTTAAAATACACTAAACAATTAAAATGAAAAGACAACGTGTCAAAATATGTAGGACACACCTAAAACAGTGCTGAGAGGGAAATTTATGACACTACATTCTTAATTTTAAAAAGAGGATAGTCTCAGATCAATAATTAAACTGCAACCCTAATAAAATAGAAAAAGAAGGGCAAAATAAAACCAAAGCAAGTAGAAGGAAGGTTATAATAATGAACAGAAACAAATGAGATTGAAAACAGAATAATAATAAATTCAATGAAACAAGAAGTTGGTTCTTCAAAAACATGAAAAAAATTTACAAATCTCTAGTAAGAGTGACCAAAAAAAAAAAAAAAAAAAAAAAAAAAAAAAAAAAACAGAGAAGACACAAATTTCCAATATCAGGAATGAAATGGGATCTTACCACAGCTTCCACAGGTATCAAAGCAATACTAGCAAAATACAGCATTCTATATACATAAACTTGACCACTTAGATTAAATGGACTCATTCCTCAAAAGCCACAAACTACCACAACTCACCAAATACGAAATAATTTGAATGGCCCCGTAGCTATTAAGGAAATTGAATTTGTAATTTAAAAACTCCTCAATAAATGAACTCTCCAAGCCTAGATGATTTCACTGAAGAATTCTACCAAACATTTAAAGAAAAATTCACAACAATTCTACACAATCTTTCAGAAAATAGAAGAGGAGGAAACACTTCCCAACTCACTTTATTAAGCTAGTATTATCCTGAGACCAAAACCAGACAAAGATAGTACCAAAAAAAGAAAGACCGTATTTCTGCTCTCAGCTTTGACATCTGAAAGACACAGCAGGCAGCATCTCAGAAGCATAAAAAACAGAACGGAAGAAATAAAACTGTCCTTATCTGCAAATAACATGATTGTGTACATAGAAAATCTCAAGGAATGTAACAAAAACCTTCTAGAACTAATAAATGAGTTCAGCAAGGTTGCAGGTCACAATATCAACATACAAAAATCAATTCTATATACTATCAATGAACATATTTCTATGTACTATTAACAAACACATGGAAACCAAAATTTAAAATACAAAGCCATTCACAATTGGATTTTAAAAACTGAAATATTTATGTGTAAATCTCACAAAACATGTACTGGATATGTATGCTGAAAACTATAACACTGATCAAAGAAATCAAATAAGATCTAACTACAAGGAGAGACATACTGTGGCCATAGTTTGGAACTCAACATAGTAAAGATTTCAGTTCTCTCCAAATTTATACAGGTCTGAGACAATTGCTATCAGAATCCTAACATGATTTTTTGAAGATATAGACAAGATTATGGTAAAATTCATGTGGGAAAACAGAGAAACTAGAATAGCTAAAACAATTTTGTAAAAAAAGGATAAAGCAGGAGGACTCACTCTACCAATTTTAAGACTATGTAGCTACAGTAATCAAAACTGTGTGGTATTGGCAAAGAAACAGACACATCAAAGGAACAGAAGAGAGATCCCAGAAATAGACCCACACAAATACGGCCAACTAAATTTTGACTAAGGTCCAAAAGCAATTCAATGGAGGAAAGACAGCCTTTTCAATAAATAGTACTGAAGCATTTTGATATCTATCAGCAAATTAGTAAATTTAGTTTAAGAGTAAGTAGAAATTCATTATATTGTTTTTGTAGCTTTTCTATAGATTTGAAAGTTTTCAAAATAAAAACAATTGGGAGGAAAAGACATATAAACTATATTGCAGTTACATTAATTTACAATGGAAGATATACCTGTAAGGTAACCGAACAATAGTCTGAGCTCATGTAAATGCATTTCTTTCCCAGGATCAAGGAACCTAGGAAACTAAAATAGAAAATCAGAAAGTTACTTGATAAACATGGAGTCAGAGTGAAGGAAGTGCAATGGTGAAGCCCATGCATAGAGAAATCTGCTTCATAATTGAGCCTACAGCCTTAAGGACCACAATATTTGCATCCATCATGTGTATGGTCTACTGGGCTCCTTCTGCTCTCCAGCCACTGCACAAGTGGACACACCTCCCTCCCCCATTCCTCCCCACCTCTCTGCACAGTTAGGGGTGGGAGGTGTTGGACAAACAGTAACATATGTTTACTTCTTAATTCTTCTTTTTCAAATAACTCATGCACCACCTTTCTTTAACACATTATTCTTCACACAGTTTACAGTAAAGCTGATTAGATTGCAACTTTCTTCAAGTACGTTCTGATCCTACAGATACACCCTGATTATCTTGATTACATTTGAGATTTCCTAAGTCTCTATCAGTAACACATCTACAATAATGCCTTTGTATTAGTTATTTCGCTCTAACAATCATTCTAAGCCTAGCTCCAAATTCTGGGGTCACCGTACTGCAGCCTAGACTCCGACTACACTTATTTCCTTTGAGTTGTTTTGTCAAGGCCCCATCATAGACAGACTTTTTTTCAACATACTGACAATATTACTGCTTCTCTTGGTCTCTTTGCCACTGCTCTACAAATGTATTTTTACAAGCAGTGTGACCCAAAGAAGATGTAATAGATTAAATGATAAAATTACATAAAATACATGAAAGTGCTTTGAAAGGTAAAAGCACTGAACAAATGTAAGGGGTTATTATTGCTGTAATTTAATGGGTAAAACCAGTGGCTGCTTCAGGCCAGACCTCATAGGAGAGCAGCACTTACCAATAGATAACCCAGGCCAGTCCACTCTATAGTTTTGCCACTACACATTTCTCTCCCATTCTCAGTCCCATCATGAGATGAGGAGTCTCTGGGGGATGAATCCATGCTTCCAATGTCACAGAGACTGACTTATAAAGCAGACCTCAAGAAGGTGATTTATCGTAAGCAATATCGTATTAGTCCATTCTCCCACTGCTATAAGGACATACCTGAGACTGGGTAATTTATAAAGGAAAGAGGTTTCATTGACTCAGTTCCACAGGGCTGGTGAGGCCTCAGGAAACTTACAGTCATAGTGGAAGGGGAAGCAAACACATCCTTCTTCACACAGCAGCAGGAAGGAGAAGAATGACCAAAGGTAGGAGAAAGCCCCTTATAAAGCCATCAGATCTCGTGAGAACTGAGTATCAGAAGAATAGCATGGAGGTAACCGCCCCCATGATTCAATTACCTCCCACCAGGTCCCTCCCATTACACGTGGGGATTATGGGAACTACAATTCAAGATGAAATTTGGGTGGAGACACAGCCAAACCATATCAAATATATTTGGCAAGACAAAGCTTTCCTTATCTGCATAAGGCCTTCCAGGCTGGCAGGTCATTCCAGTCAAGAAACCAGTTACACAGCTTCATCCATGTCCCTACAAAGGACATGAACTCATCATTTTTTATGGCTGCATAGTATTCCATGGTGTATATGTGCCACGTGGCGCATGTTCTCACTCATAGGTGGGAATTGAACAATGAGAACACATGGACACAGGAAGGGGAACATCACACACCGGGGCCTGTTGTGGGGTGGGGGGTGGGGGGAGGGACAGCGTTAGGAGAGATACTTAATGTTAAATGATGAGTTAATGGGTGCAGCACACCAACATGGCACATGTATACATATGTAACTAACCTGCACGTTGTGCACATGTACCCTAAAACTTAAAGTATAATAATAATAAAAAAAAAAACCAGTTACACAGACCAGAAGGCTGCTTGGTAAGCACACAATTAAAACAAAAGGAATTGGATGTTCTCCAGAGATTTTTTTAAAAATCAAACCTAGGTACCCGATAAACTTGCTCTCCTCCATACTAAGAATAGTTCTGACTAAAGAAGTAAAGAAGCCATCATCAAGAAATAGACAACCCTCTCCATGGTCATTCCTGAAGACACACTCACATATTTTCTTTTGTCTACACAGCTCACTTTGCCCATCATCTAAAGCATCTGTCTGTACAGGGTTACCTCAAGACAGTCATGTTACAATTTCCCACATCATAGTTTATCTTAACATTTGTAACAATTTAGTGAGGTCGTTTCTTGATACCTTAATATCTCCATTTCCCAATATATAATGGGTACCATGGCAGGCAGGACCCATTGTTCTCTATTTCAAAATTTGCTCATCCAACATTGCCAAAAATAAATTTATGGCTCATTTCTTAAACTTTTTCACCCATTTTCCCCATCTCATAAATACCCAAAGTACATTCTAAGTGCACTATCCTAAAGGCCCTACCCAAAGTGCCTGTAGGATATTATCAAAACCTAGTCTGTTGCTTTAGTGCAGAAGTGTGGGTGCTACCTGAAGGCAGAAAGGAATACCTATAAGCTTGTACCCAGTACCAATTGTTTGGGAACCAGAAATCTAGGCTGCTACATTTCAAAGGGAAGTGAGAAAATTGGAGCTTATGAAAGATAAATGACTCAATAAAATGGTATACATACAGAGCCTGGCACATAGTAGCCCCTCAATAACCATTTGTAATAAGAAATAAGCAAAGTATCCAAGGTCTCCCAAATAGTGAGTGACAGAGTCAAAACTTCCAAGTCTAGTTGTTTCCCCTCTAACATGTTACCTCAAAAATCGTCTTTAAAAATATTTTGCTTTCCGTCCTACTCTTAAGAAGTATTTAAGAACAGAAGAAACTGTCTGTGCTCTTATTTCATTGTGGACTGAAATTTGTTGACTTCAGAGCCAAAATAACTTTCCTTGAAGCCTTCCCTAAACCTCTTCCTCTGAACACCCAGAGCCATTTCTTGGAGCCATTTGTTAGATTAAATTCTGTCTTTTATTATCATTTGTACATCCTTATCCCATATTTCTAGTTTCTTGAATAAAATTCTTAAAGTATAAATGTATTCATCATTATATTCCCCACAATGAGTGCCCAGCATAGAGCCTAGCATATAGTAAATGCTCAACAAGTGTCTGATGAATTGAATTGAATTCCATTGGCCCAAGCTTTGGCGATTCTCCCTGATTTGGAGCATGAGTCCTCTTACTGTCTGCAATCACTGTTAATATTTTATACTACAAGCTCAGTGAAACTAGATATGCTATTCTCAAAATTCAATCAAATGCTTTTTAAAATCTATTTTCCTTCTCTTTCTTCATTACTCCATTTCTAGTTGACTCTGCATCCATTGCCCTTTTCATTCATTTATTCATTTATTTATTCATAAATGTTTGTTGACCTCTCACTATTTGCTGGATACTAGAGGTACAACAGTACACAGATGGTCCCTACTTTTTAGAATTTGTAATCTAATTGGAGAGTAACACTAAACACAATAAAATAATTACATATTGTGATAAGTGCTAAGAAGACAATAAACAGATGATGCAGAGGTCAGAACTTCCCCCTCTGAGGGTGTCAACTCTAGGTCTGAAGTATGAAAGACGTAAAGAACTTTGCCAAACAAAGAGCTGCATTCCAGGCGGAGGGAACAGCATATGAAAAGGTGGGAAAGAGCAGCCGGGAGCGGTGGCTCATGCCTGCAATCCCAGCACTTTGGGAGGCCAAGGTGGGAGGATCACGAGGTCAAGAGTTCAAGACCAGACTGGCCAACAGGTTGAAACCCCGTCTCTACTAAAGATACAAAAATTAGCCAGGCATGGTGGTGTATGCCTGTAGTCCCAGCTACTTGGGAGGCTGAGGCAGGAGAATTGCTTGAACCCAGCAGGCAGAGGTTGCAGTGAGCCGAGATTGCACCACTGCACTCCAGTCTGGGCAACAGAGCAAGATTCTGTCAAAAAAAAAAAAAAAGAAAGAAAGAAAAGGTGGGAAAGAGCTGACCACACTCCAGGAAAAGCAAAAATGCCAGTGTGACTAGAGCATATTGAGTGAGAGAAGAGTGAGGTGGGAAAGGGTCAGAGAGGTAGGCAAGAGCCTCATCATGTGGGAGCCATGTAGGCCAGAGCATGATTCTGACTTTCTAAGTTCAGCAGCAGCCAGAGTTTTTAAGCAGAGGAGTAATATAATCTAACTGAGATTTTTCAAAGATGATGCTGACTGTTGTGTGGAGACCATATTGTACTGGGACAAGAGACCACTATATAGGCTAATCCAGTAGTCCAGATAGGAACAGATGTGGCCCTGGACTAGGGTAGTGGCAAGGAAGGTGGTGAGAGTGATTCAAGAAACATTTTTGCAGTAGAATTGACAGATCTATGACTCTTTTGAATGTGGAACCTCTTTGTTTTACTGCTGAGGAAACTAAGGCACAGAGAGGCCAGGTTGATAAGAGGTCATTTTTGTATTATAATTGAATGCTGATTTCCCAACCACTGATTTCATCTTCTTTCTCTGCACCTACTCTACTTTTCATAATCTTTAGAAATTCCCACTACCTTTGTGTCTTCTCCCATATGGGATCATCAGCCACATCCAGCCTGGTCCTTTTGTACAGCTCCCTAAATCTGCCTCTGCTTGCCATGCCCAGTCTGCTCTGGGTTATTGTGACTGCTCTCTGGCTGGCCTCATTGCCTCCTCCCAGCTCTCAGAACAGGTCATTTTTTTATGGCTTCACTTTAACGGTGTTTCCAATCACCCTTCAGCAACTCTCTACTCACTAAAATGAAAATCCAGACTTGGACAGTGGCTTCATAGCACTTCCTCAGCTAGCTCCACCCAGACCTTCCTGTTTGCCCTTGTCTCCCATTGTTCCCATTGTAACCTAGCTCACACCTTCAATCTTTAGCCTTTGTAGCTCAGTAAAGTCAGAGCTACCCCTCCCATCTCTGAAAGTTTAAGCCAGCTCCCTTGTGCTTAAAATTCTGTCTTCTTCTGTTCTTTCTAATTGACTAGCACAGTTAGATATTTGTCCTGAATCATTTTAGTTATTAATTCATTATTTCAACAAGTAAAGATTGAATACCTCTTTTGGGCTAGGCATTGTACTAGCCACTGGGGATGAAAAACAATCAGTAGGACAAGGTCTCTGCCCTCAAGGAGCTTACAGTCTGATGGAGGAGACAGACCTGTAACCAAATAATCACAATGCATTGCATGAAGTGTTACAGGGACTGTACACTTACAGAATGCTGGAGGTACACATAGAAAGTAGCCACAAATCCTATTGAGCGAATTGAGAAAGACTTCACAGAGGAAGTGGCATTTGAATTGATTAGAAAGGTGTCTAAGTGTTTTCCAGTTGAAGAAAGGAGTAAGGGCATTCTTGGAAGAAGGAACCCGTTGTTATATAAAAGTAATAGTTAGCATATGTTGGTTTTTCAAGTACATGTGATAGGGCAGAATATGTTTGAATTACAATGATAAATTCAGTATGGCTGGAGCATGGAGAAGGTGGAGAAGCTTATTAGAAAAACGAGGCTGGAGGGAGAGATTGGGACAAGATTCTATAAGCAGTAGGGAGCCTGTAGAGATCTTTAAGAGGGAGTAACTCGATCTGTTTTGGACCTGTGGCAGTTACAGTAAAGTTGGTAGACAGGTTGTAGGATTGCAGAGGTGATTAAAATGGTCCAGTGAGAGATGAGAGCTTGAACCAACGTGAAGGCAGAGGGAAGAGAGAAGAAGACATCTATAAAGTAAAACTGTCAGTGTTAGGAGTCTAATTAGACATGATGGAGCAAGAGAAAGCAGAGAGATGCCTCTCAAGATTTCTGACTTAGGATACCATTAACTGGGACAGAGAACAGAAGAGGAAGAAAGAAAATACTTTAGTTTCTGTTAGAGCAATTTGAGTTTGAGTCACGAATATACACGTAGAAAAGTTCAAAAGCAAATGAATGTGAAAGTGTGGTTCTCAGAAGGAAGTCAGCTCACCACTCAGCATGTAGAAATTCATCCATTCTCTAATACCTATATTTCTTTCCCTATATTCTGAGTGTTATGCTAATTGTACTCTTGTCTGCCCTAAAAATCAGGGGTCCTCCTCAATACCAGGCTTAAGTCCTTGCAGTGGCCTACAACACCCTACATGATCTGGCTCCTATCACTTTTCTAACCTCATTTCCTACTATTCTCTCCCAACCACATAGGCCCTTCTTGCTGTCTCTGGAACATACCTGGCATACCCCCACTTTCATATTTTACATTGGATGTTTTCTCTGCTTAGAGTGCTTTCCCCCCGGCCAGGTACAGTGGCTCACGCCTGTAATCTCAGCACTTTGGGAGGCCAAGGCGGGTAGATCACTTGAGGTCAAGAGTTCGAGACCAGCCTGGCCAACATGGTGAAACCCCATCTGTACTCAAAATACAAAAAATTAGCCAGGTGTGGCAGCACATACCTGTAATCCCAGCTACTCGGGAGGCTGACAAGAGAATCACTTGAACCCGGGAGGCAGAGGTTGCAGTGAGCCGAGATAGTGCCATTGCACTCCAGCCTGGGCGACAGAACGAGACTTCCTCTCAAAAAAAAAATAAAGAAAGAAAGAATCCTTTTCCCCAAGATGTTCACATAAGTAACTCCCTAACCTCCTTCAAGTCTTTGCTCAGTTGTTGCTTTCTCAATGAGACTTACTCTAACCACCATATTTAATCCTACAGCTGACTATCCTCGCTTCCCTGGCCACTCCCAATCACTCTTTTTCAATTTTTTTCAGCTATAGCACTAATGAGCGTCTAAACATACTGTATAATTTACCTACTTATTATGTTTTTTATTTATCAGTTCTGTCCCTCCCCTAGAATGTGAGATTCTAAAGGGCAGGATTTTTTCTCCCTTATTCACTGATATATATTAAGCACCTGGAACAGTGCTTGGAGCATGATAAACACTCAGTATATATTTATATTGGTCAAACAAATGAATGAAAGTGTAGGTTCTCACATCATTTGCTCTCCTAAACTTTCTGCTTGCCATGGGCCTTGAAACTCTTAGAGCCAAATAAAAATATAAGAAGGGGAAATGAGAAGATATAAGAATGATAACTCAGTACCATTGGGCACCCATGTGTTTCTGATATATTAAAAGAGTCTTTGTTAACTGGTCCCTTTCATGGTCTGTATTAGTTTCTTATTGCTACTGCAACAAATTACCACAAACTTCGTAGCTCAAGGCAATACACATTTATTCTCTTACAGCTCTGGAGGTCAGAAATCTAAAATCAGTCAGCGGACTACATTCCTTCTGGAGGCTCTATTTCCTTGCCTTTTAGAGGACTCTTGCATTCCTTGGTTCATGGCTCCTTCCTCCATTTTCAAATTGCATCACTCCAACTTCGGCTTCTGTCACTGCATTGCATTTCTGTGTCTTTCCTGCTTCCCTATTTCCCTTATTGTTGTGAGACTTTTCCTTAGTTCAGCTAAAGATGGGGTCTTTGTCACATGGCCATGAAAGATTAGGCTCACAGACAATTTGAAGGGTGAGAATAATGGGATTTATTGGGCAAAAGGGAAAAAAAGGGGAACAGGGACTCAGCAGAGTGAGAGTCCTTCTAGTATAGGCTTCCTGCCTCACAGATTAAATCTCAGGTTCCACCAAGGAAGAATAGGGACCAGGCTCCTCCCCGCTGCAAACAGCATGAGCTTCTGTGGCTTCACCCCGGTGCACACTCCTCCCAGTGCGCAGGCCAGCTGGAGTTTCTCTAGGACCCCTTCTCACCTGGCTGTCTCATTATGAGAACGCTTGTGATTACATTGAGCTCGCCCAAGTAATCCAGGGTAACCTACCCATCTCTAGATTCTTAACTTCATCACATCTACAAAGTCTTTTTTGCCATGTAAAGTAGCATATCCACAAATTCTGAGGATTAGGACTTCGACATCTTTGGAGAGCCATTATTCTGTCTACCACATGGTCCTTGTAGAATTTTGACTTAAGACAAAGATTGACAGAACTTTGTTCAAGGGTGTAACCTAGCTCTGAAGCCACTACATACCCTGGGGGCATATGTAGTTTCAGATGATCTAGAGCAACACTATCCAGTAAAACTTTGTGTGATAATGGAACTGTTCCATATCTACACTGTCCAATACAGTAGCCACTAGTCATATGTGACTTTTGAGCACTTGAAATGTGGCTAGTGAAACTAAAGAACTGAATTTTTAATGTTGTTTTAATTAACTTTAATAGCCACATGTGACTAGTGGTTACTATGTTAGACTGCACAGGCCTGGGGACTGACAGCAAGGAAAGTTTTTGTCTTGGCTTTAGCTTTGGGTAGAATTAAAAACAAAACAAAAAAATTATTACTGAGATTTTGTGGCACCAGCCTGCAACTAGGTTTGGAGTCTGAATATACATTATGTGAATAGTCCAAAAAGCCACAAGCCAAGAATTTTAATTTAAAGTAGACCTAGTTGTGCAGAGCATAGTGGCTCATGCCTGTAATCCCAGCACTTTGGGAGGCTGAAGCAGGAGAGTCGCTTGAGGTCAGGAGTTTGAGACCAGCCTGGGCAACATGGCAAAACCTCATCTCTACAAAAAAAATACAAAACTTAGCCCAGTGTAGTGACACATGCCTATTGTCCTAGCTACTCAGGAGGCTGAGGTTGGAGGATTGCTTGGGCCCAGGAGGTGGAGGCTGTAGTGAGCCATGATCATACCACTGCACTCCAACTTGGGCAACAGAGATAGACCCTGTCTCAAAAATTAATAAATAAATAAAGTAGACCTAGTTGTGTAATGCCTCAAGCACCAAGAAAAATCAAATAGAAATCTTTCATGGAAGAATGTACCCCTCCCAGACCTCATGGAAATCCCACAGAGGGTTCTGACAAAAATTAATTCACAATGAAAAATCACAATTTACACAAGAAAACTAACTACCAGGAAGGAGAAGTCAACAGGAAAAAAAAGACAAAATATAACCAGACTTTAGATACAGAAATTATATATGGAATATAAAACAGTTATGCTAAATATGTTTAAAGTAATAAGGGTAGAGAGCAAAGAGCAAGAGACTATCAAAAATGACCTGGTAGATTTGAAAAATAACTAAACAGAATACATAGAAATGAAAAATACAGTAATTGACATTAAAAACCTCAATGAAGCTTTATACATCAGTTGAAAATAAATTAGTAAACTGGAAAATAGGTCTGAAAAAAATTACACAAAATACAGCACAGAGGTACAAAGAGATGAAAAAAGTAAGAATGGTTAAAAGACATGGAGGACAGAAAAAGAAGATTCAACATTTATCTCCTTAGAATTCTAGAAAGAAAAAATACACAGAATGGCTATTATTAAAAAGCCAAAAATTAACAGATGGTGGTGAGGTTGCAGAGAAAAAGAAATGCTTATACACTGTTGGTGGAAGTATAAATTAGTTCAACCATTGTGGTAGACAGTGTGGCGATTCCTCAAAGACCTGAAGACAGAAATACCATTCAACCCAGCAATCCCATTACTGGGTATATACCCAAAGGAATGTAAATCATTCTAGGACACATGTACGTGTATATTCACTGCAACATTATTCACAATAGCAAAGACATGGAATCAACCTAAATGCCCAGCAATGACAGACTGGATAAATAAAATGTGGTACATGGAATACTATGCAGCTATAAAAAAGAAGAGATCATGCCCTTTGCAGGGACATGGATGGAGCTGGAAGCCATTATCCTTAGCAAACTAATGCAGAAACAGAAGGCCAAATACCACATGTTCTCACTTATAAGTGGGAGCTAAATGATAAGAACACATGGACACATAGAGAGAAACAACACACACTGGGGCTTATCAGAGGATGGAGGGTGGAGTATGGGAGGAGGGAGAGGATCAGGAAAAATAACTAATGGGTACTAGGCTTAATTACCTCGGTTATGAAATAATCTGTACAACAAACCCCTATGACACAAGTTTTCCTCAATAACAAACCTGCACTTGTACCCTGAACTTAAAAGTTCAAATAACAATAATAATAATAATAATAGGAAGAATATTAAAGTAAACCATGGCTGAATCTTCTCCAGAATTTCTGAAAACAACAATCTGCAGATTCAGGCCTAAGAAATTCCAGATAAGGTAAATAAAAAAGAAATTAATATCTCCACACATTATAATCAAACTACAGAACAACAAAGACAAAGACGAAATCTTAAACTAGAAAGAAAAAAAATGATCATGAACAAAAGAACAATTAGACTGATAGCTGACTTCTCAATAAGCAATGATGTAAGCCAGATTACAATATGATGTTGAAAGTGCTCAGAGAAAATAATTTCATCCTAAAATTATATATTCTTTGGGGAATAAAGGCAAAATAAAACATTTTAATATAAAAAATATTTAAAGAGTTTACCACCAATACTTCCTCACTAAGTAAGGAAAATTATCCAAAAAGCAAGTTCTGAGATACAAGAAAGAAAAGACTTTGGCTAAGAAAAAAAAAGTTAAGCATGTGGGTGATATTAATAATTTCTAATTTGTGGGATTAAAAAAAGACAAAAAGCATGGAATTTAAAGGCTTTACAATAGCAAGTCATGTTGTCATGGATTAGAATCACAGTATTCTAAAGGTCCCCATATTGTTTGAAAAGGGGACAAATATATTAACTCTAAACTTTATTAAATTAAGTAAGCATGTTAAAATTCCAAGGGCAACCCTAAAATAATAGGAAAAAGAATGAGTATCTTCCAAACTGATAGAAGAGAGGAAATGGAATGAGGAAAAATAAACCTTAATTAATTTAAAAAAGTCAATAAAGCAGCAAAAACACAGCACAGCAAAACATGGTAGAAATGGAACATATAGCCCAAAATAGGACAAAAATAAATAAATCTAAATATATAGCTTTTTCTTTAAAATACACTTTTGGAAATTTTAAAAACATATTTTTAAAGGTTTTTGTTTATTTTATTCATTAAACAATTTTATTTATTCATTTATATTTTAAATTTCAATTTTTATTTTAAATTCAAGGGGTACATGTGCAGGTTTGTTACCTGGATATATTGCATGATGGTGAGGTTTGGGGTACAATTGATCCCATAACCCAGGTACTGTGTTGTCCAGGCTGGTCTTGAACTCCTGGGCTCAAGTGATCCTCCCACATCAGCCAGACAGAATCTGGCTCTGTCGCCCAGGCCGGAGTGCAGTGGCACAATCTCAGCTCACTGCAACCTCCATCTCTCGAGTTCAAGCGATTCTCCTGCCTCAGCCTCCCAAGTAGCTGGGATTACAGGTGCCCACCACCACAACCAACTAATTTTTGTATTTTTGGTAGAGACGGCGTTTCACCATATTTGCCAGGCTGGTCTCAAACTCCTGACCTCAGGTGATCCTCCCGCCTCAGCCTCCCAAAATGCTGGGATTACAGGCATGAGCCACCACACCTAGCTCTCTCAGCCTTTTTAAAAGAGATGAAATTACATAAAATAACAATTATAACAATGTATTTTTATGTTCATAACCTATATAGATGTATATGTATGTATGACAATAATATCAAAAAGAGAGGGAGGCAGTGAAGCTAGGTAAAGTGTCTATATTTCACTGGAACTCAGTATAAATCTGAAGTAGATACTAGTAAGTTAAGATATATATTGTAACCCCTAGAGAAACCACTAAGAAAATAACTCAAAAATAAGTAATTTTTAAATTATGAATTAAAATGTTACAGAAAAAAATAACCACCTAATACAAAAGAAGATCATCAAAAAACAAAAAAGGTATATGGCATATAGAAAACAAAAGCAAAATGGAAGTGCAAATCCAAACATATCGATAACAACATTAAATGATTATAGATTAAACAATCTAATCAAAAGGTAAATATTGTCAGATGAGATTTTTTTAAAAAAGCAAGATCCAACAATCTGCTGTCTACAGAAAACAAACTTTATGTTCAAAGATGCAAATAGGTTAAAAGTAAAAGAATGAAAAATGATATGTCATGCAAACAACAACCATAAAAATCTGGAGTGGCTATACTAATATGAAAAAATAGACTTTATAACAAAATTAATTACTGGAGATGAAACAGACAGTTCATAATGGTAAAAGGGTCAATCTGTCAGAAAGATATAACAATTTTAAACATGTATGCACCTCACAACAGAGCCCCAAGATACATGATGCAATAACTGACAGAATGGACACAGAAAAAGGAAGAAATAGACAAACAGAATATTACATTCTCCAGAATGCACCATAGGCCAGGAATAAAATCATATAAAATATGTTCTCTGAATTGAATAAAAGTAGAAATTAATAACAGAAGGAAATTTGGGAAATTCACAAATATGCAGAAAATAAACTACACATTTCTAAATAACTAATGGGTCAAAGAATAAATCACAAAGGAAATTAGAAAATACTTCGGATGAATGAAAATGAAGAGGCAGCATACCAAGAAGCAGCTAAAGCAGTGCTCAGAAGGAAATTTGTAGCTATAAATGCCTATGTTAAAACAAAGAAAAATCTCAAATTGATAACTTTCTACTTTAAGAAACTTAAAAAAAAAAAAAAAAGAAAAGAACACACTAAACCCAAAGCAGGCAGAAGGAGGAAATAACAGATTAGAGCAGAAATAAGTGAACTAGAAAATAGAAAATACAGTAAGGAAAAATCAATAAAACCAAAAATTGATTCTTTGACAAGATCAACAAAATTAACAAAACTGTAGGTAGATTGACTAAGAAAAAAGAGAGAAGACTCAAATTGCTAAAATCAGAAATGAAAATTACCACCGATTTTACAGAAATAGAAAGGATTATAACAGAATGCAATGAACAATTGTACGTGAACAAATTACACTACCCGCATGAAATGGACAAATACCTAGAAACACACTAAATACCAAAACTTAAGACTCAAGAAGAAAAAGAAAATCTGAATAGACCTACAATAATTAAACAAATTGGATTAGTTATCAAAAAAAACCTGCCACCAAAGAAAGGCACAAGACTAGATGGCTTCACTGCTTAATTCTACCAAATGTTTAAAGAAAAATCAAATGCAATTCTTTCACTTTCTTTCCAAAAAATGAAAGAGGAAGGAACACTTCCTAATAATTCTATGAGGCTGTTATTATTTACAGATTTCAAAACTTACTACAAAGCTACAGTAACCAAAACAGAATGGAAGATAATATTTGCAAATCATATGTGATATGGGACTTGTATCTAGAACATGTAAAGAACTGTTACAACTCAAAAGAGAGATGACCCAATTTTAAAATGGGTAAAGAACCTGAATGAACATTTCTCCAAAGAAGATATACAAATGGCCAACAAGGGCATGAAAAGATGTTCAACATCATTAGTTATTGGAGAAATACAATCAAAACCACAATAAAATACCCCTGCACACCCACCAGGATGGCTACAATCAAAATGACAGATAATAACAAGTGGTGGCCGGGCACAGTGGCTCATGCCTGTAATCCTGGCACTTTGGGAGGCCAAAGCAGCAGATCACTTGAGCTCAGGAGTTCGAGACCAGCCTGGGCAACATGGCAAAACCCCATCTCTACAAAAAAAATTAGCTGGGCATGGTGGTGTGCACCTGTAGTCCCAGCTACTTGAGGGGTGGAGGCAGGAAAATCACTTGAACCCAGGAGGTTGAGGTTGCAGTGAGCCAAGATTGCACTGCTGCGTCCAGCCTGGATGACAAAGTGAGACCCTATCTCAAAAAATAAAAAAATAACAAGTGGAACAAAGATGTGGGAAAACGAAACACTCATACACTGCCCATGGGAATGTAAAAGTACAGCTGCTTTGGAAAACAGTTTGGCAGTTCCTCAAAAGGTTGAACATAGAGTTACCTTATGACCCAGCAATTCCACTCCTAAGTATATACCCAATGAAAACATATGTTCACACAAAAACATGTACACAAATGTTCGTAGTAGCATTGTTCATATTAGCTAAAAGGTAGAAATAACCCAAATGTCCATCAACTGATCAATATGTAAATAAAATGTGCTATATTCATACAGTGGAATATTATTTGGCAATAAACAGGAGTGAAGAAGCTGAAGACCACATATTGTATTATTCCATTCATGTGAAATGTCTAGAATAGGCAAATCCATAGAGACAGAAAGTAGATTAGTAGCTGCCGAGGGCAACATTCAGGGGGGTGAGAGGTGGGTAATGGAGAATGACTGCTAATAAGTATTGGTCTATTTTAGGGGAAACCAAAATATTCTAAAATTAGATTGTGCTGAGAGTTGCATAACCCTATGAATGTACTAAAAGGCATTGAATTGTATACTATGAATGGGTGAATTGTGGGGTATGTAGATTATATCTCAATAAAGCTATTTTTTAAAAGATGGTAGTGGCTTCAACTAGGATAATATCAGTGTAGACTGTGAGAAGTGGTAGGAATCTGTATGTATTTTGAAGGTAAGGTGAGTAGGATTTTCTCACATATTGTGTGTGGGATGAGGGAACACAAGGACTCAAAGATTTGTTCTGAGCAACTGGAATGATGGCGTGAGCAACTGAGAGAATGCTGTGGGAGGTGCAGTTTCAGATGATAAAGAGTTCAGTTTGGACATGTTGAGTTGGAAATGTCAAGTAAGTAGAAGGAAAAAAGATAAATGAATGTGGATGGATGGATAGATTGATCCTGATGGTAAGTTAGACTAGCATTACAAAATTGGGAGTTAATATATGGGTAGACTTTAAAACTATGAGTATGGATGAGATCACCAAAGAAGTATGTATAGCAAGAGAAGAGAAGATATCTAGAGACTGATCCCTAGGACAGTCCAACATTAAAATGTTGGAGAAATGAGGAAGAACTAGCAAAGAAGACTGAGAGAGAATAACCAATGAGGTAAGAGGAAAATTAGAAGAGTGTGTTGTCCTCTTGTGAAGAAAGTGTTTCAAGGAAGAGGGAGTGGCCAACTGTGTCATATGCTGCTGAGAAATCAAGTAAGATGAGAACTGAGAATTGACCATTGGATTTAGCAACAGTGTAGTCATGGGTAGCCTTGACAAGAGCAGTTTTGATGGAGCTAGGTGAAAAGGTCTGATTGATATACATTTAAGAAAGAATGTAAAGAGATAAGTCTCATTTCTATACAACAGCAATAAAAATCAAAAATGCAGTTTAAAAATATAACAATAAAAATATAAAGTGTCTGGGAATAAACCAAACAAAAATGTGCTAGGAAGAAATTATAAAACTTTATTGAAATGGAGAGGCCAGGCACAGTGTCTTCATGCCTATAATCCCAGCACTTTGGGAGGCCAAGGTGGGAGAATCACTTGAAGCCAGGAATCTGATACTAGCCTAGGCAACAAAGTGAAGCTATGTCTTGTTCACAGGTAGGGAGACTCAGTATTGTAAAGATATCCTTTGCAATCAATATATAGTCTGAATCAATCAATATAGTCATTGTAATTCCAATAACAATCCCACAGGGTGTTTTTATGAAATTTGACAAGCTGGTTCTAAAATTGACATGGGAGTGCAAGAAAAGCCAAGGCATTCTTGAAGAGCAACAATAACTTATTCTTATCAGATATTAAGATTTATCATACAGCTATAGTATTTATAACAGTGTAATATTGGTGCACAGGTTGACAAATAGGCTAATGGAACAGAACAGAAAACCTGAAAATAGACCTATACCTATTTGGAAATTTGATATCTGACAGGTAGCATTGCAGATCGGTCAAGGAAAGAGTGAATTCTTTAATAAATCATGTTGGGGAAAAATGGTTATCCATACAGAAAAAATAAAATTAGATTCCTACCTCACACCAAACACAAAACTCAATTCTAGGTATATTAAATACTTTTAGAAGAAAACATAGTTCAGTGGTTCTCAACTTGCAGTACCACCATCTACAGAACATTTGAAAATATATAGAGTATGTTAGATTGTTATGATGACAGGAATAGTGCTAGAGGCATTTAGTACTCAGGGTCTAGGGATGCTAGGTGTCCTGAGACGTAAGAGCCAGCCCCATATTATTTGTCCTGCCCCAAATGCTAGTAACTTCCCTACTCACAAAGAAATACTGATACAGGATAATTTCTCTAGTCTTGGGATAGGGGATAATTTCTGTAAAAAAAAAACATAAAGTACCGACTATAAAAGAAGAGAGTAATAAATTCAATTACCTTAAAATGAAGTGGCTCTGTTCACAAAAAAAAAGAAAGAAAAAAAAGAAAAAAAAACCCTAAAGTGAAAAAGCCACAAAGTGGAAGAACATCTTTAGTACTCATATAACTCACATTCAGAATCTACAAACTTCTATATACCAATACATAAAAAGACAATCCCGCTAGACGTGGTGGCTCACACCTATAATCCCAACACTTAGAGATCTCGGTCGAGGCAGGAGGATTGCTTGAGGCCAAGAGTTTGAGACCAACCTGGTCAACATAGTGAAACCTCATCTCTAAGAAAAAAAAAAAGAAAAAAAAAATTATCAGGACATGGTGGCTCATGCCTGTAGTCCCAACTACTCAGGAGGCTGAGGTGGAAGGATCACTTAAGCCCAGGAGTTTGCAACTGCAGTGAGCTATGATTGCGCCACTGCACTCCAGCCTAGGCAACAGATTGGAGACCTCATCTCAAAAAAACAAACAAAAAAAAAGATAATCCAGAAGAAAAGCAAGTAAAAGATATGAACAAGCCTTTCACAGAAGAGGAAACCTGAATGACCAAGAAACATGAAAAGATGCTCAACCTCCTTGGTAATCAGGGAAATGTAAATTAAAACCACAATAAATGACGAAAGAAACCAACAACATGAGATTCCATTTTAATCCACCAGATTGGAAAAAAAATAATGTAATTTAAACAACACTAAGTGTTAGTGATGATGTGGAGCAGTTAGTGAAGACTTCTGATGGGAGTATATATTAAACAACCAACTTGGGAAACAATTTGGCATTATCTAATAACTTTCAACATGTGTATACTTTACAACTCATTAATTCCACCCCTATAAATAGACTTGAGAAACTTGCACAGGTGTACTATAAAGAAAGTTTATAGCAACATTGTTCAGAATAGCAAGAAAACTAGAAACAACAGATATTTGTGGTATGGTAACACAGTGAAATACTATGAAACAATTAAAATGAATGAACTGATGCCAATAACAATGTGAAAGATTCTCAGACACATAATTTTGTGTAAAAACAACTTCAAAAGAAGTTTAGTGTGATACCAATATTTACAGTTCAAAACCAAGCAAAACTAAAAAGTATCTTGTTAAGGATACTTGTATATGTGGGAAGACTAAAGAAATGCAAGGGAGTGATTTTTAGAAGCTCTCAATAGTGGCTTCCTCTGGGAGAAAGGCAGGGTACCTCTAGGGTGGAGGAAGTGTGCAGGGAGCATCAATGGCACTGGTCATGTTCTATTGCTGAAGGTCAATGGTAAGTTCACAGGTGCTTATTCTATTATTAGACTTCATAACTTACGTATGTATTAAGTATTTTACATGTAGAAATTACATACAAATATGATTTACATATATTAAGAATTTTGTATGTATCAATATCATTTTTAAATGAAGAATGGAGAGGAATACTCTCTGACACTTTCAGAGTAGGAGCTGCAGAAGAGATAAAGACTCTTATAATGGAAAACATTTAAAATCTACTCTCAGCAATTTTCAAGTATACAGTGTGATATAGTTTGAATATTTGTCCGCACTCAAATCTCAGTTTGAATTGTAATCCCCAGTGTTGCAGATGGGGCCTAGTAGGAGGTGATTGGATCATGGGGGCAGATCCCTCATGTTTTGATGCCACCCTCGTGATAGTGAGTCATGAGATCTGGTTATTTGAAAGTATGTGGCACTTCCCCCCATCACTCTTGCTCCTGCTTTCACCATGTGATGTGCCAGCCCCCCATTTGCCCTCTGCCATGATTGTAAGCTTCCTGAGGCCTCATCAGAAGCCAAGCAGATGCCTGGCACCATACTTCCAGTGCAGCCTGCAAAATTGTGAGCTAATTAAACCTCTTTTCTTTATAAAGTACCCAGTCTCAGATATTTCTTTGTAGCAATTCAAGAACAGCTTCATACACAGTACATTATTGTTGTTGTTGTTTTTGTTGTTGTTGTTATTTGAGATAAGGTCTGACTATGTTGTCAAGGCTGGTCTCAAACTTCTGAGCTCAAGTGATCCTCCTACCTCAACCTCCCAAGTAGCTGGGATTAAAGGCACACACCACCATGCCCAGCCAGTACATTATAATTAACCATAGTCATTGTGCTGTACAGTACATTTCCAAAACTTACTCCTCTCATCTAACTGAACTTTGTTCCCTTTGACCAACATCTCCCCACTCTCCTCCCCACAGCCCTGAAGGATATGTTAATTTGCTTGATTTAATCCTTTCACAATGTATGTATATATTAAAACATCACATCATATACCATAAATATATACACTTTTGTCAACTTAAATAATTAACTTTTTTTGAAAGAAAAAAATTTTTAAAAACTCTTTTAAGAGGATACAACCCTTCACAGCAGCAGTGTTGCCTTTAGAGACACAGTCTCCCTGGTTTCCCCATTACACCCCATTGAGCCAAAGGCAGGCTGCAGACAGCAACATGGCTCTTCCCCAGCTAGGTCAGGAGTACAGGAAAAAGCATGCCCTCTCTTATGATCAAGGGTGTGCTCAGTCACTGAGCCTGCCAACATTGTCATGGGATAGCAATTGAAATAGCCAGGGGAAAAACCAACAGACTTTGCCACGGTGGGTAAATTTTGGGGTATCTGAAGGTGGGAAGTGAGAGGGTGGGCAGAAACCACTGGGCTAGTAGAAAGATACCTAGTTTCTTTCTAATGGCATCTTCTACTAGCTCGTGTGACCTTGGGCAATTGACTTCCCTTCTCCACACTCAAATTTCTCCTCAGTCCTCTTCAAGGTTTAACTAGAACACACATTAAGATCATTTCCAGCCTGAACACCCTAGGATTCTGATTTTAAGTCTGCTTAAGGGGAAAACAGTTTGCATATTTACACTCCTAGTCTCCAAGTTAGTGAGTAACTAAGCTCCTCTCTATTGTTCAGAGCCTTTGAAAGTATTGCTGAATTGGCTCTCTGGAAGTATAGAAAAACAAACCCACGTGCATCTACAAATGGCCATTCTTGAATAAGAAACTCCCATTCACACAATTAGCCTTGAGAATGTAGATAGAAGTTTAAGCAAAACTGTCCTTCAAGTCTGTGCAGTCTGTCCTTCCTCCTCCAGACTGCCTTTGATTACAGTGCTTCCTGTCTCTCTGTATGTAGCCCTCATGAGTTCTTCCTTGCGTACGCATTTTGAGGGGGAAAAAACTTTCCTTGTCAAGTTTTCCTCACATAACCTCCCTTACCTCTGCATTTTCCCTGTGCTTTAAAACAGCCACAGTAGCTAAGAAGAGACTTCAGTATGCAAAATGAGCTTTGTCCCTGGGAGATGGACTAAGGGTTAAATTAAAGGGACAGCTGTCTATACAGCTGGCTAGAATGAGAAGAGTGCTAGGCAGCATTTGGGCTGGCTGCCTCTCACTTTTATTCCTTCCCAATTTTTGTCTCCCTTCCACCCCTCTGGCCAGGGGTGCTGAGCAGCAAACTGCTCAGACAGAGCTCCTGGGCATTTTCCAATAGGAAGCTGGAGCTGAGGTGACCTAACTTCCTTATGTCCTAACTTCCCCCAGACAAAAGATGTTTAAGCCTCAAATTTGGAACTGGAAAGGAAATCTAAAATGTACAAACTACTTTTTCACTTGCAGATAATCACCCTTTCCTTCTTCCAAATCTTCTGACCTTGTTTAAAATTAATCTTTTGCTCTTAGCACTTTTTTCCCCCCTTGAACTATAGTTGTTTTGTTTTGTTTTTTAGCAGCACTTTTGAGGAACTCCTTTTTTAAAGGCAAGAGGGACTATGTGTTACTCTGGGTGAGTCACTGTTCTTTAGTCGATGCTGGTGAGAATCTCAAGGGTTGACAAAGATTGCCAAGGGTGGCTGCAGTCCAGCACCCAAATGCTCACATAATTTGCCCCTGTTTCCATTTTATGGTGAAAATAATCAAGGACAAGAGGAGGAGGGGATTTATGAGAATAAATAAGATACTGTCTTACAGCCAAAGCAACATTCAGATTCTCAGCTGGCAGAGGAATTCTTGAGACTGATCTGTAGTGAAAGCATGAGCAAACTGCTAAATGGAATGCAAAGAGAACCCTGGGCTTAATCTTCGTTCCAGGCAGTCTACAGAGGCGTCTCAGAGCAGTACTATTCCTGGAAGGCAAAGTGCTTACCCACGCACTGCCCCGCCCCCAGCGTGAGAAATTCAGGGCTCCATAACTGTGCCAGCACCCTGGCTCTTATTTCCGCAGTCCAGTTGCTTTGGTGAAATAGGAGTGTACGCTGCCTATCCATGAAAGGGCAACTCTGAAAGCGATTTATAAACTGTAAAGTACTAGGAGACGTCAGGTGGCCCTGTCACTCACCCATTTCTATTGTACGCTGCACTCTTTCAGTTGTCTTTTACCATTATTGGACAAAAACCACAGAATTTTGTGGTGAGAGGTCAGGCCCTGCATATAATCAATCATGCACAAGTCCCAAGGGATAGAAGCATAAATCGGCCTTAATTCTGGATTTCCCCGTCTACACATGGAGAGAATTTGCCAGTCAGCGACCTCACAAAGACATCATAGAATGGTCAAGAAATGACCCTAAGAAAGCTCTTGGTGGGGGGATTGCTTTAAAGCCTTTTGAAGGAAAGACTCTCAATTCCAAAATGCCATTATTATTTCTGCATTGAAGTAAAAACCCTTGTGTTTATATAGCCTTTGATTCTGATGTCAGATATCTGATGACTCCCCACAACTCTGCTCTGAAGTGAGGAGAAGGCAGTCATACTGGAGTCTCTGTATCCAGTGGCGGGGCTCTGCACAGAGTAACTGGACTAGGAAGATCAAAGAGCCAAGCCCCATCCACTTTGCAGGGTGGGTCAACCTTGGGCCATATTAAAGGACTTCTACCTCTGGTTAGTACCTCCCCTAGGCTCTACATTTAGTAAACAAAGGAACTCGAAATTTGTGATGAAATTAAATAAAAAAACAAGAACTTCATCATTACATTCATCCATCTGCCCATTGTTTATTTTGAGTGTGTGCTTAACAGCACTTTCCAGAACAAAGTAATCCCTAAGTAGAGACAAAGACGCCTCTAATACCAGGGCATCGGGGAGTGGGGGGTGTTACATTCCTTCCCTCCCCATCCTCCTTTTCCCAAAGCCCATCCAGCTGACAGGTGCCAGAAGCGAAGAAATGTTAGCAAATGTTAGTTTCCAGCCCCAAAGAAGCTGTCACAAAAGGGAGACAGAACAAGGCAGCTCATAAAATCCTTCAACTGAGGGACGTAGCGAGACCTATCTAATTACATAAGATTAGAAACGGTTTAACGAGTTGAGAATGTGCTACATGTGGAATGAAAGAAAATGACACCTCTGGCACCCTGTAATGATACTGTATTGGGAGGAAAGCACAAAGGGTTTGTTCACGCTATCAGTAACACCAGTTTTTCCTCATCCAACATTTTAGACACATCTGGTTTTAATATGGTGGTCTAAGTGAAGTAAGTTAACTTTTCACCCACTGTTCTGGCCCTCCTTTTCTTTCTTCACTGTACAATTCCGTTTGTGTTGGCATTGTCCCTCTCTCACCCATGCCTCCCAAGCTAACAGAGGCAGAAGAGGATTACACTGAGAAACTTTGCTTACCTCTGGGCTCTCCAGTATTTTACTGCTCAAATTATACTAACAATGATTTGGAAGCAAGACTAGTCTTTGTTTCAGCTAAATTCAACGGATTTTAGCTTTGACCTTCTGCCTAATTTATTAAACTACCAACGCTGAATAAGAACTCCCTAAGCAATCAATGAGTCACAGAACATTCCTGGATTTTGAAAATTTGGGAAAGATCATCTCCATTACTCTTAAGTAGAATGCCCAGGAAATCTGGTATTTGCCCAACTGGTTTCTAGCTAACATAGTATTAATTGACAATTTTGTGCCTGTGTTAGCCAAAATAATAATAATTTTTTAAAGTCTTTGGTGATTATATGCTGAAGAACTACAAGATAGGTGTATTTCCAGTAAAAGTAGAACTTTCAAACTACAAAATGAGTTCCCTTCTACACATCTCTTTTCAGAACAGAAAAAGGGTTTTATTCTCCCACACCCAGAGAAAAGATAGTAGAATTTTTCAAATGGCTACTATTAAATGCCAAAGTTTGGAATTTTTTTAGTGCTTTGATATAAATAATGTTTACTCATTTTTTACCCTCTTTAGATTTGTGCCTCACAGCACTTTTACAAACAGCAAGTGTATAATTCTAAGCTAGTAGGTACTGTCGACTCTGAATACAGGGTACCATTTGAATTGTGCTCAACACTGACTCTTTGGGATCCTTTCCTGTGTTCTGAGTTCTCTCTGGAGTACAGATTTTAGTTGGAAGGAGAGGGGCATGAATGATCTCCAGGTCCTCTGAAAGATGTGAAGTCTTTCAGGTGGCTTCTGGTGTATTTTTTCCTCCATCTGAAAGCAGTCCAGTAGGGCACTTCTGTAGCTAATGCCTTAACCCCAAGAAGTGACTAATAGTGAGACATTTGTGCCACCTGGTAAGCTGGCAGGGGTGGATGGTTTAAGGCAAGTGTAATATTCAGTGCCTGAAACATCACAGGGATGTCTGTCTGTGTAGAGTTGGTACCTACTATTGTGGCATGAAGGGACTAGCAAGAATTGCTATATATAGACTTGACCTAAGAGATGTACCATTTTTACTACATTCAGAGTCAGCAGCCCTTTATTAAGCACATACTATGTGCAAAGCCTTGTTAAGTTTCTGTGAAGTTCTCTGTAATGTATTAATAGATTTCTTTTTCAAAGTGGTCAGGGAATTTCAGCAATCATTTACTGACTACCGCTATATGCAGGCATTGTGCTGGGGATACCAATATGAATCAGAGGTGTGCCCTGATTTATGGAGCTCAGGGTAAAGTGTGAGAAAGAAAAAATTATGGTACAGTGTGAGAGTAGAGGTTCCTTGCAAAGAGCTTTGCGAATGTATAGAGGGGAATGATTAATTCGCTCAGGAGGTGTCAGAAGGGTTCACAAAGGAGATGATATTTGAGCTGTTTCTTAAAGAGAGGGTAGAATTTCACCAGGCAGACAGGAGAGGGGGAAGAGAATTCCAAGCAGAGGGAACAGTGTGTGCAAAAGCTCATTAAAGCATTTAGAGAGTTCTTTTTACCATCACTTGAGAGGGCAAATATAAGTTGTACTAATGTTGAGTTTGGATTTTTTCCTCATGATTACATTGCCATTTTTAAATACAGGACATGATATTTTAAGGCAATGACAAGAAAAGGCCTGATACATTTGAAAGCTCTCCTTATTAAGCTGTGATGCTTTATCTAGTTAGTGCCTTGCACATATAGCAGGCCCTCAATAAATGCTTACTGAATGATGAGTTCCCTATCTCTTTCCATTTATAAATTACTGCACTGTCAAGGATCAGCTTACAAAGCAAAACTTCTGCCTGTGAGTTAGGAATGGGTATTCACAGTTCTGCTTTCTGTCACCCCAGCCTCCCCTACTCTTGTGAAGAGTGACTCTGCCACTGGGCCTTAACTGTGTTTCTGAGAAGTGGGGAAAACTGCTCTTGCTTTGAGTCCTCAGTAACACAGATTCCTACATGGAGGGCCTCTACATCACTGAAACCCAGATAAGTGCCATTTGAATGGGACAGTCCTCATGTTGATGACATAGGAGTTGATGTCCAAGGAACTTTAGTGATACTGGCTAATACAGGTACACCTCACATTTTAAATTTTATAGTACAGCCTAAATGTGATTGATCAAACATTTTCTATGGCAATAATAAAGATATGAGTTGTCTGTGCTGAACAGCCTTGACAGCAAAATATGGTACTGCCTGTTCTGTTTTTTTAAGGAAGAGAAGATAAACTTTTATTATTTTTATAAATTATGCAATAACCTTTAGGGTAACGATAAATTTTTGCCTTGAAAATCACCAGGGAATAGATGACAGAGAATGCAGTTAGACATAAACCATTTGCAAATTATATGCAAGTACACTTGTAACCCTTTTATTGGGTGTCTGGATCCAGTCTTTGGGAAAATTCCCATCAGGGAATCTTGTTTCATTGTGACTCTAAAACATATTAAAGATATACTTCTTCAGTTCCAAATCTTGGCAGCTATGTGACTGGCTCTTTCAGGCCTAATCTCTATAGCTACACTTTTCTGGTGGCCACTATACCAGGCCACAGAATGTAATGTCTTTCATCCTCTGAGCTACACTGTGAAATTATCATTCCACAAATAGTCATTGAGTGCTTCCTTGAGCCAAGCACAATGCTAGGTTCAGTGTGCCTGAAGTAAATAAAATAGCTATACACTATAGGGTGACTATAATTAACAACAATTTCTTATATATTTTCAAATAGCTAGAAGAGTGAATTTTGAATGTTCCCAACAGAAAGAAATATAATAAATGTTTGATATGATGGATATGCTAATTATCCTGATTTGATCTTTATACATTATATACATGTATCAAAATATCACACTGTTAATGGGTACAAAAATATAGTTAGAGGCAATGAATAAGATCTGGCTATCAAATTAGCCAACAGGGTGACTATAGTCAGCAATGATTTGTTGTACATTTTAGAACAACTGAGGGAGTACAACTGGAATGTTCATAACACAAAGACATGATGAATGTTTGAGGTGATGGATACCCCATTTACCCTAATGTGATATTACACATGTATGCCTGTATCAAAATATCTCATGTACTCCACAAATATGTGTATGTGCTATATACCCACAAAAATTAAAAATTAAAAAAAATTAAGGGAAAAAAGAAATATCACACTGTACCCATAAATATGTATAGTTATTGTCAACTAAAAAAATAATAAAAAATAAGGCATCCACATCCCTGCCCCCCATGGTACCCTCAGCCTGGTAAAATAGCTCATAATCTCCTTTGGGATCATGGTCCCTTTTGAAAATCTGATTCCGACTGTTCTTATATTACTTAAATATTAGGGTGGCAGCTTCCTGTCTCCCTAAAGAAAGCCAAGAACTTTTGTCCCTAGAACATGGGATCTTGTTAAATCCAGTATAGGAAGTCATTCTTCCTAGAGGTTAAGCTTTGTTTTCTTTTGGAGCCTGTGGCTGGGTAAAAAGAACATGAGCTTTTGAGCCAAACAATTTGGGGTTCTGATCCTTTAACTAGAAGTGTGATCTTGAGTAATTTCCCCAGTCTCTCAGAAGCTCAGTTTCTTCATCCCTAAAATGGCGATCCTCATTATCCACCTTGCAGGGTGGCTGTGAAGATTGAATGCTTCTGTGTGTACAAAGCACCTCTCATAAGGTCAGTGCTCTTATCAGGGCTAGTAAGTGAGAAAGCCATATTTTGAACCCAGATCTTGCTGACTCAAAACCTAGGCTCTCTGCTTCCTCACAAAGCCTTTGAAAATACCGGATCATATTTAAGCCTCACAAAACTCCATAATGGAGGGAAGAAACAAAACAGCTGAAGATGCTAATTTGTTTCGAGACACTTAGGATATCTGTGACAAAGCTAACACCAACTCCAGAGACTCAGTATCCTTTTTTAGCTATGAATGCTCAGCGTGTCTCCCTGTGCAGTTGTGTCCATTCCTTTCATAAGCATTTATTGCCTACCACTGTGTGCCTGACTTGGTTTAGGTGCTTCTGGTGATTTAAGAGGCATGATCCATGACTTCTAGGAAGTTATAGACTAGTGGAAAGGCAAAAGCTGCACCTGACAACCAATTAGAGAAAAATTACACAAGACAGTGCATAAACAAGTATTAATAATGTAGCTAAAACTAATTGTATTAGTCAGCTCAGGCAGCCATAACAAAATACCATAAACTTGATGGTTTAAACAACAGAAATTTATTTTCTCACAATTCTGGAGGCTGGAAGTCCAAGATCAAGGCACCAGCATGGTCAGTTTCTTGTGAAGGTGCACCTCATGGCTTGCAGTCAGCCACCTTCCTGCCACATTCTCACATGGCCTTTCCTTGGTGTGTTTGCAGAGAGAAAACTCATAAGGACACTAATTTTATCAGATCAGCTACCCCCTTCACCATGACCTTATTTAACCTTAATTACTTCCTTGCTCCAAATGCAGCCACATTAGGGGTTAGGGCTTCAACGTGTGAATTGGGGTAGGAAGACACACAATTCATTCCATAGCAGTGTGTGTGTGTGTGTGTGTGTGTGTGTGTGTGTGTGTGTGTAATCACTGTGGCATTTGTATAGACAAAGGATTACAGAGAGATACCAAGAGAACTAGAAAGGCCAGTTAGGAGGCCTTTGTGGTCCTCTAGATTCCAGATCCATTTTGGAGGTAGACCAACAAGACTTGATGAAGTAGATATAGGAGTGAAGGAGAGCAAAGGCTTACCAAAGACCCCAAGGCTCTTTCTTGGGCAAGTGGGTGAATGGTTGATTAATAAAGGGAACACTGAGGGAGGAGTTGTGGGGTGGGACTTGGGGGATCAGCGCATCTAGACTGGTATCCCTCCAGTCTTCCACCCATAATCCATCCTTCATATCAGTTATTTTGTAACAGTTCAACTTTAATCATGTTATCTACCTGCTTCAAATACACAAACACACACACACACACCCTCCCAGAACTTATAAGTCTGAAATTCTTAGCGGAGAACACAAGATCGTTCTAGATTGGGCCCTAATCTATTTTTCCCACTATGCTATCCCTACTCCTGCCCTAAACTCTGATTCCACTATGCCTTTGACCAAGGTACTTCTTCTACTAGGAATATCCTTCCTCCTACTTGCCTGCTGGATGAAGTCCTACTCTTCCTTCAAATTCCAATCCCCATGTCATCTGTCTGTGAAGTCCTCCCTGGCCACCCCTCCCCTCCATAGTTTATCACTCCTTTCCCTGCGATCCTATAATATCTGACACACATAGTTAACTTGAGACCTTATTATATTGTATTGTAATTCATTTACTCATCTGTCTCCTCAACTATACTAAATTCAAGGGCAAAAACTGTCTGATCCTCCCCTGCATCCCTAATTCCTACCACAGTCCCTGGAAACAAGCAGGTACTCAGAAAGAAGAAGTACAACAAGCACTCATGGAGTGATTACTATGTGCCTGGCACTGTTTTAAGTGCTTTAGATGCGTTATTTATCTGTATCCTCACAACACAACAACTATTATTATCCCCATTTCATAGATGGCTTGCCCAAGTTGACAGAATTAGTAAGTGGCAGGGCTAGGATTCAGACCCAGGCAGGGTGGCTCTGGAGTCTGAGCTCTTCACCACTACCCTACACAACCTCTCTTGCCACCCCACTGTTTTCCTGTCTGTTATTTACTTGGAGCCTGGGAGCTGCTTTGATGATGACGGCAGGGAGTGAGGGAATTACTCTACTAAAACCAGAGGCTATAGCAGGAAGAGAGCTACAGAAACCCGCCCTGCTGGCCTCCATCTTTCCCTTTCCTCCTGCTACTAAACTCCTTAAGCACGAGATAGCACATCCTTCTGCAGGGAGAGGAGCAGCCACTGGAGGAAGCCAAAGGATTTCCCTCTTCCCTCCAAGTCTCACTTTTCTACCCTACATGGCTCCCAGCTTCTCCCTGCCCCAACCATTTGTAGCCAAGGAACTAGGCTTAGCTAACCCATGGGAACTCCAGTTCACACGCAGGCTTAAATTGAGTGTGTGCCCTCTAATATCCCCAGTGGGGCCTAGCTCATTGTGCTCTGCCTATGATTTTGTTTTGTTTTCTTTTGTTTTTGAGGAAGAGTAGAGTTTTCGGTTTTGATTCCCTCAAGAAAGAGAGGTCCCTGCTGTTCTACTCTGAACTAGAGCTAGTTCAGCTCCAGAGTGGAGCCCCTCAGGCTAATATAGCAAATAGAAAGAGAAGGTGGCAATCAGGGCAACAACTGCACAGTTGTGTCCATTCCTCCACTTCGCATTCCCTCAGCATTTAGGGACTTGGCTTTGTGCTGTTTTGTTTAGATTTTGAGAATGTTCTGAAGAGTAGAGATGACACAGGGTAAAGATAGGGTTCCTGAAGCCGGATACACCCAGGTTTGGAGTCCAGCTTCACCACTTACTAGCTGTGTGAGGCAAGGAAGTTATTTAACCTGTGTCTTATCTGTTAGGTTCCTCATCTGTCATGGAGCTAGTATAGTACCTGCCTCATAGGATGCTTGTTAGGATTTAATGAATTGATCCACATGAAATGCTTAGAACTGTACCGGGTTCATAAGTGCTCTGTAAACATTAGCTGATACTATTTTTTAAATATAGTATAGTAACAGAGAATATAACAAACACACTTATTCCCACCATTCAGAATTAAAATGTGTTAAGATTTTATCTTATCTTTAAATCCTTAAAAAAAAAATCATACATAAGTTGAATATCCTGTGTCCTTCATTCCCAGTCCTATTCCTCTCCCAATGCCCCCAAGGCATCCATTGTCATAAATTTGATGTGTATCTTTCCAGTTCATTTTCACCATGATCATAAACAAGATTTGGAATTTGGGGGAAATGATTTTTTTTAATTGGGACAAATAGTACCATACTGTACATATTGTTTTGCAATCTGCTTTTTTCATTCAATATTTTTTCTCCTTTTATTGTTTTATTCAGTGAAGAGACATTCAATGTTGTTTCTAAGATCTACCCACATACATCCATTTCAGGCCATTAAACTGCTTTATAGTATCTCATCCTGTGGATATTCTGTGTTTTATTTAACCATCCACATCTTTATGGACATTTGGATTGGTCCTAATTTTTTACCACCACAGTCCATTGCAATGAGCATTCTTACACTTGGTCCTTGGGCACATGTGCAAGTTTCTGTAGAACACAGACCTGCAAATGGAATTGCTGGATCATGAGGTCTGTGCCTTTTCAATTTTACTAGACACTGTGGACCTGGCAGAGGCGGTAGAGTACAGTGAGTAAGAGTGTGACTTGAGGTCTGATATATCTAACTTCAAATCCCAGCTGTGTTACTCCCCAAACTGTGTGACTCAGCAATTCTTTGTGCCTCAGTTTCTCTATCTGTAAAATGAGGAGAACAGTATATATTTCATAGGGTTGTTGTGTGGATTAAATGGGATAATGCATTTAAGGTAGGCTACTGAGCAAAACATGGTAAGCTATTATTCTTTTTTATTATGTCTTATCACATATTTCCCCCTCAAATTTGAGAGTAGACCTTTTGTAAAGTGTAGATATGTGAATATAAAAAATACTAGAAAGACATTCATCAAAATGTTAACCAGTGTTGGAAATAGGAGTGATCTTTTTTCTTTGTGCTTTTTTATTTTCCAAGTTTTTTGTTTGCTTGTTTTTTCGTTTTGGTTTTGGTTTTGAGATGAGGTCTTACTCTGCAGACAGGCTGGGGTGCAGTGGCGTGATCATAGCTCACTGTAGCCTCGACCTCCTATGCTCAAGTTATCCTCTTGCCTCAGCCTCCCAAGCAGATGAGACTACAGGCATGTACCACCATGCCTGGTTAATTTTTTAATTTTTTTGTAGAGACAAGATCTTGCTATGGTGCCCAGGTGATCTAAAACTGGTGGCCTCAAGTGATCCTCCTGCCTCGGCCTCCCAAAGTGCTGGGATTACAGGCATGAGCCACTGCACCCAGCCTTTTCCAAGTTTCCTACAAATGAAATGTATTAACTTTGTAAGTAAAAAACAAAATCACAATAAATGCAATTTTTAATGGAAAAGAATGTAAAGTAACTGAGATTTTTGGAAAAAAAAAAAGAATTTTCTTTCTGGTGAGCAGGAGCTCTGCAAGAATAGTAAAAGAGGTCCTAAGAAATAGCTTTGTAAAAGTTGAAAAACAATGTAAATGTTTACCAGTAGAAGATTGGCAACATATGATACATGTGAAAGAATCTCCAAGATAAGGTATCTAAATGAAAAGGGAATTACAGGACACCGTGTACAATGTGTTTTCTTATTGTATCAAAATGATATTTTTATGCTTACATATGCAGTCTGTCTCTTGAAAGAGTTACAAAAACACTGGTAAGGGAACTGGGTATCTAGGACACAGCAAGGACTTATTCTTTTACAAAATATCCTTTTCTGCCTTTGGAATTTTTAACTAAATACATATATTACTTACTCAAACTTTTTCAATACAATGGTTTTAAAGTAGTTTATGCTAGAATGTAACAGACTTTTTGCAATTATTGTCAGTATCTCCTCAACTACCTTTAATCTAGCCTCCAAAGTTAGGGCGGGCAGGCTAAATTGGGGCCCTTGTTTGCCCTGGTGTCTGGCTCTAGAGTCTATCCTCTTACCAGCTGGTTGTACCCCCCACCCCAATGCAAGAATGATTCAAAAGTTAACCAGGCACAGAAGGGTGGAAAGTGATTCCAGCAGAGCATAACAGCCTGAGTAGAGTGGATGCATGTGGGTTTCTGTCTGTGTGCAACTACAAACAATTGTGTAAAAATTGTAAGGTGGAAAATGGTAAGAGATGCAGCTAGAGAGGTGTTTGGAGGCCAAGCTGTGGAGCCAACTCTTTATTAGTCATGCTAAATAGCTTAGACCCTCCTACCAAAGTTGTGGTGTCCCTAAAACTTTTACAGTAAGGGAGTAACAAGATCCATTTTGTATTTTTGAATTTACTTAGGCTGCTGTGTAAAGGATGAATTTGAGAGGGACATGACTGGAGATAGGAAGAGCAACTCAGAAGCTGTTAAGAGATGATGCAGGCCTGAATTTAAAATGTGAGCTAGGATTTGAACTCAGGCCTGCCTGACTCCAAAAATCAAATGTTATTATATTTCTCCATCTAACACACTGCCTGAAGAAATGAACAATTGAGTTTCTTTGTGCCAGCTTTCCCCACACTGATGCCAGAAGTACACCAGCAGATATATGTCTTTATCTACACTGAGACAAAGGGGAAAAGGCTACCTCTTTTTTTTTTTTTTTTTTTTTTGAGATGGCATCTCACTCTGTCACCCAGGCTGGAGTGCAGTGGCGTGATCTTGGCTCACTGCAAGCTCCGCCTCCCGGGTTCACACCATTCTCCTGCCTCAGCCTCCCGACTAGCTGGAACTACAGGTGCCCGCCACCATGCCCGGCTAATTTTTTGTGTTTTTAGTAGAGACGGGGTTTCACTGTGTTAGCCAGGGTGGTCTCGATCTCCTGACCTCGTGATCCGCCCGCCTCGGCCTCCCAAAGTGCTGAGATCACAGGCGTGAGCCACCGTGCCCGGCCAAAACTACCTGTTAATAAAGCCTGTGGATTCACAAAAGCAATTCTTTGTGAAGAACGAAACCTCAAAGTACATGGTTTGGCTATTTTTGTCAAGAATTCTTGCTTACAACATCTTGGGGAAACTTCCTTGGGGAAAGAGTAAGTTTGTATCCTGCCTTGTTCTTTAAATATTTTGCTTTACTATTAGTGTAAATTATCCAATATAGTTTATACCTCAGGTATAGAAACTTTTAGAGAGGTGTATCATCCATAAATCCATGAATTCCCAATTTCAAAAAACCAGAATACAAATAGCACTGTACAATTAATGCAATTATACATTTTAATCTTTGATTATTCAGAAGGGAATTCATGAATCTGGGGATCTCAAGGTCAATGTTAGAAACATCATTATCATAAGCTCCTAATAGGGCAGAGTTTCTTAATGCTGTATCCCCAGTGCCTAGTACATAGCAGACTTTCGATGAATGAATAAGTGAATGAATGATAGAGGACTGTAGCAGTAGACTGGGTAGACCCTTCTGATCCTATAGCTTTCCTAGGACCAGTTTGTATGCTTTTCTTTTACATCCTTCTCCTATAAGTAGAATACGAAATAGCAAGGCTGAGAAGATTGATCTATGGGAGCTTTTTTAGGGGGAGAGGGAAAAATCATCTAATAACTCAATCGCTTTTAAACAGCTTTAGCAAGATATAATTCTCATATCACAAAATTCACCCATTTAAAGAGTGCAATTCAGTGGGTTTTAGTATATTCACAAAGTTATGCAACCATTACCACTACCTAATTCTGGTATGTTATTATCCCCCCTAAAAGAAATCCCATGCTCACTAGCAATCAATCTCCTCTCCCCCGACCCCCTGGAAACAACCAATCTACTTTCTGTCTCTATAGATTTGCTATTCTGAACATTTCATATGAATGGAATCCTGCAATATGTGGTCTTTTATCACTGGCTTCTTTCATTTAACCGAATGTTTTAAAGGGTCATCCATGTTGCAGCATGTATCAGTACTTCCTTTATTTTTATTACCGCATAGGAGCTTTCTGAGCCAGTAATTTGTGGTTTGGGTTATCACAGCGTTTCCTACATTTGGACAACTGAGGGAACTCATCTGAAACTGAAAGGAAGCCAGCATGAATACAACCTAGAGTGAATGAGATTACAGCCACCCTCATCTTTGGCAGTGGCATATTTGTGCTGAGCCAAAGATCTGTCTTAATAGGATGGCAGGCCCAAGTTATGCGTTGTGACCTCCTGGTGGCACTGGTCTAGTCTAGGAAGGGCTCATAGGTGCTGGTATAACAGGATGAGGCAAGTGCCTCATAGCTTGTGTTTCTGGCTTGGGCAGAGCTTGGGTGCAATTCCTCGTCTTCAGACATCTGAGAAAAGTATGTCGGGATCTCCTGGTTGCATTTGTTCTGTTTGCCAGTGGGCAGAGTACACTGCACTGTGCAGACAGGTTAGACAGTTTATTGTAGGCTGATGAAAGCAGATTAAAAAACCATCAGCTTGGTGGGAAACTAGCTCAGAATCCAATCCAAATGTCAGATGAAATATTTACACAGCCAGGAGATAAACCAAGGGAAACAGTGTGCCCTTTGTGTGTGCTTCTGAGTGTGCAGGCACACACAGAGCTGCTGACCATTTGTCAACTTCCAAGATTTATTCTGTTGCTTCTGGCAAGGGACAGCCTAATGATTTAATAGCTTGTCAACACCTACACAGAGAAACAAGGACTGGCACTTCCTCATTTCTTATTTTCTTTGCTTTAAATAGGAATTTCTATTCCAAGTCACTGGAACCTGGAAATCAGACTGTCAGATTTCTCTTGACTTGAGTGCACAGTTCCTGAATCTGAGCATGATGAATGTTATAACTTTCCTATTATACAAACACAGGGTTGCTACCCTTTCAGAATGACCCATTGAGTTCATATCCTAAAGCTTGAGTGTTTGCTTCAGACCATTGCCATGAGCCAATTTCAAATGGAGTGAAACTGTTTTGTTTCTGTCCCATGAACCTCTTGAGTTGAATGCCTGCTTGAGCAATCCAGTGCCTGGTTGCCACATTTACATTTGAGATGGAGAAGTTGTTTAGAGGATTTTAGTGCAGAAGATTGGATTTCGTATGCAGAGTATTATTCTCCAGGCATCCTTGGGCAGTTGTGAGTTCCCTGAAAGAAGAGACCATGTCCTCTTCAACTCAGCAAACCCCACAGTGCCTAGCACAGCACCTAGCACACTGTCATCTTGGTTAATTCATTTTCAAACAATTCCACCAAGATCTATGATAGAATGACAACCAGAGGGTTATATTTTATATTAGAATAATGCCTTCTGTATACTGGGTCTTTATCCCAAAGACAGGTAGTATAGCAAAATGGTATAGAGCTCTACTTCTCAAAGTTTAATATGCATATGAATTACCTAGGGCTTGTTAAATGCAAATTCTGATTCAGTTCCTCCAGGCTGAAGCTTGAGATTTTGCCATTCTTGCAAGCTCCTGCACGATATAATGTTGCCAAACCAGGTACCACATTTTGAGCACCAAGAATCTAGAGCTATGCTATCCAATATGGTAACCAGTAGCCACTAGTGATTAGTAAGCATTTGAAATGTGGCTAGTCCAAATTGAGATGTGCTGTAAATGTTCAGTACACACCAGATTTTAAAGACTTAGTAAGAAGAAAATGTGAAATATCTTATTAGTAATTTTATATTGGTTATATGTCAAATTGATAATATTTTGAATATGTTAGGTTAAATAAAACATTCTTAAAAATAATTTCACTTGTTTTTTTTTTATTTTTATTGTGGCTACTCAGAACATTTTTAATTATATATTGGCTCACATTATATTTCTACTAAACAGCACTGGTCTAGAGTAGGAGTAGCAAACTTTTAGAATAAAGGGCTGGGCCATAAATATTTTACGCTTTTCAGACCATATGATTTCTGTCCCAACTACTCAATTCTGCTGTTGTACACAAAAGCAGCCATAGACAGTATGTAAATGAATGAGTATTGGTTGTGTTCCAATAAAACTTTACTTACAAAAACAAGTAGAAATGGTAGCCTTGAAAACCAACAGCCTACAATCATGGTGAAAACCAGCAGCCTGGCAGCCACCAGAGGGAACAGAATATGGACTAGAATGTTGGAGCTCCTTCCAAGCCTCATTTCTGAACAATTAATATTTGGCCTGTCTAGTGGTTCCTTGAAAGACCCCACTTGCAAGGCTTTTTTTATTAGGCATGATTCAAGAGTGTGCTCAGTGTGAAAAACTTTTTCCTTGGGGTATTTGTCAAAAATAATTAGAGACAAATGATTAACTTTACAGCTGCCTATGGTAATAGGTAACAGTTGTGGTGAACATTAAGCTAACCAAAAAGCTTAAAAGTAAATGCTGGGGAATGAGATGTCCATATGGAGCTTAGAAAACCTCCAACAAATACCTGGGAATCTAAAAGGCTATGCATATGCACAGGATGATAGGCATTCCCAAGGCTGTGCACATGCTCAGAAAACACCTAAGAAAGGCCAAAGTTCTCACCTATGGCTGAACTTCAAGCTCTGTACAAGTGAAGTGCTAAGGCAAAGTTGCCCCCAACATACACACAGAGCATCTTGGTAAAGACTGGGAGACTTACTGGCTCCATGAATTTAAGCAATTCTCTGTACAATCATTAGCTGACGACTAACCTAACCAAGCAGAGACTTCTGTGACCCCACGTGACAAAGAATCCAGACTTTGCAGAATTAATTTAGAAAAGCCACTAAACAGGCCAGGTGTGGTGGCTCATGGTTGTAATCCCAGCACTTTGAGAGGCCGAGGCAGGTGGATCACCTGAGGTCAGGAGTTTGAGACCAGCCTAGCCAACGTGGCGAAACCCCATCTCTACTGAAAATACAAAAGAAAATTAGCCGGGCGTCATGGCGCATGCCTGTAATCCTAGCTACTTGGGAGGCTGAGGCAGGAGAATCACTTGAACCCAGAAAGTGGAGGTTGTGATGAGCCGAGATCACGCCACTGCACTCCAGCCTGGGTGACAGAGTAAGACTCCGTCTCCAAAAAAAAAAAAAAAAAAAAAAAACACTAAACAAATAAACACCAGCAGCAACAACAACAAAACTCTGGGGAGAGGGAGAATTTGTTTTCCAGAGTTACCGCATGATATAATTTTAAACGTTCAATTTTTAACAAAAGTTGTAAGATATACAAAGAAACAAGAAAAGGTGAATACATAGGAAAAAATATCAATCAACATAAACTGTCACTGAGGACATCCAAACATTGGAATTACTAGACAAAGACTTTAAATTAGGTATTTTAAATATGTACCAAAATTTAAAGGAATGTATGACATGTCTCACCAATATCAATAAATATCAATAAATAGAAATTATATTAAAAATAACTAAATGGTGGCCGGGCATAGTGGCTCACACCTGTAAAAACAACACTTTGGGAGGCCAAGGCGGGTGGATCACCTGAGGTCAGGAGTTCAAAACCAGCCTGGCCAACATGGCGAAACCCTGTCTCTACTAAAAATACAAAAATTAGCCAGGCGTGGTGGTGGGTGCCTGTAATCCCAGCTACTCGGGAGGCTCAGGCAGGAGAATTGCTTGAACCTTGGAGGTGGAGGTTGCAATGATCCAATATTGCACCATTGCACTCCAGCCTTGGCGACAAGACTGATCTCAAAAAAAAAAAAAGTACTGAAGGGAATCCTTCAGGCTGAAATGAAAGGATACTAGACAGCAACTTGAATCCACATAAAGAAATAAAGACCACCAGTAAGGGTCACTACATAAGTAAATATCAAAGTACAAATATATTTTTCTTTGGAACTCTTTTCTTCTATATATGATTTAAAACACAACTGCATAAAGCAATAAATCCACTTTGATAAGTGCACAATGTGTGAAGATATAATTTGTGTGACAATAACAACACAAAGGAGAGGCATGAAAATGGAGCTATATGGGAAAAAAGTATTTATGTACTTAGGCCATTTTGTGTTGCTATAACAGAATACCTCAGGCTGGGTAATTTATAAATAAGAGGTTTATTTAGCTCATGGTTCTGGAAGCTAGGAAGTTCAAGAAGCACGGTGCTGGCTTTAACTTGGCCTCTGGTAAGGGGTTTTGTCCTGTGTCACAACACGGCAAAAGGTCAAAGAGTAGGAAGGCACATGCAAAGAGGCAAAATCTGAGGGGCTTTATAACAACCCACTCTTGCAGGAACTAATCCATTTCTGCAAGAACTAATCCAGTTTTGCCAGAGTGAGAACTCACTACCATGAGAATGGCATCAAGCCATTCATGAGGAATCTTCTCTCATGACCCAAACAACTCCAACTAGGCCCACCTCCCAACACTGCCACATTATGGATCAAGTTTTAAATGAGTTTTGGTGGGGATGAACAAACCATATCCAAACCATAACATATACTATTGAAATTAAGTTGATATTAATCCAAACTGTATTGTTAAAAGTTAAGATGTTAATTATAATACTCAGGCAACCACTAAAAAAAAAAATATACATATACATATATATACACACACATACATATATATACACATATTTATACATGTATATAATACATTTTTATATATGTAAACTAACAAGAAAATTAAAATGGTACAGTGGAAGATATCTATTTAATAAAAAAAGAATGCAGTAATGGAGGAATCGAGCAACAAAAAAGCCTAAGACATGGAGAACAAGTAGCATTGTGGCATACATAGACTATGCCTTATCAGTAATTATATTAAATGTAAATGATTAAACATTCCAATTAAAAATTAGAGATTGGTCAAATGGATTTTAAAAACATAATTCAACTATATGTTGTTCATAAAAGAAATACTTTAAATTCAAAGGCACACGTAGGTTGGAAGTAAAAGGATGGCAAAAGATATAGCATGCATACGGTAACAAAAAGAGAGCTGGTGTGGCTATACTAATAGACAAAATTATAAATATATGTCACCTAACAACAGAGCACCAAAACATATGCAACAAAAACTAAAGAAGTGAAAAAGAGAAATAAGAAATTTAACAATAATAGTTGGAGATGTCAATACTCCATTTTCAATAATAAATAGAACAGCTAGGGAGAAGATCAACAAGGAAATAGATTTGGACAACGTGATAAACCAACTAGAGCAGAATATACATTCTTTTCAAGTGCACGTGGAACATTTTCTAGGACAGAACATAAGTTAAATCACAAAAGAAGTCTCAGTAAATTTAAAAGGATTGAAATCATACAAAGTACTTTGGAATTAAATTAGATGGAAAGGAATGAAATTAGAAATCAATAAAAGAAGGAGATTTGGGTAATTCATAAATATGTGGAAATTAAACAGCACACTCCTAATACAAATAGGTTGAAGAAGAAATCACGTTGCTTCATGGCCTTTTGGCTAAGTTCAAGTGTAGTATCTGTCCTTATCAGTTTAATATCTGATACATCCTCTATCTGAGGACAATACATTAAAGGGATTTTTGGAGCAGGGAGATGGAATAAGGACTAGTTTCCTCCACTCCATGCATCAACCTGGTATTGCAGTACCTCCAGAAATGGTGCACCCCTCCCAATAAGAAAAAAAAATTAAAAGAAAAGAAATCACAAATAAAGTTATAAAATACTCCAAGATGAATGAAAACAAAAACAAAACATGCCAAAACTTATGGAGTGCAAT
The DNA here is from genome assembly GCF_000001405.40 of Homo sapiens. Taxonomy (NCBI): domain Eukaryota; kingdom Metazoa; phylum Chordata; class Mammalia; order Primates; family Hominidae; genus Homo; species Homo sapiens. The sequence continues at coordinate 72,376,870 of NC_000023.11, read as the reverse complement.
GAATGCAGTACTCAGAGGGAAATTTGTAACTGCAAAGGTCTGCTTAAAAATAAGAAAGATTACAAATTAATAACTTAATCTTTCATCTTAAGAAAATAGAGAAGAGCAAACTAAACCCAAAGCAAGCAGAGGAAAAGAAATAATAAAAATTAGGTGGGGCATGGTGGCTCACACCTGTAATCCCAGCACTTTGGGAGGCCAAGGCGGGTGGATCACCTGAAGTCAGGAGTTCAAGACCAGCCTGGCCAACATGGTGAAACCCTGTCTCTGCTAAAAATACAAAAATCAGCCAGACATGGTGGCATGCTCCTGTAGTCCCAGCTACTCAGGAGGCTGAGGCAGGAGAATCACTTGAACCTGGGAGATGGAGGTTGCAGTGATCCAAGATTGCGCCACCGCACTCCAGCTCTGGGCGACAGAGTGAGACTCTGTCTCAAAAAACTAAATAAACTAAAAATAAAAATTACAGCAAGAAGAACTGAAATAAAGAATAGAAAAACAGTAGAGAAATTTGGTGAAATCGAAAGTTGGTTCTTTGCAAAGCTCAGCAAAATTACAAAACTTTAGGTAGACTTAAGAAAAAAATGTCTCAAATTATGAAAATCAGGAACGACAGTGGAGATATTACTACCCACCTTAGAGAAATAAAAAGGAGTATAAAGAGCCAGGCACAGCGTCTCACGCCTGTGATCCCAGAACTTTGGGAGGCCAAGGCGTGAGGATCGCTTGAGCTCAGGAGTTCAAGACTAGCCTGGGCAACATGGTGAGACCTCGTCTCAAAAAAAAAAAGAGCATAAAGGAATACTATGAGCAACTGTATGCCAACAAATTTTATAACCTAGATGTAATGAAAATATTCCTAGAAAGACACACAATACCAAAACTAACAAGAAAAAATGGAATGGAGTATCTGAATAGACCTAAACCAAGTAAAATAGATTGAATTAATAATTTTTTGAATTCCCACAAAGAAAACCCCAGGCACATATGGTTTCACTAGTCAATTCTACTGATTGATACCAATAATGGTTGATTTTATTTGTCAACTTTATTGGGCCACAGAAATGCTCAGATACCTGGTTAAACATTATTTCTGGTTGTATGTGTGAGGGTGTTTCCAGAAGAGATTACCATTTGGATTAGTAGACTAAATCAAGAAGATTTTCCTTCTTAGTATGGGTTGGCATCATCCAATCTGTTGAGGGCCTGAATAGAACAAAAGGTGAAGGAAGAATTATCTCTCTCTCTTCCTCCCTTCCCTTCTCTTCCCTCCCTTCCCTTCCCTCCCCAATCCTCCCCTCCCGTCTCTCAATGACTGCTTGAGCTAAGATTTCAGTTTTCTCCTGCCCTAGGACTGAGATTTACACCATCAGCCCTCTGGTTCTCAGGCCTTTGGACTTGGACTAGAACTTACACCATCATTTCTCCTGGTTCTCAAGCCCTCAGACTCAGACTAGAGCTATACAACCAGCTGTCCTTGGACTCCGGTTTGCAGATGGCAGGTCAAAAGTCTTCTCAGCCTCCATAAGTGCATGAGCCAGTTCCTCACAATAAATCTATTTTATGTAGATAAATGATAGATTTATTCATCTAGATATTTATTTTTACATATATTTCTAGAGAGTGAGAGAGAGAGAGAGAGATATCCTATTTGTTCTCTTTCTCTGGAGAACCCTGACAAATAAAACTTCCCAACTATGAAGCCAGTTCTACATTTATACCAAAACCAGATAAAGAAATCACAACAGGCTGGGCACAGTGGCTCACGCCTATAATCCCAGCACTTTGGGAGGCCAAGGCAGGAGGATCACTTGAGCCCAGGAGTTCAATTGAGACCAACCTGGGCAACTTAATGGGACCCCCGTCTCTACAAAAAATTTAAAAATTAGCTGGGTGTGGTGGTGCATGCCTGTGGTCCAGCTACTTGGGAGGCAGTAGGTGGAGAGGGTGGGATGGGAACTGTTTGAGCCCAGGAGGTCAAGGCTGCAACAAGCTGTGATCACACCACTGCTTCCAGCCCAGGTGACAAAGTGAGACCCTGTCTCCAAAAAAAAAAAAAAGAAAGAAAGAAAGAAAAGAAAAAGAAAACAAAAGAAAGTAAAAGACAACTCACAGAATGGGGAAAAAAAATTTGTGAATCAAAATATTTGCAAATCATATATAAAGGACTTGTATCCAGAATACATTTTTTTTTTTTTGAGACAGGGTTTCACTCCCATCACCCAGGCTGTAGTGCAATGACGTGATCTCAGCTCACTGCAACCTCTGCCTCCCGGGCTCAAGCGATTCTCCTGCCTCAGTCTCCTAAGTAGTTGGGACTACAGGCGTGTGCTACCGCACCCAGCTAATTTTTGTATTTTTTGTAGAGATGGGGTTTCACCATGTTGCCCAGGTTGGTCTTGAACTCCTGACCTTAAGTGATCCACCCACCTCAGCCTCCCAAAGTGCTGGGATTGCAGACATGAGACATGGCACCCAGGCTCAGAATACATTTTTAAAACCCTTAGTACTCACCTAGCAGGCCAGGTGCAGTGGCTCATGCCTGTAATCCCAGTGCTTTGGGAGGCCAAGGCAGGAGGATCACTTGAGCCCAGGAGTTCAAGACCAGCCTGGGCAACATAGCAAGACCCCCATCTCTACAAAAACTTTTTTAAAAAATTAGGTGGGCATGTTGGTGTGCACCTGTAGTTTTAGTTACTTGGGAGGCTGAGGCGGGGAGGATTGCTTGAGCCCAGCAGTTTGAGGCTGCAGTGAGCTATGATTGTACCACTGCACTCCAGCCTGGGTGACAGAGTGAAACCCTACCTCTAAATAACAAGAGCAAAATAACCCAGTTTTAATATGGGCAAAGGATACACATAGACATTGCTCCAAAGAAGATATACAACTGGTCAATAAATACATGAGGAAATGCCTGACATCATTAGTCATTAGGGAAATGCAAATCCCAAACCACTATGAAATATCACTTCACTCCTACTAGGATGACAATAATCAAAAAGATGGATAATAGCAAATGTTGGCAACAATGCAGAGAAATTGGAACCCTCATACATTGCTGGTGGAAATATCAAATGGTGCAGCCACTTTGGAAAACAGCACGGCAGTTCCCTAAAAAGTTAAATAGAGTTGCCAAATGACCCAGAAATTCTATTCCTAGGTATATAACCACATATCTTCACACAAGAATGTGTACATAGATTTTCATAGCAGCACTATTCATAACAGCCAAAAACTTGGAATCAACCCAAATGTCCATCAACTGATAAATGGATAAACAAAATGTGTATCTATACAATGGAATTCAGCCATAAAAAGAACAAATTACTGATACGTACTACAATATGGATGAACTTTGAAAACATTATGCTAAGTGAAAGAAAGACACAAAAGGCCACATATTCTATTATTCCATTTGTATGAAATGTCCAGAATATGAAAATCCATAAAGACAGAAAGTAGATTACTGGTTGCCAGGGGATAGGGGAACAAGAAGTGAATGCTCAGTGGATATGAGGTTTCCTTCATGGGTGATGAAAATGTTCTGGAATTAGATAGTGGTTGCACAACTTTGTAAATATGCTACTTGTGAATATACTAAACAATGCACTCTAAAAGGGTAAATTATATCTCAAGGAAAAAAAAGGCGGAGGGACAGATTTGGCTCATGGGCCATAGTTTGTCAACTCCTGGTCTAAAGCAATGATTTTTGGAGTCACACAGACCAGAGTTAGAATCCTAATTTTCAACTTATGAGCTCTATGACCTTGGACAAGTCACTTAATAGCTTTAAGCCTCACTTTTTTATATGTTGGGGATATGTATAGTATCTCCCTTGTATTGTGTGAGGGTGGAGTTAGGTCAAATGTAAGCTCCATGAAGGCACTCAATCTCCAGGGCCTAGAACTGGCAGGCTCTCAATATACATGAATGAATAACTAAAGGATTTAACACAGTCGCTGACTCATCGTAATAAATAATAGCAAATCCTTATACAGTATTTACTGTATTACAGGTACTATTCTAAGTGCTTTGCAGAACTTTATTTCATTTAATACATAGTATTATTATCATCCTCATTTTCCAGATGAGGAAACTAAGGTACAAAAAAAATTATGTAACTTGCCCCAAATTATACAGCTAGCAAATGGTACAACTAAAATTAAAACCCAGGCAGTTGTGCTCATAAGTCTATGCAATAAATATTGAATGTCAATTATCATCATCATCATCATAGAGTTTAAAACATATCCAAGGATACAGATCTCCTTTCTCCTTTTGGTATCTAAGCACATACTAACAACTCTACTTCCTCAGTGTTTGATTTAGGGTGAGGATGCTTCCCAAGTCTCTGATGTTCTGCTAGAGAACATGTTCATTCTTTCATCCATCCGTTCATTCATGTATTTATCAAGCATGTACAGGATCCCTACTGTGTTCTAGGCCCCGTGCTATATAGAGATAAAAAAGACATACTCTCTATCCTGAAAGAGCTCAATGTCTAGTCGGGAAGACAATTATAATCCACAGTGAAAAGTGCTGTAGTAGAGATTATGCAAGAGTGCTATGGAAGCAGAGAAGACCCAAGCAGGGAATAGTGTGGAGGTAGGAAGAAGGAAGGACCTGTGAACACTTCCTGGAGGAAGTGGTACCTGGAGAATGTTCCCAAAAAGGAATGTGGATTAGTTGGGTGTAGGAAGGGAGAAATAAGTCAAGATTAGGTTAAAATATGCATATATATATAGACTGAAAGGCCCAGGAGCCCTTGGTGAAACCCAGGGAACAAACGGCACAGAGTCCAACATGACCAAAAGCCAGGTGGCAGAGGGGACCTGAAAAAGCTCCTAAGGGCCCAAGTGCCATTCAAGTTTGGTCCTGAGCAACTAATTACCCAGCATTCCCCAACCCCTTACCCTACTTTATTTTCCTCTGCAGCACTTATCACCATCTGACATGTACATGCTTGTTTATTTACTATCTGTCCCCTCCCACTAAAATGTGAGCTCCCTGAAGGCAGAGACTTTGTTTTGTTCACTGCTATATCTCCTTTGACTACTGCATACACATGTTTGGATTGCCTGCATTCATAGGCACTCAATAAGTATTCTTAAATAAATGAATGAATGAAATAAAATCAATAAACTAATGTCCTGAGAGCTCTAGGGAAGACAGTGATGATTAAGATACAGGACCCAACTTCCAGGAACTTATAGGCTTAGCGAGAGACCTAATACATGAACATGAGTGCCTATTGCACTCTGTCTCCTCTCTTCTTTCACTTCCTGCTTTCTCTCCTAGAACTTTCAGACTGTTGTCTGACCATTCAAAATTCCCCATCCCTCACAAATATTTCTCCACCGCATCCAGGACTTCCTAGTTCCCAAAAGTGGCTCATGTTCCAACATACACCTGCCCTCCTTCCTGGCTCTGCCCATCCAAAATCTCATTCCTGGTAGCTGTCCGAGTCTACTAGATGTTGTTAGCATGCTCAAACTAATTTTCACTAATGTATGACTCACTTCCAGAGTAATCTAGGGTATATTACTTTTTTAACTTTTCATTACGGGAACTTTCAAACATAAATAAAGCAGAGAGAAGAGTATAATGAACCCCCATGTACCCATCACCCAGCTTCAACAATTGCCAATATTACTATTCCTATTTATTCTATCCCCCATTTTTTTTCTGAAGAATTTTAAAGCTGATCCCAGGTATCATACCATTTCATAGCTGATAAATATTTTAGTATGTATCTCTAACAGATAAGGACCTTTTCTTAACATAAACACAATACCATTATCAAACTCAACAAAATTAATAATCCCTTATCATCTGTGGTGGTTAATACTGAGTGTCAACCTGATTGGATTGAAACATACAAAGTATTGATCTTGGGCATGTCTGTGAGAGTGTTGCCAAAGGAGATTAACATTTGAGTCAGCGGGCTGGGAAAGGCAGACCCACCCTTAATCTGGGTGGACACAATCTAATCAGCTGCCAGCGCAGCTAGAATATAAGCAGGCAGAAAAATGTGAAAGGAGAGACTGGCCTAGCGTCCCAGCCTACATCTTTCTCTCATGCTGGATGCTTCCTGCCCTCGAACATCAGACTCCAGGTTTTTCAGTTTTGGAACTCCGACTGGCTCTCCTTGCTCCTCAGCCTATTGTGGGACCTTGTGATCATGTGAGTTAATACTTAATAAACTCCCCTTTGGCCGGGCACAGTGGCTCACGCCTGTAATCCCAGCACTTTGGGAGCCCAAGGCAGGTGGATCATGAGGTCAGGAATTCGAGACCAGCCAGGCCAACATGGTGAAACCCCATCTCTTCTAAAAATACAAAAATTAGCCAGGTGTGGTGCCACATGCCTGTAGTCCCAGCTACTCAGGAGGCTGACGCAGGAGAATGGCTTGAACCTGGGAGGTGGAGGTTGCAGTGAACCGAGATCGTGCCACTGCATTCCAGCCTGAGCGACAGAATGAAACTTCGTCTCAAAAAACCATGTAGTTCTGTTTCTCTAGAGAACCCTAATACATCAGCTAATACCAATCTCTGTTAAATTTTACCTAGTTGTCCCCAAAATATCCCTTACATGGATTTGTTCAAATCAGGCTCCAAAGAAGGCCCATACATTAGGCATATACTTTTAGGTTTAAGTCTACTTGATAAAATTTCAGGCCTTATGGAAAAGTGGGGACTAATCAGCTTGAAGCCCCTCTGGACATCCCAGATTCCCTAACCCTAGGAGCTTCAGGATAGCCTCTCCCTGGCTGGAGAAAGGAGCTAGCCATTCAGGCCCCAGGTTCCTCATCAGATCCTTTTTCTGTTCCCCAATAAGGGGTGGAGGGACTGTCACCTTGCGGTGGAGTGGGGAGACAAGGAGAACCAAAGAAATGCCTTGCAAGCAAGTTTTTGGTCTGTCTCCTGTCCAACCACCCCTAATCCCCACCTCCATCCTAGCTGACCTCAGAAATATTTGGTTCAGCTGCGTAAATGTCATCGTAATTACAGTCATTCTTTGGAGCTGCTTATCATTATGCCTAATTACAGTACAGCACAATAATCATTATGTGTATCATTAAAGATGTGTCAGATTGACTTTGCCATGAGTTTTATTTTATTTCAATACTAAATTGCTCCAGTAGGCACAGCCTTTAGAGCTTGTTGCTCCTGGTCCCTACTGGGGAGCAGGAGACCAGCTGTTGGCCAGCCTGCATCTGAGCATCCCATCCTGTCCCATCCAGTCCTGTACACTGCCACCTGCACTGGCTCTGCTGCAGCCCAGTTCGGAGGTGCCTGCCTGCCTGCTTGTCTGCCCTTCTGCTGCATGGACTGCACACCTGGGCTTAAGGCAGAGTGATTTGCACTTAACAAACAACAGAAACAAACAAAACAACAAAACCCTTCAGGCTCTGCCAGCATCAACCACTGCTTCCCCTGTCCACCAGGATCTCAGTCAAGCTTCTCATTGATTCAATCCATGCAACATCTTCATTATTCTCCCTATATGATAGGGAATGTGAAATGAGCTGATATGTCCAAAGTCATCGGGTTCATCATTAGCAGAACCGGAAAAAGAACTAGAAGCTATGATGCTGAGCCAGAGCTTCTGTGGGAGCCCTGGCCAGGTCAGGCTCCATGCGTTAGGCATTCGTCTCTGGTAGTGGATGCATTTTCAGTTTTCAAATGTACTAAACGATGCTATCTGTGCTGCTGGGCAACTTCCTGAGAAGCAAGCACAGGAGAGTTGAGGGGTGTGGGGGCGGGGAGCAGTACTTTTCCAACTCGTGTTTTCGTGCTGTGAGAACCAAACTGAGAGCCTGGACGAGGTCACCCTACACCTTGCCTCACTGGTACATTGTCAGGCTGCCTCTGCCAGCAGACTTCTTGCAGCTTGCCAGAACCAAGGTCGTCACGAATCAGATAAACCAGTGTTGAAGAAGCATGTGTAACATATCAAATCATTGCCTAATGAGCCTTTCCTCTGGGTCCTGTGCAGACCTAACAAGTGAGTTCAGTGCATGTTTGCTCAAATGCTCATTTATTCAGCCAGCCTTGAGTGAGGGCCGTCTTTGTGCCCTGCGTTGTGCTAAGAAAGCATCTTTGTGCTAATGTAGTTCTTGCTCCTAAGAGCTGCACTCACGGCCCAATGGGGAAGGACAGCATGTAAACAAAGATGCCAGAGTAGGCCAGAGGGCTGTAAAAGGCCTTATGGATGGCCAGGCGTGGTGGCTTATGCCTGTAATCCCAGCACTTTGGGAGGCCGAGGCAGGCAGATCACAAGGTCAGGAGATCGAGACCATCCTGGCCAAAATGGTGAAACCCCATCTCTACTAAAAATACAAAAATTAGCTGCATGTGGTGGTGCGTGCCTGTAATCCCAGCTACTCGGGAGGCTGAGGCAGAAGAATTGCTTGAGCCAGGGAGTCAGAGGTTGCAGTGAGCCGAGATCGCGCCACTGCACTCCAGCCTGGCGACAGAGTGAGACTCCATCTCAAAAAAAAAAAAAAAAAGCCTTGTGGAAACACACGGGAGGGAATGAGGAACTCTGACTTTGGGGAGTTAGCAAAGACTTCAAAGAGGTTACATTTGAGCTGGGTCTTGAAAGCTGAGTAGGAATGGTCTAGGCTGAGAAGGGAGGGCTGGGCATTCTCTGCAAAGGGAATGGTGAACGGAAAGGCAGGCAGGTGTGACAGAGCATGAAGGAACCCAGGATCCTTTTGCAGATAAAGAGGAAACGAGTTTCCATTAATGTATCTCATGGCCTTAATAATTTAAGGTCAGACCTGGTTGACTGGTTTTCCATGACCTTTGCTTCCCTGCCCCGCTTTTGTGCCAGCCTTTTGGCCTTTTTGCAGTAGCTCTGAATTTAGCTCAAAAGCTTATGCTGAAATATGCCATTTCATTTTGTTCATTCTATATTTTGTGCCAATCACACTGGCCCATTGAATGGCTTAGCTATATGTTATTCTAGGTTTTGTGGAGCAGCAAAAGGAAGCCTTTTTCTCCCTAGAGTCAAACTCAAGGAAGCAGAGCCTGCTGTGAGAAAGGATGGCACAAAATCTTTGAGGACACCTGAACTCCATGGGCTAGGCATTTGCCGCCCATGTCTGTTGTCAGCTGAATGGTGTGTTTGTTTAGCTGTGACTGCTCTCTTCATTAGAGGGGCATTAAAATGCTGTTGGTTTGAGTGTGGCAAGGTGATAAATCATCCTTGTGTGGACTCTTAAATAAACTATTAGGGGACAAACCTAAGTATGCCTTTGCTAATCTGTTGGTGAGCATTAGCCACATCTAGAGCCTTGGAGGGGCCCAACAGCCATAAGTTAGAGTTTTTGTAATGAAAATGAAACCCCCTTCATTTATCTAGCCTCAGACCTTTTCACACAATTTCTTCCTGTGAGCCTCATAGACAACCCTTTAAGGTTGGTGGGGTGGGAACTCATGCCCCATTTGACCAACGTGGCGACAGAGCCTTGAAGAATTAAGTGTTGGTGGAAACCAGGCCCCTGATCGCAGTGCTGGGGACCTTTCCTACTACTCCGTGCTGCCTGCTGCTGAGCCAGCCTTTCCCCTGTGCCATGTGGGCCTGGGCAGAGGAGGCACTCACACATTTACAGGACAGCTGGCTGCCGGGAAGCACCAAGTCTACAACTGTGGAACAGGCTCCCCGCTATGTTCACAGTACCCTTGCCTTAAGAAACACCTCTGGATGCTTGCCATGTTAGCACCAAACTAGTGTAAGGTAGATAAAGAATGACAAAAAGCAACCTTGGAGAGCAAATACCCCTCCAAGATCTATGTCATTTACTCCCTTCTTACCAGCAGGATCAGGTTCAACCTACATAAATCTATTTTAGTGTATTTTAATTGCTTGTAAACTAAGTGTTTCCTGTATATGCCACTGACCATGAATAATTAGAATCATTTCAATGACTGGGTTTTGGGAAGTGAATGGGAGAGCAGACAAAAAGGGGCTGCTCAGAAACGAGAGTCATTTGTTAAAGCGTGAGTGGAAGCGTTGTCTCAGCCTTCCCCAGTTTTGGTTTGTTTTTTTCATGATGTCACTAGAGCCGCCTGTTTTTCAGCTACTCTGGCTGCCCTTCATTTTGTATGCATCTCTCATGTTAAGTAATGCCAGCTGCTGACAATGACCAGGCCTGACTGGCCACATGTCAGAGTCATTCATTCACTCAGCAAAGATGTATGGAGCGCCTACTATGTGCCAGGCCCATACCAAATCTTAGGGACAAAGAAAAGAATAAGGCCCAGTTCCCACCCTTGAGGAGAACACTGCCCAGTGGAGGAGACAAGCACAAAAACAGTTACACTAGAATGTGTAAGTGATAGAATCAAGAGGCAGTGAGCTGTGGGAACACAGAGGAGGAACTTACTCCATCTGGGGGAGCTGGGAATGGCACAGTAGAGAGGCAACATTTAGCAAGGGCTCAAAGGAAACAGAAGAATTGACCAGATAAAGAGGAGTGGGGAGAGACACTTCAGGTCAATGTGGCTACAGTTTAGGGGCCGTAGCCCAGGTCGTGGTGTGCGATAAGGCTGGAGAAGTCAGCTGAGCCAGACTGTGAAGGCCTTTGTATGTCCTGCTTTCAAGTTTGGACTCAGTCCTGCAGTCAGTGGGGAGCCGACCATGGTTTTTAAGCAAGGGAATGACATGATCAGATCTGAATTTCTGATGGAAAGCTCAGGAAGGGAGGGGAGACAGGGAAATCAGTTAGAGGCTGACTAGGATTTTGCTTTGTCTTCCGTCTGGATTGCAGGAGCTCCTTGCCTGCACCTCTATTATGGTTCTTCCCACAGTGCATTATAATTGATCATTTGCATAGCTGTATCTCCATTCACTCCTTGAGGGCAGGGGCCAAGTCTTGTGCATCTCTTCATGACCAGAGCCTGGCACACAGGAGTGCTCAAGAAACATTGGTATCATGTGAATGAGTGAATAAATGAATCAATAGGTGCTGAGCAAGTGCAACTCCAGTTTGCCCCAAGTAACCTCTCTGATGGGTATATCAGAGATAAATCCTACTCTGATGGAGTAGCAATTCCATCCATGGCTTTTCCCCTCTCTGCCAAGCCCATCATTCTATCGTGGTCCATCACAAAAGAAAGATGCATTATTCAAAGCAGACAAGAAAGTTGCTTACAGAGCTGTGTTGGTGCTGGTTTTGACCCAGTACTCTGTTCTTTCTCTACAAATTAATTTTTGATGACTTGTTTACAGTATATCTTCATTGTCCTTATTCCACTTCTTGTGCATTTCATACCTTCTCTTCCTTCTTACTTAAATCTTGCTCATCCTTCAAGGCCAGTTCAATTGCCTCCCATCTCCTCCATGAAGCCTTATTCATTACTCAGCCCCCATACTCAGAATTAAGAATTCCCACTTCAGAATTTCCCTTGAGAAATGACTTACCTCTGACATTCTTCTCATTATAGTTATTCCTGTACTTGTCTGCATTCTCTACTAGACTGTAAGCTCCTCAAGACCAGAGATTATATCTGTGTCATTATCATCTCCCCAGCACCTACCACACTGAATCCTGCCCCAGCAGATAACCAGTGAGTGTTTTCAAATATAGGTTGAGCATCCCAAATTTGAAAATCTGAACTTTAAAACGCTCCAAAATCCAGAACTTTTTGAGAACCAACATGGTGTGCAAAGGAAATGCTCACTGGAGCATTTCAGATTTCGGATTTTGGGATTAGGCATGCTCAACTAGTACATATAATGCAAATAGTCCAAAATCTGAAAAAAAATTCAAAATACAAAATACTTCTGGTCCCAAGTATTTCGGAAAAGGGATATTCAACCTGTAATACCCAAAGCATAGTGCTTTCTATCGGGCTCTCCCCTGAGAGATAATGCCAGTCTTGGGAGTACTCTATGCCTCTTTCTATCTTCTTGCACACGGTTAGATATAGTTTTCTTTGTTTAACAAGTAATGAGGAAAAAAAATCATTGCTCATCAAACAATGGGAATATCACAGAGATAGAGATCTCCTAAACCATATTATTTCGGGGGTCTTTTTTTGTACATATTTAGAGGGTACAAGTGCAGGCTTCTTATATGCATATATTGCATGGTGGTGAAGTCTGGGCTTTTACTGGGCCCATCACCCATTATTTCGGGTATTTTGATGAAATCAGGAACGTTCAGGATGGTATTATTTCAGGTATTTTGAATGCACAAAATTCAATGCCTCTAAACAAAGCATAAACACACTAACCCATTCAGGGTCATAAGTACAAATCTTTCTTGAAGAGCTTATTGTATGGTGGGACTTTTTGAGTAAACAAAAAAAAGATGATGAGCATTCTCTTTGGAAGGACTTACAATTAGCTCTACTTGGAACACATTATGCAAAATACCAAGAATTCAAATTTTCCAGGTAGAAATGTCCAGCAGATGATTATAAATGCACGTCAGAGGCTGGTGACAAACACTGACAGGACCCAGAGATGTAGGATCTCCACATAGGCGTGATTACAACACCAACAGAGGGCGCGAACTCCTGCAAAGAGAAAGAAGAGAGGCTGAGGATATAACCTGAGGGCACCTACATTTCAGAGACAGATGAAAGAAGAGGATCCAGGGAAGGAGACTGAGAAGGAACAGGGAGAGCAGTGGTTATGAGAGAGAAGATAGTGTGATGACATGTGCTGGAGAGAGATCAAATAGGATGAGTGATAACTGAAAAGAAGACCTTAGTTGGGCAATTAGGAGGTCACTCTTGATGTCCTAAAGCAGGAATAGCAAATGTAGGGCACATATGACTACGTGCCCTCAGACCCCACCCTGCCGGGGTCTATGTACTCCTATGGATACATTACAAATTGATCATGGCCTGCTTCCCTGTTGAACCAAGGCACAGCTTCAGAATCTTTCTCAACACAGTACCCCAAGCAGCTACTACCAATTGATCCGAGTTGTCAAGAAGCTGAAATCTCTTTGCCATCTCTCTTCTAAAAAACAGTTCAAGGCTGGGCACGGTGGCTCATGCCTGTAATCCCAGCACTTTGGGAGGCCAAGGCGGGTGGATCACCTGAGGTCAGGAGTTCAAGACCAGCCTGGCCAACATGGTAAAACCCTGTCTCTGCTAAAAATACAAAAAATTTAGCTGGGTGTGGTGGTCCACGCCTGTAATCCCAGCTACTCGGGAGGCTGAGGCAGGAGAATCGCTTGAACCTGGGAGGCGGAGGTTGTAGTGAGCCAAGATTGCTCCATTGCACTCCAGCATGGGTGACAGAGTAAGACTCCATCTCAAAAAGAAAAAAAAAAAGTTCATTGGAGGTGTGGGTTGCAGTGAGTTGAAGTGTCTGAGAAATGAGGAGGTCAAGGTGTTGAAGAAAAGAGAAATTTTAAGAGGTTCAGAAGTGAAGGGATAGAGAGAGGGCAGTTGTTTGGAGTAGTGTAAGGATCAATTCTTATTAATCCTCCAGTAGAAGCAGTTTTCAAAGTCATCTTAGTACTTGTCCAGCAACAAGCCAGGTAAAGCAATATCCCTATACCCTTCCTTCTTCCATCCCCACCCTTGGCTTAAGGAAAATTTGATGTAAAAAACCTTCGTGTGTAGGCTTGTTTCCAAAATATTCATTTGATTAACAGAGACATATGGTATAACCAGAGTTGGCTCTGCACACAGTATGAAGAAGGAATTGTCTCTAATCGTGGAAATTTGAGGATCAGCAGTGATGGGGCAAGGTATTAGTCTTGGCCAGGGCTCTTCCCTAAAACTCTTGAAACCATACCCTGAAGGAAAATTCTGGCCTGCAGGGAGACCCCTGCCACCCTGCCCTTGTCTTTCCTGTCTCCTCCTCTAGACCTCCTTCTTCCCCTTCCCAATCTAAGCCCCTTCTCATTTTTATCTCTTCTACTCCTTTCTGTCACCTCTGTCCTGTGCCTCTCTCTCCTACCACTTCAAGTTTCTCATTCCCTCCTCTTCTTTTCCATCTTTCTTAATAGTCATTTTCACTTGGAATCCTTCTCTTCTTGATCTCTCTGCCACTCTTTCTGGCTTCAGGGTTTTGGGATACAGGGTAAGCTCTTAAGAATTCACCCTCATTCAGTCTAAATGGACATTTGTAAAGAAATCCAATTTTACTACTGCCCATTACATTCAGAGCTCTGTTTCTTTGTACAGTTGATAAAGCACAAGAAAAAGAATGATAATATTCAGCATTTAATAGTATTTACTGAGCATTTATAATAAGCCAAGCACACTGTTCTAAGTTCTTTACATGAATTCACTCATTTATTGTCACAACAATCCTAAAAGGTAGGTTCTGTTATTATTCCCATTTTACAAACAAGAATACCAAAATACAGAACAGTTAAGTCACTTGCCTAAGGTCACACAGCTAGTAGGTGGTTGTGTTAGTCCATCTGCATTGCTATGAAGGAATACCTGAGGCTGGGTAATCTATAAAGAAAAAAGACTTAATTGGCTCACAGTTTTGCAGGCTGTACAAGCATGACACCAACATCTTCTGGCGAGGCCTCAGGAAACTTTCAATCATGGTGGAAGGCAAAGGGGAGCCAGCATGTCACATGGCCAGAGAGGAAGCAAGAGAGAGACGGGGGAGGTTCCTGACTCTTTTAACAACAAATGTGACATGAACTCTCAGAGCAAGAATGCACTGATTACCATGGGGAGAGCACCAAGCCATTCATGAGGATCCGCACCCATGACCCAAACACATCCCACCAGGCCCCACCTCCAACATTGGGGATCACATTTCAATGTGAAATTTGGAGAGGACACACATCCAAACTACATCAGTGTAGAGCAAAGATGTAGGGCTCATCCCATATGACTCCAGAAATCTCAGTCTTTAACTGCTGTGCGTATTGCTTCATGACATAGTGGAAGCCTATAAAATGGGAAGTTCAAAGTCATTGGTTCAAGTTCATATCTCTTAACTGTATTACATAGTGTTAAGGTTATGATCTTGGATAAGTCACCTAATTTGTCCAGTGCCCCCCACATGTGAGGGCATTTTATTGTACACTAACCAATACCACATACTTTAGCTTGGATTTATTCCTCTGCTTTTGCTATAATTATATCTTCCCTCTCTATTTGATTGTCATCTCCTTGAGAGCAGTCACCAGACCTTATTTTTTTTTTTTTTTGGTACTCAGCTTGCCCCCAGGGCCTAGAATGATGCTTAGCACCTAGTACAATGCATTCATGTGCACACATGCAAACATATACACGCACACACACACTACTGTGGATTGACTAACATAAGAACCTACTAATTAGATGACATGCAAATGGGCTATATATATGTGTTCATGAAAGCCTCTAAGTACTTTAGCTAATGAAATAAGATGTTAATATTGAGCATATTCTTTGCTTAAATGTAATTAGTGCTCAAGTTACAGTGAGCTATGATTGCATCACTGCACACCAGCCTGGGTGACAGAGTGAGATCTTGCCTCTAAATAATAATAATAATTATAATAATTAGTGCTCCATTAAGATAACATTTCCCAGGTTTACTTGATTATTTTGCTTAATAAACTTTTTTATACCAATAGGTAAAACCATTAAAATATCTGAAAAATAAAACCATTTCCATGCCCTCTTCATTCACTCAAACAATTCTTGGCACGACCATGCACTGGTGTATAAGCCTCACCACCAAGCAGTTCTTAAGTGCCAACTCTGTGTTCAGAGGTAAAATGAGTACCACAGGTAGGATACAGATGTAGTCTAGACAGGACACCAGGTTTCTATTCCAGCAACTAAGAATTCACTTTTTTTCCATCCCCATCTTCACCTCCACATGTAGCATCTTATCTTCAATAGCCCCTATCTCCCTGACCTTTTGGTTGTGCTCTGGACACTCCCAATCCCCCATCCTCCTGCCTGCTCACAAGCGCTTTTGATGTGCTGCTTCCTGCCAGTTCAATTCAACAACTAATGGAGTTATTATTTTTGTTTGTCTGTGTTGTAAAGCCATGGCAATAAAATCTACTCCCAATAATATCACTGCAATTTTATGTCCTTAAAATGTACCATAAATGCCATATGTATTCACTGAATTTCCTGTAAACAGAAATGTTTTTCTGGGAAAAAAGAGGGCTTTTTTGTTTCCATCATGGTTGAGCCTAAGTTCTTTGATGGAGTAATTGGTGATATAGGAAAGATTGAGAAGCATCATTCAAGACCATGTTATGGTTCAAAGTGCTGGTGCCGTGTTATTCTGGTCATGATGAGTTCTTTTCAAACAGTGATTCAGGACAAGAAATGCTCTTCCTGACCAGAACCCACATTACCGTCACAGGCATGACTTCCCCAACTAAAAACAGTAAAGCCTCAGGGGTCTGCAAGAGAGATTGGCATTGACCTTGGGCTTGCCCTGATAGAAGCAAGTATAATTTTTAGGAAAAAGTAGACTGTGAGTTAACAATAAAAAATGTGAGAGCTGCTTGGATTTTTATAGAAAGGGATTTGGACAGAAGCTCTTTCTTTCTTCTTCTTTTTTTTTTTTGACGGAGTCTCGCTCTGTCACCCAGATTGGAATGCAGTGGTGCAATCTCGGCTCACTGCAACCTCCGCCTCCTGGGTTCAAGAGATTCTCCTGCCTCAGCCTCCCTAGGAGCTGGGATTACAGGTGTGCGGCACCACACCTGGCTAATTTTTGTATTTTTAGTAGAGACAGGGTTTCACCACTTTGGGCAGGCTGGTCTTGAACTCCTGACCTCGTGACCTGCCCGCCTCACCCTCCTAAAGTGATGGGATTACAGGCGTGAGCCACCACGCCCAGACTTTTTTTTTTTTTCTTTTTTTGAGACAGGGTCCCACTGTATCACCCTGGCTAGAGTGCAGTGGTGCAATCTTGACTCACTGCAACCTCTGCCTCCTGGGTTCAAGGATTCTCATGCCTCAGCCTCCCAAGTAGCTGGAACTACAGGCATGCACCACCATGCCCAGTTAATTTTTGTATTTTTAGTAGAGATGGGAGTTCATCATGTTGGCCAGGCTGGTCTCGAACTCCTGGCCTCATGAGATCCACCTGCCTCAGCCTCCCAAAGTGCTAGGATTACAGGAGAGAGCCACCACGCTCAGCCCCATCACAGTATCTCTTTCCCATCCACTCCATCCCCACAGCAATCACTCTGGTTCAAGCCTTTTTTGTCCCCCACCTTGTACTATTGCAGGTGCCTCTACATCAGTCACCCAGCTTTGCATTTGCTGCTCTCAGTTCCCATAAGGCACAGCTTCAGTCCTGACCCTGCCTCATTGCCTGTCACATCATGTCCTGTCTCCTCAACATGGGAATCAAGGCTTCCTGTGCTCTCTTTTTCCAACATTAGCCCACTAACAGCACTTGCTCTTCCCCAAACTTGTCCTGCATTCTCTTGCCTCCTCTAACTATCCCCCGACACACACTCCATGCCTGCCTGTCTAGAATCACCCCATCCTTCAAGAACCTAATTCGCCCTACTGGATGTGAATCTGTTCAGAATCCCAATCATTTTATTTCATTCATTCAGCAAACATGAATTGGGTGCCTTTTATTTTCCAGGCCTTATGTTAGGAGCTGTGGATAATATAGAGATTTAAAAAAAAAAACAGTATTCTTCCCTTGTGGATCTCTGTCTAATGGGCCAGAAATACAGACATAACTAACTCGAAATACCTATTATGCTGCCCCTGACTCCCATCCTATAGATTCTTTTCCCTCAGCCCATAAACATACTTAATATCCTCCCATCTTAAAACACCCACCTACCCCAGCCCTACCCCCGTATCAAACTCCTGAAAAAAAAGAAAAAAAAAAAACAGTATACAGCAGGGGTCCCCAACCCCCCTGGGGCCACGGGGCTGGTGGCCTGTTAGGAACCGGGACACACAGCAAGAGGTGAGCAGCAGGCAAGTGAGCATTACCATCTGAGCTCCACCTCCTGTCAGATCAGGGGCAGCATTAGATTCTCATAGGAGTGTGAACCCTATTGTGAACTGCATGTGCAAGGGATCTAGGTTGTGCACTCCTTATGAAAATCTAACTAATGCCTAATGATCTGAGGTGGGACAGTTTCATCCTGAAACCATCCCCACCTCCCTGGTCCGTGGAAAAATTATCTTCCACAAAACCGGTTCCTGATGCCAAAAAGGTTGGGGACTGCTGGTATACACTAGTCTCCTTCTTAACCGCCCTTTTCTTAGTTTCAGTTACCTGCTGTGTCAACTGTGGTCCAAAAATATTAAATGGAAAATTCCAGAAATAAACAATTCTCAAGTTTTAAATTGCATACTGTTCCGAATAGCATGATAAAACCTCACACTGTCCTGCTCCCTCCCACCCAGGATGTGAATCATCCCTTTGTCCAGAGTATCCATGCCATCTATGCTACCCGCCATTAGTCACTTAGTAGCTGTCTTGATTATCAGACCAACTGTCACAGTATCACAGTGCTTGTGTTCAAATTACCCTTATTTTGCTTAATAATGGCCCCACAGCACAAGAGTAGTGATGCAGGCAGTTCGGATATGCCAAAGAGAAACCATAAAGTACTTCCTTTAGTGAAAAGGTGAAAGTTCTTAACTTAAGGAAGGAAAAAAATCATATGCTGAGGTTACTAAGATCTACAATAAGAACAAATCTATCCATGAAATCCTGAAGAGCCGGGCATGGTGGCTCACACCTGTAATCCCAGCAATTTGGGAGGCTGAGGCGAGCGGATCACTTAAGGTCAGGAGTTGGAGACCAGGCGAGACCAGCCTGGCCAACATGGTGAAACCCTGTCTCTACTGAAAATACAAAAAAATTAGCCAGACGTGGTGGTGCGCGCCTATAATCCCAGCTACTCGGGAGGCTGAGGCAGGAGAATCGCCTGAACCTGGGTGGTGGAGGTTGCAGTGATCCGAGATCATGCCACCGCACTCCAGCCTGGGCAAAAGAGCGAGACTCCGTCTAAAAAAAAAAAGAAAGAAAGAAAAGAAATCTGTGCTCTGTGCTAGGTTTGCTTTCGCGCCTCAAACTGCAAAAGTTAAGCCACAGTAAAGGATAAATGCCTAGTTAAGAAGGAAAAGGCATTAAATCTGTGGGTGGAAGACAAGAGAAACCTGTTCTGATTGACAGCAATCAGGCTCGGTACTATCTGCAGTTTTAGGCATCCGCTGGGAGTCTTAGAATCTATCCCACGGGAATAAGGTGGGGACTACTGTATTCCCGTCATCACTCTCATCTCTGCCTCCTCACTCCCATTAGGCCTCTGCCCACCCTCCACTGACTTTGCTGCAGCAAAGGTCTCTTTCCAATGGACAAATCAGAAGACACCTTTCAGCCTCCCTCTTTTTTACCCTCTCAGCAAGATTTCAAATTGTCGCCAGAACTGTTTCCACTCCTGTGCCCACCTCTGAAGTATTGCTGTTCCCCATGATTTTTCCTTGCCTCTCCCCTCTTCTTACTCTGTAGTAAGCTCCCCCCACCCCCAGCAACCATGGCAATCTTGTCCAATTCCTTGATTTTACGTTGCTGGTAACTCCTAAATCTATGACATGCATTGTGTCGTAGGCCCAACCTCTCTCCTAAACTAAGAGACCACTCTGTCATCAGCATCCTGACCCTCAACATGCTCCTAACTGAACTCCCCTCTCACACACGTACACCCTACCACCGAACCTTCTCCTCTGCTTGTATCCTTCATCCCGTTCATGCTCCTCCCACACAGCCAGAAATCCTTGCCATTCCCCTCTTCCTTATTCCCCACATGCAATTTACTGTTTAACCCTATTGATGCTATCTTTGAAGTTTTTCTATCATTCTATTCCTTCCACCCTCTCCTGGTTCAAGCCCTATTACCATTCCACAGGGCTACAGCAGCAGCCTTCTAACTGGTGTCCCTACTTGCATTCCTCTCCTCAAATTCCGATACCTTCTCCACGCTGTAGCCTCTGAGCCCTCTAAAATGCACAGCTGATCTCTTCATTCCCTCATTTAAAAGCTTGCAGAAGGCTGGGCATGGTGGCTCGTGCCTCTAATCCCAGCACTCTGGGAGGCCAAGGCAGGCAGATTACCTGAGGTCAGGCATTCAATCAAGACTATCCTGGCCAACATGGTGAAACCCCGTCTCTACTAAAAATACAAAAATTAGCTGGGCATGGTGGTGTGCTCCTGTAGTCCCAGTTACTCGGGTGGCTGAGGCAGGAGAATCACTTGAACCCGGGAGGGGAGGTGGAAGCTGCAGTGAGTCGAGATCACGACACTGAACTCCAGCCTGGGCGACAGAGTGAGACTCCATCCCCAAAAAAAAAAAAGCTTGCAGTATCTCCCACAAGCTTCTACTCACTTATCCCACAAATATCTACCACCTACTAGGTGCACACACTGTTTTGGAAACTGGCAATGCAGCAGGGAACAAAACAATGTCCTGCCTTCACGGACCTTCTAGTCGGGGATAAAGCCAAATGCCTTAGCAGGGCCCATCATGAAATGCATGCCTGCCTCCCTAGCCTTGTGTCCTTCTTCTCCTTGTCCGTGCCCCCTAGTCATATCTAATTCACTTCAATACCTGAAATGTGCCCCTTATGTTTCATACTCTCTGCCTCCCTCCCATCCTCTATACCCCCTTTGCAGACTCTACTCCACAGTCACTTTTTCTGGGTAGTGTATAGGCTACCATAGCTAGTGCTGATCTTCAGAATGACGTGAGTTCAAATCTCCGCTCCACACATACCAGCTGCATGACTTCTGTCAAGTTATCCTACTGTCCTGGGCTTCAGATCCTCAGCTTCAAATGGAAACAATAGTAGTACCTACTGCATGGGTTGGTTGTGAGAATTAAGTTAGTCAATCTATTAAAAATGCTTAGACACTTTAGGTGCCTGACACATAATAAGCTTGTAATACGTGTAGTATTGTTAATATTATACCACTCATCACACTGCTCTATAATAATCCCTCCTATGAAACGTGTCTTATTGTCTTTGTACCCCAATGACTAACCTAGCTGGGCACATAGTAGATACTTACTAAATGTTGAAGCAAGGATAAAAGGATTGGTGGATTCAGGTTCGTTGCTTGGTTTCCTCTAATCAAACATGATTATGGAGGAATAACAGCAACCTTAGGGCTTCTTCTGAATATCTTTTTGACCAACTATCTAATTGTATGCCGCTTTCACTGTGTGAGTAAGACCTGGAGAGACATGAACAAGAAAAGAGCATTGAGGTGGGCTGAACTGAACTCAAGCTTGGGCTGATCTGAACTCAAGCTGAGCTATTTACATTTCTTTCTTCATTGACTCTAGGGTTGAGAAGGGACCAACTACCCTAGAATAGCCACTACCTTTCACTTCCATCCCTCTGCCCCATCTCATACTTTCCATTTGCCCCCTTTTCAGTACCATGTTCCCCCTCAAAAGTGCATAAACTGAAGCCCAGAAAGCAAAAGAAGTGCTGAGGGGGAAAGGGGAAGGGGTGGAGAGAGGTTAGCACCTCCCTCTTTCCTTCAGTGAGATCAAAGCCAGCATTTTCCCTTGAAGGTCAGCTGGCCTCTTTCATCCCCTGCTCCACCTGTCTGGGAATGGGATTGCTGCTTGCCCATTTCCTTTCCTCTTCGGGGCTGGAGGGGCCTCAAGCTATTTCTAGTTCTAGCCAAATCCCTCCACTCCAACATCTCTTTTGCCTTACGTGATCATATTTCCTTTCCACCTCGCCAGTAAGTAACAAGTGGCAGGACCATAGGGCAGAAAACTATGAGAGAAGTCAGTTTCTCCACAGGCTAGTCAGTTTCTCCTAGGCTAAGCTAATGGCTTAAGCAAGCGGGGAGGGACACTGAGGCTGCTGGGCTTGGTCTGGCAGGAAGAACAGACTCATCTTTCTACATCTCGGCCCTAAGCGCTTCACCTGACATCCTTCAGGGTGTGGATGAGGCTTGGTTAGGCAAGGGCCTCTTGCCCCAGGAGAAGGGAATTCACATTTATTGAAGTCCTAGTATGTGCTGGGCCCTATGCTAGGCCCTTTTATAGATATTATCTCATTGGCTCCTAACAGCCCAACCAGGTCAGCATTTGTCATCGTCAGGTGGAAATGATGAAACAGAGATTAAAAAGCTTACCTGATGACAGGTACACTAAAATCTCAGAATTCACCACTATATAATTCATCCATGTAACCAAAAACTACTTGTACCCCCAAAAGCTATTGACATTTAAAAAATTTTTTTTAAATGAAGCTTACCTGAGACACACAAGCTAAATCCAGGCACCAAAATCTAGCTCCCCCAACTCTAAAGCCAGTGCTCTTTCCACTTCATCATGCTGCCTCAAGAGTCTAGAAAAACTGTTAATGCTATGAATTGATTCTTTGAATTATTTCACACAATTAGCTATATGGCTAGCTAAACCCTTGGTGAGTTAATTTAATTCAACATACATTTAAGGGAAACCCGTGATGACTTGAGTTGGACACTGCAGGGTATGCAAACAGAACATGACAGAAGTTTCTACCTTTGCAGGCCAGCCAGCTGCCATGTAGAACTGGCTCACAACACAAGGACTTTCTTAAACAATCTGAGTCCCCTAACCTAAGAACAGTGCAAATAAGCAGGACCTGGGAATAACATCTGATTGGCAAAGGTGGGGAGAACTTGAGGAACCCAGACTTTGCTATTATTACCAGCAGCCAGCCTGCTTCAGCAAAGAATGGGTTATGTATGACTGTGCCTACCGTGTCGCTCAGTTAGTTAAAACCAGGTGCTAATGAAACCAGGACAACAGGCTTAATCCCAGTAGAATTGAGTTCTGTCACATAGCAGCCAGTCCTGGTCCCAGCTGACCATCTTGCAACCATATGCTCTTGGTCAAAGAGGGAGCTAAAGTAGGAGAGTGAGGGTAAGTGCATAATAGGCACACATAAGTGAGGACGTGTTGTTCCAAACACTCAGCCCTAATCAAGCAGCTCATGATGTGTCACTGACAGAGAATCAGCAGTGTCATCTTCGCACCTGGAGGCAGAACATTCCCTCCTCCTATACCTCAGCTAGGTACCCTGCACCTGATCTTTATAGCACGTTGATGCCAGGGCTTCAGGTCTCCAAGAGGAGCTTCTTCATTGCAGCTGCCTTTCTTCTGTTGCGCTATCTAAGCCTGTCTTTCCATACCCATGAAATGAGTGTACCACTTGACACACTCTGGGGAAGAGGCTGCCTAAGGAGAGAGTGTCACACCTGTTTAAAACCTTCTCTTCCATAGCCAAGCCCACAAATTCCTCAAACTTGGACTGAGGGGCCCTCCTTAGCTAAAAATACAAGCCTCTCAAGTTTCTTCAACCATGATACAGGGGAAAGGGGGTAATGGTTCTGGATGTGTCCCCCAGGTAACCTCTCTTGTCTGTTCCACATATGGGTTTGGTAAAGCCAATCTCTACTCAAAGCCTTTTCTATCTCTGGAACTCAGGGCTTCAGGTATCAGAGAGTAATAACTCCAGCAGGAAGGACCTAAGCCCCTCTCTCTTTCTAGATCAGTCCATACACACATATACACACACAAAGGGCATTATAAACATTGGCACAGTCTTGGCCATTTTTCTTTTAATTAAATGTGTAGAGTTTTCTGTCATGGATATGCAAAACCATCTCCCAATCAAGTTACTTCCATGGAATCTACAAAGACACTGTTAGAATCCCTAGAGATTGTTCCACAACATCTCCCACGGTGCCAGATGTACATTCAGACTCTTAACAAGGATAATTTGGTGACAATGGCAATAACTCTGGATTATTTTTAAGAAGCTCTTTGAATGGCATCAAAGTCATGACGTATATCAAGATCCTTTTTTCATGCCCTCTGTACCATTTTGTTTTCATGGAATTTGAATTTCCCTGGTTTACTTACCACCTAACAATATCACTATTGAAAGCACATAATGTTAAGGACCATATGCTCTCCCTCTGGAGAGTGTGCACAAATACTATTTCTGTTAAAAACTAAACAGAAATAGTAGCTTTGCATATTTCCCATTCAAAGACTTATCCCAATTGAATGATTCCCTTTGTCGTGGAGTGGTTTTCCCCAAGTCAGCCCTACCAGAGAAGCTGAATCAGATATTGTGACTCCCCAGTGGTCACAAGGAGTCATCTACCAAGCTAGAAATAGAATCCACAAACATTTATTTTGATTCTTTGAATTAAAAAACAAATAAACTCTACTATAGAGAAAGAAAAATTAAAGTAGAGAAACTAGACTTCTTTGCCATTCCTGGGCCAGGGAATTCAAGGCAACCAAAACTAACAAAGCAGCTGCCATGGTCTGTGGGGACCAAGGAAATGAATAAGACACAGGTGCTGCCTGCCTTCGGGGAGCTGACAGTCCAGTGTGGGGCGATTGGGTCACTGTTGAAAAATCTCTACCCAATGCAGAATATGCCTGTGAACACCTAGAGGACCCCAGAGGAGGTCTCATCCATCTTTATAGTCCCTCTGCAACAAGCACAATGACCTGCATGTGATGTGCAGGCAAGTACTGTGTATTTAAGGGCCCTGAAAGAAGTACCAACAGAATGCTCTTGGGGTTGGTGGAGAAGGAGGGACAGCTTTGTGAAGGAGGTGACATTTGAGCTGTGCCTGGAAGGATGGGGAGGTTTTTCACAGGCAGTGGGGACTGGGGGAGGGCCTTTGCAGTCCCCAGGAAAGAGCAATGGCAAAGATCCTAAGGAAAGAGAAAGCACGGTGTGATTTGGAAGAGCACCAAGCAGTCTAGTGTGGCCAGAGGACAAGGAAGCAGTAAGAGCTGAAGTTGGAGAGAAAAGTTGAGACCTAAGCAGAGAGACCGTTGGACAGCAAGCTAAATAATTTCACAGGGGAATATCATTGAAGGTCTGAGCAAGGGGAGTAGTGATACCACCAAGGCAGGGCTTCCTGCTGCATCATCCTGTTCTGCCCAAGGAGGCCTCCCTTGCCTTGTTGGTAGTATGAGTTTCTTTTGATTGTTTGTATGTGGTTGGTTTGGAGGTTTTATGTGGCTTAATTTGTTTTTTGGCCTTTCCCTTTTCCTTACAGTTTTTCACAGCATATGGTCCTGATTATGTGCTGGAAATCACGCCAAGCTGCCGGCCAGACCGCAATGAGCCCCACCGAATCCAACAAATCCTCAACTACATCAAAGGTGAGCACCGCCCCTCGAGGCCTGCCCTCCTTGTTCCACCCAGTTTGTGGTGGCCCATCAGTGGGGGCTTCCTTAAATACCATTTGCCTTTTGGTAAGCTAATCATTTCACTGACTTGGAAAGGAAACCTCTTCTTGGCCTGACAGCTTGTAGCTGGAATTCTACACTGGCCACTCTGGTTGGGATTGTCATTTGGCTGGCTAATGTCACCTCAGAAGGACAAAGGGTTCAGCTTTTGGCACTGCCAGGGGAAAATCAGCTCTAAAGTGTTCCCTGAGACCCTTTTTCTTTCAAAAGGCCAATAGTAAAGCACTCTTTAAGATGAGAAAAGTTGGCCGGGCACCGTGGCTTACGCCTGTCATCCCAGCACTTTGGGTGGCTGAGGCGGGAGGATTGCTTGAGCCCAGGAGTTCAAAACCAACCTGAGCAACACAGCGAGATTCCATCTCTACAGAAAATTTAAAAATTAGCCAGGCATAGTGGCATATGCCTGTGGTCCCAAATACTTGAGAGGCTGAGGCAGGAGGATCCCTTGAGCCCAAGAGGTTGAGGCTGCAGTGAGCCATGCCCACACCACTGCATTCCAGCCTGGGCGAGACCCTGTCCCAAAAAAAAAAAAGAGGAAAATTCAAGTCAATTCAGACTTAGCAGGGGTGGGGAGGGGGCTCACAGGCATTCTCTTCCAGTATGTATGAGTCCTTGATCCAGTAGAGCCTTGAAAGAATGTGGAACTACAATGAGTAGTCAGGGATTCTGATGCCCTGGGAGTGGGTTACCTGGACTCAGCCAGAGTGCTGCAGATGGGCTGCTGGCCTAGCCTCCTTGCTGGCCTAGCCTCCTTCCCGGCCTAGCCTCCTTCCCTTCCCCAAGGCTGGCCTGGAATCATTCTGGCCTCGGGGTAGAGGGGAAGTGGCAGCCATCAGGGCATTTCCCTCCTGATCCCACTGTCCACTGGCTGTTTGGGGTCACTGTCCTCAGCATTCTAGTAGCGCCCCCTCTGAACTCCAGCTGCTTCTTCACAACTCACTTTATCCACCATTCGCATTACGTATTTTTGGCACCCATTTTCCTGTTTAATTAAATGTACATATACATATGTGTATTTTTTAGATCCTAATTATTTGCCAGAGTTAAGAGGCCAAGGGTATCTTTTTGCCTAACCTGGACAGGGAAATTCTCATGTTTATTCATAAAATGACCAAGATAGCACCAGTTCTCCTACCTTTGAGTCCCTCGCTGGAATATAATCCAACACAAAAAGGAGGCCTGTTCTATGCTGGAGTTAGTCTGAGGAAACACTACACTCGGAGAGTCTTTGCTGTGAGTTACATTAATGCCCCTATCCACTAGCAGAGCCCAGTAAATGACAGCAGCAAAGTCTTCATGTCCTGAGCTCATTTAGCCAGAGAAAAGTTTTTAAGCTAAGAAGTCATAGACTCTCAAGGTTATTCTCACAGCATTGCTGATTGTCCCCTCTGAGGCGTCCCTTAGCCCTCAGCCTTCTCGCGACCCTATAGTTTCAAGCTAACTCCCTCTCACCTCTCAGTGGCTACTGACCCCACAAGTCCTTGCTTCCTAACAAAATCCTCCTCCCTTATCCAACTTTTAAGGCCTTCAAAATCCTTCCACTCCTGGCCCTTCTCCAGTTCTTCTCATGGTGTTGCAGCCTTGATGAACACTAGCCATCCAGCCCGTTTTCCCTGCTCCCCTCAAACCTGGTACGCATGTCCTGTGTTCCTCAGAACTGATCCTGGACCGGCTTCTCTTACCCTTCTTCCTTCAACTCTGCCATTTTCCCCCATCCAGGCTCTAAATCCTGGTAGAGCACAGACAAAGCAATAGAAACAGGGAAACCAAGCAAGCCTTGCAGCTACTCGCTCACACCTCCATATGTGCAGATATGTGTATGCCCTTGCTTCCCTGCACACATACCCAGGGACATAGCTCCAGAGAGTGGTGGCATCTTGCTATTGAGGAAATGGAAATGACAAGTGAGAGAAGACATAAGGAAGGTAATGCAAAGGGAAGAGAACGAGGAAAGGTAAGAACCCTAAAAGAGCAGAAAATCAAAAAGAGATTTGAGATAAAAGGCTAGGACGAGGGTTGGTGAAAAAAATAACAGATCTCAAAGGACATGAAAATTACATGGAAGTCAAGCTTTTTAAAGATCCTAACAGGTTAAAGCAATATTCTGATTGTAACCCAATGAAATCAAACTGGAGGAAAACATATGGACCAGAAATTGGGTCCTACAAAAGCAACTACATGCATGCAAACTGGGGCAACATGGCTTAGCAGCATTTTGCTAAAAGAGAATTAGGGATTTGAGTCAACTCGGAGCTCAGTATGAGTCACCAGGGCAAGGTGGCCTCCAGAGATGCTAATGCAGTATCGACCTCATTTTAAAGGGCTCTAGACAAATAGGAGCATGTTCCTGGAGGTCAGTCAGGCTGGGGAGAGGACTGGAGCCCAGGCTCCAAAAGGTCTGGTTGGAGGTGCTGGAACCTTTTGGAGAAGACCTCGGGGATGTGGTCTCTACTTCATATATCTGTCACAGTGCAAAGGGCATAGACAGGGTCTATGTGGCCACAAGGCATAGAGCTGGACCCATGGATGGATATTTTAAAAAGGCAGATTTTCATTCAATAGAAGGAAGACATTTTCTAACAATTAGAACTATCCAAAGTGGAACAGACTGCCTAGAAAGGCATGAGGTCTCTGTCACTGGAGATATACAAATAGAAGCTAGACAATCCCTAGGCTGTCATATTGTAGAAGGGCCCCTTCCTTGGGGGAGGGTGATTGGACTAAATTGCTGTTAAGGCTCCTTCCAACCCTAAGATTCTAGGATGCTGTATATTACAATGAGAAAATAGAAAAAGAAAGAATATGGTGAGAGTGCAGGGGTTGGCAGATGAGTCACAGTTGTTGGGTGTGGGGAGGTGATGCCGTGTATAGGAAAGAATTGAGGCAGAGAAGAAGAGAAACTACATGGCTAAGAGTGGGTGAGGAGGAGCCAGAGAGGGTAGACAGCAAGTGGAGTGGCTACAGAATACTAGGAATGTTCAGACTTTCCATTTAGCCATCCCTTTCATATTGACAAAGTCTTGTTTTCTAGCCATGCAAATTTAGCGGAACACACAAGCTCAGAACCAAAGAGAAATTCAGCTAAACCTTTAAGAAACAAGGCTAGAAAGAAGTCCAAATGTTGCTAAAAATGGCCAGGCTAACCTGCTATACTGATACTGTGCCCCTTCAGCATGGTGACGCATGCTGCCATCAGATAGTGCGTTGCCATGACAATGGTCAGCGTGGAAAGGCTGCTGAATTTTCTGAATTCTGAAAAATTTTCCTGAACCTGTCTACAAGACTGTTATTTGTTCTTGCTTATAAAAACCTCAGTGAAGCTGGTCATTTCTCTCTGTACCTCCCCTCCACCTCCCCTCACCCCATGAAAAACAAAGAGTAGGATGTGACACAGATTGCTTTGGAGAGGTAAGATGGCAATGAGGGAATGAATGGATTCAGCTCCACTCTATGTGTGGGAGTTCAGCCAGCATATCTGGTTGAATTTGTTCAGCCTTTAAGCTTGGGCTTTTTCTCTTTCTTGCCACATCCCTTAGAGGCACAAAAGATGAGACTGTAGCCTATTGGAAACCAAACCTGAGAAGATTCATCTTACAGAGATGTGTTCCGCATGCTACAGGATGACTGAAGGGACAGGCAAATTTAGACCTCAACTTATCCCATCTTTACTGCCCATTAGTCTTTCTGAGAGGAAAAAGACCCACAAAACCATGGAGAGTCCATTCAAGCTCTTAGCTTCACACAGAGAAAAGCTCCTCTCGTGCCAATGAGCTGTCTTGAAGGCATGTGTCGTTGTTCATAAGAAAGTACAGGTTAGAGAGCAGATGGCTTAGTCCAGCTCATGACTACTATTGTAAAATCATCCTTGCACCATGTTCATTTGCTTAAAGCTGGTTGCCTTTCCTCTGGTGAATGTACTCCAGAGGAACTGGCTCACGGTGAACCTTCCAGAGTTGGAATAATGCTGATATGATTAATCCCCAGGGAGGGCTAGCTCCTCAAGCCTGGCTAGCTCTGCATGGGGAAATGCAGATAGAGGTAGGAGGCTTTCTGGTCTCTGGTACTGATGACATTCGAATCAAGTGGAGGTCCCTAGGAGACTCAGAGCTCCACATTGCAGCCCAGGCCCAATCCTCTTGGGGAGCAGGAGTGGGGGAGTTGTGCATTTGTGAGAATGTGTTACAGTTGTAACTGGAGGTTTCAACACTTGCTCTGTGTTCCCAGAACTATTCCCCAGGTTTGACTGGGAGAGAAAAAGAAACAAACAAGGTCAGGAAGTAAGGAGGAGGAGGAGGGAAGGGGGAGGCAGAAGACACAAGGGAAGAAAAAGGCCTTGCATGCATCTGCCCTTTCTTCCCCTTACTGAAGGAGCCTTAGGATGGCAACCTAACAAACTGATACGGGTGTGGACAGAAACAACACAGATGAAATAATAAGAAGAATAGCTACTATTTATCTTACAGATAAGGAAACTGAGGCTCAGGGAGGATAGGTGACTTGGCCAAGATCGCCTTTATTCATTCAGCAGGTGGTAATTACTGAGGACCTACTGTGTGCCACACACTGTGCTAATAAGCAGTGGAGTGGACATTGGAACACAGGCCTGGAGTGGAGCTTCAGAGTCAGGCTGTTTGACCTTTATTTCCCTCCTCTCCTTGGCAGCATTGCTCTGTCAAATCTGCTCATCATCCCGTCTGCTCTTTCCGATCGCCCCTAGTAAACCCTCCTACCTCACACTACATGCCCAGCTTCTTCCATGTGGCTAATCCTAAACACTAAACTCCCTGGAAATGGGAAGAAGACAGCCTTGGGCAACCTTTGAAATTCTGGCCCCTGACATAGGCTTTGTAGCCCTCCCTAGGCCCCGCCCCCTCCCCCACCATAGTGTAATCTGAAGCTTCTAGCTCCCTTTCCCTAGTAGAGAAGGAAAAGAAATGGACAGAAGGTAGGAGAAGCCAGCTCACCCAGCTCCTGCTGCCTGAAATGTGCTGTAGCCACCAGACCCAGTCTGCCATTTGCAGTTCCACAGCCCCAATCTGAGACCCTTTGCACATCTACTGGTAATATTCTTAGGAGAACCATTGTGCTGCGTATAAGCAGCACTTCCTCTGGCAGCCTGACATCCGGGATTGGCATCCTTCTAGGGGCTAGCAATTGGAGCTCAGGTTTGCGCATATTCAAGGCCTGCTGGAGCCCCAGGCTTGAAGCAGTGCTCCTGCATGGTGGGACTCTATACCATGGAAACTTGGCTTCCTTCCACACTGTCTCTTTCTTCTTGAGAAGCCATGAGGATAAGTTGAAAGGTAGGGTTGGTCCCAAGGATAAACTGACCATTTGCTTTAGGGCTTCTTGGAAGGACTTCAGAGTAGGGTTTTGGAGGATACCTGAGCCAATTTGCATGACTTCAGGTGAAAATCTCTGTGATGTCCATCCTTTATCTCTCTTTCCTGTCCCCTGCTGGCTCTTTATTCCTCTTCATCTCCCTGTGGTCCTTTCCAGGAGCCTACTGCCAGCTTGGGCTTCTTCATCAAGCAAGTTCCTCTCTTTCTTGTTTCACTAAAGAGTATAAGAGATGGAAAGGCTTCTTGTCATCGTTGTTATTGCTGTTGTTAAACAGAAAAATAAGTTACAAAAATGTCATGCTGAAAATTTTAAAAATTCTGGGCCGGGCGCCATGGCTCGAGCTTGTAATCCAGCACTTTGGGAGACTGAGGCAGGTGGATTGCTTGAGCCGAGGAGTTCAAGACCAGCCTGGACAACATGGTGAAACCCCATCTCTACAAAAAAAATACAAAAATTAGCCGGATGTGGTTGTATATACCTGTAGTACCAGCTACATTGGAAGCTGAGGTGGGAGGATTGCTTAACCCCAGGGAGGTTGAGGCTGCAGTGAGCTGTGACTGTGCCACTGCACTCCAGCCTAGGTGACAGAGCCAGACCCTATCTACAAAAAAAAATTTTTTTTAATCCTAAAATAAAAATGGAGACTGCTCCCCAAAGTTACAGTAACTTAGACAGCAACTTTTAAGAAACCATGAAAACCCTTGGCATATTACTCATGAAGACTTGGAATTTCTACCTAAATCTGTGAAGTGGGAACTACTGATATTGACAGGGTACAGCACAACACCCTGTGCTGGGTACTTCACATACATGATCTCTTTTAACCTCACAATTTCCTTATGAGGTAGGAGACTGGCACCCGAAGACATTGTGTAACATGCCCTAATCACGCAAGAAGTAAGTGGTAAACTCAAGATTTGAACCCAGACCTGGTGGCCCTCTTCTCCGTGGCAGCATTGCCCTGTGACACCTACTCAACATCCATCTCCTCTGCTTTTTTCTAGTCGCTAGTAAACCTTTCCCCTAGTAAACCCTCTCCCCCTGCTCAGGTTCCCAAAGTGAGCTTCAGAAGCAGTTTAATTTTAAGAGATATGATTGTGTCTCCACTTTAAAGCCCAGCTCAAGCAATCAACACATATATTTTTGAACCCCACCCCCCTCATGTTGGTGCCATTGGGAGATATACGAGGTGTTTAAGACATGATCCCTCCTCCTGATAAATAGTTGAGAAATCTAGGTTAGGGAGGATTTGAATAGATCAGAGTAGGGATGCACTTGTAAGTGAGGGAAATTCAGAAGGGTGGGGATGGGGGGCCGATTGCAGGCTCCCTTGAATTTCAGGCTGACTAGTTCATATCCACAGTAAAGTGGAAGTCATTCTAGGTTCTGAAATTAGAGCACCACATGATACAGTGATATTTGGGATGGATGGTGATGGTAGTGCAAGACTGAGACTGCAAGGTCCTGGACTAGAATAGTGGTGGTAAAATAGAAGAAATGACTGAGAGCTGTTATGAAGAGAGTATCATCACCAGCACTGGGAGGTAGGCCATTTATAGAGGATCAGGGAGAAAGGAAGAAGTAAAGGTGACTCTGAGATTTCCAGCCTGGATACCGACTGAAATGGGAAGCTCTTGGGGGAGGGAACATAGCTTTACTGAAACATATACTTGATGTGTTCTCTTTTGATGTACTGAATTTGAAGTGTCTTATGAATTCCATACAGTGTATCTACATGAAAAAATTTGTTGCAGCCAGTTAAAAAGCAAATTTTAAAAGATAATTTGATGACATGAGAATATGCTCATGATTACAATGTTAAGTGAATATGAACAGGATACAAAGTGGCTTACTACCATATAGTCTCAATTTTGTAACTATATTTAGTGTGTGTTTTGGGAGAGGGGATATGCACAGAAAAACACAAGAATTAAGTGCTAACAGTAGTCATCTTTGATGATACTTTACCAAAGTAATATACCTTAACAGTAGTTATCTAGAATTAGAATTATAGATGATTTTTATTTTTTTATGCTGTTTCTGTATTTTTCAAAATTTCTACCATGAACGTGTAGTCAGGAAAAAAAAAAGTAATACATGCTGGCAGGGGCAGAGGGCACTACCCTATTACCTCCAGGTGGGGAGTAAAAGTCTAGGTTCCCTACTCAGCCACCATTGACACCCTGGGGAGAAGAAGGGCACCTCAGTATTGCTGGGTGGAGTAGAATTCAGGCTCTCCAATAGACCTCCACTGATACCACTCTGGCCAAAAATGGGAGCGGCACCTTTTTATTGCTCCGCATTTGGCCTCTACTGACATAGCAGTGGGTGGGCCTCCTTGCCATTAAGCAAAGATGGAAAGTCCTGACTTTCTACTCTGCCTTCTTTGACACCACCCTGGTGGAATGGAAGGGAAGCCTAACAGTAACCATTTAGTGTTAATATGTGCCAGGCACTATTCTGGGCACTGGCAATACATAATTAAATAGAATAGATAAGCCAGGCACAGTGATGTGGGCTGATAGTTCCAAATACTTAGGAAGCTGAGGAAGGAGGATCGCTTGAGCCCAGGAGTTTGAGACCAGCCTGGACAACATAGTGAGACCCTGTCTCTTAAAATAATAAAGGAAATAGGTCAAATAAAGTCCTTGCCCATCATGGAGATTACATTCTAGTGTGGAAGATAGACAATAAACAACTAAATAAAAATTTAATGTTGTTTACTGATAAATTCTGAGGGATGCTATTCAGTAAAGACCTCTCGGAGGAGGTGACATTTGGGAACAGAGATTAATGAAATGAGGGAAGGAGATTTACAAAATTTGAGTTCGGCCGGGCATGGTAGCTCACGCCTGTAATCCCAGCATTTTGAGAGGCCGAGACAGGCAGATCACTTGAGCCCAGGAGTTGGAGACCAGCCTGGGCAACATGGCAAAACCCTGTCTCTACCAAAAAAAATGTAAAACTGAGCTGGGTGTGATGACATATACCTGTAGTCCCAACTACTTGGGAGGCTGAGATGTGAGGATCAATTGAGCCCAGGAGGTCAAGGCTGCCGTGAGCCATGATTGCACTACTGCACTCCAGCTTGGGCAATAGAGTGAGACCCTGTCTTAAAAAAAAAAAATGGTAGTGAAGTACATTCTAGATGAAGAGACAAGCAATATCAAAGACCCCAAGAGAAATGGATTTAGTATGTTCAATATAGATATATGTTTCAATGTGTATTAAAAAGAAATATAATTATCAGATCAAACTCTTTGGTTTCAAAGATATTACTTAGGATGAGGCTGGGGTTTTTTTATGTCTATATAAGAAAAGTCCACATAGGCGGTATGTGAATATGGCCAAACTCTTGACAGTATAGAACTTTAGGAAGCAGATCAGTCTCTAATGTATATAATATTATTAGCCCCATTTAATAGATGTAGGAACTGAGGCCTAGGGGAGTTAATTAGCCTGTACAAAGTCACACAGCAGGTAAGTGCGGAAGATAGGATTCCAACTGAGACGCTGAGGATCA
This sequence comes from Homo sapiens, assembly GCF_000001405.40. Taxonomy (NCBI): domain Eukaryota; kingdom Metazoa; phylum Chordata; class Mammalia; order Primates; family Hominidae; genus Homo; species Homo sapiens. The sequence continues at coordinate 72,342,779 of NC_000023.11, read as the reverse complement.
TACTCAAAGCTTAGAAGAGGAAATAAGGAATTTTCCTTCTGCCTGGCAGAGCTGCTGATTGTTGCATAAACAAACCAATAATATTCAAAGAGTAGTTGGAGGCCTCTAATATGTTTAATTAAGCATTTTTTTCTTGTGTGCCCGAAGTACATGCCCAAAGCGATTGTATTGCTCATTTCCCTCCAGCTTCTAGTTCTAAAATGATCAAGGGGTAGAAGGAAGGTTGGAAATTATTAGGAAAAATAAGGTAAACCACTCAGGGTTTTGGAATGCCTAACTGTTGACAACTTTGTCAGTCTACCTGGAGGCTCTTTAGACAACTGAGATTCAGGTGCTGTCTTGAGCACAGCCACCAAATCCAGCAGTGCTAAGGGTCATTTTCTGCCAGGGTAAGTGGGCCTAGCCTCCTTGGCCTTGCCACTGAGGGGCAGCTGCTGCAGGATTCTCACCACAGAGTTCCAGAGGAGGGTCTGCAGACCTCCCATCCCATGGTTTTCTGCTGTACCTGGACAGGGACTTCCCCAAGCCATGGTCGGGTCATGAAGGAGCTCACAGTCTTTTGAGAAAGGAAAGTATCTTTACAGGCTCCTGGTTTGCCAACATTCTTCTGCCTCTTTGCAGCTCCAAGCACATTTTGGAGGGAGATTTCACAAAGATTTCTAAATTGAGTTAGAATTTCAAGTCTATTGTGACATGCAAATTAGTCCTGCTTGCCCATTGGCAGCAATGCAGCTGAAGTGCCTAGAGACGGGCCATAAAATGGAAACATCAAAGTGATTAAATGTGCCCGAAGAGCATAATTGAGTGCATGAATAAGAGAAAATAAAACAAATTGATTTTCTCCAGTGCCAGAAAAACAGAATAATTGAAAACAAAATAATAGACTTTGAAGTAATCAAAGTGAGGAATGCACCATAGTGACATAGAAACAGCCAGTTGTGGGAGAGATTTATTGTGTTTCTGTTATCATTTTTACAACTTTAATTTCATTAGCTAATAAATACAAATCAATTGAAAAATCAGTCAACCAGAGAGACGGCAGTCCCAAGCCAAGATTTTTATTCACATCTCTAAAACAGGCTGAGGTGGTGATTCTTAATCTACTTTCATAGGTGCACATTTCTGCCATGAGCTGGAAAACAAGTTCTGGGAGGTCTGTCTGCTTTGGAGGTGGTGATGTTCTGTTCTGACAGTCACTTTCCACATATAGACTTACAGATTCAACTTTCAAAAGGGTCACTTTTATACCCCGCCAAAATTTCTGACAGAGAACTACCCAAGTACAAGCATCTTGGTTTACATAGATGACATTTTCATGGCACTGACCAGCAACTGTGGTCTTACACAAGGTCATCCTGGATTCATTTGGTGATAGTGGTGGTGGTGGCAGCTATGGCAGCAACAATAGCAGGAGCACCTGCTGCTCTCACAATACTGCTGAGCATCTATGGCTCACTGCTTCCAACCCCCACCCTCATCCCCTGACACATACGTGCACACTAGTGACACTGAAATCTAATCTAAAACCAGGAAGGCCAGTCAAGAGTATACCACTCTTTTGGCTTCCAGCCTGGTGACCATGATCCTGGGGAAGATCACAGGAGGGGAGCTGGGCCAGAGGAGACTTCTCATGTTCACTATGGCAATAAGGAACTGGGGACACCAAGCCATGCTGGGCTCACATGCTGAATGATCACAGAGCAATCATGAGACCACCACAGAACCATTTTTATGGCTCCTCCAAGAAAAGAATCCCTCTACCCCACTCTTCAGCTGTTCACGGCTGGGCTCAGTGACCCTTCACTTCAGGATCCACAGTGATAGCTAATGTGACTTGAATTGTGGGTTTTCCTTTCACAGGCCCTTGAGCTCTCTGGCAGCTGTTGGCACTTCTAGATGTTTGTGACACACCCTACCTTCAGGGCTCCACAGTTAGCGACTGTTTCTTTGGCTCCAGTAAAGGTCTTTGGGACCATTGGGACTGTAAACCAGGGTGTGCAGAAGGAGTTGGCAGTGCTGAGACTGGCATTACTTGTTGGCTCAGTCAGGATGGCATAGTTAATAGATTGTGCCTGCCAGGCAATTTGTCCTGGAGAATTTATCTTCCAGGAAGCACCTAGAAGCTGAAGGGAGCCTCTCTGACCTTCTGGTGGCGTCCAAGGCCTAATCATGATATGCCTTGAGGTGAATAGGGGATATTAGCATTTAGGTTTTTTGTGCAAGAGAGCGAGAGTTGGTCTCCAGTTCAAGTCAAAAATCCCAGCTTCCATTTCCCACTGGTGTTTGGGTGGGGCAAAATAGAGCAAATAGCTTTCAAACTCTAAAGCATTATACAGATGTAAGGCTGTATTATTCCTCCTACCACTGCTATTCCCATTATCCTGGATTTCCCAGCCCAGAATTTTTCTCTGAGAAAAAGAAATGTGGAGAAGGCACATCGACCAAAGAACCTCGGAGCTCTGTCTCCAAAACGGCTGGGAGGCATTGCCCAGCCCAGCAGATAGACAACTGCCGGGGCCCAGCTCCACAAGCTGGCTGGCAGGCAAGCAGCCCACTCCTGTGATGTCACCTCTACAGTTACTTGCGCCCATCCTTCCACATGAAGCCAGCAGATTTAGGCACAGGAGGGGAGAAAAAATGAATCATAGGCTATTTTAGAAATTGCTTCGGTTCTGTTTGAGACTGCAGTAGTGCCTTGAGAACTAAGACGAGAGCACCCTAACCATCAGGGTAATATCCTCTAAGTGCTGGTGTCCTGTAAATGTCAGAAGCCTGGTGGGATTAATCCACAACCTCAGGTTCTAATTCAGGTCAGAGGCAGACAAGTGGTGATTGGCAGTTTTACTTAATTGTCAATTAAAGGCTCTCTGATGACAGGAGGGATCGACATTCCAAGGCAAGCAATGCAGTTGACAATTAAGAGCTAAAAATTAAACCAGCCATCCATATCATCACATGCCCAAGGCTTCATAGGAACCCTTGGTACTGCAATTGTTCCCAGGTAGAAAATGAGGTCCTTGAACCTGGCCATGATGGGGCAGCAGCTGGAAATCTTGCTCTAGCCCTGGATCCCACAAGATCCCCTGCTCCCTGACAATCTCTCAGAGGCTCCCCATGGCCTCTCAGATAAGGCCCTGGCCTTGATATGGCCTCTGGCCACCTCTCCAGCTGCATTGCTCCCCTCCCTGAACTTCATCCTGTATCCTGACCTCAAAAACTTTGCAGTTGGCTTTATATATCCTGCTCTGTTCCTGCTGCCTGGAACATTCTTCCCTCCTTTGCCCTTCAATAAACCACCTACTCTGTGAAGCCTCTTATGCCCTCTTTTTCTGCCCACAGCACTCTGTACATACTAGAATTGTATCACCTTGCTGCTGTGGACTATAATGTGTTTGCCTCCATATATGTCTTCCTCACGAGGCCAAGAACTCCTTCACGGCAAGAACTGTCTTGATCCCCTCTGTGACCCCAGCACCCAGCACAGGGCCTAGGCCATTGTAGACATCAGCAAAGGCTTAGGCAATAAATGGACAGAAAAATGGACCAGATTGGGCTGAGGGAGCTGGATAGCTGGATGAGAGCGGGGGTGCATACCATCTAAGATTCTCAGATACCAGAGCCTGCCAGCAGCAGGACAGCCTGGACACCGGCTGGCCAAGGGTAATCCCTACAATGATTTTTCTCAAGATGTGCCTCATGTTCCTCTATATGAGAGACAATCTGAGGTGACACAAAGACATTTTTAATTTTAATAGTCATATTTATTTTAACGTATGCTTTAAAATGTAATAAGCAAGTTGTCTATTATTATTATTATTGCTGCTTATGATAGATGAGGCCAAAATAGGTATTAAAGTTTTTTTCTTATTTTTTAAAATTTCTTTTTAAAAATTAATAGAGACAGGGACTCCCTATTTTCCCCAGGCTGGTCTCGAACTCCTGGGCTCAAGGGATCCTCATGCCTCAGACTCCCAAAGTGCTGGGATTACAGGCGTGAGCCACTGGGCTTGGCCTGAAGGTTTAAAAGTGAGTTAATAACCCAAAAAATAAAAAAATAAAAAAATTATATATATATAAATATATATATATATATTTGTATATATATATTTATATATATTTATAAATATATATATATATATCAAGGTGACTATTAATACAGCTGTTAAGTAGATATAAAAACATTCCTAAAAGAGGTACTCATATGACAGAAGTTTTGGAAACATTTTTCAACAGTCCTAAATTCACTTCTCTGTTCCTTTGTGGTGCCACCCAACCTCCAAGGGTTCCTGAGATCACACCAGCATCCCTCCAAACTGCTGTGATGCTGATTGCGTTCAGAACTTATGTATCCTAGCCTGGTTCTCCTTTTGTTAGCATGTGTTTGCTCACCTTACCCACACTTATAAGGTCCTTAAGAGCAATGACCAAGCTTTAAGCCTCTGGGAATTTAATGGGAAAGTGCTTGATCAACTGCCCTGTAGTCTACAGATGTCTTTTCCTTCAGTGAATAGGTACTGAGCACCTACTAGGTGTCAGGCACTACTGAGGGTGCTAACAGTAGAGTAATGACCAAGACAGCAGACAAGGTCCCTGCCCTCATAGAGCTGGTGAGAGGAAGCCAACAGCGAGCAAATAAAGAAACAAACACACAAGATGTTTTCTGTGCGCTAAGTGGATTGAAGAAAATAAAACAGAATCATGTGACAGAAAAGGAGTGACTGAGGGGGTGGCTTCTTAGCTTGGGTGGTCCTAAGGTCTCTCAGAAGTGACTTTGGGGTTGAGACTCGTCGACTCAAGGTGACAAAGGTTATGAGAAGAGTTGGAAATGGGGATAGCCAGGACAGAGCATTCCAGGAAGAAGGAAGAGCAAGTTCAAAGACAGGAGAAGCCCTAAGAGGGAAAAATGATTTCTGTGCTCAAGCCACACAAAGAAGACTCAAGTGAGCAAGGAGGGTGGTGGTAGGAGACAGGAGGCAAGGGACCGGCCCCTGCAGGTGAGTAACTTAGATTTTATTGTGATTGGAGGCTGTTAGAGGGATTTGAGCATAGGAGTGATGTGGTCTGTCCTAAGTATTAACAAAATACTCTGGCTGCTATATAGAGAACAGGGTTGTAGGAGACAAGGAAGGAAGCAAGGAGACCAGTCTTGAGGCTATTAGAATCATCCACATAAAGGGTAAGAATAGTTTGGGGTACAGTTACAGCAGTGAAGGAGGGAAAAAAAGAGGTAGATTTGGAATCTATTTTGGAGGTAGAATCCACAGGACTTGCTAATAGATTGAAAAGGAAGGTTGTAAACAAAGGAGGAGTAAGGATGACCCCTAGTCAACGTCATGAAGGAAAAAAAAAGCACAAGAGGACTGTTCTATGTCTGCTCTGTCCACTATAGTCTCACCACTAGCCACATGTGGCTAAGTTCATTAAAATTAAACAAAATATAAAATTCTGTTCCTCACTTGCACTAGACATATTTCAAGTGCTCAATAGCCACATGTGACTAGTGGCTACCATATTGAGCAGCATAGCTGTAGGATGGTCACATCATCCAAGAAAGTTCTATTGGACCGCACTGCTCCACATTAAAAAGATTAAGAGAATAAAAAGACAAACCACAGACTGGGAGAAATATTTGCAAAATTCATATCCAGTAAAGGAGTTCAATCCAAAATATACAAAGAACTCTTAAAACTCAACAATAAGAAAACACTCAATTTTTAAGTGGGCAAAAGAGGCTGAGTGCAGTAGCTCACTCCTGTAATCTCAGCACTTTGGGAGGCCAAGGTGGGCAGATCGATTGAGTCCAGGAGTTTGAGAACAGCCTGGGCAACATGGTGAAACCCTGTCTCCACAAAAAATTTAAAAATTAGCCAGACATGGTAGCATGTGCCTGTAGTCCCAGCTGCTCAGGAGGCTGAGGTGGGAGGATCACTTGAGCCCAAGAAGTCAAGACTGAAGTGAGCTGTGATCACACTACTACATTCCAGCCTGGGCAACAGAGCGAGACCCTGTCTCAAAAAAAAAAATTAAATAAAAAAATTAAAATGGGCAAAAGCGAGCCCATTTTGGGGGTGTGGTGGCTCCTGCCTGTAATCCCAGAACTTTGAGAGGCTTAGGAGGGAGGATTGCTTGAGGCCAGGAGTTCAAAACCAGCTTGGGCAGCATAGCAAGACCCCATCTCTACAAAAAATTTAAAAATATTTTAAAAAAATAAAAATGGACAAAAGATATTAATAGGCACCTCACCAAAGAAGATATACAGACAGCAAGTAAGTGCAGATGCTCCTCTGCCTATTGCAGTGGGGTTATGTCCCAATAAATCCATTGTAAGTTGAAAATATAAGTGGAAAGTATGTTTTCAACTTACAGTATCTTCAACTTATGATGGGATTATCTAGATGTCACCCCATCTCAAGTTGAGGAGTGTACTGAATGCATTATTACTTTTGTACCATCATAAAGTTGAAACATCTTAAGTCAGAGACTATATGTGAAAAGATGCCCAATATCATGGTCACTAAGGAATTGCAAATTAAAATGAGATACCATTACATATCTATTAGAATGGCTAAAATCCAAGGCAGTGACAACACCAAATGCTGTTAAGGATGTAGAACTACAGGAACTCTCATTCATTGCTGGTAGGAATGCAATATGGTACAGTCACTTGGGAAGACATTTTGGTATTTTCTTACAAAAATAAACATATTCTTACCACATGATCTAGCAATCACACTCCTTAGTAATTACCCAAATGAATTAAAAACTCATGTCCACACGAAAACCTGCACATGAATGTTTGGGGGTCTTTTTTGTTGTTTGTTTGGGTTGTTGTTGTTGTTGTTGTTGTTGTTAATTTTTTTTTTTTTTTTTAGAGACAGTGTTTCACTCTGTCACCCAGGCCAGAGTGCAGTGGCACAATCATAGCTCACTGCAGCCTTGACCTCCTGGGTTCAAGCAATCCTCTTGCTCCAGCCTCTTGAGTAGCTTGGACTACAGGGGTGTGCCATCACACTCAGCTAATTTTTTTATTTTGTAGAGACAGTTTCTCACTATTTTGCCCAGGCTAGTCTTGAACTCCTGGCCTCAAGTGATCCTCCCGCCTCAGCCTCCCAAAACACTGGGATTACAGGCATGAGCCACTGTGCCCAGCCCTGCACAAAAATGTTTATAGCAGCTTTATTCAGAATTGCCAAAACTTGGAAGCAACCAAGATGTCTTGCAATAGGTGAATGGATAAACCCGTTGTACATCCAGACAATGGACTATTATTCAGCACTAAGAAAAAATGAGCTATCAAACCACAAAAAGACATGGAGGAAACTTAAATGCATCTTGAAAGAAGCCAGTCCAAAAAGGTTACATACTGTTTGATTCTAACCATATGACTGTAAAAAGATGATGGTTGCCGGGCTTCAGTGAAAGGAAGGGAGGGATGAGTCCATGGAACACAGGTGATTTTGAGGGCAGTGAAACTATTCCTGCATGATACTCTAATGGTGGATACATAACATTATATACTTTTCAAAACTCATAGAACTGTGCAAGACCAAAAGCGAATCTTAACGTAAACAGTGGACTTAAGTTAATGATAATGTATCAGTATCCATTCACTAACTATAATAAATGTATCACACTAATGCAAGATGTTAATAATAGGGGAAACTGCCTGTAGGGGAAGGGGAAGGAAATATATGAGAGCTCTCTGTACTTTCTCTTCAGTTTTTCTATAAACTTAAAACTGTTCTAAAAGTAAAATATATTAATTTAAAAAAGAAAGACTAAAGAGATTGTTCATCAACACCTAACAAAATACCTGGCACAGAGTAGACACGCCATAAATGTTTATTGAATAAATTGATAAACAAATGAGTCAACCAGTGGTTCAGTAGAACCCAGGCCCCCTGAGTCCCAGTTCAGTACTCCTTCTTGTACATCAGAGCTAGAGTAACAGTATAGTTTATTGTCCAAACCAGGATATTTGAGAGTGAAATGGGGTGCCTTAGGTATAAATCAAGACTGTTTCAGAGATAACCAGAAATCACAAACTGGCAGTCCATAAGCTACATCTCGCCTCCAAAATTGTTCTGTTTGGCCACTCATCTTAATGCCTCATATGATATTCTTTTAAAATGTCAGTCATTTGCCCAAATTTAACACAGTGGAAACTGCATAAAAATGTGAAATTTGGACTTCTCTTGGAAAATGGAAGGACTCGGTCCCATGGGGCCGACAGGACTGCACAGTGGTGAGTGGCTGGAGCTGAGCAGCAGCTGCCCACTTTTGCCAGCAGGTACCTTCCTCTTTGCCACAAGCCCCACCAGTCCCTTTTGTATCTCTTACTCTAGGCCAAGTGTGAGTTTCCATTTACACTGTCTTGGTTTTGTTTTCTTCTGTGGCAGAGTTAAGAAAAAAGGGAAATATTTCTTACACTTATGTCATGATTCAAAGTAAGAAAATGAAAAAAGGATCAAGAGGGCCCCTTGTGTCTTGCCCCCAGCCTGCTTTACAAACAGTATATTCTTGGCCTCTCTAGGCAGTTGAGTCTGCCCGCTGTGGTCTGAACTTCTTGTCTCCCTAGGCCCCAGCCTGTGCTAGCCTTTAGAATTTTCTCAGGCTGCCACCCACTGCTGGAAAAGCTAGATGTGAGGGGAAAACAATGGGCATTATTTAAGCTTGCATTTTTATTGTTACCCCAATTCAACATTGCTCATCATCAACTTCTTGGTGAAAATTATTTCTGTTGTTTTTCTTAATTGCCTCCAAATTTAACTGGAGAGTGAGGCAGAGCAGCAGAGGAGTACAGCACCCACCTTTCCTCCCTGCGAACATGTCTTGTTGGAATGCTTTGACATGGAATTTTGTTCATCCTTGCATTCAGTCATTCCCCTAGCTCTGGCTATACTTACAGATGGAAGGACTCTCACTTCACACCAGTGTCCCCTGTAGGTTGTCCTCAGCTGAGGCAACAACACAAGCGAAGGTGTGGAAACAGGAAAGCATGGATGGGGCCCATTTACGCTAAGGAGTTGGACTTCATTCATAGGTGGTAGGTCGGGAACTGCTAAAGTCTTTTTTTTTTTTTTTTTTTTGAAATGGTGTCTCGCTCTGTCACCCAGGCTGGAGTGCAATGGCACCATCTCGGCTCACTACAACCTCCACCTCCCAGGTTCAAGCGATTCTCCTGCCTCAGCCTCCCCAGTAGCTGGGGTTACAGGCGCCCACCACCACACCTGGCTAATTTTTTTGTATTTTTAGTAGAGACGAGGTTTCACCATGTTGGTCAGGCTGGTCTCAAACTCCTGACCTCAGGTGATGCATCCACCTCAGCCTCCCAGAGCGCTGGGATTACAGGCATGAGCCACCACGCCCAGCCTGCTGAAGTCTTTTTGAGCAGAGAAGGAATGTGATCACAGCTAGCAATTGTGCAGGGAATAGCTCTAGAAGCAGGAGGACCAGATAAGAGGTTGTCGCAGTGACCTGAGTAACAAGAGATGTGACTAAAGCAGAGACAGTGGAACAGAAAGAAGGGGATAGATTGGAGAGACATCTTGAGGTTAGGCTTCACAACTCATAAGATGTGGAGAAGGCGTGAACTAAGAAATTAAGGATCAAAGATTATCCAGAGATTTTTTTGAGGTTAGGGGGTTGAAATACCAAAAGCATGATCCAAAAAAAGAAAAAAAATTGATAAGGAATTGGAGCTCATCAAAATCAACTTTTGCTTTACAAAAGACCCTGTTAAGGGAATGAAAAGATAAGTTACATACTGAGATAAGATATTTGCAAATCATATATCCCACAACAGATTTGTATCTAAAATATATAAAGGGCTGGGTGCAGTGGCTCACACCTGTAATCCCAGCACTTTGGGAGGCTGAGGCGGGTGGATTATTTGAGGTCAGGAGTTTGAGACCAGCTTGGCCAACATGGTGAGATCCCCTCTCTACTAAAAATACAAAAATTAGTCGAGCATGGTGGCACATGCCTGTAATCCCAGCTACTAGGGAGGCTGAGGTAGGAGAATCGCTTGAACCCAGGAGGCGGAGTTTGCAGTGAGCCGAGATCGCACCACTGCACTCCAGCCTGGGTGACAGAGTGAGACTGTGTCTCAAAAAATAAAAATAAAAAATATATATAAAGAACTTTCCAAACTCAACAGAAAAAAAAAAAAACAATTAGGAAGTAGGCAAAAGACAAGACATGAAAAGGATATACAGTCAGCAAATGAGCACATGAAAAGATGTTCAACATCATTAGCCATTGGGAAAATGCAAATTGAGATCACAATGTGATATCACTATACATCTATCAGAATGGCCAAAATAAAAACCAACACCAGATGCCAGCAAGAATGCTGAGAAACCAGATGACTCAAACATTGCTGGAGGGAAAGTAAAATGGTACCACCAGTCTGGAAAACAGTTTGGCAATTTCTTATAAAGCTAAACATGCTACTACCATACCTCCCAGCAATTATTCTGTTGAGCATTTGTCCCAGAAAAATGAAAACTATGTTCACACAAAAACCTGTATGTGAATGTTCATAGTGGCTTGATTCTATAGCCAAAAACTGGAAATGACTCAGGTGTCCTTCAGCAGATAAGTAGTTAAACAGATTGTGCTACATCCATACTGTGGAGTACTACTCAGCAAAAAGAAGCAACAAACTTGATACACACCACAACTTGGATGGATCTTAAGAGCAGTATGCTGAGTGAAAAAAGCCTATCTATCTCAAAAGTTTATATACTGTATGGTTCCATTTCTATAACATTCTCAAAATGACCAAATTTTAGAGAAGGATAACAGATGAATGGTTGTTGGGACTTAGGGATGGTGAAGGAGGAGGGATGGGAATGACTGTAAAGGAGGTAGAGGAGGGAAATCTTTGTGGTGATAAAATAGTTTCGCATCTTGATTGTGGTTGAGGTTACATGAATCTACACTTGCGATTAAATGGCCTAGAATTATACACTTATACACACACAAATGAGTGCTTGTAAAACTAGTGACATATTAATAAGATCTGTGAATTGTACCAATGTCAATTTCCTGACTTGGATATTGAACAGTAATTATGTAAGATGTTAACATGTGGGGAAACCTGGGGAAGGGTGTGTAGAACCTCTCTGCACTATTTTTTTTTTGCAGCTTCCTGTTATTCTATAATTATTTTAAAAGTAAGAGCTCAGTACAAAAAAGGAATGAACTTCTATTGATACATGCACAAATCTGCATGAACCTCAAAGGCATTATGCTGAGTAAAAAAATAAAATAGCCTATCTTAAAAGGTTACAGACTGTTTGATTGCATTTATATGGCATTCTCAAAAAGACAACACTACAGTGATGGAGAACAGATCAGTGCTTGCTAGGTGTGGGGGAGAAAGGAAGATGTGATTGCAAAAGGATAGCACAAGGAGATTTGAGGGGTTATGGAACTCCTCTCTGTCATGAATCTATACATATGTTTAAAATCAGATCTGCACATGCACAAATGTCAATTTTACTGCAGAATAAAATTTAAAATAAAAGTAGATAGGCAAGGCCGGGCATACCTGTAATCCCAGCACTTTGGGAGGCCGAGTCGGGTGGATCACGAGATCAAGAGATCGAGACCATCCTGGCCAGCATGGTGAAACCCCATCTCTACTAAAAATACAAAAATTAGCTGGGCATGGTGGCACACACCTGTAGTCATAGTTACTCGGGAGGCTGAGGCAGGAGAATTGCTTGAACCCGGGAGATTGCAGTGAGCCGAGACCGCGCCATTGTACGACAGCCTGGGCAACAAGAGCAAAACTCCATCTCAAAAAAAAAAAAAAAAAAAAAAAGATAGGCAAGTAGTTTGTTTCTGACTTGTTTCTTCTTTCCTTCCTTCCTTTCATTCGTCCATTCATTCAGCCATTTACTGAGCACCTACTATGAGTGAGGCACTGTGCAAGACTTTGGAAATCAACCAAAAGTAAGACAGCCAGGCCCTGCCCTCAGGGAGCATTGTTTCTGTTTCAGAGAAGTGGCCAGTAGGGTTTGGAGCCCAGTGTTTCTACTTGGGGAAGTGTGGCAAGGCAAAGACTACGGAGGGACAAAGTGAGCAACTTTTCATTCCTAGAGCCCAGTCCGGTAGGATTTCAAATGATCACTTTTCCCTCAAAGACTCTTAGGCCTGAGATCAGAGGAAAGCCCCCAATCCGTGTTTCACAGGTACTCACAAGAGAAAATGCTAGGAGGGTTGTGCCTTGCTAAGGGAAGGAAGAAAAGTTGGGGGTGGGGAGCATGAGATTTGATGCAGTTAGTAAAGAATGAACTCTGAAAAGTGTTACGAGAGAGAGAGAGAGACTTAAAACAACCATTTGTTTAGCTCATGACTCTATAGATTGGCAATTGAGCTGAGTTCAGCTGGGTGGCTCTTCTGGTTCTGGCTGGATACACCCAGCATCTGCAGTCAGCTGGCTGTCAAAGGCCTCGATCACATGTCCAGTAATTGGCTGGTGGTTGCCTGGGTGACAGGGATCTCTGGGCCATTTGTTTCTCATCATCCAGCAAGCTATTCTGGTCTTGTTCCTTATGGCGAGGTCACAGAGTTCCCAAGAGCAGCAGAGAATAAGCCCCAAAATATAAGTGCTTTTTAAAAAATAGCTCTATTGGGGTATAATTCACATACATTACCTGACTTTGAATTTTGTTTTCTCCCCTGTTTGCAGGGAATCTGAAGCATGTGGTCTAGTTGACAGAAAGAGATCAGGTTTCCAGAGCTGAGGAGTGGTGCCTATAATGAAGACAGCGTGTTTATGCAAGCAGTTTGTGGAATTTGTGACTGCAGGGAAAATTTGAAAGAAATTACTTCCTGAAAATTTCCAAGGGGCATCAAGTGGCAGCTGGCTTCCTGGGGTGAAGAGGCAGGCACCCCAGAGTCCTCAACTGGACCTAGGGGAAGAAGGAGATATCCCACATTTAAAGTTCTTATTTAAAAAAACACACACACACAAATGAAATTTTTAATCTTTGAAAATTATTTTTAAGCGAATTGGGGAGGGGAGTATTTTAATCATCTTAAATGAAACAGATCAGAAGCTGGATGAGAGCAGTCACCAGTTTGTAGGGCAGGAGGCAGCTGACAGGCAGGGTTTGGGCCTCAGGACCATCCAGGTGGAGCCCTGGGAGAGAGGGTACTGATCAGCAGACTGGGAGGTGGGGAGAAGTCCGCTGGTGTTGTTTTAGTGTTATATATCTTTGGTTTTTTTAATAAAATCTTTGAAAACCTACCTCTTTGTCCCGTTGTCTTCATTGTAAAGCGCCACTGACAGCACACACAGTTCTGAACTTTTCTTCTCGCTGAAGTGTCAAGAATAACCCTGTTCCTTCCAATCTCTACTCTGGCCCGGCTTGAGAGTCTGACCTCACTGGGGAACTAGTGTGTCCCTAGCCCAAGTTCTTGGGACAGAAGGCCAAGCTCTGTGTTGCACTGGGGCTGTCCATGGTGGGGTAGGAATACTGGCACTGCAGTCATGGAGAGGGGCTTATTGGCACCCTGGGGAGGAGCTGTCCCTGTCCAGGGAGTGATTTAGGGATGGAAAAGGTGTGTTGGCATGTCAGATCCAAGAGGAGCACTTCCATGGATAGAAAGGATGCTTCCCAGTAGACAATTGGCACATAATGAAAAGGGGAGGAAGTTGTAATGTGTGGTGTTACTGCAACCTCTGGGGAGTTGGCAACATGGAAAAATGGGGATGGGAGATAATGGGAGAGATGAGGAAGAGACAACTAAATGTCATGATATTGTAATTTTATTTACCAAATATTTACAAAGCTCCTTCAACTAACTACTGGGACCGGGACGGCAGACAAGCACACAGCCCCATCCATCCTGGCTGTCTAGGAATTCCCAGACAAGGCAAGGGAGGAGAAAAAGAAGCAGATCCCAACATGTTTCCAGCTCTGTTATCAACATGAGCTCAGAGCTGTGGGAGCACATTTCTACTTTTCAGTATTTTCCAAATTTTCTGTAGTGGGCACATTTTACTTTAATAATAGAAAAAAATAAATACATAAACCCCAAAAAAAAAAAAGAAACAATTGATCCGCGGGGAGTTAGGGGGTAGTTACAGATCAAAGTCAGTTCAAGACACCCACTGAGGAAGACTTTGTGCTCAGGCCCTGGGGCTGTTCTAATTGCCTGGAAGACCGATCAGTGGGGGCGATGGCGGGGAGGGGGATGCGGGGGAGGGGGATGCTTTTTAGATCAGTTGGCTTGAGGGTGGGGCAAATTTGTCCCCACCATAAGCCTGCCTGTCTTACCTTTAGGAAATTGCTGCCGACCCCGCCACCACCCACCCCTTGTGTCTGCAAGGGACCAGCCACAATAACTATAACAACAATGGTAAAGCAAGCATTGGCATATGCCCCATTTTACAGATCATTTTCACTTGTACGTCACTATCCACCCTGCTAGTGGGTATTATCATCCCCACTCTATAGATTAGAAAATTGAGGCTAAGAATGATGAAGTAACATGCCCCTTTTTAAGTGGCAGAGCCAGGAAGAAAAACCCGGCTGGAACTGCAAATTCCCTTACTTTTTCCACTGTCCCACACTAGTGCCACTAGAATATTTTTAAACTGTGACTTTGAAGTAAACAACTTTCTTACTGCTTCCAAAGCCCAAGCTGGACCAAGCCACATGCTGCTTCTGGGCCCTCACCACACAGTAGCATTCATTCGTTTGTGTGCTTTTCAGCAAGTTGCTTGACCTTTCTGGGTCTGTTTCCATACCCATAAAATGGGGTGAATAATTCTTGCACCTCATGGGCTATTGTGAGTGGTTGATGAATTACCAAAGATGGAAGCACTTTGAAAAGCGTGTATTCTGGACAGGAGGGCCTGCCTTGGAAATGGTCCAGGGAAGGCTCACCTCTGAGGAAAACCCAGTGCTTATAGGAAACCCACCAGCCCCCTCTGTCTCCAGGGCACTCACAAGGGCCAAAGAGACCAAGAAAGAAGTGTAGACTATGTCTCCAACTCAAGGGGTAAGAAAATAACCACTTAAAAAGGAATATCGATATTGGATATGCATATATGTGCATAAAACACCTTTGGGAAAATACACAAGGAACTGGGACACCTCAGTTGCCTCTGGGCAAGGGAACCAGATGGCAAGTGGCAGAGTGAGGGCGACCTGCACTCAGTTCCTTTTTGTACCTTTTGATTTTTGAACCATGTGAATGTATTACCTGGTCCCAAAAAAGTTAATACATAACATTTGTTTTTAAGTCAATGGAAAATTCCCACCAGTTTTCCTTTGGGGAGGGTGGATCTGCCTCTGCTGCATTCAATGTTAGCTGTCACAGAGACAGCAGTAGTATATTTCCAATTATATATTTAAAAGACTCTAAGGCAGAAAGACTTCTTTATAAGAAAATCAAATATTGTCATTCAACAAAAAAAAAAGGAAAAAGAGGAAGAGGAGAAGGAAAAGAAGGAGGAAGAGAAAAGCAGAAGAATGAAAGAAAACAACCACGTAAACAAGTGTGTTTTGACATCTCTAAGCCCCTATACAGAAAGCTCCTGCAGCTCCTCCTTCTCTGCATTTGCCAGGGGCAGATCCCCAAACCTCCTGCTCAGTGCTGGGCCCAAAGCTGACCGGTAGTGCCTTGGCATGCAACATAACACACTTCAGCCTCAGACTGCCTGAGTTTAAGCCTCTCCCTTCACTTACTAGCTGTGTGACCTTGGCCAAGTAACTCCCTCTCTCTGAGCCTTAGTCTTATTGTCTATCAAATGGCGACACTTACCTGTACCTACCTCATGGGGGTGGTTGCGAGGGACCAAAGAGATAATGCAGAAAAGCATGTAGTAGAGCGCATGTTATATATTAGTAGTAGACACTGTTCTTGCCCTAAATGTGAACACGCTGTGGGTAAGGAAACTTCCTGGGGTTCCCTGGCTTCAGGAATTAGGGAAATAGTATGCAAATTTGTGTGACTGTACATATGTACATTTTTCTGGGGCACAGAGCCATAGCTATTATCAGAGTCTCAACACTCAAAGGAGTTTTGTGATTACAAAAAGGATGAGATCTACAGACGTAGAGGTAAAGACAGACATAAATAGAGCTGTCTAAGACAGGGGCCCCTCACCTCATGATCTATGCACACGCTAGTCCTGCTTGGAATGCCCCAATCTTCCCTAGACTGGCTCCTTCTCCTCATTCAGTTGTCTGACTCAATTAAATACCCTAGGGCCGGGCCCGGAGGCTCACATCAGTAATCCCAACACTTTGAGAAGCCGAGGTGGGAGGATTGCTTGAGCCCAGGAGTTCCATACCAGCCTGGCCAACATGGCAAAACCCCATCTCTACTAAAAATACAAAAATGAGCTAGGCGTGGTGGCACATGCCTGTAGTACCAACTACTCAGGAGGCTGAGGCAGGAGGATGCCTTGAGCCCTGGAGGTCGAGGCAGCAGTGAGCCATGATTGCACCACTGCACTCCAGCCTGGGCAACAGAGCAAGACCCTGTCTCAAATAATAATAATAATATGGCTGGGTGTGGCGGCTCATGCCTGTAATCCCAACACTTTGGGAGGCAGAGGTTGGCCATTCACCTGAGGTCAGGACTTCGAGACCAACCTGGCCAACATGGCAAAACCCCGTCTTTACTAAAAATACAAAAAAATTAGCCAGACTTGGTGGCGCATGCTTGTAATCCCAGCTACTCAGGAAACTGAGGCAGGAAAATCGCTTGAACCCAAGAGATGGAGGTTGCAGTGAGCCAAGATTGTGTCACTGCACTCCAGCCTGGGTGACAGAGTGAGACTCTGTCTCAAAAAATTTAAAAAAACAGCCGGGTGCGGTGGCTCATGCCTGTAATCCCAGCACTTTGGGAGGCCGAGGCAGGTGGATCACCTGAGGTCAGGAGTTCAAGACCAGCCTGGCCAACATGGTGAAACCCCGTCTCTACTAAAAATACAAAAATTAGCTGGGTGTGATGGCGCATGCCTGTAATCCGAGCTACTCAGGAGGCTGAGGAAGGAGAATCGCTTGAACCCAGGAGGTGGAGGTCGCAGTGAGCCAAGGTCCGCGCCACTGCACTCCAGCCTGCTCGACGGGAGCAAGACTCCATCTCAAAAAAAAATAAATTAAATAAATAAATAAGTTATAATAATAATACTGTGACCACCCTACCCTAACTAAAGTAGCCATCTTGTCCTGGCAATCCCCAGATACCATCTATCATTTATCATTATCTATTTCTCTCTCCTCCTCTCTCTCTCTTTTTCTTTCTTTTTTTTTTTTTTTTTTTTTTTTTTTTGAGATGGAGTCTCACTCTGTCGCCCAGGCTGGAGTGCAGTGGCACAGTCTCAGCTCACTGCAAGCTCCGCCTCCCCCAGGTTCACGCCATTCTCCTGCCTCAGCCTCCCGAGTAGCTGGGACTACAGGCGCCCGCCACCACGCTCGGCTAATTTTTTGTATTTTTAGTAGAGACGGGGTTTCACCATGTTAGCCAGGATGGTCTCGATCTCCTGACCTCGTGATCCGCCCGCCTCAGCCTCCCAAAGTGCTGGGATTACAGGTGTGAGCCACCGCGCCCAGTCTCCTCTCTCTCTCTCTCTCAATACATACTTAGAGAATGGTAGAACTATGTAATAAGACAGAGCAATGCCTTATTCTAGGTATTATTAACACAGAGGAGGAGACAAGCAATCTAGACTGGGGCAACCATGAAGGCTACAAGCAGGCGGTGACACTCAAGCTGAATCTTGGGCCAGGCATGGGAGGAGGCATTCCAGGCAAAGGGACTGGAATACATGAAGGCAAGAAGGCACAGGAAATTTAGGGAAGCAATAAGCAGCTTGGTGTTGCTGGAACACAGGATATTTGACGGTATCCAAGCAAACCAACTGTAAAAAGATGTTATTAAAACAATGAGGGAACATTGGACAGGTTATGTTAAGAAATTATTGATAATTTTGTTAAGTACAATAACAGCATGGTGGTTATATACACATATATTTTATATCCTCATCTTATAGAGAGATAAAGAGAAGTATTTATAGATGAACTGTATCTGGATGCTCCAGAGGAGGAAAATGTATATGGAGGGTGGGGAGGGAGGGGGACGTGGGTAAAACAAAATTTTAAAATGTTGATCACTGTTAAAGTGGATTGAATGAAAATATGGGAGTTGATTATATAGTCTCTCTGGTTTTGTGGTTTTTCAATTTTCATAATAAAACATTAAAATCTATATTGGTGAGTTGCTGCAAGTAAAGATAGCAGGGACCAGATCACAAAGGGCTTCCTGTGCCAGGTTGGGGGGCTGGGCTTGAGCCTGCAGGTAAGGACGCCATCAGAGTTTTAAGCCAAGGAGTGGTCTGATCAGATTTGCATTCTGAAAAGCTCGCTCTGGCTACTGTGTGGACAAAAAAATAAATAAATAATAAGGAGCCTGGTAAGGCCCAGCTCCAAAGTGACTGCCTGTGAGAAGCCTCTGTTTACCTCAGATGGAGTCCTGGCACCTTCCTCCTTTGGCCCACTATGCCTTTCTCCTAACCACTTACTTGGTAAGAGAATGTGTGTGTGTGTTTGTGTGTGTGTGTGTGTGTGTGTGTGTGTGTGTGTAATGAAATATTTCCCCTCAATATATGCTTCAGGTAAAAACTTTCAGATAATACAGATAATGGTTCCCTCATATCCCTATACTTCAGTGATAACCACTATTGGCAATTTAGTGTTTTTCTTTCCAGACTTTTTTTCATTTGCTCCATAAATATTATTGAGCACCTACTATGTGCCATGCAGCGTGCCAGGCACTAGGGTTACATCTGTGTACAAACAGACAACGATCTCTGTCTCAATGGAGCTGGCATTATGCATATATGACCATTTGACTTTTATGTAAATGAAATGAAACTGTTCTGCAACCTGATTTTTCTTTCACTTAATTATACGCCGTGGACAGCTTTCCATATCAATCTAGAAACAGCTACTTTATTCATCTTCCATTATAACATATGCCAGACATACCAAAAAGGAAGGCACACCTGATGCTTGAAATGATCCTATTATATGGATGCTTCAAAATTTGTTTAACCTGTCCCCTATTGCTCAACATTCAGAATTTTCTCAATTTTCCTTACAAATAAAAACACTGCACAACAACAACCACTAGAGCTAATAAATGAATTCAGCAAAGTAGCAGGGTACAAGGTTAACCAAAAAAAATCCATTGTGTTTCTATACATCAACAATGAATAATCCGAAAAGGAAATTTAAAAAACGGTTCTGGCCAGGCGCGGTGGCTCACGCCTATAATCCCAGCACTTTGGGAGGCTGAGGTGGGCAGATCACGAGGTCAGGAGATCGAGACCATCCTGGCTAACAAGGTGAAACCCCGTCTCTACTAAAAATACAAAAAATTAGCCAGGCGTGGTGGCACGCACCTGTAGTCCCAGCTACTCGGGAGGCTGACGCAGGAGAATCACTTGAACCCAGGAGGCAGAGGTTGCAGTGAGCCAAGATCACACCACTGCACTCCAGCCTGGGCAACAGAGTGAGACTCCATCTCAAAAAAAAAAAAAAGAAAGAAAAAGAAAACAGTTATATTTACAATAACATCCAAAAGAATAAAATATTTAGGAATAAACTTAGCCAAGGAGGCAAAAAACTTGTACACTGAAACTATAAAATGTTGTTGAGAGAAATTAAACAAAGCACAGATAAATGGAAAAACGTGTTCATAGATTGAAAGACTTCATGTTGTATGGTGTCAATACTACTCAAAACGATCTACAGGTTGAAAGCAATTCCTATGAAAATCCCAAAGACTTTTTTGCAGACATAGAAAAATCCATCCTGAAATTCATATGGAGTTTCCAGAGACCCCAAGTAGTAAAAACATCTCGAAAAAGAAGGACAAAGTTGGAGGACTCATGATTCCCTATTTCAAAACTTACCACAAAGCTATAGTAACCAAAACATTGTGTTACTGGCATAAGTACAGACATATAGGTACAATGGAACAGAATTGAAAGTACAGAAATACACCTATGGCCAATTGATTTTGGACAGAGATGCCAAGTCCATTCAATGGGGAAAAAGAAGTCTCTTTAACAAATTTTGCTGAGACAACTGGATTTCAACATGCAAAAGAATGAAGTTACCCGGGCTTGGTGGCATGCACCTGTAATCCCAGCTACTCGGGAGGCTGAGGCAGGAGAATCACTTGAATCTGGGAGGCGGAGGTTGCAGTGAGCCAAGATCGTGCCACTGCATTCCAGCCTGGGCGACAGAGCGAGACTCCATCTAGGAAAAATAAAAAAAAAGAATGAAGTTGAAACTCTATCTCATACTATACACAAAAATGAGTTCAAAATGGATCAAAGACCTAAATGTATGAGATAAACTATGAAATGCTTAGAAGAAAACATGGGGGTAGATCATGACCTTGGATTTGGTAATGGATTCTTAGCTATGACACCAACAGCACAAGCAACAAAAGGAGAAATAGGTAAATTAGCCTTCCAGGTGTGGTGGCTCACGCCTGTAATCCCAGCACTTTTGGTGGCTGAGGTAGGCAGATCACCAGAGGTCAGGAGTTCAAGACCAGCCTGTCCAAGCTGGTGAGACCCCCCATCTCTACTAAAAATACAAAAAATTAGCCAGGCGTGGTAGTGCACGCCTGTAATCCCAGCTACTCAGGAGGCTGAGTCAGGAGAATCACTTGAACCTGGGAAGCAGAGGTTGTAGTGAGCCGAGATTGTGTCACTGCACTCCAGCCTGGGCAACAGAATGAGGCTCTGTCTCAAAAGAAAAATATAGATAAATTAGACTTCATCAAAGTTAAAAACTTTTTTGCTGCAGCGAACATTATCGAGAAAGTGAAAGAGGCCAGCACTTCTGGAGTCCAAGGCAGGAGGATCTCTTGAGTCCAGGATTTCAAGATCAGCCTGGTCAACATAGCAAGACCCTGTCTCTACAAAAAAATTAAAAAATAAAATTAGCCAGGCTTGGTGGCCTGCGTCTGTAGTCCCAGCCGCTCAGGAGGCTGAGGCAGGAGGAACGCTTGAGCCCAGGAGGTCGAGGCTGTACTGAGCCATGATCACGCCACTGCACTCCAGAGCCCGGGCAACAGAGTAAGACACTGTCTCAAAAAAAAAAAAAAAAAAAAGGCAAAGAACTTGATTAGACATTTCTGCAAAGAAGATATTCAAATGGGCAAGAAGCACACGAAAAGATGCTCAACATCATTAGTCATTTGGGAACTGCAAATCAAAATCGCAATCACTTGTCAGTTTATACCTATTTGGATCACTATAATCAAAGACAGAAAATAACAAGTGTTGATGAGCATGTACAAAAACTGGAATCCTTGTACCTTGGTGTGGGAATGTAAAATGGTGCAGCCGCAGTGGGAAACAGTTTGGTGGCTACTCAACAAGTGAAACATGGAATTACCATATGACCCAGCAATTACACTCCTAGCTATATATCCAAAAGAATTGAAAACAGGTATTCAAAGAAATATTTGTATATGAATGTTTATCACAGCACTATTCACAATAGCCAAAAGGTAGTGAAATAAATGCCACAATATTCTAATAAATGCCCATCAATGGATGAATGGATAAACCAATTGTGACATGGGCATATAAGGGATATTATTCAGCCTTAAAAGGGAATGAAGCACTGATACTTGACACAATACTTAGAAACATTACGCTAAGTGAAAGAAACCAGACATAAAAGGTCACGTATTGTATGGTTCTATTTACATGAAACCCCCGGAATAAGCAAATTCATAAAGACAGCAGATTGGTTGTTACCAGGGCCTGGGCAGAGGGGAAAATTGGGAGTAACTGCTTAAAGGGTACAGGTTTTGTTTTGGAGTAATGAAAATGTTTTGGAACCAGATAGCAATGGTGATTACACAACATTGTGAATGTACCAAATGTCACTGAATTTTCACTTCAAAATGGTTAATTTACTTTTTTATGTTTTAATTGATATATAAAAGTTGTACATATTTTGGAGGTACGTGTGATATTTTGATAGCTGTATACAATGTGTAATGATCAAATTAGGGGAACTGGAACATCCATCACCTCAAACATTTATTTTTTCTCTGTATTGGGTAAAACTGTTAAATTTCCATTGTGCGCAATTCACCTCAAAAAAATTGCAGCGAAGATCCTCTTACCTATACCCTTGCACATTTGTTGCATTATTTCCTCATGATAAATTTGTAGAAGTGAAACTGCTGGATCAAAGGGCATGTAACCTAAAACAAACAAAAGAGATTATAGGTTTTGATTCCCAGAGGTGTTGTCCCAATTCACAGTCCCACTAAAGCTGTGTGAATGTGGCTGCCCCCACACCCTCCCTACAACTTCTTTTCCCACCTAAAAAGTAAAACTATCTCATTGTTTGAATTTTCATTTTTTTTGTTTTATTAGTGAGATTGGGCATGTTTCAGATGCTTAATAGTAAGTTATTATTTAGTTACCTGTCTCTTTGACAACACTCATTGACTTTTCCCATCTCTTCAGGTCCAGCACTCATGACAGGCATGTAGTAGGACCTCAGTAAATGCTGGGAGGAATTAAAGGGAATAGCAGTGACCATGAGCCCATCCTAATTTTCCCAGAGGCTCAGGCTAGTGCTAGACATACAGTGCAATCCTAACGTATCTTCCCCCAAAAGCTACCTAAATACCTTTTGAAATTCCCTGTGGGGGCTGGGTGTGGTGGCTCAGGCCTGTAATCCCAGTACTTTGGGAGGCCGAGGCGGGCGGATCATGAGGTCAAGAGTTCGAGACCAGCCTGGCCAACACAGTGAAACCCCATCTCTACTAAAAATACAAAACATTAGCCAGGCATGGTGGCAGGCACCTGTAATCCCAGCTACTCAGGAGGCTGAGGCAGGAGAGTGGTGTGAACCTGGGAGGCGGAGGCTACAGTGAGCCGAGATCACACCATTGCACTCCAGCTCGGGCGACAGTGCAAGACTCCATCTCAAAAACAAAACAACAACAACAAAAAATTCCCTGTTGGGAGTCACACTGTGGGCAGCATGGAGGGCATGGGTTTGCACAAGCTGAAAGTGAAGATAAAGGTAGAATAAGGGTGGGAATGAGGGGTGAGCTGGGGATTGGTACTAATGTGCACATATGTATGTGAAAGGAGACAGGCTGAAGAGAAACCACAAAATCACAGCTGTAGACTGGTGGGGACAGTGGATGGGTACTGCCATTTCTTAGGCCTACTAATGCCCTGTATTCAGCACTTTTCATCTGCCCTTAATCCCCTCCACACTGTGGCCATCCTTTCTGGGCCACTCCACTCCCAGGCTGGTAGGCACCGCTCACTACTCTGCAGCTTTCCTGCCAGACTGGAATGCTTCCTCCAAAGGCGCCCACCAGTTAGCCCCATAGCACGGTCCTGGGGTTACCAGAGACTTAAAAGGATAGGGTGTATAGTAGCTCATTCCTATAATCCCAGCACTTTGGGAGACCGACACGGGAGAATTGTTTGAGCCCAGGAATTCAAGACCAGCCTGGGCAACATAGCAAGACCCATCTCTACAAAAAAAAAATTAAAATATATTAGCCAGGTATGGTGGCACATGCTTGTAGTCCCAGCTACTCGAGAGGCTGAGGTGGGAGAATCCTTTTGCCCAGGAGGTCAGGCTGTGGTGAGCCGTGATCACAACACTGCACTCCAGCCTGGGCGATGGAGCGAGACCCTGTCTCAAAAAACAAAATGCCTGCTCTCATGGAGTGTTTACTCTAGTTGGAGAGACAGAGAATAAATACAATATGGCAAGCAGTGGTAAGTACTATGGAGAAAATCAAACAAGATAAAAGTTGAGTGGGACAGGGCTATTTTAGAAAGGGTGCCCAGGGAAGGCCCATTTGAGGAGGTGACAGTGAGCAAAAACCTGAACAGCTAGCCAGGTGGCCATCAGGGAAAGAGTGTCCCAGCCAGAGGGAACAGCAAATGCAAAGAGCCTGAGACAGGAACTGTCTTGTCATATCCAAGAAATGGTGAGGCCAATGTGCATGAAGCTGAGGGAATGAGGGTAGAGTAGGAGAAAATGAGTGTAGAGAAGCAGGAAGGATCAAGTGACATGGGCCACTGTAAGAACTTTGGCTTTTACCCTGTATGGGATGGAGAGCCATTCGAGGCTCCTGAGCAGAGGGGACAGGACCCCTCTGGCTGCTGTGTGAGGAATAGGGGCCAGAGGCTAGAGAGCTGGTCAGAGGGTGACTGCAGGGAAGAGATGAGAGTGACTCAGCCCAGGGTTGTGGCTATAGAAGTGGTGAGGAGTGGTTTGGATTTTGGCTGCATTTAAAAAAATTTTTTAGAGACAGGGTCTCGCTCTGTCACCCAGGCTGGAGTGCAGTGTTGTGATCATAGCTCACTGTAACCTTGAACTCTTGGGCTCAAGTGTTTCTTTTTCCTCAGCCCCTTGAGTAGCTAGGACTACAGGCAAGAGCCACTGTGCCTTGCTGATTCTTTTATTTTTATTTTTTACAACCCGGGTCTTGCTACATTGCCCAGGCTGGTCTCCAACTCCTGGCCTTGAGCAATCCTCCTGCCTCAGCCTCCCTAAGTATTAGGATTACAGAAGTAAGCCACTGCACCTGGCCTCTGGCTGTATTTCAGAAACAGCCGACAGAATTTGTTCATCAGTTGGATCTAGGGAGAGAGAGAAAGAAAAAGATGAAAGCAAGGTTTTGGGCCTGAGAAACTGGGTGAACAGAGGTGCCATTTACTGAGTTTGGGAAAATGTGCAGG
The DNA here is from genome assembly GCF_000001405.40 of Homo sapiens. Lineage (NCBI taxonomy): Eukaryota > Metazoa > Chordata > Mammalia > Primates > Hominidae > Homo > Homo sapiens. Next base: position 72,317,986 of record NC_000023.11, on the reverse strand, counting down.
GAAACAGGGGGCTCAAGAGCCCTTATGGGGCCATATTCAGGGCAGAGACCTGGGAGCCCTCCAGGAAGCCTAGGGCTGGCTCGCTTGCTCACTGGTGGAGATGGAAGATGGAGAGAGAAAGTCAAGGCAATGAGCATGCTTTACTGAGTAACTGTCTGTACCAGACTCCACGCTTATCTGCCCACATCATCTTTAGTGACCACAATATAAAGGCTGAATTTCTTAACGTGGCATCCAAGTCTGGCTCCTGCAACCTCATAGATCCCATCCTGTGCTGTTTCCCAGCTCCCATCAGCACCTTTGCCCATGCTGTCCCCAATACCTGGAGAATGCTGATCCTCAGCTCAGATGTCACCTATCTCCCACTTCATTTTAAGGTCTGCTTTTCTATCTCCCCCACTATATTGGGAACTCCTTGAGGGTTGAGGTGGTGCCTTGGTCCCTCTGAGGCCTCGGTGACTGAAGAAGGGCCATGTAGGGGCTCAGCTTACATTTGTGGCCTGAATGAAAAACTGTGTGGGAAGAAGAGCCAGCCCTGATCCCACCCCAGTGGGTCAGAGAGGCCTGACTTCCCACACAGTTATATGTGACAATGAGGAAAACAGGGCCAAAGAGGTGAAGTCAGGCTTGGAACTGGACTCAGATTGAAAAGCTGACTCCATCCCCCAAGCAGCAGGGAAGAGGGATCAGGGAAGAGTAATTACTTACATGTGTACAGCACTTGAGAGTTTATAGCCATAGACGTTATGTCATTCAACCCTGGCACAGCCTCATGACGTAGGCATTCTTATTTTCCCCTACCTGACACGTAAGGAAACTGAGGCCCAAAGAGCCAAAGTCACTTGCCCAAAGACAAAGCTAGGAAGTGGTAGCCTCAGGACTTGAACCAGGGACAGTTTGATGGTGGAGCCCTGTGCTCTCACTATCAGACTAGGCCACAGCTGGAGCTGAGAGGGAGAGTGGCCAGTTGGGTCTGGCAGCCCTTTTCCCCTCCCTACCTATTCCTGTTGGGTTTCAGCTGTTGGTAGCACGAATTGGCATTTACTAATCCCCTCGGACCATTCAAGGCCAGGACAAGGCAGCCTGAGATACAAACATAGCAGAGCATTATCCATATTCCAGACTCCAAAGGTCACACTTGGGAGAGGCTTGAAAAAAATGCAAGAGAAGTGCAAAGATAGGCCATGGGAACCTTCCTCCCCTGGAACCCCAGGAGCTCTTCAGAGGCAAGCCTCCCCACCTTGGACCTGCTGAGGGTCTACTCTGCCTCTAGAAGAAGGCAGTTTCCTCCCCGTATTCCTGCAGCCAAAATCTCCCTTGAGAAGTCTCTTGCGGGGGCCATGCCTTCTTTCCGGTTGGGCGCTGGGCCTGGAGAGTTCCTGGCTGGCTGCAGCTGGGCCCTCGCACCTGTCGGTCCAGCTCCCCTGCTTCACAAACACACGCCCCCGCCGAGCTCAGTGCTGCTTCCAGATGGCTGGTCACTTATGCCTTCACCCCACTTTGGGCCTTTTTCTTTCTCATTTGATTTCTTTTCCTTACCTTGTTTTCTTCCCAGGCATCTGCGTATTCTTTCCCTCCACGCCACCCCATCCCCCCACCCATTGTTATCTTTCTCTTCCTCTCATTGGTTCTCCTTTCTCTCTGCATTGAATACATTTCTTTCTGCTCAGGTCTGTCTTTTTTACCCTGACTCCAGTCCAACCAGGTATCAATAGAGCGCTAACTTTCTATTCTGTAACGCTGAGTGACAAGTCAGATAAGGTCATCTCTCCAGTCCTTACCAGCTCGGACATTCAGTTTTGAGGAAAGGTGAGAACCTGAAGGCAGGGAGATGGGGTACACAGTCAGAGAGTGGGGAAAGAAAGATTGAACCTGGAAGAACAGATTCAAATGGTAGCATCCTCACTTGCTGGCTGTCTGACCTCAGCAAGGCCATCTCACCTCTCCAAGCCTCCTCCCTTCATCTGTAAGATGTGATCAGTAGCTGGGCGCGGTGGCTCATGCCTGTCATCCCAGCACTTTGGGAGGCCGAGGTGGGCGGATCACTTGAGGTCAGGAGTTCAAGACCAGTCAGGCTAACATGGTGAAACTCCATCTCTACTAAAAATATAAAAAATTAGCCGGGTATTGGTGGTGCGCACCTGTGATCCCAGCTACTCGGGAGGCGGAGCAGGAGAATTGCTTGAACCCAGGAGGCGGAGTTGCAGTGAGCCGAGATGGTGCCACTGCACTCCAGCCTGGGCGACAGAGCGAGACTCTGTCTCCACAAAAAAAAAAAAAAAAAAAAAAGTCATCAGGGAAGACCTGATAGTAACAGTGACAACATTCCAAGGAGTGAGGAAGCTGTGTGAGAATTGACTTTACTCATGGATGGGAAAGGTCTTTATGAACTACAAGGGGCAGGTCCCTACTGGCAATGGGCGTTACTTAGGGGACAGTGAGGCCCAGTGGTCACCAGCAGAGGCTCTGGGGCCAGTCAGCCTGGTTAAGATTCTCGGCCCAAAACATACAAAGTGTATAACCTTGTCAAGCTGCCTAATATCTCTGTGCCTCAATTTCCCTATCAGCAAAATACGGAAGAGGTAATAATAGTACTGACCTAACACCTAAGGTTATTGGGGGATTTAATGAGAGAATAAGCACAGAGCACTAGGAACAGAGAGGATCTGTCTCCTAATAAGTGTTCAGTGACCATTCCCACTGATGTTATTATTTAGAGCTAGTAGGAAGAATTCTCCCTTGAGGTGGTATATTCAGGGGTGCCGGGCCACTGCAGGAACCTAAGCAAGCCATGTGGTGACCCAGACTCATCTCTTTACAAGGCCTCAAAGTCTGTGCAGGTTGTGCCCTGAAATTCAGCTTGTGTTCCTCTTGCAAAGCCGTGGGCCCAGGGGTGAGGGTTGTGCAAAGCCCAGAGGAAGCAGCACCTGGTTCTAATTGCTCCTCCCAGAGGAGGTGCCTTTTTGTAATTAGTACAAGCAGACTGTATGTGCTAGCTGAGGCACTCTCCCTGCATCTAGGCAGGAAAGTTTTACCTTGTATAACCAGGCCTGTGGTCCTCTCTGCTTGCCTGGCGGCAGTCTGCACCTTGACCCCCTGAGATACCCCAGATCCTCAATCCATCTTCAGCACTGATCTTGTCCTCAAGCATGCCAGGCCTTCCTGGTTTCACTTTAGCTTCTAGAGCACAGGCCTTTGCGGGGAACACAGGGGGACAAGTCTCTGTGGCTGTGGGGATCTGTGGAAATCTTTCCAGTCCCCCAGTTTGTGCATGTGAAATGACTCCTAACCATGTTCACTCAGCCATGTTTGCCCAGGCCAGCCTCCCAGCCCCAAAGTTAAGGGCCAAGAGAGGCAATAGGGGCCAGTGGTCCAAGCTGGGAGACTTCTCCATGCCAGTGGAGACTCTTACTAAGGGCAAAGTGGGATCCATGGATGAATGGAAGTGTGAGGCCTCAGCTGAGATGGGATTGGGAGACTAGGAGGGCTGGGCCCCAAGAAAGGGGAGTCCAGGGAAATCCCCGTAGCGTGGAGATGAGACTCAGGGCAAAGGGTTGCAAAATCTCTCAGGTCTTAGGCCAAGGGAGCAGTTTCAGCCTGCTGTTGCAGGGAGCAGGGCCAGACTGAAGTGGCCTCACCTTCTTAAGGACAAAGTAAGCTGGGAGACACTGTGCTGACCTGACAATGGCATGTGGCCAAAAAAGGAGAGCAAACAAGACCCCAAAGGCCTGTGTTCTAGAAGCTAACGTGAAACCAGGGAAGGCCTGGCATGCTTGAGGCCTAGCCAAATGTATTTAGCAACGTGAGATGAGGCCCCTATCACTCCCTGGCATGGGGAAATTTATGGACTGAGATCCTCTCACACTGCCCTTTAGAGATTTGAAGCACGTGTCCATGATTGTGCTGAGCTGGAGGGGCTGGAGAGGGGAGAGGGATGGCTGCAGTGAAAAGCCAGTGTCCCCCAGGCCCCTTGAGGAGAAAGCCCCTCTCTGTGCCATGGAGAGAAGCAGGGGAAAGTTCCCCACAGTTTGGCCGAAAGTCATCCTGCCGATTGCTCTTTTTGACACAACCTCACTTTCTTTCCAGTCCTATATTCCTGGCTGTGTGTGAGCTATTTCCACTTGGATGTTCTGCCAACAGCTTAAACTAAACATGCTTAAAGCAGAGTTTCTCTTCCCCCACAAAGCCTCACACCTTCCCAAGGCCTCCAGCCTCACTGCTGACACCCGAACAGCCCAGGGCCAGGCCTGCTTGCTGCTTCTCTTTCTCCTCTACACCAGCACCTCTCTCCCTCCCTGCCTTTGAACCCTGGGCTTCTCCCTGGGTAAAGTTTTCAGAGTCATCTTTGCTGCTGCCCTCTCCCACCTGCACCTCATCCCTGGAGATTGCTGCCCCAGCCCCTAACTGGACTCCTCCCTCAAGAGTTCTCCCTAGATCTGGGCCACGCATCCATTCTGGCCATACGCGTTGACTATTTACTGCAATGAGTGTGGTGAACCATCCATTCTAGAAGAAAGAAAAGCATAGACACCAATAACAGGGGGACACCGATAACAAGGTAGCCTAGCGGGGGGTGTTTGGCCTCAGGAGTGAGCCAGACCCGGCTGTGAATCCCAGCTCTGCCACTTAACCCTTTGTGTCATCTTAGGCTTGTTTCCCCTCTCTGTGCCTCGATGCCCTTCTTCCTAAAATGGGGATGATAGCGTTGACTGGCTAGGGTTCTTATGAAGTTGAATGCCAGAAGGGGGCACAGAGAAGGGACATACACTGGAATGACATCTCTGAAGGCTGGGGTGGACAGAGCTGTGAAGATGGCCCCTAAGGATTCAAGAGGCCGGGTGGCCTGAGCTGTTTGTATATTTGCGGTTTTCCCATTATGCATAAATAACAGGAAATCAAGTAGGGAATCAATTCAACTAGACCCAATTCTTGGCCCTTTCCAAACTTCCCCCACCCCATGTGTAAACAGGAAACCAGGGCTAGAATCTACGAAGCTGATTGGGGTGCCCAAGGATGCCCTGTGATCGCTCTGCTCTCTTCTCAATTTTCTATTTCTCCAGGCCCATTCCCCTAGTAACTGATCTTGTTCCCCTTCTTCTTCAATTCATCTTCTCTTCTCTTCTTTTCTTCTTCTTCCCTTTTTTTTTAAACACAGAAGCAAAAGTGAGTGCCTGTCCAAGCCTGTTGGCCTGGGTCAGAGGAATGCGGCCACTCCCTCCACGCAGAGCGGCCAGGCCCAGGCGCTCACTCAGGCTGGCAGGGGCAGGCGCAGAGCCGCCCAGGCGCTCACTCAGGCTGGCAGGGGCAGGCGCAGAGCCGGGAAGGATCCAGCACCTTGCTCCGAGGGGCTGGAAAGCACTACAGACGTTAGCTCATCACTCCCTGGCAGAGGCTGACCCATCTGCTATTCTCACTAGCATCTTCCAGATGGGGAAATGGAGGCACAGGCATATTCACAGTGGTTGCAAACTCACAGAATCCTAAGGGGGCTTCTGGGCAGAGTCTCCACATGGAGCAAGAGGAAAAGGGCCACCAGGACTTCCCCTAAAACCGTGGTCCTGGCTGAAGTATCTAAAGGGGACACTGGGAAATAAGGGGGGTCGGGGGGGCAGTTAGGACCCACCATCTCCCAGGAACCCACACGTGACAGGGGCCCCAAAGAGTTGCAGCTTCACTCGGTGGCCCATCAGGAAAGACTAGCCACTCTTACTGACAATTTGCAGCACACAATACCTCTGGAGTAAGAGGCAACTGAGATGAAGTTTGCACCGCCAGACACCAGAGGGTTAACTAGGATGCAGTTGGGTTGATTATTATGTTTTCCTCCTAGTGCTTTTCTGTTACCTGCAAATTCTGTGCAGTGAACAATTACATTTATGGTCAGACAAAGTGTTAATTATTTTTAATTATTTTAAAGAGCAGCAGCAACTGGGATATGTAGAAGAGCCCTGGGCTCTTGGAATTGGAACTGGAGTATGGAGACCCAGTCTCGCCTCCCAGTTGTGTTACAGGTCCAGTGACTTCACCTCTTTGAATCTCAATTTTCTATAAAATGGAGATAACTGACCCCACAGGGGTAGCATAAGATTAAAAGAGATAATGTATATGAAAAATAGTTGTAAAAAATTTATTATGGAAATTAAAAAACATATACATGAGTAAAGAACACATTATAGGCCAGCGCGGTGGCTCACACTTGTAATCGCAGCACTTTGGGCAGCCGAGGCAGACTGATCACTGGAGCTCAGGAGTTCAAGAACTGGGCAACATCATGAAACCCCATCTCTACAAAAAAAAATACAAAAAATGCAAAAACACAAACAATTAGCTGGGCATGGTGGCACGCGCATGTAGTCCCAGCTACTCTGGAGGCTAAGGTGGGAGAATTGTTTGAGCCCAGGAGGTGGAGGTGGCAGTGAGCCAAGATCGCGCCTCTACACTCCAGCCTGGGTGCCAGAGTGAGACCCTGTCTCAAAACAAACAAACAAATAAACAAAAACACATTATAATGAAGCCATCTTCAACAATTATCATCTTATTTAATCTATATCCCCTGTCCACTTTCCCCCCACCCTCAACTGGAATGTTTTAAAGCAAATCCCAGACATGCTCTTTTTTCCATAAAAACTTCATTACCGAAGTACTTTACACTTTTTAAAAAAATTAATACATGATGACTGTAGAAAATTTGGCATATGAAGAAATCATGTATGAAAGAGAAAACAAAAATCACTAATAAACTCACCACCCAGAGACTACTACATTTTGGAGTAGTTTATTATTTTTTTCTATATACATATTCGTTTTTAACAAAAGTGGGATCATATTGTATATGTTATTTTTAGGTACATTTTATTTTAATTGTAAAAATAATAAAAGCAGATTACAGAAAATAGAGAGGAAATTACCCATAATTCCTTACCACCTAATATAAAACTCTTAATATTTTAGTATTCTTCCTTCTCATTTTTTTCAATTTACATTCATACTCTTAACCCAAGTGGGATCCCTCTGATTATGTACTTTTCAAATTATGAATCTGTTTTAATTGTAAGAAAGTAATATAATCATACTGCAGAAAAAGAAAAGCAAAATAAAAATATTATCCATAATCCCACTACTCAATTATAATCACCGTTAACAATTTTTGGTGTTAACAGTGATTATAATTGAGTAGTGAGATTATGGATATTTTTTCTATGCACATATATTTTAACAAAAGTGGGAACATAATATTTATGGAGTTTATTAACTATAAACTCATATTTACTTATAAGAATAATATTGCATAATATGGGGAAAAGAGAAGAAAATCACTCATAATCCTACCACTCTACTGGCACTGTTATCATTTTGGTATTTTCCAGACTGTCGCTTTCTGTACATATTCATACATGATTGGAAACATAGTGAGTATTTAATTTTGTTCCCTTTGTGCCCTTTGCAGCTTGGCATCATATTTATGCAACTTTGTACCCAGCATTTTTTATTTCATATTTTGTTATGAATATTTTCCTATGAATAAGAGTTTTCAAAGTCAGGATTGTGTGTGTGTGTGTGTGTGTGTGTGTGTGTGTGTCAAGGTACCAAGGGACACACCCTTACCATAGACATTTAGGTTCCTTTTCATTTTCCACTATTATCAACAATTCTGCTGTAAATATTCTTGAATAAAAACTTGTGCTTTTAAAGTTTTTTCTACACACGTATTGAGTATATGTTTCTGGAGACCACTCTGTAAGTTTATAGGCTGACCTGTAAAAAGTGGTCACCTTTTTTTGGTCCCAAATTTACTCCTGTCATATGGCTCAGGCAGTCCTTGGTTCTGGAGGGTGGGATTTTAAGAAGAAATCTGCATTTTTCTCTCTCTCTCTCCTCCCTGAGTTTATAGACCTCCTTCATCCCCTCTCAGTCTGGTTTTAAAATTAATCATTCAGCAAGTATTACTGAATCTGAAGTGTGTGAGCTGAGGCAGGGACGGGAGGCAAAAGGAAAATAATCAGAAGGTCCAGTACGATAACAGCATTTATTGGCCATTTACTACACTGCGGGCACCAATCAGGCTAAGCAACCCCCACAGATTAGGTACCATTGTTATCCCCATTTAACAGATGGGAAAATTGAAGACCAAAGCATGAAGCCATTGGCCTAAGACTTCACCGCTAACAAATGGCAAAGTAGGAATTTAAACCCAGGCCTACTGACCCCTGAACCTGCACTCTAGACAGCCTCCTTACCCTCCTAGGCAGCGGGGATTAGGGCTGAGGGTAAAAACTTTGCAGACAGCCTGATCCAGATTCAAACACTCAGCCACGTGGCTATGTGAACTTGGGCAATTTCCCGAGGCTCTGTTTCATTCACCTTTGGTAAACCCTACCTCAAAGGGCTGTCCTGGGAATTAAATGAGATGATGGATGGGGAACATGCCAGGCCCAGCGCTGGAGCACAGAGGTTCTCGGTAGGTGACCATCCCTGTCCTCTCCTTGCTTCGCAAGCTCGCGGTCTAGTTGCCAAGTTGGAGATAAGAGTTCAGCGGAGAGCTCTGAGCTCTGCTGGAGCCAACGGGGAAGTCAGTGATCAGAGCATTTTTGCCGAGAAATGCAAATGTCTCCTTTGCTCCCTCTCAGCCTCTGCAACTAACCTCCTCTCCCATCTCCCCAAAAAGGAAAGGGGTGGCTTTTGTGCTTCAAAGCTGAGTGCTTGAAGCCCCTCTCGTTCCTGCTCCCCAGGAGGTAAGCAGTGGAGATGACAGGAAGTCACCAGGGGGGAGACCCTTTCTGGCATGTGGGCACAGAGAAATGTGGTGGAGGGCGCTCCTTTTTCTGCCCTTCAATGGTCCGGATGGGGGAGGGGGCTGGCTGTTGAGCAACTGCTCCGGAGACACTCCAGAAGCCGAGATGAACATATGCCTCTTTCTAACAATTGGCCTGGGAGCCATCCAATAGATGGAGGGCGGATCCACACCTCCCGGATCCGGAGCCTGCAGCGGAGAAGCTGCCGCTGTTGCCAGACCTGCTCCCGAGCCAAGCCGGGGCTGACGGGGAGGGTGGGTCAGGGGTTCAAATTAGTAACATGCAATTCGAAAGCCTAGAGTCGCTCATTCTCCACCACTTAGTTTTCGCAGAAACATTTTTTTTCATCCCAGGCAAACACCAAGAGAACTTGAGAGTGTATTTCACACGCGGTTTGCAGTAAGGCTTTAGGGTGCCGACAGATCCCGCCTTTTATCAGAGGGAGACTAGGCAGGGCCCACAATCTGGCAAGCAAAGTGAGAAAGTGCAGCGAAGATGTGTGGGGTGTGGATGCTACCGGGGTTTGTGTTGGGACAGGGTAAGTGAAAAGACTGGAGCTGTGCAAGGCAGCCTTGAGGGCTGGAGAATGGGTTTACCTGGCGACCAAGACACTCGCCCAAGCTTCCTCCAGATGCCGAGGAAGGGCCTTGATCCGTCTCTCCATTTGCTTCCCATCTTTGTGTCGGTAAGCCGGTCAGTCCGTCAACAAACAGAACTTTGTTAGAAGAGCAAATGCAGGGCACTTGGGGCTACTAAAAAAAGAAAAAGAAAAGAAAAAGAGAACTTCAGGTCTTCAAATCCAATTAAGAAGACAGAACACATACATAGTGAAAATGACTTCGTGACATTCCCTCCCCCCCTTTTTTAACATCAGGACCTTTTCTTAAAGAGTATGTTTTATAAACAGTGTAAACTGAGTCGCTGTTGCTGAAAGGCAGCAAAAAAAGAGCGGCGGGGCCGGGGCGGGGTGGGGGGGTGACAGAGGGGTAATCCCGATGGCCTCCCTGTAAGTGGTAAGGTGGGAATTTCTTGGCCACAAAGAATCCGAATTGAGGTGAAGGAGAAGACCCAGACCTCTTTCCAGTAAGGATTTGTAAGACAACATCTCTACCTAAGAAAGACGAACTCCAAATGCAAAACGTTATTCTTGCTAGACGGGAATGATTATGTAGTTACAATAAAACAACCTGACATCGTGGGAAGGCAGGAGGAATCTCCGCGAACCCTGGGGCAAGCTCTTCGTACCCCGTTGCCTACTGTTGGCTTTTCGGCGAGCCTAGTGAGCTGTACCTGGCCCCACGGTCCGGGAGAGTAGCATTTCTCCGGGTCGCATCCTGCCAGCCTCCTGCCCTGGATGACCACAGAACAGAAACCCTCGAACCCAACCCCAGCTCAGAACTTCTAGAAGAGCCACCGCTGCCATATAGGCCCCCCATGCGACTCTGCCCAGAATCTGGCGACTTTAAGAGGAAAAGGAGCCCCCAGCCTCAGCTCTTCAACGAATGAGATAGTACAGCCCCCCCAAAAGGCAGACAGGCTCCAAGACAGCCCTGCAGAAAACTAATGACCATTCCCCCGTCTCGTGTGCGCCCCGCTCTTCCAGGTCACTCCTTGAGCCCACAGCTCTCTCCCAAAACCCCTGAAGCCCGTTTTGGCCCCCGACTAGATTTAGGTCAGAAAACAGACACTAACGGCTCTCCTTTGCCTCAGTGAAATTACTAAGTGGAATTTATTGGGCAAGTCCACGCAGGGCGGTGGGGAGAGCCGGTGTCCCGGGCCCTGGCCCCCGACAGCTTTAGAAGCCGGGCACTGGCCAGGGCTCCGGGCGAGGGCTGCCCATAGCCCGGACTCGCCAGCCCCACCCCGGGAGCCTTGGCCGGTCCACAGGGCTGCCGGACTCGCGTGGCCGCGTGGACTCCGTTCCCCAGCCGGCCCTTTGCTTTCACACGATCCGCGGTGACTGCACCAGCTCGAGCGCCTTTAAAGGGCCACAGACGCCAGCCGCTGCTATAAAAATGTGCCCGGCGGCAAAGCTGCAGAAGGGGCACCGCTGAGCTGCCGAGAGGAAGCTCGCTCTGCCCGGCTGCCCTCTTGTAGTCCGCCGGCGAGGGGCAGTTCTCGGTGAGGAGGAAGAGAGCAGCGGACGGCACAGCACCCGCGCGGGCCCTCCGTGAGTATCCAGTTCAGATTTTGCCACCAACTCGCCCACGAGCCAGGACATGTGCTAATAATGCCCTAAGCCGGTTATAAAGACGTGGAAATTGAGGGGAGAAAAAAAAAGGGAAAAAAAGGGTCTGTCCTTCCTGGGATTCCTAGCCGAGGCCAGTCTGCTGCCGTGTGCGTGTGCGTCAGGGCTCTCCGGGCGGCAATGGGGGCTTGAGAGCCGGGTCCCCAGCGCCGGGAAGGGAGCGCGGTGGCCGCCACCGCCACCGCCCCGGAGTCCGGCGCCGAAGCTGCGGGCGGGCGGGCGGGCACCAGCTCGGTCAGGGGCTGCTTGGCGCGGCACTGTGCGGTGCAGCGGCGGCGCGGCGCGGTGCGGGCTTTTCCCAGGCGCCCCGGGGTCGGGTGGCCAACGGCGCGGCCGCGGGCGCTGAGCGCGACCGGTTCGCGGTAGCGGTGGCGGCGGCGTGCGTGCCAGGGGCTGGGGGCTCCGCCGCCTCTCTTGCGGCTCACCGAGCTCCGCGCTTCCCTCTCTCCAGGGCAGGCGGCTTCTCAGAGGTAAGCCGGGCCGCCGGGCTGGGCGCCGGGCTGGGCGGCGGGGCCGAGGACTCCCGTGGAGCGGGTATGGGGAGTGGGCGGCCGCCAGGCGGGCCGGAGGGTTCTGGGGAGACTTGCTTTCTGTTGGAAAGCTGCTCTGCTGGGGGCGAGGGGCCGCCCGCCCGCCCGCCCGCCAGCGCTCGGGTTCGCTTGCCAGCGCGCCCCCCTGCCGGCCAGCGGGGCCGGGTGCCCGCTTCTCCCGGGGAGACGGCAGCACCTTTTCTCCCTGCGCCCGCGCTTTCTCCAGCTTGGCTTCCACCGACTTTGCTAATCTCCCGGACCGCATCTGGACGCTCTGGCTCCGGAGCTGCACAAAGCTCAGATTTACTTCGGGGAATTGAGGCAAGAGGGGGCTTTTCGGGCCGAGTTCAGCGGAATTGCGGGATGGAAGTTAGCGAATTTGGGCAACTTGCCTCTACTGCCCAGTCGACCTCAGCCCTCCCCTCCCCCGACACACGCCCACACACACACACCCACGCGCACACCCCTCTCCCTATAAACGCGGGCTGGCGAGCCGCGCGCCGAGTCCCTGCTTCGCAGAGCACCGGACTTGGAGTCAGAGAGACCTGGCTGCGAATCCCGGCTCCGCCACTTTCTAGCGCTGTGACCTTGGGCAAGTTACCGCACCTCTCCGAGCCTCTCTCACTCTTCTCCTAGCGGGGTTTTAGCACTGACCGCAGGCGGCTTGGCTAGGGGGTAGGCTCAGCCTGCTGCCGCGTCGGATGCTCAGCGGGCGCTCAGTAAGTGTTGATCAGGCGCGAGAGTGGCAGCAGCCGGCGCCGGAGTGCGGACTCGCCGCGGAGGCCGACACCCCGTGCCCCTTCCTGCCTGTCCATCCTGTCTCTAAGATCAGTTCCTGATACAGCACTTGCGGGAACGGACGCTCAGGGCCCCGGTGGCCTGGGTGCACGCGCCCGCCGTGCAAGGGATGCTCCCGGCCGCCCCCGGTTCCGCGGCTCCATCTGGGATGCGGCGAGGAGGGCAGCCGAGCTGTCCGCAAACAACGGGCCTTTAGTTTTCAGGTGGCGAAACTGACTGGTCTGGTTAGAGCGCGTCCAAGCCAAGCCGCAGTGCTGTTTGGATTTTTAAATTTCTCCTTCTGAGTGAGAAAATAGCAATCGAGATGGAACCATCCGGTTGGTGCCATTTTAACTTTTGGTCCCCCAACAGGTTAAAGATGAGGCCCCCACCTGCCTCTCCCTTCTCTTTTCCCTCTCCCCTTCCCACCCCTGTCTAGGCGGGAGGGGGCTGCTCGCCCAAGGGAAGGCCTGAAGCGAAGAGCGGGCAGCGGGACTGGGAACTGGTGGCCGGGGGGCCGCCAGGCATCAGCCGGCGAGAAGGCACTTGTTGCTCTAGGTTTCCCAGCCGCCTGTCGCAGCCGTTTCGCAGTGGTCAGCTCGCGGCTTGGAGAGCGGGCTGGGACGTTTCCGCGTTGCCAAGTTTTGCCCACGAACGGGCTAGAGGGTGGTGGAGGAGGGCAGAAAGCCGGGGAAGCAGAGCCAGGGATGCCGATGGAAATGCGATTGCTTCTTCAGACGCATTCAACAACACTTACTGAGCGCCTATTGAGCGCAGACCCAGGCTGGGGTCAGGGTGGGTGGTGGGTCAGTAATGGAAGGCAGAAGATCTGAATGGACACAGGGCCTCTTCTGGGGGAGCTCCCAGATTGAAGAGGGAGGCGCGGTAAAATGGTCTTCCCCCACGAACTGATATCAGAATAGAGAGAGTTTTTTTGCTCGTTCTCTCTTTTGATTTTTCTAATGTTTCTCTTTTGGTTTTGCTGTTGTTGCTGCTGCTCCTGTTGTTTTTTCTTCGTTTTGTACATTCGGGTACCAAGCGGCAAAAAGGAGAGGGAAGGCTGGATAGGAACAGGAAAAGATGGACAGGGCCCCCAGACATTTTTCTTAGGACAGGAAAATTGTCTGATACTGATTGTGCTAGGGCTCTTGAAGACGACATGTGTTAGACTTCTTGTCTGGTGATCACTTGCTTTTGAAATATTTTTCTACGGTTGCCTCAGAGAAGGAGCAGGGCTTCAATCAAGCAATGATGCGGGACCCAACAGCTGATATTTTTTCCTCATGTTTTTAAAAAAATGTTTACCCCTTTCTCTATTTTTTCCCTCCCCTACCCCCATCCACCCAAGTAAGCAATGCAAAGATGATACAGAGAGGTAGTAAGTGGCCACTTTCTAGAAGTGTCTGAGCAGATTCTTAATGACCGCTGCGGAGTGGAGAGTGTCACGGAGAATTCTAGCCTCCTTGGAAAGATTAGAGACTCTTTTTAAGGTCCTCAAGATTCTTTGGACCAAGAGGTATTTATAAATATGAAATTCTACATCTCTAATTGATCATGAAAGCTAGAATATATGGGGCTTTTTTTTTTTAAAGAGATAGGGTCCCGCTATGTTGCCCAGCCTGGTATCAAACTCCAGGGCTCAGGTGATCCTCCCACCTCAGCTTCCTGAGTAGCTGAGACTACAGGAGGGTGCTACTGTGCCTAGCTATGGGACATTTTTTTCTTCTTTGTAAACAGGCCTCCAGGAAAATAAGTTGAGATTTTCAGAGGTTTGTTTATTTTCTGGTTTGGAGGTATTCTTTTGCCTTCATTCCCTTATCCTTTGGCACTTGAGCCAGGAAATCACTTCTTTGGAAGCCTTTTGAATCCAGCTAGGTATGATGACTTAGCCAGTGGTCAGGTGAGGCATGTGGCCATAGGGGTGCTAGATTCTGCTCCCAGAACCGCTGCTACCTGACTAAAAAGGCATTGAATCTCTGTGCCTCACTTGTCACTATAGATGGGAATGGCTGGACTCAGGTTTCTGGGGTAGGCATCCTAGGAAAGCCCAATGCTGGGGCTGTCTTGGAGGGGGCTTGAGACATGGAGGAAAGTGACACATTCCTAGCTTCTCTGGCTCCAGCTGCCTCAGAGCCCCCAGACCACCCTAATCAGCCTGGCTTCTCACAGGCATGCCCAAGGTCATGCTTTGGAGCTCCATGACATTTGCGCTAGAGACTTGTTATTTCCCTGTGCTGCAGCCTCTAGCTTTCTAGGTCTTCCTTGCCCTGACTTCTTCTCACATTCTCCCAGTCCCAGTGGAGGCCCCAACTCTCCAGCCTGGATGCTAGTAGCCCATTGAGACAATATGTTGCTTACTCAGGGACATTCCTGTCCTCTGAACCAGGAACAGTGCCACCCTCACCCCCACACATACACCTTGGGACTGTGAAGTCACTTGCATGAGGAAGCAGTATGTCCCATCTTGGTGATATGGGTAGGTGGCTGCCTGGGCAGTACCTGGCCGAATCAAGCACCTTTCCTGCCTCAGGCAAAAGTTCCAGCTTGATCTCCTCCCTGTGCTCGGGTGATCTCTGGTCTTGATTCTAACTCAGTCACCATCCTTGCCTCATAGCTGCGTGGCATTGCCCTGCTTTGGGCTTTGCTAGTGCTTTGTTGGTCAGTGAAGCCTTTTGCCCTTACCACTGCTTCTTCCTCACTTGCAGCACAACAGCTCCAGCTGGCAGCATCACTTCCCGCCAATTTATCCAACTTCTGCCAAGGCTCTGAAATGCCAACAACGTCGAGGCCTGCACTTGATGTCAAGGGTGGCACCTCACCTGCGAAGGAGGTAATTTTTGCCATTTTACAGATGAGGCAGGGAAAGACAAATTTTCCGGGGTCATGGGCCAGGCCCTCCTAGGTGCATTACCCAGTGTCCTTGAGCAGAGAGGAGACAACAGGACTATCTCTGGGGAGAATGAGAACAGCTTCTGCCTAAATTGTGGTCAGATTGAACCCACTAGGGGTGTTGAAAGATGGCAGGGAAGGGAGCAGAGAAATTGAGTAGGAGCAAAACCACTCTGTTGAAGAGACTAAAGTGAGGCTGAGAAGAGGGACAGGAGGTGCCCTTTTTAGGATGGTGAGGTGGAGGCTATGGGGAAGGAGCTGAAAGCAGTGAACCCACTTAGGATGGCAGGTGCTCCAGCACTGTAACTGGGCTCTGGCCTCAGTGCTCAGAGCCATGGCAGCAAAAGGATGCTTGAGGTGGGAGCCTAATTTTCAAGGGGGTCGTCTTGCTACCTCTCCACCTCTAGTCCCAAATGAAGTGCAGGTAGGAACCTTCTAAATCTGCTGAATGGTGAAGGACAAGCCAGGAGCAGGGTTACTATGGTGTGCTTTTCTCTGTCTTCTAGGATGCCAACCAAGAGATGAGCTCCGTGGCCTACTCCAACCTTGCGGTGAAAGATCGCAAAGCAGTGGCCATTCTGCACTACCCTGGGGTAGCCTCAAATGGAACCAAGGCCAGTGGGGCTCCCACTAGTTCCTCGGGATCTCCAATAGGCTCTCCTACAACCACCCCTCCCACTAAACCCCCATCCTTCAACCTGCACCCCGCCCCTCACTTGCTGGCTAGTATGCACCTGCAGAAACTTAATAGCCAGTATCAGGGGATGGCTGCTGCCACTCCAGGCCAACCCGGGGAGGCAGGACCCCTGCAAAACTGGGACTTTGGGGCCCAGGCGGGAGGGGCAGAATCACTCTCTCCTTCTGCTGGTGCCCAGAGCCCTGCTATCATCGATTCGGACCCAGTGGATGAGGAAGTGCTGATGTCGCTGGTGGTGGAACTGGGGTTGGACCGAGCCAATGAGCTTCCGGAGCTGTGGCTGGGGCAGAATGAGTTTGACTTCACTGCGGACTTTCCATCTAGCTGCTAATGCCAAGTGTCCCTAAAGATGGAGGAATAAAGCCACCAATTCTGTTGTAAATAAAAATAAAGTTACTTACAAAGAGACGGGCCAACTAGAGGTGTTCTTCATTGAGATCTAATGATGTGTAGTATGGTCTGATGTCCCTTTAGCAATTCTGAGGCCCATGGCGGGGTTGTGAGTGGCTAGCTGGGAAGGAGCTGGATGGGATGGAAGGAGAAGGGAGGGTGAAGGGGGCTGTTCACTGAATTCCTGCTGCCAGCACCACTGTGGCTATCTCCTCAGGAGTACCTGGTCTCATTGCCCTAAGACTCCAGGAACACCATGGCATACAGGGGCTGGTTGGGGGCTTTCTTGGAAGAGAGACTGATCAGACCTTTGTGCAGCCTCCTTGCTACATGCACATCCAAGTCTAAAGGCACATTCCTGGCCACGTGGCACACACTTCACCAACTGTAAAAGCCACCCCCACCCACTCTCTAGCCCCAATCCAACTGACCCATTAAGGCCTTTCCTTTGCCCTCTTGCCCATGTGCAATAGATAGATAGGGCTGAAGAAGGATCCTGTGACCTGGGAGCTCAGATTTCTCTGGAAAATTGCAAAAGCAAGAGACTCCCATCATTAAACTGGGGTTTGAGGTGCCTTCTCCAGGTTCCTCACATAGCTGCTCAGTCCTCCCAGCCTGGGACACTCTGAGCTGGTCTTGAGTGTCCCTAACTCCTACCTTCCTGACCCACCCTGTTTGAGCTGGCCTCTCCATCTTAGAGATACAGATCAGAACTAGGCTTGACAAGTTCAACATTTGGCGATCTATCCCTTGCCTTTCAATTAACTGCTGAGGAAGCAGTGGCTTCAGAAGCATGCCAAGTGGCAAGGCAGTGGCACTGCACTGGATCCTGGCCTTGTGATACACTGATAAAGCCTTGTCCTCATGTTGATACAACCCAATGTCCTGGACACTCTGTCCATGTTTCGGACTCCCAGACAGCCTTCTTCCTTGAATGCTGAAAACGACTCTAATCAGCCTCTCAGGACTAGCATCAGGCCTGCCCCCTAGCAAGCACTTTCAAAAGAGTGTGCTAGCAGGGGCGTTGATTGGATTCAGCACTCCCTGAGCACCTGCTCTGGGCCAGGCACTTTGCTAGACACTGGGAGCATGAATTAGATGAAGTTTACCTTTGAGGGAGTTCCTCATCTCAGAAGGAGAAAGACAGGCACAAACAAATTATAATAAAACAGCATTTCCTAGAACAGAGGGGGAAGGTGCTATTCAATCCCAGAAAAGGAAACAGCTCCATCTGCCTGGGAAGTCTGGGGAAGGCTCCTTGTATTGAACTGCTTTATTTGTTTTCATATTTCACAAGCAATAAATCCATTATCCAATCTCCTTGTAAAAAGTAGAAGCTTTGCAGATAAGGCTAAAGTACCCTTTGACCAAATCTCCCCCTCAATCCTGATTGCCTCTGGTTCTCCACGGAGGTAGCAACTGTTTATCTGTTTGTGGTGCATCCTTGCTGGCCTTGCTCTCTGTCCTTACATAAAGGTAGATCCACCAGAAGAAAGTTTTGGCTTTCGAAATAAGACTTGAATCAGCCAAGGGAAGAATGAGTGAGGGGAACAGCTGTTAAACAGGCACAGGTGCATGAGAGGGGTGACAGTGGCTGAAAACCAGGAGTTCAGCATGCAGGCTATGTCACAGGGCTGGCAGAGGGGACGGGAGGAGATGAGGTTGGAGAAGTTCACAAAAGGCAGAGTCCATAGGGCCTTCTGGAAACAAGCCTTCGCCTTAGTGCCACCAGTCCTGTGGCTCTGGAAGAATCTCTGGAGGTTTGTAGGAAAGCAAATAATTAACCAACTTTTAACATCTTGTTTTTAAGATGATTTCAATAAAGGTAGATGGTTAGATTCATCTAAGGCTGGGAACAGGGAGACATGGGGTTTTGAGGGGGCTGATGAGGCAAGGGTAGGAAAACGGAAAAGGAAGAAACGAAGGCTGGAAGAAGGTGGGGAGAGCAGAGCAGGCTTGAGGGCCTTGGGTCTCTGAGGAGAACACAGGAACTGGATTGGGGGAGCTAGGAAGGGAGAGGAAGGAGGGACCTGACTTCCCAGGTCATAGGATCCTTCTTCGGCCCTATCTATCTATTGCACATGGGCAAGATTGGGGGAGCTAGGAAGGGAGGTGAAGGAGGGTCTCAGAATCTGCACAGCTCCTAGCAACACAAGGGCAGTGTGGACACAGGCATGGCAGCTAAAGCAGAATGACAGGATGTGGATGGAGCCGAACTCTGAAAGGCTAGAGGATCCCAGGGTCCCTCCCCTGCTGGGGCCTTCAAAAAACGCACTTCTGGCCAAACTAAACAGGTCAGGAGGCTGCATTCAGCGCCTGATCCCCAGCTTGCCACCCCTAATCTCTATGAGTATAAGCTCTGGGACCCCCAGGATGGCAGTAGCCCTTGGGGTGGAGAGAAGCTTGAGCCAGGGGCCAGTGCCTTCAGGAGGGGGATGGGCTGCTTTGGAATCATGGGAGTGACAGGAGTGTGGCTGGGAGGCAGATGATGGTGGGGAATGGCCTGAGCATCTCTAGTATATTAACCAGAGTCTACAGAGAAACAGAACAAATAGGATAGAGATATACAGATATACATATGTTGGCTCACAAGATTATAGAGGCTGAGAAGTCCCACAGTCTTCTGTCTGCAAGCTGGAGAACCAGGCAAGCCAGTGGTGTAATTCATCGGAGTCTGAAGGCCTGAAAAGGTGGAGGATAGTAATGGTGTAAGCCTTGGTCTGAGTCTGAAGGCTTGAGAAACAGGAGCACAGAGGTCCAACGACAGGAGAAAATGATGTCCCAGCTTAGACAGAAAGAAATTCACCCTTATTCTGTCTTTTTGTTCTACTTGGGCCCTCAACAGATCAGATGATGCCTACCCACATTGCTGAGGGTGATCTTCTGTCCTCAGTCTACCCATTCACATGCTCATCTCTTCTAGAAACACCCTCTCAGACACACACAGAAATGTTTGATCAGCAATCAATGTCCTTAGCCCAGTCAAATTGACATACAAAATTACCCATCAAACCTAGAGAAGGTGCTTCTGAATGGGGAGGGAGAGCAGGAACTTTGGCATGGCAACCCTGCCTCCTGGTGCCAGTGGCCAGAAATGTGGCCAACGGAGCAGCCTCCTCTCCAGAGAGCTTGGAGGGAGAAGACATGGGACATCCTGAAGGGAGAGTCAAGGCCCTGCACAGGGGCAGATGTGGAGGGCATGGGTCAGTAACTTTATTGCTAGAGAAGGAGAGGGAGTAAGGGAACCCACAAGGCACAGTGGAAGAAAGGCAGGCAAGTCTCAGTCCTTGCCATAGAGGTCATATTCACACCAGACGCAGTCATTCATTAGGTTACTAGAAGATTCCTGAAGCCAACTCCAAGTCCTGGCCTGGAATAGGCCCTGGGGGCTAGGAGGCAAGGTACCCAGATGTACACAAGTAAAGAACACTATCTACCCGCAAGGAGCTTGCTGCTCAGAACAAATGTGTAGCCAAGAGCACCTCCTAGAGCCCAGGAGCAGTGCTGCTCCCTAGGGACAAACTAGAGAGAACCCCGTTCCTGCATTCCAGGAACTCATAGCTCAGTGGTGGAGATAGCCATAGCCTTGAAAGATGAACTGTATTTCCATCAAGCAGCAATGCTGGTGGGGGCTTGAGTGGATGGCATGGCCTCCAGGATGAGGGGGCAATTGGAGCACAAATACAAAGATAAAATCAGGGCATGATGTAAACCAGAACAAAATGTTAGAAAACCCAAGCCTCTGTCAAGGAAGTCCCACAGCTTGACTTCCTCAAAGAGCAGAGGACCGAGAGGAGGTAGGGTAAAATCAGATCCTGCAGTTGTTAATACTTTATTCCACAGGTAAGGGACAATCTCTCATTCCACAAATAAGGACTGAGCACCTACTTTGTGCCAGGAACAATGCTAAGCACTGGGAATATGTGGTAAGCACATTGTCCTTGCTCTCATGAAACTTCAAGTTTAGCAAGGAGATAGCCAGTAGTCAAGTGATCATGCAGATAATTAAAATTACAAATCATGAGAAGTGATAGGAAGAAAAGGTACAGGGCACAATGAAAGGGTATCATGGGGGTTTAATCTCAATTGCAGTGTCAGAGAGGGCCTCTGAAGGTTTTAAATGAAGAAGAGTTGAGGTCAGAGCTTGCATGAGGAAAATTAATCGGGCAATGGTGTGCATGACAAATTGGAATTATGGTGATTCTAGAAAGCTGTGACAGTGGTCCAGGAAGAATAAAGAAGATGGGAAATTAGTTTATGATAAAATGGTAACATTTCAATGGAGAGTTGTTGTTTAATGGGTATAGAGTTTCAGTTCTGCAAGATGAAAGAGTTCTAGAAATCTGTTGCACAGCAATGTGAATATACTTAACACTACTAAATTGTACACATAAAAATGGTTAAGATGGTAAATTTTATGTTGTGGTTTTAACCACAATTAAAAATAAAAAAAAAAACAAGAATTAGCATTCCAAAGCAGTGAGGAAATAATGGATTACTCAATAAACGCTTTGGGACAACTGGATACACTAACCCAAACTTACACCAAAATGAATTCCAGATAAGCCAAAGATTTAAAAATAAAAATTAAAATCATGAAAGTAGTAGAAGACCAAAAAGGAGATTTTTAAAAATAAAATTTTGAAATAGGGAGGCCATTCTAAGAATGACACAAAACCCAGAAGCTATGGAAGAGGCTGATATATTTAACTGCATTTAAAAAAATAGGCCAGGCATGGTGGCTTACAACTGTAATCCCAACACTTTGGGAGGCCAAGGTGAAAGGATTGCTTGAGCCTGGGAGTTCAAGGCCAACCTAAGCAACATAGGGAGATCCTGTCTCTACAAAAAATTTAAAATTTGCTGGGCATGGTGGCGCACACCTGTGGTGCCAACTACTTGGGAGGCTGAGGCAAGAGGATCACTTGGACCTAGGAAGTTGAGGCTGCAGTGAGTCATGACCATGCCACTGCACTCCAGCCTGGGCAACAGAGTGAGACTTTGTCTCAAAAAAACAAATAAACAAACAAACAAAAAAACCTGCAAAGCAAAAATCATACCATAAACAAAGTCAAAGTCAAAGTCAAAAGATAAACTGAGATAAAAAGAGAAAATATCTGCAATTCCTAGTGAATACGAAAACAACTCTTACAAATCAATACATCAAAGACCCCCAGCCCAATGTGAAAATAGGCAAATGATATTAACAGTTCACAGAAAATGAAATAGAGAAAAAGAAATTAAAATGGTTTAAAAACTTATCAAAAGATGCTCAACCTCACTCACACTACAAGAAATGTAATTTAAAACTACACTAGGGGCTTCTGATTCTGGAACAAAATGACTGCTCCTCTCCTTCAAATGCAACTCTATACCCTAGAAATTATTCAATAAGCAATGATAAAAGGACACTGAAAGCAGGAAAGAAGACAGACAGGTCAGGAACTTCAGGACATGGTGAGCTTCCTCAGTTTTCTTTTTATCTCCTGTATACTCCTAGACTGGGTGCCAAAGAGGCATGCAACCTAAAACCAACAGTCATACACACACACACACATGCACGCACGCACACACACGTGCAAGCATGCACGCATGCACACACAAAGGACGGGGAAAGATGAAGCCAGACACACACCTAGTGGGGAGATCTAAGCCCTGCTCCACAACTAAAGCCCCCAGAAAGTGGTCCAATCTACTTGTAGCAGCAAGCAAAGTCCTGGGCTGTCTCAGTGGCTCCCTCCAGAACTGGGGTACCAGCAGGCAACCCAATTTGCCTGCATAGGTAGCAGGAACAAAGCCCTGTGTCTCCTTTCCCTCCACCCAATGGCATAAGGAGACTCACACACAGTGGCTTCAGCAACTCTCTCCCCTGGAAGATCACCCACCAAAAATATGCAGCTCAAAGAAGGAAGGACCTTCTGCCCCTGTAGACAGAACCAGCAAGGATTGAGCAGAAACCCCAGGAATAGCAGAAAAATCAAGCCGACCAAAGTAACATTGCATGGGCTCAGAAAACTAAACTGTCATTGGCCAATGACTAAACTGTCACTGGCCCACTAAAGTAGACCAGAACCTACATGCTAAGTAGGGTAACTACCTGCTAATACCAAAATGTTCAGGATACTAATCGAAAATCACTCATCATAACAAGAGCCAGCAAAACCACAGTTTGAATGAGAAAAGACAGTCAACTGATACCAACATCAAGATGAATCAAATGCTGGAATTATCTGACAAGGGCCTTTAAGCTTCTCAACAATCAATTACAAATTCATTTGAAATAAATGAAAAATTGAAAATCTCAGCAAAGAAATAGATACTTTAAAATAGAACTCAGCCTGGACAACATGGTGAAGCCCTGTCTCTACAAAAAAATACAAAATGCAACTCTACAACATTTATATACAAAATTAATTAAATTTATATACAAAATTAATACAAAATGCAGCTACAAAAATTAATACAAAATGCAGCTACAAAAATTAATACAAAATGCAACTACAAAGAAATACAAAATGCAACTCTATAAAATTTATATACAAAATTAATACAAAAATTAGCCAAACATGGTGGTGCATGCCTGTGGTCCCAGCTACTCAGGAGGCTGAGGTGGGAGGAGTCCAGGAGGTGGAGGTTGCAATGAACCGATATCACCCCACTGCACTCCAGCCTGGGCGACAGAGTGAGACCCTCTCTCTCTCAAAAAAAAAAAAAAAAAAAAAAAAACTAAAAGGAATAATGGAATGAAAAAAATAACTGAAATTTTAAAACTCACTGGATGGACTCAATAATAGAGTGGAGATGACAGAGGACAGATTCTGTAAACTTGAAGACAGATCAATAGAATTTACTCAATCTGAACTCATTTGAACACCACTTGGCTATGATAAATTATGTGTGTGTGTGTGTACATATATATGTACACACACATATATATATATGGTAATACCTATAGCAACCACTAGGAAAACTATACGAAGTAATATATTCAGAATCAGTATAAATAAATCCAAATGAAATTCTAAAATATATTACAGGAAGGCAAGCAAAAATAAGCAGAATGAAAAAAAGAACAAACAAAAAACAAATAATATAAAATGGCAGACTGAATCCCTGACATAATAAAAATTACCTTCAATGTTAATGGACTAAATATACCAATTAAAAGAAAGAGATAAGCAGAGTGCATTTTTTTTTTTTTTTTTGAGTTGGAATCACACTCTGTCGCCCAGGCTGGAGTGCAGTGGCATGATCTCGGCTCACTGCAACCTCTGCCTCCCGGGTTCAAGCAATTCTCCTGTCTCAGCCTCCCTAGTAGCTGGGACTACAGGTACATGCCATCATGCCCGGCTAATTTTTGTTCTTTGTTTTTTGTTTTGAGACGGAGTCTCGCTCTGTCACCCAGGCTGGAGTGCAGTGGCGCGATCTCGGCTCACTGCAAGCTCCGCCTCCCGGGTTCATGCCATTCTCCTGCCTCAGCCTCCGGAGTAGCTGGGACTACAGGCGCCCGCCACCACGACCGGCTAATTTTTTGTATTTTTAGTAGAGACGGGGTTTCCCCGTATTGGTCAGGCTTGTCTTGAACCCCTGACCTCAGGTGATCCACCCACCTCAGCCTCCCAAAGTGCTGGGATTATAGGCATGAGCCACCGCACCTGGTGCAGAGTGAATTTAAAAGAGCACAACCCTGGCCGGGCATGGTGGCTCACACCTGTAATCTCAGCACTTTGGGAGGTCGACGGGGGTGGATCACATGAGGCCAGGAGTTTGAGACCAGCCTGCCCAACATGGCAAAACCCCATCTCTACTAAAAATACAAAAATTATCTGGGCATGGTTGCACACACCTGTAATCCCAGCTACTCGGGTGGCTGAGGCGGGAGAATCACTTGAACCCAGAAGGCTGAGGTTGCAGTGAGCCAAGACCGCACCACTGCACTCCAGCCTGGGTGGCAAAGTGAGAGTGTCTCCCAAAAAAAAAAAAAGCCCGACCCAGCTGGGTGTGGTCGTGCGCATCTGTAATTCCAGCTGAGGAAGGAGGAGTTCAAGCCTAGCCTAGGCAACATAGCGAGACACCATCTCTGAAAAAAAAAAAGAAAAAAGTCTAAAAAGCACAACTCAACTATACGCTGTCTACAGAAAACTCACTTCAAACATGCCAACATAGGTAGGTTGAAAGCACAAGGATGGAAAAATGATATATCATACAAACATTAATTTTAAAAAGCAAAAATGATTATATTAATATCAGATAAAATAGACTTCAGAGCAAAGAAAGTTACTAAGGACAAAAGAGACGTGTTTAAAGGATCAATCCACCAAAAAGACGTAGCAATCCTAAGTGTTTGCGTCAAACAACAGAGCTTCAAAATACATGAAGCGAAAACCAAGAGAGCTGAACAACAAAATAGATAGATCCCCAGTTAGAGTTGGAGGGCTCAACTCCCTCTCTCAGCAATTGGTAAAATGACTAGACAAATTCAGCAAGGATATAGAAGAACTCAACAAAACCATCAACCAAGAGGATCTAATTGACATTTATAGAATACTTTATCCAGCAACAGAAAATACACGTTCTTTCCAAGTATTCATGGAGCACTGACCAAGATGGATCATATGCGGGTTCAGAAACAAACCTTAATACATTTAAAAGAAGTGAAATCATACAGAATGTATTCTCTGGCTATAATGGAATCAAGCTAGAAATCAATAACAAAGATAACAAAAAAGTCTTTTAAAACTTGAAAACTGAACAGCATATTTCTAAATAATCCATGGGTCAAAAAGGAAGTCTCAAAGGAAATTTCTAAAAAATATATTGAACTGAATGACAATGAAAATACGACATATCAAAACTTGTGGAATGCAGGTAAAGCAGAGAAGTTTATAGCACCAAATGCTTACATTTCGAAAACAGAAAAGGGACCAGGAGCAATGGCTCACCCCTGTAATCCCAGCACTTTGGGACTCAAAGACAGGAGGATCACTTGATCCCAGGAGTTTGAGACAAGCTTAGGCAGCATAAAGAGACCCCATCTCTACAAAAAACAAAAAGAAAACAAAAACCAGAAAAGTCCAGTCAATAATCTAAATTCTTACGTAAAAAAAACAAGAAAAAAAGTGCAAAATAAACCAAAACCAACTAGAAAAGGGGGAAACAATAAAGATAAGAGCAGAAATAAATGAAATTGAAAGCAGGAAAACAGTAAAGAAAATCAATGAAGCAAAAAGCTGGTTCTTCAGAAAAAAAGTCAATAAAACTGACAAACTTCTAGCAAGACTGACAGAAATAAAAAGAGAAAACACAAATTACCAACATCAGAAATGAAAGAGAGGCTATCACTACAGATCCTACAGCTATTAAAGGAATCATAAGGAAATACCACAAACACTCCTGTGCTAATAAATTCAACAACTTAAAAGAAATGAATCAATTCTTCAAAACCCAAAACTCTACCGAGATGAAATAGATAATCTGAATAATTCTACAACCATTAAATAAATTGGATTTGTATAATTAAAGAGCTTTCAGAAAAGAAATCTCTAGGCCAAAATTTTTTCACTGGGGAATTTTATGAAATATTCTAAGAAGGATTAGGACCAATTTTACACAAAAGAAGAGGGAATGCTTCCCAAGTATTATCCTGATATCAAAACCAGACAAAAACAACATACAAAACAATATAACTACAGACCACTCTCTCTCCTGAATTTAGATGCAAAAATTCTAAACAAAATTTGATCAAATCCAATCCAACAATATATAAAAAGAATAATGTACCATGACCAAGTGGGGTTTATTCTAGATATGCAGGGTTGGTTCAACATTCAAAACGAGGCCAGGCATGGTAGCTCATGCCTGTAATCCCAGCATTTTAGGAGGCTAAGGCCAGAAGATCACTTGAGGCCAGGAGTTCAAGACCAGCCTGGGCAACATGGTGAGACCTCGTCTCTATAACAAATCAGAAAAATTAGCCAGGCGTGATGGTCTGGTGCCTGTAGTCCCAGCTACTTGGGAGGCTGAGACGGGAGGATCACTTGAGCCCAAGATTTTGAGGCTGCAGTAAGCTGTGGTTGCATCATTGCACTCCAGCCTGGGTACCAGAGGTCTCAAAAAACAAAAAACACCCGTGTCTCAAAATACAAAAAAAATTCAAAACTCAATGGAAATAATTTACTATATCAACAGGCTAAAGAAGAAAAACCACATGATTATATCAATTAATGCAGAAAAAGCATTTGACAAAATTCAACACCAGATCATGATTAAAACTCTCAATAGGCGGGGTGTGGTGGCTCACACCTGTAATCCCAGCACTTTGGAAGGCTGAGGCGGGCGGATAACTTGAGGTCAGGAGTTTGAGACCAGTCTGGCCAACATGGTGAAACCCCATCTCTACTAAAAATACAAAAATTAGCTGGGAGTGGTGGCATGCACACCTATAATCCCAGCTACTCGGGAGGCAGAGGCAGGAGAATCACTTGAAGCCAGGAGGTGGAGGTTGCGGTGAGCTGAGATCGAGCCACGCACTGCACTCCAGATGGAGCAAGACTCCACCTCAAAAAAAAAAAAAAAAAAAAAAGCTCTCAATACAGGCCAGTCACAGTGGCTCTTGCCTATAATCCCAGCACTTTGGGAGGCCAAGGTGGGCGGATCTCTTGAGGTTCAGAGTTTGAGACCAGCCTGGCCAACATAGTGAAACCCCGTCTCTACTAAAAATATAAAAATTAGCCAGGCATGGTGGCGGGTGCCTGTAATCCCTGCTACTCAGGTGGCTGAGGCAGGAGAATCACTTGAACCTGGGAGGGGGAGGTTGCAATGAACTGAAATTGCACCACTGCACTCTAGCCTGGGCGACAACATGAGACTCTGTCTCAAAAAAAAAAAAAAAAAAAAAAAAAAAAACCAAAACACCTCTCAATACACCAGCAATAGAGGGGAATTTCTTCAGTCTCATAAAAACCATCTCCAAAAACTAACAAACAAACAAACAAAAAAACCCCACAGGCAGCATCATACTCAATGAAGAAAAACAAAATGTTTTTCCTCCAAGATTGGGAACAAGATAAGAACATACACTCTCATCATTCTTATTCAGCCTAGTACTAGAAGTCCCAGCTGCTGCGGTAAGGTAAAAAAAGGAAATAAAAGTTATACAGATCAGAAAGAAAACTTTCTCTATTTGCAGATAGACATGATGCTCTATGTAGAAAATCCCAAGGAATCTACAAAAACACTGTTAGAACTAATAAGTGAGTTCAGCAAGGTCAAAAGATACAAGATCAACACACAAAAAGCAATCACATTTCTATATTCCTGTACTATCAATGAACACATAAAAAACAAAATAAAAACATGATACCATTCACCATCACTAAAAATGTATGTATACTTATGTATAAAACCTGGTCAGGGTCTGTTTGCTGAAAATTATAAAATGCCGAAGAAAAAAATTCAAAGAACACCTGAAATGATCCATAGGTTTAATGCAATTTCTATGAAACTCTCAGCAAGGTTCTTTGTAGACATACACAAGCTTATTCTAAAATTTCTATGGAAAGGCAAAGGAACTAGAGTGGCTAAGACAATTTTGTTAGAGAAGAATAAAGTGGGAGGAATCACTCTAGTCCATGCTCAGGCTTACTATGTAGCTACAATAAATGTGATACTGGTGGAAGGAGAGACATAGTTCAATGGAACAGAATAGAGATCCCAGAAATAGACTCGCATAAGTATAACTAAATGATTTTTTACAAAGATGCAAAAGCAATTTAAAGGAGGAGGGGGCCGGAAATGCCTGTAATCCTAGCACTTTGGGAGGTCAAGGTGGGAGGATTGCTTGAGGCCAGGAGCTCAAGACCAGCCTGCGCAACATAGCAAGACTCTGTCTCTACAAATTTTTTTTTAAATAAAAATAATTAGCCAGGCATGGTGGTGCACACCTGTAGTTCTAGCTGAGATGGGAGGACTGATTGAGTCCAGGAGTTTGAGACTGCAGTGAGCCATAATTGTGCCACTGCACTCCAGCCTGGGGAACAGAGCAAGACCCTGTCTCAAAAAAAAAAAAAAATCCATTTAGAAAATGGGCAAAACACATGCACAGACATTTCACTGAAGAGGATATATAGATAGCAAATAAGTATATGAAAAGGTGTTCAACACCATGTAGCTATTAGGGAGATAAAACCACAATAATATATCACTACACACTTATCAGAATGGCTAAAATAAAAAGTACTGACAACACCAGATGCTGGCAAGGATGCAGAGAAATTGGATGACCTGTACATTACCAGTAGGAATGTGAAATGGTACAGCCACTGTGGCATAGAATTTGGCAGTTATTTATAAAACTAAACATGCACTTACCATACAATCCAGAAATTACACTCTTGGACACTGACCTCAGTGAAATAAAAACTTATGTCTACACAAAAACCTGTACACAAATGTTCCTAGCATCTTTATTCCTAAGAGTCCCAAACTGGAGACCACCCAGATATGCTTCCATGGGTCACACAAATGGTGGTACAGCCATACCATGGAATACTATTCAGCGATAAAAAAAGAATTAACATAAAGGAAATTATCCTGAGTAAAAACCAGCCAAAATCTAAAGGAGACATATTTTATGACTTTGTTTATGTAACATTCATGAAATAGCGTAATTATAGGAGTGGAAAACAGATCACAGGTGTATTAGTTCGGTTCCTTTTTTTTTTTTTTTTTTTTTTTTTTGAGACAGAGTCTCACTGTGTTGCCCAGGCTGGTGTGCAGTGGCGTGATCTCGGGTCACTGCAAGCTCTGCCTCCTGGGTTCACGCCATTCTCCTGCCTCTGCCTCCTGAGTAGCTGGGACTACAGGCACCCGCCACCACGCCCGGCTAATTCTTTGTATTTTTAGTAGAGACAGGGTTTCACCGTGTTAGCCAGGATGGTCTCGATCTCCTGACCTCGTGATCCGCCCGTCTCGGCCTCCCAAAGTGCTGGGATTACAGGCGTGAGCCACCGCGCCCGGCCTATTAGATCGTTTTCACGCTGCTAATAAAGGCATACCCAAGACTGGGAAGAAAAAGAGGTTTAATTGGACTTACAGTTACACATGGCTTGGGAGGCCTCAGATTCATGGCAGAAGGCAAAAGGCACTTCTTAGATGGCAGCAGCAAGAGAAAATGAGGAAGAAGCAAAAGCAGAAACCCCTGATAAACCCATTGGATCTCCTGAAACTTACCCACTATCACGAGAATAGCACGGGAAAGACTGGCCCCCATGATTCAGTTACCTCCCCCTGGGTCCCTCCCACAACATGTGAGAATTCTGGAAGATACAATTAAAGTTGAGATTTGGGTGGTGACACAGCCAAACCATATCAACTGGAGACTAAATGGTTAAGAGCACAAATAAGCCCTGGAACTACATTGGCTTCTAAACTCAGCTCCACCATGTGCTAGTGTGACTTTGGGTGAGTTGCTTAATCTCTCTGAGCCTTGATTTCCTCATGTGTAAAATGGTTTTCAAATTCATTTATTCAGTTAGTCAATAAACATTTAGTTCCAGGTGCCGAGGATAGCAGTGAACAAGACAAACAAAATCTTTTTTTTTTTTTTTTTTTGAGATAGGGTCTTGCTCTGTCACCCAGGCTGGAGCAATCATGGCTCACTGCAGCCTCAACCTCACAGGCTCAAGGGATCCTCTCACTTCAGCCTCCAATGTAGCAGGGACTACAGGCACACACTGCCATGCCTGGTTAATTTTTTGTATTTTTAGTGTAGATGAGGTTTCACCATGTTGCCAAGGCTGGTCTTGAACTCCTGAACTCAAACAATCCTCCTGCCTCAGCCTCCCAAAGTGCTGGATTACAGATGTGAGCCCTCGTGCCTGGCCCAAAATCTTTGCTCTTATAGAGCTGACATTCTAATGGGTAAGAGAGGAAATAAACAAAGATAGAAATTAATATATATCAGCAGATTGTAGTATGAGGAAAAGTAAAGCAAAGTGAGATGAAAGAGAAAGCATAGAAACTTTAGCTAGGATGTAGTAAGAGTTCAAAAATATTAGTGTATCACTTCTCAGCCTTTTGGTTAAGATCAAGTGCAAAAATATTAGTGTCATTACACATTGTTATTAATAACCACAAAAAATGCTATTTTAAAAGATTAAATTGTTGGAGAGGGTGAAGGGAAATTAATACTCTCATACACTGCTCGTGAGAGTGCAACTTATTACAGCCTCTTTAGAGGTCAATTTGGCAGGTCCTTTAAAATTAAAAATGCCAGCCGGGCGCGGTGGCTCACGCCTGTAATCCCAGCGCTTTGGGAAGAGAGACAGGTGGATCACTTGCAGTCAGGAGTTCGAGATCAGTCTGGCCAACATGGCAAAACCCGGTCTATACTAAAAATACAAAAATTAGCCAGGCATGGGGTGCATGCCTGTAATCCTAACTACTCAGGAGACTGAGGCACGAGAACTGCTTGAACCTGGGAGGTGGAGGTTGCAGTGATCTGAGATCACGCCACTGCACTCCAGCCTGGGCAACAGAGCAATATGCTGTCTCAAAAAAAAAAAAAATTAAAATGCCTATGCCCTATAACCCAGCAAACTTCACTCTAGAGCCTGTCTATCTGGGTTCAAATCCTGACCTTGCTATTGACTAGCTGTGTGACCTCTGACAAGTTGCTTCTCTGCGCCTTAGTTTCCTCATCTGTCCTCAAGGACAAAACCATGAGGTTGCTGTGAAGATTAAATGAATGAACATACGTAAAACATTTAAAAACAGCACTTAGCATTAAAATGTTATAAATGTGTTTGCTGCATAAATCTCACTTTTCAGTATCTACCTAGAGAAACACTTGCACATGTGCACCAAAAGTAGACTCAGAGATGTTCAGCATTGTTTATAATAGTAGAAAAAAAAGGGCCGGGCGCGGTGGCTCACGCCTGTAATCCCAGCACTTTGGGAGGCGGAGGCGGGTGGATCACGTGGTCAGGAGATCGAGACCATCCTGGCTAACACAGTGAAACCCTGTCTCTACTAAAAATACAAAAAATTAGCCGGGCGAGGTAGCGGGCGCCTGTAGCCCCAGCTACTCGGGAGGCTGAGGCAGGAGAATGGCGTGAACCCCGGGGGGCGGAGCCTGCAGTGAGCCGAGATCGCGCCACTGCACTCCAGCTTGGGCGACAGGGAGACTCCGTCTCAAAAAAAAAAAAAAAAAAAAAAAGGAAATAACCTAGATATCCATCAATAAGGAGATGGGGCCAGGTGCGGTGGCTCACGCCTGTAATCCTAACACTGGGAGTCCAAGGCAGGTGGGTTGCCTGAACTCAGGAGTTCGAGACCAGCCTGGGCAACATGGTGAAACCCTGTCTCTACTAAAACACAAAAATTAGCCAGGAGCTACTGGGGAGGCTGAGGCAGGAGAATCGCTTGAACCCAGGAGGCAGAGGTTGCTGTGAGCCAAGATCGCGCCACTGCACTCCAGCCTAGGTGACAGAACAAGACTCCATCTCAAAAAAAATAAAAATGTTTTTAAAAAGGAGACGGTAAAACAAAGTAAGATATAGTGGTACTATGGAATACAGTACTACGAAACAGCTAAACAGAATTAAGTAGATCTCTATGTTTTGACAAGGAAAGATCTCTGAGAGGTGCTATTATGTAACAAAAACATAGTTGCAGAATAATACATATGGGGTGATCCTATCTAAACAAAATAAAATGTACAATATTGTATATATGGATACATATATCCATGCATAGAAAAAAATCCGGAAAGATTCACTTCATAGGGATGTTGTTAGAGTTGTTACCTGATAGGACGTGCAGGAGAAAGCACGATCGGCTGTGAAAGTGGTCAAAAATGATTTTATATTTTACAAGAACATATTCATCTCCAACTTATGCGATTAAAATGAATTTTTCCTATAATAAGGAAGTATCATTAAATGGTCAGAAGTGAACTGTCTTTTCAACAATGATTCTAAAACAATTATCCATAAATAATAAAATGAACCTCTATCCACACCCATCATTATATACAAAAGTTAACACAAAAATGGATTGTAGACCTAAATGTACAATCTAGAATTATTAAATTTCCAGAAGAAATTATAGGAGATCTCTGTGACTTTAGATTAGACAAAGATTTCTTACATACCATGCCAAAAGCAAAATCAATATGAGAAAAAAATGGATAAATTGGACTTCATCATAATTAAGTACTTCTGCTCTTTGAAAGACACTTCAGGCTGGGTGCGGTGGCTCATGCCTGTAATCCCAGCACTTTGGGAGGCTGAGGCAGGCAGATCACCTGAGGTCAGGAGTTCAAGACCAGCCTGGCCAACATGGTGAAACCCCATCTCTACGAAAAATACAAAAATTAGCCAGGTATGGTGGTGCACGCCTGTAATCCCAGCTACTTCGGAGGCTGAAGCAAAAGAATCAGTTGAACCTGGGAAGTGGAGGTTGCAGTGAGCTGACATGGTGCCATTGCACTCCAGCCTGGGTGACAGAGTGAGACTCTGTCTCAAAAAAAAAAAAAGACACTTTAAAAAATGAAAACAAACCACCACAGACTTGAAGAAAATACTTGCAAATCACATGATACAGGATTTGCTTCCATGGTAGTCCGAGTGCAGTGATATTCACAACTAATTGATCATAACCAGTTACAGATTCCTTTGTTCCTTCTCCACTCTTACTGCTTCACTTGACTAGCCTTTTAAAAAAAGGATTTGCACCCAGAATATATAAACAACTCTCAAATGCAATAAGAAGAAGATAAACAGCCCAGTTTTGAAAACTGGGCAAATCATTTCAACAGATATTTCACCAAAGAAGATACATAGGAGAAAAAAAAAAAAGCACATGAAAATATTTTAAGCATTATTAGCCGTGAAGGAAATGCAAAGTATAACCACAATAAGATAGTACTACGTATGTGTTCAAATTGCCAAAGACTGACCTTCACAGACAACAAAAGAAAAAGATAAATGGGGCGTTATCAAAATGTAAAACTTTTGTGCATCAAAGGACTTGAGAGTGGAGGAAAAAAACCCACAGAATGGAAGAAAATATTTGCAAATCAAATATCTTGTATTAGTCCATTTTCACATTGCTGATAAAGACATACCTGAGACTGGGAAGAAAAAGAGGTTTAATTGGACTTAGAGTTCCACATGGCTGGGGAGGCCTCAGAATCATGGCGGGTGGCAAGGGAAAAATGAGGAAGATGCAAAAGCGGAAACCCCTGATAAAACCATCAGATCTCGTGAGACATATTCACTACCACGAGAACAGTATGGGGGAATCTGCCCCCATGATTCAAATGATCTCCCACTGAGACCCTCCCACAACACATGGGAATTACGGGAGTATAATTCAAGATGAGATTTGGGTGGGGACACAGAGCTAAACCATATCATATCTGATAAGGGATTAATGTCCAGAATATATAAAGAACTCCTAAAACTCAACAACACCAATTAAAAAGAAACAGCTTAAAGATGGGCAAAGCACTTTAATAGATATTTCTCCAAAGAAAGTATAATATAAATGGCCAATAAACACAAGAAAAGATGCTCAACATCATTCATTAGGGAAATACAAACCAAAACCACAATGCAATACCATTTCATACCCGTTAGTATGGCAATTATGAAAAACAAAAATGGAAAATAACAAGTGTTGGTGAGCACATGGAGAAATTCGGAACCCTGTGCATTGCTGGGGGAAATGTGAAATAATGCAGCCACTGAGTCTGGCAGTTCCTCAAAAACTTAAGCATACAATTACCATATGATCCAGCAATTCCACTTCTGGGTTTATATCCAAAAGAATTGAAAGCAGAAACTCAAATTGATACTTGTATACCAACATTCATAGCAGCATTATACACAATAGCCAAAACATGGAAACAACCCAAGTGTACATCAACAGATCATGGATACACAAAATGTGGCATATGCATACAATGGAATATTAACAGACATAAAAATGAAATTCTGATACATGCTACAATGTAGATGAACCTTGAAGATATTCTGATAAGTGAAACAACCCAGATACAAAAGGACAAATATTTATTATTCCTCCTATATGAGATACTTAGAATGAGAAGATTCATG
Organism: Homo sapiens; assembly: GCF_000001405.40. NCBI lineage: Eukaryota > Metazoa > Chordata > Mammalia > Primates > Hominidae > Homo > Homo sapiens. Next base: position 72,283,541 of record NC_000023.11, on the reverse strand, counting down.
GAGACAGAAAGTTGAATAGAGGTTACCAGGGGTTAAGGGTATGGGAAATGGGGAGTTATTTTTTAATGGGTACTGAGTTTCTGCTTGGGAAAATAAAAAAAATTCTGGAACTGGCTAGTGGTGATGATTGCACAGCATTGTGAATGTGCTTAATGCCAAGGAATTGTATATGTAAGAATGGCCAAAATGGCAAATAAATTTATTTATTTATTTATTTATTTATTTATTTATTTATTTATTTGAGATGGGGTCTTGCTCTGTCTCCCAGGCTGGAGTGCGGTGGCATGATCTTGGCTCACTGCAACCTCCACCTCCTGGGTTCAAGTTATTCTCCTGCCTCAGCCTCCTGAGTAACTGGGATTACAGGCACACACCACCATGCCTGGCTAACGTTTGTATTTTTAGTAGAGACGGGGTTTCACCATGTTGGTCAAGTTGGTCTCGAACTCCTGACCTCATGATCTGCCTGCTTCGGCCTCCCAAAGTGCTGGAATTATAGGCATGAGCCACTGCACCAGGCCTCAAAAAAATGTTATGTATATTTCATCACAATAAAAATGTTTTCTAAAGATGGGCCTTAATATGCGTTGACAAGGATGTGGAGCGACTGAAATTCTCATACACTGCTGATGGGAGTGTAACATGACACAAGCCACTTTGAAAAACATTTTGGCAATTTTTATAAAAGTTAAATATGCACCTACCATATGACCTAGCCATTCCACTCTTAGTTATTTGCCCGAGAGAAATGAAAACATTGTCCATAAAAATACTCGTATGTGAACATTCATAGCAGCATTGTGGTAATTGCCCCAAACTGGAAACAACCCACATGTCTATCATGGGTAAATAATTAATGTTTATCCATACAATGGAGTACTAGTCAGCAATAAAAAGAAGAAGCTAAACTATTGATACACGCAACAACATAGATGAGCCTCAAAATAATTATGCTGAGTGAAAGACACTAGACCAAAATGAGTACATACTGTTTGATTTCTATTTATTTCTATTATTTAAAAATCTAAAAAATGCAAACTCATCAATAGTCAGAGAAAGCAGATCAGCAGTTGCCTGGGAATAGGAGTGGGGATGGGAGGGGCTGGAGTGAGGGATTACAAAGGCACATGAGGAAACTTTTGTTGGTGATAGACATGTTCACTATCATAGTTGTGATGGTTTCTTTGGGTGTATACATGCATCAGAATTGTCAAATTGTGTACTTTAAACACTTACTATTTATTGTATGTCAAGTATTTTTCAGTAAAGCTTGTGTTTTGGTTTGTTTGTTTTGTTTTTTGATCCTCTCACCTCAGCCTCCAGAGTAGCTGGGACTGCTGGTGTGGGCCACCATGCCTGGCTAATTTTGTTTATTTTTATTTGTAGACATGGGGTCTTGCTATGTTGCCCAGGCTGGTTTCAAACTCCTGGGCTCAAGCGATCTGCCCACCTCAGCCTCCCAAAGTTCTGAGATTACTGGCATGAGCCACCGCACCTGGCTGGTAAAGCTGTTTTAAAAATAAGTTTAAGGCTAGATGTAGTGGCATAGGCCTGTAATTCCAACACTACTACCATGAACTGCTCATACACGTCTATCCTCCTTAGTAATCTGGGACAGGATGCTGGGGACGTGTGTCTCAGTTCTCTCTTCAAAGACTCATCTCCCATTCCCACACTTACAGAACTAGAACCATGTACTCTGTGATTTCATTTATTATATGCTAAAGCGGTTTTTACAAAACAACAGAGGAAAGATCATTCAATATATTATAGTAAGAATGTCGGTTAGCTAACATTTGGGGGGAAATATAATTTTTTTCTATTTATTCTATTTATCTTTATCAACCCCAAGTTAATAAAAAATTAAATATATGTTATTAAATAGAATTGAGTATCTAATAGATCTTTGAACTGATAGCAGCTTTCTAAGCTTTGAAGGAACAAGAAGAGATTACAAGAGAAAAGATCAACAGATTTGGCTATATAAAATCCTGAAAGTTTGTACACTGAAAAGTACAACCAAAAAGAAAATAACCAATTGGTATGACAAAGGATTAATGTCTATATTTTATAAAGCATTCATGGAAATCTACCCAAAAAACATGTCCCCAAAGATAAATGGCCAGAGATACTTCACACAAGAGGAAATGGAATGAGTAAACAAGCATGTGGCAAAATATTCAACCTCACTAGTGGCTTTTTTTTTTTTTGAGATGGAGTTTCACTCTGTCACCCAGGTTGGAGTGCAGTGGCACGATCTCAGCTCACTGCAACCTCTGCCTCCAGGGTTCAAGCGATTCTCCTGCCTCAGCCTCCCGAGTAGCTGGGATTACAGGTGCATGCCACCACGCCTTGCTAATTTTTTGTATTTTTAGTAGAGATGGGGTTTCACCATGTTGGCCAGGCTGGTCTCGAACTTTTGACCTCAAGTGATCCGCCTGCCTTGGCCTCCCAAAGTGCTGGGATTACAGTCATGAGCCACTGCACCCGGCCTAGTTGAGATTTTTTAGTGTAAATTAAAATAATTACATTAGCAAAAGTTAAAAATAGGTGATTACCAGGCTGGCACGAGTATAGTAAAATTGCAAGAATCCTCCGAGAAAGGCTTTTTGGCAATACACATATGCTACTACAAAAGGATTCAGACTCTTTGACACAGTGCTCTCTTTCTAAGGGTTACTGCCAACCACTCCCCTGAATTAATCACAGATGCACCACTTCTCCCACATCTGAGTCTCCAGCCCAGATCATGCGCCTGAGCTCAGGACTGGGTCTATAAGATATCTCCAGGCTGATGTTCCCCCGCACCCTCAGCCCTGTGTCTCAGACTCATCTCCTCATCTTCTCCTCAAGCACACTCCTCTGCCTCCTCCTTGTTCCGGTGAATGCATCACTGAGTCACCAAGCCAGAAACCTGGGAGTCATCCTAATTACCTCGTTGTCCCTCACCCCTGCACATTCATCATTTCCCAGTCAGATCCTGCCAATACTCCATCTGCAATGTCTTTTGAGTCTTTGAGCCCCCTCCTCCTCAGCCCCAGAGTCACAAATCTAGGTCTCAGCAGCCTTCAGTTTCTTGCTTGTATTGTTGACAGAGACCTGACCCATGTCCTCCAAGCCACTCACATTTCCTTCAAACCATTCTACGTGGAGGAGTTTGAGTTATCTTTTTAAAGCACAACACTGATTCTGTCCTCCTTAAAATCTTTCAACAGCTCTCCATTGTCTACCCACAGGCTAAAGTCCAAGATCCTAAAGATTTAGCTGCCCTCTGTATTACAACCCGCTTCACCACCATTTTTTTCTCCGATAAGCTTCTCCTAGCTTTCCCTCCCCACCCCCGCAGCCTGCTTCTCATATTATTATTTGTTCCTTGAGAGCAAGAACTAGATCTTAATAATCTCTGCATCCTCAGTTCATAATGCAGAGCTTGACACAGAGTAAGCACTCAATAAGTGTTGGTTGAAGGAATAGATTTATTCTAAGGAAAATATTCAACTGAAGGAAAAAGCTGTTCACTGTAGCAACACGCATAATAGAGAAAAAGTACAGAAAACTAAATGTCCAACAACAGAGAACTTGTATTAATTGTGGGACATCCACTTAATGGAATATGATACAGCTGTTAAAGTAGTAATTATGAGGATTATGCAGCAACTTGGAAAGTGTTTCTAATATAATAAAAACAGAATACAAAATGGTCTGTATGCTAGGACTAAAATTATGTAAAAGTATGCATGCACACAAGCCGATCAGAAAGAGAACAGGAAGAGGAACAAATGAATACAGATGATGTGTTTAGGGTGTTTGGGGAGGTACTGTTTGCGATTTACTTAGCTCTTTCCAAATTTCCTTTATTGTTGTTAGAATGTCATTTGTGCATAAATACAAATTGAGAGAGAGAAATATACTGAAAAAGATGCTTTGATTTCCTCAAGTCCTTTGATAACCTATGGCATAAAAACAAACCACTCACCTGGGAGGCAAGAGACAAGTCCCCTCATCCCCAAACGGGCTGTGTGATCTTGATTAAGTGAGATCTGCAGCTCTAACCAGCCATTTCTCCTATCCTCTCTAGCTGGAAAGCACATGGTTATCCCCCCACTCCCACAGCAACTTCTCCACCATTTCTGTTAATTGTACCACCATCTTCCCAGTGCTCTCAGATTAAAAACCTCAGAACCAACTTCCATTATCTCATCACCTTCACCTTCTCTCTACTCCTCACCTCCAATTAATCGATCCTTTCCAATAATCACTTATAACATGCTTTATTGTGGATTGTATCCCAGTTTTAGACAAGGAGGAGTTCCTGCCCTCTTAGTTAATACTGTCTGCTTGGTTAATACTGTCTGCTTGAGAAGAGCCAACAATGTTTCCCTCTCTTGCTCCTCTGCAGACTGCTGAGGGGTAAAGTGGATGGTACAGATAGAGACTTGTGAAATGGAACCTCATGAGTTAGGAGCTTGATCTCATGGTGGGAAGAATTCAGGCACAGGCTGGATGCTCTCAGGGATAGTACAGTAGGACTTGGCACAATAAGTGGGATGCTGACTCCGTTTATTCATTCAACAAGTATTTATCAAGTGCTGGACACAGTGCCGAGCTCTCTGTTCAGTGGCAAGGGGCCTGCCCAGATGAATTAGGGCAGGCTCCATCCTGGAGGTGCTCAGTTTGGTGGAGGCCAGGTAACTAAATTTGTCCTTGCTACCTAATGTGCTGTGTGCCCTCACCAAGTTTGAACACAAGCCTCTGGGGCAAGAATGAGGGATTTACCCTGACTGAGGGGACCACGAGCCCACAGAACCAGAGGGACTTGAACTGTGCATTTCCAAGGCTGAGGTGTGGGATTAGGTGGTACCCAGGAAGGGGGTTTGGCTGTTTGTGGCAGTTCCAAGCTAAGGAATCGAGTCCACAAGCAGTCTTGAAAGAGCTGACTCTAGCCAGGCGCAGTGGCTCAGGCCTGTAATCCCAGCACTTTGGGAGGTCGAGGCGGGCGGATCGCTTGAGTCCAGGAGTTTGAGACCAGCCTAGGTAACATGGCGAAACCCCGTCTCTACAAAAAAATAAAACTACAAAAAATTAGTTGGGTGCAGTGGCGTGCGCCTGTTGTCCCAGCTACTCGTGGGGGCTGAAGTGAGAGGATCGCTTGAGCCCGGGCTGTCTGTCGAGGCTGCAGTGAGCCATGCACTACAGCCTGGGTGACAGAGTGAGACCCTGTCTCCCAAACAAACAAACAAAAAGAGCTGACTCCCTCGGAACAAACTAGCTTGGTGGGGCTTGAGCTTTGAAGTTTGGGATTGGGGAGAGAGAGCAATGGAGCCAGATAAAGTTCAGACCTGCTCCCTTACGGCAGGAAACAGAGGGCCAAGGGCAGTTTCGAAGCAGGATCAGATCTACATTTTAGTTAGATATAACCAGACGATTTCTAATATCCTCTCTCCTCCCTGAGTCTCTATAAGTGCCAAATGCGTTGTACAGGAAGCAAGGGGGAGGATGTCAGAGTTCAAGCAGAGAAGCAAGAGGGGGTTAAAAACGTTGTTGGCTCTTCCCAACTCAGTATGGGCTGCCTGGCTGGCTCAAGGGAACACAAAAAAGGGACAGACAAAATACGTTTAAGAAATAACATTAAATATTTATTAAAATGTATTCTATTGATTATATACAAGTTCTTTGTTTTGTTTTGTTTTGTTTTGTTTTTGAGACGGAGTCTCGCTCTGTCGCCCAGGCTGGAGTGCAGTGGCGCGATCTCGGCTCACTGCAAGCTCCACCTCCGGGGTTCACGCCATTCTCCTGCCTCAGCTTCCCGAGTAGCTGGGACTACAGGCGCCCGCCACTATGCCCGGCTAATTTTTTTGTATTTTTTTTTAGTATAGACGGGGTTTCACTGTGTTAGCCAGGATGGTCTCGATCTCCTGACCTCATGATCCGCCCGCCTCGGCCTCCCAAAGTGCTGGGATTACAGGCGTAGAATCATCTGTACGTGAGACTGGAAGTAAGCTCACTTTGAACTCTCCTTGAGGCCAGGGATGTTGTGTAGCTCATCTTTGTATTCCCAGCACCTAGCACAGAATAAGGCACACAAGAGGCGCTCAGCAAATATGGGAGGAGGAAGGGCGGAAAAAGGGGAGGGAGGAAATCGCCCTTAGGAGACACCCTCTTTCCGCGGCGGTTCCTCAACTCGGGACTTCTGACCTCCCACCAGCAGATGGCAAGAAAGAGTCCCGGCGCGCCAGCAAAGGGCTGAGCTGGGCGGAGCAGCTGAAAATCCGGCGCGCGCAGTCTCCAGCCCCAATTTCTACGCGCACCGGAAGACGGAGGTCCTCTTTCCTTGCCTAACGCAGCCATGGTAAGCCGTTTAGTTAGCGAGCTCTTAGGACGTATCCGCCTCCATCCTCCCCCGGCCGGGGCTGCCCGAGGTTTCGGGATTCCTACTGGGGATGGCCGGGCAGAGGCGAAGGGATCACGGCCTCCGTGGTAGGCCGGGACGGGCTCCAGGGCGAAGGGCGAACGCTGGCCTAGGGTTGGGGAGGCGCAGATCTGGTGCTGCTGTTGGGAAGGCCTCGGTTTCTGACCCGGCCATACGTCCTGATCCCGGGAGAAGCTGCTTTTCCTCCCGGGCCGGAGCCGCGGCTGGGCCAGGAGCTCAGACTGCGAGCCCGAGGTTGGTGGGCGCTGGGGGTGCCCGGCGGAGAAAGGTTTTCTTTGTCATTGCCTTTTTGGCACGGCCTGACTTTACCATACGTGGCCGGTAAGCATCTGGACACAGCATTAAAAAGGCTTCCTTACTCTTTTTAAAGTAAAATTGGTGTCAGCTTTTGGCTTTAGTGTACGAAGGAGCAGCACATGTGTTTGTGCGGATGTCAGAATCTTGTTCCATACGTGTCAAAAACAGACGGTAATAAATTGTGAAAACTTTAGAAACACAGGTAGACTCCTGGCTCATTTCTGTTGCTGTGCGTTTCACTAGTATGGTGTTCTTGAAAGACCCTAACCTCTAAGCAGATACAGTTTCAAACAGTAACATGGAAACACTTTAGCAAGGTTCTGAAAGATAGTAATCAGTAAACGTTCTGAAACATAGTAACCAAGAATATTCTCTGTTACAATAAGAAGGCTTGTTGCAGCTTATGGATCTCACGGTGTTTGTTAAATAACTGTGTTTGTTTCTGTTTTATCGGAACACTATACTTTAATATTGTCCACATTTTGCTGAAGATGAAACTAAACTAAGAGTTTAGTTTCACACTAGGTTTTATAAGCTGTTCTGAAACCTGATTAACAGCATTGCAATCTAAAACTTTCAGGCTCGTGGTCCCAAGAAGCATCTGAAGCGGGTGGCAGCTCCAAAGCATTGGATGCTGGATAAATTGACCGGTGTGTTTGTAAGTATCTTATATAAATATTTCCGTGGCCACTGTTTTTAAGTGTCTCCCAGGACTCATTTGGGGACCAGGCTAGGGGAGGAATATCTATTCTTGGCTTCCTCTGCCCTTGAAGGAGCTATACTATCTAGCTGTCCTCCACTTCCAATCGATTTAATATTTTTGTGCCTCATTTATTCCACATACCACATAGTACATTTACATGGACTCAGGATTCATGTTCTTAATGATCCTGGTCCTCTGACAGGGAAGATGCTATAAAACTTTAAGGTATGAAATAGTTTTGGATGCTTTTTACACCTCCTGTGTAAAAGTCCAAGTTGGGTGTAATATGGACGGTCTTGGTGTTCAGTTAGTGGATCTGGTGGACTAGGAGGTAGGTTTGAGTGCTTTAGTGAATCCCAACAGTGATTATCATTTTTAACGTTACAGGCTCCTCGTCCATCCACCGGTCCCCACAAGTTGAGAGAGTGTCTCCCCCTCATCATTTTCCTGAGGAACAGACTTAAGTATGCCCTGACAGGAGATGAAGTAAAGAAGATTTGCATGCAGCGGTTCATTAAAATCGATGGCAAGGTCCGAACTGATATAACCTACCCTGCTGGATTCATGGGTAAGAAGTTTTAAATACTCTGGAGACGCATATTGATGGCAGCCCTATGGTATCCAAATACTGTCTTGATCATTTTTCTAACCTTTGTAATCTGTCAAGTCTCAGAAACAAAGCCTGACCTTCCCTCTGTTTTTTACTTAAATAAAAAACATGCAAATAATCATGAAACGCTTTTCAAAACTAAATTTCGATTCACTTTTAAATTTTACATGCAGTCATGGGGTTTTGAAATATTGAAGATCTGGCCGTGATCTTTAATCTTCAGAATCCTTGTTGGATTAGAACTGGGAGGCACATGGGGGTTCTTTTTGTTTCGTAGAGAGCTATGGTTGTTGCTCGGCATGAGGTAGTGGGGATCACTGTATGTAGTAACCGGTTACTGCTTGATTTCAGATGTCATCAGCATTGACAAGACGGGAGAGAATTTCCGTCTGATCTATGACACCAAGGGTCGCTTTGCTGTACATCGTATTACACCTGAGGAGGCCAAGGTGAGTGTGGCAAGCAAGCTGGGTCTTTACTCAGTATAGTTACTTTGTTCTAAGGGCCTGCATTGAGTACGAGTGCTGCTTGCAATGAGGTGGGTATTGATTAGTTAAAATCTCATACCTGGAAATATCTAGCTAACAATTCGATGAGATTCTGTCTTACATGTAACTTTTTGTCATGTTATTAAAAGTCTGGCTGATAGCTGTAGGGCATTGATGGATACCTAAAATTGGCCCCCATTTGAAGTTAACTTCCTCAGCAGATTTTCTTTTTTTGTGGTAGAAATGAATTCCAGTTGAACCGCGACTTCCTGGTGTCTCTTAAGAGTCAAGGAGAATGATTTCTGGGAACTTGTTTATTGGGTACCTGACGTAGGAGCCCTTTGCCATGTCTCCATTTGTGGGAGTAGCTTTACTTTGGGGAGGGGAAGGTGTCGATGGAGGAAACAGACAGTCCTTGAGGCACTAGTTTGAGGTTTAAAAAAAGATTACAGTCTTTGATTATTTAATCCAGTTTGTTTTGATGGTTTTACACAAAAGTTTAGGGCTGTTTGGATTATTGGCTGTAAATGAAGGTTAATTTAATTGACTGATGTGGCTCCTAATTTCCTTTTGCACAGCCTTGTTAACAGCAGACTGGAGGGCACGTCCAGTGGGATCTGTGATTATTTGATTTACTTCAAGGATATCAGGGAGTAGAGATCCAAAATTGAAATGCTATGTGAAGTATTTGTTGATTGGATGAACTGGTAATGTAATTGCTGTTTGTGAGACAAAACTCAGTCGTGATGTACAGGGAGCCATTAAGATAAAGTTGAGTTGAAGGGAAGAATTCCCAGGGCCCCATAAGGCTTAAAGAGCCTGGGAAACTGGAGTGGCATTTACATTGGAGGAGTGGAGGGCAATGGTGGATGTTAGGAGGACGAGCCTAGAGAAGGGCTTTATGCAACATACACTTGAGGGTGGAAAGAACGATCAGCGTCACAATTAATCTGCAGCAGTTAGGGAACCCATGGTTCCTGTATAGGGTTAAAAAGTACATGTGAGATGGATTGAATGTGGCTAACCCTTGTATTTTTCTAGTACAAGTTGTGCAAAGTGAGAAAGATCTTTGTGGGCACAAAAGGAATCCCTCATCTGGTGACTCATGATGCCCGCACCATCCGCTACCCCGATCCCCTCATCAAGGTGAATGATACCATTCAGATTGATTTGGAGACTGGCAAGATTACTGATTTCATCAAGTTCGACACTGGTAAGCATCCTCTGTGCTACCTGGGCACCCTCTTTAAGGCCTAGATCATTATGAATTGCACAGGGTCTGGGTATCTTTATTAAAAACCATCTGCTCCAATCGCCCAGGTGTGTTTATAGCCAGAGGCACAAATGCTCAGAATACTCATTTCTTTTCTTTAAATTGTTTGTTTTTTATAGAGGAGGGTCTTACTGTGTTGCCCAGACTGTTCTCGAACTGATTATAGGTGTGAGCCACCAAGCCTGGCCACAAAATTTCTTACGAGAGTCCCGGGAGTCCTAGCATAGGCAGCAGTTCCATATGAGGAAATTCAAATGGGGGGAAAGGAGGAATAAAATTTGTTTGGACCCATCTCTGAGCTGCTTGTCATTTGTTATATTGAGTTGAAGCAGATTATTTCTTCCTGCCTAGGTAACCTGTGTATGGTGACTGGAGGTGCTAACCTAGGAAGAATTGGTGTGATCACCAACAGAGAGAGGCACCCTGGATCTTTTGACGTGGTTCACGTGAAAGATGCCAATGGCAACAGCTTTGCCACTCGACTTTCCAACATTTTTGTTATTGGCAAGGTAAGTCTGGGTTTTCCTTCTCTCTAGTCTGAGGAAATATGTAAATGCAGGTGGCTGCTGGGATTGTAGCATCCAGGCTCCTGGCTGGCTCTGCTGAACCTAGTGCAAAGCCTCTTCTGGATAGGACTCACGCAGAGCTGGGCTGAGTCATAATGATTAGCCTTAGGTACTACTAAACTTTGACTCACTTGAATAAATGGTAGGTGCCTGCTATGCACAATAAACTTCTAAGACATTAATTCTGAAGGGCATACGGTGAGTTTCATAGGACAGCCCCAGAAACCCAAGCAGTGGGTGCTTTTGGTAACCAGCATCTGTGTCTTGCAACTGCCTAGCTGATGCCAAGCACTCTCACAAACAGGCTTCAGTTCTGTTAAGTGAGGTGACAAATGTAGCATGTGCCAAGCCACTATGAGTTGGTGTGTGGTGGGTTTTGATTCTGCTTGTTTTCTCTTCCAGGGCAACAAACCATGGATTTCTCTTCCCCGAGGAAAGGGTATCCGCCTCACCATTGCTGAAGAGAGAGACAAAAGACTGGCGGCCAAACAGAGCAGTGGGTGAAATGGGTCCCTGGGTGACATGTCAGATCTTTGTACGTAATTAAAAATATTGTGGCAGGATTAATAGCATTTTGGTTTTGTGGGTTGTTTTTTTTTTTAATTCAGTTTCCTGCTATTTTACTGTATAACATGAACAGTGATTAAGTTCTCAGGCAGGCTTAGGCAGTCTGTTATTGGCTGGGCTTAGTTAGTGGTGGGAAGTAGAAGATACCAGACTTGGGAAAGGAACAGCAACTAACCAAGGAGTAGAAAGAGCCAAGAAATCCCGGAGTATTTATCTCCCCCGCCTTGACTTGGCCAAGAACTTCTCTACACAGTGGACCCCTCTGCCCTGTTAAGTTCCCTTGGCTTTCTAAAAATCTGCCCTCATTTTCTTCTCCAGTCTGTATTGCACTAGCCCATCCACAAGCCTGGCTCATCTGTTTTTCCCACTCCTGTGCCCATCTTGCCAAACGCAGGATGAAAATCTCCAGTTGCCATTAAAGGTGGTCATAAATGGGCTGTTGATGTTGCAAAGCATTGCAGTTCCTTGGACTTAGTGCCCTTATTCTCCAGCTGCCGCTGCAGTCCTCAACTCTGTTTTTCAGAGGACAGAGATGTAGAACATAAACTTGTTCTTGCTTGTCCAAATGTGTCGGGTCATGTCAGGCTTGCTTACCAGTCTCAGGAAGATGTGCCCCTGCTTCATGGGGCCTGCTGTTACACACCTGTTCCTCAATCCAGTCCCTCCAGTCTCAGTGTCAATTATCCTACCTTGTGATTTCAACCTTCTCTCAACCAACTCTCTTGTTCCTGTTACCCTATAAAGCATGTCTTCCTGTTAAAAACGAAAACCTCCCTTGCCACCTATAGCAGGGCTTTTCAACTTTGATACTGTTAACATTTGGGGCTACATAATTTGTGGGCAGCTGTCCTGTTTATTGTGGAATGTTTAACAACATTCCTAGCCTCTATCCACTAGATATTCACCCCCCACCCCCTGAGTTGTAATACAAAAATTACTTCAGACACTGCTAAATGCCCTCTGAGAAGCAAAGTTGCCCTGTGTTGAGAGGTACTGCCTTGTAGATGCTGTATCTCAGGTCACCTTCATTTAGCACCTTGCACTTAACTTGCTGTAGACCACTCAGGCTTAATCATCCCACCATCACAGGTTTAGGGGAGAAAATCAGTTGCGTTTTGGACATCTTTAAGATAAACATGTGAAGTCACTTGGCATATTTAGCTGGGAATGTTAAATGGTCCCTGTTTCCCAGGTGTATGGTTTAGCAGTGGATAAGAGGCCTGTAGAGGCACTGTGGCTTAGGGCAGTATCTCTACCCCTGGCAGCATCCTGGACTTTGAGTCAGCAGACTACTTGGTCTTGCCAGAGAAAATCAGCTAAAGGAGGCATGCCCAGGGGTCCCTGAAGCCCAGATTTGGTCCCATAGGGCTTCTCTGCCATTCATATTGCAGACGCCAAAGCATGACTGGCTGGGGTCCCATTCACTTTTTTTTTTTTTTTTTTTTTTTTTTTTTTTTTAAAGACAGCGTCTTGCTCTGTCACCCAGGCTGGAGTGCAATGGTTCAGTCATAGCTCATTGCAGCTTCAAACTCCTGGGCTCAAGCGATCCTCCAGCCGCAGCCTCCTGAGTAACTGGGACTATGGGCACGCACTGTGATGCCAAATTAATTTAATTAATTTGTTTCTGTAGAGAAGGTCTTGCTACATTGCCCACGCCAGTCTTGAATTCCTGGGCTCAAGTGGTCCTCCCACCTTGGCCTCCCAAAGTGCTGGGATTACACGTGTGAGCCACTGTACCTGGGCCAGAAAAGGAATTTCTGCAGGGACTGGGCCCCCCTGAATCAGGGATGGGAAAGGTGTGTAAGTGGGCTTGCCAGGTATCTTGCTTTAAGAATGGTTCTCTTGTCAAGAGAATGGAGCTCATCCTTGTTCTGTTGAGGCCAGGTCAGAAGTAACCTTATGGTGCCCTTCAGAAACAGGCAGGTGAGCCGGGCGTGGTGACTCACACCTATAATCCCAGCACTGAGAGAGGCCAAAGCAGGTGGATCGACTGAGCCCAGGAGTTTGAAACTAGCCTGCATAACATGGCAAAACCTTGTCTACCAAAAATTAGCCGGGCATGGTGTCATGCATCTTTGGTCCCAGCTATTTGGGAGGCTGAGGTGGGAAGATCACTGGAGCCTGGGGAATGGAGGTTGCAGTGAGCCATTATTGTGCTACTGTACTCCAGCCTGGGTGAGAGTGAAACCCTGTCTTAAAACAGACAGGCGAGACTATGAAAGGCCAGAGGGCAGGACTCCAGCCAGTCACCTGGATGCAGGGTCCTGAATGCTGGTAGGCTCTTGGTGCTACACTACTCAACACATCCTTGGCTACACTTTGCACCTTTCTAGGTACTAAAATCTCTGCTCAGCAGATGATAGAAATGTGAATTTTAGCTAAGGGACCAAAGCAAATATGGAGGAAAATGAGAAGCCTCAGAGTTCCTTTCACATATATGATGGTTTCCTAGATGTTAATTGGTGAGCCAGTCAGCACAACTGGAGAATTGGTGTGTTCAGCTGTGGTCTCGTATCACAGGGAGATGTGGGGTTTTGTTTATTTTATTTTATTTTATTTTTTGGAGACAGGATCTCACTTTGTCACCCAGGCTGGAGTGCAGTGGCAGGATATGACTCACTGCAGCCTTGACGTCCCAGGCTCAAGTGATCCTCCCACCTCAGCTCCCTGAGTAGATGGGACTACAGGAGCACACCACCATGCCTGGCTAATTTTTTGTTTTTTTGTAGAGATTGGGGTCTTGCTATATTGCCCAGGCTGGTCTCAAACTCCTGGGCTCAAGTGGTCCTCTCAAAGTGCTGGGATTACAAGCAAGAACCACTGAGCCTAGCCTGGGAGATTTCTTTTCAACATTTTAAACTTGTGATTTTTTAATGTATTTGTTAAACTAGCACAGGGATTTTTTTGTTTTGTTTATTTTGAGACAGAGTTTCGCTCTTGTTGCCCAGGCTGGAGTGCAATGGCGTGATCTCGGCCCAGGGTAGCCTCCGCCTCCCAGGTTTAAGCGTTTCTCCTGTCTCAGCCTCCTGAGTAGCTGGGATTACAGGCATGTGCCACCACGCCTGGCTAATTTTGTGTTTTTAGTAGAGATGGGGTTTCTCCATGTTGGTCCAGCTGGTCTTGAATACCCAGCCTCAGGTGATCTGCCCACCTTGGCCTTCCAAAGTGCTGGGATTACAGGCATGAGCACGGCACTCGGCCGGGAATTTTTTTTTTACTAGCAACTTCCCATAGTGGGGAAGATTTCCATTCTAATACCAGGCAAGTGGACTTAGCGCAAGGGCCCTGAATCATCTAAATGAGCTGCAAATTTCCAAATAAAATAGCTTGTGTCTTTGTAAGGCTTTTTAAGCCTTCCAATTTGCTTCATATTCTTAGAGCTGAAGGAAACCTTTGAGATCATCTCAGCAGGGAGCCAAACAGAAGTCCTGAGATGAAACAGACTGAAGCTAGCAGAAATTCACCGGGTTTAGTTTACATCCCTGTGCCTCCAGCAGGCTAGGCCTCACATCTGAGTCAGAGCAGCACAATGCAGCACAGCTTTGAATAAGAAGAATAACAAATAGCTAGGACATATATAGTACTTGATAGTTTACAAAGCCATTTTGATTTTTTGATACCCAAATCCTGTATTCTTTTCCCTAAACCAGATAGAGAAGAGTGATACCTCCCTCTGGCCTGTCAGTCTGTTTATAGTGTCCCCATCAAGCTCCAGCCAAAAGCTTTGGACACATCCTTGATTCCTGTTCCTTTTATCAGAAAATCCTGGTGACTCTACCTTCAAAATATGTCCAGAATCCATATTTAGTGATACTTAGAAATAATTGCTCAATTTTGCACAATCATACAGCTTTTTACAGAGTCCTTATCTTTGAGGATACATACTGAAGGATTTGCAGAAGAAATGACAAGCAATCTGAAATTTGCTTCAAGTCTGGGTGCAATGGTTCATGCCTGTAATCCCAGCTCTTTGGGAGGCCAAGATGGGAGTTGAGGCCAGGAGTTCAAGACCAGTCTGGGCAATGTAGAGAGATACACCACCATCTCTACAAAAATTTTTAAAATTAGCTGAGCATGTTGGTTCTCACCTATAGTTGAAGCTACTTGGGAGGCTGAGGTGGGAGGATAGCTTGAGCCCAGGAATTTGAGACTACAGTGAACTATGATTGCCACTGCACTCCAGCCTGGGTAACAGAGCAAGACCCTGACTCAAAAATAAATAAAAATGGCCATGTACTGATAATGTTGAAGGTGAACGATGGATAGAGGGGATTCATTACGCTCTCTACTCCTATATATCTTTGAGATTTTTCATAATAAACATATAAAGGAACAAATAAATAGCACAGTGTATGCCCTCCTCCCAGATAATATCAGACCACTTATCACCTGCATCACTACCACCCTGGTCTGAGCCACCAACAACTCTTACCTGCACTCTAGATTATAGATAGCACCAACCCATAACGGGTCTCTTGGCTTCCATTCTTGACCCCTACAGTCTCAACCCAGCTGCCGAATGGGATCCTGTTTAAGACAGGTCAGGTCACTCCTCACTCATGCTCCTAAATGAGCTCCCATCTATCCCAACTCAGACTAAGAGCCACAGCCATAAGAACCTGCGAGGCCCTCACAGTCTGGCCTCACCTCATCTACCTGTTCCCTCTGAGTCAATCTGTTCCAGCCACACTGGCCTCCTTGATGTTTCTTGAACACAAGAGGCATTCTCTTGCCTCAGAACTTTGCACTGATTCTTACTGTAGTTTATATTATGAACTTTCTCAAGTATACAGGAAAGTTGAAACAGCAGTACAGTGATTACCTATATAGACACCAGCTGGATTCAATAATGGTTAACATTTTGCCATATTTGCTTTATTTTCATTCCTGTATATGTACACAAACATCTTATTTTTCTGAACACTTTGAAAGTAAATTGCAGCCGGGCATGGATGGCTCACGCCTGAAATCCCAGCACTTTGGGAAGCCAAGGTGGGAGGATCTCTTGAGCCCAGGAGTTCAAGACGAGCCTGGGCAACATAGGGAGACCCCTCCAACTCTACAAGAAATACAAAAAATTAGCTGGGTGTGATGGCACTGGCATCTAGTCACAGCTACACAGGAGGCTGAGGTGGGAGGATCACTTGAGCCAAGAAGGTGAAGGTTGTAGTAAGCTAAGATTATGCCACTGCGTTCCAGCCTGGGTGATAGAGTGAGACCGTCTCAGAATTTTTTGAGATGGACTTTCGCTCCCGTTTCCCAGGCTGGAGTGCAATGGTGCAATCTCTGCTCACTGCAACCTCCACCTCCCAGATTGAAGCGATTCTCCCGCCTCAGCCTCCCGAGTAGCTGGGATTACAGGCGTGAGCCACATGCCCGGCTAATTTTTGTAATTTTGTAGAGACGGTTTCACCATATTGGCCAGGCTGTCTCGAACTCCTGACCTCAGGTGATCCGCCCTTCTCATCCTCCTGAAGTGCTCTGATTACAGGCATGAGCCACCACTCCCGGCCTCAAAAGTTTTTTAAAAAAAGAAAGGGGTGGCTGGGTGCGGTGTCTCACGCCTGTAATCCCAGCACTTTGGGAGGCCAAGGCAGGCAGATCGCGAGGTCAGCAGTTCGAGACCAGCCTGGCCAACGTGGTGAAACCTTGTCTCCACTAAAAATACAAAAGCCAGGTGTGGTGGCAGGCGCCTGTAATCCCAGCTACTCAGAAGGCTGAGGCAAGAGAATCGCTTGAAACCAGGAGGCGGAGGTTGCAGTGAACCGAGATCATGCCACCGTACTCCAGCCTGGGTGACAGAGCAAGACTCCATCTTGGGAGAAAAAAGGGAGGGTGGGGGGCCACATGTTCTCAGGACCTCCTGAGGGCTGTGTCGTGGAAAAAAAAAAGTTTTTAAAGTACATTGCAGACATGACCTCGGGTTCCTGGTACCAAAAGTTGGCAAGTGCTGGGTCTGAGGGACTCCACCCAAGGAGTTAATTTCCATGTTCCCTTGAACATAAACTGGCTATCCAAGAGTGATGCTATCTTTTCAGGTAGGACTTTTCTCTCCCAAATTCGAAATCCACTCATCTGCTCCAGGTTGTTTAGCCTGGAAAATTCCCCAAACACAAAGATCAATTTTAAAGCCCAAAGGGGCCAGGCACAGTGGCTCACACCTGTAATTCCAGCACTTTGGGAGGTGGGCGGATCACCTGAGGTCGGGAGTTCGAGACCAGCCTGGCCAACAAGGCCATACCCCATCTCTACTAAAAATACAAAAATTAGCCGGGCATGGTGGCTGGCACCTGTGGTCCCAGCTACTTGGGAGGCTGAGGCACAAGAATCGCTTGAACCCAGGAAGCAAAGGTTGCAGTGAGCCAAGATCGTGCCACTGTACTCCAGCCTGGGTGACAAAGCGAGACTCTGTCTCAAAAATAAATAAAATATTATTAAATTTAAAAAAACTCTTTATTGTGAAGTCCATGTAGCCAGTTGATTCTCATAGAATGCTTTTATTGACTTTTGCCAAACTCATATCCATAGCCAACCTATGGTTATGGTTGCAATCGACAAAAGAATGTTAGCTCCCATGAGAGTATTGGTTGATATTTTTGTTTGCATTAACAAATAAGACAAAAGTGAAACAACAAAGACATATATGTTGGAACTTCAACTCATCTGTCAATGATGTGAGCAGCTTCTTTGCTGACTTGGAGAATAGTTCTTGAATACTGAAAGAATATTTCCTTAATTTTTAACTTTTTTTTTAATTTTTAGAGACAAGGTCTCACTCTGTTGCCCAGGTGGGAGTGCACCCTGCTACTCACAGGCACAATCACAACACCCTGCAGCCTTGAACTCCTGGGCTTAAGTGATACCCCTGGGACTACAGGCACATGCCATCACCCTTGGCAATTTTTTTGTACAATTCACAATGTAATGGCTACAGTGACAGCACACTTCTAAGTTTAACCTGCATTTTTAAACATTTTCTCCATCACTTCCTTAACACTAGACAATCACCAAAACAATTAGCCAAGTTCTGATTTGTAGTGTTTGCCCATTTCCATGGCTGATTTGAGGCTACCAACATGTCACTGAACAAGGAGTTGGGAGGAGATGAACGTAGCACACCATTACATAGCATTTCCACCATGCAGATACAGCAGGTGTGAATAACTTCAAGGGCATCATAGAGAGTAGTAAAATGTAGTAAAATAATGAGGAAGTGATGAGATTTTAGTATTTATTACCTTTTTTTTTTGAGACAGTCTCGCTCTGTCAAAACTTACATATATATGTTTTTTGTGGGGTTTTTTTTTTGAATTTTTGTTTTTTTTTGTTTTTTTTGAGACGGAGTCTTGCTCTGTCGCCCAGGCTGGAGTGCAGTGACGTGATCTCAGCTCACTGCAAGCTCCGCCTCCCGGGTTCACGCCATTCTCCTGCCTCAGCCTCCCGAGTAGCTGGGACTACAGGCGCCCGCCACCACGCCCGGCTAATTTTTTGTATTTTTAGTAGAGACGGGGCTTCACCGTGTTAGCCAGGATGGTCTCGATCTCCTGACCCCTGGATCCGCCCGCCTCAGCCTCCCAAAGTGCTGGGATTACAGGCGTGAGCCACCGCGCCCGGCTTTTTTTTTTTTTTTTTTTTTTTTTTTTTTGAATTTTTTGGCTGGGCATGGTGGCTTATCCCTGTAATTCCAGCACTTTGGAAAGGCCATGGCAGGAGGACTGCTTGAGCCCAGGAGTTCAAAACCAGCCTGGGTAAGATGGCAAGACCCCACCTGTACAAAAAAAAAAAAAATTTTTTTCTTGAGACGGGGTCTCACTGCACTGATTTCGGCTCACTGCAGCCTTGACCTCCTGGGCTCAAGCAATCCTCCCACCTCAGCCTCTTGAGTAGCTGGGACTACAGGCACACGCCACCATGCCCAGCTAATTTTTTTTTTTTTTTTTTTTTTTTTTTTTGTAGAGACGGGGTTTTGCCATGTTGTGCAGGCTGGTCTCAAACTCCTGAGTTTAAGCAATCTGCCCACCTCGGGCTCCCAAAATGTTGGGATTACAAGCATGCAACACCGCACCCAGCCAAAATGTTTTTTAAAAATTAGCCAGGCTGCTGGGCGCGGTGGCTCACGCCTGTAATCCCAGCACTTTGGGAGGCCGGGGTGGGCGGATCACAAGCTCAGGAGATCGAGACCATCCTGGCTAACACAGTGAAACCCTGTCTCTACTAAAAATACAAAAAATTAGCCGGGCGCAGTGGCAGGCGCCTGTAGTCCCAACTACTCGGGAGGCTGAGGCAGGAGAATGGCATGAACCCGGGAGGCGGAGTTTGCAGTGAGCTGAGATCGCGCCACTGCACTCCAGCCTGGGCGACAGAGCAAGACTCTGTCTCAAAAAAAAAAAAATTAGTCAGGCAAGGGGGTATGTGCCTGTATTCCCAGCTATTTGGGAGGCTGAGGAAGGAGGATCCCTTGAGCTCAGGAGTTCAGGGTGGCAGTGAGCTATGATTGCACCACTGCACTCCAACCTGGGTGACAAAGCAAGACCCTGTCTCTAAAAACAAAACAAACAAAAAAGAGGCAGGATTGTGCTATGTTGCCCAGGCTGGTCTTGAACTCCTAGCCTCAAGTGTTTCTCTTGCATCAACCTTCTGAGTAGCTGGGATTACAGGCCTGAGACACCATGTCCAGCAAAAATATTTTTAATATTGATACTTTTTTTCATTTTTAATGAATGCTGAGAAAATTCCTGAAAGTTTAACAATTAGCCCTTGGGAGCTGGTAGGAACTGGTTCCAGCTGGTATGAGACCAAGCAGGCTGCCCTGATTCTGGCAAGTGTGCCACCTCAGTACCCCTCACATGGGCACTCCTCCATTCCTTCTGCTACCTCTGCCGTGGGCTACTTTCTGTGCTCCTAGCCTAGTCCCTCTTCTGCAGGCTGCTGCCCACTCCCTAGAGCTCAGCTTGACGTGTGTCACGTTCTCTTCAAAACCTCTTGTTCAAAATCACTGCCTGTAGAATCAAGTTCAAATTCTTTGGGCTGTCCTTGCAAGGCCTCCCTAGTGTGGTGCTCAGCTATTTTTTCAATAGAAAGACAACAGTAGCTTGCAATCCCAAGTCTCTGTTTACCACCACGACTTCTTTCTTGGACATCAGGCCCACAAAGCCACCTGCTCCCTGGGCGTCTCCTGTTGAATGGTCTCCTGTTTTTCTTGTAGGGCCTCAAATTCACCCTGTTCCCTTTTCTCTTCAGACTCTTTGGACAGTTTCTTCTCACAGGAACATTTTTCTTCCACTCTGCAACCCTGCTTGTCCCCGCTCCACTAACTTTTTTCTGGTGGACTGTCATCCATCCTTCAGGTCTCAGCTGAAACGTTGCTTCCCCTGGGAAACCTCTGGGAAGGTGAGGGACTCACACACACCATTTCTCTCTTCTTCCCATCATAGAATTTGCCACATTGTATTAAAATTGTCTATTTGGCTGTCTCCCCCAGGAGACTGTGAGGTGCATAAGGCTCATCTTGTTCACCACTCTATCCCCAGCACCTAGCCCGTTCACTGGCACCCTGTGGGTGCTGAACAAATGAACAAATTAATGAGGTACATCCAGCAGTTCCCCTACAAACCCGCCCCCACATCTGTCTGGTTTCCTTGCTGTTCCCCAAGCACACCTTGTACTTTCTCTTTTCTGAAAACAAAAACAAAAATCCATAGTTTTTGTTTGTGCTTAAGGGGACAAAGTCAGAAAATGTCACCTTCTGAAATTGGAACTAATAGAATCAACATTGAATAGATGAGATCAGCCATCTGCAAAATAATCCACTTTAAGGGGTGGTTTGTAAATATGATACCAATGAGATGAGGGTGCTTCTCAGGTCTCTATGGTGACCAGCATGTTGCTGCAGGCTGGGAATCTGCCAAACATAAAGAAAGTGATAATGTCAATCAATTGTAACCTGATTGCTAGAGATAATGCTGTATAAACAGGAGGGCCCTTGTCTGCATGGGGTCTTGACAAGAGTTGAGCCAAAGAGCAACACATTTATTGTGTCTGATCATCATTAAGTGCTACATGCAGCCCTTTGCAGTTTACAGAGCTCCTCCTTGCAGTGAATTTCCACGACCCTGAAAAATTGGGCTTATTTGCCATTTTACTGGTGAAGAAAAATGCCCACACCTTCACTAAGCCCACAGGAAGTGAGAAGGTTATGAACTGAAGGACAGAAATACTTCTAGGGCAGACACAGCAGCTTTTGGCTTTGAAGAGGTTTGGCTCGGGGCCTCAGACCCCCTTGAAGGGGGCAGATTGTCATGGGGTGGGGCGCTGAATGCTGCCAGGTTGATCTCTTGTTCATTCAGCAAACATTTATCGAACCACAACCACGTGCTCAGCAGAGCGCTAAGAACTTGGAATACAGTGATAAGAGCTCTTTGTCAAACTGACGACCTAAGTCCAGGACTGTGACAAGTAAATAATCACAAATATGTTGTGATAGGTGGTCTGAGAAGGGAAGCACGAGGTGCTCTTGGAGGCCCATAGAAGAGACACCTATACAGGTCTTGGGGGGAGGGTCTGGGAAGGCTTCACAGAGGAATTGGTGCCTTGAGCTGACTTAAGCATCTGAAGGGACTTAGAGAGATAAAAGGGGGCTGGAGGACTCAGAGGATGGGGAGAGAAGGACTTTCCAGGGAGAGATGGCAGAAAACAAGAACACCTGGGAATGAGGGTGTATGACAAGTAAAGGCAAGGGAAGAGGGGTGGGAGGAAGTTGTGAGAGGCGAGGCTGGAGAGATCATCACAGAATCCAAATTAATATCATCATAACCTCACAATAATAACTTATAATACAATATAACAAATCCATCATATCACAATTAGTAATCGTTAGTTGATTAAATCAATAAATCATATTACTGGTACTGACAACTTTATAATAACCAGGTCTAATTGGCAGCAAGTGATTAAAGTGCTTAGGTGCAGGGCACCAAGTTGAGCAGGTTACATGCCCTCTCTCCTCTCTCACCCTCACAACAACGCTACCAGGGAGGTACTGTTCTCCCACTTTGCAAATGAGAAAGTTGAAGATTCAAGATGTTAAAAAGCATACCGAAAGTCGCATTCGCTATGAAATGGCTGGCCTTACATTAGAATCGAGGCTTATAGGGACTCCAGAACCCATCCTGTAAAATGATTTGCCTAATAGCACTAGGTCTCATTACACATGTACAAAAATTTGGACTTAATCCAAACAGAAATAAAGTCATCCATGAGTTCTGGACAGGGGGGTCGACACCCAGATTTTGGTTTTTTTTTTTTTTTTTTTCTGAGACGGAGTCTCCCTCTGTCACCCAAGCTGGAGTGCAATGGCACGTCTCGGCTCACTGCAACCTCCGCCTCCCGGATTCAAGAAATTCTCCCTGCCTCAGCCTCCCGAGTAGCTGGGATTGCAGGTGCCTGCCACCATGCCCGGCTAATTTTTTTATTTTTAGTAGAGACAGGGTTTCACCATGTCCAGGCTAGTCTCGAACTCCTGACCTCAGGTGATCCACCCACCTCGGCCTCCCAAAGTGTTGGGATTACAGGCATGAGCCACCGCGCCCGGCTAAATTTTGCTTAATTTAAAAAGCTCTCTCTGGCTGCACGGTGAAAGCAGCTCATGGAAGCAGAGAATAGAGGCAGAGAGGGCCGCGGAAGGCTTTTGCCTTTTACTTCAGCTCTCAGGTAGTGTGGCTTGGCCTAGAGAGACAGCCATGGGGACGGAAAGAAGGGATTGGTTTCATGCAATTTGTAGGGGGTAAAATTGACAGGCCTTGGTGACTGATGGGATGTGGAGAGTGAGAGCAAGGAAAACTTGAGAATGACTGCCTGAATTCTGGCTTAAGCAAATGGATGAGTAGGTGGCAGAGCCAGTTGTAGAAAAGAACATGAAAAAAGGAAGAGGTCCGGGGAGAGACACCCACTGAGTTCACACTGCAGGTAGAGGGCGAGGTACATACGTGGGAGACACTAAGGAGGAGGGCCTTGGGAGGCAGTTGGAGAGATGGTTCTCAACCTCAGAGGAGAGGTCTGGACTAGGCATCAGGATAAAGAAGGTAACTGGAGCCCTGGAGGGATGAGGTCTCTCAGGCGTGCCATGCCTCCAAGTAAGATAGGCAAGGGCCAAGGATACCCTGATGCACACCACTATTTGAGGGAGGACAGAGTGAAAGGGTCTGCAAAGGGCCTGCTTGCTCCCATAGGAGAAGATAGCTGGCAGGCCCAAGGGAAAGTTGGGCCTTCAGCTCCTTGAACTGAAAGGACCTTTGGAAAACATTTGATTCAAACGTCTCATTTATAGATGCCTCCCCTCGGAAGGACACCGGGCGGCACCACTGCCAATTTGAGCACTCTCGTATCTTTGCAGCTAGGATGAAGACTTGGGGCTGGGTCTCCAGCTGTGGGGAGAGCTACCCAAACAACCAATCCCACTCTCTTAACCCAGCCCAGCCCCTTTGGAATACAAGGCTCTTATATGTGTGGCAGTAGTTTGATCCAACTGTTGAAGAGACACTACAGCATAGCGGTTAAGGATATGGCCTCTGGGCCAGGCGCGGTGGCTTCTGCCTGTAATCCCAGCACTTTGGGAGGCTGAGGCAAGCAGATCACTTCAGGTCAGGAGTTCAAGACCAGCCTGGCCAATATGGTGAAACCCCGTCTATACTAAAAAAAAAAAAGAAAAAAAATTAGCCAGGTATGGTGGCAAGCACCTGTAATCCCAGCTACTCAGGAGGCTGAGGCAGGAGAATGGCTTGAACCCAGGAAGCGGAGGTTGCGGTGAGCCAAGATTGTACCACTGCACTCCAGCCTGGGCAATAGAGCGAGACTCTGTCTCAAAAAAAAAAAAAAAAAAAAAAAAGGATATGGCCTCTGTGCCAGAGTACCAGTGTTCAAAACCCCCACCAACATTCACTAGCTGTGATAGTGGGCAAGTCAATTCACACCCCTGATTCTCAGCTTTCCCATCTGTAAAAGGGGATAATAATTGTACCAACTTCATAGGTTTTGTTGTGAGGATAAACTGTATTAGAACACTCCCTGGCGACTATTAATAGTAAACTCTGGGCCAGGCATGGTGGCTCATGCCTGAAATCCCAGCACTTTGGGAGGCCGAGGCTGGTGGATCACCTGAGATGAGGAGTTCGAGACCAGTCTGACCAACATGGTGAAACCCCTCCTCTACTAAAAATATAAAAAATTAGCCGGGCATGGTGGTGGGCGCCTGTAATCCCAGCTACTTGGGAGGCTGAGGCAGGAGAATCACTTGAACCTGGGAGGCAGAGGTTGCAGTGAGCAAAGATCATGCCATTGCACTCTAGCCTGGGCAACAAGAGCGAAACTCCGTCTCAAAAAAAAAAAAAAAAAAAAGTAGTAAACTCTATTGAGTGTTAGCTGATCCTGGCCAACAAGAATGTGTTGTTTCCAGTTACAGTTTCCAAGTCCATATTCTCTGGGGCCTAACTGCTCACTAAAAATGCTTAGGGCATTCATAAAGCAGGGATGACAACAAAAGTGTTTTGGAAAATAATATGATAATTGAGATTTCAAATAACTCCATCAAAGTAGTCATCACAGGAAAAAGCAGACCTTGGTTAGACTTTCTTACCCTTTTGTAAAAAAATTTTTTTTATTTTCTGGCGGGAACTTATAGAGCATTTCTTACCCTCTTTACAGTTTGGTATAATTTTTATTTTGAATCACGTAATGGTAGTGGGAGTATTGAGTAGGGGGTGCAGGGGACAAGGTAAAACCCAAATTTTTTAGAGCCCCTGAGTCTTACTCTCAGATAATCCCATTTGAGCCTTGCATCAAGCCTGTGATGGAGGTATCATTTACATCCTTCTTCGCAGAGGTGGAAAATGAGGCTCAGAGAGGTCAAGAACCTGGTCCAAGTTCACACAATTAATAGGGATGGGCTGGATGGGAACCCAGGCATTCTGATGTCAGAGCCCCTCATGAGGTGAGGAGTTAGTGTTTGTGGTTCTGGAGGTGGGGGTAGGGTTTCCTCAGTGTGGGTCTAACAGTCCCATATAAAGGGGATTCATGCTTTTGTACAAGGAGTAAGGGAGTAAGGGCTGGGGCGATTCAGGCCAGAATGCAAAGATGGTTCACGAGGCCTTTTGGAGAGTCTCTTCCTTGGGGGCCATATGTTTGCAATCAGTGTGCGTGTGGCTGTGGGGGGAGCCCTGTTCTGGCCAGTGGCCAAGACAGATGTTTGCTGTGTGATTCACACAAACACAAACCTCAGTAACTCCTCGGCATGCTGGGAATTTTGTGTGCCATAGTTATGACCTGCTTCATCCGGTAACTCAGAAGGTTTCAAAGGTCCTCTGGGCCAGGGCCGATCCAAGGCAGAGCTGGGGAGGCAGGAGGTGGACCTCTCATCTCCTCACGCCTCTCTGTTGGGGTTCCTTTCCTTGCACAGGACTTCCTTTCCATCACACAGTCCACAGTCTCCACACCCTGTCCTCCTGCAGCTTTCCCCAACCCGAGACTTCCACGAAGGCCTGCCTGGCCATTGGCTTCATTTCCTCCTGCCTGTTGTGAAGGATGAGCCCCATGCACCTCTTTTCTGCCTAACAGAGCCCCACTCATCCTTCCCAGCTGCCTCCAACCTCAGCTCTGCTACGAGGCTTTTCCAGCTTCCTCAGAAAAGGAAGGTCAAGGGAGCAGCAAGTGCTCAGGAAGCACCTAGTCTGTGCCAGCCGTGGAACTGGGGTTTTACATAATCACCTCATTAAATCTTCACAACAGCCCTGTGTACTCCTACAGAAGAGGAATCTCAGGTTCAGAAATGGAAAGCAACTTGCCCAAGGTCATACAGCTAAGAAGGGCAGGGGTATAGCCCAACTTAACTCCCGAGTCCCTATGAACTTGAACTCTCTGTTTCACACCACACTGCCTGCCCCAAGACACCTTCCTCCTTGATCATCTTCAACTCCTTTTGTTTTTCTTCCCACCCCATGTCCAATCCATCAGCAAATACTCTTGGCTCCACCTTCAAAATATATCCAGAATCCACCACTTATCATCATCTCCCTAGCTGCCACCCTGGTCTAAGTTCCAATCAGCTTTCATCTGGGTTACAGCAATGGTACTCTACTGCTCCTTTGCTCCTAGCAGTGCTCCTAATGACTTTGCCCCTGCCCATCACGCCCTCCCCCCGGCCCCACACAGTCTATTCACCACACAGAAGCCAGAGGGATTCTGTTACAACACAAGTCAAATCACGTCACTTTTCTTTTCTTTTCTTTTCTTTTTTCGAGACAGAATCTCGCTCTGTCACTCAGGCTGGAGTACAGTGGCACGATCTCGGCTCACTGCAACCTCCGCTTCCTGGATTCAAACCATTCTCCTGCCTCAGCCTCCAGAGTAGCTGGGATTACAGGCACATGCCACCACGCCCGGCTAATTTTTTTGTATTTTTAGTAGAGACGGGGTTTCACCGTGTTAGCCAGGATGGTCTCGATCTCCTGACCTCGTGATCCACCCACCTCGGCCTCCCAAAGTGCTGGGATTACAGGCGTGAGCCACAACACCCAGCTATCATGTCACTTTTCTACCTCAAAGTCCTTCAGTGACTCTTGTTTCATTTGTAGTCTAAGTCCTTAATGTCAGCCTATATAGCCTAGATGATCTGTTCCCAGCTCTTTCCTATTCTCTCCCTTGCTCTGTTCCAGCTACCCTGGACTAGTTGCTATTCCTCCAACATGCCAGAGCCTGAGGGCCTTTGTACCTACTGTTTCTTTTGCCTGGAACATTCTTGGAAGTCTGCATGGCTTGCTGCCCGACTTGTTTCAGGTCTTCATTCAAAACATACGTTCTCAGTGAAACTCTCCCCATCATCCTGTTTCAATCTGCAACACCTACTCCACCAACACTTGCTATTCCTGCTCTCCTGTTTTGTTTTTTTTCTCCCTTTTGACTGTGATGGTTAATTTTATGTGTCAACTTGACTAGACTGTGGGGTATTCAGATATTTGATTCAACATGATTTCTGGGTGGGTCGTGAGAGTGTTTCTGGTTGAGATTCACATTTGAATTGGTAAACTGAGTAAAGCAGGGTGCCCTCAGGCTTCATCCAATTCATTGAAGGCCTGAATACAATAAAAGGCTGAGTAAGGAAGAATTCTTTTTCTCTGCCGACTTTGAGCTGGGACATCCATCTTCAAATTGGAGCTATACCTTGGCTCTCCTGGGTCTCCAGCTTGCCAACTGCAGAACTTGTTCTCAGCCTGCATAATCATGTGAGCCAATTCCTTATAGTAAATATATACATGTATGTCACATATGTGTATAAATCTAGAGATCCTGTTGGTTTGATTTCTCTGGAACACACCAACTAACAGTACTTTGGCTATTTTTTAAAAATGTGTTGTCTGCCCCTACTCTAAGTTAAACTTCATGAGGGCAAGGATTTTTGTGTGTTTTGCTCTCCGGTTTTTCCTCAACACAATACCTGACATATAGTAGGTGCTTAGTAAGTATTGCTTGAATGAATCATGGCCCTTTATGTTTGACTCTCCCAGGAGTCTGTGAGCCACTTCACTACAAGAACTTGGAGTCTTCGCCTTTGCATTCCCGGTGCCCGGCAAAGTGCCCACCTCCAAAGGTGCCCAGTAAATATCGAATGAAATGCCTTCATATGATCCGTCCAGAAGAACGTTGGAGTTTCCAGAACCAAATTAGGAGGACTGAGCCTTCTTCAGTCCCTAATTCAGGAGCACCACCTCTCTGCTTTCCCCCACCTCTCCCTGAAACCCCAGCCTTGCCGTGGCTGTTTGTCTGTTGTGCCCGGCCTCCTTCCCTGCCTCTCAGAGTCCTCTCTCCCTTCCCCCATCCGCCCCCTGCTCGCCCGCCTGAGTACAGGCTATTATCTGGGGGTGGTAATTATTGCGAGTAAATTGGAAGTTGTTTTGCACAGAGCTGTCTCACGCAGGTCGATTTGTATGCTTCCTGGGCACTTCTGACACTCCAGAAATGCCATAGCAACGGCCGGGCGCCGCCGGGCTCACTGATGGCAGGAGATCAGGTGGGGGAGCGGTGCGCCGTGGGCGGGAAGAGGGGCGGGAAGGCGGCAGGAAAGGCCGAGGGCACCACGCGGCAGGGAGGCCGCAGCCTTCTCAGCCGCCACCTGTCTGAGCCTTGATTTCCCTGTCGGTGACACGGGGATGAGAACCTGCAAGCAAGCTGTTGACAGGCATAAACGAGATAATGGCTTGAAGAGTTTGTAAACTAAAACGGCGGCCAGCTGGCATTACAATGATTATTATTATTACTATTATTATTATTATTATTATTATTATTATTTTTAGAGATGGGGTCTTGCTCTGTCGCCCAGGCTGGAGTTCAGTGGCGTGATCATGGCTCACTGCAGCCTCGACCTCCTGGGCTCAAGCGATCCGCCAATGGACTATTATTACCACGACTATTCTTTTTCCCGGTATTGTCTTCTTTTCCCCTTCTCCCTGCCTTTCTGCGGCTCTGCCCCCACCCGCCTCGCCGCCACCCCGACTCCTCCCACCTCCCCGGACCCCCGCCCTGAGCCGGTGCCTGCCTGAATCCCCCGCCAGAGCGGGGTTCCTGCTGGCCCTCCTTTATTCCGTGCAAAATCACAGCCCCTGGGACACCTTTTGGAGATGAGGCCCACAGAGACACCTCAAGCTCATCCTGCAGGGGCAGAGCCGCTGATTAAATTATATTCACTCTGCCTTTCAGTCATTCAGATTGGCTGGGATGAGGCCAGCTGGAATTAGTGAGAAATTTGAAGCAGAGAATATTGACAAAGAAAGGCTGTTTTATTGCCTGCAATGACACAGGATATTTCAAAGGCAGCTCAGCAGGTCAAGGAGAGCTTAGTTCACGAATAGATCAGACTTTTTGCTAATTATTTGGATAGACACAGATCTCAAGTTTTTAAAATCAGCTTTGTTTCCTTCAGGGACTTGAAAAACAACCCTTCCTCTCCCCAAATCTGAGATCCTTACCAGGTGAAGGCTTTGAAAACAAGAAAGTACTGTTAAACTATTCATTAATTCCAAATATTTTTTCAGCACCTACTATGTGCTAGGACGATTGCGGCTTTTGAAAATACAGACATGGAGCT
This sequence comes from Homo sapiens, assembly GCF_000001405.40. Classification (NCBI taxonomy): domain Eukaryota; kingdom Metazoa; phylum Chordata; class Mammalia; order Primates; family Hominidae; genus Homo; species Homo sapiens. Next base: position 72,254,477 of record NC_000023.11, on the reverse strand, counting down.
GATATCTACAGGAGAAACAAACAACATGGAAGTAAACAGGGAAACAGATACTTTTAAATCGTGGTATGGGCTCTGAAATATATAAATAGGATTAGAGTGGTGGGGGTAGCTACTTTAAAGAAGGTGGGTCAGGGAAGGTCTCAGGAGAGATGGCTGATTTCTGAATGATAAGAAGGAGCCAGCCATGCTCAGATTTTAGGGGAAAGTGTTACTGGCCAAGGGGACAGCAAAAGCAAAGACCTGGTGGTGGAAATGGGCATGGTTGTTCAAAGAACAGAAAGAAGGCCAATGTGCCTGAAGAAAAAGGGTGAGATTTGGAAATCACACAGGGACCTGTAGGCTTCAGTGAGGAGTTTCGATAGTATTTCCAGTGTGTTGTGAACTCAATGAAAGGTCTTAAGCAAAGGAGTGACCTGATCTGCTTTATGTGTTTCTTGAAAGGATTATTGGGTACTGTTTGAGGAATGGATTTTCTTTTCTTTTCTTTTCTTTTTCTTTTATTTTTTTTCTTTTTTTAAGACAGGGTTTCACTCTGTTGCTCAGGCTGGAGTGCAGTGGCATGATCATGACTCATTGAAGTCTCAACCTTCCAAGCTCAAGTGATCTTCCCACCTCAGCCTCCCATCTACCTAGGACTACAGGCATGCAGCACCATGCCAAGCTAGTTGTTTTTTGTTTTGTTTTGTTTTCTTTTGTTTTTTTTTTTGTAGAGATGGTGTCTCACTATGTCACCCAGGCTGGTCTTGAACTCCAGGGCTCAAGTGATCCTCCCACTTCAGCTTGCCAAAGTGCTGGGATTACAGTATGAGCCACCACGCCCCGCGTTGATTTTCTTTTTTCTTTTTCTTTTTTTGAGATGGAGTGTTGCTCTGTCGCCCAGGCTGGAGTGCAGTGGTGTGATCTCGGCTCACTGCAATCTCCGCCTCCCGGGTTCAAGCAGTTCTCCTGCCTCAGCCTCCCAGTAGCTGGGACTACAGGCGCACACCACCACGCCTGGCTAATTTTTGTATTTTTAGTAGAAATGGGGTTTCACCGTATTGGTCAGGCTGGTCTCGAACTCCTGACCTCAGGCAATCCAGCTGCCTCAGCCTCCCAAAGTGCTGGGATTACAGGCGTGAGCCACCGTGCCCGGCCTGATTTTCTAATAAGAAAGATTGACTGGGGAACAGGAATGGGAATAGGGAGACTAGTTAGGAAACCATTGGTAAATTCCAGGTGGCTTAGGCTTGGGTAGTTGCAGTGGAGTGGGGATAGGTGGAGAGATTCAGGATGTATTTTGGAGACAGCCAACAGGGCTTGGTGATGAACTGGATGAGGGAAAGAGATGATGTTTCTAATTTCAAGGTTTTTGGTTTGAGCAACTGAGTGGTGCCGTTTGTAGAGCTGGGGAAAACCAGGGCAGGTCAAGTTTGAGGGTGGGTTGGGAACCAATAATTCTCTTTTGGACGTTTTCAGAGTGAAATGTCAGATGTCGAGGGGGACTTGATATAGGAGTCTGGGACTCCAGTGAGAGGTTTGGACCTAAGAAAGACATTTGGGTGTCCTTAATATTCAGTTAAGAGCCCTTGGATTCTTGGTGACTTGCTCAAAGCTAACACAACTATAACAGAAACATGGTAAGATACCTGCTGTTATGAACCATGCGTTGTGTCCCTGCTAAAGGCGTATGTTGAAATTCTAACCCAAAACGGGATGGTATTAGGAGGTGGGGCCTTTGATAGGTGATTAGGTCATGAAGGTGAAGCCCTCATGAATAGGATTAATGTCTTATAAGAAAAGACCTGGAGGGACCGGGCGCGGTGGCTCACGCCTGTAATCCCAGCACTTTGGGAGGCCAAGGCGGGCAGATCACTTGAGGCCAGGAGTTCGAGACCAGCCTGGCCAACATGGTGAAACCCTGTCTCTACTAAAAATACAAAAATTAACTGAGTGTGGTGGCGCGTGCCTGTAATCCCAGTTACTTGGGAGGCTGAGGCTGAGGCAGGAGAATTGCTTCAACCCAGGAGGCAGGGGTTGCAGTGAGCTGAGATTGCACAACTGCACTTCAGCCTGGGTGACAGAGCGAGACTCTGTCTCAAAAAAAAAAGAAAAGAAAAGACCTGGAGGCCAGGCACTAAGTGGCTCATGCCTATGAGAGGATCATTTGAGGCCAGGAGTTCAAGACCAGCCTGAGCAAGATGGCAAGAACCCACCTCTACGAAAAAATAAAAAATAAAAATAGCTAGGCTTGGAGACCAGGAGGTTGAGGCTACAGTGAACCGTGATTGTGCCACTGTATTCCAGCCTGGGTGACAGAGCAAGACCCTGTCTCTCAAAAAAAAATTTTTTTTATTAAAAAGAAAAGACTCCAAGAGCTTGTTTCCTTTTTCTCTCTGTTCTCCCTCAAGTGAGAGTACAACAAGAAGGTGAATGTCTGCAAACCAGGAAGAGGGCCTCACCAGACACTGAATTTGCCTGCACCTTGATCCTGGATTTCCCAGCCTCCAGAACTGAGAAATAAATGTTCGTTTGTTTTTTTTATTTTATTTTTAATTTTTTGGTTTTTTTTAGAGACAGGGTCTCACACTGTCACCCAGGCTGGAGTACATTGGTGCAATCATAGCTCATTGCAGCCCCGAACTCCCGGACTCAAGTGAGTCCACTTCAGCCTCCCACTTCAGCCTCCCAAAGTGCTGAGATTACAGGCATGAGCTTCCTGCACCCAGCCATGTTTGTTGTTTAAACCACTCAGTCTATGGTATTCTGTTATAGCAGCCAGAACTAAAACAGCTGCCTTCTTCCCTACCTCGAAAAAAACACCCCTCTCCTCCACTTGAACGTCTTTATCTGAGTCAGTTAAGACTTACTCTCAGGGAAAATGCAAAATAAAACTACAAGGTACCACTTTTTAATAATCAGAGGGGTGAAGATCAAAAGGTTGGAAAACACTGTTAGCAAAGGTGGGGAAAACACACACTTTCATATATTGTTTATGGGAATGTAAATTCATTTATCCCTTATGTAGGGCAATTTGGCAGTTTCTAGCAAAATAAGAAAGACATATACACTTTGACCCAACAATTCCAATTTTAGGAAATTATTCTACAGATACACTCACACATATTTTTTTTTTTTTGAGACAGAGTCTCGCTGTGTCGCCCAGGCTGGAGTGCAGTGGCACAATCTTGGCTCACTGCAAGCTCCACCTCCCGAGTTCAGGCCATTCTCCTGCCTCAGCCTCCCGAGTAGCTGGGACTACAGGCGCCCGCCACCACGCCCGGGTAATTTTTTTTTTTTGTATTTTTAGTAGAGACGGGGTTTCACTGTGTTAGCCAGGATGGTCTCGATCTCCTGACCTTGTGATCCGCCCGCCTCTGCCTCCCAAAGTGCTGGGATTACAGGCGTGAGCCACCGCACCCGGCCCACTCACACATATTTTTTAAAAAAATGCATGTACCAGGCCGGGCGTGGTGGCTCATGCCTGTAATCCCAGCACTTTGGGAGATGGAGGTGGGAGGATCACCTGTGGTCAGGAGTTCAAGACCAGCCTGGCAACATGACAAAACCCCCATATCTACTAAAAATACAAAAATTAGCCAGGCGTGGTGGTGGGCACCTGTAATTCCAGCTACTTGGGAGGCTGAGGCAGGAGAATTGCTTGAACCCTGGAGGTGGAGGTTGCAGTGAGCCGAGATTGCGGCACTGCACTCCAGCCTGGGTGACAGAGTGAGACTCCCTCTCAAAAAAAAAAAAAAAAAAAAACCATATACCAGAATATTTATTGTCACTATGTTTTTATTTATTTTTATTTTTCGTAGAGACGGGTCTCATTATGTTGCCCAGTGTGGTCTCAAACTCTAGAGCTCAAGCAATCCTCCCACCTCTGCCTCCCAAAGTGCTAGGATTACAGGTGTGAGCTACCATGCCTAGCTCTCACTATGTTTTTAACAGCAAAAGATTGGGAAAAATATCCTTCAATAGAGGACTGATTAAATAAAGTACACCTTTACAATGGAATATGTGCAGCCATCAAATCTAAGGAAGTTCTTGGTCATTTTTTTGTTTTTTGAGATAGGGTCTCACTGTGTTGCCCAGGCTGGTCTTGAACTCCTGGGATCAAGTGATTCTCTCACCTTAGCCACCTGAGTAGCTGGGACTATAGGCACGTACCACCATGCCCGGCTGATTTTTTTTTTAACTTGAAAAATTGAGATGAAATTTACATAACATAAAATTGACCATTTTAACTATTTTAAAGTGTAAAATTCAGTGCCTTTATGTTTTGATATGAAACAACCTTTGAGATATATTGGTATGCACTTACCCTCACTCGCCTTCTATCCCCACTTGCCTACCTCTGCTTGTGATAGTGGGAGAGACTTTTTCTGATGGGCATCTCTGAAAAGTCTCCAGAACACAGGAGGCTGAGAGGGACTGTTGCCAGGGAAAGGTGGTGGTAATGTTATCAGCGGTTCTCACCCCCGGCTGCACATTAGCATCACCTGAGGAGATTTTGAAAATGCCCTTGCCCAGGCCCCACCTTTAGATACTTTGATTTAATTAGGGGTGAGGCCTGGGCATGAGTCTTAAAATTTAGGCATAATTTACCCACAGTAAAATGCATAGGCCTTAAATGTATAGTTCAGTGAATTGTGATATTGTGGGTGCTTGTGTAACCACTGCCCCATTAAAACATAGAACATTTCCATTTCTCCAGTCACTGCCCTTCACCCCTGCCAGAGGCAGACACTGTTCTGATTTCTATCATAGATTCATTTTGATTGTTCTTGAACTTCATAGAAATGGAATCAAGCAGTATGTAACATTCTGAGATTGCCTTATTTCTCTTAGTATAATGCCCTTGAGGTTCATCCTACTGCCCTGAGGATCAGTAGTTCATTTCTTTTTGTGGCTGAGTGGTATTCCCTTGTATGGATACACCAAAGTTTATCCATTCAGGCATCCAGGGACATTTGCATTGGTCCCAGTTTTTGGCTATTAGAAACAAAGCTGCTATCAACATTCTTGTACAAGTCTCTCTGTGAGCACATATACTCATTTCTCTTGGAGTGGAATTCCTGGGTTTAACTTTATTTGAAACTGCTGGTTTCCAAAGTGGTTGTACCAATTTACACCCCCACCAGCAAAAGATGAGACTTACAGTTGTTCCATATCTTTGCTAACACTTGGTATTGTCTGTCTTTTAAATTATAGCCATTCTCATGGGTATGTAGAGGCATGTCCTTTTAGTTTTAAATTGCATTTCCCTAATGGAAAATTATGTTGATCATCTTTTCATGTGCTTACTGACCATTCATATATCCTGTCTCATGAGGTGTCTGTTCCACTCTTTTGCTCATATTTTTGGGTGGTCATTTTATTATTGATTTGTAGGAGCTCTTTATATATTCTGGGTATCAGTCTTTTGTCAGATAAATATATCGCAAACATAATTATTATTTAAGATATCCCCAGTGAGTCTCACATGAATGCAGACTTGAGAACCCCTGGTGAACTAAAGATTGGCCCCAAAGGCCCCCTACTTTTGCAAGTCCTCAAACTTACCCCCTAGCAATTTTGCCTGAGGATTGGTTTTTTTTTTTCTTTTTCTTTTCTTTTTTTGAGATGGAGTCTTGCTCTGTCACCCAGGCTGGAGTGCAGTGGCGCAATCTCAGTTCACTGCAACCTCTGCCTCCTGGGTTCAAGAGATTCTCCTGACTCAGCCTCTGGAGTAGCTGGAATCACAGGTGTGCACCACCACGCCTGGCTAATTTTTGTATTTTTAGTAGAGACAGGGTTTCACTATGTTGGCCTGGCTGGTCTTGAACTCCTGACCTCAGGTGATCCACCGCCTTGGCCTCCCAAAGTGATGGGATTACAGGCATGAGCCACTGCACCTGGCTGAGGATTGGTTTTTCAATTCATGTGAATGTTCATGGCTGTGGGGGATTTTAGGAGAGAGGGTTTCCTTGTCAGTCTTTCTCCTGCATATCTGCCTGGCTTCTTGGACAGCTCCATTCATCTGAACTGTTCTCTTACACTCTGACTGTGAGAAAGTCTTTTCCTGTCTTCACCCTAAGATTTTCCACATGTAAAACCTGACCTTAGTGCCTGACCCATTTCTACAACCCAGAGACAGTGTGTGTCAAAGGAATAAGGACATTTTTTTTTTTTTTTTTTTTTTTTTTTTTTTTTTTTTTTTTTTTTCTGGATGGAGCAAGCTATGTCCTAGGCGCAAAAGGAGTGTGACTTTCTGTATCCCCTCCTGGCTATTATCCTCAGGCTGCCTATCTGCTCACTGAAGGGAAGAATCATTTTCTAGCAGCCTTGGCAACCAATCACCAGAGGACACTCATTGAACCTGCTGTGTACTTGCTGCATGACCTCGTGCAAGGCAATTAACCTCTCTAATCCTTGGTTCCTTCAACTGGTACAAGAGAACATCTTGTTTGTTGTGGGGAAAGTTCCTGGCATAAATTAGCTGCTCACAAAGGATGGAAGACATGGTTCTAAGATCAGTGGAACTGGGCTGTGAGAAGAGCTCTCTGTTCTGGGACTTGCCATACCCTCAATGTGCCCTAGTGCCATATACCTGCCCCTTCCTTCCACACCTTCAGAGGCCCAGACTGGTCAAGGCCCCTCCTGCTGTGTTGTCTTCACCCTGCCTTTTTTGGCTAATTTGAACAGAACATCCCATGAGGGCCCCTAGGCTCTTTAAGCTCTGAGCAGATGGCTGGGAAGCCAGTTCTCTGAAACAAACAGTTCTTGACTTGGATCTGGGCAAGGGGCCAAGACCTTTGAAGGGCTGTAGAAAAACTTCACCTTTGCCCCCACTTCCCTCCTGTTGCCCTCAAGAGCTTGTAGTTTTTACTACCTGTCTCTTTTAGTGCCAAAGAGGAAGGGAAAAAGGCCACGCCTATTTGGATTAGATGCCCACTTGGAGTCCCTTCTTGGGCTGGCACCAGGGAGAAGCCTTGACCCCAGGTTTTGTGAGAGGCACCCATGCTATGTAGGGAGGGTTTCTCTGCTGCTGCAGAAGGAGGATAAGGAAGCTACAGGAGAGCTCATGGGGAGCTCCCAGAAATGTCCTTGACTTGGGGAACAAGTGGGTACAGGGCATCTGGAGAGTCCAGCGACACTGGGCTCTGGCTGGAGCCTGTTCATCTCACAGCCAAGCATGGGTGGCTTTGTCCTAGCACAAGATCTGGGAAGGGACTAGAAGAGGGCTGTCTAGTTCCTGGGTGTAACTCAGAATCCTCTGTGTTACTTCCAGGTCCATCTGGAGGCAGGTATAAAAGGGAGACAGGGGTAGTATTGGCAAGAGAAGTGGCTGGGATGGGTATGCTTGGCCCTCCCCACTTCCCTGATTTCTGGTCCTCATTATGTCTTTGGATATATCATTCCCACCCAAGGCCTCATTCTAGTTCTCTAACAGAGCACACAGTGCTCTCCTTTAGGATTACTAATTGACAGATCATCCATCCATCCATCCATCCATCCAACAACTATTTACTGGTCAGCCATTATGTGTAGGGACCATTCTGAGCTCTGCGAGGGTATAACTGTGAAAAAGACAGAAATGTTCTTCACAGAGCTCACATGATCACGGGGGAGCCAGACAGGTAACCAGGCAGCTACATTCCATGGAATAAACCCAATGATAAAGGCAGGATGTGGGATCACAGAGGATGACTTGTTGAGAAGGATCAGGGAAGGTTCCTGGAAGCAGGGAGACCTGCACTGAGACAAGAGGAGTGAATAGACAATAGTGAGGTGAAAAGGGTGAGTCCAGGCAGAGGAAACTGCATGTGGGGAGGCCTGGAGGCAAGATCTGAATAGCTGGAAGTTGTTCAGTTTGAGAAGAGATCGTGTGCATGTATGTGTAGGGGTTGTGAAGAAGTAAGACGTGGCCAGAGAGGTAGTCAGAGGCCAGATCAGGAAGGCCTTGTAAGCCATGGTAAGGAGGCAGGACTTGATCTTGAGGGAAACGAGGGGGCTTTGAAGGATTTAGACAGGGCCATGGCATGATCAGTTTGGTATTTTTGAAAGATGATTCTGGTTTTTGGGTAGAGATCAGATAGTGGGGGAAAGGCACAAATAGAAGCAGGAAGACAAGCCAGGAGGCTAGTGCAGTCGTCCAAGTGAGACAGAATGGTGGCATAGACTACCGTGGTGGCAGTGGAGATGGAGAGAAGTGATTGGATTTGGGATGTATTTTAGAGGTAGAGCCAACACGACTCACTGATGAATTGAACTTGAGGGGCAAATATGAGGCAGGCCTCAAAGACACTTCCCGGTTTCTGACTTGGACCACTTTGGGGGTTGGTAGTGCCATTCATGGAGATGGGAAATATTGAGAGAGCAGGTCTAGGGGAGAGAGGGTGAGTTCGGTGCCATGTTGAGTTTGAGCTTCCGGGGTGACATGTCCTATAGCCATTTTGCCATCTAGGTCCAAATCTCAGGAGAGACGATGAGGCTAGAGACAGAATTGTGAGGCCTTGAGAGCCACTGAGGTAACCCAAAGGGAGTGGAGGATGCCATGTTTTGTGCAGTGGGACTGCCTTGTCAAAGGTTTCTCTATCCTTTGGTGCCCACTTCACCCAAACCCCGAAAGGCAGGTTTAGAAGGCTTTCATCAAAGACTGTGAAACTTAGGGCAAAGACCCTGCAGGTAATCCTAACTCTTGGCTCCCTCCCTTCCTCCCAGTCCCTGTCATTTCCACAGCATCCTGGGCTGACTTGATTAGTTTCCAAGAAGGGTTTATCCATCCCAGGGGCCAGGCCAGCTGCCATTCTTAGGAAATTCAGTTTCTGGCTCCCTCTGCTGGCAGAGCTGGAGATGACTGTTGGCTGGGGCAGCCTCCATCCCATGGCTTTCCTCCTCCTTCCTGCTTCCCCTGGGAGATTAAACCCTCAGTCTCAATCTTCTATCCCCTACCCCCAAATCCCACCTACTTTATAAGAACCCTAGCTAGAAATGGGGTGGGAGAAGCCTAATTAGGTATCTGGGAAACACAAATTCTTACTGTTGGCAGAGCTTGGTGGCTCACACCTGTAATCCTAGCACTTTGAGAGGCTGAGGCGGGAGGATCGCTTGAGCCCAGGAGCTGGAGAACAGCCTGGGCAACATAGCAAGACTCTGTCTCTACAAAGTATTAAAAAAATTAGGTGGATGTGGTGGCACATGTCTGTAGTCCTAGCTGCTAAAGAGGCTGAGGTTGGAGAATCGCTGGAGCCTGGAGGATCACTTGAGCTCAGGAGTCTGAGGTTACAGTGAGCCGAGATCACACCACTGCACTCCAGCCTGGGCAACAGAGTGAGACCCTGTCTCATAAATACATTATTACTGTTTCTAATCAATTTCATCTTTTTTCCTGCCCCAAACCCACTCTCGGCTCCTTTTTTTTTTTTTTTTTTTTTTTTTTTTTTTGACAGGATCTCACTCTGTCACTCGGGCTGGAGTACAGTGGTGTGACTCTGCTTACTGCAGCCTCGAACTCCTGGGCTCAAAAGATTCTCCCATCTCAGCCTCCCAAGTAGCTAGGACTACAGCACACACCACCACACACAGCTAATTTTTGTGTTTTTTGTCTGATGAATCATGTTGCCCAGGCTGGTCTCAAACTCCTGGGCTCAAGTGATCCTCCCACCTCGGCCTCCCAAAGTGCTGGCATTACAGGTGTGAGCCACCACACTTGGCCCCAAACCCACTTTTGATCTCCTTGTGCATGAATACTTCATTTGGTTATCAAAAACACTCTTCCATTCTCAGTCCCCAAGAGCAACATTTTGCTGGCACTCCCTCCTCATATGCAGGGAAGCCATGATGTGTGCTGGAAAAAACGCTGGGTTGGGATTGAAGGTACCTAGGTTTGAGTACTGTTTCTGTCACAGGTTCAGGGTCTGACCTTGGACTGGTCACTTCCTTCTTTCCCATTGGCAGTTCCCTTACCTGTGGCATTAGACTGGAGTCCAAAAAACCGTTTCAACTCAGCATTCTAGGCTTGCTCCAACCATCTTAGCCTGTTTAGTTTTCATACACATCAAGCCCTCTCCTGCCTCAGGGCCTTTGATCATGCTATTCCCTCTGCCTGAAATGCCCTTCCCTTCCCTTTTTGTTTGGTTAACTCCTCCCTACCCTTCAGCTCTTAGATCAAATGCTACTTCCTCAGAGAAACCTTTTCCAGCCCTCCAGATTGGGTCAGATACCTCATGGTATGCTGTCATAATTGCCTGTAGTTTTCCTTCTGAGACCTCTTCATGTCTGTAATTTTCCAAGTGTTTGTGTGATTATTGTTTCAAGTCCATCTTCACCATGGAACTTTAAGCTCTTTGATAGCAAGGACTTGTCTGTTTTTCTCACCACTCTACCCCCAGCACCTGGATCCTTACGTGACCATCTTGTAAAGGCTCAACACATATTTACTAAATAAATGAATAAGTAAATGGATGAATTAATCCTTTTCTTCACCTGTCAGCTGCTTTCTATATCTAACTAGCATCATGTTAAAGAGCAAAAAGTCGAAAGCCAGACTGCCTGGGTTTGGAATTCTGCTTCACCATTCACAAGCTGTGTAAACTTGTGTAAGTTATTCAATCTTTCTGTGCCTCAGTTTCCTCATCTGTAAAAGGAGGATGATAATAGTATACACCATCTAACAAGGTTGTTGTTAAGGATTAAAAGACAGTGCATGTAAAGTCCTTAGAACAAGGCCTGGCACTTCAGTGCTATCTAAGTAATAGCTATTGTTCTTATTCGGCCTCATCCATCTCTCCATTTATGCATTCTGAACCCTCCCACAAAGCCTCATTATCATATTTCCGGCCTGTGAGTGCGGATGACTCAGTGTAATTTGAAGATTAGGTTGAAAAGTTTTGTTTTTTAAAATTCTTATTATGGAAATGTTCAATCATACACAGAAGCAGAGAAGAGGATAATGAACCTCTGTAACAAGCTTCAACAATTATCAACATTTTGCCAATCTTTGTTCATCTGTACTCTCCTTTTTTTTCCCTCTGTACTGGAGTATTTTAATGTAAGTCCCAGATGTCATATCATTTTGTCTGAAAATACTCCAACTTGTATTTCTAACAGATGAGGACCTTAAAAAAAAAAACAGCAATACCATTATCACCCTTTTAAAATTAACAATAATTAGGGAGAGCTTTTTTTGTTTATTTTTTTCTGAGACAGAATTTTGCTCTTGTAGAGGCTGGAGTGCAATGGCATGATCTTGGCTCACTGCAACCTCCGCCTCCTGGCTTCAAGCCATTCTCCTGCCTCAGCCTCTCGAGTAGCTGAGATTACAGGCACCTACCATCATGGCCGGCTAATTTTTGTATTTTAGTAGAGATGGGGTTTCACCATGTTGGCCAGGCTGGTCTTGAACTCCACCCACCTCGACCTCCCAAAGTGCTGGCATTACAGATGTAAGCCACCGCACCCAGCCTAGGAAGAGCTTTTTCCTTTTCTTTTCTTTTCTTTTTGAGATGGAGTCACCCTCTGTCGCCCAGACTGGAGTGCAGTAGTGAGATCTTGGCTCACTGCAACCTCCGCCTCCTGGGTTCAAGCAATTCTCCTGCCTCAGCCTCCCAAGTAGCTGGGATTACAGGTACGTGCCATCACACCCGCTAATTTTTGTATTTTTAGTAGAAACGGGGTTTCACCATGTTGGTCAGGCTGGTCTCGAACTCCTGACCTTGTGATCCGCCCGCCTCGGCCTCCCCAAGTGCTGGGATTACAGGCGTGAGCCACTGAGCCCAGCTGGGAGAGCTTTATAAACCCCATTCCCTTGAGAGACGCTGGGGGAATGGGAGCCCTTGATTGGGGTAGATGCATAATGAGGAACAGCAGATAATTAATCGATGTAAAGTGTTTTGAATGGGGCCTGTCACATAAGAGGGATATAGTAGTAACTATTATTTTGACTCTCTTTGATTCTCTCCATTTACCCACTCAAAATCCTCCCAATCTCTCTCTTATTTTCAGGCTGTGAGCCTGGGTGACCATTTATAAAGGAGGACTAGGAGCCTGGGCTGGGGAGTTTCCTGGGTCATCAGAGCCCTGGGTTGAGACCTGGGACTCCAGAAGGCACCAAGAAGGGCCCAAGGGAAGCAGACTACAGGACCGAAGGGGAGGGGAGGAGCAGCCAGAGCTGGGGAGTTTAAAGGAGGAGCCCTACAGCTGTGTGAAAATGGGGCTTAGAAAATCCAATAGCCAAAGGGCAGGCAAGCCGAGTGTTGGTCCTTCCTTCCCGGTGATCAGGGCCTTTAGGCATCACTGCCAGCTGGGAAGCAGAGAGGAGGTAGCCGGGGTTCCTGAGGGAGTTCTCTTTAGCTTTTCTTCACAGCCCACAATGGGGCATGCCTACAACAACCACCAGGGGCCTGCTTTGCTTCATCTTCAGTTCTCAACAATTCCCCGGATATGAGCGATGATGGTGGACCCTGAGCCAAAGCACAACCAGACATGGCCTTCCCCAGACTCAAGATGAAGATTTTTGTGCTCTCATCTCTCTTTTCCTTTCTGCAGAATTCTCTCCTACATCTTCTCCCCTATTCTGCTCTTCTCATCCTACTCATCCTTTGGGTATCCAGGGCGCCTGGACTCTCAACTCATCCTTAGCTCCTTTGTGCTGCTATAATAAAATGCCATAGACTCAAACTCATATTTTTTTTTTTTGAGACGGAGTTTCGCTCTTGTTGCCCAGGCTGGAGTGCCAATGGCGTGATCTTGGCTCACCACAACCTCCGCCTCCCAGGTTCAAGTGATTCTCCTGCCTCAGCCTCCCAAGTAGCTGGGATTACAGGCATGTGCCACCATGCCCGGCTAATTTTGCATTTTTAGTAGAGACAGGGTTTCTCCGTCAGGCTGGTCTCGAACTCCCGACCTCAGATGATCTGCCCGCCTCAGCCTCCCAAAGGGCGGGATTACAGGCGTGAGCCTCCTCACCTGGCCATCAAACTCATAATTTATAAACAATAGAAATGTATTTATTATGGTTCTGGAGGCTGAAGAGTCCAAGATGAAGGTGCCAGCAGGATTGGTATCTGGTGAGGGCTGCTCTCTGCTTCCAAGATGGTGCCTTGTTGCTGCATCCTCTGGAGGGGAAGGAATAGTGTGTCCTTACATGGTAGGAAAGCAGAAGAGCAAAAAGGGCCTAAACTAGCTCCCTCCAGCCCTTTCATAAGGCACTAATTTATTCATGAAGTAGGATCCCTCATGACATTACTTGCTAAAAGGCCCCGCCTCTCAATGCCACCATGGTGGGGATTAAGTTTCAACACAAGAATTTTGAAGGACATTCAGACCATAGCACAGCCCAATCCAAGCTTGCCTCCAGGAAAAGATGTGATTCAAACACTTTAGCAGAGTAAACAAGTTCCTTCATAACCTGGCCTTCAACTGCCTCATCAACCTCATTTCCCGCCACTGCCCTCTTCTTTCCAGTGTGACACAGCGAAACGGCACAGATTTGTGTCCATATGGACCTAGTATTGAATTCTGGCTCTGCTGCTTCCTAGCTCAGGAAGCTTAGATGAAGTCAATTTATCTCTCTGAGCCTGTTTCCACATCTGAAAAATGTGGATAATAGTATACTAAAAGGCCTCTTAATAAAGGCCTTAAAGTCATACAAACCAGGAAAATAGCCCATGTTCTCCAAGATCCCCCACCTCCCCCCAACCCTTTTCTTTTTTTTGAGATGGAGTCTTGCTCTGTCGCCCAGGCTGGAGTGCAATGGCACGATCTCAGCTCACTGCAACGTCTGCCTCCTGGGTTCAAGCGATTCTTCCACCCCAGCCTCCCGAGAAGCTGGGATTACAGGCACCCGCCACCATGCCCAGCTAATTTTTGTAGAGACGGGGGTTTCACCATTTGGCCAGGCTGGTCTTGAACTCCTGACCTCAGGTGATCCGCCCGCCTCGGCCTCCCAAAGTGCTGGGATTACAGGTTCAGTGAGCCACTGAACCCGGCCTCCAACATTCCTTTTAACTCATAACGGTCTATAAATTTTATGAAAAGCTTAAAATTCTCTGGACATATGATGTATGACTGGGCCAATAGGTGAGTTTTCCAATACTGAATGCTAAATTAGTGTCTTGAGGAGTCATGTCTGTGTTCTTAACAGTATATGAACAAGGACAATTTTTGTTGGCCCACAACCTCCTATTTAGTGTCACCCAAGCAAGCCACTTAAACTCAATCACATTTCCTTAAGCTCTAGGCTCTGCCTTCTTTTTAGGCTCTGCATTTGAAAATGACTGTATCTTAGTTGGTGCTTCTGAAGAAATGATGACCACAGCACTACTTCTTTTTTTTTAAATTATTTTTGTCTTCCTTTTATTATACCAAGTATGTGAACCTAGTTACTTATTTCTTAAATAAGAACTTTAATTTTTTTTTTTTTTTTGAGATGGAGTCTTTCTCTGTCACCCAGGCTGGAGTGCAGTGGCATGATCTTGGCTCACTGCAGCCTCCACCTCCAGGGTTTGAGATTCTTGAAGACCCTTCTCTCTTTCTCTCTCTCTTTTTAAGAAAATAAATACAGCATAACGCCCTGTGGAGAAGAAAAAAATTTTTTTTAAAGAGACGGGAGTCTCACCATGTTGCCCAGGCTGGTCTCGAACTCCTAAGTGCAAGTGATCCTCCCACCTTAGCCTCCCAAAAGGCTAGGATAACAGGCGTGAGGCACTGCACCCAGCCTTTTTTTTTTTTTTTTTTTTTTTTGAGATGGAGTCTCGCTTTGCCACCCAGGCTGGAGTGCAGTGGTGCAATCCCGGCTCACTGCAACCTCCACCTCCTGGGTCCAAGCGATTCTCGTGCCTCAGCCACCCGAGTAGCTGGGACTGCGGGCGCCCGCCACCACGCCCGGCTAATTTTTTGTATTTTTAGTAGAGACGGGGTGTCACCATTTTAGCCAGGTTGGTCTCGAACTCCTGACCTCACGTGATCCGCCCGCCCCGGTCTCCCAAAGTGCTGGGATTACAGGCGTGAACCACCGCGTCTGGTCGCTTCTTCAATGTTAGTTTAAATCACAGGGACTATGCCTCCCAGGGTGTTTGAATTCAAAGCACGGTCAGTGCCAGGTACTGGCGATCAAGGAAGGGAAGATATCTGTGGATGCGGGGCAGGGTATGGTTGGGGGACGCAGGCGTTGGAGATCTCCAGGGGTCGCCGCAATGACTGGGATCATATCGGGCAGTCTCCTCCACTCACAATGATGGCACACGCACGCGCGAACGAATTGGCTGCAGCATGGTTTGAATTGGATTGAAACGCGAGGGATCACAGACTGAGGCAGCACACTCCGTGTCTCGAAGGCAGAGATCACCTTCTGCTTCCCGGCGCGCGTAGGCGCAGGCGCCCACCGTCATGGGCGGGGCTCAGGCGGAGGCGTCGCAGCGCGTGGTCGCGGATTGGCCGGCCGCGAGGCCGTCGGTTGGCTGTGTCCCTCTCCACGGCGCACAGAGCATGCGCGGGGCGGGAGTGAGCGAAATTCAAGCTCCAAACTCTAAGCTCCAAGCTCCAAGCTCCAAGCTCCAAGCTCCAAACTCCCGCCGGGGTAACTGGAACCCAATCCGAGGGTCATGGAGGCATCCCGAAGGTTTCCGGAAGCCGAGGCCTTGAGCCCAGAGCAGGCTGCTCATTACCTAAGGTATGTCTGGACCGCTGGGCGGGTCTAGCTAACCGACCTGGCCCAGGGTGGAGGTGGGGTGGCCCCCGGATCCTCCTGGGGACCCGAACTGTTGAGGCGGAGCCTTTTGAGACGCGCGCTCGCGCTCTTCTCGCAGTAGGGTGTGGGAGTCAGCTCTGGATGTTTGACCAGATTTCTAAAACCTGAGGAGACCCCGATGCCTCTTCTTTTGGGCAAATGACCCTCCAGTATGGTCTCCTTAAAAGCCAGAGGAGCCTTAATTAATCAAGCCCTTCTTGATTCTTTTCAGCTTATCAAGCCCTAAGTCTAGGGGATACAGAGATGAGTAAAACAAGGTCCCCGCCCCCAAATTGTTTGTAATCTAGTAGTGGAAACGGATCTGTAAAGCAATAATTACTAGGTTTGATAAGTGCTGTAAGAGGTATAATGTACGTGCAGGGCACAGTGTTGGCATAAAAGAGGGAATGGCCAACTACAAGGGTGGTCAGCTAAGGGATGGCGTGGCAAGAGGAGACATTTGAGCTAGGCGTTGAAAAATGAGTAAACATTCACCAGTTGGCTAAGGGTGGGGGGCGTGGTAATGTTGGGATGAGAATTTAAATTTTTTCTTAAATTGTGGTAAAGTACACATAACATAAATTTTATCTTTTTGTGCAGAAACTGGGTTTTATGAAAAATAAAGTTTATCATCCTAACCATTTTTAAATGTACAGTTCAGTAGTGTTGACTACATTCATATTGTTGTGCAGCCGTCCGTCATCTCCAGAACTTTTCTCATGTGGCAAAACTGAAACTACTCCCATTAAACAAACTCCCCATTTCCCCCTCCCTTCAGCCCCTAGCAACCATTATTCTGTCTCTGTGAATTTTACTGCTTTAATTTTTTTTGAGACAGGGTCTTGCTGTGTCGCCCAGACTGGAATTCAGTGGCCTGATCATAGTTCACTGCAGCCTCGAACTCCTGGGCTCAAGCAGTCCTCCTGCCCCAGCCTCCCTAGTAGCTGGGACTTAAGGTGGGTGCCACCATGTCCAGCCAATTTATTATTTTACTATTGTTGTTTTATATATATTTTTAGAGACAGGGTCTGGCTCTGTCACCCAGGCTGGAGTGCAGTGGCGCGATCTCTAACTCAGCTCACTGCAACTTCCATCCCCCGGGGCTCATGCGATCCTCCCACCTGTTTCCGGAGTAGCTGGGACCACAGGCGCACACCACCACACCCAGCTATTTTTTTTTTTTCTTTTTTTGATACAGTCTCGCTCTGTCACCCAGGCTGGAGTGCAGTGGCGCGGTCTGGGCTCACAGCAAGCTCCGCCTTCCGGGTTCACGCCATTCTCCTGCCTCAGCCTCCCGAGTAGCTGGGACTACAGGCGCCCGCTAACACACCCGGCTAATTTTTTGTATTTTTGGTAGAGACGGGGTTTCACCGTGTTAGCCGGGATGGTCTCAATCTCCTGACCTCGTGATCCGCCCGCCTCGGCCTCCCAAAGTATTTTTTTTGTGTTTTTAGTAGAGACAGGGTCTCGCCATGTTGCCCAGGCTGGTCTCAAACTCCTGAGTTCAAGCAATCCTCCTGCCTCGGCCTCCCAAAGTGTTGAGATTACAGACGTGGGCCACCATGCCAGGCCTTTCATTTAGATTTTTCCAATTGTTTGCCATTATACTTTTGTTGTAATAGGCAGCCTTTGTGTGAATTTTTGTGCACTTCGTAACTGAGTGTACACTTTGGAATTCCGATTGCTGGGTCTTAGGGAATGTGTATTTAAAATTGCCATTCAAGAAAACCATGCCAGATTTTAATAAAGTCAATAGTGTGAGTAAGCATTTATTTATATTCTCTCAGGCTGGTGTGTGATGAGCTATATGAGTCAATTCAAAAGTTAAGATACATAGTTTTACTTTTGAAGCTAAGACTTGTAGTATTTTCTTCTACAGATACACTTACATGAGTGAGCAAAGATGTGTGTGCGTGTGTATACAGTAAGTCCTCACTTAACATTGTCCATAGGTTCTTGGAAACTGACTTTAAGTGAAATGACGTAGCAAAACCAATTTTTTTCTCATCAGTGTTGCAGCAAAATGATATTGAATGAACCAGTGTCATTCAAGGGCCTGCTGTGTGTCATTTTGCTTAAAGTTGCAGTTGCCAAGAACCTACTGACCACGTTAACTGAGGACTTACTGTACATATAAACATATACCAGAGGTGTGTGCCATGAAGCCCGGCTAATTTTTAAAAGATTTTTGTAGGCTGGGTGCAGTGGCTCATGCCTGTAATCCCAGCACTTTGGGAGGGCGAGGCAGGTGCATCACGAGGTCAGGAGTTCAAGACCAGTCTGGACAACATGGTGAAGCCCCGTCTCTACTAAAAATACAAAAATTAGTCAGATATGGTGGCGGGCACCTGTAATCCCAGCTACTTGGGAGGCTGAGGCAGAATTGCTTCAACCCAGGAGGCGGAGGTTGCAGCGAGCTGAGATGGCGCCACTGCACTCCAGCCTGGGCAACAGAGCAAGACTCCGTCTCAGAAAAAAAAGAAAAAAAAGATTTTTGTAGAGATGAAGTCTCACTGTGTTGCCCAGGCTGGTCTTGAACTCCTAGACTCAAGTGATCCTCCCAACTCAGGCTGCCAAAGCACTGGGATTACAGGTGTGAGCCACCATGCCCAGCAGAATCAGACTTTTTATTACACTTACATTATTACACCACCGTTCAAGCATTCTACTCTCCATCTTCTACCTTACTCCCTCTAGAATACCAATTCCAACAAATGTTTGATATTGTTGGGACCTATAGTTCATTGATTCCATCTTTTCACTGTTGCACACCCCTCAGGTTCTCACTTCTCTCCTTACATAGTTTGAAGTTCAGAGTCAATAATTGTGGAGGCTTCCTTGTATACAACTTTAACTTATTTTTTTTCTCTTTCACACTTAATTATACTGGCTTGGCAAGACCATAGCCTTCGTATGGTAAGCAGAGTAATGGCCTCCCGAGGATATCCACATACTAATTTCTGAACCCTGTGAATATGTTACCCTCATATGGTAGAGAGGAATTAAGGTCACTAACCAGCTGACCCTAAAATAGGGAAATTGGAATATCTGGGTGAGCCCAGTGTAATCACAGGGTGCTTAAAAGTGGAAGAGGGGCTGGGTGTGGTGGCTCACGCCTGTAATCCCAGCACTTGGGGAGGCCAAGGTGGGTGGATCACCTGAGGTCAGGAGTTCGAGACCAGCCTGGCCAACGTGATGAAACCGTTTCTACAAAAATAGAAAAATAAGCTGGACGTGGTGGTACACGCCTGTAATCCCAGCTACCCAGGAGGCTGAGGCAGGAGAATTGCTTGAACCCAGGAGGTGGAGGTTGCAGTGAGCTGAGATCGCACCGTTGCACTCCAGCCTAGGCTACAAAAGTGAAACTCCATCTCCAAAAAAAAAAAAAAAAAAAAAAGTGGAAGAGGGAGGCAGAAGAGGAGGTCATAGTGACTCAGTGTGAGAAGGATTCAACCTATCCTACCTGGCTCGGTAGATGGGGGAAGGGGCTATGAACCAAGGAATGTGTATGGCCTCTGGAAGCTGGAAAAGCAAGAAGCACATTCTCCCCCTAGAGCCTCCAGAAAGGAACACAGCCTTGCTGCAACCTTAATTTTAGCCCAGTGAGACCTGTGTCAGACTTCTAACCTATATAACCTGCAAGATATAACCTGTAAGATAAAAGATAATACTTTGTGTTGTTTTAACATTTGTGATGATTTGTAACGGCAGCAATAGGAAACTAATACATTTTGCTAAATCCAACTCTGGCCCTCTCAGATGAACATGGTTGAAGAAACAATCATGTGACTGGTCTTACTTGAAATCCATCAATATCGATGTCAAGCAGGCCCTTCATGCTGCCTGGCAATCATAGTACATTTCTCTAATGTATTCACTCATCCATTGTACTAGATGCCTGTTTCATGCCTTCTTGCTTTTCAGACCCTCAACATCTCACCCTCATCTCTCTTGCTTCCAATTTCACTGGGTTGATAGAAGCAATCAGAAGACAGTTTCCAGAAGCTTCTTCCATATCAACCTACTTCCCAGCATTATTCCCTCTGTGTTCTTTGCCTTCTGTCCTGTTAGTATGGATGAACTCTCCATGCTTCTAGCTAAGGCACAACCCCTCCATTTGTGCAAAAGATCTCATCCCTTGTCACTCACTGGTATAAGGACTTCAGCCCACCAATTCTTTCATTGTTAAAAAAAAAAATCCTCTCTTGATCCTATTTTCATTTCCAGTTATTGCTCCATTTCTTCTCTTTCCTTTACAGCAAAATTCCAGGTGTCATATCATTGTCTACACTTGTCATTTCCTATTTCTTTTCTCCTAACTTCTGTTGAACTCGTCCCAATCAGGTTTTCACCCCATCACTTTACACAAACTGCTTTTATCAAAGTCACCAATGACATTCATATAACTAAATCCAACAGTCAATTCTCAATCTTCATCTACCTCGACCAGTAGTACTTGACGAAGTTAATCACTTCTCCATGAAACACATGATTCATTAGTCTTCCAAGGAGCCCTTGCTCTCCGGATTTTCTTCTTACTTCACTGACTGCTGCTTCAGATTCTGTTGATATTCCTCCTCATATCTTCTAAGATAATTTAAATCCCCAGATATGACATTTCACGCTGAAATACTTAAGTATATATTCCTTAAAAAGAACATATTCTTTTTTTTTTTTGAGACGGAGTCTTGCTCTGTTGCCCAGGCTGGAGTGCAGTGGCGCAATCTCAGCTCACTGCAACCTCTGCCTCCCAGGTTCAAGTGATTCTCTGCCTCAGCCTCCCAAGTAGCTGGGATTACAGGCACCTGCTACCACGCCAGGCTAATTATTGTATTTTTAGTATGGGGTTTCACCATGTTGGCCAGGCTGGCCTCAAACTCCTGGCCTCAGGTGATTCACCTGCCTCAGCCTCCCAAAGTGCTGGGATTACAGGCATGAGCCCCCTTGCCCGGTCAAAAAAAAAACCATATTCTTACAAAACCACCATGCCATATCACACCTAACAAAATAAATGAATTCATTGATATTATCTAATACATAGTCCATATTCAAATTTTTTTTTTTTGAGACGGAGTCTTGCAGTGTCATCCGGGCTGGAGTGTGGTGGCGCAATCTCGGCTCACTGTAAACTTCGCCTCCTGGGTTCAAGTGATTCTCCTGCCTCAGCCTCCCGAGTAGCTGGGATTACAGGCACCCACCACCATGCCCAGCTAATTTTTTGTATTTTTAGTAGAGACAGGGTTTCACCATGTTGGCCAGGCTGGTCCTGAACTCCTGACCAGTGATTCGCCTGCCTCGGCCTCCCAAAGTGCTGTGATTACAGGCGTGAGCTACCATGCCCAGCCTCAAATTTTTGAATGGTTTATCAGGATCCAAAGAAGGTCTACAACTTCATTTGGGTTTTATGTTTCTTGAACTTCTAATCTAGAACAGTTCTCCCCTCCCCTCCACTTTTATTTCTATGACAATGATTTGAATTAGTGTGATGTCTTCCTTGTAGTGTCATTAGTTTGTTCTGTCTCCTATAATTTAAACTAAAGGCTTGATAAGATTAAGCTTCAATATTTTTGGCATGAATACTTTATAGGGAAGGCTGTGTAGCTATATTGTGTCATATCAGGAAGTATATAACATCTGACTTTCCTACTTTCAATAATGCTATTGAAAGGTTGATCAATGGGTTCAGTGATTACAATCTGATTCCTCCTTTGCAAAGTTGCATTTCCCCCTTATGATGAGGAAGTAATACGTTCAGGATAGCTTAGTATTCTGTGAATATCCAGTTCCCCACCAACCCATCAGGCTTTCAACCATTGATAATTATTGCTCAAATCAGTTTTTTTTTTTAAAGAGATGGGGTCTCCCTATGTTGCCCAGGCTGGTCTTGAACTCCTAGTCTCAAGCGATCCACCTGCCTCAGCCTCCCAAAGTGTCAAATCAGTTATTAGAGATTACAAAGTGGTGATTTTCTTTTCTGAGACGGAGTTTCGCTCTTGTTGCCCAAGCTGGAGTACAATGACGCGATCTCAGCTCACTGCAACCTCCACCTCCCGGGTTCAAGTGATTCTCCTGCCTCAGCCTCCTGAGTAGCTGGGATTACAGGTGGGTGCCACCACACCCGGCTAATTTTTTGTGTTTTTAGTAGAAACGGGGTTTCGTCATGTTAGCCAGGCTGGTCTCCAACTCTTGACTTCAGGTGATCTGCCTGCCTTGGCCTCCCCAAGTGCTGGGATTACAGGCGTGAGCCACCAAGCCTGGCTGCAAAGTCGTGATTTTCTAGTTTCACCGTTCTTTGTGTATTCATTAGCTGGAATTCTATAGATGATCTTAATGTTGGAATGCCATGTCTTTTTTTTTTTTTTTTTTTTTTGAGGCAGGTCTGGCTATGTTGCCCAGGCTGGTCTCGAACTCCTGAGCCCAAGTGATCCACCTGCCTTGGCCTCCCAAAGTGCTGGGATTACAGGCATGAGCCACCATGCCCAGCTGTCTTTTTTTTTTTTTTTTTTTTTTTTTAATACTCCTTCCTTGGGTGATCTTATCCAGGTTCTTGGCTTTAAATCTCATCTCTGTGCTGAGAACTTTCACATTTTTTTAGTAAACCTTTTACTTTGGCATTATTTTATTTTATTTTTAAAGTTTTTGGGTTTATTTATAATTGACACATAATTATACATGTTTATGGAGTACAGTTTTATTTCTGTTTTTTTAGAGACAGGGTCTCGCTCTGTCATCTAGGCTGGAGTGCAGTGGCGCCATCATAGTTCACCGTAATCTTGAACTCCTGGACTCAAACGATCTTTCTGCCTTGGCTTCCAAATGTGCTGGGATTACAGGCATGAGCCATTGCACTTGACCAGTTTTATTTTTGACCAACAATAATTGTATATATTTGTGGGGTACAATGTGATGTTTCAATGCACGTATACATTGTGAAATGATCAAATCAGGCTAATTAACATATCCATCACCTCAAATACTTATCATTTCTTTGTGGTGAAAAAATTTAAAATCCATTCTTCAGCCTGACCAACATGGCGAAACTCTGTCTCTACTAAAAATACAAAAATTAGTTGTGTGTGGTGGTACGCATCTGTAGTCCCAGCTACTCGGGAGGCAGAGGCAGGAGAATCCTATGAACCCAGGAGGCGGAGGCTGCAGTAACCTGAGATCATGGCACACTGCACTCCAGGCTGGGTGACAGAGGGAGACCCTGTCTCAAAAAAAAAAAAGTTCATTCTTTTAGCTATTTTGAAATATATGATTCATTATTATTAATAATAGTCACCATGATGTGCAGTAGATCACTAGAACCTATTCCTCCTGTTTAACTGAAACTTTGTACCATTGACTAACATTTCTCCTTTCCCCATCTACCCCTATCCCCCCAGCCTCTGGTAACTACTGTTCTACTCTCTACTTCTTTTCTAGATTCCATGTATAAGCGAGATCATGGAGTATTTGTCTCTCCGTGCCTGGTTTATTTCACCTAGCAAAATGTCTTTTAGGTTCATTCATGTTGCAAATCAGAATTTCCTGCCTTTTAACGGCTGAATAATTTTTCATTGTGTGTATATACCACATTTTAAAAATCCATTCATCCTGTTGATGGTGACTTTGGTTGTTTCCTTTTCTTGGCTACTATGAATAATGCTGCAGTGAACACGGGAGTGCAGGTATCTCTTCAATATACTGATTTCAGGTCCTTTGGAAGTACCCAGAAGTGAGATTGCTGGATCATATGGTAACTTTATTTTTAGTTTTTTGAGGAACCTCTGCACTGTTTTCCAGAATGGCCATACTTATGTATGTATTTATTTATTTAGAGACAGGGTCTCCCTCTGTCACCCAGGCTGGAGTGCAGTGGCACGATCTCGGCTCACTGAAGCTTGGGGCTCCTGAGCTCAAGCAGTCCTCCCACCTCAGCCCCCCAAGTAGCTGGGATCACAGGTGCACACCACCATGCCTGGCTAATTTTTTGTATTTTTGGTAGAGATGGGGTTTTGCCATGTTGCCCAGGCTGGTTTTAAACTCCTGAGCTCAAGCGATCTGCCCACCCTAGGCCTCCCAAAGTGCTGGGATTACAGGCGTGAAGCACCATGCCCAGCCCAGAATGTCCATGCTAATTTATAATAGTACCAACAGTATACAAGCGTTCCCTTTTCTCCACATCCTTGCCAACACTTGTAAGAGTTAAAGAAAGAGGAAAGAAACAAAATGCAGCTCAACAGTTAAAGGCAGGTTTACTTCAGATAAAACCTGAGAGGGGCTTCTGGCCGATTTTTGGTCAGGAGTGCTTTCTCTTACAGACTAAGAGTATATATTGGTTTTAGGGTGAGGGGGCTTATCACAAGCTTGGAATGTTTCTGTGTGAGGGAGAGGTTTTATGGCAGGGTTGGAATGTCTCTGGGAGGAGAGGAGGTTATCTTGGGGCAGACATCTTTCCAGCCAAGGCGGGTTATCTCAAGGCTGCCATCTTCCTGGCCAGAGGGGGGTTATCTTGGGGCTAGCATGTCTCTGGTTGGGGAGGAGTTTGGAATTGTGGGATATGATGAGGTTGCTCTTCAAATAGCCTGATCAATCCTTTATTCTTAATTTTTTTTTTTATTTTTTTTGAGTCGGAGTCTTGCTCTGTCTCCCAGAGCAGAGTGCAGTGGCGCAATCTCGGCTCACTGCAAGCTCCTCCTCCCGGGTTCATGCCATTCTCCTGCCTCAGCCTCCCAAGTAGCTGGGACTACAGGCGCCCACCACCACGCCCAGCCAATTTTTTGTATTTTTAGTAGAGATGGGATTTCACCGTGTTAGCCAGGATGGTCTCTATCTCCTGCCTCGGCCTCCCAAAGTGCTGGGATTACAGGCGTGAGCCACCGTGCCTGGCCAAGGTCTTGGACTTTTATAAGGCTTGGGGCTGTGTCTTCTAATGAGTTCTGTAGTTCTGTTGAAACAGCCTTAAAGTATGTTATGGAAGTGGCTAATCTGCTTGCTCTCAATCCAAGTCCAGAGGTTATACCCAAGGTGGCTATTAAGGGAATGACATGGATGGCCCTTCCTTTTCTAACATATTGGATGGGTGGGATGGGCAAAGGTCGATCAGGAGGAACAAGTCCAATGGAGGGAGATAGATAAACTAGGGTACAGGTTCCAGTCCAGTTGGTAGGGAGACAAAGGTATGTGTTGGTGCCACACAAAAAGAACAGGCCTTTGTCGTGTATACAGGCAGAGATATGGAAAGACAGTAGGTGAACTAAACATGGGGTGTTTTTTCTTTCCTGTGGTTCATTACTCCAAATGGACAAGGAGGAGGCCAGGGAGACACCTACTATAGTAGAAATATAGGAAGAGTTACTTTTTACACATTTAATGCAATAGGATGTTGCACCATTGATATTGAGCCATGGAAAAAGGTGGGCACCAGGCACAGCACAAGTTAGGCCATAGGCATTGGCTGAGAGAGAGGCTGTCAAACGAGCCAGTTGCGGAAATGCTCCATTTGCTTCAGGTGATACTGGGTAGTTAACTCGGTTAGTTTGATGGTCAGAGGGGTGTTTAATAATGATAGTACGGTTGCGTTGGTTAGGTGTTAAGGATCCTACAGGGAGATTTCCTTCAGAGGCTGAAAAGCAAAGTGAAGCTTGTTGTAAAAGGGGGGTGTGTTTAGTTATAGGCCCTTTAATGGGAGAGTCTTGAGGCTTGAGGCGTTGCAGGGAGTTGTAATAGGTTTGAAATAATTTGTTAGCCTGATTGGCCCTGGAAGTAGGATAATTGCCGACCAGGGTGTCAGCTCTTTCAAGAAAGGAAGCTCCCTTTTGGAGTGTATAAATTAGGGTTATGCTCCCTGCTAAAAGGTCATGAAGGGATGCAGGAAGGGCTGTGTAGGCTGAGGAAGACAGCGATAAGCACATCCAGCATTCAGGAGCAAAGGAAGAGTTAGTTCGCAGCAAGAGGGATTGTGTAAGGTTTATAGTTCGAGCTTGAGAGCAGTGAGAAGTGGTTGTATTGGTGAGGTTGATGTACTTAGGGTATTTGTATTGAAAAAAAAACAAGCAAAAAGCGAAAAAGGTTATTTGGGTAAGAGTAAAGTCCTGGAAAGTTCCTTGAAGCCATAGGTCCCATAGAACAGTAAAGAGCTGATCAGGATATATAATGGGAGTTTCGTAAGGGTACCGCTGAAGGACTGTAACAAGGTTGATTAGGAAGCAGTGAAAGTTTGGGAGAGAAAGAGACATAAGTGGTTTAGGTGAATTTCTCTTCCTTTTCTTCCAAGATTCGGGTGAGGCAAAGGGAAGTGGGTCCTGTGGAGACACAAGAGAAGGCTGAAGGGGTTTTGGATTTGGTTGTTTGGGTATGTGGCAAAGGGAAGTCTGTTTTCTTGAGAGAAGTATAATGAAACCAGTTGGGGAGTCCCTGGAGTTTTGCTGCTGTGGGTATGGTAAGAATGATTTGGTAAGGTCCCTTTGTTAGAAATGTTTGTTCCCTGGTGCCATAAAGAAATAGCACTTGAACATAAAATTAATTTCCTCAGCAAGGCCATTTTTACTTTCTGCAGAAAGAGCACCCTCGCCAGCAGTTTTGCCATGAGAGTACACCGAACAAAGGAGACAGGGTCATTTATAAACTGACGCTTCCACCCTACTGCTGTGTCCAGTTTCCATTGGCTGGAACGGGACCTCACATTCTGTATTTGTCCCGATTGGCTAGCAACTTAGAACTTTTTAAAAGAGGCAAAGACAGAGGAGAACAAAGGAAGGAGGAAGTAACTTGTGGAATGCTGAGAAAGGTAAAAACACCTTCAAATAAGGAAGAGGAACAGGCTATGACCTAATGTTTGCTTGGACTAGTATAAGCATGCCAGGGCAAATATTTAGGCTAAATTGTAGGAGCTAAGAACATAAAGTACATTGATTTCTTTATTACGGCTGGCCGATATTTAAGGATGTTAGCACAGGTCTTTGAATAAATTTTGCTTCTAAGAGAAGTTACTATTTATTCCTAATTAGGTGGGGAGGAAAGTCTTTGAAGAGGAACCTCTACTTTACTTTTTACACCTTCCATTTAGGTGTGAGGGGGGAATTGGGGGTAGGACTGGGATCTTTTATGAGAACCCAGTCTTCTGGCTATAGGAAGGGATTAGAGGAGTCAGTGATGGGTTGTGGCAGGTATTTGTCAGCATATTCCCAAATGAAATGGCGGATAATATACAGAAGAGGGGAAACAAGGGGAGTTGGTAGAGGTGGTGTTTGACCCTGAGGTGGAACAAAAGGGGCCAGTGGTTTCCCATACATGAGTTCAAAGGGGCTGAGCATTAAGGGTTTATGTGGGAATGCCCAAATTTTTAGAAGGGCCAAAGGCAAAAGTGTAACCCAGTCTTTAAGAGTTTGGAGTGAGTACCTGGTGAGGGTGGTTTTTAGAATGCCATTCATTTTTCCAACCTTTCCTGAAGATTGAGGTCGATAGAGGATATATAGCTTCCAGGTGATATGTAGAGCTGGTGCAAGTGTTGAGTAATTTGAGAGATGAATTCAGGACCATTGTCGGATTGAAAAGAAAGAGGCACCCTGAACCTGGGTATGATTTCCATTATTAATTTGGAGGTGACAGTAGAAGCCCATTTGTTGGTTGTGGGAAAAGCCTCGACCCATCCTGAAAAGGTATTGATGAGAACTGGAAGAAACCGAACCTTTTTAACTGGGGGCATATGGGTAAAATCAATTTGCCAGTCCTGTCCTGGAAGGTGTCCCCTGGCTTGATGGGTTGGGAAAGAAAGGGATTTAGTGTTGGAGTAGGGTGAAGCCTTTTGGCAAGTAGAACATTGATGGGAAATGGCCTTTAGCTGTTCCTTTATATCTGGGGTTATGTGTATATGGGAGCTTAAGAAATGTTGTCAAGGGGAATGGCTAGTATGGAAGAGGTTGTGAATGTCCTATAAAAGAGCAGTTTCTTCAGGGTCAGATGGGACTAATTTGTTTTGTACAAAGCAGTATGGGGGTTTGACTTGTGCCCCCGCTGTGATTAGTTGCTGTATTTGGTGTTCTGGATAAAAGGAGGGGATATGTTGTATGAGGCTTAATAGGTATTGGGGGATTGGATGGTTGGTTGAGGCTTGTTTTGCCCAATACTCAGCCTCACGGTTTCCTATTGGAATGTGGTTTTTATCTGATTGATGTCCTTTGCAATGGATAACTGCAACCTTTTCTGGAAGTAAAGCTGCCTTTAGTAAGTGATGAGTTTTCCATTAATGATAGGAAATCCCTTAGCCGTGACATAGCCCCGCTCGCTCCAAATTTGGGCATTGGAATGGATGGTGTTATAGGCATATTTAGAATCGGTGTATATGTTAACTTGTGTACTTTTTGCTAGGGTTAGTGCTCTTATTAGGGCAAATAAATCTGCTTGTTGGGAGGATATGCCCAAAGGCAAGGGGGCAGCCTCTACGACTCTTCTAGGTGGGTATCATCATGATATCCCTCAATGATAGCATACCCTGCTTGGAGGGAAGGGTTTTCTGATGCACTGCCATCTATAAACCAATCTGGGGCTTGCTTTATGTGAGTGGAAGTAAGGGGGTAGAACATGGTGAGAGAACTTTCAATTAAATTCAAGCATGAGTGTTGGTCAGTGTCTAAAATTGGTCCTGAAGGCAAAAGAGTGGCAGGATTAAGGGGGGAGCATCTATGAAGAGAGATAGAGTGTTGAAGGAGAGGTGAATGTAAGGCCTGCATGCAGGAGGATGAGATGGAGCTTAGCGCCTTATGGCTGAGTATATTTTGCAGACTGTGAAAAGAAAATACCTGAAGGGGTTTGTAGAATGTGAGTTTTTGTGCCTCAGGGATAATTAGAGGGGCTGTGACCAAAATTTTTAAGCAAAGGGGCCAACCTTTGTAAATGGGGTCTAGTTGTTTTGAAAAATATGTTACCAGTTGGAGGGAGTCTCCCATGGGTTGGGCTAATAGTCCAAGGGCCTGATTATGAGAACTGTGTAAATATAGACGAAAGGATCTCAGGGGGTTTGGAAGGCCTAGAGCAGGGGCCTGTAATAAGGCACGTTTTTGGTGAGAGAAAGCATGATAAAGGGCTGGAGTGGGAGTGAGTGGTTGGTCAAGATTGCCTTTTGTGTGTTCATAAAGGGGTTTAGTGATAATGGCAAAATTTGCTATCCATAATCAGAAATATCCCACTAATCCGAGGAAAGAAAGTAAGTCCCTTTTTGTTTTAGGAAAAGGGATTTGTTGAATGCTTTGCTTTCATGCTGGCAGAATTTCTCAAGTATTTGGAGTTATCATTAATCCTAGGTATGAGACTTTTGGAGAGGTTAATTGGGCCTTCTTTTTGGACACCTGGTACCTGCATTCAGACAAAAAATGTAAAAGCCTGGTGGTGTGTTGAATACAATGTTCTAGAGAGGGGCTGCAAAGAAGTAAATCATCCATGTACTGAAGCAAGATGCTAGGTTGTAGATGTAGCTGGGAGAGGTCTAATTGAAGTGCCTGACCGAAATAGTGAGGGCTGTCCCTAAACCCCTGGGGGAGGACAGTCCAGGTAAGTTGTTGGGAGTAGCCTATGTCAGGGTCGGTCTAAGTGAAAGCAAAAAGGTTTTGAGAGGAGGGATGTAGAGGAATAGTAAAAAAAGCATCTTTGAGGTCCAATACTGAGAAATGGCTAGTGTTGGGAGGAATTTGCAATAGGAGGGTGTAGGGGTTTGGGAACAATAGGATAAACAGGAACAACAGTGGAGTTGATTTATCACAAATCCTGAACCAGTCTATAGGAGCCATCTGGTTTTTTGATTGGGAGAATAGGAGTATTATGGGGAGAATGGGTGGGGATTAAAATATTGGCAGCCAAAAGTCAGTAGATGATGGGCTTGAGTCCCTGTAATCCATTAGGGTTGAGGTGATATTGTGGGACCACTGTGTAGCGCTTAGGATCCTTTAGTGAGATTTGAATTAGAGAATGGTGGGTAGCTATTATGGGGGAGTCAGTGTTCCATACTATAGGATTTACCTGGCTGAGGGATTTGGGTGTTTTTTGTTTGTTTGTTTGTTTTGAGACAGAGTTTTGCTCTTGTTGCCCAGGCTGGAGTACAATGGCGTGATCTTGGCTTGCTGCAACCTCCACCTCCCGGATTCAAGCAATTCTCTTGCCTCAGCCTCCGAGTAGCTGGGATTATAGGCATGCACCACCACGCCCAGTTAATTTTGCATTTTTAGTAGAGACAGGGTTTCTCCATGTTGGTCAGGCTGGTCTCAAGCTCCCAAACTCAGGTGATCCGCCTGCCTCGGCCTCCCAAAGTGCTGTGATTACAGGCGTGAGCCAGGAATTTGGGTTTTAAGTCTATTTGATGTGGAGTGTCTGAGGAGGGGTTTTTTTCTTGACATAATAATAAGTAAGGGTGGCTTTGATGTAGGGCCGATGAATGAATGATTCCCCCTAGTTTGTGTAGGATGTCCCTTCCTAGTAAAGGAGTGGGACAATGAGGAATGACCAAGAAAGAGTGAGTGAGAGTGACTCCCTGAAATGAGCAGTATAGAGGCAGTGTTTTGTATGGAAGTTCTTGTATGTCCTTCATGCCAACAACAGAAAATTATGAACATTCTAGTGGGCCTTGATATTCAGTTAATACTGATAGGCTCGCCCCAGTATCCAGGAGAAAGGAAATAATCTTACTGGATACCGTCCCAATTACCCTGGGTTCCATGGACTCACTGGATGTGGGGGTGAAGGATTCCAGGCACCCTCAGTCTTCCGTTGTCAGTACCAGCAGTGAAGATATTTCCTCCTGTGATGGTCAGGGGGCCTCACAGGGCTACACTTGAACAGGGAGGGTGTATCCATTGGGCACAGTCCATTTTCCAGTGTCCCCAAAGACCACAAGTTGGGCACGGTTTGGTAGGGGGCCAGGGGCTAGGACAAGCCTTTGCCCAGTGTCCAGGGTTGCCACATTGGAACCCTGATGTGGCACTTCAGGGTGACACTTCCAGAGAGGTGACGGAGTTTCCCTTGGGGTTGTCTGGAGGCTTTTGTGTAACTGACCTTTGGACAGCAGAGGTGAGCATCTGGTATTTTAACCAGACATGTTTGTCTTTTTGAATTTTTTGTTCCTTGTCTCTGTTGTTAAAGACACGGAAGGCCTTCCAGCACTTTGGGAGGCCAAGGCGGGTGGATCACCTGAGGTCAGGAGTTTGAGACCAGCCTGACCAACATGGCGAAACCCCGTCTCTACTAAAAATACAAAATTAGCTGGGTGGGGTGGCGCATGCCTGTAATCCCAGCTACTCGGGAGGCTGAGGCAGGAGAATCGCTTGAACCTGGGAGGCAGAAGTTGCAGTGAGCCAAGATCACGCCATTGCACTCCAGCCTGGGCAACAAGAGCAAAACTGTCTCCAAAGGCCGCATTTAGGAGGTCCTGCTGAGATGTTTGGGGACCTTCCTCTAATTTTTTTTTTTTTTTTAAGACAGAGTTTCACTCTTTTTGCCCAGGCTGGAGTGCAATGGCGTGATCTCAGCTCACCGCAACCTCCGCCTCCCAGGTTCAAGTGATTCTCCTGCTTCAGCCTCCCAAGTAGCTGGGATTACAGGCGCCTGCCACCATGCCCGGCTAATTTTTTTTTTGTATTTTTAGTAGAGACGGGGTTTCACCATGTTGGCCAGGGTGGTCTCGATCTCTTGACCTCGTGATCCGCCTGCCTCGGCCTCCAAAAGTGCTGGGATTACAGGCGTGAGCCACTGCACCCGGCTGACCTTCCTCTAATTTTTGTAATATTTTCTGGATATCTGGGGCAGATTGGGAAATAAATTGGAAGTGGAGAAAAGTTTGCCCTTCTCTAGATTCTGGATCCAGATTGGTATATTTTAGCATGGCTTCAGTGAGATGTGATAAGAAAAGGGCAGGATTCAGGCCGGGCGCAGTGGCTCATGCCTGTAATCCCAGCACTTTGGGAGGCCGAGGCGGGTGGATCACGAGGTCAGGAGTTCGAGATCAGCCTGACCAACATGATGAAACCCTGTCTCTACTAAAAATACAAAAATTAGCTGGGCGTGGTGACACGCGCCTGTAATCCCAGCTACTCAGGAGGCTGAGGCAGGAGAATCGCTTGAACCTGGGAGGCGGAGGTTGCAGTGAGCTGAGATCGCGCTACTGCGTTCCAACCTGGGCAACAGAGTGAGACTCCATCTAAAAAAAAAAAAAAAAAAAAAGGCTGGATTCTCCTGGGGCTCCTTTGTAATTTCTCTGAGTTTTTCATAATTAACTGCCTTATGGGCATTTTTGTTCATGCCCGTGAGGAGACAGGTAATCATGTGGTTCTGTCGCCTGATGCCATTGTTTCCCTGTTGGTAAGTCCAGTCTGTGTCTCTATGGGGGACTGCATCATTGGCCACTGGATTTTATATAGGGGCTTGGTTATGGAGTTCATCTGCATGGGCTTCAGCTGAACACCAGATGCTCTCCTTTTCATCAGGAGTGAGGGTGGAGGTTAAAATTATATAAATATCATGCCAAGTTAAATTAAAGGATTGGGTTACGTGCAGGAATTCCCTGCGATAGTGATAGGGATTGTCAGAGAAGGATCCTAGCTGCCGTTTGATTTGTGACAAATCAGACTTGGAGAAAGGGATGTGAATACGAGCAATGCCTTCAACCCCAGCCACTTCCCGGAGAGGGAGAATGGCTGGGGTGGTTTGACTGGTGGCTTTTGAACGGGTAACAGGTGGAGAAGGAGGAGGAGTGGGGTTTGGGGCTGGAGGCTTGAGGGCAGGAGGGCCCCCTGGGGTGGAGGGTTTGGAAGGATGAGGAGCAGAACCAGGGGGATGGGAATACGAAGGGGGTTCATCTGCAGGGTCAAAAGGGGTTTCAGAGGAAGGGGTTTCGAGGGAAGGGGTTTTGGAGGAAGGGTTTTCGCGGGAAGGGATCTCAGAGGAAAGGTTTTTGGAGGAGGGAGAGACCCAGACAGCATTTTCATTGAGAAGAAGGACTTCATGAGGGGTGCAAGCTTGACATAGGGAGGGTTGGGAGCTAAGGTAGAAGAAAGCCTGAATGTAGAGAACCTCTTGCCATTTGCCATTCCTGGTTATAAAGTTGTCGAGGTCCCTAAGAATTTGCAAGTAAAAGGTGACATTTTCCAACCATCGGCTGTCATTATCTAATGTGTATTGCAGCCAGACCATGTTGCAATAAAAGACTAAATGCTTTGGCTTTATGCTTCCCGGTAAGCCAAGTTTGGTGAGGTTGTGAAGGAGGCAGCCCAGTGGGGAGGATGTAGGAATGTGGGATTGTTTGGCACCCATGTGGACTGGTGAGAAGAAGCCGAGGGTGTCTGTTTTTGTTCTAGGCATCCCCAGATGAAAGACAGAGACCCGGCGTCCTCTTTCTAAAGAGGATGGTCAAGCTGAGATGAAAACTGGGCATCCCCAAGATTTCTTCTAGCTTTTTAGTCCTGCTGGTCCTCTGAGGACCGGGATGGCAGACCTAACTTTTCCTGGTACCGTGAGAAAGCCAGAGGAGGGCAGATCTTAGCAGTTGGCTGGATTAGTGTCCAATGTTGGATGTTCCAGTTGGAATTGGCAAAGGGCCCCTTAAACCAGAGCCACATGAGGAAGAGAGAAAGAGAGAAGGGAGGAGGAGGGGAGAGGGCAAAATACCCATTGTGGGAAGTTGGAGGTGGATTCCCAAGATCTGAAGGTTTAAAGACTTGTTGGGGAGTAGCCCCGGCCAGAGCCTTGCAGTCCCCTTCAGGTTAGTTGTCCTCATGCAAATCGCTCCAAAAATGAAGTGAGAGAAAAGACGGGGCAGGTGACCAGAGACCCTCAGGATCCAGGAATTAACTTATGATGAGCTGCCGTTGCCCACTGCTTCCTGGGTTGCAAGAGAGCCTCTGCCCCCAGCACCTGTTCCAGATTTCGGCACCAAATATAAGAGTTAAAGAAAGAGAAAAGAAACACAAATGCTTGACAGTTAGAGGCAGGTTTACTTTAGATAAAACCTGAGAGGGGTTTCTGGCCAATTTTGGTCAGGAGTGCTTTCTCTTACAGACTAACAGTATATATTGGTTTTAGGGTGAGGGGGCTTATCACAAGCTTAGAATGTTTCTGTGTGAGGGAGAAGTTTTATGGCGGGGTTGGAATCTCTCTGGGAGGAGGGGAGGTTATCTTGGGGCAGACATCTTTCTGGCCAGAGGGGTGTTATCTCAAGGCTGGCATCCTCCTGGCCAGAGGGGGGTTATCTTGGGGCTAGCATGTCTCTGGTCAGGGAGGAGTTTGGAATGTTTCTGGTTGGAGATGTTAATTGTGGTTTATGGTCATGCTGACCTTAGCCATTAGGCTGATGCCCTTTAGATTTAGGTGGTTTTTTATTAAGGTGAACTTTAGAATGTGGGGCTTGTCCAAGATGCCGATGCTCCCGCTGAATGAGGGGCCTGTCCAAGATGCCGATGCTCCTGCTCTGTCAACACTTATCTTTCATCTTTTTGATAATAGAAAGTCTAACAGGAATGAGGTGATATTTCAATGTGGTTTTAATTTGCATTTCTTTGATGATTATTACATTTTTTATCTTTAGTCCTGACCTCTTGAACTCCATACTCCTATATGTGATTGCTTGGTTGACATCTCTGCTTGATAATAGACATATCAGATTTAACATGCCTAAAAACTAAAGGACAAAAAACACATTTCTTACCTCAATAGGTGCAGAAAAAAACATTTGACAAAATCCAGCACCTTTTCGTGATACAAAAACACTCAACAAACTAGGAATAAAAGGTAACTTCCTTAACCTGATCAAGGGTATCTACAAAAATCCCATAGCTAACATTGTACTTAATGGTGAAAGACTAAAGGCTTTTCCCGCTCATATCAGGAACAAGGCAAGGATGTTTGTCTGCTCTTGCGACTTCTCTTCACATTATAATTCAACATTATAGTGGAGGTTCTTTTTTTTTTTTTTTTGAGACGGAGTCTCACTGTGTCGCCAGGCTGGAGTGCAGTGGCGCAACCTTGACTCGCTGCAATCTCTGCCTCCCGGGTTCAAGTGATTCTCCTGCCTCAGCCTCCTGAGTAGCTGGGATGACAGGCGTGCACCACCACGCCCGCTAATTTTTTTGTATTTTTAGTAGAGGCGGGGCTTCTTCATGTTGGTCAGGCTGGTTTCGAACTCCTGACCTCAAGTGATCTGCCCGCCTTGGCCTCCCAAAGTGCTGGGATTACAGGCATGAGCTATCACGCCTAGTCTATTTATTTATATTTTTTGAGGCAGAGTCTGTTGTCCAGGCTGGAGTGCAATGGCGCAATCTCGGCTTACTGCAACCTCCATCTCCCAGGTTCAAGCGATTCTCCTGCCTCTGCCTCCTGAGTAGCTGGGATTTCAGGCGCAGGCCACCACGCCCGGCTAATTTTTGTATTTTTAGTAGAGATGGGGTTTCACCATGTTGGCCAGGCTGGTCTCAAACTCCTGACCTCAGGTGATCCTCCCGCCTTGGCCTCACAAAGTACTGGGATTACAGGCATGAGCCACCGCACCTGGCCTTATTTATTTATTTCTGGGACAGGGTCTCATTCTGTTTCCCAGGCTGGAGTGCAATGGCGCGATCTCTGCTCTCTGCAACCTCCACCTCCTGGGTTCAAGCGATTCTCCTGCCTCAGTCTCCCAAGTAGCTGGGATTACAGGTGCCCACCACCACACCCAGCTAATTTTTGTATTTTTAGTAGGGACGGGGTTTCACTGCGTTGGCCAGGCAGGTCTCGAACTCCTGACCTCAGGTGGTCCGCCCACCTCAGCCTCCTAAAGTGCTGGGATCACAGGCGTGGGCCACTGTGCCCAGCCAAAACAATTCCATTTACAATAGCAACAAAAATAAATGCTTAGGAGTAAATTTATACGAGGAGGTGCAACACTTAGATACTGAAAACTATAAAACATTGTTGAAAGAAATTTAAGAAGGCCTAAATAAAAGAAAGATATCCTGTGTTTATGGATTGAAAGATGTAATATCTTTAAAATGGCAATACTTCCCAAAGTGTTCTACAGATTCTAATGCCACATCTAAGAAAATCTCAGCTGGCTTTTTTGTAGAAATTGATGAGCTACCAGCCCGGCCAACATGGTGAAACCCCGTCTCTAGTAAAAATACAGAAATTAGCCAGGTGAGGGTGGTGCACGCCTATAATCCCAGCTGCTCGGGAGGTTGAGGCAGGACAGTCGCTTGAACCTGGGAGGCAGAGGTTGCAGTGAACCAAGACCGTGCCACTGCACTCCAGCCTGGGTGACAGAGCGAGACTCTTGTTTCCAAAAAAAAAAAAAAGAGAAAGAAATTGACAAACTATTATAAAAGCCATATAGAAATACAGGGGACCCAGAATAGCCAAAACAATCTTGAAAAAGAGTAGTTTAGCCGACCGTGGTGCCTCACATCTGTAATCCCAGCTACTCAGGTGACTGAGACAGGAGGATCACTTAAGGCCAGTTTGAGACCAGCCTGGGCAACATGGCAATACCCCATCTCTATTATTAATTTTTTTTTTTTTTTTGAGACAGAGTCTCGCTCTGTCGCCCAGGCTGGAGTGCAGTGGTGCGATCTTGACTCACTGCAAGCTCCGCCTCCCAGGTTCCCACCATTCTCCTGCCTCAGCCTCCTGAGTAGCTGGGACTACAGGCGCCCACCACCATGCCCAGCTAATTTTTTGTATTTTTAGTAGAGACAGGGTTTCACCGTGTTAGTCAGGATGGTCTCGATCTCCTGACCTCCTGATCCGCCTGCCTTGGCCTTCCAAAGTGCTGGGATTACAGGCATGAGCCACCGCGCCCGGCCCCCATCTCTATTATTTAAAGAAAATTTTTAAAGGAACAAAGTTAGAGGACTCATAGTTCCCAAATTCAAAACTTACGACAAAGCTACAGTAGTCAAGACAGTGTGGTACTTGCATAAGTATAGATATAGATCAATGGAATAGAAGCAAGAGTTCTACACTGTTCTTTCCTGGAACAGCATGGAGTGCCCATATTTCAGGCACTTGCTTATGTGTAGGGAATAATGGTTGCTGTTGTATTTTGTTCTTTTTGTGTTTTTTTTTATTTTTTTTTCTGCTCAGTAAGCTTTCATGTCCACCTTCTGGTAATGGTCTTATCCCCTGGCCACTAGGGTGGGCAAGTAACATTCTTTAAAACTTTTATTGTGAAATATAAGATATGTATATTTCACAATATATGCATAAATAAAATGTATAAAACATGAATATTCAATTTAATGGTGGCCTGGGCCTCTTAGGATAGGAGCCTACACAAGTTTTGGTTTGGGGCTTGACACTGTCAGCTCCGTACTCTATTTCACCTACAAGAGCAATCACTGAAAAAAGCGTAAGGCTTTCTGTAATATTTATTATCTGGTTATTGGCTTTGGATTCCTCAGACAAGAACTATTTGGACCAAACTATATGGCTCAAAAGAGACCCAAGGTTCTTCTTGCTCTTTTAGGTCCTTTATACCCTGTCATAAAGAGAATACAAGCAGGCAGGAAGAGCAAAGCTGATTTCAAAGTGAGTAAAAGCAGGCAGGGTTGTTGAACTCCTCCTTTGTAATCAGACCTGAACATTTTAGTGCTGCTTTTGGTTGAACTGGGCAAATACCCTTCTGCCAGAATAAACAGGAAGGAAGCATCCTCCTACATGCTAACAACATGCCCTCAGAAAGCAGCTGAACCTGCTGGCTAATCACTCCGGAAAAAAACAGCATAACAGTAATTATGCCAAAACCAAAATTATCCTTTTTTCTGGCATAGCAGATGTGCTTTGGCATCTAGAGGGTATCCTACCAGCCAATGTTCCTCAGCAGAAAGAAGTTTTATTATTTTTGGGGAGCATTTGGTGGCTAACATCCTGACTGACCCTTTGGAATAAAGTCTAACTAAAAATGAAAAATTCTCCAGGGACAGTTAATTTCTTTTACAATGGGTATAGACCTTTAGTACCTCCAGCTCCTTAATCTTCTAGCCCAAGGTTATCTGGTTAACCTTGCCAAACACAAAAGGACAAATACTTTGGGGTTTTTACAATGGGTATAGACCTTTAGTACCTCCAGCTCCTTAATCTTCTAGCCCAAGGTTATCTGGTTAACCTGCCAAACACAAAAGGACAAATACTATATGATTCCACCTATATGAAATATCTAGAATAGGCACATACACAGAGACAAACAGTAGATTAGATGTCACTGAGGGGTGGGAGAAATGGGGAGTTATAGCTTAATGGGTACAGAGTTTCTGTTTGGTATCATGAGAAGGATAGTGGTGATGATTACACGTTGTGAATGTAATCAATGCCATTGTACCCTTAAAATGGTTAAAATGGCAATTTTATGTTATATGTATTTTACCACATTTTTTTAAAAAACCTAGACATTCTGTCACAGTTATGGAAACTAGAAGTCTGAAATCAAGGTGTCAGCAGGGTTGGTTTCTTTTTGGAGACTGAGAAATAATCTGTTCCAAGCCTCTCTCCTAGTTTATGGTGGTACTGGCAATCCTAGGAGCTTTTTGGCTTGTAGATGCGTCACTCCATTCTCTGCCTCCATCTTCATGTGGCATTCTCCTCTCTATGTCTCGGTGTCTCAGTTTACCTCTTATAAGTAAACTAGTCATATGAGGTTAGGGCCTACCCTAATCCAGTATGATCTCATCTTAAATCAATAACATCTGCAATGTCCTGGTCACATTCACGGGCTCCAGGTTGACATGAAATTTTGGAGGACTCTATTTAACCTAGTACAGGGCACTCCCGTGGATAAAATCTTCTGGGAAATGTACATAGAATCAGAAGGACATTGACAACAAAAAGATCCCCAGAAATGCCAACATTTTATAGGGGATATGTGGATGGAGAGGAATTCAAGATGCAGACTGAGCATCTTGAATGGTTAGTGAGGTAGAAGAAATCTAGGAGAAGGGTTGTATGCCACTGAACCCAAGCGGGAGGGAAAACTTCAGGAGGGATGTAGTTATCAGTGGTTTTAAGCACAGCAGAAAGGTCCAGAAAGATAAAGACTAAGAACTGTCCATGGAGTTTGGCAATATGGAGGTTGGTGTCCTTGGTGAGAACAGTTACATTAGAGTGCTAGGTAAGAAGCCAAATCGCAGCGTGTTATGAATCTTGCTTTTTGTATGCCTTCAAATTGATAGGCAGCAGTCTATTGGCAAAGCAGTCTTTTTAGTCTCTTTCACCTACCACCTAGATTCTGTTATTAACATTTTACTATACTCACTTTATCACATACCTATTCTTGCATCTATTCCATCAATCCATCTTCTTTTTTTAGGATACATTTCAAAGTAAATTGCAGACATCAGGGTACTTCCCCCTAAACACTTCAGCATATAAACTATTAAGTGGATTTCAATATTTGTTTAGTTTTTTTCTTTTAAAGTAAAATTTTCATACAAAGAAATGCACAAATCTTAAGTGTACATTTGGTGAATTTTGACAAGTGCATACACGTGTGTAACCCAAACCCCTATCAGGATATAGAATACTATTATCACCCCAGAAAGTGCCCTCACGCCCTTTCCCAGGCATTTTCCACCTCCAGAGGCAACCACTGTCTTGATGTTTTCCACCATATGTTAGTTTTGCCTATTTTAGAACTTGATATAAGTGAAATCACACTGTTGCTACTCTTTTATGCCTGGCTTTTCCTCAGCATGTTTTTGAGATTCATACATGTATAAATTCATACATGTAGTAGTTTGTTCTTTTCTATTATTGAGTCCTTTGTATGAATATATCACAGATTGGTGGGTTTTTTTGTTTGTTTGTTTGTTTTGAGTCAGAGTCTTGCTTTTTCATCCAGGCTGGAGTGCAGTGGCTTGATCTTGGCTCACTGCAACCTCCATCTCCTGAGTTCAAGCGATTTTCCTGCCTCAGCCTCCTAAGTAGCTAGGATTACAGGAACCCGTCACCACACCTGGCTAATTTTTGTATTTTTAGTAGAGATGGTGTTCCACCATGATGGCAGGGCTAATCTCGAACTCCTGACCTCAAGTGATCTGCCCACCTCGGCCTCCCAAAGTGCTAGGATTACAGGTGTGAGCCACCGTGCCTGGCCTAAACTTTTGTTTTGTTTTTTTTTTTTTTTTTGAGATGGAGTCTCACTCTGTCATCCAGGCTGGAGTGCTGTGGCATGATCTCGGCTCACTGCAACTTCCGCCTCCCTGGTTCACATGATTCTCCTGCCTTTGCCTCCAGAGTAGATGGGATTACAGGTGCCTGCCACCATGCCTGGCTAATTTTTGTATTTTTAGTAGAGATGGGTTTCACCATGTTGGCCAGGCTGGTCTCAAACTCCTGACTTCAGGTGATCCAACCGCCTCGGCCTCCCAAAGTGCTGGGGTTGTTTCCAGTTTTTGGCTATTAAGAGTAAAGCAACATTGTTTGTTTTTTTGACTCTTAAATGCCTGTCTTATAAATGGCGCTAAGCAGGGAAAAGCTAATTATTAAATATTGTTTGACTGAAATGTGAACCACATTTTTCCCTAATTTATGTCAGAAATCACTATTTAATAATATTGTTTGTGTTTATATGTGATTTTAAAATGATCCCCACCTTAATTAAAATGACCATCCCTGAAAGTGAAGCCAAAAGGAAGGAATCCTCCTAGCCTACTCTGCCATGACTTGGGCTTTAAATGGACCTGTTTTCAATACTGGCATTCAGGTCACCTGCAATTTTTATGTTATCCAAATGTTTTATGTTTTATTGATTTTGATGGAGAATCAAAAGACATCTGTTGTGTCTAATGCATCTACATGCATCTTGACAAGGGGACTGGACATAGAGACATGTCAGGGAGCAGATACTCCAGGAGCTGGATCAGTATAGGGAAACTGTTAACGGACAGGTCTTTGTTCTCAGAGCTCCCAAGATAG
This sequence comes from Homo sapiens, assembly GCF_000001405.40. Classification (NCBI taxonomy): domain Eukaryota; kingdom Metazoa; phylum Chordata; class Mammalia; order Primates; family Hominidae; genus Homo; species Homo sapiens. The sequence goes on along the minus strand of NC_000023.11, from coordinate 72,213,883 downwards.
TGGTGGGCCGCTCCCAAGATGGCAGCAAGCCTTTTGTTCTCTGACCTGGGGTTCTTGGCCTCACGGATTCCAAGGAATGGAACCTTGGGCCACATGGTGAGTGTTATAGCTCTATTAGAAGCCGTGGGTCATGGAAGAGAACCGTGGAACCCAGCAACTAGTGTTCAGCTGGATTAGGACGAACCCGGGCACTTAGCCATGCAGGAACAATGGCGAGCCTTTAGCCCGATTGGGAGCGGCAATGGGCGCCTTGCTATATCAGAAACGCAGCGGACACCCTGCCATATCTGGAGGGGTGGAAGTCAGCGATGGGTCTGCAACGGTGGCAAACAGCAGTGGTGGACGGTGAGCGAAAGCTCAGCTCGAGCCGTAACAAACACAGACCAGAAGAGTGTGCAGTTGCAAGATTTAATAGAGTGAAAACAGAGCTCCCATACAATGGGAGGGACCCAGACGAGGTTGCCCCTCCCGGCTCGAATGCCTGGATTTATATCCCGATCATTTTCCCTCCCCCTGTGCTCTCGGGCGATATATGATTTGACTATTTCTTTACCTCCTGCTTTTAGCCTAATTTGTATTTCAGTGAGCCCTCTTTACTACCTGATTGGTTGGGTGTGAGCTGAGTTATAAGCCCTGTATTTAAAGGTAGGTGTAGTCACCTTCCCCAGCTAGGCTTAGGAATTCTTAGTCAGCCTAGGAAATCCAGCAAGTCCTGTCTCTCAAAACTGGGTTCTTGTTGAGAGGACAGCAATAACCCCACTCACATGCGCCGAGATTAGCAGGTCTAGGCTCCTCCACCCCTATATGGGCCTAGTGGCTGGTGGCCAGATTACAAAACAAAGAGCATTTCTGATTGTTTTGCATGTGAAGAAAACAAAGTTTTATTGAGTTAGGGTCTTTGCATTCAGTTCTCTGTCTCTTCACATTCTTTTTTTTTTGAGACAGGGTCTGGCTCTGTAGCCCAGGCTGGAGTGCAGTGGTGACACGATCATAGCTCAATGCAACCCCTGCCTCCCAGGCTCAAGCCATCCCTCCCACCTTAGCCTCCCAGTAGCTGGGTCTAGGCGCATGCCACCAAACCCGGCTAATTTTTTTTCTATTTTTTGTAGAGACCAGGGCTTCACTATGTTGCCCAGGCTAGTCTCAAACTCCTGGGCTCAAGCAATCTGCCCGCCTTGGCCTCCCAAAGTACTGGGATTAGAGGCTCAAGCCACCGCTCCCAGCTGTCTCTTCACATTCTAAAATAACTTTGTAGGGAATGTTCTAAAGGGCCCTCCATAGCAAGGAAAATCAAGTGTGTGTCTTCTGCAACTTAAGCTTGTGTGCCTTTTCAGCTGCTCATTTGTAAACACTGTGTGTTTAACTTAGCTTAGCTCTTTGGGGCATAGGTCTAATAGTATGGCTTATGGGTTTCTCCAGATAGAAAAACTTTTCAGCATCTGAACTGGCAGACCCTCTGTGGAGAAGAAAGGTTTCTCAAGGTATCAGCCAGTTCCAAAGGGAGGTGGATTAGATGTTGAGAGGTTAATTGGCTATGGTCAAGGAAAATGTTTGCATCTGAGGAAATAGCTTTGGGGCAGAGATGATTTTATTATTATTATTATTATTTTTTTTGAGATGGGGTCTCGCTGTGGTGCACGGTTGGAGTGTAGTGGTGCGATCTTGGCTCACTGCAACCCCCGCCTTTCACGTGATTCTCATGCCTCAGCCTCCCGAGTAGCTGGGATTACAGGCACCCACCACCATGCCCGGCTAATTTTTTTGTATTTTTAGTAGAGACGGGGTTTCACCATGTTGGCCAGGCTGGTCCTGAACTCCTGACTTCAGGTGATTCAACCGCCTCAGCCTCCCAAAGTGCTGGGATTACAGGCATGAGCCACCATGCCCAGCCACAGAGATGATTTTATATGGCCACTTGGGCAGGGCTTCTTATAGAGAGACCTTTAGGTGGGGTTATGACCCAGGGGGTTAGCAACTGGGCAGTTTTGCCAGCGAAAGTGTAGCTTTCCAGGTAACAGGACTTTGTAGCCCAAGTTTAATTGTTGTATCACCTTCCTCCAGGAGTTGTTTGTATATAATATTTCTTTTTTTTTTTATTTTTGAAACGGGTCTTGCTCTGTCACCCAGGCTGTAGTGCAGTGGTGCGATCATGGCTCACTGCAGCCTAGACCTCCCATGCTGAAGCGAACTTCTTGCCTCAGCCTCCTGAATAGCTGGGACTGACTACAGGTGTGTGCCACTGATATGGTTTGGCTGTGACCCCACCCATAATCTCATCTTGAATTGTAATCCAGATTGTAATCCTCAATCTCATCTTGAATTGTAATCCAGACTGTAATCCTCACGTGTTTGGGGAGACACCTTGTGGGAGGTGATTAGATGTCCTTTAAAATAATCCTTAAAGAGAAACATGCTCTAGTCATATAATTTCAGGTAAAACCATTTAAACATAAAATTTTTGTTTTTATTGTCCATTCCTATGGAATTAAAAACTGACATTTCACCCCATACTCTAGCACTATTCTTCTCCTTGTTCTCTTGCTTGAGGGTTATGGTTCTTTGTCCTGAACTGGTTACTCCTCCCTGTCCTCTTGGCTCCCAAGCAGGCCTGGCTTCTCCCTGCCTATGTTCAAGGAAAATAGGGGAGCAATTCTGGAAAAATACTTGAGCCCATGAAGTGTTAGCTAAGTTATCCAGATCATTAGGGATCCTGTGTGCTATAGATGGATAAATCATTACATTAGCAATAAAAAGGACATGTTTTCCCTCCAAGCCCTGAAAAATGGAAGTGATTAGAAGTTAAGTGGCTAAATCAAACTGCATTGTAAAAAGCATTCTAGTCTTGCAAATAATCAGATATCCAGGGCAGTGCTATTAAAAGCATTTATTTTTCCTCCTGATTCCATTGTAGGGAAAGAATACCATCCTAGGTCCAACTTAATTGGTGGAATAGACTGAGGGGAAAGGAAGAGCTGAGATGCAGTTGTTAGACAGACCTGCTAACTAGGGTGGACCAGGGACTGGGGAAGGCAGCTTGGCTCACAGCAGCGGTTTAACCCAGCCAGAAAGCAGTGATATCCAAGGAATACTGTAAACTCTCGTTGTGGTTCAGGCAGAGGTTGACAAATGGGGGTTCCAGAGGGTGGGTAGAGCACAGCAATAAGTATTTTAGGCTGGTGCTAAGAAGTCTAGGCACACAGTTGCCATTTAAAAGGCTGGCGTGTGTGATTAGTGGGGACTCTGGCCCAGAGCTAAGGATCAGGGACAGCACTTTAGTCTCTGGGAAAGACGCCTGGCTAGAGTTACACAGAACCCCAGGTTTCATAGGGGTTTCAGGATACTGGGTAGGTTACCAGTTCAGGAACTTGGAAATAATCTAATAATTTAAGAATGTTATTTTTTCCTTCAAGCTCTAGAACATAGATCAAGACCGCTTTCCAAAGCAGCTCTGAACCCTTAATAATTCCCATCAATAGTGGGAGTTTTTCACACCTTGCCAACACTTGGTATTTTCCCACTTGTTGGTTATAGCCATCCTAATGGGAAGTGGTATCTCCTTGTGGTTTTGGTTTGCATTTCCCTGACAACTAATGATGTTGAGAGTCTTTTCATGTGCCCATCTGTATATCTTTTTTCCATTTATTTATTTATTTATTTATTTATTTATTTATTTATTTATTTTTTAAGAGACAGTCTCGCTATGTTATTCAGGCTAGTCTTAAACTCCTGACCTCAAGCGATCCTCCTGCCTTGGCCTCCCAAAAGTGCTGGGATCACAGTCATGAGCCACCGCACCCGGCCCTGTATATCTCTTCCCCCCCTCTGGTTGCTTGTGTGTTCGGCATCATATTTAAGATATTGCCAAATCCAAGTCATGAAGATTTTTACACCTATATTTTTTCCTAAGTTTTGTAGGTTTAGCCCTTAGATTTAGATCTATGATCCATTTTGAGTTAATTTTTGTGTATGGTATGAGTAGGGGTCCAATTTCATTCTTTTGCACATGGATATCCAGTTGAAAAGACTTCTTCCCCAGTGAATTATTTTGGCGCCCTTACTGAAAGTAATTGACCATAAACCACTGAAGAATTTTAAGCAGAGGAGTGACATGATTTCTTTTATGCTTTAAGACAGTATTGCTGGCTGCTATATAGAGTGTGTATTGGAGGGGCAAGAGTTTATGTAGGGAGAGCAGTTTATGTAGGAAGCTGCAGTTATCCAGGCCAGAGATGATGGTGACTTGGGCCACAGTAATGGTAGTAGAGATGGAAAGAAGGTGGTTATAACTTGGGAAATAAAGTTAGTAGGACTTGGGACTGCCTGGCCTGGGGGTGGGGCATAAAAAGAAAGGACAAGGATGACTCCTATTTAGGTTGGGGTCAAGGATTCTCTTCAGATTTGAAGTTTGGGTGGCTAAATAGATGGTAGTGTTATTTAGTACCATACAAATGGAGAAGCACGTTTTTAGAGGGGAAATAATGAGTCTAGTTTGGGATGAATTGAATTTGATTTCAAGTGGAGATGTCCAGAAGGCAGCTGGAATATGGGTCTAGAGTAGAGCTTGAGGGACAGCTCTAGGTTGGAGAGAGTGATTTGAGAGTCATGAGCACATAGGTGGGAGCGGAAGCTCTGGGAAAACTTGAGGAGAGATTAAAAAGAGTGAGAAGAGGTCCTAGGACTGAGTCCTCTGGGAGGAAGAACACAGAAGAAATGGTCAGTGAAGAGGAGGAAAACCAGAAGGAATCTATAGGAATCTCGTGAAAGGAGGGAATTTTAAGAGGGGAGGGGAGTGATCAATACTGTTAAATGGAGGTCCAGTAAAATAAGGCCAGAGAGGTTCCCATGTTTCCATGCCCCTACACATAGAGGTTTGTTTTACAAAAAATATCACTTCATACTTCTTATGGGTGCCAATTAAAAAAAAAATACTGTGGAACCAATAACCTTTGCACATTCATTTTCCACAACTAGTGCCTGAAGGTGTTGCTGGCAGCATCTGGTGGATATTTGTTTGTGTCTCAAGTGACGCCAGCTTTCATTGGCATCTTGTGTGCTAATCTTTCCCATCCTGAATTGAGGATATTAAAAGTCCAGCTGCAGTTTGGATTCTAAAATGAACTCTAAAGCATTCTTAGACTGAATGTTCAATGTTTCCTTTCTCCTCTTCTTCTTTTTTTTTCTATAGATATGTGAAAGAGGCCAAAGAAGCAACTAAGAATGGAGACCTGGAAGAAGCATTTAAACTTTTCAATTTGGCAAAGGACATTTTTCCCAATGAAAAAGTGCTGAGCAGAATCCAAAAAATACAGGAAGCCTTGGAGGAGTTGGCAGAACAGGGAGATGATGAATTTACAGATGTGTGCAACTCTGGCTTGCTACTTTATCGAGAACTGCACAACCAACTCTTTGAGCACCAGAAGGAAGGCATAGCTTTCCTCTATAGCCTGTATAGGGATGGAAGAAAAGGTGGTATATTGGCTGATGATATGGGATTAGGGAAGACTGTTCAAATCATTGCTTTCCTTTCCGGTATGTTTGATGCATCACTTGTGAATCATGTGCTGCTGATCATGCCAACCAATCTTATTAACACATGGGTAAAAGAATTCATCAAGTGGACTCCAGGAATGAGAGTCAAAACCTTTCATGGTCCTAGCAAGGATGAACGGACCAGAAACCTCAATCGGATTCAGCAAAGGAATGGTGTTATTATCACTACATACCAAATGTTAATCAATAACTGGCAGCAACTTTCAAGCTTTAGGGGCCAAGAGTTTGTGTGGGACTATGTCATCCTCGATGAAGCACATAAAATAAAAACCTCATCTACTAAGTCAGCAATATGTGCTCGTGCTATTCCTGCAAGTAATCGCCTCCTCCTCACAGGAACCCCAATCCAGAATAATTTACAAGAACTATGGTCCCTATTTGATTTTGCTTGTCAAGGGTCCCTGCTGGGAACATTAAAAACTTTTAAGATGGAGTATGAAAATCCTATTACTAGAGCAAGAGAGAAGGATGCTACCCCAGGAGAAAAAGCCTTGGGATTTAAAATATCTGAAAACTTAATGGCAATCATAAAACCCTATTTTCTCAGGAGGACTAAAGAAGACGTACAGAAGAAAAAGTCAAGCAACCCAGAGGCCAGACTTAATGAAAAGAATCCAGATGTTGATGCCATTTGTGAAATGCCTTCCCTTTCCAGGAAAAATGATTTAATTATTTGGATACGACTTGTGCCTTTACAAGAAGAAATATACAGGAAATTTGTGTCTTTAGATCATATCAAGGAGTTGCTAATGGAGACGCGCTCACCTTTGGCTGAGCTAGGTGTCTTAAAGAAGCTGTGTGATCATCCTAGGCTGCTGTCTGCACGGGCTTGTTGTTTGCTAAATCTTGGGACATTCTCTGCTCAAGATGGAAATGAGGGGGAAGATTCCCCAGATGTGGACCATATTGATCAAGTAACTGATGACACATTGATGGAAGAATCTGGAAAAATGATATTCCTAATGGACCTACTTAAGAGGCTGCGAGATGAGGGACATCAAACTCTGGTGTTTTCTCAATCGAGGCAAATTCTAAACATCATTGAACGCCTCTTAAAGAATAGGCACTTTAAGACATTGCGAATCGATGGGACAGTTACTCATCTTTTGGAACGAGAAAAAAGAATTAACTTATTCCAGCAAAATAAAGATTACTCTGTTTTTCTGCTTACCACTCAAGTAGGTGGTGTCGGTTTAACATTAACTGCAGCAACTAGAGTGGTCATTTTTGACCCTAGCTGGAATCCTGCAACTGATGCTCAAGCTGTGGATAGAGTTTACCGAATTGGACAAAAAGAGAATGTTGTGGTTTATAGGCTAATCACTTGTGGGACTGTAGAGGAAAAAATATACAGAAGACAGGTTTTCAAGGACTCATTAATAAGACAAACTACTGGTGAAAAAAAGAACCCTTTCCGATATTTTAGTAAACAAGAATTAAGAGAGCTCTTTACAATCGAGGATCTTCAGAACTCTGTAACCCAGCTGCAGCTTCAGTCTTTGCATGCTGCTCAGAGGAAATCTGATATAAAACTAGATGAACATATTGCCTACCTGCAGTCTTTGGGGATAGCTGGAATCTCAGACCATGATTTGATGTACACATGTGATCTGTCTGTTAAAGAAGAGCTTGATGTGGTAGAAGAATCTCACTATATTCAACAAAGGGTTCAGAAAGCTCAATTCCTCGTTGAATTCGAGTCTCAAAATAAAGAGTTCCTGATGGAACAACAAAGAACTAGAAATGAGGGGGCCTGGCTAAGAGAACCTGTATTTCCTTCTTCAACAAAGAAGAAATGCCCTAAATTGAATAAACCACAGCCTCAGCCTTCACCTCTTCTAAGTACTCATCATACTCAGGAAGAAGATATCAGTTCCAAAATGGCAAGTGTAGTCATTGATGATCTGCCCAAAGAGGGTGAGAAACAAGATCTCTCCAGTATAAAGGTGAATGTTACCACCTTGCAAGATGGTAAAGGTACAGGTAGTGCTGACTCTATAGCTACTTTACCAAAGGGGTTTGGAAGTGTAGAAGAACTTTGTACTAACTCTTCATTGGGAATGGAAAAAAGCTTTGCAACTAAAAATGAAGCTGTACAAAAAGAGACATTACAAGAGGGGCCTAAGCAAGAGGCACTGCAAGAGGATCCTCTGGAAAGTTTTAATTATGTACTTAGCAAATCAACCAAAGCTGATATTGGGCCAAATTTAGATCAACTAAAGGATGATGAGATTTTACGTCATTGCAATCCTTGGCCCATTATTTCCATAACAAATGAAAGTCAAAATGCAGAATCAAATGTATCCATTATTGAAATAGCTGATGACCTTTCAGCATCCCATAGTGCACTGCAGGATGCTCAAGCAAGTGAGGCCAAGTTGGAAGAGGAACCTTCAGCATCTTCACCACAGTATGCATGTGATTTCAATCTTTTCTTGGAAGACTCAGCAGACAACAGACAAAATTTTTCCAGTCAGTCTTTAGAGCATGTTGAGAAAGAAAATAGCTTGTGTGGCTCTGCACCTAATTCCAGAGCAGGGTTTGTGCATAGCAAAACATGTCTCAGTTGGGAGTTTTCTGAGAAAGACGATGAACCAGAAGAAGTAGTAGTTAAAGCAAAAATCAGAAGTAAAGCTAGAAGGATTGTTTCAGATGGCGAAGATGAAGATGATTCTTTTAAAGATACCTCAAGCATAAATCCATTCAACACATCTCTCTTTCAATTCTCATCTGTGAAACAATTTGATGCTTCAACTCCCAAAAATGACATCAGTCCACCAGGAAGGTTCTTTTCATCTCAAATACCCAGTAGTGTAAATAAGTCTATGAACTCTAGAAGATCTCTGGCTTCTAGGAGGTCTCTTATTAATATGGTTTTAGACCACGTGGAGGACATGGAGGAAAGACTTGACGACAGCAGTGAAGCAAAGGGTCCTGAAGATTATCCAGAAGAAGGGGTGGAGGAAAGCAGTGGCGAAGCCTCCAAGTATACAGAAGAGGATCCTTCCGGAGAAACACTGTCTTCAGAAAACAAGTCCAGCTGGTTAATGACGTCTAAGCCTAGTGCTCTAGCTCAAGAGACCTCTCTTGGTGCCCCTGAGCCTTTGTCTGGTGAACAGTTGGTTGGTTCTCCCCAGGATAAGGCGGCAGAGGCTACAAATGACTATGAGACTCTTGTAAAGCGTGGAAAAGAACTAAAAGAGTGTGGAAAAATCCAGGAGGCCCTAAACTGCTTAGTTAAAGCGCTTGACATAAAAAGTGCAGATCCTGAAGTTATGCTCTTGACTTTAAGTTTGTATAAGCAACTTAATAACAATTGAGAATGTAACCTGTTTATTGTATTTTAAAGTGAAACTGAATATGAGGGAATTTTTGTTCCCATAATTGGATTCTTTGGGAACATGAAGCATTCAGGCTTAAGGCAAGAAAGATCTCAAAAAGCAACTTCTGCCCTGCAACGCCCCCCACTCCATAGTCTGGTATTCTGAGCACTAGCTTAATATTTCTTCACTTGAATATTCTTATATTTTAGGCATATTCTATAAATTTAACTGTGTTGTTTCTTGGAAAGTTTTGTAAAATTATTCTGGTCATTCTTAATTTTACTCTGAAAGTGATCATCTTTGTATATAACAGTTCAGATAAGAAAATTAAAGTTACTTTTCTCAAGTGTTTTCCATCCACTTTGTTTCACTGAGATGATACTGGCAGATCTTAAGATATGCTTGTGAACATGCTGTTTCATGCTTTCAGCTTAATACAGGTTGAGCATCCCTAATCCAATCCAAAATGGGGAAAATTTCTGAGTGCTGACATGATGCCACAAGTGAGGAAAGTTCCATACCTGATGTCATGTGACATGTCACAGTCAAAATGAAGGTGTATAACACACTGTTTACTCAGCATCCCCAAGAGAAAAGAGATTCTGTTAGACCCCTTCAGCTACTATATATCCTTTCCACACAGGCCCAGATTCTCCCATGCAAGCCTGCCTACAAAGGGTAATAAAATGGTTCAACATACACAAACTTTGTTTCATGCACAAAATCGTTAAAAGTAATTATAAAATTACCTTCAGACTATGTATATAATGTGTGTATGAAACATAAATGGATTTCATGTTTAGACTTGGATCCCATCTCCAAAATATCTCATTATGTGTATGGAAATTCTCCACAATCAAGAACACTTCTGGTCCCCAGCATTTTGGATAGAGTACTAAACTGGAACAGCAGAAAGCTGAGCTAGGTACCTGGTGCTAGGATTCTTTATCACTGGTAGCTTGCCCTGGAGTCACTGCTGACCATTTAGCCATTCTTAATGCACCATTAACTGTGTTCTCCCTTTCACCAAACCAGGTATCTCGTCTATTCTGACACATATTATCACAGTCTATCTTTGGATTGTAGACTGAAAAGGAGTTTGGTTCCCTTGCAGAAAGATAAACTGCAGTATAGCACGCTGCACTCTGTCACCAGAGAAGTGGACTATCCTTGATGACGTACTATGTGTTGGGCACTCCACACAGGTTTCTCATTTCAGCCTTACCATAATCTTTTGAGGTGAAGGGAGAATAGCATTTCCATTTTTCATGTGAGGAAACAGGCTCAGTGATCAGTGAGGCCGTGACTTCCCTGTGGTGACATGGTTGGGGTGAAACCGATTTTTAACCTTGTGTAAATGAATACACTATAATACACTGAGCTGTTTTTACTCAAAACACTTCTGACACCAAATGTGGGGGTTTTCCACATCAAGCAGTTCTCCAGTTCTCCAATTCAAAATTGAACTGGTGTCCTACGATTCTGTTTCGACACTACCCAGGGTTAGCATCAGACTCCACAAGTTTAAGGGCTCAGTCCCACCAGACTGCCCTCACTTCAGACGTCAGTGGCAAGTGTTCGGTCCCCATGTTAACCACACTTCTGTCTGACTTGGCTACAAATTAGGGGTTCCCATGACCGTCCCATCCCACCCCCTGGTTTAATAGTTTGCTAGAATAGCTTATAAAACTCAGGAAACGTTTACTTACTATTACCAGCTTATTATAAAGACTACAACTCAGGAACACCCAAATGGAAGAGATGTGTAGGGCAAGGTATGGGGGTGGTGCATTAAGCGTCCATGCCCTCCAGGCACACCACCCTCCCAACATTTTGATGTTAATCCAGGGCTCTCCAAACTCCATTGTTAAGGTTTTTGAGGTTTCCTTAGGGAGGCATGATTGATAAAATAATTGGCCATGGGTGATTAACTCATCTTCAGCCCCTCTCCCCTCTGCAGAGGTTGCAGTTAGGGCTGAACGTTCCCTCTAATCATGCCTTGCTGTTTCTGGTGACCAGCCCCCATCCTGAAGCTACTAGGGGCCTCCAGCCACAAGCTATGTCATTAGCATACAAAAGACACCAGTTGAGATTTCAAGGCTTTCAGGAACTATATGCCAGGAACCAGGGACAAAGACCAAATATTTATTTTTATTATATCCCATACATATAAAAGTTACTTGTAAATTATATGTATATACACATTAATAATCTCATGTATATTACAAGAGATTACAGAAGTTCAAAAGAAGCTGAATTTCAGGTTATTGATGGAACAAAATTTTGCTCTTACTAAAAGCAATTATTACTATTTTAGGGTAATACGATTGAATATATATCATTATTTTTGAAATACTGGTGTAACTAACTGTGAAGCAATTCACAGTCTGCATCTGAGTTCAGCTTACCATTTCCCTGTGCTTCCCACCATGATGTGAAGGGAGTAGCTGCGCCCTACACATCTTTGTTTTTCTGTCCCTTCTACCACACACAAAAATGTTTGTGAAAATTCAGCTAATAAACTTCTTTCTTCCCTGATGTAGAAAACAAAAAATCCACACAATGTATTTGCCTTCAAGGAAGCTTTAGCGGCCTATATCCATTTGATCTGAACAGTGAAGCGTCTAAGTCCTAGGAATATTTCTCACTGAAAATAGCAATGCTCTTTCTGTTCAAGTGTGTGTGTACTATGACAAATTCTGTTGTTTGGGGAAAAAAATACATGCTCATATTCAAACAGTATCCATGGCAGGGATTTTTAACCTGGGGTTCATGGGTAGAAGAAGTCAGGTGTCTGAATTTGGATAGGAAAAAAAGTTTTATCTTTTCTCTGTCTGGTAGCTGAAATATAGCATTTCCTTTCATCATGAATGTGAAGCAGGAAAATAGGGTCTGGAGGCAGGGAACATAAGGCTGATTCACACTAAAGCTATGACAGGAAATATCCTCTCCACAGGGCGTAGGCCAAGTAAATGACTTGTAACTTCACGTCATCCTTTCCATTTACACAGGGTATACCCCAAGTAACCAATGGAATCCTCTAGGGGATATTTAAACTCCCAAAAATTCTCTAACAGGGTGTTTTGAGCTCCTATGCTGTGGAGTGTAGTTTCGTTTTCAATAAATCCCTTTGTCCCTTCCTTGCTTTGTTTGTGCGTTTCGTTCTTTGTTCAAGATGCCAAGAACCTGGACATCCTCCACTGTTAACAAATGTACGCATAAACTGCAGAAATATTAGCAGTACATGTTATGTCACCAGTAGAAATCACATAGACTTTGGGGTTATTGCAGATATCTCAAAATGCCATTGATATTCATTACTGCAAAGTCACAGTGCTTTTTAGACCTACTACCAGGTATTTAATAAAGAGGCACACACACATATTACAAACTTTTTTTTCTGAGACGAGGTCTTACTCTGTCACCCAGGTGGGAGTGCAGTGGCACAATCTTGATTCACTGCAACCTCCGCCTCCTGGGCTCAAGCAATCCTCCCACCTCAGCCCTACCTGCCCCTGCCAGGAGTAGCTGGGACTACAGGTGTGCGCCACCATCACGCCTGGCTAATTTTTTGTATTTTTGGTAGAGACAGGGTTTCACCATGTTCCTCAGGCTGGTCTCGAACTCCTGAGCTCAGGCAATCCACCTGTCTCGGCCCCCCAAAGAACTGGGATGGATTACAGGCGTGAGCCACTGTGCCCAGCCACAATTTAAAAACTTTGGACTACTGTATTTCAACATAGTTGCTGTCTTTTGTAATCCTATGTATTTTACTTTAAGCACTTAAAGTCAACATTTTTTCTTTTTTGAGACAGGGTCTCGCTCTTGTCACCCAGGCTGGAGTGCAGTGGTGAGATCACGGCTCACTGCAGCCTTAACTCTAGGGCTCAAGCAACCCTCCTGCCTCAGCCTCCCTCCTGAAGAGCAGACACTACAGGCACACACCACAATGCCCAGCTAATTTTTAAAATTTTTTGTAGACAGGGTCTCACTATGTTGCCCAGGCTGGTCTTGAATTCCTGGCCTCAACTGATTTGCCCTACTCAGCCTCCCAAAGTGCTGGGATTACAGGTGTGAGCCACCGCATCCAGCCTAAAATAAACATTTTGAAAAGGGATCCATAGGCTGGGCAAACTGCCAAAGGCTGCAAGGCACAAATGAAAGGTTAAGACCCCTGATCTAAGGGTGTGAGGTGAAAAATCTCTTGCCCTCCTGTCCTGGAGTTCTGGATTCCCATTCCCAGAGACAGTCTATGATGTACAAGCACAAGTACATATGTGTATATATTTATGTTGCTACCCAAGTGATAGTGTATTGTGTACACTATTCTGTACCTCATTTTAAATTTTAAAATAACTGCATGATATTCTATTGAGGGATATACCATAATTTATCATAATCTATTGTTAGTGTTCAGTTTGTTTCCAAATAATGCTGTAATGAATATCCTTGTATCTTTTATACATATGATTATAGTATACCTTCCTAGAAATGGAGTTGCTGGGTCAAAGGGTATATTTATAAATTTGACAGGTATTGCCAAACTATTTTCCAGAGGATATAATTGCATTTCCACCATTAATGAATGGATGAATGTCTGTTTCCCCACACCCTTACCAAACAATGTTAAACTTTCTGAACTTTACCAATCTGACACATAAAAAGAGGGAACTTGTATCTTATTTTGATTTTAATTTGCAATTATTTTACAATGAATAAGGTTTGTTCTGTAAACACTGAACTTAATCAGAGATGTCTTAAAGCAGAATTAAATGCATATGCTATAATGTATATAAATCTGTATAAATCCTTAATTTTTTTCATTTGTCAACTCTTTTTTTTTTTTTTTGAGACAGTTTTGCTGTTGCCCAGACTGGAGTGCAGTGGCGCAATCTCGGCTCACTGCAACCTCCACCTCCCAGGTTGAAGCAATTCTCCTGCCTCAGCCTCCCGAGTAGTTGGGACTACAAGCACACACCACCACACTCAGCTAATTTTTGTATTTTTAGTAGAGACAGGATTCTACCACGATGGCCAGGCTGGTCTTGAACTCCTGGCTTCAAGTGATCCACCCACCTCGGCCTCCCAAAGTGTTGGGATTACAGGCGTCAGCCGCGCTGCCTGGCCCGTTTACCAACTCTTTCAGAATCTTAGTTGTCAATCAAAAGCTAACTTCCCAAAGGTTCGCTTGGTGTCAGAGGTCCATTCCTGCCTTACTTTCTCACAGGCTAGCTATAACTGCTCTCTCTCCATACCACAGAATTTAGTTTGCTTTTTCTAGTCCACCTTTCAGCACTCTCGCTTCTTTCCTTTGTGGTGACATCTGTGCAATAGGTATTCACTTAGTATCCTGGGCAAGTCAATGTCCCAAGCAAAGGACTCTAGCTTGGTAGTGTCTCATGCCTATACAGCTCTTCAGAATTTACTGCCCTTATTTAGACACATTGTTTTATTTTATTTATTTTATTTTATTGAGATGGAGTCTCGCTCTGTCGCCCAGGCTGGAGTGTAGTAGCATAATCTCAGCTCATTGCAGCAGCCACCTCCTGGGTTCAAGCATTTCTTGTGGCTCAGCCTCCCAAGTAGCTGAGACTACAGGTGTGCACCACCACACCCAGCTAATTTTTGTATTTTTAGTAGAAACGGGGTTTTACCATGTTGGCCAGGCTGGTCTTCTTAAATTCCTGACCTCAAGTGATCCACCTGCATCAGCCTCCCAAAGTGCTGGGATTACAGGCATGAGCCACCGTGCCCAGCCTAGAGACATTGTTTTTAATGTAGTTTTCAAAGTACACGTAGGCAGGGTGCAGTGGCACTTGCCTGTAGTCCCAGCTACTAGGGAGGCTGAGGCAGAAGGGTCATTTGAGCCCAGCCTCAGCAACGTAACAAGACCCCATGTCAATAAATCATTAAAAAAAAATCAATCAATAACATGTAGTTTCAGCTTTAAATTTTTTTTTAGACACGGGGTCTCACTGTGTTGGCCAGGCTGCAGTGCAGTGGATATTCAAAGGTGCAATCCCATTACTAATCAGCACCGGAGTTTTGACCTGCTGAGTTTCCAACCTGGGCCAGTTCACCCCTTTTTAGGCAACCTGCTGGTCTTTCACTCCCAGGAGGTCACCATGTTTTTCTTTCTTTTTTTTTAAGAGGCAGGGCCTCTGTTGCCCAGGCTGAAGTCTGGAGTGCAGGGGGCATGGTCATAGCTTACTGCAGCCTCGAACTCCAAGGCTCAAGTGATCCTCCCACCTTGGCCTCCTAAAATGCTGGGATGATAGGCCTGAGCCACTGTGCCCAGATGAGGTCACTGTATTGATGCTGAACTTAGTGCTGACACCCGATTGGCATAGGACACTACAGCCCAGAACTCCTGGGCTCAAGTGATCCTCCTGCCTCAGCCTCCCAAGTAGCTAAGACTACAGGCGCACACCACTGGGCCCAGCCATAGTTTCATCTTATATCTATTTGAACTTCTCTGTATACACTGGCATATCTGCTCCGTGGGGAAAATCTCATGGAGGCATAACCTACTGAGGTGCTCAGAAACTCTTCTCAAGTGGGAAAGTCAGGTATCTAGGTAAAGTTCCCATTATATAAGTGGGTATAATATCAAATGCAGCTGAGGGAGAGAAGGCAGTGTGTTAAAATAATCTGTTAAGAATCACATAGCTGTGTTGGCAAAGTTTTATTTTTGAAGCAGTATAGTATTTATATTAGTAATCTTTATACTTTTTTATATGTCATAAATATGGCATTTTAAATTTTAAAAATTTAGATGCACAGAACATTGGCCCTGGAAAGGACAGTCTTAATGTAACCCATACACTGAAGATGAGGGAATGACATTTTTATGCTGACATCCCTCCCTTTAACCAGCACTCGGTTAGTCTAGTACAAAACAACTCATGGAACAACTGAGTGCTTTTTTCCTCCAATAAACATTTATTTAAAAAGAAAGGAGTTAACACTGAAAGGCATAACGTGCCACGTACTATGTTAAGACAGTGGAGCTAATACCACCTGTCCTGGAAGATCAGAGTTGACTAACATGTAAAACAAATGTTGTCTAGGAACTTATTTTATGATTCTCACACACTAATCTATTTGATGCCCAATATTTTCAGTTGTGTGAATAGTGTGAGTTGATATCTGCTTCCCCTGAAGATGGTTTCTGAATTAATTTATGGGACAGACTGAGAGTCAGATATAGTTCTGGGAGGAAAGAGAATACAGGTTAAAGGGAGTCTGCTTGACTTCTCTTTGAGAAAGACTGACTGAATACCTACTACAGTTGACATTCACTTAGCCCCACCCTCTCTTACACCTACAAACCCATACTTAGAGCTTTCACAGAATACAAGGAGCATCCAATATCTTTTCTTTTTAAAAATTTTTGTATTTCCTTGCAGCTCCAGCTCAAAAGAATATGTAATACCTTTTAAAGAAACAAAATGTATAAAACTTATTCAGTCTTTCATATGATTTTATTTTCTTCCTTCGACCATAATAATATGATATCCAAATTTTGTCTTAACCGGTGGGTCTGTAAACACAGGCTTATCCATCCCACTTACAGGCAAGGCAAATGCTGCTTCTTGAAATGGTCCCACCATGGACCCTCTGGTCATCCAACCCAAGTCACCCTGAAAAACCCAAAAGATAAGTGATATCAAGTGGCCCAGAAGAGGGAACAGTTCTACTGTAGCTTGAGAGAATTTCCCAACATTTTGCTAAGGTTACGAGGTATATTCCTAAGAGCAATACAGGAATAGGCTCAATAAGGACAAATAGGTAGAAGAAGTCTAACTAGACTGAACACATAAGTACTCTCAACACTGCTGGACTTTGAAGTTAGCCGTGCAAGTTTGGTCATGCATAGGTTTTGACATAGATGACCCTTATTCTACTATTTACAAGTTGGACATTTCTGCTTTTGAGATCTTTAAACCAAAATATCGCTACAACCAATGGTTGAACAAAGGAATGATCCCTACTTCTGTGTTTCTTCTGTGGAGGATGGAGAATTTTTATCTTATTTTATTATTTGTCATTTTTACTTTGCTTTCTTACCTTGAGAGAAAATTATAAATAATAAGAGCAACATACCCCTTGCCTGGCTTTATCTTCACTATACTGTGCGGCCACTTCATTGAATCTCATCCCAGACTTTAACTTTTCCATGGCTTCCATGATTTTGCCATGTTTTTCACATAGAATGTGTCTGACCTGCAAGGAAAAAGTACATTCATGTAATACTTGGAGACCCAAATGACTCCTTAAAGTACAGTGGTTACATTTGGATTACCCCCACCAGTTAAAAAAAAAACACATTAGTTCATAGCAAGTAAAAATCCTGGAAGTTTGCCCAGGACAACAACCACAATCCCATTCCCCATATTAAGACAATGTCTCAGAGTCCTGATTTAGATGGAAAATAGGCACCTGGCTGTGGGAAGCTCCGCCTTTTTTTTTTTTTTGAGAAGGAGTCTTGCTCTGTCACCTAGGCTGAAGTGCAGTGGTGTGATCTCGGCTCACTGCAACCTCTGCCTCCCGGGTTCAAGCAATTCTCCTGTCTCAGCCTCCTGAATAGCTGGGTTTACAGCTATGTGCCATCACACCTGGCTAATTTTTGTATTTTTAGTAGAGATGGGGTTTCTCCATGTTGGCCAGGCTGGTCTTGAACTCCTGACCTCGTGATCCACCCGCCTTGGCCTCCCAAAGTGCTGGGATTACAGGCGTGAGCCGCCGCTCACGGCCGGGAAGCTCCCATCTTTTACCATATACCTTCATGCTAACAGGAGGAGGAAACACGATACGGGTTGAGAGCTGTGGTCCTAGAATCAAATCCCAACTCTGCTGTATGAACTTAGGCTTTATTTATTTATTTATTTAGAGACGGAGTCTCACTCTGTCTCCCAGGCTGGAGTGCAGTGGTGTGCTCTCAGCTCACTGCAACCTCTGCCTCCCGGGTTCAAGCAATTCTCTTGCCTTAGCCTCCCGAGTAGCTGGGATTACAGGCACCCATTACCACGCCCAGCTAATTTTTGTATTTTTAGTAGAGATGGTGTTTCACCACGTTGGCCAGGCCGGTCTTGAACCCCTGACCTCAAGTGATCTGCCCGCCTCGGCCTCCCAAAGTGCTAGGATTACAGGCGTCAGCCACCATGCCTGGCTGAACTTACGCATGTTTTTAAACCTCCAAGTGTTTCTCCATTTGTACATCAAGATGCAATGATAACGGGACCTATGTGTTCTCATAGGATTGTGAAGATTGAGATAATGCAGCTACCATTGACCAACGGCTAGCTATTATTTCATCAGAGTGAGGATAAGAAAAAACCTGCTAGAAAGTATTTCTATCTTTTTTTTTGAGACAGAGTCTCCGTCTGTTGCCCAGGCTGGAGTGCAGTGGCCCGATCTTGGCTCACTGCAACCTCCACCCACGGGTTCAAGCAATTCTCCTGCCTCAGCCTCCCAAGTAGCTGGGACTATAGGTGCGCACCACCACGCCCAGCTAACTTTTTGTATTTTTAGTAGAGATGGGTTTCACTGTGTTGGCCAGGCTGGTCTCAAATTCCTGGCCTAAAGTGATCTGCCCACCTCAGCTCCCAAAGTGCTGGGATTACAGGTGTCAGCACACCGTGCCTGGCCAGGAAGTATTTCTTACTAAAAGAGACCCAATGTATAAGCCTCCCCACAATTCCACACTTTGAAAAGGTATCATAGGTTGAATATTAAGAACGCCCAACCCTACTGAAGTATTCAAATTTGACCTATGTTTACATAAAGCCATGGATTTAAAAAAACACTATTATCCTTGAAAATGATTTTGTCAAGATAGCTGTTTCGCAGGATTTCTCATTTCACATTCAAATAGAATCACTTATAGTCACGCGTCACTTAACTACAGGGAAACATGAGAAATGAGTTATTAGGCAATTTTGTTTTTGTGCAAACATAACACTGTACTTACACAAACCTAGATGGTATGGCCAGCTACATATCTAGGCTATATGGCATAGCCTATTGCTCCTAGGCTACAAACCTGTACAGTATGTGACTGTACTGAATACCATAAGCAACTGTAACACAATGGTTTAAGTATTTGGGTATCTAAACATAGAAAAGGTACAGTAAAAATATAGTATAAAAGATAAAAAATGGTACACTTATATAGGACACTTTACATGAATGGAGCTTGCAGGACTGGAAGTTGCTCTGGGTGAGTCAGTGAGTGGTGAGTGAATATGAAGGCCTAGGACATTACTGTACACTACTGTAGACTTTTTTTTTTTTTTTTTTTTTTTTTGAGATGGAGTTTCGCTCTTTTGCCCAGGCTGGAGTGCAATGATGCGATCTTGGCTCACCGAAACCTCCCCCTCCTTAGTTCAAGTGAGTCTCCTGCCTCAGCCTCCTGAGTAGCTGGGATTACAGGCATGCACCACCACGCCTGGCTAGCGGCTAATTTTTTTTTTTCTGAGACGGAGTCTTGCTCTGTCGCCCAGGCTGGAGTGCAGCAGTGCGATCTCAGCTCACTGCAACCTCCCTCTCCCGGGTTCAAGTGATTCTCCTGCCTCAGCCTCCCTAATAGCTGGGATTACAGGCACGCGCCACCACACCTGGATAAGTTTTGTATTTTTAGTAGAGATGGTTTCGCCATGTTGGTCAGGCTGGTCTCGAACTCCTGACCTCAGGTGATCCGCTTGTCTTGGCCTCCCAAAGTGCTGGGATTACAGACATGAGCCACCATACCCGGCCTAATTTTGTATTTTTTGTAGAGACGGGGTTTCACCATGTTGATCAGGCTGGTCTCGAACTCCTGACCTCAAGTGATCCACCCGCCTTGACCTCCCAAAGTGCTGGCATTACAGGCATGAGCCACCGCACCCGTCCCCTACTGTAGACTTTATACACACTATACATGTAAGCTACAATTTATAAAACACTTTTCTTTATTCAATATTAAATTAGCCTTAGGTTATTATATCTTTTTAACTTTATACATTTAAAAAATTTTAAACTTTTGGACTCTATTTAATAACACTTGGCTTAAAAAACAAACACATTGTGCAACTGTACAAAACTATTTTCTTTCTTCATATCCTTATTCTATAAGCTTTTTTCTTTTTTTTTTTTTTGAGATGAAGTCTCATTCTGTCATCCAAGTCGGAGTGCAGTAGCACAATCTCAGCTCACTGCAACCTCCGCCTCCCAGGTTCAAGCGATTCTTGTGTCTCTCAGCCTCCTGAGTAGCTGGGATTACAGGCGCGTGTCACCACGCCAAGCTAATTTTTGTATTTTTTGTAGAGACAGGGTTTCACAGTGTTAGCCAGGCTGGTCTTGAACTCCTGACCTCAAGTGATCTGCCTACCTCAACCTCCCAAAAATGTTGGGATTATAGGTGTGAGCCACCACGCCCAGCCACTATAAGCTTTTTTCTATTTAAAATTTTTTTTTTTAATTTTTAAACTTTTTTATTAAAGACTAAGACACAAATACACACACTAGCTTAGGCCCACACAGGGTCAGGATCATCAATATCACTGTTTTCTACCTCCATGTCCTGTCCCATGGAAAGGTCTTCAGGGACAATAACATGCATGGGACTGTCATCTCCTATGATAATGCCTTCTTCTGGAATACCTCCTGAAGGACCTGCCTGAGGCTGTTTTACAGTTAATTTTTTTTTTTTAAGAGACAGCTTCTAGATTGCCTCCTTGTTTCTGCTTCCATACTCACAAAGTGATTGTCTGATACAATTCCTGGGAAAATGTACACTGCATTCGTGGTCACAGATAGGGGATACCGTCCACCATTTTATAAATGAATAAACGAGTATTCTAGTTTAGACAGTGCGACAAAGAGTTTTTCATTCCTGTGGGGTCTGCAAGTGTGACCAACGAACTGGCAACAGTGCAGCTGTGTCTTGGAGAGCCAAGCTACAGAAAGAGTTTGGGAGTGATGACTATGGAGGTGGCAGCTGAAGTGTGGAATTCATGAGGTTACCAGGAAGGAGATGAAAATGAGAAGAGGAGGAAAGAAAGCTAAAGTAACCTTGGAGACTATCAATGTTCAAGCAACAAGTAAAGAACTCAAAAAGTGTAATAAAAAGGGGCGAGGCGCAGTGGCTCACACCTATAACCCCAGCACTTTGGGAGGCCAAGGTGGGAGGATCCCTTGAGGATGGGAGTTTGAGACCAGTCTGGGCAACATAGTAAGACCCCCATCTCTACAAAAACTTTAAAAAAAATTAGCCGGGCATGGTGGTGCACATCTGTAGTCTTAGCTACTCAGGAGGCTGAGGCAGGAGGATCACTTGAGCCCAGGAATTGAAGGCTGCAGTGAGCTATGATCATGCCACTGCATGTCATGCACCCCGGCCTGTGTGACAGAGCAAGAACCTGTCTCTTAAAAAGAAAAAAGAAAAAAGCATAATAAAAAGGAAAGGCCATATAGGTAGGAGAGAAGCGTGTGCTAACAAACCAAGGCAGGAGAGAGTTTCAAGGAGGAAATGGTCAACAAGGGTTAAGGGTTGCAGAGACATCAGGTAAGAAGTATAATACATTGTGCAATGATGGAACAATGATCTCAGAAAAAGGAGTTTCAGAAGAGTTTAAGTGCAGAAGCCAGAATACAGCAGGCTGACTGAGGAAACAATGTCAAGTGGGAGGGTAATTCAAACAAACTAACTTTGTTTGAAAAGGAGAAAGGGCTCTGGCTAGAGGCAAAAAGTGGAAGACATGTAAATACGAAATTTACACTGGGCGAGGTGGCTCAGGCCTGTAATCCCAGCACTTTGGGAGGCAGAGGTGGGCGGATCACCTGAGGTGAGGAATTGGAGACCAGCCTGGCCAACATGGAGAAATCCCATCTCTACTAAAACTACAAACAATTAGCCGGGAGTGGTGGTGGATGCCTGTAATCCCAGCTACTCGGGAGGCTGAAGCAGGAGAATCGCTTGAAACTGGGAGATGGAGGTTGCAGTGAGCCAAGATCGCGCCACTGCACTCCAGCCTGGGCAACAAGAGTGAGACTCCATCTCAAAAACAAAAACAAAAACAAAAAAACCCACGAATTTTAAAGGTCCCTGGGCATATTTTCGGAATGAAGGGAAAGACCTAGGAAAAAAAAAACCGGTTGAAGACAGAACAAAAAAGAGGGTAGAGATAAATGAAGGAGCAAGGTTTGGTATTCAGAACACGGTTTGAAAAATTAGCCTTAAAGGAAAAAAGGTGAGGAGGTAACTTTGTTGCTAGGGGGCTGAAAGCCAATGAGTTCCTGACAATGGGTCTGGTTTCCACTTTCTTGTTAAAATAATAAAAACATTTAAAAGTTGATGAGTACTTATCTCATTAAATCCTCACACTAACGCTGTGAGACTAGATGAGTGTTTCTTAACCCTGGCAGCATATTAGAATCACCTCCAGAAATTCTAGAAAAGTTTTTCGTTTTTGTTTTTTGAGATGGAGTCTCACTCTGTCGCCCAGGCTGGAGTGCAGTGGCGCAATCTCAGCTCACTGCAACCTCCGCCTCTCGGGTCCAAGTGATTCTCCTGCCTCAGCCTCCCGAGTAGCTGAGATTCCAGGCGCATGCCACCATGCCCAACTAATTTTTGTATTTTCAGTAGAGACAAGGTGTCACCATGTTGGCCAGGCTGGTCTCGAATTCCTGACCTCAAGTGATACACCCACCTCGGGCTCCCAAAGTGCTAGGATTACAAGCATGAGCCACAGAGCCCAGCCCTTCTAAAAAAGTTATCAAAGTCCAGGCCCCCCTCCAAGAGATTCTGATGCAGTTGGTCTGGGATGAGACCCTAGGCACTCGTATTTTTTTAGGCGAATCTGATGTACGTCTAGGGTTGAGAACCATGGAATGAAGTTCTCTGTTGACTGATGGGAGTGGGGTGGTGGATGGCTACAGGTGGGCGGTAAAGGATTGCTGAGCAGCACTGAGGGCCTAGGTAAAGTCAGAGACCAAGTATTAGTAGTCCCAATCCCCAAGGCTGTGTGACTTTCCAGTAGGGCCCAGCAGTTCTGGGGAGCTTTTTTTTTTTTTTTTGAGATGGAGTCTCGCTCTGTTGCCCAGGCTGGAGTGCAGTGGTGTGATCACGGCTCACTGCTACCTCTGTCTCCCAGGTTCAAGTGATTCTCCTGCCTCAGCCTCCCGAGTAGCTGGGATTATAGGCACCCGCCACCACACCCGACTAATTTTTGTATTTTTAGCAGAGACGGGGTTTTACCATGTTGGCCAGGCTGATCTTGGACTCTTGACCTCAGGTGATCCGCAAGCCTTGGCCTCCCAAAGTGCCAGGAGTACAGGCATGAGCCACCGGCGCCCGGCTGAATTTTTCTTTCTTAAGTAACTGTTTCAAATTTGAGCCAAGCTACTGAAATAAGTTCATCTATAAGCAAATATAATACTCATATTGGAATTATTAGTAAATACTTTATTTACATACTTATTAAAAATCAAGTATTAATATTTAAGTTGCCCCCAGCTAGACGTTTTCAAGGAAATCTTTTCTTTTCTTTTCTTTTCCTTCCTTTCTTTTTTATTGATGCATAGTAGATGTACAGTTTCAAGGTAATGCAATAATCTAATACATTCATATAATTGGTAAAGATCAAATCAGTATACTTGGAATATCCATCACCTTAAATATTTGTCTTTTCTTTATACTAGAACCACTCGAATTCTTCTCTTCTAACTATAGATCTAATTTTAAGTGCATAGAAAGTAGACCATTGGATTGATCCTGAGTAGCAGGGAGGTGGATGCAGGGAGGTGGCCAAAAGAAAAACTGGACCTCCTCAATCCAATGATCAAGCCCTTAGGCCTAATTTTGAGTGTGCAGGGGATAGGAAAACAAACATGAAGCCTAGGAGAAAGTGGGGAGATTAGGGTGGGCTTGAGGGCTTGGGGGTCTGTGAGGAGAAGAACAGAGGAACAGGATTGGCGGAGGCAGGAAGGGAAGGGGAAGGAGGGAAGCTGTGGTCAGTGGATGGGTCTCAGAATCTGCAGAGCTTATAGCGACAAAAGGGCAGGGTGTGGGCACAGGGGTGGGGTCTGAAGCAGAATGACAGAATGTGAAAGGAGCTGAACCCTAAAAGGCCAGAGGGTCCCAGGGTCCCTCACCGACTGGTGCCTTCAAAAAACACTTGAAACAACCCAGCTGTCCTTCAACAGGTGAATGGTTCGACATACTACAGCACTTCCACATCATGGGATACAGGTTGAATATCATTTATCCAAAATGCTTGGGACCAGAGTGTTTCGGATTTGGGAATATTTGCATTAAACTTACCAGTTGAGCATCCCTAATCTGAAAATTCAAAATCTGAAATGCTATAATGAGCATTTACTTTGAGTGTCATGTCAGCGCTCAAAAAGTTTCAGATCTTACAGCATTTTGTATTTTGTATTTTTGGATTAGGGATACTCAACTGGTACTATTTAGCAATACAGAGGAATAAACTATTGATAAACAAAACCACCTGAATGAAATCTCCAGCGAATTATACTGGGTGAATAAAACCAATCCCAAAAGGTTACATACTGTATTATTCCATTCATATAACATTCTTGACATTATAAAGTTACACAAATGGAGAACAGATAAGTTGCTGCCATGGGTTAAGAGGGCAGAGGTGGGGCAGGAGGGAAGCGGGTATAGTTATAAAAGGCCAAGAGGAGGGATCCTTGTAGTGGTAGGATTGTCTGTATCTTGACTACATCAATGTCAATATCCTGTTTGTGCTATTGTACTATAGTTTTGTTAGGTGTTACCATTGGGAGAAACAAAGGAATACGTATTATTTCTTTTCCTTTTTCTTTTTTTCTTTTTTAGAGACAAGGTCTCATTCTGTTGCCCAGGTTGGAGTGCAGTGGCGTGATCCTGACTCACTGCCGCCTCAAACTCCTGGGCTCAAACAATCCTCCTACCTCAGCCTCCCAAGTAGCTGGGACTACAGGCACACACGACCATGCCCAGCTAGATGTATTATTTCTTAAAACTGCATGTGAATCTATAATTATCTCAAAATAAAAGGCTTTATAAAAACAAATTTAACCCTAATCTACTTTCCTAGTGAATAACGTGCCACTCCTTTCCATATATCTCATGAGTGGCCACATTGAACTTATTTTTTTTCCAGAGAGGGTAAGGTGCCTCTTTAAAGCCACATGCACCAGGTGTGGTGGCTCATGCCCCTATAATCTTAACACTGTTGGAGGCTGAGGCGGGAGGATCGCTTGAGGCCAGGAGTTCAAGACCAGCCTGGGCAACATAGCGAGACTCCATCTCTACAAAGATAAAAACAACAAAACAAAGTTTTTAAAAAATTAGCTAAAGCCGCCAGGCACGGTGGCTCATGCCTGTAATCCCAGCACTTTGGGAGGCCGAGGCAGATGGATCACCTGAGGTCAGGAGTTCAAGACCAGCCTGGCCAACATGGTGAAACCTCATCTCTACTAAAAATACAAAAAACTAGCTGGGCGCGGTGGCGGGCACCTGTGATCCCAGATACTTGGGAGGCTGAGGCAGGACAATCGCTTGAACCTGGGAGGCGGAGGTCGCAGTGAGCCGAGATCGTGCCATTGCACTCCAGCCTGGACAACAAGAGTGAAACTCCGTCTCAAAAAAAAAAATAAAAAAAAGTAGCTAAAGCCATATGCAGTGCAACAGTCTCTTAGGTTAGATGCTTGTGAAAACATATTAGGTGAAAACTGCATATAGCCAAAATTACCCTAGAATATCCCTTTATGAAGATGTCATATGGGAGACCAGCATGTCAGCTCTCATTTAAGCCCAGACATAGCCAGGAACGCTGTACTCCGTTTGTAACATGAAGTAACTGGGTTGTATTTAGGGGCTATGTTTTATGAAAACTTATCTTTGGATACCAGAACCCCACTTCACATGATTGGATGCTCACACAAGAATTCAGGGCAACTATAGAAAAGCAGGTGCATGTCTCTCATCTCTCTCTCTCTCTGTGGGGCATAGGTTCATTGAATAGAAGAGTGGGCAGAACAGTCCACACCATTTACATGATCTCTCTTTTTTAGGCTACACATGTATGGCTGAATTTATATGATGCAGTTCCACTGCTATGCTTATCATACAGCAATGAAATACATATCTTTACCTAACTGCTCCCAAGTAGCCTGTGATAACAAGGACCATCTCTTACTTTTTATTTATTTTTTTGAGACAGGGTCTCGCTCTGTTGCATAGGATGAGTGTAGTGGCACAATCATGGCTCACTGTAGCCTCAAATTCTCGGGCTCAAGCGATCCTCCCACCTCAGCCTCCTGAGTAGCTAGGGCCACAGTTGTGCACCACCACGTCTGGCTGATTTTTTATTTTTACTTTTTTAGTGACAGGGTCTTGCTATATTGCCCAGGCTGGTCTCAAACTCCTGGGCTCAAGTGATCCTCGTGCCTTGGCCTCCCAAAGTGCTGGGATTACAGGAATGAACCATTGTGCCTGGCCCATCTCTTACTTTTTTATTAAATAAATACATGATAAAAAATCCCCAGAGCCTAATACATTGCTTGGCACAGGGCAGATGTCACTAAGTCCTTACTGAATGAATGAATCAAAGTACAGCCTCCCATATCCTGACTAAAACATGGAAATTGCCTTGTTACATAGCACTTACTAGTTTGCAGATTAAATTTTCTCCCAGCAGATACTCCTCTGGGGCTAGGTTAAGTATTTCAAGTAATTATTTGCTGATTTTCTCCTGCCCCCATTTTCATGGTCAAGACCCTGGTTTGTGGCTCACCAGTGGGGAAGCTTTCTAAAGAGACCTGCACCCTTGCCTGTTTATTCAGCAGAGGACTTTTAACACTTATCTAATCTCTTGGTTTTATAAAATATTATTTTGTCCTAAGAAATAACTCAATTACTGGGAAGATCTAACTTAATGCATTTTAAGGAACAATACTAAAAAACTATAAAGAAATTCTGGGTATCTGAGAAAGTACATGACAAAATATTTAAAGGGAATTACTTTTCATAAGCAAGACTGGTCTATATTTTCCATTTTTTTAAAATTTATTTTTATTTATTTATTTTTTTGAGATGGAATCTTACTCTGTTGCCCAGGCTGGAGTGCAGTGGTGCAATCTCAGCTCATTGCAACCTCAGCCTCCTGGTTCAAGCGATTCTTGATTCTCGTGCCTCAGCCTCCCAAGTAGCTAGGATTACAAGTGTACACCACCACACCAGGCAAATTTTTGTATTTTTAGTAGAGACAGGGTTTCACCATTTTGGCCAGGCTGATCTGCCTGCCTTGGCCTCCCAAAGTGCTGGGATTACAGGTGCGCCCAGCTACAATTTTGTGTTATTTTGATTTTATACCAGTGTTAGGCTAGCCTGTTAGAATGAGTTAAGCATTCTGTCTTTTATGTGTACTAACACATAAACAGAATTTATATTTAACATGGAAAAAAAGGAACCAGTAACTCACCTTTACTGCATTGCCACCACCTTTGGGACCTTGAGCCTTCTTGTCAGCACTGTCACTCCCAGAGGCTGCTCCCCCTTTAGAGAAGAGATGACAGGTACTCATTTAAACTGCACCTCCATGTTTACAGAAAGGTCCAACACACAACCGGAGTGGATATTTCCATCATAACGCCACACTTCAAAAGGGAACTCGGCCAGACACTTTACAACAAGGGTATCCAACCTTTCAGCTTCCCTGGGCCACAATGGAAGAATTATCTTGGGCCACACAAAATACGCTAACACTAATGATAGTTGACAAGCTAAAAAAAAAAAAAATCACAAATAAAAATCTCATAATGTTTTAAGAAAGTTTGCAAATTTGTGTTGGGCTGCATTCAAAGCCATCCTGGGCCGTATGCAGCCCGTGGGCCGTGGGTTGGACAAGCTTGCTTTACAACATCAAGCTAAATTAATCTGACCCATCTTTCTTCAAACAGGAAATCTGTGCCCTATATAAACCCTTCACAGAAAATGGATACACAAATGAGTGTGCTAATAGGTGAATGAAAGCTCCGGAAGCCTGGCCCAGATTCTTTGCATCCAATTTAACACCCTGCCTTCTGAGGGCAGACTCCTAAGTTCTTGTAAGAGTTCTATCATGTACCACAACTATGTGTTCAAGCATCACAATTCCAGTAAGTAAAATCTCTAAGAATACATTTTTTAAAAAGATCAAATTTCCCACTACCCATTTTTGGCTAAAGAATACATTCATGTCCAAATTTCTAGAGTCTACTACATTGCCTATTGATGTCTTCCTAGAACCATTAGCAGCATCTTACATTTTACTAGTATGTCATTTTACTACTATGGTAACTTCTGTGTCAATGGCAGCCTACATACTGCTAGAGGCTGATGTTCCTAAGAATTACAGTTGAATTAAGGGCTCAGTTCAATAAACATTTCCTATACAACTACTGAGTTCCAGGCACTGGGAGTACAAAGATGAACAAGCCATGTACCTTCCTTCAGAAAACTCATATTCTAGTGAGGAAGACGGATCATTTCAGGAGAATGCAGGAGATGCAGAGATGGTTATGGACAGGGGGCTGTGGAAGCACAGAGGGACACTGGAGCCAGCCAGGGAAGGTTTCCTGGATGAGTAGGAGCTGGTTAGCCAAAGAAAGGATGAGGAGACACTCCAGAATGGGGGAAACGACATGGTATGTGTAAGAAATTGTATGGATGAAGCCAAATCTGAGGTGGGAGTGCACTCAGATGAGCCTGCCTGAGGGAGGTAGCTGAGGGTCAGGGCATTGAGGCCTTTTGGCCCCATTAAGGAGCTTGGGACTTATCCTAGACGTAATAGGGAGCCATTGAAAAGTTGTTTTTTTTTTTTTTTTTTTGAGACGGAGTCTCGCTCTGTCTGTCGCCCAGGCTGGAGTGCAGTGGCGCGATTTCGGCTCACTGCAAGCTCCGCCTCCCGGGTTCATGCCATTCTCCTGCCTCAGCCTCCCGAGTAGCTGGGACTACAGGCGCCTGCCACCACGCCCCGCTAATTTTTTTTGTATTTTTAGTAGAGACAGGGTTTCACCCTGTTAGCCAGGATGGTCTCGATCTCCTGACCTCGTGATCTGCGAGCCTCGGCCTCCCAAAGTGCTGGGATTACAGGCGTGAGCCACCGCGCCTGGCCGCCATTGAAAAGTTTTAAGCAAGAGTCTCCATCTTGCTTGTCTTAGTATCTCCAAGCCTAGCACAATGCCTGGCACACAAAAGGTGTTTTAATAAATGTTTGATTAAACTGAAAACCCCAAATACTGACTACCAAAACCCTAAAAAAATGTTACTGCCAAAGGAGTGTTATTAAATCAAACTCCTAACTGGGTTTGCTATAGATCCATTCTTGAATGATGATGCCTTCCAGTTATCCCATCCTCTTCCCTGCTGGATGCTGTCATCTTCTGACTGCCACCTCACTGCCTTTGATTTCCTGACGACTCTGGCATCAGCTTTGGGCTTCCTCTCCACCCTCACTCCTGCCATTACCTTGAGTGACCTCACCATCTATCTTGGGGAATCTCAGTTCTAGGTCTCTTTCCCGAATGTCATGCTCTCTACTCCAAGCTACCTGCCCCGGGGGCACACGATGGAACTGTGCCACTCAGAACTAGTTCAGTCTCTGGCTATAACCTCCTGTTCTTCCAGCTTCCTCATGTCTCATTCCCACAATACTTGCTCTTTAACTTCACAGAACCTCTCCCTTGACCCCAGTCCCTTCGTCCTGCTACATTCACCTAGGCCACCAGACTTCTTTTTCCCTTCCCACTCTGGACCCCATGTTCCTTCATCTGAACTGCATTCCCACTGGCCCTTGTAATTCCCTGGTGTTGCTATCCTCCTATCATAACTGCCTAACAAAACCTCAACCATGGCTTAAGGCTGCACCTAGCTCTTTTCAATCCTATATTGTGCCAATTGCATAGTACTAGGTAAATCAGACTGTGAAGATTATGTAGTCTACAAATTCATGGCCTTTGATCTTAGTCAGGCTCCTAGCCCTGAAGGCACTTCTTTTGTGTTTCATTCCCTCTTCCATTACGATATTCCAGACCTTTACCACTCTCCTCAAGATGCCTACTGAGTCCCTGCCCCTCCATCTCCTTTCCTATGACCTCAAGCATAAGGTGTCCCTGCTCCCCCTAGGTCCTGGATTCCATTTTCTCCTAAATCTCACTCTTCTGTACCTTTACCTCTTTTACTTTACTGGATCCTTCAGCTTCACTCCCAAGTTTTCCCCATTCCAAAGAAGCAAAGAAAATAAAACTTTCTCTTAATCCTCTGTCCTTCTCTATCTACCATCCCATTTCCATGCTTTTCAATTAAAACTTTCCAAGAAGTCCAAATTACCACTTCCCAGTCAGTTCTCTAGTCACGGTAATCTGGCTTCTGTTTCACTGAAACCACTTTTACCCAAGGCCACCTCTAATTTCCAAATCTGCTGTTCTTGATAGACTATACCCTCTCTCTTTAAAACATTCTGGTCTCTCCAGCCTCTGGCCACCATTCTGCACTCCCTCTATCTGTCTGCCTCTTTCTCTGCCTGTCCTAGGATCACATCCTCTGCTCTCTGCTCTTTTCATTCTATAAACTCTCCATGGATAATTGCATACACTCTAATGGGCTCAACTACCATCTATAAGTTAGCGACTCCTAAAACTTACATGTACAGTCTAGACCTCTCCCTCAAACTTTAGACTCAAATATCCAACCACTTCCTGACTACATCTCCACTGAGATGTCCCACAGACACCTCAAAGCCAATCTATCTGAAAGTGAATTCATCAATCTCATCCCCGCTCCTCATGTATCCTTGATGTTACCCTGCAGGACCAGCAACAGGTTAGAAATCCAATCCAGAAAACAGAATGATCGTTGATCCTCCCTCACCACCCCTCCCCAACCCAATAAATCACCAAGTCTTGACTATTTCACATCCTAATATTTACAGAATCTTTTCTCTTTTCTCAGTTCCCACAGCCACTCCCTTAGGTCAGTCCACCATCATCTCTCACCAAGACTACCACAACAATCTCCTTACAGGTCTTTCTGATCCTTAACTGTCCTTCTTAGCAGAATATATAGCACTCTCCATGATCTCGTCTTTGTTTCTGTTTTCATTCTCACCACTTGCCATTCTGCCTTGAGTTTTTGCTCCAGCAACACTACGCTGCACACATCATGCTGTTTCTCACCTCAGTGCTTTTGCTGCTGGACCCCAAGTAAGGAATGCTTTAACCTACCCTCAATGCACATCTTGACCTGCCTAATTCATCTCCAGGAAGTCTTCCGTTCCCTGTTCCCCAGCTAAATGAAGGACTTCCCTCAATTTCTATTATATCCCATACACATCCCTCAACACTACATTTAGTACAGTGCTTTATGATCACTAAGCCTTTATCTTCCTCACTACTTCGGGAGCTCCTTAAGGCCAAAATCTCTTTTTTTTTTTTGAGACAGAGGCTCGCTCTGTCGCCCAGGCTGGAGTGCAGTGGCGCGATCTCGGTTCATTGCAACCTCTGCCTCCCGAGTTCAAGCGATTCTCCTGCCTCAGCCTCCCGAGTAGCTGGGATTACGGGCGCGCACCACCACCACGCCTGGCGAATTTTTGTATTTTTAGTAGAGACGGGGTTTCGCCATGTTGGCCAAGCTGGTCTCGAACTCCTGACCTCGTGATCCATCCTCCCTCGGCCTCCCAAAGTGCTGGGATTATAGGCGTGAGCCACCGCGCCCAGCCTTCTGTCTTATTTGTGTATCCTCAGCGCTTAGCACTCTGCCTGACACATTTCTGTTCAATGGATGAATGATTCCTTCCCCGATGGTGGGCATGTCATTCTGTAAGCATTAAAGTGAACTTTAAGGACCATAACCAATGTGTACTTCCTATTGCTGGCTTTTGATAAGACCCAATTTTAGAGCTCTAATAACCCCTTGAAATAGCAGCCCTAAGTCATCGCCTCCGAGGAACTATCCCCATCAGATTCCATTACCCACTAGGACGGTCCCTGAACCGTAGCCCAATGTATTCCTACAGATGTAATCGATGGCAGCACTGTGGGGCCACTGGCTACCTGCTGCGTCCGTCCCGGACTCCGGAGATGGACTGTCTGTTCCCTCCCTTCGCTCCTCACCCGCCCCCATTCTCCTTGATCGCTCTGGCCGCTCTACCTTTCCCCGCTTTTCCAGAACCACTTTTTCCTTTGGGCGGCATCTTGGAAGCTTGTTGTTGAACGCTGAACCGCTCCAGTTGCCGTACAAGCCCCTTTAGAAGCCCCGCCATGGGCATGTCCTAAACAAATGCCTGAAAGCCGCATCTCAATTGACCGTTCTTATTGCGGCTCCGGAAGCAGGCACAGCTTGGGGCAGACCCCGTCCTTTGGCTCTTGGACCAATGGGGCTGAAGATGTCTGACCAATAAGACGCTTGGGCCGAAACAAAGGCAGAGGGGCGGAGACAAAGGCCGGATTAGGGCGGGAAGCCTGGCCTCTGCGCTTTTTGTGACTTCTTTCACGCACCCTAATTTGCACCAGATCCCCCACTCCCCACACTCTACGCCCGAAGCTCCCCCGTTCCCCTCAACCTGGCTTTTTTCACGCGTGCGCAGTAGGAGCCACGGGGGTGGGTGGCTCTGCAGTCCCTCGGCGCCAGCTCTGGCCAATCCCGCGGGGCCGCCAGACAAAGGGAAGCAGGAGTACTGTGGTGGCGGCCAACTTCCGCTGTCTCCTCCTACACACAGGGCTGCCCTCCCTGGCAGTTTTTCGTTTGTTAATTTTATTCTGCAGTTGTAGCTAATTAGGTTCAAAAGGTAGTTTTTAAAAAAGCCTGTCACCTTTTTGCGTCTTGCAGAGCTCAGTCATGGAGAAACATTGGAAGCAGTCTGAGTGCTCCTCAGTCGGGTACTGCTTAAATAATGTTTTAGCCACACAAGAAGATATTATACAACATTCAAAATAACGATTGTAAGGCTGTGTGTACAGATAGGGGAAATGTTTTTAAGACCAAGATAAAGAATATGATTCCTTGTAAAAGAAGTATATGTAATGTATTGTATGTTATATGAATATAAAGGAGAGGAAAGCTATAGAGCAAGATGTGGCCAGTGGTGCTAGTGCATACAGGTCATCGTGTTTGTTTCTGTGTATTTTCCAAAATTTCCATAATGGTGCAGCATAGTGTAGTAAAAGCATGGATTCTGGAGCCAGATTGCCCAGTTTCAAATCCCTGCTCCACATCTGTCTACTAGCTCCATGACCTTGAGGAAGTTACTTCACCTCTCTTTGGCTCAGTTTCATCATCTGTGAAATGGAGTTGATGATAATAGTACCTACTATTATCCTATCAGGTGTTAAGAGAATTAAACAAGTTCATATCTGTAAAGCACATAAAATGATGGCTTGCTCATATTAATAATGTTTGCCTAAGATAAATGATTTTTGAATTTGTGCCCACACACTTTTTCTCCCCTTACAATCCCTCCCACCATCAATAATTTGTATATGATATGTCAGGGCGTTTCCTCCAGTCCATGAGAGAGCTGTCCTAGCTTGCCACTACCAGCCAGAATATAGAGGTCTTCCAGCTCAGAGTTTAGTTTTTGGATGCAGCCTTGCTGGACCTGGAGATGCTTCATGCTCATACCAGGGAATCAGGTGTTTCTGAGACTGTGCTCATTCCCTACTCAAGACATAACATGGAGCCCTCTTATGTTTGGCTGCTTTAAATTCTGGACACATTTTGGGCACTCCTTGTTTTCGGATTGGGAGTGATCAACTGCGGAGGACACATCTAGTGGTGAGGGGATCATTGCTCTGCCACTTCTGAAGTGGATCCCGCACCTGTACTAATTCTCCAAGTTCGGCTGCGAGATGGAGGGGCGGGGGAGTTGGGATTGGGTGTTGACGATGACAGCGTAGCCTTGTGTTCATCAGGTTATCTATGGCCAAGAGGCCCAAGAGGAACATTTACTTTTGATTTTTCTTTCTTTTTTTTTTTTTTTTATTTTTTATTTTTTATTTTTTTTTTTTATTGATCATTCTTGGGTGTTTCTCGCAGAGGGGGATTTGGCAGGGTCATAGGACAATAGTGGAGGGAAGGTCAGCAGATAAACAAGTGAACAAAGGTCTCTGGTTTTCCTAGGCAGAGGACCCTGCGGCCTTCCGCAGTGTTTGTGTCCCTGGGTACTTAAGATTAGGGAGTGGTGATGACTCTTAACGAGCATGCTGCCTTCAAGCATCTGTTTAACAAAGCACATCTTGCACCGCCCTTAATCCATTTAACCCTGAGTGGACACAGCACATGTTTCAGAGAGCACAGGGTTGGGGATAAGGTCACAGATCAACAGGATCCCAAGGCAGAAGAATTTTTCTTAGTACAGAACAAAATGAAAAGTCTCCCATGTCTACTTCTATCCACACAGACCCGGCAACCATCTGATTTCTCAATTTTTTCCCCACCCTTCCCGCCTTTCTATTCCACAAAACCGCCATTGTCATCATGGCCCATCCCCAATGAGCCGCTGGGCACATCTCCCATACGGGGTCGTGGCCGGGCAGAGGGGCTCCTCACTTCCCAGTAGGGGCGGCCGGGCAGAAGCGCCCCTCACCTCCCGGATGGGGCGGCTGGCCGGGCGGGGGGCTGACCCCCCCACCATCCTCCCGGACGGGGCGGCTGGCCAGGCAGAGGGGCTCCTCACTTCCCAGTAGGGGCGGCCGGGCAGAGGCGCCCCTCACCTCCCGGACGGGGCGGCCGGCCGGGCGGGGGGCTGACCCCCCCACCTCCCTCCCGGACAGGGCGGCTGGCCGACCCCCCCCCCGCCTCCCTCCCGGACGGGGCGGCTGGCCGGGCAGAGGGGCTCCTCACTTCCCAGTAGGGGCGGCTGGGCAGAGGCGCCCCTCACCTCCCGGACGGGGCGGCTGGCCAGGCGGGGGGCTGATCCCCCCACCTCCCTCCCGGACGGGGCGGCTGGCCGGGCGGGGGGCTGACCCCCCCCACCTCCCTCCCGGACGGGGCGGCTGGCCAGGTGGGGGGCTGACCCCCCACCTCCCTCCCGGATGGGGCGGCTGGCCAGGCGGGGGGCTGACCCCCCCACCTCCCTCCCGGACGGGGCGGCTGGCCGGGCGGGGGGCTGATCCCCCCACCTCCCTCCCGGACTGGGCGGCTGGCCGGGCGGGGGGCTGACCCCCCCCACCTCCCTCCCGGACGGGGTGGCTGCCGGGCGGAGACGCTCCTCACTTCCCAGACGGGGTGGCTGCCAGACGGAGGGGCTCCTCACTTCTCAGACGGGGCGGTTGCCAGGCAGAGGGTTTCCTCACTTCTCAGACGGGGCGGCCGGGCAGAGACGCTCTTCACCTCCCAGACAGGGTTGCGGCCAGCAGAGGCGCTCCTCACATCCCAGACAGGGCGGCGGGGCAGAGGTGCTCCCCACATCTCAGACGATGGGCGGCCGGGCAGAGACGCTCCTCACTTCCTAGATGGGATGGCGGCGGGGAAGAGGCGCTCCTCGCTTCCTAGATGGGATGGCGGCCGGGCAGAGACGCTCCTCACTTTCCAGACTGGGCAGCCAGGCAGAGAGGCTCCTCATATCCCAGACGATGGGTGGCCAAGCAGAGACGCTCCTCACTTCCCAGACGGGGTGGCGGCTGGGCAGAGGCTGCAATCTCGGCACTTTGGGGGGCCAAGGCAGGCGGCTGGGAGGTGGAGGCTGTAGCGAGCCGAGATCACGCCACTGCACTCCAGCCTGGGCACCACTGAGCACTGAGTGAACGAGACTCCGTCCGCAATCCCGGCACCCCGGGAGGCCGAGGCTGGCGGATCACTCGCGGCTAGGAGCTGGAGACCAGCCCGGCCAACACAGCAAAACCCCGTCTCCACCAAAAAAAAAACGAAAACCAGTCAGGCGTGGCGGCGTGCGCCTGCAATCGCAGGCACTCAGCAGGCTGAGGCAGGAGAATCAGGCAGGGAGGCTGCAGTGAGCCGAGATGGCAGCAGCACCGTCCAGCCTTGGCTCGGCATCAGAGGGAGACCCTACTTTTGATTTTTCGTTGGGAAGAGCCTTTCCTGTGACCACTGGCTATGGCAGTTGTGAAGTAGGAATGAAGCAAACTAGAGTTCCGATCCCAATGAACAGCCAATGTCTGTCAATGGCTGATGTGCCTAGCAAATGCTTAGTGCCTGGAACACTGTGAGAGCTCTGTGCATTCCAGCAGATAATAACAGCAACAATGATAATAAGCCTGTGTCCATGGCTGCATTTTTCAAGCAAGACTGAAGGCCAACAGCTCCAAGGGGAAAAGAATGGGCATAGGCCTGCTGGAGGTTTCAAGGTCAGGAGCACTTTAAGACAGATCTCAACTATGCAGTATGATTACAAAAAGATGGGGCAGGTATTAGGATACAATTTTAAGTATTCTGAAATGTGAGTTTAACTTTCATTTTCTTCAGTTTATATTATATTCTATCACTTGACACTTATTTTTTATTCAAGAGAAAAAGACAATAAACGTAATTTGAAAAGCAAATCATAGAAAAGCCAGCTTCTATTCAGGGTTAAGTCTGCACCAGTCTATGGAGGCAGACTGTGGAGGGGTCTGTGGAGCAGAGTGACAAATTAACTGAAGAGAGAGGTCAGGGGGAGAAAAGAGGAGAAAAATTCAGCCTTGAAACTATGGTAACATCTGCTGGAGTGTGCACTGCGACTCAGCCAGCAATGGCTGCCAGTTGTATTTTCTACTAATTACCTCATCAGGTTCATTCTTTTATGCGTTACTTGAGGAAAATCAGGAAGAGAAGCTGGCAGCCCTCTTCCCAGGACAGAGGTTCACAGACCTTGGCCCAGACTCACACACTGCCCCACCTGACCTGCTCCACAGCCAAAGAACCACAGTTTCTTTCCTATTTGGGATCCCAGCAGAGCTTATTCTGCAGGGGAAAGCTTGAAGCAACAAAACACAGAGATCTAGTTGATCCCATTCATAGATGGTCATTGCATAGGCAGCTCTAGGCCCCAGACTCTGGGAACAAGGACAGGAAAAGGTCATGTTTGGAAAATGAAGACAGGAAAAAAATCAGTACATAGTGGATGAAATCAGCCACCTATAAAAATAACTACTCTTCGTGGCAAATGGACATAGGTATTAATATTAAATATATTGCTGATATGACTGATGTGTCTCCGTGAGTCCAGTCCGTGGCCAAATAATTTTCTTTTTTTAAATATTATACTTTAAGTTCTAGGGTACATGCGCACAACATACAGGTTTGCTACATAGGTATACATGTGCCATGTTGGTTTGCTGCACCCATCAACTCATCATTTACATTAGGTATTTCTCCTAATGCTATCCCTCCCCCAGCCCCCCACCCCATGACAGGCCCCGGTGTGTGATGTTCCCCGCCCTGTGTCCAAGTGATCTCATTGTTCAATTCCCACCTACGAGTGAGAACATGCGGTGTTTGGTTTTCTGTCCTTGTGATAGTTTGCTGAGAATGATGGTTTCCAGCTTCATCCATGTCCCTGCAAAGGACATGAGCTCATCCTTTTTCATGGCTGCATAGTATTCCATAGTGTATATGTGCCACATTTTCTTAATCCAGTCTATCATTGATGGACATTTGGGTTGGTTCCAAGTCTTTGCTATTGTGAATAGTGCCACAATAAACATACGTGTGCATGTGTCTTTATAGTAGCATGATTTATAATCCTTTGGGTATATACCAGTAATGGGATTGCTGGGTCAAATGGTATTTCTAGTTCTAGATCCTTGAGGGATCACCACACTGTCTTCCACAATGGTCAAACCAATTTACACTCCCACCAACAGTGTAAAAGCCTTCCTATTTCTCCACATTCTCTCCAGCATCTGTTGTTTCCTGACTTTTTAATGATTGCCATTCTAACTGGCATGAGATGGTATCTCGTTGTGGTTTTGATTTGCATTTCTCTGATGACCAGTGATGATGAGCGTTTTTTCATGTGTCTGTGGGCTGCATAGATGTCTTCTTTTGAGAAGTGTCTGTTCATACCATTTGCCGACTTTTTGATGGGGTTGTTTTTTTTTTCTTGTAAATTCGTTTTGAGTTCTTTGTAGATTCTAGATATTAGCCCTTTGTCAGATGGGTAGATCGCAAAGATTTTCTCCTATTCTGTAGGTTGCCTGTTCATTCTGGTGGTAGTTTCTTTTGCCGTGCAGAAGCTCTTTAGTTTAACTAGATCCCATTTGTCTATTTTGGCTTTTGTTGTCTTTGCTTTTGGTGTTTTAGTCATGAAGTCCTTGCCCATGCCTATGGCCTGAATGGTATTGCCTAGGTTTTCTTTTAGGGTTTTATGGTTTTGTGTCTAACATTTAAGTCTTTAATCCATCTTGAATTAATTTTTGTATAAGGTGTAAGGAAGGGATCCAGTTTCAACTTTCTACATATTAGGCTAGCCAGTTTTCCCAGCACCATTTATTAAATAGGGAATCCTTTCCCCATTTCTTGTTTTTGTCAGGTTTGTCAAAGATCCGATGGTTGTAGATGTGTGGTATTATTTCTGAGGCCTCTGTTCTGTTCCATTGGTCTATATATCTGTTTTGGTACCAGTATCATGCTGTTTTGGTTCCTGTAGCCTTGTAGTACAGTTTGAAGTCAGGTAGCATGATGAGTGGCCAAAGAATTTTCTAACCCACTTCATACTAGGTAATGAAGCTTTAAGTGACTGGTTTTTCAAAAAGGACTTCAGAGAAGAAGGCTCCATCTGTGTTTGTCCAGCATTATCTAAGCAAAAGAACTACAGTTTCTGGAAGACCTTACTATACCAGTATCTCATGAGGTAGATTTTGTTTTTTAGAGGCAGTGTTCACTTAAGACAGTGGAAAACAACCAACACAAATTGCACACGTACTATGAGCCAGGAGCTTTCCCTTCGTGATCTCTTTTAGAGTTCACAACAGCCTTATTTGGAAAATATTACTATTGCCATCTTTTTTTATTTTTATTTTTTCGAGACAGAGTTTCGCCCTGTCACCCAGGATGGAGTGCAGTGGCACAATCTCGGCTCACTGCAACCTCCGCCTCCTAGATTCAAGCAATTCTCCTGCCTCCACCTCCCGAGTAGCTGGGACTACTGGTGCCTGCTACGATGCCTGGCTAATTTTTGTAGTTTTAGTAGAGACAAGGTTTCACCATGTTGACCAGGCTGGTCTCAAACTCCTGACCTCAAGTGATCCGCCTGCCTCGGCCTCCCAAAGTTCTAGGATTACAGGTGTGACCCACCCCACCCAGCTCTATTACCACCTTAAAGCTGAAGAAATAGGGTCAGAGAAGTTAAGAAATGTGCCCCAAGTTTCACAGCTAGCTAGGGTCTGTGGTAAGGTTGGGCAACGAACTCGTCTGTCTGACTTCCAAGTTGGTACCCTCTCCATGATGCCATGCTACTCCAGGCTTTGCCATCCCCTAAATGAAATCTAAGAACATCCAGTTCTCTTTTTTCTGAGAGCATGTTCACCAAATCAGCCCTCCAGGGACCTTGAGGCATTTAGGGACACTGTGCAAGAGGCCACAGGGTCAAGTTATACCCCCAACATGGGACATAAATAAGCTTTGGTTTATGCATCAGTATGTTATTATGAGTAACCTGGAATGTGCTCTCCTCTGCCTGCGGTGCTGGACCTTCCAGGCTGCAGAAGCACAGAGGCAAGGAGAAGGAACATAGTATGGGTGGGGGACAGTGGGCAGGGTACTGTAGACAAGGAAGAGGGGAGCTGCTGGGGAAGAGGTCTTCTGCATCCTCAGCCTTGGGCACTGGTCTCCATGTTCAGTGGATTCTGCCTCCTAAACAACACTTCTCCCTGCCCCCCATAATTTTATGGTGAACAGTGAACATTTTGCTAGATTTGCTTTATCACATATTCACCCATCAATTTTTCTTATTTTTGTTGCATTTCAAAGCAAGTTACAGACATCAGCACACTCCATCCCTAAACACTTCAGTTGTCATAATGTTAACTAGGAGTCACTAATTACCTCTGGCTTGTCCCCTGCCCTCCCCGCCACTGCCATAGCCTTCTGCATATTCTCTAGACCATCGGAACATTGATCCCTCTGCTGCCAGTTTCACCTTCTCTTCAAACTACCTTCTGCGGCATCTCAGAGGGAGCTCTTAGAAACACAGAACTGATACTGTGACTCTCCCAGTTAAGACCCTTCAGTGACTCCCCATTGTCTGATAGGACACTATCTCACTTTGTAACCTGGAGGCCCAGGGCCCATTATACTGACATCTGCAGCCTCATTTCTTGCTAGTCTCCACTGGGCGCAACCATATAAAGTTACTATTTACAGGCCCTATCTTAAGACTCCATGCTGATCTCTCTCCCTGGAATGCTTTCCCTTATTTTTGATCTGGCTAATTCTTATTTACCTTTCAAGACTGAGCTCAGATGATACCTCCTTCCTGGAAGCCTTCCCTGACTCTCTTCTTTTTCCCAGGCTGGGCTAGACACTCCTCTGTGCTCCCGAAGTACCCTATGCTTATCCCCAACGATGTATAATTTCTATTATTTTAAATTTGTAAAGTTTTGTTTTATGGCCCATAATGTGGTCTATCTTGGTAAATGCGTCACATGTACTTGAGAAGAATAGGTACTCTGCCGTTGTTGAGTGGAAGGTTTTGTACATGTTAGTTGGATCCTTTTGGCTGATGGTGCTGTTGAATTCTTTCATATCCTTCGTAAATTTATTTTTGTTGTTGTTTTTAATTTATTCATTTGGCCTTTTTTGCCTTTTTAAAAGTTATTATTGTTATTATTATTATTTTGAGACACAGTCTCGCTCTGTTGCCCAGGCTGAAGTGCAATGGCATGATCTTGGCTCACTGCAACCTCCGCCTCCCAGGTTCAAGCGATTCTCCTGCCTTAACCTCCCCAGTAGCTGGGACTACAGGTGCGAACCACTATACCTGGCTAATTTTTTGTATTTTTAGTAGAGACGGGGTTTCGCCGTGCTGCCTAGGCTA
Source organism: Homo sapiens (assembly GCF_000001405.40). Lineage (NCBI taxonomy): Eukaryota > Metazoa > Chordata > Mammalia > Primates > Hominidae > Homo > Homo sapiens. The sequence goes on along the minus strand of NC_000023.11, from coordinate 72,173,004 downwards.
ATCTCGAACTCCTGAGCTCAGACAATCCGCCCGACTGGCCTCTCAAAGTGCTAGGATTACAGGTATGAGCCAATGAGCCTGGCCTAAAAAATTATTATTATTATTATTATTAATTTATTTATTTATTTTTTGAGACGGAGTCTGGCTCTGTTGCCCAGGCTGGAGTGCAGTGGTGCCATCTCGGCTCACTGCAAGCTCCCCCTCCCAGGTTCACGTCATTCTCCTGCCTCAGCCTCCCGAGTAGCTGGGACTACAGGCACCTGCCACCACGCCTGGCTAATTTTTTTCTGTTTTTTTTTTTTTGTTTTTTTTTTTTGTATTTTTTAGTAGAGACGGGGATTCACCGTGTTAGCCAGGATGGTCTCGATCTCCTGACCTCGTGATCCGCCCGCCTCAGCCTCCCAAATGCTGGGATTACAGGTGTAAGCCACTGCCCCCGGCCTAAAAAATTATTTTTAATTGACACATAATAATTCCACATATTATGGGGTACAGTGTGAAATTGCTATACCTGCATACTATGTATAATGATCAAATCAGGTAATTGGCATATCTGTCCCCTCAAACATTTATCATTTCTTTGTGTTGAGAATATTCAAAATCTGCTCTTGTAGCTATTTGAGAATATGCAATAAATTGTTGTTTATTGTAGTCACTCTATAATGCTATAGAACACTAGAACTTATTCTTCCTATCTAGCTGTACTTCAGTGTCTGTTAACCAAACTCTGCCTTGCTAAATTTCTGTCTATTTATTTCATCATTTGGTAACAGAGGGGTATTAAAATCCCGAAATGTAATTGTAGATTTGCCTATTTCTCCTTTCAGCGCTATCAGTTTTTACTTTAGATACTTTAGATAATTGGAAGCTGTATTATTAAGCACACAAATGTTTAGGATTGCTATGTTCTCTTGATGAACTGGCCATTTGATCATTTTGAAATCACTTTCTTGATCCCTGGTGATATTTGCTCTGAAATCTACTTTGATACTAACCTAGGCATTCCAGATTTTTTCTTTTTTTTGAGACAGTCTGGCTCTGTTGCCCAGGCTGTAGTGCAGTGACAGAATCACAGCTTATTGCAACCTCTGTCTCCTGGGCTCAAGCTATCCTCCCACCTCAGCCTCCTGAGTAACTGGGGCTACAGGTGCATGCCACTATGCCAGGATATATATATATATATGCCAGGGTATATATATATATATATATATATATATATATATATATGCCAGGATATATATATATATATATATATATATATATATATGCCAGGATATATATATATATATATATATGCCAGGATATATATATATATATATATATATATATGCCAGGATATATGTATATATGCCAGGATATATATATATATATATATATATATATATATATATATGCCAGGATATATGTATATATGCCAGGATATATATATATATATATATATGCCAGGATATATGTATATATGCCAGGATATATATATATATATATATATATATATATATATATATATATGCCAGGATATATATGTATGTATATGCCAGGATATATATATATATATGCCAGGATATATATATATATATATATACGCCAGGATATATATATATATTTTTTTTTTTTTTGCATTTTTGGTAGAGATGGTATTTCACCACGTTGCCTAGGCTGGTTTCAAACTCTTGAGCTCAAGTGATCCACCTGCCTTGGCTTCCCAAAGTGCTGAAATTACAGGCATGAGCCACTGCCACCCAGCCCCAGCTTTCTTTTGATTCATGTTAGCATGGTAAATATTTTTCTATCTTTTTACTTTTAACCTGTTTGTGTCATTATACCAAAGTGAGGGCTTTTTTTTTCAGGGAGCATATAGTTGAGTCCTGTGCTTTTCCTTTTAAAAAAAATTTTTTTTTATTTTTTATTTTTTAACTTTTTTTTTTTTAAGAAACAGAGTCTCACTCTGTCACCCAGGCTGGATGCAGTGGTGTGATCACAGCTCACTACAGCCTTGAACTCCTGGGATCAGGTGATCCTCTGGCCTCAGCGTCTCAAGTATCTAGGACTACAGGCATGCGCCACTACACCTGGCTAATTTTTTAAACATTTTTTGTAGAGATGGGGTCTTGCTGTGTTGCCCAGGCTGATCTCGAACTCCTGGGCTCAAATGATCCTCCCACCTTGGCCTCCCAAAGTGCTGGGATTATAGGCATAAGCCACTGTGCCCTGCCCTCTGTGCTTTTTCTACTTAATATGACAGTCTTTCCCTTTGGAATGGGAGTGTTTAGATGCTTTGCATTTAATGTGATTATTGATATGGTTAGATTTCTATATGGTTTCTCTTTGTTCCATCTGTTCTTTGTTCCATTTTCCTCTTTCTTTGCCCTCTTTCAGATTGAGTTTCTTTCTTCCTTCTTCTTCTTTTTTTTTTTTTAATATAAAGAGATGGGATCTTGCTCTATCACCCAGGTTGGAATGCAGTTGTGAAATCATAGCTCACTGCAGCCTCAAACTCCTGGGCTCAAGGGATCCTCCCACCTCACCCTCCTGAGTAGCTGGGACTACAGGCACATACCACCACCCCCTGCTAATTTTTAAATGTTTTGTAGAGATGAGGTCTTTCTATGTTGCCCAGGCTGGTCTCAAACTCCTGGCCTCAAGCAATCATCACGACTTGGCCTCCCTAAGTGCTGGGATTACAAGTGTAAGCCACCATGCCTGGCCAAGTATTTTTATGACTCATTTTTATCTCCATTGTTGGCTATTATCTATAACTTTTTGTTCTATTATTTTAGAGGTTGCTTTAGGGTTTATATTATAAATCTTTAACTTGGCTAGGCGCAGTGGCTCATGCCTGTAATCTCAGCCCTTTTGGAGGCTGAGGCAGGCAGATCACTTGAGGTCAGGAGTTCAAGACCAGCCTGGCCAACATGGTGAAACCCTGTCTCTACTAAAAATACAAAAAATTAGCCGGGCGTGGTGATGCGTGCCTGTAATCCCAGCTACTCAGGAGGCTGAGGTGGGAGAATTGCTGGAACCCAGGAGGCGGAGGTTGCAGTGAGCTAAGATCACACCATTGCACTCCAGCCTGGGAGACAGAGCGAGACTCCATCTCAAAAATCAATCAATCAATCAATTAATTAATTAATGTTTAACTTTTCATATTATACATTCAAATGATATACCACTTCACCTACAGCATAGGAACCTTACAAAGGTATACTTCCATTTCCCTCCTCTGACCTTTGTGTTATTGTTGTTATATATTTTACTTATCTACGTCATAAACCTCACAATATATTGTAATTATTTTTGCTTTAAATAGTCAATTATCTTTTTCATTTTAAACATTCTTATTTTAAAAGAATTATAGATTAACAGGAAGTTATAAAATACTACAGAGAGGTTCTGGGTATCTTTCACCCAGTTCCCCCAAATGGTTACATTTCATGTAACTATAGTACAATATCAAAACCAGGAAATTGGCACTGACATAATATGTGTGTATGGTTTTATGTCATTTGATGCCCCGTGTAGGTCCATGGAACTACCATCAAGATACAAAACTGAGGCAGGAGAAAAGGGTCTGGAGGCAGGGAATCTAAGACCAATTCACGCTGACTTCCTAGAACTAAATCAAAAGGAAAACCCCAACTTTCTACACCTAAGTAACAAAAGGACCAGAAGCTACTTCCTTTGCAACGTGCCCCTTTTCTGCGCGGCAGATGGAAAATTGAAAGTATCTCTAATTGGTTGCTTTCTGCAACCAATCAGATGTTTGCATAGGAGTGTGACTTTGTAACTTCACTTCAGCCTCTGATTGTTGCTTTCTGCAACCAATCAGACTGATTGTGGGCCAAGTCTTCTTTTGTATAGGAGTGCAACTTTGTAATTTCACTTTAGCCTCTGATTGCGTACTTACTTCATTTGCATGGAGTGAACACCAAGTGGCCAATGGGAAACCTCTAGGGGGTACTTGGACCCCAGAAGATTCTGTAACTGGGCTCTTGAGCCCCTGTGCTCGGGGCCTGCTCCCACACTGTGGAGTGTACTTTCATTTTCAATAAATTTCTGCTTTTGTTGCTTTATTCTTTTCTTGCTTTGTGTGTTTTGTCCAATTCTTTGTTCAAAATGCCAAGAACCTGGACACCCTCCACCAGTAACACAACTATCCCATCATCTTCATCTCTAAACCCTAGAAATAACTAATCTGTTCTCCATCTTTATAATTTTGTCACTTTAAGAATGTTACATAAATGGAATTATGCAGTATGTTACCTTTTGAGATTGCCCTTTTTCACTCACCATGGTTCCTTTGAGATCTGTCCAAGTTGTTTCACATATTAATATTTCATTCTGTAGTATTCCGTGGTTTGGATGTACCACGCTTTGTTTAGCCACTCACCTATTAAGGGACAGTTTGGTTATTTCCAGTTTTTGGCTATTGCAAATTAGAGTGCTGTGAACACTCATGTATAGGTTTTTGTGTGGACATAAACTTTTATTTTATGTACTTATTTTATTTTGAGATGGAGTCTCACTCCGTCGCGCAAGCTAGAGTGCAGTGGTGCAATCTCGGCTCACTGCATCCTCCACCTCCTGGGTTCAAGCGATTCTCCTACCTCAGCCTCCCGAGTAGCTGGGATTACAGGAGCACACCATCACGCCTGGCTAATTTTTGTATTTTTAGTAGAGATGGGGTCTCACCATGTTGGCCAAGCTGGTCTCGAACTCCTGAGCTCAAATGATCCACCAGCCTTGGCCTCCTAAAGGGCTGGGCTTACAGGCATGAGCCACCGCACCCAGCCCATAAACTTTTTTTACTGGACTAATTAACCAAGAGCGCAATTGCTGGGTCAATCGGTAAGTATATGTTTGGTTTTTAAAGAAAATGCTAAATTATTTTCCAGAGTGGCTGTACCATTTTGCATTTCCACCAGAATTATGTGAGTGAACTATTTCTCTGCATTTTTACCAGCATTTGGTATTGTCACTATTTTTTTTTTTTTTTTTTGAGACAGAGTCTCACTCTGTCGCCCAGGCTGGAGTGCAGTGGCATGATCTTGACTCACTGCAACCTCCACCTCCTGGGTTCAAGCAATTCTCCTGCCTCAGCCTCCCGAGTAGCTGGGACTACAGGTACATGCCACCATGCCCAGCTAATTTTTGTATTTTTAGTAGAGACGGGGCTTCACCATGTCTCGATGGCCAGGTGGCCAGGATGGTCTTGATCTCCTAACCTCATGATCTGCCCCCCTCGGCCTCCCAAAGTGCTGGGATTACAGGCATGAGCCACCACACCCAACTGGTATTGCCACTATTTTTAATTTTTGTTGTTCTAATAGGTGTGTAGTAGTATCTCATTGCGTTCTTAATTTGCATTTTCTAATGGCTAGTGATGTTGAACATATTTTCATGTGTTTATTTTCCATCTGTAGATAACTTTGGTGAACTGTCCCTTCATGTTCTTTGCCCATTTTCAAATTGCATTTTAATAATCATTGTCTTGGGTGGGCATAGTGGCTCACGTCTTTAATGCCAGCACTTTGGGAGGCTGAGGCAGGTGGATCACTTGAGGTCAGGAGTTCGAGACCAGCCTGGGCAACATAGTGGAACCCCCCCACCTCTACTTTTAAAATAAAAACAAAAAAAATGCCGTTTAAGATAATTGTAGATTCACATGCAGTTGTTAGAAATTATGAGTCCATGTGTACCCCTTGTCTAGTTTCACTCAATGAAACTTGCAAAACAATAGTACAGTATCACAAACAAGAAATTAACATTGATACAATCCGTCTATCTTATTCAGATTTCACCAGTTTTACATGCACTCAAATGTATATTTGTGTATTAACTCGATGTAATTTTACCATGTTGTAGATTTGTGTAACCTCCGTCACAATCAAGATACAGAATAATCTCATTACAAGAATCCCTCATGATATTCTTTTATAGCCACAGCACCTCCCTCCCTCCCTCGTTCCCTAGTTTTTAACAACCACTAATATGTTTTCCATCCTTGTAAATTTGTTATTCCAATAATGTTATGGAATCATACAATATGTAATATTTTGAGATTGACCTTTTCACTCAGCATAATTCTCTGGAGGTTCATTCCAGTTATGTATATCAGCAGTTCATTCCTTTTTATTACTGACTAGTTAGTATTCCATGCTATAGATGTGCCACAGTTTGTTTAATCATTCACCTGTTAAAAAAACATTTGGGTTGTTTCTCATTTTTGGCTGTAAAGCTGCTATAAACATTTATGTGCAAGTTTTTGTGTGAACATATTTTCATCCAGGCATGGTGGCTCATGCCTATAATCCCAGCATTTTGGGAGGTCAAGGTGGGTGGATTGCTTGAGTCCGGGATTTCGAGACCAGCCTGGGCAACATAGTGAGACCCTTACTCTCTACTAAAAAATAAAAAAATTAAAAATTGGGAGGCTGAGGTGGGAGGATCGCTTGCACCCAGGAGGTGGAGGCTGCAGTGAGCTGTGATTGTGCCACTGCACTCAGCCTGAGTGACAGAGCAAGACCTTCTTTCAAACCCCCACTCCCCCCCAACCATAAGTTTTAATTTCTTTGGGTTAATTGCCTAAGCGTGTAATTGCTGGGTTGTATGGTAATTGCATGTTTAGTTTTGAAACAAACTGCCATACTTTTTTCAGAGTTGCTGTACTAATTCACATCCCCACAAGTAATGTATGAGTGATCCAGTTTCTCCACCTACTTGCCAGCAGTTTGTGTTATCACAGTTTTTTATTTTAATCATTGAGCCAACAAGATTGGTGGCAAATTGGAAGTGGGTGGTGAGCAAAAGGAAGAATCAAGAATGACTCTTCGGTTTTGGGCTTCAGCAGTTGCATGGATGGTGGTGCCATTTATTAGGGAGGTAAAGATTTGAGAAAGAGCAGGTTTGAGAGGGACAAAGGAGTTCATTTTACACTTTATATATATTTACTCTGAGTTGCAGACTAGCCATGCGAGTGGCAATGCCAGGTGGACCTCTGGATACACAGATTGGGCTCAGGACAGTGGTTGGGGCTGGAGAAAGAGATTTGGGAGTCACTTCTAAACTCATTCACACCGACTTTTTCTTTCCTTTGCGTAATTTTCCTAGTATAGAGGCCCAGAAGTAGGATTACTGAGTAAAACGGCATGAGCATTTAAAATTTCCTATTGCATATTGCCAGATTTTATTTTAAAGGGGTGGTATTTATTCATAGTGTTAGCAGCCAGTAACCGTGCATCAATTTGGTATTCTTTCCAGCCTGACATATTGCAATTTCTTCTGCCTCCCCTTAATTTTTGCTACTATAATTGGCCATTCAGTTTTTACAATTTAGTGTGTCTTTGCTCATTAGGAAGTGTAGACATTTTCCCATATGTTTGCCTCTTAATAGTATTTCTTCTTCTCTGTTTGTGCCTTTGCTCATTTTTCTATGATGCAAGAGTGTTCCTGTCATAGCTGCAAGGACACAGGCTGGTGACTGTTGGCTGTGCTCTAATGTGTCCCACAGAGCAGGGGTGCATAAGGGTTGACACGGTTGTCCACTCTCTTTTTGAGAATTTGGAAGCTTCTGTTTTGAGCTTCCTTAACACTCTGCTCTACTGGTTTGCCGTCCGCCTCTGGCTGCCCCTTCCCTGTCTGTTTCCTAAGGAGATGTCTTCTGCAGCCTTCTCTGATATGTGGTGTTACTCAGAATTGTATCCTGGGTCCTCAAGAATATTTCTCATTGTAGGCCGGGTACGGTGGCTCATGCCTGTAGTCCCAGCACTTTGGGAGGCCGAGGCGGCCAGATCACCTGAGGTTGGGGGTTCGAGACCAGCCTGATAAACATGGAGAAACCCTGTCTCTACTAAACATACAAAAATTAGTGGGCGTGGTGGTGCATGCCTGTAATCCCAGCTACTCGGGAGGCTGAGGCAGGCGAATTGCTTGAACCCGGGAGGCAGAGGTTGCGGTGAGCTGAGATCGCGCCATTGCACTCCAGCCTGGGCAACAAGAGCGAAATTCCATCTCAAAAAAAAAAAAAAAAGAATATTTATCATTGTAAAATATAACATGCATACATACATACATACATATATACACACAGAAAAGTGCTTAAAACAAATGTATAGTTTGTACACTTGCAAAATTAGTTACAAGTGAACACCAGTGTGACTACCATGCAGGTCAGAAAGTAGAACTTTGCCAGCACCCCCAAAATCTCCCATGTGTCCTTATCAATTACAATTTATCCTTAGAAGTAGCCAATCTCTTAACTTTTATGATAATAACTTGCTTGCTTTTCTTTTCTCTCCCTCTGCCTCTTTCTCCCTCTCTCTCTCTCTCTCTCTCTTTTTTCTCTGAGACGGGACCTCACTCTGTCACCCAGGGTGGAGTGCAGTGGTGTGATCAAGGCTCACTGCAGCCTCAACCTCCTGGGCTCAAGCCATCCTCTGGCTTCAGCCTCCCCAGTAGCTGGGACAACAGACACATGCCACCATGCCCAGCTAATTTTTTTTTTTAATTGAGACAGAGTCTTGCTCTGTCACCCAGGCTGGAGTGCAGTGGTGCCATCTTGGCTTACTGCAACTTCCACCTCCCAGGTTCAAGCAATTCTCCTGCCTCAGCCTCCTGAGTAGCTGGGGTACAGGCATGTGCCACCACACCCAGCTAATTTTAAAAATATTTTTAGTAGGGGCGGGGTTTCACCATGTTGGCCAGGCTGTTCTTGAACTCCTGACCTCGTGATCCACCCGCCTCGGCCTCCCAAAGTGTTGGGATTACAGGTGTGAGCCACCGTGCCCGGCCTTTTTTTTTTTTACTTTTTACTGAGACAGGGTCTCACCATGTTGCCTGGGCTGGTCTCAAACTCCTGGGCTCAAGTTCTTACCTGTGGAGGGTGTCCAGGTTCTCGGCGTTTTGAACAAAGAATTGGACAAAACACAAACAAAGCAAGGAAAGAACGAAGCAACAAAAACAAGAGATTTATTGGAAACAAAAGTACACTCCACAGGGTGGCAGTGGGCCTGAGCAGCTGCTCAAGGGCCCTGGATACAGAATCTTCTGGGGTCCAAATATCCCCTAGAGGTTTCCCATTGGTCACTTGTTGTTTACCCCATGTAAATGAAGTGGTGGCCTGCAATCAGAGACTGATGTGAAGTTACAAAGTTGCATGTCTATGCAAATGAAGACTTGGCCCACAGTCAGTCTGATTGGTTGTGGACAGCAAACAATCAGAGGCTGAAGTAAAGTCACAAAGTTATACTCCTATGCAAACATATGATTGGTTGCAAAAAGCAGCTAATCAGAGGTACTTTCAATTTTCCGTCTGCAGAAAAGGTGGAGGTTTGCAAAGGGTATAGCCTCTGGTACTTTTGTTAGTTAGGCGTGGAAAGTTAGGGTTTTCCTTTCAATTTAGTTCTAGGAAGTCAGCATGAAATGCCCTTAGGTTTCCTGCCTCCAGACCCTATTCTGCCTCAAAGTGATCCTCCTGCTTTGGCCTCCCAAAGTGCTGGGATTACAAGTGTGAGCCACAGTGCCCAGCCTTGCTTTTCTTTAGTTTTATCATCTACATGTGCATTCACTTTTTAAAATATATTAAATAATGTATTTTTCTTGGTAGAGATGGAGGTCTTGCCACATTGCCTGGGTTGGTCTTGAACTCCTGGGCTCAAGTGATCCACCTGCCTCGGCCTCCCAAAGTGCTGGGATTACTGGCAGAGCCATGCACCTAGCTATATGTGCATTCCTAAACAATAATTTAGTTTTGCTTGTTTTTGAACTTTATATAAATGGAATCACACTGTATGTATTCCTTTGTGTCTTCTTTCACTCAACTTCATATTTGCATGATTTATACATGTTGTGTGTGGCTGTAGGTTTTTTTTTTTTTGAGACGGAGTTTCACCCTGTCACCCAGGCTGCAGTGCGGTGGCACAGTCTTGGCTCACTGCAACCTCTGCTTCCCGGGTTCAAGCGATTCTCCTGCCTCAGCCTCCTGAGTAGCTGGGACTACAGGTGCCCGCCACCAAGACTGGCTAATTTTTGTATTTTCAGTAGAGATGGGGTTTCACCCTGTTGACCAGGCTGGTCTCTAACTCTTGACCTGGTGATCCGCCCGCCTCAGCCTCCCAAAGTGCTGGGAATACAGGCGTGAGCCACGGAGCCTGGCCGTGGCTGTAGTTTAATTGTCGTTTCTGTATAGCATTCCACAATTTATTCATTCTGCTCTTGATGGACTTTTGGATTGTTTCCAATTAGGGCTGTTATGTATAATGATGCTTTGAACCTTTATATATCTTTCTTTCTTTCTTTTTTTTTTTTTTTTTTTTGCGATGGAGTCTCGCTCTGTTGCCCAGGCTGGAGTGCAGTGGTGTGATCTCAGCTCACTGAAACCTCCGCCTCCCGGGTTCAAGCGATTCTCCTGCCTCAGTCTCCTGAATAGTTGGGTACAGGCACGTGCCACCACGCCGGTAATCCCAGCTATATATATATATATATATATATATATATATATATATATATATTTTTTTTTTTTTTTTTTTTTTTTTGTATTTTTAGTAGAGACGGGGTTTCGCCATATTGGCCAGGCTGGTCTCAAACTCCTGACCTCAGGTGATCTGCCCACATCAGCCTCCCAAAGTGCTGGGATTACAGGTGTGAGTCACCGCGCCCGGCCTATAAATCTTTCGGTAAAGCTATGTACACTTTTCTGTAGGATATATACCTAGGAATGGAATTGCTGGGTTCTTGGAGATGTGTATCTTCAATTTTAATAGATAATGACAAATTGTTTTCCCAAGTTGTTGAACCAATCAGTAGCCCCATCAGCAGTGTATGAGGGTCTCTGCTCCTCAACACTAATTATCATCAGACTTTAAAAAATTTGCCTGTCTGGCATATGTGAAATGGTATGTTGTTGGTGTGTGTGTGTGTGTGTGTGTGTGTGTGTGTGTGTGTGTATATAACTTTTTTTTTCTTTTTTGAGACGGAGTTTCGCTCTTGTTTCCCAGGCTGGAGTGCAATGGTGCTATCTCGGCTCCCTGCAACCTCCGCCTCCCGGGTTCAAGCGATTCTCCTGCCTCAGCCTCCCAAGTAGCTGAGATTACAGGCATGCACTACCATGCCCGGCTAATTTTGTATTTTTAGTGGAGATGGGGTTTCTCCATGTTGGTCAGGCTGGTCTCGAACTCCTGACCTCAGGTGATCCACCCACCTCGGCCTCCCAAAGTCCTGGGATTACAGGTGTGAGCCACTGCACCGGGCCATACGTGTGTGTATATTTTACAACTTTATTGATATATAATTGATGTACAACAAACTGCACGTTTTAAGTGACGATTTGATTAGTAAACATCCTTGAAACCAGAGCCACAATCAAGATAATGCACATATCTATTACCTCAAAAAGTTTTCTCATGCTCCTTCCTCATGCCCCATTCTCCCTCATTCTTCGTTTCCCTGACAGTAGATGAGGTTAAGCACATTTCCATGTTTATTGGACATTGGGATTTCTTCTTTTGTGATGAGCTCATACAAGTCTCAACAAAGCTGAACAGTGTAATGAAGTAATCAGATGGGAAAGTTAGAAAGATGTGAGGTTGTGGGGATTGAAGTTAAGATTTCAATGGTGCAGCAGTTCTGGGCCATCGCAAGATCCACTTGGGGCCCTGAGAGTGGGTGACTGGAGCAGAAAGGGAGGGCAACAGAGGTGAGTAGGCCGAAGAAACAAGAAGTGTGGGAAGTGGGATAGATCTTTCACATGAATGTTGAAGTGATTTGGATTTGGGCAAGACTAGGGGGTGGGCAAAAGGATAGAATGGAGGGAAGTGCCTGAGAGGTACAGTGGTCATGGTCTGGAAGGTGCAGTGGGGAGCAAAGAAGGGGCCCACTCCACCTCCAGATGCAGAAGTATTTGCGGGAGGGAAAGAATCTCTGAGGAGAGGCCTACAGGCGAAGTGGGGTTCTCAGGAGACAGCCAGGTCTCAGTTAAAGAAGGTGTTTAGGGGAGCTTTCTATTTCTGTTGTTGGGGTATTTAGCAGTCCCTGTGCTATGGTTTGGATGTGGTTTATTTGTCTCCATCAAAACTCATGTTGAAATTTGATCCCCAAATGTTGGAAGGTGGGTCCTAGTGGGAGGTGTCTGGGTCATGGGGATGGATCCTTCGTGAATGGCTTGGTGGCAGTCTTGCAGGAGTGAGTGAATTCTCAGTCTCACAAGACTGGATTAGTTCTCTCAGGAATGGATTAGTTCCTGTGACAGTGGGTTGTTATAAAGCCGGGATGCCACTCAGGTTTTCCCCTCTTTGCATGTGTCCACTTTCTCTTTGATCTTCTCCACTATGTTGTGACACAGCACAAAAGCCCTTGCCAGAAACCAGGGCCATGCCCTTGAACTTCTCAGCCTATAGAACCACAAGATAAAGAAATCTATTGTTTTTCTAAATTACCCAGTCTCAGGTATTTTTTTTTAAGTTTAAATGCATTTTACTTTTAGACAACCTACATGACATGTTTTTCTAAAAAACAATGCCTCCACTCCAAATAAATCAGTCAAAATAATGAAGAACTCAAGATGATATCAGTCCCATTTGTCTTAAGTCCTGGTGTTATGTGGATGACAAACAGAAGCCAGTTATGATGACAGGTGATAGATCCAAAGTAATTGCCAAATTTGTTAACATTTTTCCATTTCTAAACCATCCTTAAAGAAAATCATATATCGGGTCACACCATCCTCACAGTAGTCCGCAGAGCAACCATGCCATCTGGATTCATGTTTTCTGGTAGTTTTTGAAATTAGCAAGGATGTGCTTGATCTGTTCTGCAGCTCCTGTCATAAAAGGTTTTACTCTTTTTGGTCTCTGTTCTTCCAGTTTGCCTTTGATTGATTTCATGTAATCTTTGATGCACTTATTGTAGGCTTCTTTTGTGAAGCTTGTTTCTTGCAGGTGATGATTCATGACACTATCGACACCAGTGATTACTGTGCTTTCGGTACCTTTGCCCTCAGGGCCTTCAGCGGAGGCATTTCCACCAATGAGCGAGTCAAAAATGTTACCTTCTGTCCTACTGACTATCTTCCCTTCCACCTCCAGGCGCAGCCCGTCTGCAATTTCCTGGCTCATGTAACTGTCAGAGAACATCTCACTGTGGCTGATGAGGTCCCAGTAGATAATCATGATGACGGCTGAAGGGAGACAATGGCGGCGCTAGATTAGCAGGAGCCCAGAGCTCAGAGTGAGCGCAGGGCAGCCAAAGTGGTGCTGGGGGGATGGGGGTAGTGGACGGAAAAACTCAGGTATTCTTTTATAGCAACACAAAACAGACTAAGACAGAAAATTGATACTGAGAAGTACAGTGTTGGTGATAAGAAATGCCTAAAAATGTGGAAGCAGCTTTGGAAATGGGTAATGGGCAGAGGTTGGAAGAATTTGGAAGAGCAGGCTAGAAAAAACCAAGATTCTGATGAGGGCTTATTAGACAAGATGACTATGGAAGGTCTGGAACTCCTCAGAGATTGGTTAAATGGTCCTGACCAGAATGTTGATGGAAATATGGACAGTAAAGGCCATTCTAGTGAGGTTCCAGATGGAAATGAGGAACAACATGTTGGAAACTGGAGTAAAGGCCATCCTTGTCTTAAATTGACAAAGAACTTGGACGAACTACATCTATGCCCAAATGCTCTGTGGAAGGCTTATTATAGAATTGAACTGGCAGGGGCAGGAAATCCCTGCTCCATCTCAGATGGAATTTAATAGAATACCTGGTGGAAGAAATTTCTAAGCAGCAAAGTATTCAGGCTGCTGCATGATTACTTCCAACTGCTTATGGTGAATTTCTGGAGAAAAGGGAAACACAGCAGAAAAATTTGGAAAATGCATAGCCTGGCCAAATGGCATAGAAGAAAAGAGCATTTTCAGGAGAGGAAACCAAAGTTGCCAGGTGCTAAAGCCAAGACAATGGAGAAAAAGACCCTGAAGGCATTTCAGAAATCTTCGAGGCTGCTTTTCCCATCACATGCCTGGAGGCCTAAGAGGACAGAATGGTTTCTGGGGTAAGGCCTGAACACTGCTGCCCCTGCTCCACCTCAGGACGCTGCTCCTCACATCACTGCTACATTGTTTCTGACTCTGGTTGAAGTTCAATGGCTCCCGGTACTGCTTGGGCCATCACTTCAGAGAGTGTAAGCCATAAGCCTTGGTGACTTCCATGTGGTATTAAGTCTGTGAGAGCCCAGAATGCAAGAGCCATGGAGGCTTGGCAGTTTCCACCTAGATTTCAGAGGATGTATTGGAAAGCCTCTGCAGAAGACTGCTGCAGGGGCAGAACCTCCACAGAAAGTGTTCATGAGGCAATGCCTAGTGGAGCCATGGGAGTAGGGCTGCCATGGGGACCCCACAATTATAGACCCACCTGGCAGTGTGCAACTTCAGCCTGGAAAAGCCACAGGCATTCAACTCCAACCTGTGAGAGCACCCACATGGGTGGTATTCAGCAAAGCCATGGGGCAAGGCTGCTCGAGGCCTTGGGAGCCCACTCCTTGCACCAGTGTGCCTAGGAAGTGGTACACAGAGTAAAAGATTAGTTTGGAGCTTTAAGATTTAATGTCTGCCCTGCTGGATTTTGAACTTGTATGGGCCTGTTACCCCCCTTTTTGGGTCCAATTTCTCTCTTTTGGAATGGGTGTGTTTGCCCAATGCTTGTACAACCATTGTATCTTGGAAGTAAATAACTTGATTTTTTTTTTTTTTTTTTTTTGTTGAGACGGAGTCTCGCTCTGTCGCCCAGGCTGGAATGCAGTGGCGCGATCTTGGCTCACTGCAAGCTCCGCCTCCCGGGTTCATGCCATTCTCCTGCCTCAGCCTCCCAAGTAGCTGGGACTACAGGCACCTGCCACCATGCCCGGCTAATTTTGTTTTGTATTTTTAGTAGAGACAGGGTTTCACCATGTTAGCCAGGATGGTCTCGATCTCCTGACCTCGTGATCCACCCACCTCAGCCTCCCAGAGTGCTGGGATTACAGGTGTGAGCCACCGCGGCTGGCCAATAACTTGATTTTTAATTTTACAGACTTATAGCTGTTAGGAACTTGCCTTGGGTCTCAGATGAGACTGGACTTTTACATTGGTGCTGGAACAAGTTAAGACTTTTGGGGCTATTGGGATAGAATTATTGTAGGTTGCATGTGAGAAGGACACTAGTTTTGGGGGGCCCAGGGTTGGAATATTACGATTTAGATGTAGTTTGTTTGTCTGCACCAAAACTCATGTTGAAATTTGATCTCCAAATGTTGGGAGGTGGGGCTAGTGGGAGGTGTGTGAATCGTGGGAGCAGCTCCATCATGAATGGCTTGGTGCTGATCTGGTGATAGTAAGTTCTCACTCTGGTGAGACTGGATGAGTTCTCTCAGGAATGGATCAATTCTTGTGACAGTGTGTTGTTATAAAGCCAGGATGCCACTCAGGTTTTGTCTTCTTTGCACGTATCCACTTCCCCTTGGACCTTCTTCACCATGTTGTGACACAGCACAAAAGCCCTTGCTAGAAGCCAAGGCCATGCCCTTGAATTTCTCAGCTTGCAGAACTGTCAGCTAAAGAAACCTCCTTTCTTTATAAATTACCCAGTCTCATATATTCTATCAACACAAAATGGACTAAGACACCCTGGAACTGGGGTTCCAGGAAGGCACAGTTGAAAACGATGGGAGGAAGAGGAGCAGGGAAAATTGGGTAGCAGAGCAGAGTACGAAGTAAGTGCTGACCAGAGGAGTTCATAGCCAGGGTAGTGGCCCTTAGATAACAGGAACATGAGGACCATTGGTCCTGGTTCCCAGGGATGCCATGTGAATTGGTCTCAGCAGTGGCTCCACTGGATGGTAAGCTCCATAAAGGCAGGCATGGTGTCTCCCTCAGTCACTACTCTACCCTCAGCTCCTAATGCTCTGCCCAGCATGTTGTAGGAGCTCATTAGACGTTTGTTGAATGGAAGCATAAAACAAGTGGATGGAGGAGCACACGATGCCTGGCCAATTGTAGGTGCCTGATAGATGCTAGTGACATTTTATTCATGGTATTTTGTGATGGACTGATTTAGCCATTTGCATATGTGACATGACATGTCCTTGGAGAGAGTTTATTAATAGGCACTAATGAGGCTTATGAAACACTGAAGTCTATTTAAAGTCTACTAGCACGTGTCCTAAGATGGTGACAATTGAAGAAAGCTACAAACCTAATAAAATGAAGTGTAATTGGTCTTAAGTAAGGAGGAGGTGAGGGAATTGGGATGGGCGTGGTGGTTCACGCCTGTAATCTTAGCACTTTGGGAGGCTGAGGCAGGAGGATCACTTGGGCCGAGGAGTTTGAGACCAGCCTGTGCAATATAGCGAAACTCCATCTCTACAAAAAAATTTGAAAATTAGCCAGGTGTAGTGGTGCATGCCTGCGATCCCAGCTATTCAGGAGGCTGAAGAGGGAGGATTGCTTGAGCCCAGATGTTCAAGGCTGCAGTGAGCCATGATTGTGCCACTGCATTCCAGTTTGGGTAACAGAGCAAGACCCTGTCTCAAAAAAAGAAAGGTGGGGGTGGAATCAGAATAAGGATTTGTAAGTGTTTCGCCTGCACTATTCATGGGAGAAAGACACCTGTGATGGACAAAGAACTGTGTCACCAAGATCCCCCTTCAAGGGAGGATTTACTGCCAGCTGCTGAAAGTGGTGTCAGCAAAGAGCCTTCTTCAGCTATCAGTTCCTTCAGAGATTGCCTCAGCTTGAGACAGACATCTCACCCAAGGTCAAGCCCTTCATGGCATGGCCTAGAGCCAATGACTTATTGAAGCGGAGATATGAAGGCCTGCCCTTTGGCCCAATGCAGGACAATGGACAGGTCATGTGAATGCCAGAGCCAGCCATTGAGTGAGCAGAAGCTTTGTGACACCTGCATTGCTACTCTTTTCTCCTCCTAATTTTTTTTTTTTTAGATAGAGTCTTGCTGAGTCACCCAGGCTGGAGTACAGTGGTGCAATCTTGGTTCACTGCAACCTCTGCCTCCTGGGTTCAGTTCTCATGCCTCAGCCTCTCGAGTAGCTGGGACTACAGGTGCACACCACCACACCTGGCTAATTTTTGTATTTTTAATAGAGATGGGGTTTCGCCATGTTGTCCAGGCTGGTCTTGAACTCCTGACCTCAGGTGATCCGCTCGCCTCGGCTCCCAAAGTGCTGGGATTACAAGCGTGAGCCACCTTGCCCAGCTGCCTCCTGTCTAATCTTGTTTCCTTCCTTTCTCTTCCACAGATGTTGATTCCTAGGGCATTCCCTAGTAAACATCCCACACAGTAAACTCCATCTAAGCATATGCTTCCTGGGTTCTTCAACCTGTGATGACAACTTAAGGTAAGGGTCAAAAACTCATATGCCTTCAGGGACCTGACAGATAATATAAGGGAATGAAGCTGGTTGGGTTTGATGCAACAGGGAGTGGTGGGAGGTAAATTGGAGAGACGGCTCCATCTAAATTTTTTTTTTTTGAGACGGAGTCTTGCTCTGTCACCCACGCTGGAATGCTGTGGCGTGATCTCAGCTCACTACAACCTCTGCCTCCCAGGTTCAAGCAATTCTCCTCTCTCAGCCTCCCAAGCAGCTGGGACTACAGGCGCCTGCCACCACACCCGGCTAATTTTTGTATTTTTAGTAGAGATGTGGTTTCACCTTGTTGGTCAGGCTGGTCTCGAACTCCTGACCTCAGGTGATCTGCCCGCCTCGGCTCCCAAAGTGCTGGGATTACAAGTGTGAGCCACCTTGCCCAGCTGCCTCCTGTCTAATCTTGTTTCCTTCCTTTCTCTTCCACAGATATTGATCCCTAGAGCATTCCCTAGTAAACATCCCACACAGTAAACTCCATCTAAGCATGTGCTTCCTGGGTACTTCAACCTGTGATGACAACTTAATGTAAGGGTCAAAAACTCATATGCCTTCAGGGACCTGACAGATAATATAAGGGAATGAAGCTGGTTGGGTTTGATGCAACAGAGAGTGGTGGGAGGTAAATTGGAGAGACTGTGCTCCATCTAAATTTTTTTTTTTTTTGAGACGGAGTCTTGCTCTGTCACCCAGGCTGGAATGCTGCAGCGTGATCTCAGCTCACTGCAACCTCCACCTGCCAGGTTCAAGCAATTCTCCTCTCTCAGCCTCCCGAGTAGCTGGGACTACAAGCACCTGCCACCACACCCGGCTAATTTTTGTATTTTTAGTAGAGATGGGGTTTCACCTTATTGGTCAGGCTGGTCTCGAACTCCTGATCTCAGGTGATCCAACTGCCTCGGCCTTCCAAAGTACTAGGATTACAGGTGTGAGCCACCATGCCCAGTCCCCTAAATTTTTAAAAATTGACAAACAGCACTGTGTACTCTAGATAATGTATGTGAATTCAATTCAGCCTGCAGCCCTCCTGTTTATGACCTTTGTTTGAGAGGTATATTCTCTCTTCTGTTAATTAACATACCAGGACCTGTCTTTTGTGAGTTTGGTCAGTGTGAGTAAATCCTTAAAAGCTTCATCAGCTTATGGTGGTGTGGCACTGCTGTGGTTTGAATGTGTCCTTCAAAATTTGTGTGTTGGTCTTCGGTGGCAGTGCGGGGGGGTGGTGCGGGCATGATGGACTGGTGGCTTTATAAGAAGAAGAGAGACCTAGGATGGCATGCTCTTGCTCTCTTGCCATGTGATGTCCCCCACCCTGTTATGACTCAGTAAGAAGGCCCTCTCCAGATGCAGCAACGTGTCCTTGGACTTTTCAGCCTCCAGAACTGTAAGAAACAAGTGGATTTCTTTTCTTTATTAATTACTCGGTCTATGGTATTCTGTTATAGCAACAGAAAATGAACTAAGACAGGTACAAAGGAGTTCTGAACCTGCTGGAGTGAACACCAGACCCTGAACTGCAGGGTTCTACCAAGGGACTGCTTGCCATGAGGCCCACCTCAAGCTAGCTTCCTTTTCTGACCTTCATCTCCAACTTAAACACATGCTATTGTCTGAGGGTGGCCCTGGCCCCTCTCCCTTCCCTTGTAGGTTTTCTAGCTATTTCCAGTTCTGGTGTATCTTTTGGAAGAGCAGCCGGGTGGTGTCAGGGGCCTGGGGAGACAGGGATGCTGGCTACAAGAACCTCAGCCTTAGAGGCCTGGGACAGTTGGGAATAGAGAACAAAGTTCCTTTCTTCTTTTGATGAGATTTGACTCTCAAATATGGCTGTCACCATCTGCATGGTGGGACCATACCCTTCTTGAGGGATGGAAATGATCTGGACCACATTTGGTTTGGGATTTTTCCCTCCCAGCCCAGACTCACTCTGGTCTGCCTTGCTGGGTGACTTTATTGAGCTAGAGAACACAGAGGGAGTTTTTGCCCTGGGGATAGTTGCTAAGGCTGCCTCCTCCCCTCAGGCCTGGTGATGGCTGCTCACTCCCCCTTGTTGACTCCATGAACAGCTGGACTCAAATCCCTGAAATGAAGTCCCAGAACATGGGTTACCTGCCTTTAGGCCCATGGCTCAGTGGGCCAGGTTTCTGCAGGACATTCTGTGCCACATAGCTGTTTTGAGCTCTCAGGTTCGTGAGCATCAAAGCCAATGTGTGTGGGCCCCATACTCGTGTGGATGGTTAAACATGCTCAAAACTGGGCTGAGTGTCTGAATAAAAGTATCATTGCTACAATGAAAACCAGAGGGTGAAACAGAAAATGATTTTAACAGAAAAAGTTTATTTTAAGAAGACACAAACAGCTCTAGCTATATAAAGAATACAGTTCAATTGCTGGTAGCAAGCCAGTAAGGAATGCCTTTTTTTTTTTAAAGAAAGACAAGAAAAACCCTTTGTAATATCACCCCACAGAGGGCTCCCTTCCATTTTGTGTTGGAATCCTAAAAAGACTGAGATCGTGATCTCTCCTACTTTCTGCTTCTTCTTGAAATGTTAGGGACACATTCCCAGCTCTAGGAGATGTGTCTTTCCTGTACCTTCCAGTTTAGGGTATGGTCTGTAAATTCTTGTCTCCCTTATTTTTCTAAGTGCATTGTTGGCATTCAGTAAGCACTAAATGGTAAGGGCTAACTTAACAAAAGTCCACCTCTTGACTGCATACTAGGACTGGCCAATGCTCATTCCTCAGTTTGCTTTTGGCAAGTGTAGTATTTTTGCTGCTTTTGGATCCAAGGCACAAGCCTGGTTTCCCTTCCTAATTCTGGAAATCCTAAACAGAAGGCATAAAGGAACTGTTTCATGGATGCTTTTAAATAGGGAAATCCTGAAAATTACTTTCATCACTGATTTTTTAAAATTTAGATTTCAGTAAGTGGGTAGATCCCTGGGCTCAAATGACAGAAATCAAGCTAAAGATTCTAAGAAGCAATTTGCTGAGCTAGGATAAGCTGCAGCCTGAGACCTAGGTCTGAGTGGCTGAGTCCACATCAAATTAGAGTGCTAGCCCTCTGTATGTCAGCCTGTTTTGAATTGCCAATGGAAAGAAGGTCTCAAGAGGCAAGAAAGGGCAAATGCTTCAGGAGCCCCCACCATCCCCTTCTTGACCAGTCCCATCAGATCTGGACCTAAACCAGAGAACTGATGAGGGTGCTGGACTGTGTGTGTGTGTGTGTGTGTGTGTGTGTGTGTGCGCGCGCGCATGCACACACGCATGTATGGTGTGATTTGTGAATTAGCCCTCACAGTCCAGGTTGAGAAACCAAACTCACACAGACACATACATATCATCCATTCTTATCCCACAACGTTTATACGAGAAAATGTGAAAATGTGAATCTGAGCTTCAGACTCCCAAGAAGCATTAGAGGTGGAGATGGGAGCAGGATGGAGAGAGACGTGAAGAAGCTTTAGAACAGAATTCATTTAGAGATTCAAAACACAGGAGGAGGTGGTGTGCTGAATGTCTTGTGGCTGTGTTGTTGCATGGGCAATCCCAAGGAGCCCATCCCAGGGGCTGAGGGTCCAGAAGGCAGGGAAAAACTGTGGGCACAGAATATCTTCTGCACCTCATTGGTTTTCTTGCTAAGGCTGAGTGCTCTGTCTAGAACAGGTCCAAACTGCATTAGGAAATGGATACATGGATATTCTAGGTTTAAAAACCAGCCTTTGGAACCTGGTGATTTCCCTAGGAAATCGTAGGCTGAACTGGAATCCTATGGCCTGGGCTGCCAGACTTTCCAACGACAGCCCTAAACTCATGATACTAGTATGAGGCAGGAAAGGGTGGACAAGGGTGGGAGTCTCCAACCACAGATATGAGGGAGAAGTTATGGAACAAAATAAGTAAGAGAACTCAGAAATTCTCTCCTTCCAGTTTATCCCAAACCCAGGGAAGCAGAGGCACATTGGGTAACAAGGATAGGTCTGGGGAAAAAAATGAGGGTTTCTACACTGAGGTAGTCAGTAATGAGAGAGAGAGAGAGCTCATGAAGGACACTCTATTGAAGAGTAATGGTTGGCATATGCAGCCCCCCTCCACCTGCTCCTGTGCAGTCAGTCTGGTCTGACAATGCAGTAGATGGGAAGGCAATAAACCACATCAGCTACTGCACAACTCAGTTATCACATGGGGCAGCTCACAGAAATGCTTGTCTCAGAAGACAGTCTGGATCAGGGGTCAGCCTAAGGCTTTGCATAGCCCATGAGCTAAGAATAGTTTATATTGGCAGGGTGCGGTAGCTCACACCTGTAATCCCAGCACTTTGGGAGGCCGAGGTGGGCGGATCACAAGGTCAGGAGATCGAGAACATCCTGGCCAACATGGTGAAACTCTGCCTCTACTAAAAATACAAAAAAAAAAAAAATATTAGCTGGGCATGGTGGCACGCACCTATAGTCCCAGCTACTCGGGAAGCTGAGGCAGGAGAATTGCCTGAACCCGGGAGGTGGAGGTTGTAATGAGCCGAGATTGTACAATTGCCCTCCAGCCTGGCTACAGAGAGAGACTCTGTCAAAAAAAAAGAGAGTGGTTTACATTATCCAAAGGTTGCAAAACAAACGAATGAACAAACAGCAACAACAAAGAAGAATGTGCTACAGAGACCACATGTAGCCCACAAAGCCTAAAATAGTTACTGTCTTAACCTTTACAGAATTTGTCAATCTCCCATCTAGATGATGGGGGAAACCTCACCAATCTCTGGTGAGAAGCCTCTAAGCATCCTCGAAAAGAGAAACGAGAGGAAGTCCAGGAGAAACAAGGGAACAATGGAAAATAAATGGAAATGCCAATCAATTTGACTAGTGTGGCTCTAAAAGATGCATGGCTTGCAATTCCACAGAATAGTAAGGTATGCATGTACTAAGGAAGGAGGCCCCAACTAAAGAGAGAGCCACACTAAGGAACATTAGGCAAAGAATGTTCTGGAAAAGAGACTGCATGCGGAGCTTAGTACTGATTAGGGAATTCTGTTATTGTTTGATAAGATGGAGCTGGAATTTGAGCCCAGGGATTGACAGAATATCAAGCCAGGTGAAATTTCTAGAACACAACTAAATATCTCATGAGCATTTAACAGTCTGAAAATTTCTCATAAAGATTAAGAAGGGAAGGCTAAAGTAGACTCTGGGAAAGCTAATATTGGTTGGGTTGTACCCTACTTTTAAATAAACACCAAATACAAAAGTTTGCACTAAAAAAAGTAGAGACATTATGGGACAATGACAAGAGGAATCTCGGTTTTTCAAAAAGAAGTCACCAGAAGGTTCCCTTACATAGGAAGTTTACCTCTAAAAAATGATACTTGATATCTAAAAAACTCATTTTTCACACAACTTTTAGGGAAAACATCCATTGTACTAAGTAGGGTGCACATATTGAATTTGGAGGGAAACTAATGTTTATAAACTGAAAATCCAATTTGTCTTTGGATTAATGAATTAAAGAACTCTTGAACATTTTCCCTTAAAGCATATATATTAGTTCATTGAAATACCTGGGAAATTCATGTGTCATAAAAGTAGAAGCCAGCTGTGGGTCTTCTATAAATTGTAGTGCTTTAAATGAAACCAGATTGGGCCCAAGGGCAGGAGACCTGGAATTGAGGCTGGGCCCCACCACTGACTCACTGTGTGACCTTGTATATAAGTTATTTGACCTTTCTGGGCCTCAGCTTCCTCATGTGTGAAATGAGAGAGGTTGGTCCCTTTCAGCTCTAACATTCCAAGACTGCAGATAAATATAGAAATAAGATAAATACAACAATCTAGAAATAAGAAATATAGCCCAAAGTAAGCTTTGGAGTCAGTAGAAAAAAGTAGCAGTGAAATATAATAAAAAGAATAAAACTTTAACCACTAGCCAGGGTAAATATATCTCATTTAAAAATGAATGAAAAGGTTTGTAATTTACAATTCATCAGAAGACCTCAGCACATACATATATTGATATTTCTTCGCCATGATACACATGGGGGAAGGAATGAGTTTGAGGTGACTTGTACAATGAGCACAATGCTGCGTTTGCATGCACAACATTTTATAAAATTGGATGTTAGAAAAAGCTCAAGACCACCTAAGGAATAAATGTCTATAAAGCTTGGCATTACAAAGAGGCTGAGAGGGGTTAACTAGTTGTTCCAGTTCAGATTTTGTTTTGGAGTTCGTTGCTATCAAATTCTACTATTTAGGCAAAAATCTTAAAATCAAATATACTTCTGCCAGAGCCTTACTGGAGAACAGCCACCACGGTAAAGACAGGTATTTAAGAGCTGGCAATACCAAACAAACTTAACACCTTTCCCTTTTTTCCATTTGTGAGTTAAAAAAAATCTTTTTTTTTTTTTTAAACCCAAAGCAGGCCAGATGGGCTGGCTAAGTCTAATCAAAGATTTTGCAGGTTGAGCAATTTGTTGATCCAATATGATAAGTTCTTTTTAATTTTTTTCGAGCATATGCACCGGAGTCCCATAAAACATGAGACTCCTCAATCTGATAATTTCTTAAAACCAAGCAAACATATGCCTGACCAAGATAACAATATACACCTCTTGGCCAGAGACTGGTCCTTATGATGAGAGCCAGAATAATGGTAAAGGTTGGAATCAGTTGGAGAGTCGTGGCTATAGTGATTCAGGGGCTTGAAGGAGTAACATCACTGGAATGCACATACACACACACACACACACACACACACACACACACACACATACACTCTCTCTCTCTCTCTTTCTCCCTCTCCAGGGATGCTGCTGTTGCTGCTCCTGGAACTGCACTTTGAGAACCATTGGCCTAGATTTTGGGCTTTACTGAACAAAAGTATAATGCCCATTTCACATTGCTCATTACTCATGCAAATTTCTTCTTGCTAACCTTATTAAAAATGCCCCAAATGTGTGTCTATAACTATTTACTATGTATTCCTCTATAAATCTGTTTCAAAGTATTCTAAAATTTGCTTATTTCATATTATGTTTATATCATTATACTTTTTGCTGCCTTTTGACAAAGGCACTTCCTTATACATCTTTCCCACTCTCTTATCCTTTTAAATCCCTAATATCCTTGTCACTTGTAGCTGAAATACATGCAAAGCCTTTGAAAGGATTGGGGGCTGTGGTATAGATATAGTCTCATTTTCACACCAAGCTGGACTGATAGCCCATAACAGAGATGAAGCAGGGAAAGCAGAAGCTTGTAAAGGTAAGCTTATTGGAGGTAAAGTTGTACCTCCAATAAGTTTAATAATCACCACCAATACTGGACGACTGACATTGATTGGACATGGATTGGACAGTTTCACCTTTCACAAACAGGACATATTTTCACAGACTCTTCAATTCCTTGTGTTCTTTACTCAAATGGTAAGTAGTATTAATTCCATTTATGTAAAAATGTCAATGTACAATATGAATGATCTAGGCCTTCTCAGTGGCTTTTAGTAGCCATTTCTGAGAGTCCCTTGGTAGTAACCATATTGAATAGCATTGGATATCAGGACAATTTAATTGACCATCAGCTAGTAACTCAAATGATTCCAGGCGATTAAGATATTTTCTATATTCTGGAGTTAGGCGTCAGGGAATTTGGCCTTTCCATGGTGAAAAATACACTTCTACAACTAGTTGATGCCTAACATTCTGCAAGTAGAACTTCATTCCATTGGCTTAAGGCTTTTCCCTTGTTAAAATGCAACTGACCCTCAAAAGAGGTAGCATTAAGCCTTATAATCTCAAAGTAAATGAATTTATCCCTTTCCTGAGAGCAGGTTTTTCTTAGGAGGAGAAGGAAGTAGGAGGCACTGAAGAGAGTTGGTGCTGGGAAGCAAGGTTTAGGAGAATGGAGCAGAAAGAGGAGAGGGAGGATCCTGGTGACAGACCGTCAACTCAGTCACTCTTTTGTTGAAGGGCTGGCCTTGGGAGCATCCCTGCTGAAATGGGTGTTAACTTGCCACCTGGAGCATATTACTTAGAAATCAACTATGTTTTCCGATATTAACACTATTAAAGATTCTTTAATGTATAGGCACACAAAGACTTATAGCAATGGAAAAATAGGTAGCAATAAAATATTTGGTGCAACAAGAGATAGGGAGTTAACCCCCGACCCCAAATCAGAAGGACTATACTTGTTCATAGGAAGAAGATAAACTGATATTACTTTAAAGAGTGCAAATCACAGGGCTGGGACGAGGGTAAGGCACTTGCATGGCCCTGAGAGCGGGCACCTCTTTGAATTTTACGCCCTAGGTGCCTCGCTCACCTCACCCTAGTCCTGGCCCTAGCAAATCATATTAAAGCGAAAGCTCACCATTGTGTCACAGACTTGATAATGGAAGGTGGAACGAGTGAGGAACAGAGCACTGAGCATGAACTCATCTTTTTCCCAACTTGTTCATTGATGAGGAAGAGGGCAGGTGCGTGGACAGATCTGCTCAGACTGACAGGTACAGAGAGACTGCAATCGGGTCTGTGTTGTCCAGATAGTTACACTGGATGTCAGGTGCAGTGCTTGTTAGGAGAGCCTGGTAGGATCTCCTCTGTCTTTGCACGTTCAAGGTAATTTATCCAGATCAACTGGTCAGTTTGTGGTCATTAAGCTAACATTAATTATTTTGCTTCCTGTTGTCTCACTTCCTTTATGGGTGAGTTGTTGTGCTAGGGATGCAGTTCATGGGATTTGGGGCTGAGGGATAAGTTGGGGCTGAGGAATAAGTTGGGGCTGGTGGGGGAGGCCCAGTCAGGAGCTGAGGCAGGCCAAGTAGTACAGGATAAGGAGAGGAGACACCAGCAAAGCTTGCTATTGTACCAAGAATAACTACCCTCAAAAACATGTACTGACTACCCACCAAATGCAAAGCATCCTTGGTTAACAATTAACCTCCGCTCCTGGGGATGGTGACTAGATCAAAGTCAGGCTAGCAGAGCCATCTGTTGCTACTAACTGGAATGGGGAGGAAAAAAGAGGATAGGGACGACTTGAAATGGAAGCTGAGCTCCTAGGGCCAACTTCATTTCACTCAAATCTCTTCTCTATTCCACCTTCAAAAATTATTATCATTATTATTTATACTAGTAATTGTAGTAGTGGTGGGTTCTCTGCAAGCCTTTCTGAGAGGGGCTTTCAGCCTCTCTTCTCCAGTCTCAGCAGCGTAGGTGCAGAAGGCAGCAAACATTGTGGTAAGTGCCTGGGTGGGAGAGAGAGTGGAGTTATGATAATCAAAGGTAGGAGAGAGGTTGAGTGTTAGGAGTGGGGAAGATGCTTTGTGTTCTGTTAATTAGTGATTAGTAGAAATTTTACAGTTTGGTTGTTTATTTGGGACGTCTACCTGTTGCAAAATATTAAATGAGGCCAGGTGCAGTGGCTTACTCCTTTAATCCCAGCACTTTGGGAGGCCAAGGCGAGAGGATCGCTTGAGCTCAGGAGTTCAAGACCAGCGTGGGCAACATAGCAAAACCCCCATCTTTACAAAAAATTAATTTAAAAAATTAAATGAATACTTCCGGTCTTAAATGTTCTCTCTGACCATATGATTTCTGCCCCAAATCCTCTTGTGCTAATGGGAACACCACTGCGTGGGCCACAGTGATGATGTAGAAGATATTCTAAAAATTCCAGGCATATAGAGTATTGTAGAGGAAA
The DNA here is from genome assembly GCF_000001405.40 of Homo sapiens. Classification (NCBI taxonomy): domain Eukaryota; kingdom Metazoa; phylum Chordata; class Mammalia; order Primates; family Hominidae; genus Homo; species Homo sapiens. The sequence continues at coordinate 72,145,908 of NC_000023.11, read as the reverse complement.
ACAAGACTAAAGGTAACTGACAAACATCAAGGTGTCTGAGAATTCAGGTTCAGAATCTTTTGGGAAAACCTCCAGAGGTAGCAAGGTGAGGGGAGAGGCAAAACCCATTAGAAGTAGTAAACAAGAAACTTCCAGAAAAGTCCACAGAAGTAACAAGGCCTATACTATGTGAGTCCCATACTCAGCTTTAACGTTCAACCAGTCATAATGGTTCCCAAGGAGACCCTGGTGTCCTTTCATTTTTGCTAAGCAAAAGCACAAACGCTCCTTCATTTACTACAGAGGAAAATGTCTGTTTTTTGGAATTCTAAGTCTGGAGCAGACAAATGTGGCATTCATATATAAACTGAGGCCAGGGATGAATTGATTTTATTTTGGGCAAAATCCCTGGAATTTGGAATTTGGTTAAGAACTTCACACCAAGTAGTTCTAGTACTTTCAAAAGCAACTGAGCCTAGCTGTTTTATTATTTTAAGTGTCGAAGTGCTGGTTGCAAGGGAGTTGGTGGGCCTGGCCTGTTTCCAGAAGTCTCAGATTCAGAACTATAACAACAAAGGGCCTAGGCCTAGGGCTTCTCTTGTGAGAGGCCCAAGTTTTCTCAGTACTTAGTGTGGTTTTTCAGCTGCTCTGTCCAGCTGGAGTGTGGGCAGTTGAGCTAAAAGGTGGCTTCTCATTGGGCAATACGACCTATCAAAGTTGAGATCTGCTTGTCTCTGGAACCTTACTGCATCCTCCAGGAGGTTGACCATTGAATCTATTGGGTGAGGGGTGAAGTAGGAAGGGGCTGGGGAACTCTCTTTGTGAAGCAGGCTACAATTTCATTCAACTGTTCTTTTTGCCTCTTGAAGACAGTAGACAATTAACTTTCCATCATTGGTCAGCAGGTTTTCTTTGCTCAGTGCTTTGTCTTCCTCCCCAACCTCCCAGAAATCAGGCATACAAAAATCAAATGAATCACTGCTCTTGCTCTGCTTAGAAAATTGAGCTGACAAGAATAGTTAGTGCCTATAAGCTTCGTGGGGGGTGGGGGCAGGGAGGGGTCGCAATGATTATTCTGAAGCTCTTTCAGTATGCCATTTACCCAGGTTCTTATGCTCTCCCCCAGCAAGGTTAATTGAAAGCTGGTCAAACACAGAACCTAAATGGCAAAAAGTAGCCCTTTTGTGTGTGTGTGTGTGTGTGTGTGTGTGTGTGTGTGTGTGTGCATTATGGGCCATAGCAACTGGCAAGACTGCCTTTTAGATTTTGGATAGATCCTTTTAGTTTATATGTTCTTGGTTTTTGGAACAGAGTCGGACTTCCTTTAAACAAAACCAAACCAACCACAAACCACGATCTGAATTGACTGGTGGGGGGCAAGATGCACTTACTTTCCATTATCCTTGAGCCTTTGATGATGCTGTTCCTTCAGTTAATTACTTCCTGTAATGAATTTTATATGCAAATGAAATGAGAGTTCTTAGAATGCAGCATGAGCTGGGCGCAGATCCTGCCTATCGCTGTTGACAGACACATGGAGGATCTCAAGGTGCACTTGTGAGTTACCTCGGCTAGATCTGAGTGAACAAATGGCTGTCTTGTTTGTTGGTCAAGCTTGGTTCATTTAAAGCAACCCAGTCCTGGTCTTTTCTAGCTAATGGGGGTGGGTGGGGGGGCGTCTATATGTTTATTGAAACTTATCACCCTGATCTCCATGTAGACAATCAAACTGAAAAAGGCATTAAGTTTCAGGACAGAGTCACAGTCATATTTTGCACCACAAAAGCCATCCAATCAACCTCATGCCGAAATAAGTGCACCCTGCAAACCTCTTGTGAGCGCAGGGGAAAGCTAAACTGTGGTTGAGGAGGCATCAGAGTCTTTCTGTGTTTGCACACAGGGCCATCAGAGCCTCCCTAGGAAAGTGAATAATAAGCAATGGCACCCTATGCCCCCCAAGTTTGGCAGCCTCCAATCTGCTCTCACACTGCACTCCTCAGTGACAGGAGCCAGGGATGGAGCAGCCGGGTCACTGAATTGAAAAAGTGGCACATGTGCCCTGACATCTGAAAATTTCTTCTTAGTTAGTGCACACCACTGGGGGAAAATAAGAAGAAACTCGGTAGTCAGTCATGACAAGCTTATAAGTATGAAAACATAAAAATGTCTGAAGATGATTAAGTGCCAGATGATTTTAGCTCTAGATGAAGTAGCCTCTCTCCTGCTGTCCAGAGTGTGAGTTAATATAAAAGAAATGTAGGCTCTGTTGTTCCCATGGTTCTGTTTAAAGACCCTTTCTCTTCCCCCTTCTCTACTCAAGTTTAGTAAGTAAACCCTGCTTGTTGAGCCCAGGGCTTAGGTACTGGGGTTATCGGTGGTTTCATAGTCTTTTGAAAATTGTGCAATAATTCTCCGAGCCAGTGGGTTAGTGGTCTTCAGAAGTTCAGCTGCTGAGGGACGAGACCTTGGAGTTGCCTTACTTCCCTTCTTCTGTAGCAAGGCCTTGAAATCGTCATTTCTGCCAGCATCTAGGTTGGCACTGCTGCCTGACCCTGCAGTGGCGGTAGACTCACTGATTGGAGACTCAGCTGTGTTCTTTATTGGTGAGTGGGAACTCGTTCTGCCACCCACAAAGGCCTCACCAGGTTCCTTCCAGCCGAGCAGCTTCCTTTTGGACCTAGATAAGAGAAAGTTTGGTCTGAGTGAGTTAATGCAGCAGACATTTACCAGTGCTTCACAGACCCCCATGCCTGTGACACAATCCAGGCGGCAGCCCTGCAAGCAGCCGTATTGACCTGCTTTCTCTCTCTCTCACCTCTAAATCCTCAGAGTCCCTTGTTGGGCCCTCCCGTCCCCATATTCCTTTCAATGCCCCCAGCTGGAGTCACTTGTCCTGTGCCTGTAGCCTCAGTCCTGCCCAGGTTCTGGGACCAAGGACGAATTTCAGGAGTCAAGGCTAGTAGCTCAGTGACTCTGAATCAGGACAGCCTGGGGACTGATCCTGTTCTGGACTGGTGGTCTAGCTCCAATAATAAACTCTTCCCAGTTTTCTTGTCACTGAACCCCTGCCTTGTAACCCTGTCCAATAACTGGTCCCCATCTGGTTCCTCTTTTCCTAAGTTCCTGTTTTGATATGCTGCCTGGTGCCCCACTTCAACTCTTGATGGGATTTTTTTGATACAAGGAATTCTGTGAAGGGTTAAATGTCTCTGACTATAGACAGAGCTAAGAGAGAGCAGATGGAGCCACAATAGGCCAAGTGGTTGCTAGGAGACGAGGGGCCTCTCACTCGGCACCTGGTCCTCCTCTCCCCTCCCTTCCTCCACTTTACCCAACGATGTCAGTGAATTTGAGATGCGAGGCCCTGGACTGCGCTCACATATGTGGGTATCTGAACTTAGCCTCCAGGTGCAATTCTAATGGCTGCTTAAAGGTAGCAGTTTTTCTTATTTTTAATTTTTTTCTTTTTCTTTTACAATTAGGATTTCAATGTGGAATAGCAGGTTTTCTTTAAGTACAAAAAGGGAAGGCAATTGCAATTAGAATTAAGGAAATTGGTGCAGACCTGTGTATCACAGTAAATAAATCTTCAGTTGTGCGTGAAGCCACAAACACGTCATCATCATCCTCTGCAATCCATTCAGCTGTTTTATCACTGATTAAACTTTTTTCTTCGGTGCCTGGTTCCACAGAACTCCCTAGACATAAAAAACCAAAAGGAATGACTTTGACCACAGTAGATAGGACAAAGCACATTCTCATATGTTATTTCATTTGATGGTGAAAGCAACTCTGTGAGGGCAGCAGGGTGGAGATTTTTAATACCTCCATTTTGCAGAGGAGGAATATGAAGTTCAGAAGCTTAATGATTTGCCCAAGGTGGAGTGAGTGGTGAAGATCAGCGTGGGTCCCTATTCTGTCATGTCTTTGTCATTATAACAGGTGGCCCGAGCATTCTCTTGTTTTAAACACTGTATATCATTTCTCCAAATGAAGGAGCTGGGAGTGATCTAAACTAGTGACTCCCACCCAGTGGGTGAGAGTGGAACCTATTTGAATCTCAGAGGGGAGCCTGTGGAGTCTGAGGAAGTGTTTTCTACAACTACCTGGGGCTTTGATTTATTTACTTGACTTAGTCATAATTGACTCATATTGAAAGTCCAAATTTGCATATAGAAGGCCATGAGATTTTGATTTTTGGTGTTAAGGGTTCAGAAAAGAATGAGAAACATGGATGAACCCTGACAACATTAAGCTTAGTGGAATAAGCCAGTCACAAAAAGACAAATACTGTATGATTCCACTTATATGAGGTGTCTAGAGTCAAATTCATAGAGACAGAAAGTAGAATGGTGGTTGGAGGGAGGAATCTGCGGGGAGGGAGAAGGAGGAGTTGTTGTTTACTGGGTACAGAGTTTCAGTTTTGCAAGATGAAAGGAGTTCGGGAGATTGGTTGCTTAACAATGTGAATGTGCTTAACACGAATGAACTGCACACTTAAAAATGGTCAAGATGGTAAATGTTATGGGTACTTTACCACAATTAAAACAAAAAGAGACAGAAAAAGAAAGGATGAGAAGCATTATGTATTATGTTTATGGTTCCAGGAAGAGCCAAAGAACTCAAACCACCCAAGAAAGTGAGCTCCCTTTCCTCCGGAAGGCACAAAAAGAGGCTGCTGGTGGCAACATATTCCGTTGTTTCAGATGGCTCCGAGCCTGCCATGGCACTTGAACTCAGTCTGGTGGGGTACTGGGTCCCATGTAGGGAACTAAATTCACTGCAGCCAATGAAAAGTACTGTACAGTGAGGTGGAGTAGTTCCCAAGACAGGATGCATGCTTGGCTAGGGATGTGGGATGCTGAAGTCCTAGGGTGCTAGAACCTAGTTTGATTTCATTATCTCAGCACTAGAGATTTAGAGGGGAGAGTGGCCTAAACTGGGCCTTGGAGATCTGCCTCGGGCTAGTCTTGATCTCAAGGGCAGTAAGGCCAGCCCGTGGTTCCTATTTAGAGTAACTCAAACCCTCAAAGGGTGCCCGCTACTGACTTGGGATCAGGATAATTATTCTGGGGCATCTGCTTCCATCTCTGGCACTCCATTCTCACCCTCATCTCTCCTGTGACTGAAGGAAAAAGCCAGCAGACAGTTTACTAACCCAGAGGGCTTGCCTCCCTTTCACTGTCAGCCTGAGGAGTTGAAGTCACCCTTTGACCAAGTGATTGCAGGTCATCGCCGGTGGCGGGACACTTGGTGTCTTCCTCCAGGGTGATGATGGGGCTGAGAGGCAGCCTTGGTTCTGCCACATAGGCCTCCATTTGAGCTGTGGGAGAAGTGAGAGGCAGGTACAGCACGCTGGGTTTTTTTGGTACGGGAGGTGGAATCTTGCCTTTCTTTTTCTCAGCTTCTTCCTGGCTCTGGAGGCTAATTCTTTCAGGCAGAACCCTCACCTTGGGGCCCTCGTCCTCTACACTTCCCTGGGGAGGCTGCTGTGTTCCTGAGAAGAAAGCATCAGAGGAACTGGCAAAAGGCGTGAAAACAAGAGATGAGGGTGCTGTTGACTCCCCTGGGCTTCTGCCATCTGGGAAGCTGGAGGGCTTTGGTTTCCGCACTACCGTGTAGCTGTCTTGAGGGAGTGGTCTCGCATGTTGAATTGAGCTCCTGGGGGGCATAGCCAAGGTTGGTGAAGTTAGTGCATACTCCTCAGGAACAGATGGTGGCTTGTGGACCAAGCTTGGAGGCCTCCGGGCCACCGGAGGCTTCTCAGCTACGGGAGGTTTTGTCTTTCTCTCTGGCAAGGTGAAGACTTCTTCTGCTCTGGGTTCCTCGGCATACTCAGGGCTCTCAATATCATCTTCCGGCTCAGACTTGCTGACCGACCTCAGGCGAACAGAACGTAGGTCGGACTGAGTAACCATAGGCATGATTGGCTGGTTGGGATTAGTTTTCTGGGCCAGCTTGACGCCAAAATTTGTCTCTGAGTGGTGCCGACTCACCTTAGTTTTGCTTCGGATGGAGATACTCATCCCAGACAGATCCAGGTTGGGTGAAGAGGTCAGTGGTAGGTCAAATGATAGCCGTGACTTGGGAAATTTCTCCATTGGTGACGTCGGGGGTAGTGATGACTTCCTCTCAGGTACCACTGGACGTACCCGGACACTGCTGCTTGGAGGGGGTAAGTGGCCCAGGGTCAGGGACATGGAAACAGTGGGTGTTGGTGTTTCCGACTGGCTGGAGTAGCCACTGGAGGGTGACATCAGTCCAGGGGGCCTTCCCGGGGATGATATCTCCCTGGCCTCCACTTCAATGGAGAGTTGGGAAGGTGTAGTGGCTCTGGAGGTGGAAGGTGAGGCAAGAGACTCTGAGCTGCCCTGAACTTGGGTGCACTCAATGACTGTGGTGCCAGTGGCAGTGCTGGAGCTGGACAGGGATTGGTAGGTGTCACCAGACTTCCAGTCAGTAAGATACCAGTGGTGGGAGAATTGTGTACTTTCTGGATCTTTGTGGTTTGGAATAGCTGGGTGACCCTGAGCATCTGGGTGGGACGAGTGATGTCCTTGATGTTCCAAGGAGAGGCAAAGGCTCTTGGGCCTCTGGTCCTTGGGTAGTGCTGACCCACCTTCAGGCAAGAGGCCTGGCTCATCTTTGACCAGTGAGACACTGCGTGTGGGTGGGGAAGGCTTCTTTTTGGCCTTCCTAAGTGAGATACTCTTGGACCTCTGCCTTCTGTGCTGGGCCTCTTGCTGGGCACTAAGGGAGGCAATGTTGTCAGCACTGTTACTGCCCTCAGAGCTCGTACTGGCAAAAGGCAGGGCACAGGCCTCATTGGCCTTCTGCTCCTCATCATAGTCCACATCTGTGGTGCCTGAGTCTGTGGGCACAGACAGTGACCGCTCCCGGAATCTGCTGGCCCCACCGGGGCCTGTCTCCAGCCTCGAGGTCCCACTGGTCAGAAGGCCAATCTTGGAGGGTCTTTCGGGCATGTGCCTTTGCTGAATAAGGCGCTCAGGGTAGCCAGCTGACCCACTGCATCCTGCTGGGTTATCACGAGCGACAAGGAGGGTAGCAGCCTCCTTAGGAACCAGAGGTGGGACTTTGTTTAGAGAGACCCAAGAATTCCCACAGGAAGGATTTTTCCCATTTTCATTGACTTGATTGCTCTGGCTGGTGGCACTTGGAGTCATGTAGGTAAAAGCATCTCCCTTCCAGGAAGTGGAGAAGGTTGATTCTGTAGGTCCATTGCAAGAACTGGGGACACTGTACACCATTCCCATGCTCTCCATGCCAGGAGGGTTTGGGCCACTCCGTGCCTGGTGAGGTTCGTCCGGCTCACTGGAAGGAGTTCTCAGTACTGGCGAGGTGAGACTTGGGAACCGAGCATCCTGACCAACTGCAACTCTTCCATGAACCCCTTCTGGAACTGAGTGACTGGGCCTGATGTCGGAGGTGGTAGAGTGGGCCACACTGCCTGCTGGGCTGTTGCTGTGACCTGGAGGAAATAAACACAGGACATGAGTGCTACAGCAAGGGATCTCCCACCAGCTGTTTTGAGACAGGAGCACCAACTTTTTGCCAAGAAGCATTTGCCAACAGCTTGGTCAGAATTCCTTGGTTCTTCCCTTCCATGGATGAAGATGCTGGGGAAATTGGGTCCTTGCCCATCACCCCACAGTGAGACATACGGTGCCCTTGAATGGTCCAGATGGCTGCCAAATACTTTCCAGCTTTGATTATTCCTCTTAGAGCTGAAGTGTCACGTGGGATTACCTTGCATTTTCCCCATACTTTCACCCCAGGCTCATGAAACCATCACAGACCTCAGCATTCATCCATCTAGAGATGAGAGTAGAGGCTTCCGAACTAAGGACGGCATGGTGTGACGTTTGGCTCCAGCAATGACTCTGGAGCATGCCCAAGATGCAAAGCTAAGAGTCTGGTTGCATTGTTCGCACCCATCACTTTTAGGCTTTGCAACATAAGAGGCTGAGGATAATCTACGGATGTGAGGAAACCGTTTGGATGTTCCAAATCCCCAAAGGTTTTCTCATACACACAAACAATTAATACTGTCATGTCATTATTATTATTATTATAACTACTACTGCTATGAGAATTTGTAACAATAGCCACCATTTATTGGACACTGACTATGTACCAGGCACATGGTAGGCAAGTTACATACAATAACGCTAATCTTCATGCTAATTCCACCATGTCAGTATCATTATCCCCACTTTATAGATGAAGAAGCTGAGGCTCAGAGAGGTTATGTCACTTGGCCAAGGTCTCCTGGTTAGTAAGCGGAAAGACCAGGGCTCTTACCCTCTGCTATCTCCCTGGTCTGTGCTCCTGGCCAGCATTCACTTAATGGTAGTAATGGTTCTGTTAAGATGATGGTGAGGAACCCTCTCTCTTCATCTATTTGCCTAAATTTGGCATATCTGGTTGTATTACATTTATAATGGGAAACAATAATGTAATGGATTCATTAGCCCGGAAGACCTACTCTCCATATTCAGTTGCCACCCTTGACAAGAGGCCCTTAGCTATTCTTAATTACCATATTGGCTTTTTCAGGACATCCGGAGGCCCCCTCCTCCACCCAATTATTCCTGTTCCCCATCACCACAGTACCACCTGGGTGGCAGGATTGGCAGGAGTGGGTAAGGGGAAGGGACTGGGGAATCAGCTGTGGTGGGGTCACCTTGGTCTCGCTGGGAAAAGTTAGAGAATCCAATAATGGTCCGCCTCCGCCTCAGGGTGGACTTGGGGTTCACGGCTGTCTCTGTGTTAAACAACGAGTGTCGCAAACTTGCATGTTTATCAAACTGCTGCCCTGTAGCCAAAATAAAGACACTTGGGTGCATCCTGGTTTCTGTTTAAAGCACGGTGGAAATTGGCCTGAGAGAAGAGAATGATGGCAGTCGTGATAAGCATGAATAGCATCCAAGGCAGGTGGCACTTCTTCCTCATCCTTCCCAACTTGGCCCTGGGAATGCATGCTGGGTTTCCCAGGCTGCACCCAGGTTGCCTGTAAGTTTTAGGTGGCCTGGGGCAGTGGTTTTCAACCCTGGGCTACATATTAAACTCAACTGGGCAGCTTTTGAAACTGCAACACCTGGACCTTACCCCAGAACACTGAAATCTCTGGGAGTAGGGCTCAGGTAGAAGCATTTTCTAGAAGTCTTCAAGTGATTATTCAGAGGTACAGCCAGGGGTGAGAACCACTGGTGTAGAGCAGCGGACTGGGACTAGATGCTGCTTGACTGTGATCTTTTCTCAGAGAAGGCCTTTATATGGGCCAGGTGAGGCCAGTGTCTCCAAGAGGCTGCCCTACTGCCCTCCACCATCCAGGAAGATGCCTGATAGTCTGTCCTACAGTCACCTGGTCACATTTTACCAAAGCTGGCTCACAGCATGGTGATTGAGCTCTATTTCTTTCTCTTTCTCTCTCTCTCTTTTTTTCCTGGCACTGGCTTTTCAATTTAGGAAAATTATTGACACAGATTATAGTTATCACTTCATCTGAGTTACATGGTACTTTCAAAATATCTGTTAATTCAGTTTGTTTACTGACTTGATAATGTTTTCAAATTCAACACAATTAAAATGGAATATTTCCTCAATAATATGCCTTACTTAATATTATTAAAAAAATTTTTTAGAGCTGTATTTCTCTTAAAGTGCTAGGTCAGTCTTTGGGTGCTGGGAAATGGCTGGGTCAGAGTCAAGGCAAGGCAGGGTGGTGGGGCGAGGTCTGTGATTCCCCCTCCCTTTCTCTCATTCAGCCAGCCACACAGCTGCACACGTTCACAGACACCTCAGCAAGTGGCTCTGTGGGCAATGCTCAGGGACAGCCTCATTGAGAGGAAGACAGACATTTATTTATTTATTTAGAGACAAAGTCTCACTGTCACCCAGGCTGGAGTGCAGTGGTGTGATCTCGGCTCACTGCAATCTCTGACTCCTGGGGTCAAGCAATCCTCACATCTCAGCCTCCCGAGTAGCTAGGGCCACAGGTGTGCGCCACCACGCCTGGCTATTTTTTTGTATTTTTGGTAGAGATGGGGTTTCACCATGTTGCCCAAGCTGGTCTTGAATTCCTGAGCTCAAAGGATCCACCCACCTCAGCCTCCCAAAGTGCTGGAATTACAGGCGTGAGCCACTGTGCCTGGCCAAGATAGACATTTAGACACAAAATGTTCAACATCACTTCTGGAGTCTTTCCTCATCAGCCCTCACTCCTTTTGGTATATTTCCCTAGGCTGTGGGCTGTATTTCCTGCCTCTGATTTTCTGAAATGATGCCAGTGACAGTGGAGGACCCCATATCCAGGGAGCATTGCCACATGTGGCCAGAGCTGTCCTCATCATCTTCATCAACATTTCCCAGCAGAGCACAGGCTGGCGCTGGCTCACAGGACCCCTCTGATCCCTTTAGGTTACTGAGATCATGGTTTCATCATGTCGCTGGCCCTATCTCCTTCTCAAATGACTGGCCCTCCTTCTCTTCCCCTTACAGCTGATGGAGTGTAGATCATGGATTAATAGTGAGCATGGTATAGTGTGCCACATGCCCCCAGAGCCACAGCCAGCTGGGCTACATATAATACAGCACGTTCCCCACTCTTAAAATTGTACTGGGTCCCCTTTTGGTCTTTTTGGCCTTAGGACCTTTCTACCACTTCTTTTCTTGAAAACTTGCCAAACAAGTTGAAGAAGCCCACCTTGCTAGAAGACTAGTGTCCAGTGAAAGTGCTACCAGGCCTTTGGTCTGTGCCCAGGTGTACTCCTCCCTTGTTACCACCAGCACTCCAAACCCCACTCTCCTGCTCCGACTCTTATCAGTGTACTCCAAACCCAGCTCTGGGCACAAGAAGTTGTCTTGCCCTGACCCAAACAGAACTCACAAACTTTAAGTTTCCATAAGTGCTCTGAAGAGCACAGAAGTTCATAAGGCTTTGGAGCTTTCTGTTAAGAAAATTTTGCTTGCTATCAAATGGTCTCAGTTAGGGTGGCAGTGCCAGGAGGGGGTGAAGAAAGAGCAGCCAGCGCCCCCTCTTCTGCATGCCTCCGTTCCCTGGCAAGAGCCATGACCGTGACAGCGCAAGGTGAGCCGGTAGCAAAGAAAGTCTCACTTCCCTCCCCCAATACCCAGTGCATCAAAGAGGATGGTCTGTAGAGGCATGAAGGGAAGAAGACAAAGGCGGTGCTAAGCAACTCTACCAGAGATGTTGATGGGCACAATGTCAGACTGCGTGGAGCAAAGCTGAGGCCACCGCTTCTCCTCTAGGATGGGCAGAGGGAAAAGGCTATTCCAGGCAGTTTGCTTGTCGGCTGTGGTAGACAGGCTCAGGGAGGCCTCGGGGGCCCTCACACCCTGGGTGGTAGTCTCATCCTCGCTCAGCTGCCGTTTTGTAGGCTGTTGGGAGAGAAGGTGATGGAAAGGGTGTATTCCTGCCTGGCAATGAGCCAGTGCCCATAGGGTGGCTGTTTAGGCTGGGTAGTTGGAGGCTTCGTCTGGGAGGCAGGAAAGCGTGGACAGGCCACCAGGCCAGGCACCTGCTGTGCAGGGCCTATCCCAGTGGGGCCTCAGGGTAGCTCTGCTGGTGAGCAGGGCTGAGCAGCTTCCAGTGGGTAAAGTAAGCAGCTGGAGGTCTCTTGTCAGTGGGTGCATGCTGGCTCTCCCAGGTGGGGGATGAGGCAACTCACCATCAATATAAACTCCAGACGCCTGGCAGACTGGGGCCTTGGGTTGGGGGTGGGCTTAGTGGCCTCATCAGAAGAGCGGAAGGTCTGCCCCACAAGTCTGGCCTCCGAGTACTGTTCCTCATATTCTTCTGAAAAATAGCACAGTGGAGACACACACTCTAGGGTGCCATGGCCGAGCGCTGGGCCGGGGAAGGGCCATGAGCCAGGACTCCTGCTCTAGCTGCCAGGCCTGACTTGCATTTTCTTTAGGCTATTTCCAGGTGTTTGAGCCACTGGATTTGGAAATGGAAAAGTGCTTGCTTCCCAGGACCATGAGGATCGAGGAGAAGAGAAAGTCAATAAATTCATGCTGTGGTGGTTTGGGGACCAAGCCCTTATCTCAATGATCCCCACCTTGAGTGCTCAGTTACGAAAAGAGGCTCAGAATGCAGACACCTTTTGCTACTTTGGACTGCAAGTTCCTCTCTTTGAAGCCCTGCAGCTCTTAAGGTTTTCTGCGACCCTACCAAGGAAATGACCTGTGTGAAGCAAGAAGAGATTTACACCAGGAAGTCCAATCTGGAGTTCTTTCTTGGATGTCAAGAACTTTTACTTGAGCCTTTGTGGGCCGTGTTCCCTGCACCTTAGTCCCGCTGTAAGTGATGTCAGGTCTAGGAGGGCTAAGGTGAAGGAGAGGGAAGGAGGAGGTAACAGCATAAAAGAGGCAGAAGTTCAGCGGCATCATCAGTGAGTAAGGATGCACAAGATTTGAATAGGGTTGATTGAAGTGATGAATTTGATGAGAATACATGAAGAAAGTGAGAGTAGAGAAGGGACATTCATGCTGTATGTACACTGAACAAAGACTCAGAATCACAGAGATTTGGGGTTGCTCTTGGGGTTCTTTGGTCCAACGCCTCATTCTGTGCCCAGACTCCCTCCTCAGCAGCCCTTCTAGGTGTTTCTTCAGCCTCAGCGCACACACCTGCAGGGAAGGGGAGCTCCCTCCCTCCCAAGGCAGCTCATTTCTTCCACGGACAGTTGGGGCTGTCAGGTGTGTCAGAAAGTTCTTCCTTATCTGGAGGTGGAATGTGCCTCCTTCTGGGTTTCCACCCACTGGTCCTAATTCTGCCATGGTAGCAACACAGAGCACATCGACTCTTTTTCTGTGTGGCAAGTCCTTTGTTATCTGAACACAAGGCTCATGGTGTCCCTTGGCATCTTGCTTTTCCAAGGTCACCACTGCCCTGGTAGGGGGTGGGGGTTATGGCTGTCATCCTGTTGGTGGCCCATCAGCAGTTTTCTATTCGCCATTAGAGTTAACCTTTATTAGTATAGATAAAGGAGTGCTGACAAGACCTCTTTTCATGCTCAACATCCACTGAGCACCTCTTGGCAGGTGGGGAGGGAATCCAGCCTTGTGCCAGGTGCTTCTGGAAACCTAAGGGTAGCAAGATGTGATTCTTTACATCGAGAAGCTCAGGCTTGGTTAGGGGGGACAAAATAGGTGACCTCTGGGTGCTGTGTATTGGGCTTACTTTGGTGAGGCAGTAGCTATCCAGGGGTTATTGCAAGAGCAGAGTGAGTGAAGCCCAGAGTGGGAGATCCTGCAGATGCCCCCTTTGTCTTCTGGTGCCAGGATCCCAAAGGCATGGGCGATGTGGCAAGAGGGGGGCTGGAGGGAATGTAGGCCCACATTGTGGGAGTCTCCCACCCAGCTCTCGGTGAATGGCATAACTTATGGCCCTGCCTCAGTCTCTGTCCTTGTTTCCCCATGGGCTACTGAGCTGAAAAAAGGGGCTGGGGATGGGGGGAAACAGCCCTGGAAATAGCCTCTTTCAGAATCATTAGGCTGAAAGGTGAAAGCTGGAAACTGCTTTGTCGATTGTTTTTAAACTCTCTGTCTTTATCTTGCTGGTCCCTGTCCTCTTTCTTCTTTGCCTCCCTCCTGCCGCTGCGCATCTCGCTTCTGGGCTCCGGCCGCAGCCCCCCTCCCTCTCGGTACCTTGCAACAGGCTCTGGAGATTGAGCTGCGCCTCCCGAAGCAGCTCCTCTACACTCGGGGGCCTGCCCGAGGAGAGGAACACGTTCACTGGCTGTCGCCATGACGACCTCGAGTGGGCAGTCGCTGTCGCATTTTCCCGACCCGAGTTAGCTGCAGCTAGGGAAGGAGAGAGTCAGTGAGAGGCGCAGGCGAGCTGGAGGGGAGCGGCGCGCGGCGGCCAGTGGGCGCCCGCGGTTCCCCAAGGCCCGCCCCTGCGTGGGGTGGGGGGAGTGCGAGGCTGCGCTTAAAAGGCGGGGAATCGCCGGCCGCAAGATTTTTCCTCGACAGATCCTGCCGCAGTCCGCTCCCTCCCGCTCCGCTCGCCCCTGCCCGCCCGCCCGCCCGGTCGCGCGGTCGCCGCCGCCACCGTGTCGCCCGCATCCTCCGCCTGGCGCCTCCGGGCCCCGTGCCTCCGCCCGCCCTCTCCGGCCCCGGCGACGAGGTAACGCGCCCTGGGCCGAGCCGCCGGGCCCTCCGCCCAGAGCGCCGCCCTCCGAGCTCGCCCCGGTGGGTGTGGCCCGGCCTGGCCCGTGCCCCGCTGCCGCACTTCGGTCCCTCCCGAGCCCCGCCGCCGCATTTCGGCCTCCTCCGGCCGCCCGTAGTTCCAGTTCCCCTTTCCCCACCACGGAGCCCCAGGGCCCCTGGGCTTGTCGAGATGTCTGAGGCGTCAGGAAATCTCAACAGCCTCCGCATGGCGAATGTGGCCCTGCGCGAAGAATTAAATGCCCTTCGCGGGGAGAATGCCAATTTGGGCCTCCAGCTCGGGAGAGCCCTGGCCGAGGTTAATTCCTTGCGGGGCAATGTCTCCAGCTACATCCGCTGGCCAGTACCCATAGTGCCCGTCCTTGCGGAGGAGAACTTGGAGTTCGCGCTCAGTGAGATCGAAGTCATTCCCGGGGGAGAACTGCCCTTCTTGTGCCGGCCTCCCCCACGCGCGGAGCCCGACTGTATCTCGGATGATCTTTTGATTAACGTGATCCAGGATCGCAGCACCCCCGACGGGCCCGCTGACCCCCCTCTGCTGCCCATCCCGCCCCCGCCGGCGCTGCCTCCGCCCGCGTCAAAGGAACCGCCCCCGCAACCCCCTCTGGCACCGCTGGAGCGGCCTGAGATAGAGCCCTTTTCAGGAGACCCAGTCTACCTGGCTGAATTCCTGATGCAGCTAGAGACCTTCATAGCCGACCATGAGGTTCATTTCCCCGGGGGCGCCGAGCGGGTGGCCTTTCTGATCTCCTTTTTCACTGGCGAAGCCAAGGACTGGGCCATCTCGGTCACCCAGGAAGGAAGCCCCTTGCATGCCAACTTCCCGCGCTTCCTGGATGAAATCCGTAAGGAATTCTGTGGCCCCATCCCCCCACGTGTGGCTAAAAAGGCCATTCGCAAGCTCAAGCAGGGCCACTGTACCCTCGGCAGCTATGCAGATGCTTTTCAGTTCCTGGCCCAATTCTTGTCTTGGGATGACTGCCGCCTCCAAAACCAATTCCTCAAAGGCCTGTCGGAATTCTTCCGCAAAGAGCTCTTATGGTCAACAGAAATGGCCGACCTGGATGAGCTGATTCTCGAATGTGTGGAGATAGAAAGAAAAGTGCGCGTTCCCAAGCCTATCCCGCTCCCTGGAGTTCGAAATATCATCTTCCCTTTTGCTCCGAGTCCCAATGAGGAAGAAAGTGAAGATGAAGAGTACTACAGTGAAGATGAAGACCAAGAGGCACGCAGGCACAGGCTTCACTCCAAGGACCAGAGGAAGCGCATGAGGGCTTTTCAGCAAGAGATGAAGGAGAAGGAGGAGGAGGAGATGAAGAAGGAGGAAGAAATGAAGAAGAAGGAAGAGAAGGAGGAGGAGGAGGAAGAGGAAATGAAACAGAAAGAGGAGGAGGAGGAGATAAGGAACAAGAATGAGGAGGAAGGAGAGAGTAAGGATGAAGAAGATGAAGATGAGGATGGGGGCCAGAAACCAGAAGGAGAGCCACAGCAGGATCCAGGGACTGAGGAGACCTATGGTGAGGTGGAGGAGGAGCCACTGGATGAGGCCCAAGATGATGACCTAGATGAGCTGATGGAGATGGAGCCGACCTTTGTTCACGCGTCATCCCAGACTTCTGGCCCCACAAGTGGTTACCACGCCGAAAACTTCCTGGGTGCATCACCTCCCATAATACAGCCTAGCAGACGGAGGAACCAGAATCGAGTCCCACTTCTGGAAGGCCTTCCAGGCACCAATTCACCATTCTACAGCTCCCCCCAACTGATTCGCCGCACAGGTCGTTTAGGACAACGCCAAGTTCGAAGACGCCCCCCTGTGCTTTTCCGCCTCACTCCGAGACAGGGGGGCCACCGAGCTGCTCGTGGCCGAATTCGAGTTTGAGTGCTGGGGCCAGATGGCCACCCAGAACACACCCTTCTTTTGCATCCCCCGCCCCTGCTATTGCTGCCATACCTGCCCCATTTGCTGACCAGGACTTCAGGGAGTTTCAGACCTGCAGAACCTGAAGAAGACCTGCAGAATTCCAGACCATCTTGCAACCGTGACCAGAGAGCGACGTGTGCCCAACCAGGGCCACCTGGGAAAGGAGGGATCAGCAATAGCTGCCCTCTTGGCATGTACTCTGCTCAGTCCGGCCACGAGCTGGAGAGCAAGTTTCTGGGCCTGTTCCCATAAATGAACTGGTCACCCTCTTGTATTTCCCCTCTGGTTGTTCCTAACCCTCACCTCTCCTGCGTTTCTTCACCCTATGTTCTACAGTTTTATTCTCTGACTGACCCACCAGGACTTCACCCAATGCCTCACTGATCTGCCCCAATGAGCAAGAGGACAGGCTACCCTGAACTCCTAAAGCCACTGAGGCCAGTTGCTAGATATAATCGATGGTGAGCAGGATGGTATCCAGAAATGTCCCTAGAATCCTACACTCATTTCATGCCACACCTCCAGCAGAGGGCCTGGAAGAGGACCCGACATCTAGCCCAGTGAGAGTGTGCAAAGCCACATGTCAAATGGACAACTTGACGGAGATTTGCCCTTGACTGACTGTGCAGGCTGGTTCCACTTACAGCACTTGAGTTTACCTTTGCACAGATTCCTGTATCAGGGCTCTTGGACTGACTTGCCACACATCTGGAGCCCTTTCCTCTCACCACATTGCCCTCCTGGGCACCCCCGGTGGACAGCGCCCAACATTGCAGGCTCCACAACTTTCCTTGATGTTGCCTAAAGGGTAGCCAGTTAGGGTTCCGGAGAGGAGAAGGAGGAAGAAGAGGAGGAGGAGAAAGAAGCAGCAACGATCATTCTGCCATTGTAAAGAGTGACTCTTTCCTTAGGGATGGTGGTCTTCTCCCCTTGCCAGGCCTTGGACTGCAGCCCCCAGTCAAAGGTCTTTGCAGGACACTTTCTATCCTTGGAGTTGCAGAGGAGGCCTGATTGGCCATTCCTTCTGGGACAGACAGAGAGAGGGCCCATGGCCTGCTCTGAGCTCCCTTCAATTTCAAGGAACCCTTAGTTCTGAGAGGAGAGAGGAAGGCTGCACCTACCGTGGCCTCACAGCTGGGACCCCTCATGGGGGCCAACCCCTGGCCTGCTGCTGTGCTTCAGTGACACAGTAAAGCTTAAGAGGGTGGCTGCCTCCTAGGAACTCCTGGGACTTCTAGGTACAAACTCAGGTGCCCTTATAAAGAGACCCACTGCTTGCCTTGAGTCCAGAAAGCACTGCTTCTGCAGTGAAAAACACACACTTACTATGTCAGTTTTGGCCATAAAATGCCAGCCAAATCCACTGCTGGCCTGAACTGCCCCTGGACACTGGACTTTCTGCACAGTGACTGGCAGCAGAGCAAGTGCAGCCAGGGTTTGTGGCCAAAGGGAAGAAAGCATAGTAAATTCAACCTCTGTTCCTCATGGGAGTCTGACCGATAATCTCAGGCGGACCTTAGGATCTTGGGCCTGGAGGCAAGAGAAAAAAGCTGGAGGAAGAGGAGTCGCAGAGAAACCCAGTCCTCTGACTGGTTTCTGGTGAGGTCTCTATTCATCAGTGGGAGGTAAGATGCCCTTTTCATTAGCGCTTTTGTTTCTCAGCCTGGGGATCAGTGGATTTGGATTCCTATAACCTGTTGCTACCTTTTAAAAAGATCCCCTCTCTCCAAAGAGAAAAGTAATACATAATCATTAAAGAAAGTTTGGAAAATAGAGAAAACTATGAGGACAAAAACCCCCCAGCCATTCAGAGTCCCACCACACAGAGGCAAGCACTATTAACACTTTGCTGCTTTCCTTTCTAGTGTGTTCTTGCTATGTCTTGTCAAAGCTGAGATCACCCTGCCAGTTCTTGATCAGCAGGATTTAAAATGGCTGCCACCTGTGCAGTCATGCATACTGAATAATTCATTTAAGCATTCTCCTAATTTGTTGGACCTTTCAATTGTCTGGTTTTCCCCATCCCCACCAGGGCAGGAGTAAACAACTTTGTAAAGAAAATTTTGTCTGTTTTTCAGCTGATTTTATCTGATTTCCTCAAGAGTGCATTCCAGAAGGGGACCTGCTATTCTTCGAGGGGACCTGCTATTCTTCGAGGCAGTGGACCCTGTTTGCTGATGGTCAACACTCTGGCCCTGCTGCCCCATGTCCCTGTGGAGAAGTGTGAAGGACGGGTGCCTTAAACCCACACTTCCAGGGACCCTTCAGCACAGGTCCTGCCTGTTCCCATGGTGCTTCTCACCCTGAACCCTCAGAGCTACAGCCAGGGATAGAGCAGATGAGCAGTGAGCTGGTTTCCACCCTCTGGGGCAGGAGGGGCTTGGGCTTCCCTTTGACCCTCTTCCTTCCTTTCCCAGATCTTCAATATTTGTTGTGATGTAACAGCCATAAGAGCTGTAAGAGGAACTGTGGGCTTTGGGAGCTTTCTTGGGTTGAAAGAGGGGTGGGGGGAGGGGATGCATGCAGGGGTATGAAGGCAGCCCAAGGTCTCCCAGAGGCTCGGGAGGAAACCCTTTTGGAATACATGTGTTATTGTTGCATTACTGTGTTGTGAAGATAAGAAGCTGCTCTGTATGCTAAAGCTTTCTCTCCTCAATAAAAATATAAAGGGTGTGTAAAGATTGTGCCTCTTTGTTATTGAGCAAGCATAGATGGGTACAGAGTAGGCATAGGGTACTTCCAAGGTCCCCTGCCGGAGTCAACCCTACCCTGAAGTCTTGAAATCCTTAGACAAGGAAACCAAGGGCCGGTGAGGCTCAAGGGACCTGTCTACAGTTCTGTGCATTTGTGGATGGAAGAAATTGTTGGGAGGGAAGTGGAAGCACTGGGCATCTTGAAAAATAGCATTCGTTCTCCCGGGGACTATGGGTGGCCCAGCCCTACAGGCACGCACGGGCATGCATGGGACTTTGAGTGAAGGAAGAGAAAGAGGCCAGGTTGGCTGGGGAGGGCCCTTCCGCTTTTTGGCACTAGGTGGCGCTATGGGATACCAGTGAGTTAGCTGGTGATGAATCACAAGTCCCCAGAGCAGTCCATGTAAGAGGCCCTCCAAGCAAGATCTCATGGCTCCTCACGGACTGTGGGGTCAGAAGAAACTGAATCCCATTCTGGGATTTGCCCAAGTTTCCCAGCATGAATTGGACTTTTTTTTTTTTCCAGGGGAAGTGGGTGGGAACATTCATTAAGCCTCTGCTGCTTTTGAGTGCTGTGCCAGGCACTTCACATCTGTTATCTTATTTCATTCTGATAATGATATCCTGGGGGGAAAGAACTAACTACCCTTACCCTCATCTTAAAGATGAGGACACTGAGGCTTAGAGAGAAGTCACTGGCCCAAGGTTGACAGCTAGTGAGTGGCTCTGTCACAGCCCTGCAGCTGCCCATTAGCTCTGGGGACACTTAGCACCTCTCTGCCCCCACTCCGCTGGCCCTGCTGTCTAACAGGCCAGGCTGGTCTCCTAGTTCTGCCCTGTCCTACCCCCCCTGCCTCCAGCTTGCAGGATTCCCGTGGGGGAAACAAACCCTGGTTTCAGAGGCACATTTGCTTTGTCCCTTTAAGAGGAAGGGAGGGAGGGAGGAAACCATGGTATTTCTGACCATGTGCCAGGGACTTTCGCCAACATCATTTCATCTCCACAATTAAGTGAGGCAGGTGATGCTGTCTCCTTTTAGAGCTGAGGGACCTGAATCTCAGAGATATTAGGTCATATGGGGGACTCCAGGTCTTCGTGACTCCCAAACCCATATACATTCTTAACTCAAATACACCGTGCTTGCTATCTCCCAGGAGAGACTCCTGACAAGCTTGAAGTCTCAACCTGCCTGGATTCTGGGTCTTTGCCAAAGCAACGAAGCACGCATCAGGTGCACCATCTCTGGAAGCTCTGGGGGAACCAGCCAGGTGGCAGTTCTAAGTATGTGGTTGACTGCCCCTTCTAGGGAGGAACAGGGTTATGGGGTCGTGGGCTTCATCAGTGAGCACTAGGACTCCCCAGTACTCTTCAGGGTGCCTGACAAGGTCTCCAGCACCCAGGGGATTTCTTATGACATCACAAGTAGTGATAGGTGAGCCCAGATTGTGTTATGGCCAGAGAAGGTGGAAAAAAAGACAAACAGAGTCAGCCTTGCCCCAACCCTGAAGCAGGAAGCACTGTGGGAATGGGGAAAAGAACCCTGGATTCCAGTCCAGCCTTGCTGCTGACTCTATATGGGCTCTGGCATGAGTCTCATCCCCTCTCGGGCCATGGCTTCTTGATCTGTCT
Organism: Homo sapiens; assembly: GCF_000001405.40. Lineage (NCBI taxonomy): Eukaryota > Metazoa > Chordata > Mammalia > Primates > Hominidae > Homo > Homo sapiens. The sequence continues at coordinate 72,125,466 of NC_000023.11, read as the reverse complement.
AGTCACTGTTGAGTCCCTGGGGCCCAGCACACTACTTGGTACACAGTAGAATCTCAATCCTAGTTTGGTACATAAATGAAGAAGTGAGTGAATAAATGGGCCACTGGATGGAGACCTAGAGGCAGCCTGCTAAGGGCATCTGCAGGTGGTACAAAGCTTGGAGGACTAGAAGATGTCCTCTAATGTCCTCTAAAAGGGAATGAGGGGCCAAAAAACTCTCCCTAACCTGGAAGGATGCACTGAAATGACCTTTACTAGGGGCTCATCTGAGATCCTGCAGTCAGGTTCAGAAAAGCAACTGCAGAAGCCTAAGTGGGGGAGATGTGGCTTAGAAGAAGCTTGTGAAAATGAAAATCTGAGGATGTGAATTGACAGGAGATCGGTCAGAATCACAGACTGACCTGGCTGTCAGATGCGCCAATGCTTTCCTGGGCTGCTGCAATAGCAATGTGAAATCCTTGAGATGGGCAGGGCCCACCTGGGGCCCTGGCTGCCCTGTGGAAGGGGACAAAGTTGCACCTCACAGAAGCCCTTTGGCTTGCCAGGAGTAAGAAAACATCAGAATAAAAGGAAGGAAGGAAGGAAGGAAGACAGTAGAAGGGTGACAAGGATGGCGAGGGTCCTAAAAACCCTCTCCTGGGCTGAGCGATGGAGGAAGGCAAGGAAAATCTTGCTGCCTGTGAAACAGCTGTGACTTCCCCACGTTCATTCTGTAAGTGAGGAAACCAATCAGGCAAGTGGCTTGAGGTCACTTGCCCTGTTTGCCGAGTTTGACTGTGAACCCCAGCAGTTTGACATCCAGAGCCCATGCTCTTAACCTCTACTCCCCACCTGCACCCACGCCGTTGGAAACAAAATCTCCAGGAATGTCTACATCTAGAAAGCTCCCTAGGCAATTCTAACATCCAACACAGCCCAGCCTAGAGCAGCATAGAGCTTTGGGAACTAACTAGCCCGTGTGACATTTAATGGCCAGTTTGGTTCTGAGCCTTCCCCTAGAGCTCCCTGGAGCAAGAACCGACCCACAGATCCAGTTCTAGCACAAAGTAAGTGATCAAGAAACATAGCATGCGTGACGATCCCTCAGCAGGTACCATGGTCTGATGTGAGCTTGCCCCTCCTGGATACCTGCCTCAGACAGCAGGTGACACCCATTTGAGAGAGATGTGCCACAAGGTAGGTGCAGAATTCTGCCCCCGAGAAACCAGGTCCATAGGAGCCAAAGCCTGTGCCCTTGACCGCCAGAAGTGGCTCCTGAGGGTGGGGGTGGACTCTTCCAGGGGATAAGGACAGGCATTAATCAGGCAAGAGACCACCCCCTTAATGGGAGGTGGGGAGTGGGCTCCACCTCCGGCCAGCACTTCCTGTATCCTGCCCAGACTAGGGAAAGCTCGGCAGGCCACTTCTCCCCAGGGACTCCAAAGACAGAAACACAAATACCAGGGCTCTCGGTTGCCCTGGTAACAGCGGGACCTACTTGGAAGAAAACAGTTTCTTAAAGGCTTAGGAGGGTGGATATTTCCTTTGACAGAGAGCAGGCCCTGACCTGCTCCCTGTGTCCCCTCTCCCCTTCCTGCCTGCCACACATGGGGTAGAGCGGGGCCCCTCGCCTCAGCAACTCTCCTGATGGGGGGTGGGGGTGGTGTGTTTGTGTGGGAAAGTAGGGCCCAGGCTTTTTATTCTGCTCTTGCAGTGGGCTGTTCGGGTGAGAAAGAGGCTAAAAGGGAAGATGTCAGCAGGTGAACTCATGGCGAAGGTCCCACGGCCTGGGGAAGCCTTGCCTTGTAGGATCTCCTCACATGACCAAGCTAGAGAAGGGCGGGTGCCTCCAGCGACTGTGGTCTCCTTCACCTCTTGCATCATACAGATGAGGCCTGTTGGCTGTGAGGCTTGCCAGAAAGAGTGTCCCCAAATTGATGACCTCTCCACCCACAGTTCAGCCCTTCCTCCTCTCTCACCTGAGCTACTGAAGCAGGCTCTAGTCTCTACCTGTTCTAATAGGTCCACCTTCAACATGCCTGGGGGTGGGGGCCGTGGGCCTTTGAATTCACACACCTGGCCTTGCTGCTCCTCTACAAAACCCCTCAATGGCTCTCCTTCCTCGTGGGAAGACTTGTAGACCTGCTTTTGGCATTTTCTTCCCTATCTGCTCATTAATTATCTATGCCATCTCATCTGCCTATGCTATCCTTCTTTCCTCTTCTACTTAGCCCAAATTTCAGACATCTTGAATTACTTCCTGCTTTTCTGTACATACGAGGCCCTTGCATGCCTCTGGGCCTTTGCACACTCCATTCCCTTTCCCTTAAAAATTCATGAACATTCCTGGCCTCACTCCAACTGGCAATGTTCTCCTCAGTTCCAAGACCACTTCCTCCGCGAAACTGCCTCCACTCCCCAGACAAGCCCCTGCCCTTCTGAGTTCCCCTCAGGCCCTCTAACCCCGACCCCACTGGCCTGTGAGGCTTGAGATCTACTTGGGAGCAGAGGCTGGTCCATGACTCCAAAGTGAATTTGTTACTGCAAGACTGTGGTTCAGTGGGAGAACATGGACTTGTCCTCTTTGCAGATGAAGGCTGCATTGGCAATGGCCTTTGGAAAGAGGACTGGCCCCCTGAGACCTGACTGAGGACTGATGGTATGCACGTGGAGCTAGGAGCCCCCCAGATAAGGTTGGAGGTGTGGACAGTAGGGAAAGCAGGGGAGACAAAGCAGGAACTTGCAGAGTTGCTCCTTCCCAGCGAGCACCCTGTTGATGGCTTCCATTTCTCTGAGGGACATCACCTCCTCTCAGTAGTGTGCTAAAGAGTGACCTCCACTGGGCTTGAGAGTCACATAGACCTGGCTTTGAACCCTGGCTCTGCCACTCCCTTGCTGTGTTCCCTTGACTTAGTAATTTCACTTTTCTAAGCCCCAGTTTCCTTTTTCTGAAAATTGAGATAATAATAGCATATATTAATGAGATGATTGATATAAACCAGCAATAACAACAAAAATAGCTAATAGTGCTTACCGTGTATTGGGCATTAAGTGGTTTACATTTCTTAACCCATTGAATCATCACAACCCTATAAGGTAGGTAGTGTTATTGTTCTGCCTTTTGCAGATTAAGAAACTAGGCACAGAAAGTTTCTCCTGACCAGTGTCACAGCACTAACATGCAAGTGCTTTTGACCCCTCCAGTAAGATAGGCAAAGTTCTGTGGATCAGAAGTGAGGCCCATGGAGCAGGAGAGTTCCAAGATCCAGGGCAGGGTCTTGGTCTTTTTTTAGGTAATGGACGCTTTTGGTAGTTTGGTGAAACCTCCGGATTCCTTCTCAGAATAATGTTTTCACGTGCATAAAATAAAATACATAGAATCACAAAGGCAAACAATCATACCGAAATGGTTAGAAAAATATTTTTTAAATTTTGTGATCTAGTTGTGTTACTACTTTCATAATGCGCTAAATCACAAGATTTAGTGGCAATTCTATAGATTAGAAATGTTGAAGTGGTGATGAACACAAATGATTTTTTGAGATACTTACAACAACAGTAATGTGATATGAAAATATTTGTGATTTCTGTTGGTGATAAAGTCACAGATACCGCTAACACTACTGTGGTTTGTCACTTACATTCCTAATTTGAGAAAATGCTAAATTGTTGTTTGAGGTTCATGGAGAAAAGATCAACTAATCTTCCCATCCAAGTTTGTAGACCCTCTAAATTCTCTCCACACACCCCTTGGAGGTCCATGGAGCTCAAGTTAAGAAGCCCTGCCCTAGGGTGTCAGAGAAAAGACAATGGCAGCGCTGTCAGCTACGGGGACAAGCTGGGGGCTGGCAGAAAGACAAGTGTGTGGTTTCTTTTTCAAGAACTGTTTACAGAAATTGTGAAGTCTGGCAGCTCCCTCTTCCTCTTGGTCCTGAGTCAGCAGCCCAGGGTGGGGCTGAGGCGGTCACACTTGGTTTGAGTTTCAAGCTCACTACATACTCATCCCAAAGAGTTGATTTGTTGCCATTTCCTTACCATGGAAATGTTGGTGGGCTTTGCTCCATTTTAAAATGGGGACCTGCTTGCACACACAGATTTTTCATTAGTCTGGAAATAATCTTTAAGTGGACATGTGGCTCTAAGACATCTTCAGAACTAATGAATGTTTCCACACTAGCACCCTAGCCAGGCTTAGGGCTTGCAGAGGGAAGGGGAAAGATGACCAACTGGGCCAGGGACCCCAAAACACTAGCCAGAATTAGCACTTGCCCAAAATCCCCAATTCTTTTTCCTGACTTCCTGACTTTACCGTCTGTCAGCTGAGTCCCTGCCAAATAGAGAAGCACAGTCCTGGGTGCCGTGACCAAGGAGACATATGGCCCAAACAGCAGTAGGCCTCTGCTTTTCTAACTTGCCTCTGTTCCCATTCAAGACTCAAAGCGAGTGGCACTCACGAAGAGCAGGCCCCAGGCGTATCCACAATGCCTTGCGTGGGGGTCCTGGCTGGCCAGGGCCTGCTGCCTTCTGCTCTTCCCCAGGCCCTCATATTTAGTCACAAATGAGCAACACTTGGCTGGTGGCCATATACTAAAAGGGCTGCAGCTTAATTTCCACAGTGAGAGGGTAGAATTTTGACAGCCTCATGCACCATAGCCACTGGCTAATAAAGAAGCTGGTTCAGAATGAATCTGCCTCAGTTAGCTGAGGAGACATAACAATATGCTTTGGAGGTTCAGGCTGAGAGCTCCACATGCAGGAGTGTAGAAAAGACTCATTTTCTTGACTGTAAAAGACATATATGTATGTTCTTAGGTTGGCCAAGGCTCTCAAGTATAGGCAGAAGGAGGCGGAGGGCCAAACGGGAATTCAAAAGAAATTTGGTTAGCTAGATTGACCAAAAATCAAAGAGAGAAGACCCCAATTACAAAAATCAGAAGTAAATGAGGGGACATTATAATCACCCTTACAGAAACAAAAGGGATTATAAAGGAATACTATGAACAACTGTATGACACTAAATTAGACAACTTAGATGAAATGCTTAAATTCCTAGAAAGACACAAACTATTGAAGATGGCTGGACAAGAAATCAAAACCCCAAATAAACAAATAACAAGCAAAGAGGTTGAATTAGTAGTAATCAAAACTGCTGACAAAGAAAAGCCCAGACATAAATGACTTCATTGGTGAATTCTTCCAAACATTTAAAGAAGAATTAATGCCCATTCTTCACAAGCTATATAGAGGAGGTAATACTTCTCAACTCATTCTATGAGGCCTGTATTACCCTGATACCCAAACTGACAAAAACATCACGAAAAAACTACAGACCAATATCTCTTATGAGTATAGATGCAAAAATCCCCAACAAAATATTAGCAAACCAAATCCAACAACATATAAAAAGGATCATACACGATGACCAAGTGGGATTTATCCCAGGAATGCAAGATTGTTTTAACATCTGAAAATCAATTAATGTAATACACCATATCGATAGACTAAAAATGATTTGATAAAATCCAACACTCTTTCATGATAAAAACCCTCAACAAACTAGGAATAGAAGGGAACTTCCATCACCTGACAAAGGGCGTCTATAAAAAACCAACAACAGCATCACAATTAAAGGTGAAATACTGGATGCTTTTCCCCTAAGATCAGGAACAAGACAAGGGTATCCACTTTCCCTACTTCTGTTCAACATTATACTGGAGGTTCTAGCTAGAACAGTCAGACAAGAAAGAGAAATAAAAGGCATATGGATTAGAAGGGAGAAGTAACCCATATTTGCAGAGATGACATAATCTTGTACATAGAAAATCCTAAGGAATCCACTAAAAAACTATTAAAACTAATAATTGTGTTCAACATGGTTGCAAGGCCATGAAATCAATTTAAAAATTATATTTCTGTATACTTGCAATGAACAACCTGCAATGAAATTAAGAAAACAATTCCATTTACAATATCATCAAAAGAATAAAACACATAACAATAAATTTAACAAACATGGCGTGAAACTTGTATGCTAAAAACTATGAAACATGATACAAAATTAAAGGTGGAAACAAATGGAAAGACATGTTCATGGATCAAAATACTTAATATTGTTAAGATGGCAATATTCCTCAAATTGATCTACAGATTCAATGCAATCCCTATCAAAATTCCAATTTCTTTGTAGAAATTGACCACCTGATCCTAAAATCCATATGGAAATTAAGGGGACCCAGAACAGTCAAAGCAATCTTTAAAAAGAACAGAGTTGGAGGACTCACAATTCCCAATGTCAAACTTTATACAATGCTATAGTAATCAAAATAGTGTGTTGCTAACATAAGGATAGACATATAGATCCATATAGTGGAAAGAAATTGAGAGTCCTGAAATAAATCCATACATATATGGCTGATGGATTTTTGACAAGGGTGCCAATTCCATTCAATGCTGAAAAGAATAATCTTTTCAGTAAGTGGCGCTGGGACAACTGAATATCCAAATGCCAAAGAATGAAGTTGGAATTCATTCTCATATATAGACAAAATTAAACTCAAAATGGGTCAAAGACCCACATGTAATGGCTAAAACTATAAAACATAGAAGGAAACACAGGTATAAATCTTTAAGGCCTTAGATTAGGCAGTGGTTTCTTAGATATGACATTAGTAGCACAAATAACATAAGAGAAAAACACAAATTTGACTTCATCAAAATTAAAAACTTTTGTTCACAAATAATGCCATCAAGAAAGTGTAAAGAAACCAGGCACGGTGGCTCATGCCTGTAATCCTAACACTTTGGGAGGCTGACATGGGAGGATCACTCGAGGCCAGGAATCTGAAACCAGCCTGATCAACATAGCAAGACCCTGTCTCTACAAGAGGAAGACAAAATTAACTGGGCATGGTGATGTGCACCTGTAGTACCAGCTACTTGGGAGGCTGAGGCAGAGGATTGCTTGAGCCCAAGAGTTCGAGGCTACGGTGAGCCATGATGGTCCCACTGCACTCCAGCCTGGGTGACAGAGACTCTATCTCAAGAAAAAAGCGAAAAGGCAGCCTACAAAATAAGAGAAAATATTTGCACATCATATGTTTGATAAGAGACTTGTGTCCGAACATATAAAAATATCTTACAAATCAAAGGAGAAAGACAAATAATAATCCAAATCAAAAATGGGCAAAGGATCTGAACAGACATTTCTCAAAAGATAGTACTATATACAAATGGCCAACAAGCACATGAAAAGATGCTCGACATCATTAGTTATTAGGGAAATGCTAATAAAAACCATAATGATATCCCACTTCACACCCACTAGGATGGCTATAATAAAAAAGTCAAACAAATGTTGGTGCGGATGTGGAGGAAGTGGTACCCTTGTGTTAATACATTGCTGATGGGAATGTAATGTGATGCATCCACTTTGGAAAACAGTCTGGCAGTTCCTCAAAATGTTAAACACAGAGTTACCATTTGGCCCAGCACTTCCACTCCTAGGCATGTACCCAAGAGAATTGGAAACATATGTCCACACAAAAACTTGAACATGAATGTTCATAGCTGCATTATTCACCATACCCAACAAGTGGAAGCAGTCAAAATGTTCATCAACTGGTGAATGGATAAATAAATAAATAAATAAATAAATAAATAAATAAATAAAAATGTGGTCTATCCATACAATGGAATTATCCAGTCACAGAAAGGAATGAAGTACTGACGCATGCTATAACATGGATGGACCTTGAAACATCATGTTATGTGAAAGAAGCCAGTCACAAAAGGCCACATAGTCAGTGATTTGATCCTATGGCATGTCCAGAATAGACAGATCCATTAAGACACAAAGTCGATTAGTGGTTGCCTAGGGCTGGGGAGGCGATTGAGGGGAAATGGGGAGTGACTGATAATGGGTAGAGTTTCTCTCTGGGATGAAAAATTGTTCTAAAATGGATTGTGGTGATGGCTGTGCAACTCTGGATATATTAAAACCCAGTGAATTGTATGCTTCAAATGGATGAATTGTGTGGTTTGCACATGTTTTATGTCTTAATAAAGTTGTTATCAGAAAAGAACCTTGGTAAGTCAGAAACATACCACAATATCATACTCAAGCATCAAAAGAATGGCCACAAAATGTGATCAGGGCAGCTGTGATAAACTGCAGAAATTCTAGTGCATCATACTAGATCCTATAGTGACTATGTATCAACAGATATGCTACCATTTAAAAGTAAACTGGTTACTGGGATGCAAAGATATATACTATAGAGACAAGCCCCATACTCAGACCTCAGTAAACTCTTACTAGAGTGTCTTTGTTCTAGTTTAAAGGGGAAAATAGGGCTGAGAGTAGCATGCCTATGTGAAGTTTCAAGCTCACCACATGCCCACCCCAATCATCTGACCTGGGTCTTGATCTTGAAATCAGCTCTCCTGGCCCTATGCCAGGATTTCACAGCCCAATCTGTAAGACCCTGGTACCTATAGATATGTAGGTGGCAAAATGGAGATAAAAACCTACTGACTAGTTGTACTTATCCTTTATAGATGGAGATTTAGTTGGCACTCTCAAAAAATAGTCAGACTTTCCCATAACAGCTAGCCAAGTTTCTCAGCTTCCAAGACCACCCTGGTTCTTAGCTGGATTCTTTCTCCCTCCCTGAGGATGAGGGAGACCCCATGAGCACCCCCTAGCTGTCCTCACTGGGGCCAGCCATCCTTGCTACTGTTATTAAGCATCCTCAGGTGGACCACACTCTTGCTCACGTCTCCTCCCTTCTAACCTTGAGGAAACTTGAGCTTGATTTTCTCCAGTGTAACCTGATGAGCCCAGAACCACGCCCCTGCCCCTGAGTGGAGTGGGGACCCACGCACGCAGTCCTTTATCATGAGTCCTCTATAGTAGCCTCTACTTCAACTCTGTCCATTGCTTATCTTGTGATTCAATATGTTTTTCTTGTCCATCTGAATTTATTTAATATTTGGATCTCAAAGATCTATTATATTTAACCACATTTCAAAGGTTTGTGATTAGAGAAAGAAACCATCCATAATTTCACCTTGTTTATGTGCATAAGTATTTTTACATAAGTACAATCGCAGTGAAGATAAAATTTTGTGCCATATTTTTTTACTTATCAAATCACAGGAAACTTTATGATCCAGTTAGAATTACTGTCATACTAAGGGAGCAGACAGAAGTCCCAGGCTCCATTATTTCCAACGATAACAGTTGTTAACATTTATATATATATAGCCCTTACTACAGGCATTGCTCTAGGCACTTGACAAATTTAATCTTCATGACAGCCCTATGAAGCAGGTACTATTATTTCCCTCATTTTACAGATGAAGAAATTGAGACACTGAGAGGTTAGATGGCTTGTCCGACATCACAGTTACTATAACCCAGGCTGCCTGGTACTAGAGTTTGCACTCATAACTCCTCTAGGGGGTCTCAAGCTTGAGTGTGTGCATCAGAATTCTTTGGACAGCCTGATAAAACACGAATTGCTGGGCCCCACTCCTAGACATTCAAACTGTCTAGGAGTTTGAATGTCCTGGGGAAGGCCCAGGAATTTACATTTCTAACAAGTTCCCAAGGGATACTGCTGGTGCAAAGATCATATTTTGAGAATCACTGCCCTACACTACACTAGTGGCTCACATGTTAGAGATACCTGGAACCCAACACCAGCCCTTACAGTGGCCAGGAAGGGAGCATTCCTTGTCATGTGCTTTCTTATTTCCTTCTGTCACCCTTCCCCCCACAATGGCAGGACATCCACTGAGCAGTTGCATATCACAAGGGGGTTGTCTTATCCGTGCCAGCCCCAGACTCAATTAGCTAAATGCAATCCCATCCATTAAAAGCCCTGATAAATCAGTTCCTGGCTGTCAGGCTGCCCTGGCCGCTGCTGAATTAATGCCTGTGCTGTCACTTGCCTGGCGCCTGTAGCCAATTGATCTCATAGGTTAATAAGATTAACTCAGGATTAACTCAGTCAGTCTCCCTGCAGCCTCTCACGCCCCCCGCACCCCCCCCCCGCCCCCACCAAACTTCGGGAGGTTCAGGATTGTTCTTGGTGGGAGGCAGCTCTACCTTCCTCCAAAGACAGCAGCTTTTCAGGACAGTAAGGGGCCCTTTAGGTTGCATCAACTGAGTCAAATTTGACTTTGTAATCTGCAGGATTGGGACCAGCTCATCTGAAAATTGATTGCCGGACATGGAGAACAAACTGGTTCAGTGTTAACGAGGAGGAACGGATTTGTCCATCTGACCACAACCCAAATTGCTTGAAAATTTGGGCAGCTGTGTTAACAGGGAAAGAAGTTGGGACATGGAGTTGGACAGACCTGGCTTTGAGACTCTGCCTCATCACGACCTCGCTGTGTGTTCCCTCTGAACTTAGCTTTCTATATTAACAAAATGAGGCCAATAATAATTCCACCCTGTCTGCATTCCAGGGCAATTAAAGAATCATAAATTGGCCTATCGCTGCTTCAAAGGTCACTGCCTGAGGAGACAAATCAGGAATGGAGATCACAGCTCGGAGTGGAAGATGAAGCCAGGCTTCTGAGTTCAAAGATGAGTTCTTCCTCTTCCCAAATTCCCCTCATATCTGCCTATTGGCTTGCCTTTATGGAGGTCACCTCTGCCAAACAGTCCTCTTATAGTGGACACTGTGATGTGCCGCCAAGGTTCCACCTCAGGGATAAACAACTTATTCTCTTAAATGTTGGCTGAGCTGCCAGAAGGCATTTTGTTGTTAGCCCTCTTTGGGGATTACTTTGTCCAATGTCACATCTTGCCAGGGTGGCTCCCTCACCTCAACTCAGGGCAGCTCTGTGGGGCTTTCTCACCTCCAGAGCTTCCCCTTTGGATTGACTGTGACCTTTGTTGCAGTTTACGTTACTCCCTCTGCATAATCCTGCTTCCTCACCCACTTTCCACAGTTGTTGATCCCAAGGGCCCCCTAACAAACTTCCTGCACACTAATCTCTGCCTCAGGGTCGGCTTCCTGGGGCCTCCAAACTCCTCTGGCAGGAAGGGCCCTTTGCAGTGTGAGAGGCGCATTGACATATGCTCTCTCGTGGGCTCGGGCATGGCTCAGAGGCCTGCTCCAGAGAGGAGGCCGCTGCTACCTTTCCCACTCCCTTTGTTTCCTAATGGCTTCTAGGCAATTCTCTCTTTTAAAAATTGTCATGCTTTTCTGTTATGCTTTTCTTTTTTGTTCTTATTACAAAAGCGAAACATGCTTAACATAGTTAAAAATCAGAACGTACAAACAAACAGAAAGAGGGAAAGAACATTCATAATCCTACACACCAGAGGCAACCACGGCTGATACCTTGGGTATATCTTTCCAGAAATTTTCCTATGCCAAACAAAGATGGAATCATACTGTAAACATTGTTTTGTGGTTTACTTCAACTCTCTCTCGTTACCACAATAACTATTTTCTGCCAGCCATGTTCAGCCTCCCTATGAGAATGGGAAAATGAAGACTCAGAAGCCTGTGGGCAGTCAGAGGCCCTAGTCCAGCCCCTCATACAGAAGAGATGTGGAAACTGAGGGTCAGAAAGAGGAAGGACCTCTTCTCAGGCCCCACACTGAGCCAGACGGGGGCTCCTCCCCAGGCACCAAGAGACCATCCAGATCACCTTCTGACCTGGCTCTGAGCCTCTTTCCAAATGTCTGAATTGCCCAATCAGGTTCAAACCAGGAGAGGAGCAGAAAATGGGACTGGCATAAGAGAAATGTAGGAAAACGAAACCAGCCTGTTGATGTCTGTGCCTGGGTCCAGGCCACTTTGCAGGTGTATGGTAGGCGCACCTGACAGCAATAACTTAAGAAATGAGGTTTGTCACATAGCGGTTGCTGGGGGAGGGTGCTAAGTGAAGGTGCCATATAAACTGCATGCTTTTTGCAAGACGTTGTGGTTCTCCTGTCCAGCCTGCTCCCACTGGATCATCTCTGTAAGTAAGTTCCCTCTAATAAAACCCTATGTCTCGTTTGCTGGCTATGGGTCTCCTCTTTGGCCTCTTGAACCTGGTGCCATCCCTACTGAAGTCAATAGGGGTCTAGCACAACAGCAGGGTTCAGCATTTGGTCCACAGGGGAGTCGGCAAGCTGTGTACAGAGCACCCCTCACGGCAGGTGGCACCCCTCCTCTTGCCAGCTACTGAGCAACCCCACCTCCCATCTGTTTCCCACACAGCAACCAGAGGAATCATCCTCAAAAGTCACTCAGGGATGAGGCAATGGATTCTTAGATATGACACCAAAAGCACAGACAACAAAAGAAAAAATAAACTGAACTTACATCAAAGTTGAAAACTTTAGCACTTCAAAGGCCACCATCAAGAAAATGAAAAGGCAGCCCACAGAAATGGAGAAAATATTTGCCAATCATGTATCTGTTAAGGAACTTGTATCTAGAATATAATAAAGATCTCTTATAACTCAATAATAAAAAGACAAATAAAGTTTGGGCATGGTAGCTCATGCCTGTAATCCCAGAACTTTGGGAGGCTGAGGTGGGAGGATCGCTTGAGGTCAGGAGTTTGAGACCAGCCTGGCCAACAGAGTGAAATGCTGTCTCTATTAAAAATACAAAAATTAGCTGGATGTGGTGGTGCGCACCTGTAATCCCAGCTACTTTGGAGGCTGAGGCAGGAGAATCGCTTGAACCCAGGAGGTGGAAGTTGCAGTAAGCCAAGATCGCACCTCTGCACTCCAGCCTGGGTAACAGAACGAGACTGCATCTCAAAGAAAAAAAAAGGAATGAAGTTCTGATCCAGGCTACAACATGGATGAACCTTGTAAACATTACACTAAGTGAAAGAAGCCAGCAACAAAAGGCCACACATTATATGACTCCATTTCTATGATATGTCCAGATTAGGCAAATCCATCAAAACAGAAAGTTGATTAGTGGTCACTAGTGGCTGGGGAGAGGTAGGGGTTGGCAAAAGTGGAAAGTGACTGCTAATGAGAAAAAGGTCTCCTTTTTGGCATAATAAAAATGGTCTGGAATTAAATGGTGACAGTTGTGCATATCTGGGAATATTCTAAGAGTCACTGAATTGTATGCATTAAATAGGTGAATTGCATGGTATGTGAGTTATATCTCAAGAAAGCTATTAGTAAAGAAAGAAGTAAATCACATCCCGTTGCTCCCCAGCACATCTTCCCATTGCTTCTCATCACACAGGACTAAAATGCAAAGTCCTTACCATGATCTATAAGGCCTGAATGATCCGGCCTCTGCCTCTCCCTGCTTGCTGGCTCTTTTCTTATCACAGGGGCCTTTTTGCTGCTCCTCAAACATGCCAGGTCCATTCCTACTTCAAGACCTTTGAACTGGCTGTTCTCTCTGCCTGTAACACTCTTTTCCCTGATTTTCACATGGCTTGCTTCCTTCCTTCATTTGGGTCTCTGCTCAAATATCACCTCTTCAGATAGACCCCTGATCTTGCTATGGTGTCCTGATCCTAGTCACCCTAGCCACATCACTCTGCTTACTTTTCTTCATAGCACTTACCACTACTTGAAGCTTTTCTTGGTAAGTGGTTTCATTGATGACTGTCTGTTTGCCTTATCCTGGACTGTAAGCTCCCTGAGGTCAAGGATCTTGTCTGTCTTGGTCACCAGCATATACACAGTGCTTGGCGCATGGCAAGTGGTCATTAAATGCATGTTGAATGAATAAATGAGTGAATCTCACTTCAACCTACTGTCTTTGCAAGTATCCACTCCTGCTTCTGAGGAGGACTGAGTGTGAGTATGTCAAGGGGTTGTGTAGCCCCTCCCTGCTGCTAAAATGCTACTACAGAACTGCTACTGCTGCTGCTGCTATGGCTGCAATTCTTTAATTTACCTTATACTTACTTACTGTGGGACTTTGGACAAGTCTCTTCACTGAGCTAAGACTCAGTCTATATTTGCAAAACTGAGATAATAATAATGTCTCACTGGGTTGCTATGAGTGTGTCCAGTACTTCTTAGTGCAGTGCCTGGCTCACAGTAAAGACGCAATAAAGAGTAGCTATTATTATTATTTGAGCCTCCCACCTCTCTTTAATTCCAGGAATTTGGGACACTCTTTTTGCAGCAGAGTGGAGGACTACTTGCACACCCAGACAGTGGTGGACCTCTGGTCCGGACATCCTCCGCCCAGTTAGCTGTCTTTCCCACATAAACCTTTATGGCCTCAGCCTGCATCACTGCAGGCTCGGCCCCTGAGAGCAGCCCCCAGCCACCCTGCACAAGTCCACCCAGGTAGGGTGGCCGGCCAGATGCTCAACTGGCCTTCATCCTCCTCTTCCAGGCAGAGTCCGGGGCAGGGAGATGCACTCACAAACTGTTTTCCACTATTCTGAAAATTCTCAGTCCCAAAACATTGCACATAACCTCCATGGCCAAGTTACTTTCCTAATTCCGGTTGCCATAACAACGCGATTTAATGAAGGAGCAATTTTTTTTTCTTAAAATAATTCAACCCGTTTCCATATCAACAGGGGTTTATTTTGGTTCCACATGCAGCAAGGGCTTGGTAGCCAGCACCTGACAGCACCTTCTGCACTTTGGGAGGAACTCGAATTTCCAGGGGGCCATTTGAGATGTGGGAAAGGGACTGTGGTGGCCGTGTGTGCTGAGGAGGCCATGGCCTCAGTAAAGAGAGCAATAAACAGTGTGGGCACCTTAGAAGTTCCTCTTTGGGTTTTTTTTTTTTTTTTTTTTTTTTTTTTAGGTGGGAGGATGGAAGAAACAAGGAGGGGACAAGCCGTTCAGCGTCCTGTCCAAAGTCTAGGGCCTACAGAAACCAACTCCCTGTTGCTGGGCCTCCCTCTTGAGACCACAGGCTAGAAGGAGTGTCCCGGGGCTGGGGTTGGGTTTCTTTGTTGGAAAGCTTGCTGGAGGGGGTCACGGCAGGGGAAAGGGTTGCAAACATGCATAGTAAATGATTCTATCTGTGCCTAAGCTGGCTGTATGTGACTAGATTCCTTCATAAATTTACTCATTCAAGAAACACGACTGAGTACCTACTAGGTGGCTGGTACTGTGCAGGGGACCTTGAGGACACAACGAGATACAGTCCCTGTCCTTAGGGAGCTCCCAGTCTGGTGATGAGGAGGTCATTCTCAGAGGCTGTCTTCTAGGCCAGTGCTTCTCAAACTTTTTTTGCACATGAATCACCAAATCCCCTGGGGATGTTGTTAAAACGCGGGTTCTGTCGCAGTAGGTGGAGCGGGGGTGTGTGTGCTGAGATTCTGTATTTCTTAACACTCTCGTAGGTGATGCTGCTGCTGCTGCTGGTCTTCATACCTCACTTTGAGCAGCAAGGATCTAGGCAACTAAGAAGCTGGTGGAGAAAATATGGGACCAGAGAAAAGCACTTCACCCCTCTGTTCCCGGCATCCTTGGGGTGATGCCCCGTCCTGTGGGTTTTGGCTGCATCTCCTACTGGAATGGGGTGACTTTCTCATTGAGCAGAGAACTCTGCTTTGCTTTCTGAAGAACTTCTCTAACTCTGTGGAGTTTTTAATAAATAAGAATGAAAAGGTGGAACAACCAGGGTGTTTAACAACCCCAGCTGAGAGGCCACCAGAATTGCTTCAATTCCTTTCTGGGGAAGTTTAAGTTAGCCATATAAAGCAGCACACGGAAGGACAGAGCCCCAGCCTTTCTCAATGAAGACCCTGCCTGGGCCAGGTGAGGTGGCTCATGCCTGTAATCCCAGCACTTTGGGAGGCTGAGGCGGGCGGATCATGAGGTCAGGAGTTCGAGACCAGCCTGGCCAACATAGTGAAACCCCGTCTCTACTAAAAATACAAAAATTAGCCAGGCATGGTGGTGCCACCTGTAATCCCAGCTTCTTGGGAGGCTGAGGCAGGAGAATGGCTTGAACCTGGGAGGCGGAGGTTGCAGTGAGCCGAGATCGCGCCATTGCACTCAATCCCAGGCGACAGTATGAGACTCTGTCTCCCAAACAAACAAACAAACAACAACAAAACCTGCCTGAATGCACACTTTGGAGCAATGTGTTTAGGGGGGCCAGCATAAGTCAAGAGTCAAGTTCCAGTTCCAGCTCTGTTTCTTCCTAAGCCCTGTGACCTTGGGCAAGTCAAGTCACCTCCCAGTGCCTCATCTATAAAATGGGAATAACAATCACACTTAATTCACAGGGTTGTTTTGAAGATTAAACGAATTAATGTTTGTAAAGTGCCTGACACACAGCAGGTACCAAAATAGCTCATTCATTCAACAAATACTTAGCCCTTTCTGTGTACTGGGCCCATAAGCTTGGGGAATACAACAGTGAACAGGACAGACACAGTCCATGCCCTCACGGAGTTCACACTAAAGCAGAGGAGATCTGAATGATAAGAAGGAACCAGCCGCACAAAGAGAAAAAGAGCACACTTGGCAGGGGAAACAGCAAATGCAAAGGCCCTGGGGTGGAAAAGGATGACTGAAAGGAGCCAGTGTATGTGCGATGTATGAGGGGAGCATGGCAAGAAAAGATGTCACAGAGGTGGTCAGGGGCCATATTACTTCAGAGTCTTATGGGCTGCGGTCAGGAATTGGGGTTTGATGCTCGACATACCTGAAAGCTGTTGGAGGGTCTATGGTCTGGGGCGGGGAAGGGAACTGTGTGGTGTGACCTGACTGCTCTCCTTCACTGCCTACAGTGCCGGCAACCTGGGCTCAGCGTTTCCTTCTTCCCTGCCGGACCCGCATGTCCTCAAATTTCTGGAACTAGAAAGCCCATCCAAGGCCTCGGGATTTCACGTCTAGATGCTCACTGGAGAAATGTGTGGGATGCACACACTACTAGCCTGCTGCAGTTTGCTCAGGCTGCTCTGTGTGCAGAAGGTCTCTGTGCTCAGTGACCACTCTTCTGGTCCCGCCCCCAGGCAGCAGAGCGAAGGCTCTGGAGCAGACGATGTGGGTTCAAATCCTGGCTCTGTCGCTTATCAGCTGTGTGACCCTGGGAGATTCACGTTGCCTCTATGGGCCTCTGTTTCCTCATCTGTAAAATGACGTAAGAATAGTAACTACTTCCTAGGGAAGTTGTGATGACGCAGTGAGTGAATGTGAAGGCAACACTTCAGCCTGGCACCTAGGAAGTGCTGCACGAAGCCTGTGGACAGGCAGAAGTTTGGTGTCTTTGACTTTGAGGCTGGGGTGAGTTAATGTAAGGGCAAGTACTGCAAATGCTCCAGAACCCTTAACAAAGGGCAGCTACTGCCATGGCTAGGATAACACTGCACACCACTGTGCCACTGGGTCCCGGTTTTTACTTTCCACCTTGAGGAATCACCAAGACCTGTCAATCTGACCTCCTAACTCCCTCTCAAATCTGTTCCTTCTCCCACTCACTGGCACCTCTCCAAATCAAAGCCCTGTTACTTCTCACCTAAACAATTACAAGAACCTCCTACCTGCTGCTCTTCCTCCCTCAGATCTTGCTCTCTTACGATCCAGCCTCCACGGGGCCAAGAGAGTCATCTTCTAGACACACACAAGTCATATCAGCTCTTCCCTCTGCCTCAAAACCATCAGGATAAAATGCCAGTTCCTCAGGCTGGCTGACAGGGTCTTCCCATTCTGGCCCCTGCCTCTTCTCCGCTTCACATGCGCCACTTCCTTTAGGAGCACCATTCATCAGCTGAATTGTTCCTTTGCTCTAGAATGCCGTTCTCCCACCCCTGCCCTCTTTTCCACCTAGTAGAAGTCTACCCTTGCTCCTAGAGTCTCTATGACATTGTCCCAACTTCGCTTTTCCTCATGGGTTGTTCCTTCCTCCAACACCCCCCCGGGACTCTGTCTTCTGTCTGTTGGTGCACATGAGTCGTCCTCCCCACGAGATGGTGAGCCCTGAGGGCAGAGGAGACAGCAGAGCAGAGCAATGACATCATCTATCATTGTGTAACCTCAGCACCCAGCTTAGCCAAATCAAGGGCTCATGAGCACAAACACTGGCAGGGCCCAGGCAGGTAACACCAAAGAGAGAAGCAGGCTAAATGGGCCCTGCCGTGAACCGTGGAACTCCCTGCCTACCCACAAGGGGGCCAAACCCCTTAGTATTAGCTGATTCATCCATTGGGACCAGATCTTAAGATTTTTTAAGAAAGTGCATTGGGAACTAACTTACATTATTTATTTATTGTTTATTTATTTATTTATTTATTTAATTTTTTTGTATTTTTAGTAGAGACGGGGTTTCACCGTGTTAGCCAGGATGGTCTCCATCTCCTGACCTCGTGATCCACCCACCTCGGCCTCCCAAAGTGCTAGGATTACAGGCATGAGCCACCGCGCCCGGCCTTTTAAAAAATTTTATTTATTTATTTTTTATTATACTCTGAGTTCTAGGGTACATGTGTGCAATGTGCAGGTTTGTTACATAGGTACACATGTGCCATGTTGGTTTGCTGCACCCATCAACTCGTCATTTACATTAGGTATTTCTCCTAATGCTATCCCTCCCCCAGCCCCCACCCCCCGACAAGCCCCGGTGTGTGATGTTCCCCCTTCCTGTGTCCATGTGTTCTCGTTGTTCAACTCCCACCTATGTGTGAGAACATGCAGTGTTTGGTTTTCTGTCCTTGTGATAGTTTGCTGAGAATGATGATTTCCAGCCTCATCCATGTCCCTGCAAAGGACATGAACTCATTTGTTTTTATGGCTGCACAGTATTCCATAGTGTGTATGTGCCACATTTTCTTAATCCAGTCTATCATTGATGGATATTTGGGTTGGTTTCAAGTCTGCTATTGTGAATAGTGCCACAATAAACATATCTGTGTGTGTGTCTTTATAGTAGCATGATTTATAATCCTCTGGGTATATACCCAGTAATGGGATGGCTGGGTCAAATGGTATTTCTAGTTCTAGATCCCTGAGGAATCGCCACACTGTCTTCCACAATGGTTGAACTAATTTACACTCCCACCAACAGTGTAAATGCATTCCTATTTCTCCACATCCTCCCCAGCATCTGTTGTTTCCTGACTTTTTAATGATCGCCATTCTAACTGGCATGAGATGGTATTTGTTTATTTATTTTTAAGCTGCACTTCTGAGTGTGGAAAATTCGTTTTTTAAACCATGCAGAACAAAAAAACCTGAACTTCAGGCCACACTTGGTCTTTCAGCCTATCATCTTGCAAACTCAGAACCTTTGTGTGTGTATGTGTGTGTGTGTGTGTGTGTGTAATGAGGGAATGAATGAATGAATTCAAGTTTCTTTTTTTTTTTTAGACAGAGTCTTGCTGTCGCCCAGGCTGGAGTGCAGTGGCGCGATCTCGGCTCACTGCAGGCTCTGCCCCCCCGGGGTTCACGCCATTCTCCTGCCTCAGCCTCCTGAGTAGCTGGGACTACAGGCACCCGCCACCTCGCCCGGCTAATGTTTTGTATTTTTAGTAGAGACGGGGTTTCACTGTGCTAGCCAGGATGGTCTCGATCTCCTGACCTCATGATCTGCCCGCCTCAGCCTCCCAAAGTGCTGGGATTACAGGCGTGAGCCACCGCGCCCGGCCTCATGGATTCAAGTTTCCTAGAGCTACTGTAAATTTCAAAGGTTTGGGGGAAATTACACGTAGTCAGTTCAGTTGCTATTTGGTTTGATTTTTTGGCGTAAGGACATGAACGTCAAAATCGAAAGTCAAGTTTTTATATTTCTCTCTTTAAAAATGAAGCCCAACCTTCTTTCACCTGGTGGCTATAACAGTATTGCATTTCCTGGGTAGCTCACAGGCCTTGTGAGCAGACCTGTAACCTCAACTGTGGTGACATCCCTCTTTGAGATGCAGGTCACCCCAGAAGGAAGGGAGGGATGTGAAAGCCACAGAGACTGTTTCCATGGTGGCTGATTTGCTTAGTTTGGTAACCTCTTATAAACAAACTGTGCAGAAGATGACAACGGCACGGTTCCCTCCAACTTCCGCCTACCTCATCCCACTTATCTTAGCCCCAAGTGAGAGAGGTTGGGGGAAAGACTGAGGACTCTGAATTACAGGCATCAAGGACTCAAATTCCTTTTAGGTCCTGACTCCCTGTCCCTGGGACTCCTATACCTGGCTTTGGGCTGCAGGGAGGGACTTGCCCAGAGGCCTGCAGGGTGGGAGGGAGCCAGTTGCATTTCCTGAGTGACTAGAACACCAGACCTTGAGCTGCTTGATCCCCCATTCAGGACCAAGGCACTCAGTCCCCCAGCTACCAGAGGTGTTGGTCCATGGCTCACGGTTGAGTCTCTTCTCCAAGGTAACAACCCCTTTCCTGGGGGGCAGCCTGCATCCAAGATCTCGTTAATAGATGGGGTGGGGTGGGAGGTGGGGGAAGAAAGGCCCAGCTGCCTGGCCTCAACTGGGGCCATCTGAAGAGCATCTCAGCTCCAGAGCTTCCCATGTTATCAACTGAGGTCTCCAGTGTGCCCACACTGCAGGTGAACTCCTGTCTCTGACCGATCCTGCTCCCTCACAGGTGCTGTTCTAGAAGGCAGTTCCCAACAAACCTTTTGCAGGCAAATCAATATCTCCAAATCTGTTTCTTGGAGATGCCAGCCTATGACAATTCCCTGCCTTGGCCTCTTTTCTCTCCCTGCCTTTTCTTCCTTGTTGAGCACAATCACTCCAAACGCCCCAAGATCATCTCAGAGGATGATCCTCAACTCTTTCCTGTTGCCACAGCCACTCTCCCAGTCTGCCCACTTGCATTTCTCAGAGCCTGGTGGACATCTTCACCTGGATACCCACTTTTTTAGTCTCAAATTTAATATACTTAAAATAGAACCTCTCCTGCTATCCTAATCCACTCTTCCTCCTGACTTCTGTATTTCTGTTAATGAATCCCAGGCTGGAGACCTCAGCGTCACCTTGGGCAACCTCCTGCTCAGAAACCTTTAGCATCCCCTCAATGTGAGCAGAACACATGCCCATGCTCCTTATCTTCATACTCAAGGCCTTCCTTGTTGACTCAAATGAGGCCGATTTCCTGACAACCCTCTAATCCAGGATTTCTTAACAGTTTAATGGCTTGGACTCCATCAGGAGCCTAATGAAACTTATGGGCCTCTACTTGGAATGTTTCTACAAGCACAAAATAAAATACATAGGATTACAAAGGAAGTCAATTGCATTTAAAGTTATCTATATATGTCTTAAAATTTGCAACATAGTAATATGCATTTCGTTATTAACACATTAAGTAACATGAGCTAGTGGCGGGTCCAGTGACTGCCATGATTTTGAAGTAGTCGTGAATGGGACAGTAATTTAAGGCACCTGCAGCAGCAGTAATGAGATATAAAAACATCTGTGGCTCCTGTTCGAGACAAAGTCACAGGCTAATGCCACTGTGATGTGTGGCCTGTGTTCATAATGGAAGGAAAGCTAACTTTCAATTACAGGTTAATGAAGACAAAGTTATAATTTTTTTCTCATTTAAGTAAATGAACTCCTGGTCAAGCACTTCTGTGCTATGGGGAGTCCACATTGTAGCTCAAATTGGATATTCACACTTCCCTGAATGAATGTCACGCATCCCACATCCATCCTGGCTGATGCTGGAAACTGGTACTCGGGCACTGGGTCAAGTCGGCCTCACTCTCCACATGGACCTTCTGCCACAGGCTGGCCAGGGCTTGGGGCTAAGAGCTGTGCAGAGCACTGCCTGCCCATGGGCAGCCCTGGGAGGGTATCTTCTCTGGCTTTTCTCCTCTCAAGTCCCAGGCCCTGTCTGAGTGAATTTACATGTTTCTGATGGCCCAACCAAGATTACCCAGTCAGTTGGCTCATGGGGTAGTGCACAGCCATCAAGCTAGTTGTAGAGCATCTAGTTGAAGATGCCTTCACCAAGGTGCCATTTGGAGCTGTGAAGAGGCCACTACTCTGCTTGGATCCTTCTCCTGAACCTTGGACCTGGGACTCATCCAGCTCTACTCTTACCTTGCTACCAGATTCTAAATGTTCTGCAATGCATGGGACTGTCCTGTACAATGAAGAATTGTCTTACCCACAAGGGCCATGATGCCCTCGGTGAGAAACACTGCTTAGGAAGTTTATAACTGTTTGTTTAGTGCTTCAGTAGTCCTTGGCCTGGGGTGCCAGCAACGGAGGCAGAGCAAATCTGTGGGCACTTCTCTGGACTCTTCCCAGTCCCCTCTGGCCTGAAATCCCAGTGACCTTTACATCTAGGATTGGGATTGAGGGAGCGATGCATAATATGGTGAGAACCTTCCCCCACTCCCTCCACTGTGGCCACTGCAGCTATCAGTTCCAAATCCAAGCTTTCCCAGGCGTGGGACTTTGCTAGGTCAAGAGGAGCTACCTGGGCTTGATAGCTGCCACTAGGGAGGGAAAAGTTGGCAAGAAGCTGTTTTTAGTTTCCTCCAGATGTCTGCTGGCCTAGGACCCTTTGGCTCTGTCCCCCGGGAAGGAATGTTTGTCCTAGGCAGCCTCTGCTTTGCTACTGGAGCTAGGGAGTGGGTACTCCCATCTGGGGCAAGAGAATGTGCCAACTCCTACTGTGCTTTTGCGGGTTAATCATTTCCAGGTAGGAGCTGTCACGAGTCACCCTGGTGTTCACCTCCATTGCTTTCCATGAACCAGTCTAGTTTCCTAAAAATACCTGCTCCCTATTTCCCAGGCCAAAATGCTCCAGGAAATGCCTGCAGCCCACGATTGTCAGATAAGTGGCTTCTTCTGTTAGTTTGACCTGTATTCTGATGAAAGGGATTACTAATACTGCAAGAAACAATATTCTGTGACTTACAAATTATATCTGTTAAGAATAATGAATACTTATATAGGGCTATTTATTATACTTTATAGTTTATAAAGGCTACTTTATATATTAGGTTGAACCATACAAATTTGCTGGCATTTAAATGCTTTGGACAGTTTCATAGGATTCAACCTAACACATTTTCTCATTTATTCCTCACCATAATGCTGGGTAGGTATTTTTAGCCCCATTTTACAGAGTAGAGTACTAAATCTTAAGAGTGGTGAAATGACTTTTGACTAAGATTATATATACAGGAAATAGCAGGGTTGAGACTTGAACTAAGTCTGTCTGATGCCAACTCTCATGCTCTTGGTTCTCGAGGTAGGATGATTCAGCCTGGAAGACCACTGCAAGGCTTCGAGACTCCTAGACTACCCTCAGGAATCCCCTGGCTGGTTTCTCTTGTCACCTTTTCTTAGTGGGAGAGATCAGCAGGTGCATAGATGCCTGCAAATAGAAGGTTCTAAAGTGATGAGGTGACAAGTTCTAGTTTTAAGGCTTTGGGAGCCCTGAGGAGGTACAACAAAGACAATATCCAAAGCATGTTAATTCACCCATGCATTTATCCGTCCAAGAGAATGCTACTGGGTAGCTCCCATGCACGTGACAGGCTCTGCACTAGGTGCTAAGTTAGTGCAGAGCCTAGGCTGCCAACATTCAGGGAAGAGGCTTAATCAGCAGGGCTTCTACGCTTTGGCCAGCCTCAGGAGGGGGCTGAAGCAGTAGAGGCTGGGGTGAGATCACCATGTGCATGGGACTTAGATTTCCTGTGACACTGCTCTGTCTTCCTAGCCCAGGCATGATTTGGGAGGCCACAGCTTGTGTGACCAAGCAGAAAGAAGCTGGGCTGTTGCCTGGTGCTTCAGGAGTCTGATACCACTGAGAGTTTCTAGGCTGCAGGGCTGGAGGAGGCAGCAGTAGGAAGGGAAAAGGAATGCTGGTGTTCCACTCCTCGGCCTGGTAATGGGGAAGCTGGCAGGTGGGGCCGATGAAAAAGAGCTCCCTCCCAGGCAGCCACAGGAGGAAATTCCTTTCTCCTGTGCCTAGCTGCTCTGAACCCTCGGCTCCACCATGGGGTTGGGTCTTGTAGCTGGCCAGCTTGGGGAGAAAAGGCTGGGGGAGGGCTCGTTTAGAACTTAGGCAGTGGGCATGCGACCGCCACCTTTGTTTGGGGACAGCATGTTGTCCCGTGGGAGATAATCACATTTCTCAGCTTCCTGTCAATCCAGGGGCCGAGCACCCAAGCCTGCTGTGGAGTCCAAATGCTTCCCAAACCTGGCCTGACTCAGGCCAGGGCAAAACTGGCTGCTCCACCTGTCCCCAGTGCTCTCCAGCCACCTGCCTCCTCCCATTCTGCCGACACCCACCCAGACACCAAACCCCGAGCTCAAACCCTGATGCGAGTCTTCTTGCAGGATGCAATTGAGCCCATGCTTACCATTCCAGGCTCTAAGCTGTGCCGCCATGGCTGTCACCACTGCCGCCCAGGAGCACAGTGGCTCTGGGGCCACAGAGTTAAGATCTCACAGTTGAGTAAGCCACAATGTGGGTTCTTCACACCACACCCTCCCCAACCACAGTGGTAGGGATTTCCTCAGAGCCCCGTTGCCACACACTCTGCTTTTGAAAAAAAAAAAAAAAAGGAAACAGGCATTGGGTTTTGAGTGTGATGAGACGCTGTGAACAGAGATGCCTCTGAAAGCAAAGAAAGGGGAACCTGTGACAGACCTCAGATAATCACCTCGTGAGCACTCAGGCTCTTTCTATATCTCTGTGGCCATGCTACGGCTTGTGGAAAGGCCAGGGCCATTTGTACAGCAATATGCCACATAATGGCATGTAAGTTAACACAGCAGTCCCCAACCTTTTTGGCACTAGGGACTGGTTTTGTGGAAGACAATTTCTCCACGGACTTGGGTGGGGGCATGGATTCAGGATGAAACTGTTCCACCTCAGATCATCAGGCATTAGTTAGATTCTTATAAGGAGCAAGTAATTGAGATCCCTCACATGCACAGCTCACAGTAGGGTTCCTGCTCCTATGAGAATCTAATGCCGCTGCTGATCTGACAGGAGGTGGAGCTCAGGCGGTAATGCTCGCCCGCCTGCCACTCACCTCCTGCTGTGTGACCCAGTTCTTAACAGGTCATGGACTGGTACGGGTCCATGGCCCAGGGGTTGAGGACCCCTGCTTAATGGACTGCATATATGACAACTGCATATATGACAGTGGCCCCATTAGATGATACCATAGTTTTGCTCTATCTTTTCTAGGTTTAGTTATGTTTAGATACACAGATAAGTACCATCGTGTTACAACTGCCTGTAGTATTCAGCACAGTCACGTGCTGTATGGGTTTGTAGCCTTGGAGCCATAGGCTGTACCATATAGCCTAGGTGTGCAGCAGGCTACACTATCTAGGTCTGTGTAAGTACACTCTATGATGTTTGCACAATGAGGAAATCACCTAATGACGCATTTCTCTCGTAGCGTATCCCCATTGTGAAGCGAGGCCTGACTGTACTTGGCTCGGCTGTTCTGGTCTGCACTCAACCAGCATACGTTGAATTTATTGGAGTCCACAAACCAAGACCCTGAGAAGCTTCATGAGTTGCCTTGAGTGGTGAAGTTGAGGATTTTGTCCTCAATGTCTGACCTTCTAATCCATTCCTACCAACCACAGAGACACACAGCTCAGGTGACATTTTGAATCTCTCTGCCTGCTCAACTTCCACTGTTCAATACGGTAGCCAGAAGCCACATGTGGCTCTTAAGCTCTTGAAATTGGCAGTCTGAACTGAAATGTGCTGGATGTGTAAAACATACACCAGATTTCAAAGACTGAATATGAAACAAAGAATGTAAAGTATCCCATTAATAATTTTTAATATTTGATTACATTGTAAGACACTATTTTTGATATATTGGAGTAAATTAAATATATTATTAAAATTAATTTCACCTTTTTCTTTTTACTTTTTAAATGTGGCTACTAGAAATGGGGATACTGGTGGCCGGCGTGGCGGCTCACGCCTGCAATCCCAGCACTTTGGGAGGCTGAGGTGGGTGGATCATGCGGTCAGGAGTTTGAGACCAGCCTGACCAATATGGTGAAATCCCATCTCTACTAAAAATACAAATAAAAAATTAGCCAGGTGTGGTGGTGGGGGCCTGTAATCCCAGCTACTCAGGAGGCTGAGGCAGGAGAATTGCTTGAACCCGGGAGGCAGAGGTTGCAGTGAGCCGAGAATGCACCACTGCACTCCAGCCTGGGTGACAGAGTGAGACTCCGTCTCAAAAAAAAAAAAAAAAAAAAAATTCCTACACAAGGGGATACTGGTGCCAAAATTGGCAAATAGATGAATGAAATAAAATAGTTCAAAACAAACTTATGTATATATGAGCATTTAGGATATAATAAAGGTGGCATTTCAAATCAGCTGGGGAGGGGAATGTAGCTACTAAGACAAAATTCAAAATTCCATAAGTGGCTGGCATTTGTGGCCCACATTATATTTCTATTGGATAGTGTGGTGCTAGACTTTCTATTTTACCTAAATGTCCATTAACAAGGGATGGGTTCCACACATCATGGTGCATCTACACAAGGGGATGATATGCAGCCATTAAGAAGAATGAAGGATATCTCTTTGAGTAGAAACTAGAAAACTGCAGAGTTATTGGTAAGTTGAAAAAAATGGGCAAGGAATGGGCCAGTATGTATTGTATGATCTCATTTGTGTATCAAAAGCACACAGATGCTTATATATGCACGGAATAAGTTTGCAAGGACACACAAGTAACTGTTATTCTAGATGATTTTGACATGTATGTTTCACTTGAAACTCTCCAGTACTATTTGAAATTTTAACAACAAACGTGTCATTTTACAATAACAAACCATTAAATATATTTATTTTCATATATTTAAAAATAACATATAATGGTTTACGTAACATAAAACTATTAAAATAAAAAATAAATAAAATAAAATTTTAAAAATCAGAGTTTCTATTATTCAATTCATAGCTTTATTTCTATTCCTCCACTTGTAAACACCCCTTTCAACTTCTTCTCTCTTTCTTTTTTTTTTTTTTTTGAGACGGAGTCTTGCTCTGTCACCCAGGCTGGGGTGCAGTGGCGCAATCTTCGCTCACTGCAAGCTCCGTCTCCCGGGTTCACGCCATTCTCCTGCCTCAGCCAGCTGAGTAGCTGGGACTACAGGCGCCCGCCACCACGCCCGGCTAATTTTTTTGTATTTTTAGTAGAGACGGGGTTTCACCGTGTTAGCCAGGATGGTCTCGGTCTCCTGACCTCGTGATCCACCCGTCTCGGCTTCCCAAAGTGCTGGGATTACAGGCGTGAGCCACCGCGCCCGGCCAACTTCCTCTTTCTTATTCCTCCCTTTCTGTCCTATTCTTTCCAAACCTTCTCTTTCCTCTCTCCTTCAAAACCCACAAGGGTCTATGAATGAGGAGCCATTCCACTTCTGTTGGCTCCCCTTGCTCAACTGCTGCCTCTGTCTTCCCGCCAAGGAAGAGCCTGAGGAAGGGCACCATGTTGGTTGGGTACTGCTCGATTCCAGACACAATAATCAAAGATGGCCGCTGTGGAGAAAGAGACCTACCTAGTGGAAATACATCCTACCATTTCTTCCTAGCAATTTTGCCACATTCATGTTAAGAGAGGGCTACACAGAAGAGAGGACAATAACTCAGTAAATTGTGTCTGTGTGTTTTTTTCTTTCCTGGTTCAAGGGTGGGTGGAGGCAGGGTAAATGCAGGAGGCACTGGAGAGAAGGTTTGGTCCATGTTTGGGAAACCAATTTAATTGCCACCTGCAGTTAAAAATCACTAAGAGGGTTTAAGTGTTTTGAAAAGAGAACTATAGCGGTTGGAGAAAGGAAAAAAGCTCTCCAGCTTCTGGAAAACAGGTATAACAAGAGATGTGTTTGCTCCAGGGCAGATGGGAACCTCAGTCCTTAGAGTTTAATTGAGAGAGGAAGAAAGACAAGAGGTCTCAGCAGACTGTCAAGCAGATAATAGCTTCCGAAGGGTGGGTCTGCAAGAACTGAGAAATGAAAGACCTGTTGATGTGTGTAGGGGACAAGTGGTGTGGGAAAATACCAAATTTTCTTTTACACTCCTTCTCAATGCAAATGGAATAAATTCTTTAGAATAAAGAAGGGTTTTGAATGTCTGTTGGAACTTTTTTGTTTATCACAGAGAGACCTTCCCCTCCCCCTTCTCCCCCAAAAAGTTAAGAACCTGGCAGTGCAATCAGTAGCAGGAACACTGGACGGGGAGTCAGGAGACAGCCATGGTCCTGAATTTGCAGAATATGACAACAAATGATATATGTGAAATTCCCCTGGAAGCTGTAAAGCATAGTTAACTGCGGTTAAGTGTGGTTAACTGTTATGAAACTTAAGTTTGTCTGTGGCCCTTCCCATTTCTTCCCCTTTTGGGCCCTCTTCTCTTCCAACCTGTTGGTACAAAAACTACTGGGCCCAAGGTTTGAAAGGAATCCAATTCAAAGAACATATGTTGGTCCCAGAAGAGATCACCTAGACTGAAGAACGTTTTCAGCATCCTAAGTTAATGGTAACTCAGCTATTTTTAAAGTAATATCCCATTCAAAAATTGGAGGGCTAGGAAGAGATTTGTTAAATTATACAAAATTACAGCTGGGGAGGAGGAAAAAGTTCTAGTGTTCTATGCCATTGCAGGATGACTATAGTTAAAAATCACGTATCATTTCTAGGCATGGTGGCATGTGCTTGTAGTCCCAGCTACTCGGGAGGCTGAGGCAGGACGATCGCGTGAGCCCAGGAGTTTGAGTCCAGCCTGGGCAACACAGTGAGACCCAGTCTCTAAAAGAAGAAAGAATTAAAAAACCCAAATGATAATATATAGTTTCAAATAGCTAGAAGGAGGATACTGAATGTTCCCAACACAAAGAAATGATAAATGTTTGAGATAATGGGTATGCTAATTACCCTGATCTGATCACTATACATTATCTGTATACCCCATGTATATGTACAAATAATTACATTTGTCAATTTTAAAACAACTTAAAAATTGGAAGCAAACAATTTACCTTTAAGAGGAATTCTGCGTTCAACATAAAGCTAGAATGCCATATATTATCCTATACAATTTTTAAGTACTAAATGCTTTTTTCAGATTAAGTCTAGCAAGCTGATTTCTGGACTGAAGGACTGACATCATACTGCTCTACAGAGGCGAGATAAGGAGAAATGGACCCTCCATACATTGTACCTCACCAGCCTTGGGATTGGCTTTATGGGCTCCAGTGGCCCAAGTCCTGGGGACACAGTTAGCTAAAATATCTCCTTGCCTCTTCCTCACTCCCAAAAGTTAGTCCGTCACCAAGTTCCGTTGATTCTACTTACCAAATCTGTCCAGAATCTGGCCATTTCTTACCATCAGCACTGCCACCACCCTAGACCAAGCCACTATTGCAGGCAGAAGTCTCCTAAGTGGCCTCCCAGCCCCCTCTCCTGCCCTCTGGCTCTACGAAGCAGCCACAGTCAGCTTTTTAAAAGAGCAGCCCTACTGCATCTCCCTTCTGCTTGGACCTCGGATGAGGAGATCTTTGGCTAATATGTCTACCCCTGTGACCTGAAAGCTCAGGGTGCCAGCAGGAACCCTGTCTGTTTTGATGACCACTGTAATCTCAGGCCTGGCCTCATGCCTGGCATGTAGTAGACACTTATTTGTTGAATGAAGGAATGGATTTTAGCAGTGCACATTTGTACAGTGCTTTAAAGGTAACAAAAACTTCATTTGATGCTCAGAATAACCCTGTCATAACCCTGTGTTATTGCTCTCATTTTGCAGATGAGGAAATTGAGGCTCAGAGCATTGCCTATGTTGGCAGAGTTAATGCAGAGCATATTGAAATCCAGGTCTATGGGGGTCAAAAGCCCATGCCTTTCTGGCTAAACCCCTCAGAGAGCTACGGGAGTGTGGAGGGCATGGAGTTGAGAGGCACTTTGATATTTCTTGGCTGTATAAGGGGCTACTTTACTCAGGCCTTCAGGGCCCTAGAGGCAAGTCCTGTGGGGATTCCCTGCCAACCAGCCCGGGAGGACAATGGATTCTAAATCAGGCTTTCCTGGATGACTACTCTAACTACAGTGACCTTATTTTCTGAATCTCAAATCAGAATTCTTGGTCTGACAAACAGAATAAAATACTTGAAACTGGGACTTTTCTGGAAAATCCAGGGCACAGAGTTGCTGTACCTATACCACATGGCAGCTACATAATGGGCACTTCTTGGCAAATTCTGACCCAGACACCTTGGTCTATCACATCTCAAGAAGATTTCTTTTACATAACAAAAGCTGTTTTCTGGGCCTCACCCCAAATTCTTTCCATCTACATTTCTTGTTTGCTCGTTTAATTACTTCCCTTACTTGCTCTTATCTTTCCTGTTTACAGCTTTCTTCTCAGTCTGCCCGAAAGAGCTTCTAGGTCCTGCTTGCTGATGGATGCTATAAGCGATTGAGAGAAATCATAAGCAAAAGTGCTTGGGAACCATGGCAACAGGGGCCATGGCAACAGGGGCCAAGCACTGAGAGACAGCCCTTCCTGGTTTCTGTTTTAGACCAAGTGGTGCTGATAAGGCCTGATGGTCCCATTGTGTCTGCTAATCAGGCAACACTGTTAGCAGGAGGCATTATGGCAAAATTCTGGTTTCAGAAAGAGCTTTGCAATGCTCTTGCTTTACTGCACCCTGCGTTGCAATGGTGGGCTCATGGTAAAGGGCATTGCCAAATCCAGGGTTGAATCTAAAATTTGCCCCAATTACTCCTCACATGTGGTTCAAGTATACTTAGAGCTCCATGATGGACAGGCAGGCAGGTCCCAGTGTTAGGGTGACAACTGCAAAAATTTGGTTATCATTCTCTTGGGCCTGGAAGTCGAGAATCATAAGGTTACTCAAGCAATAGATCCTAAGGATTTATACTGATGTCTGGGAGAGAAGGGGCTCTTAGTGAATTGGGGTGCAAAGTCTCTTCCCATGGAGGTTATCCATCTCTCTGATGTACCAGGTGCCCTTGAACAAAAGGGTGGGCTCTGGAGGGGCTGTGAACCTGCCCTGCCTTTTTCTTGTCTTGTTTTTTTTTTTAGATGACGAACTCTTTCAAGCATATGAAAAAATATCAGGAACAAATTCATTTCCCTTTATTTGCCCCAGAACATTTTTCCTAAAGAAATAAAATACTACAGCTTGAGTCAAAGCCCCCTGCATGTTTTGAAATGTGCTATGTATGTGCTCATAAACAATAAACTATACAGTATGGGTTGTATGTTCTTAAACTGTATAAATTGCATCAAATTGTCCATACCATTCTTTGCCATCATGAACATTCACAGCATATATGCCATCATTCACCTGTCTCAGAGTTTCTCTAGGGTATAGACCTAGGAGTGCAATAACCGAGGTAAAGGGTGGAAGTGTAACTTCTTAAGCCTTTTTGAGGGTAATATTCTGGTACTTATTTAAAGTAACTATTTATACACTGTTGGATGCTGTAACTGCACTTTCATAAAGCTATACTAGGGCTGGGCACGGTGGCTCACACCGGTAATCCCAGCATTTTGGGAGGCCAAGGCAGGTGGATCACCTGAGGTCAGGAGTTTCAGACCAGCCTGGCCAACATGGTGAAACCCCGTCTCTACTAAAAATACAAAAATTAGCCAAGCGTGGTGGAGCACACCTGTAATCCCAGCTACTCGGGTGGCTGAGGCAGGAGAATTACTTGAACCCAGGAGGTAGAGGCTGCAGCGAGCTGAGATCATGCCACTGCACTCCAGCCTGGGCAACAGAGAAGAGTAGGTTTTGAAAGAAAGAAAGAAAGGAAAAGAAAGAAAGAAAGAAAGAAAGAAAGAAAGAAAGAAAGAAAGAAAGAAAGAAAGAAAGCAAGCAAGCTATACTAGGGGAATATTCACACACACGCACACAGATATAAGTCCAAGGATGTTCATTGCTCCATTGCTAGTAATAAGGTGAAAATGGAAGCATCCTCAACATCTATCAATGGAAGGTGAGGCAGACAACCTGTGGGTCACCCACCCTATAGAATACCTTGGACTTTGGAAGGAAGCAGGCCCTTTCTCAGCCATCTCCTTGACTCCTGGATTGAAGAAATAATGTTGCTCACAGCACAAGGCCAGGTATTCAGGAAATGACTGGTAACTGCTTGTGTATTGGATGGAGATAACCTGACTACTGCCATGTAGGGACCTGGCCAAGGTTCTACATCTGCAGAGAAACCACCTTTCCTGGCAACAAATTCCAATATATCTGGGTAAACAGTCCAGAGAATAGATTAGAACTCAGGTTATAGAACCATCATAAGGAGACAGACTTTATAAATATTTGAAAGCAATATTAGCAAATTGATGAGATGGCTTGCCTTGTCTCAAAGCTAATTGAACAAGAGAAATAAAAGGCTTTTTCCTTTAGTTGTGAACATCAAGAAGTAGACATATTTGTGGTACCTGGCTGTGTGTTGACTTGAGAAGTCCAAACTTATCTCTAGAAACACAAGCACACTTGCATTTACCAGGAGCTTAGCAGACACAAGTCAGGAAGTTTAACTTGAAAAATGACACGAATCCTCTCAACAGATAATACTTCTTGAATGTCTTTATGCATTAGGCACTGAGGTGGGTGCTTTGCATTCTTTGTCTGGACTAGTTTTCATAACAACACTGCAAGGGAGATACTATAAGCCTCATTTTATTGGTAAGGAAATGGAGAAGTCAAGAAACTTGCCCAAGGTCACCACAGTTAGTGATAGTCAGGATTTGAACTCAGATCTGTTGGGTTACAAAGCCTGTGTTCTTCTCAATACTTCACTTTGGAGATAGAAGTATTAATGCAGTTAATGAATTTGCTGAATTTGGCCTTAAGTCTAAAATATCAAAGAGGAATCCAACAATGTTCCCCATGCCTCCCTCACTCACAGCCTCCTCCTGAACAGAGTTGACAGAGGGATTCCTCAATCTTGGATCACTATTTACTCATTCAGTAAATATTTTGTTGAGTGGCTACTCTGTGCCGGGCACTGTTCTTTAGGTCACAAATGGACACACCAGACAGCCTGGGCCTGAGTCAAGGGTAGCCATCTTTCAGTTGGGTCTGAGGGTGCCCAGAGGCCCGTGAGGTGCTTTGCACTGAGCACTCAGGCTGATAAGAATGTTCCAGAAGGTGGAGTGACCAATTGACCCAATAAGAACCCCTCTCTTGGGGAACGTGTATGTGACAGATACATACAGAGGAGCACAGGCAGTGAGGTGGCCCAGAACCCAGGAGAAGCCCAGGGAGACAGCAGTAGCAGAGCCATGGAGAATGGGGAAAGCAAAGTCGTGGGGAGCAGTCTTGTCCAGCACTCCTGAGACATCAGTTGTGAAGAGCAGTGGCTGCCAGGGAGGGGTTCACTTATGCATTAATTCTTACACTTATGTCCCATCGCCCAAGGAAACGGAAGCACACCTTTGTTCTCGCAACCTGAAACAGGCCATCTAACCTACAGCTCTTGGAAACTCATACTATGAAGAGCTGTGCTTCACAAGGCACAAGCTTGCACTTCTGAACCTGGATCTTGAGTTCTGTATTTGGTCCTCTTGGTGCGTGTGTGTGTGTGTGTTCATGTGTGCATGCATGTGGTGACAGTGAATTAAAATACATTTTGCTGGAGGCCCCCCTCTGCCAGCAAACTGGCTTCCAATCCAGGCTTCCTAGTCCTGGCTTGAGATTCAGAAATGGTTCTGCATGAAGCTGAAAGAGGGTAGTAAGGATCAAAGAATCTCTTTTGACACTCTAGGACTTGCACCACGTGGGTTTGTGGATCATGGGTATCCTGGAGTGCTGCTAGACACCTAAGGTCTTGGGGACACAACACTTGTGGGCTACATCCACCGCTGGGCTATTGTGAGAGCCTCAACCATACTCATGGGGAACAACTGGAAAATCTCTGCCTTCCCTGACCACACTCCCACCCCCACCACCTCAGGTTCTCATCCTGCTCTCCAAGCACACATTTAAAAGGCTTATCACATGCTGTGATGCGGAGAGAGGATATGGAGGAATAGGCACTCCTATATACAGCTAGTGGCAGGGTCAACTGAAACAACTTCTTTGGTGGGCAGTTTGGCATTAACCGTCAAAATTTTTTTTTTTTTTGAGACGGAGTCTCGCTCTGTCGCCCAGGCTGGAGTGCAGTGGCGCGATCTCGGCTCACCGCAAGCTCCGCCTCCCGGGTTCACGCCATTCTCCTGCCTCAGCCTCCTGAGTAGCTGGGACTACAGGCGCCCACCACCACGCCTGGCTAATTTTTTTGTATTTTTAGTAGAGACGGGGTTTCACCATGTTAGCCAGGATGGTCTAGATCTCCTGACCTGGTGATCCACCCGTCTCGGCCTCCCAAAGTGCTGGGATTACAGGCGTGAGCCACTGCGCCCGGCTAACTGTCAAAAATTTTAATGCACATTCCTGTTCACCCAACAATTCCACTTCTTTCCAGTATAGATTTAGTGCATATGAAGATACATGAACAAAGAACACATGAACATTGGAGTACTATGTGTAACAGCAAAATACTGGCAACAACTCCAGTAGGAGACGGGTCAGATAAATTGTGGTTCAGCCATATAATGGAATTCTCTGCAGCCACTAATAATAATTATGTAGCTAAGATATGTACTGATGTGGAATGTTCTCCAAGATACAATGTCAGGTGAAAAAAGTAAGGTGCAGAATGTTGTGTATAGTATGTCATCAGTTACATTAAAAATCTTTCTCTATCTTTCTTCCCCACCCCCTCTCCATACACACACACACACACACACACACACACACACACACTCACATACACTTGTATATGCACAGGTCATTTTGGGAATGACACTAGAAACTGGTATCTGTGTTTGCCTCTTGAGGGAGGAGCTGTTAAAGTGGGGATGGGGGGTTAGGGGTAGGCAGGAGAATGACTTTTTTCATGAAATAGTCTTTTACACTGTTGAATTTCTTTCCACAGACATATAGTACTTTAAAAATGTAATAGTAATAAGCAAAAGCAAAATTAATTGCAGAATTCCTCATCAATAGGGGATTGGTTAAATAAATTGTGGTACGTTCTTACTAAGGAATACTATACAACTATTGAAAAGAAGATATATTCTGCCATAGAAAGATGTCCATAGACATATTAAGTTTTAAAAATCAAGGCTCGGTGTAAAATACATAAATAATTCCATTTATGTAAAAAGATACGGCCGGGCACGGTGGCTCACACCTGTAATTCCAGCACTTTGGGAGGCTGAGGCAGGAGGATCGCTTGAGCTCAGGAGTTTGACACCAACCTGAGCAACACGGTGAAACCCTGTCTCTACAAAAAATACAAAAAATTAGCCGGGTGAGGTGGCGTGTGCCTGTGGTCCCAGCTACTTGGGAGGCTGATGTGGGAGGATCACTGGAGCCTGGGAATTCGAGGCTGCAGTGAGCCATGATTGCACCACTGCACTCCAGCCTGGGTGACAGAGCAAGACCCAGTCTCAAAAACAAAACAAAACAAAACAAACAAACAAACAGCAACAACGACAAAAACAAGATATAAATACAAACACACATGCAGGCATATTCATAGGAAAAGTTCTGGGATGATATGAGCCCCACTGTTACTGTGCGTAGTCTTCGAAAAAGACTAGAATTGGTCAAGTTAAAGGCAGACTTTCATTTTTTACCCTAAATACTTGTTGATTCACTTTAGATTTTTTTTTTGTACAATAAGTTAGTATTTTATTTTACAATAAAATGCACAAATGATAAATTAGAGGCAGGATAACAAGTCCCACTCTTAGAGGGATCTGCATTCTAAAACTTGGTTTCCTTCTACACTCCTCCATCCCAGATCCCCCAGTGGCTTCTCAGAGCAGACAGACCCAGCTCCCAAGCCTGGCTTGGGTGTTGCTGTGGTTGCATCTCACCTTTTCTCCCACTGCCCCTTCACACTTTCCTCTGGAAAGGCCACTGGGATGCCTCCCCAGCCCCAAGCAGGTGTTCATCTTTCTTCACTTATTCAATTTGCTTCCCTCATGCTCTATGCACCTAGATACTGCTTCCTCCCCACTCCACCCCTAGTATATTGAACTTCCTTTCACTCACGCTATAGACCCAGCCACCTCCTACAAGCCCTCTGGAATCCTCTTGCCCATTAGCGAGTGAGTACCCCAGGGACTCATTCTGAGCTTGGGAAGCTGCCTTGTGACATTCTTTATTGGGCTATCTTGTATTGCTAGTTAACTTCCACAGAATCATTTAACTATAATGTGAATAATCACTCTTTTGTTTACGAAGCACTTCCACAATTATTACTTTTTTTTTTTTTTAACAAATCCTCCTGTCCATTTCACGAGGTAGGCAAGGCAAGTATTGACATTATTATTCTCATTTCATTGATGAGGAAACTGAGGGGTAGGGAGGCTTCTTGTTCAAGGTGACACAAGTAGAAAGTGATCTAGAGGAACCTAGATCTTCCTGACTAGTCTAGGACACCTGCTTTTGTTCCCCCAGTCAGAATATAAGTCCCTGGAGGACAGGAAATGTGTTTTCAATGACTCTGTGCACAGTAAAGGGGCAAAGGGAAAGTCATCAGCATTCTGATGGCAAGCTTATGAAGAGGACAGGACAATCGGCCATCCGAAGGGTATGTAGTGAGGACTTGCCAAGTGCTTAGGTCAGGGCTGCATGCTGGAAGGAGACAAAGGCCGTCTTCATGTGAGGCCAACGCACCAATGAATTAGAACACAATCAAATATGAAATGAAAGCGATTTGAGGTGGTACCCAGACGAACTTTTTCCTTTCTTTTTTTTTATTATGATTTTTTGAAACAAGGTCTCCCTGTTACCCAGGCTGGAGTGCAGTGGTGCAATCACAGATTACTGCAGCCTGGTCAGTCTGGTGGTGATGTGTAGTATGGACTGAAGTAGGCTTCATAAGGGACCCCAGAAAATGTCACTAAGGTGTTAATGCCCAGAAGAGTCAGGCCTTGAAGCCAAAGTCAAGGCCATTTCACGGAGACCCATGTGGGAGTTGTGCTTTGTCATGTGTTATTTAAGGTGTTAAGAAAAATTATCTAAAACTTAACCACAAGGCAAAAAATATCACTGATACCCTTTTAGGAGCATGTGAGAGCACCATCCATGCAGCTGTTTGACTTACAATTCCCTATTAATTAAGTTCCAGACTCGGTAAAGTTAAAAGTTAACTTGTAGAAGAAGGAGAAGTTGCAAATGATTTTTGTCTGGTAGAAATGAAAATTAATTCTGTCCGGTAGAAAAGGCAGCCACAAAGGTTACCGTTATATTACTCTGTAGAACTAACCAGTTTTTGTTTTTGTTTTTTTTGAGATGGAGTTTCGCTCTTGTTGCCCATGCTGGAGTGCAATGGCGCAATCTCAGCTCACCACAACCTCTGCCTCCCGGGTTCAAGCTATTCTCCTGCCTCAGCCTCCCGAGTAGCTGGGATTACAAGCATGCGCCACCATGCCCAGCTAATTTTTGTATTTTTAGTAGAGACGGGGTTTCTCCATGTTGGTCAGGCTGGTCTCGAATTCCCGACCTCAGGTGAGCAGCCCGCCTCGGCCTCCCAGGGGAGCAGCCCGCCTCGGCCTCCCAAAGTGCTGGGATTACAGGAGTGAGCCACTGCACCCGGCCAGAACTAACCAGTTTTGTATCCAACTTTTTTTGTTTATTTGTTTGTTTCTCGAGATGGAGTCTTGCTCTGTCATCCAGGCTGGAGTTCAATGGCGCGATCTTGGCTCATTGCAACCTCCGCCTCCTGGGTTCAAACGATTCTCCTGCCTCAGCCTCCCGAGTAGCTGGGATTATAGGTGCGTGCCACCACGCCTGGCTAATTTTTTTGTATTTTTAGTAGAGATGGGGTTTCACCATGTTGGCCAGGCTGGTCTTGAACTCCTGACCTCGTGATCTGCCCACCTCGGCCTCCCAAAGTGCTGGGATTACAGGCGTGAGCCACCGCGCCTGGCCCCAACTTTTAAATCTTATTCCAGCATTCTTGTGAAGTCTCTCACACCTTTTTAAAACTACTTTGTTGCAGTAAAATATACGTAAGACACAATTTGCCCTTTTAAGTGTACAATTCAATGGCATGAAACCTATTCACAATGTTGTACAACCATCACCACTATGGATTTCCAAAATGTTTCATCACCCCAAACAGACACACTGTAACTGATAAGTAGTAATTTCCTATTTCTCCCTCTCCTAGGCCCTGGTAACTTCTAGTCAACTTTCTGTCTCTCTGAATTGGTCTGGTCTACATGTTTCATATAAGTGGAATCATACAATATTTGTTCTTTTGTGTTTGGTTTCTTTCGGTTAGCATAATGTCTTCAAGACTAAACTATATTGTAGCATGTGTCAGAACTTCATTCCTTTTTTTGGTTGTATAATATTCCACTTTATGGATATCCCAAATTTTATTTCTCTACTCATCTGCCAATGGACATCTGGGTTGTTTCCACCTTTCAGCTATTGTCAATAATGTCTCACTGCAGGTCAGACCCCCCAGGCTGGGATGACCCCCAGCCCAGCCTTCCTTCATAGCCCAGGCCCTCTCACAGCCCAGTGCTATGAACATTCATGCAACTGAACATACCTGTTCAAGTCTCTGTTTTCACTTCTTTTGGGTATATACCTAGAAGTGGAACTGATAGGTTATATGGTAATTCTATGTTTAACTTTTCAAGGTAATTCTATGTTTAACTCTCGTATCTTTTTTAAAAAATCAGCTTTACTGTAATGAGTTAAATAAATCTTTGACACGTGATCATTATACATTTGAATGAGACTCATGTTTTTACCCCTTTGAAAATTACATCTTGATAAGGGTGGTTTATTTACCTTGCTTTTTTTTTTTTTTTTTTTTTTTTTGAGATGGAGTTTCACTCTGTCTCCCAGGCTGGAGTACAGTGGCATAATCTCAGCTCACTGTAACCTCTGCCTCCCAGGTTCAAGTGATTCTCCTGCCTCAGCCTCCCGAGTAGCTGGGATTACAGGCACCTGCCACCACACCCAGCTAATTTTTGTATTTTTAGTAGAGACAGGGTTTTGCTATGTTGGCCAGGCTGGTCTTGAACTCTTGACCTCAAGTGATCTGCCCGCCTTGGCCTCCCAAAGTGCTGGGATTATAGGCGTAAGCCACCAAGCCCAGCCTACCTTGCTAACCCTTACAGCAGAAAGCCGACCCCTGCGCCTCCCTGTGACCCCCATTACTTACTGCATCTCCCTATAAGGAAGTATGAGAAATGAGGGCCCCCTTGTTTAACCAACGAGGCCAGCAAGATATTTTGGTAGATCCAAAGAGAAAGGAAATTTTTAATTAGGGTCCTGTGGTAGTGATGGGAAATGAAGTCATGTGAGGGCTACAGAACATGTGTATCTTTATTATTGCTGGGAACATATGAAGCTGGAACATCTTTCTCCTCTGGAACACAAAACAACTGTTGGTTCCCTACAGCATTATGACTTCTGCTAGGAAAGCTCTAGAGAAAAGCTGTGCTTTAGGTGAACTCTGGGACCAGGCAGACCACAAGGAGGCCCATTGGGAGAGATGCTAGAATTCTTTTTGTTCAGCCTCAAAATTTGTCTTCATTGGCATCTGACAGGGAAGGAGGCCCCGAGGAATCTTTTAGGCAGGGAAGGAAGAGGAGAAAAAGGACTTGGCCTGGAGTTTGAGGAGGAGGGTGGGCACAAAGGTGGGGGAGAGGGCGCAGCATACGGGTGGTAGGGAGGGAGTAGGGAGCAGCTGCACTGCCTGGGACCCAACTCCTCAAAGAGGATTTTTAGTTGCCTCTATGTGGTATTTTCTTCAAACTATACCCCCCCACAAAAAAAAAAAACAAAAAAAAAACAAAGAATTTCTCCTAGAGCAGTGATCATACAGAAAATCAGAGGTGTTCTTGGTCTCACACATTTTTAGTGTTTCAAACCAAGAAAGTTTTGCTTTTTTGAATAAGGCTGACATTTTAAAATACCTGTATTTCCCCCCTTACAGCTCAAAAGGAACTAACTGGATTTTGATCCCAGTTTTCTCAAGTTTGAGACAAGATATGGAAGAGCAGATGAGTGCAATGGATGAATTTCACAGGTGGTTAAGAAGGTGCAGGAAAAAGAAAACCAGATTAAAAAAGAATGTCATGGTTATAAATATGATCCGAATATATCTATTTCTGAAAGCATACCGGGCAGGTTAAGAAAATAAAGGTAAAAACCTACTTTCTTCTGACACCCTTATTTTGCTATCTTGCAGGGCTAGGTCAAGATGAAATATATGTAATAAGCAAAGAACTGCATGTGTCTTTGAGAGGGGCTGGGTGGTACAGGGGAGAGGGCCTGGGCTATGAAGGCAGGCTGTGCTGGGGGTCATCCCAGCCAGGGGGGTCTGACTTGCAGTGAGGTCTAAAGCAAACCCTGGATCTCTGTTTTCATATGTTTAGGGTGAGGACAATAATTCGTGCCTTAGAGGGTTGTTAGAAGGGTCATAATAGAAGGCCTCCAAGAAAAGCACGAACAAAGTGCTGTGGAAACCTGGTCTTTGGTACACATCACAGGTACACATCACATCACTTACTGCACTGTTCTGGAATAGTCCCTTTTTATATCTGTCGCCCTGGTGATACCAGAAGTTCCCTGTGACTTGTTTGCCTCTGTAACCTCCTTGCCTGTAAGCCCGGTGACTGGAACATCATACCCAGCCATTCTGTCTTTTAGCAAACATTTACTAGGTCCTACCAGCTGCCAGCTCTTGATAGCCACACTCTGCCCTCCAAACCACTGTTCTCTCCTCGCTGCCTCCTCAGCACTGAAGCCCCAGAGGCTCTGACCAGACCCGTGTGGTGGACACTGTGATGTGTGCCCAGATTCCCGTTCAGGACTGAAGGCCTTATTCCCTCAGCCGCGGAACTGCTGCTGGCTGACGGCCCTCTTTGGGAAGTGCCCAGCTACCTCCTCAGACAGAGATGCTTTGCTCAAGGCTATGCTTCCTCCTGGGGGCAGCCTGCATCTAAGGACTGGTCCCCTCACCCTGACTCAGAACAACTCTAAAGGACCAACCCAGCTCCAGAGCTCCCCAAGTGTCAGCTGA
This sequence comes from Homo sapiens, assembly GCF_000001405.40. Lineage (NCBI taxonomy): Eukaryota > Metazoa > Chordata > Mammalia > Primates > Hominidae > Homo > Homo sapiens. The sequence goes on along the minus strand of NC_000023.11, from coordinate 72,084,471 downwards.
GGCTGTCATTAGGACAGCATCATAGTCCAATTTCTCCCTCCAACCAGTCCTGCATCTTTCCCTTAGACTCTAGATGCTGATCCTAGCAGTACCCCAATAAACTTCCCGCATGTGACCTGCAGACCCCAGGCTGGGTTTGTGGCCTGTGCAGGCTCTGGCTTGGCATCTGGAAAGCCTCAATTCCAAGTGACACCAGGAGCTGTGATAGTCCCCAGGACCAGTCACTGACATAGGCCTCACTCACAGTTATATTCTCTCTCCCCCTCTCTTCTCAAGCTTTTCTTATAAAATGCATTGGCAACCAAGGGTGGAGGATATAGGCCTGTAAGTGAATGATGGGAATGTGAGAGATGCTACAATAGAGACATGAACCTGGTGCTAAGCTGAACTTAACCTGGGGGATTTGAAGGAAGGCTTCCTGGAGGAGGTGCCATTTAAACTGAGTCTTGAAGGATAAGCTGAGGTTTGATGAGTGGGCAAGGATATGGGAAAGACATTCCAGAAAAAGGATGCAACATGCTGGAAGGCACGACAGTGTGTGGGCAGGGGGAGTAAGGGGCAATAAAATCTGGGACAAGAGTAGAGACAGATCGTGCAGGGCCTTCTAGGCCTTAGGAACTTGGTGCTCAGAAAACACCTGCTGAGTGAATGCCACATTCCAGTGTTCCCCAAGTTTTGGCCATTAGGGTACCAGTTTCACAAGTTTTGCTGTATGTAGGCACCACTGGTTCTATTTACAATTCACTTAATCTTTTTCTCTAAGTGAATTGTTTTTTTTTCTTAAACAAATAAATCTATATTAAAAGAAATTCTATATGGAAACCATAACCAAAACCAAAAGGAGTATCACTTGCCATAAATAGAAAGTGGCTGTATAAAGAAATACAATGAGAACAGAAGAGAGTAATTAAATTCTATGTAGATATTGTTGCCTGTCCATGTCTTTGAGCCTGAGGCCTGCTCTAGCTTTGTTACAAAAGAAGATTAGTAAGCATTACAGAAGTTGAAGAATAGCACCACACTGAGACCTTGTCCTTGATGTAATCAGAAAGCTGGAAAGAGAAGGAAAAGAGAATCATTTTCTCACCATGTAATTCAATGTTCTTTAAAGATGTACTATGTGCCATTAAAATCGCCTTGGAGTTCCCTCCCTGCCACTTCGCAGACTGTGAAAACAGTTGGTAAGCACTAAAGTAGCCTACAAATGTGGTTGTTATTGCCACTCTGTCGCTGTGGCCATTGGCTCTGGAGCCATTGCTTGGCTCAGCGAAGGTTTCCAAACCAGTGCCTTTGGCTACCCTCATCCCAACACTGTAGGGGGGAACCAGCAACGGTGGGGCTGGAGAGAGGGGGACCCTGGGAATCCTAGACTCTTTGAATCAGAAGGGCCAGAGAGAGTGTCTTATCTTCCCACTCTGGGGAAGCTGGGACCACAGAAGGGACACAATTTGTCCAAGGCCACAGAGGTGGTTAGTGTTAGCAGTCTAGGGAACTGTTAACATGAAAAAAAACAATAGTATAGTTCATTGTTTTAGGCTACTGATCCCAGTAGCTGTTATCTGCAAGGCTGGAGTACAGAATGTGGGAGAAGCCAGCCCATGAGGCCTGAGAGCATGGGGCACCATCAGAGATATCAAACTGCTGCGCTCTTCAGCCTGGCCGAGGTTGGCGGTGGGCCTGAGGCCTGTGTGATGGGCAGTGTGGAAAGAACCTACCAGAGGCTCAAGTGTTTATAAAAGAAACCCAAGGAAATGAGAGAGGCCAGCACATCAGAGCTGCTCCAAAGGGCAGTGCCAGGTCAGCCAGGGACATCCTGGGACTGGGCAAAGCAACTAAGCTTTGGAGTTTGATGGGCCTGGGTTCAATCCCTGTTCTGTCGCTTCCTAACTATGTATGACTTAAGGTAAGTCATTTCAGTCACTTAAGCCTCCTCACTGGAGTATAATGTGGGTAAGGATGGTACCCACCTCACAGGGTTTTTGTGAGGATCACACAACCAATACAATCAATGCAAAGACAATGCATCTCAGTCAATCTTGGTGCTTTATTTGCCTCCTGGACTCCTGCTAAAGTGCTGAATTTACTTTTGCAATACTAAGGCATGTAGGCAAGGAGAGGCAGGAAAGGGGAGGCAATTAATGCAAAGCTCCTAGCACAGGCCTGGTACATTACTTAGCATTGCTTCCTTCCCCACCCTCGCCCCTGCACCCTGCGCAACCAGATTCCTGACCATACATTTTCTTCTCTCTGGCTCCCTCCCCTAGCCCAGACTCCCAAGCCCATACCTCCAGGCCCTGTCTGACCTATTCTTGTGCTCACCTGGCCCACTTATCTCAGCTATGGGGTTAATGAGGAGTCTTTCAAGTATATGCAGATAAGAAAGTTGAAGGGTCACACTTCACAGGGTGGGACAGGGACCTCCTTCACCTAGAGACAGGGGAAGGTGGATGCTCTAGGGCCGATGCCTGGCCAAGCAACTTGTGCGTCTCACTGGAGGGAGAGGCCAGCTGTGGCCTCTGTCTGTCGAGGTCGCGGCTCTGCTGGTAGAGAACAAAGAAAAACTCTGGTCTCCTGTGGCATTAGAAGGCAGTGCCTGAAGCAAGTCCCTCCATTAAAAGCTACAGGACGGAAGGTTAAATATAGCCCTTTCCAGTTGTCTAGGACAAAGATTTATGAAATGTCAGAGCTGTGTTAGAGTGAGAAACGATCTTATCTCAGCTCTGTTTTTAGAGAGTAGAAAGGAGGCAATAGAGAAGAGAAATAAATCCGGACTTTCACCAGTGGGCCATGGGAGGCCATCACAGGATTTTGAGCAGCTGCGTCTGTTTTTTAAAGGCTCGCTCATGCTGCAGAGTGGAGAATGGGCTGGAGAGTGGAAGCAGGGAGCCCCATAGGAGGGAGAGAGATGAGGGAGGCCAAACCAGGTGAGAAGTTGTGAAGGTGGAGGTCAGGGGGGTGTTGGGCCTTCATCCCAGGTGAGGGTGGCCCCTCCTTCCCATTCTCTCTCCCTCAGAAGCAGAAAGCTCGCTCCTACATGCCCTTCTTCTCTAGGGCTCACTCTGTGTCTCTGTGAAAAAAGTAACCTGCAAAAGTTACCAAGACCCTTGGCTCCTTTTCAAGGCAGGCCACTGCACCCATGGAGGGTCTGTTGGAAAGTTCCTCCTTGTCTACAGACCTCAGCTTTGCCTCCTGAGGCCCCACGCAGACCGCATCTACTCCCATCATCCAGTGACAGTCCCTCAAAGACCTGAAGACCAAAGATCACTTTCCTCTGATTCTTCTCCATGCCAAACAGCACGTGGTCCTCATGGGACTTCGGTTTTGGTCCCGTCACCACTTTAGCTCATAAACTGCTTTTGAGCATACGCCTGATGCAAAGGGCCAACTAAAACTCCAGAGACACAGCATGGACTCAGTCTGTCCTGCCAGCTACCTCCACAAGCAGTAGCTTCCAGACATTTTCAAGGGCATGTCACTGTGGCATCACGCGCCCCCTCCCCCACCACCACGTGGCTAGTCTTCTTCACAGAAGCCAGAGAGGGGTCCTAGTGTGGCACAGGGCCCTGTACTTGCTTCTGCCTTACTGCCAGGAGGTCTGGCTTGAACTGCAATTAGAAAGCTCTTGGTCCCTTGGTAGCAACCTGTGTGTACAGAAGACCAGTGACAGGAACCCCTTTCCTGCCTCTCCTTGCCTACATGCCTTGGTATTGCAAAAATAAATTCAGCATTTTAGCAGGAGTCCAGGAGGCAAATAAAGCCCCAAGATTGAATGAGATGGATTGAATGAGATGGAATTTTCTACCACCGAAGGGACAAGGCCTCAGAATCTGGGACAAGAGTAGAGGAAGTAAGAGGTGCAGTAATTCTTACACACACACACACACACACACACACACACACGTGCAGAATTCCTCCATCACTTTTATTAATCCTTTAGGATCCCAGAATATCAGGGTTGGGATGTGATCACATCCACCCTGTCTTCCAAAGCCATCCGATTATGAATTCCCTTCAGAGGATCTCGGTTAAGTGGCCATCCTGCCCCTCTGTGCACACCTCTAGAACGCAGTCCCACTCCCTCCCAAAGCAGCCCAGGCTGCCTCAGCATAGCTGTGAGTGCAGAAAGCTCCTCCTCCTCCATGAGCCCCAGTTCCTTCCCTTTTCCCCTCTGCTGAGCATGCACCCTTCTTCCCCCAACGACTCACCTCCCCGGATCCAGAAGAGGGTGACAGAGTCAGTTCTCTCCATCCCAGCGGTGTGGATAACCAAGAATCCACATGAGAAAAGTGTGTGCTGAGCCCACACTGGGGGCAGGGAGCCGACGGGCTCCACACTGTCCCAAACCCTGTCCCTAGGCTCCTCAGTGGGTGCCCAGGGACTTTCCTGAACCCCGTTTCCCAGCACCTTGGTCCCATCGATCACATACTCCTTTGCCCATTGAAGTTGTTCCTGGGCAGCCCAGCCTAGGGAAAGCAACTGAGGATTCAAAAGTGAGTTTCCTCTCTCTTTCTCCACCCCGCTGCACTCCACCCACAGCCACCCTGGACCCGTCGGCCCAGTCACAGCGGACAGGCGAGGGAAGTTTACTGTGAGTTGGGCTTGTCTTTCTCTAGGTAAGGTTCTCAGCCAAAGGCCCGAGTCAGAGCCCCTCAGAGGGCTGACCTCCCGCTCAGCGGCTGTCCTGCAGTGAGGGGAAATGAACAGGAACTGGCTGTCTGAGTCAGCGCCCCTGGTCTATTGTCACTGTGCAGGCCCCTTCCTTCCCAGAGGAGAGGCGTGCACAGGGATAGGCCTTGTTTTTTGCAAGTCTCTCTTCCACACACACACTTTCTCTCTTGGCCTGGAACGAGTCTGTGAACTACGGCTGGATGCAATTCCATTCAATTTCCCCCAACGCCTAGCAATGGCCTACTCTACAGCACATAGAGGTCATCTCCTATCATCCTCACCACAGAGGAGCTAAAGACAACTAGTTCCATTTAATCCAGGAGGAAACTGAGGCTCAGAAAGGGAAAGGGGCTTTCCCAAGGCCCAACAGCTAAAGGATGAGACTTGGGGTCATCCAGCTTGCTCTTCGTGGCATCAGGAGAACCCTGCCGATCTTCCCTACCTCTTCACCTACCTACACTTCCGCCAATAGACTGCAGATTCCAGCAAAGCCTATTTCCTGGTGCACAAAGCACAAGAGAATCACTGGCTTTCAAACACTGAAAACATATCTTGTTCCAATTTGTTTCTCTTTGTTTGGAAGGACAAGGACCCAGGAAACAAATCGCATGTGGGAGAAGCTCCTTACAAAGGGACTTCTTTGTTCTTCATTACTAAATGACTACATTGGCAAAATGAGCATGGGCGATGGATTGAGCCCTCGTTCCAGTAACTGTCTTCTAATCGGAAGAGAGGAATCATTGGCTCTTGCTCACAGGGTGGAAAGAGACTCAGCGTGAGACTTACTCTCTTTTCTATCTTTGCCAGGGACACAGAAAGACAAGGAAACAGCTTGAAGGAAGGCTCAAGATGGAGGTCTACCTTCGCACATGGCCAGAGCCATCTGCGTTGAAAAGACTTTCAACTCTTTGAGGGCAGGGCCAGGGCTCATGCATGGGTCTCTGGAGACCCTACCTTCAGAATGTATTTGTACAGCATGGTACAGAAGCCATATAAAAAGACTGAGGTGAAATCCCCAGACAAGGAGAATGCATTGTGTCCCTGAGCTGGGAAGAGGGTTAGTTTCCAGGAGCAAGGAATGGTTAGATGCATTCAAGAAGTTAAGTAGTCCGAGGCGTAAGCACTGTTCACTTTAGCACCACTCAGAGGGTGACCTTGGCAAGGATGGCTTCACGGAGGCCAGACTGCAGCAGGTTAAGGAGGGAAATGGGAGGGGAGGGGAGACACCTCTCAGGAAGTCTGGCTGTGGTTAGAGAGGAAAGAGGGCCGTAGCTGGAGGGAGAGGCAGAACTAGAGAAGGGAGTCAGATGTTTGTCAGGATGGGAGAGATGCTGTGTGTTTTTAAGTTGAGGAGCTTCTGTGAAAACTGCAGTTCCACCCTACCCTCTGTACTCTCTGAAGGCTGAACTTCACTTCGGACCAATTAAACCAGAACTTCTGAGGGGTGGAGCCTAGGCATTGATACTGCTTCAAATCTCCCCAGGTGGAGAACCATTGCACCAGTTTTTAGGAAAGTCCAGTCTTAAAGCCCAGCTAGTGGGCTAAAAGCAAGGACAGCCTGACTCTTACCCCCCTCACATTGGCAGATTAGCATAGGGGCTAAGAAGACAGACTTGGGAGCCCTACTGCCTGGGCTCAAATCCCAGCCTCACCATTTACAGCCTGTGTGCCCTTGGGCATGTCACTTAACCTCTCTGAGCCTCAGTTTCTAATCTATAGATCACTTATGTAGTCTACGGTTTCTCATTTATATATGCCCTTTAGGAGCTAATAAAAGGACCTGTGCCATAAAGTTGCTATGTTGACTCTGTGAGTAAATATCTGCCCACTGCTCAAGCTACTGCCTGGCTCCACAGAAGCCCTGCTGGAGCTGGCCCGTGTTTCCTAGCAGTCCTCCTATGGCCTTTCTGACCGGTACCCTGGGCCTTCCCTCTAAGGCGCAGGAGGGCCACCTTTCTAAAACACTGCTGCTCCTACTCTGGGCTTGGCTCTCCCACTGGCTATTGTCTCTGGCCTGCCTCACACATACCTGAGTTTGTCATCCTGTTTCACAGTCACATCTCACCCCGGATCCCTCTGGGCTGGAGGTGGCTTCTGTTGCTGTGGTAGGAGCTGCCATTGCACATTGCACATGGCCAGAGCCACATGTTATTTGAGATGGGAAGACTCCACAAATTAGAGTCCCAGTCCATATTTGTCTTTTGTTCCCCCAACTCAGGTTTGGGCGTTCTTTGGGCTGGAGTCATGGTAAGCTATTGTCCCTGGGTGGGGAAACGGCTGTGTATATAAGTTTCCATGACACAGACCTCATGTTTCTGGGGTTGGAGACCTGTAATTGAGGGCGGTGGGGAGCCATCTTCATCCTCAGAACCAGCAGTGTGACCTCTGGCTCTGAGCATCATGACTCTCAACCTTTCCAACCTCGCTCTGTACCCTGGGCAGACAGCTCCCATCCCCCAAGCCAGCCAGGAAGACGGTTATGGTGCAGGGTTGGGATAGTCAAGATTCTGGCAGGGGAGAGGCCAGAAGTGGCAGTGTTCAACAGTGGGGAGGTGGGGGGAGTGTGAAGAGCTCAGCCTGGGAAGCTAGAAACCCCCAAAGCCAGGTCCCAGAAGCAGAAGCAGGGCCCCAGGCTGCTAGGTGGGTCAGAATATTCCACAGGGGCAGTGCATGACTTTTATCTCCTGTGTGGCATCGGGGAGGGGATTGCACATCTCTGAGACAAGCTTAAAGGGCCCAAAGAGCACCCCACCTGCACCCCACCCTGACCAGGCCTATGAATTCCACAAAAGGAATTGATAGAGGTGGCTCTGTGCTACCCTCCCTAATGCCAAAAACAAAACTCAGAGAACACACTCCACCCGAATGGTGGGGAGCAATTAGGAGCCTCACCCTGCTCCTGGGACCCCCACACCCCTCTGTCTGTGCTCTGGGAGATTTTGACAGGAAACTGACTTTTGAAATAGAAAATCTGCTATTGAGAGAAATGAAGGTTTCATCAAAGACAATTTACTCCACATGACTGGAGATGGCACTTAGGAGGCCACGTTAGCCCAGATTGTTTGAAAGTACTGCCTAGGGGTGATGAGGAGCTGACACATCAGTGTGCAGGGTCTCCTACCAAGGACATCTTTCCTTGTAGTCTCAAGCATCATTTTTGCCTCTTTTCAATGTCAGAGCCTTGTCTGGTTTCTCCCAGCTTGATAATGGCTGTACGGCCATGACCATGTGGCCTAGGGTGTCTCTACTCTGTTAATGAGGAAATCCCAGAGGTCATAAGAACAACTCTTGGGCAGTGGTGGTGGCAGTGGTGGGGAAAGAAACTGGACTGTTGCCCCTATTGATCTCTGTAGCTGCATGACCCTGGGAATGTCACCTTACTTTTGTGGATCCATAAAATGAAAGGTTTGTGGGAGATTAGTGGTTTCTAAGCACACACCTCACCTTTACTAAAATACCTGGGTCTCACCATAATGGAGACAAAAAAATCTGCTTTTCTCGTGGAAGACTTTTCAATGTTGCCATGCAAAAATAATAATATGCATGACCATATATAATATACACTGTGTTCGGCTGGGCTCGGTGGCTCACATCTATAATCCCGGCACTTTGGGAGGCCAAGGCAGGCAGATCACCTGAGGTCGGGAGTTCGAGACCAGCCTGACCAACATGGAGAAACCCCATCTCTACTAAAAATACAAAATTAGCTGGGCGTGGTGGCATATGCCTGTAATCTCAGCTACTTGGGAGGCCAAGGCAGGAGAATCGCTTGAACCCAGGAGGCAGAGGCTGCAGTGGGCTGAGATCGTGCCATTGCACTCTAGCCTGGGTGACAAGAGTGAAACTCTGTCTCAGAAAAAAAAATACACACACAACACACACACACACACACACACACACACTGTGCTCCCCCAAGACCCCCTCCACATCCCTCTCACCGCCTCATTGAGAACCCCTGGTTCAGGTGATTTTTAGAGACCCTTCTTACCCTGATCATCTTGAGCAATAACAAGAGCAGCTCACACACGCTCCTTGCTTACTACATAGCAGGTGCTTTACATGCAGCACCTGATTTCATCCTCACAACCACCCCATGAGGTAGGCACTATTAATTCCAACTGACCAAGGAGGCTCGATGAGCTTAGGTCACTTGCCTGAAGACACACAGCTTGTAACTGGCCAAGTCTAGCTGAGAATCCAAGAGCTGTGGAGGTCTTCACCATGTTCAGAGTTCAAGCATTTTAGAGGAAGAGAAAAACCCACAACATTTTCTTGATGATTTCCCATCCAAGGCGAAAACTAGAAAGCTTTGCTTGCTTAATCAGATTTCAATGGCACCCAGCACTGAGAGAAGACAAGGTGGTTGCTAACTGAAGCCACCCAGCAGCACAGGCCCAGGCTGGCTTTGTTGTCAACTGGGTGTGACAGTGGAAAACAGTATCTAACACTCTTGTTTCAAAGCATCCATACACATGCCATGATAAGGTTTTACAATATGCAGCATTTTACACTTCACAAGGTCTTTGAGAATGTCCCAGATCATTTGCTCCTCAGGCTATTATTATCAACATTCATACATTGCAGATGAACAAACTGAGGATACAGGGGTGAAACAGCTTTCTCTAACATAAGGATCTGAACTTGAGTTCAAACGTGCAGCTTCCCACACTAATTTCATGATCTCTCCCCATTCCTTGTAGCTGCCTCTCTCCAAAAAGGTACCTAATTTTGTCTTTATGTCTTCCGAGTGTGTTTGCTGGCTCAGGGAAATGATATGATTTGGTCTCTCAGCTTGACAGAATGATTTCCCAGTGTAATTGTTGTATGTGTTAATGGTTTTTATTATTCTTTGCACAAACAACATTATAACAACATTAATGGAAATCTAAGGGAAAGAAAAATCCACCAAGCCTGCCACCCACAATAAATCAAGTTTTGATTTTTCCACAGTTCTCTTCCAATTATTGGCCATGTGCAGACATACTTTCTGCAGGGTTTGTGAAGCTCAGCATAGAAACAGTTTTGTGTTTTGCCTTTTGCATGTTACACTTTATTATAAGCATTGTTCATGTTGCTCAAGTCTTCATAATTAGCTTTCATGGTCTACCATATTTCAGTGAAGTTGGATGCAACATCTTTATTTTGCCATTCCCCTTGTATTTGACATTAGGGTGGCCATTGTACCTTTCTTTTTACACCTACTTTTTGTTTCCTTCTATGTTCTGGCCCAGAAAATGTGGGCATATCACGATTGGCCCCAATCCCCAGGGCCTGTGCCTCTGCCTCCAACACATCTCTCAGTCATGGGAGGAGGGCACCAGGAAATATTTTGTTCGGTGGCCTAGAATTTTAACTTCTTCCATACCTTCCAATGGACTCATTAAGTCTGACTAGAAAATAGGTCTTTAGGAAGAAGCTCCCAGGGGGATAGGGGTCAATGGACTCCCTTATAAGTCTCTGCCATTTTAGCTTCCACCATACTGAAATCGAGGATGTGAGAATTCAATAAACTTGTGAAGATGAAAGAGCCAGGTCAACTATAAAAATGCCTTGCAAATGTAATGAGATGATTTCCTCATTTTGTTTAGGTACAGAGAAGAGAATGGTGGACTCATTTTCATCCTGAAGCACAGGCCACCGTATTTACAGTGCTGATTCGGTTGCTTGCGGGGAGAGGGATGTTGGAAACCAGCATGATACCAGTCGTCTGGATCTGAAGCCTCTCTCAGCCTAACCTGGTTTAGGCTTAAATTCAAGAATCCTCTACTTTCTTATTACCTCAGGAATCCCTGGCTCTAGCTTCTGGACCCAGCATGGAGTCCCCAATGAGTTCAGTTATTCCAATAATACAAATATGCCATCAAACGATATGTGGTGGGACTTCTACAAGGCTGGGCATTGCAGCCCTTGTTGCCATAGAGATTTGCTAGCCCTACCACAAGCAAGCCCAGACCCCTCCTTCCACCACATCCAGTCTCCAGGGTTACTAATGCCTGTCACAGATGCAAAGATGCTGAGAAGCACATGGTATGGTGCAATAGGCACAGGCTTGAGAATTAGGCAGATTTGGGCTCAAATCCTGGCTCTACAACTTCCTTGTTATTGGATCATGGGGCAGCTCTCCCTTAGTGTCTCAGTTTTCTTATCTGTAAAATGGCATCAATAATCCCTGCCTGGTGGTTTCTCTGAGCTAAGTAAAGTTGTGGATGAAAAGTGCTGGCATATAATAGGTGCATGATGGATATTAACTCTCTTTCTCTTCTCTATGGGATGCTAGTTCAAACAGCTGGTCCATATATGCACAGCTATGCGTATGCTGTATAGTGATGGTGGCGCTAGCATGCATCCCCCTCCCCACCACATACAGATTCACAGGGTGACAGGGCTACACTCACTCAATAGGCGAAAGGTGAGAGTTGGTGAGAACTCAATCCCAACTCATGAGCTTGGCAGACAAGGCTTTCCAGTCTTAAAGCAACCTATGCTCTAAGGTCCTGTTGGGCTTCCACGTGCTGCGACTGCCCCGCTCCCCCCCGCCCCCACCCTCACCCTTACTGGCTGTGTGGCTGGTTTTGCTCATCCTTTCCCTGCTGCAGCTCAGCCTGGCTGCTCCTCCACAGTCTCCTAAACCTGTGGGGCTTACTTCTGGCTCCAGCCTCTGGGAAAAGTTTCCTCCCTCTGCAATCATAATCACCCTTCTTCGTTTGAAAAGCAATTTCAACTTTCAAAAGCTTTCCTAGCTATCTCACATCGCATCTTCCCAATTACCCTGGGAATGTGCTAAGGATCCCCCTGAGGATTTGTAGCTTTTTATAGCCAAAGGACAGAGGTAGCAGAGGTGGATGAGCTGCCTAAGATCACCCTGCAGGTTACTGGGTAAGAGAGACCGGAACCCAAGTCTTCTGAGTCTTGGTCAAGGGTTCTTTCCCACCCTTTGGTATACAAATTGTAGCCCTTGCCCTAGAAAAGCTTACATTTTACTAGGAGGAGATAAACATGCAATAACAAGTATAAAAATGATAATACCAGCAATGATAAAATTATGTAAAAGGTATCAATTTAGTACCGAGGAGGGGGTGATGAACTTTATTAATTAATTTGTATGAAGGAAGGCGGTCAGTCAGGGACAGTTTCAGAGAAGAGGAAACACAGGATCAGGATTCTGAAGGCTGAAGAGAAAACTGTCAGGAGAAGATAGCAGGTGGAGGAGGTGTTCCAGGCAGAGAAAAGTGCATTAGTGAAAGCATGGTAATGCTGAATGGGAGCATTTGGAGACCTTCAACTCATTCAATATGGCTGGATCAAGTTCAAGGTGAGAAATGATAGCTGGTGAGGCTGGAGAAGTAGGAGGGGCCCAATCATGAAAGATCTCTAAGTTGTGCTAAGGAAAACATACTTTATCCTAGAAATGGGTGCTTCTCAAGCCTCAGGCATTGGTATCTCAGTTTCCCAACTTTTGCCATTTCCATGTGCTTCCTATTCTACTATTTACTTAATCATTTTATTCAAAAAGACTCGCTTTAAAAACATTTAACCTTACCCTAATTTAAAAAAATATGAGAAATCATGGGTTTGATGTATTAGTTATATATTTTTTGAATACACATTAAAATATATACAGAACTTGAAAGGCAAAAAGAGTTTTCTCTGTTACAACTACAATGATCCCCTGGGCCACCTGAGATCCACTCCACACTTGGGGAGCAATCGTAATCTCTCGTACCCCAATTAGTAAGACTTGAGTTCATAGCAAGGGAGCACAGGGACAGCTCATTCTGGTGGCTGTGTTGGGCGTGCCCAGGAGAAGGTCAGAGGTGGAAGCAGACAGCCCAATTCTGGAATAAGCGAGAGTGACCAAAGGCCTGGATTTGGACACTGACAGTAGGATAAGAGAGGGGCTCAGATGTCTCAGAGGAGGCCTCGAAAATGAATACTTTTTGAATGAATGAGCAGATAGATGGATGAGTGAAAACTGTAAAGTGTGTGGTGAGGGAGAGAGAGAGAGGAGTGAAGGATGACTACCAGGATGCTAGTTTGGGTTACTGGAAAGACAGTGGGGTCACTAAGCGAAAATGGAAGAGAGAAAAGCGAGCAAGAAGAGAAAGAGTGGCACAAGTTTAGCCCAGTGGGAGTGAGTGTTCAATCGGGGCTTCTGGGATCACCTAGGGATTGTGAGTGAGAAGGTGTGGTGTTGTGGTAAGGTGAGGACCAAGAGGTGGAAGGGAGAGGGAGGGAGAAGCAGTTATGAGGCCACCTCCTCGTGCTGCCAGAGGCTGTTCCCATAGCTACTACGTCTAGGATGACCCTGGATTGGAGCTGGCATTGAAGATACAAAGCAACTTCTAAGAAATGACACAATAGCCAGTAACTGTCCCAAGTTGTCACATCAGCAATTATGTAAAAAGTTATCTTCAAGCTTCTGTACTGGGCTGCACAGAGCATCTCCATGTAATACCAGCAGGTCCTAAGCCTTCAGCTCCAAGGCAGAGAAGCAGGAGACTCTGAGGTGGTGTTTGGGCCATTCACCTAATGGTGGCCTTGGAAGAGTATGTCCCTGAAAGATTCCAAAGAAACTTCAATGCTCAGAATTTTTATTCTTTGGCTCAGTCCACCACAGAGACCCAAATTCAGCCCATATAGGAGGCCAAACAAAGCCCTGCTCTGACAGGCGGGCTCCAGAAACAGTTACCCTGCGTGCCAGCATATCCCAAGTTGCTTTCCTGTAGCTTCTCTCCCCACCACGCCCTGTAAGAATCCCATTGTAGGGCTGCCCCTGGGACTGGCTGGCCTTGGACAACTACCCTCAACTGCATAGCCAGCTGAGTCCCCAGAAGGAGGCAGAGGCAACCCTCTGGGCCGGAGCATGGCACACTTTTGGCAAGACAACAATCCATTTATTGCTTTCTTATGGTAAACGTGAGTCAAACTTGGCAAAAACTTTTCCTTCCTTCTCACAGGCCCGAATGGTGAATGAGAGCTTCCCAAACAGGCACAGAGGGAACTGCAGGCTCCTCCTGGACTCTGTGTGATGCGAAGGGTGTGTGTGTGTGTGGTGGTGGTGGTGGGGGTGGTGGGTGCTGACAAAGGAGGAGAGGGAACTCCACCAAGACAGAGGGAGGAGGGCACAGAGAGAAAGTACTTGTGACCCTACTGCATGAAGCCTAACCCCAGGTAGCAGTGGAAGGTACTTTCAAGTGGCCAAGGGGTAGATAGGAGGGTAAGAGTTGGTGGAAATGGGTGAATGGATGAAGAGAAGTTGCTTCCAAATTGTTCTTGCACCGCCTGGGAAGGTGAGCTAGGAAAAGTTGTCTGCAGACCTTGATTTCCACAGTGTCAGCATCCAGGAAGGAGTTGTTGGGGAGAACTATGCCAGCACCCTTGAGTCCATATCTGGAGAGGGGCAAGGAAGGGGCAAAGCAGAGCACACCCAGAGGTAGGGGAACAACAAACTCAAGGCCGGCAAATGCTCTTCTCGCCCATGCATGAGGAGAGCTCTGTCAGGGCTGGGGCAGGGTGGTGGGGGGCAGGGCATTACACAGCAAGAAACAGATTTGTCTGGATCATTCCATGCATGCAGCATATGAGGTAGAGCCAGGAGAGGTGTAGGTGTACATGTTCAGGGCGGGTATGGGGGCTGGGGTGGGGGGAGACGAAGGTTTGAATAACAAAGGAGGCTCGGCTAGTAAAGGATAAGCCATGCATGGTTCCAAGATTCTGCCTACTGGATCCAGGGAGAAAGCACAGTCCTAGCCATGAACTTCAGTCACTGGCACGCTGCTCACTTCTCTGACACTCCAGCCACCCTCCAGAGGCTACACAGGGTTGCCGGCGAAGGGGCTGGCCCCTCCCAGCTCAGGATGCTCTGACTTATGCAATTCAGCCTGTCACAGGAGCAGGGGAGCTGGAAGTTCACCCTCATTTCCCTCGGGTTCTCTCCCTGCCCCCTGCCAGCCCCTGCAAGTCACGCCAAGGGTCAGGGGCCCCGCATGGCAGCAGCTGGGAGGCCCTGGCTGTAGGAGCCCCGGAAAAGGAGGGAAGGGAAAAGAGTACCTGTTGCTGAATGCATCCTGCTTTGGCTTTTACTCCTCGGTTGCTTGTGGTGAGAGTTGCCCATCATTCTGCTCTGGACTGGCAGCCACCGCGGCGGCCGCTGCCACCTCCTCCTCCTCCTCTTTCTCCTCCTCCTCCTCCTACTCCTCCTCCTCCTCCTCTGCCTGTGCTCCTCCCCAGGTGCTTACATCACCTCAGCTTTGCTTCTCACACACATGGCTCTTCCAAATCCCACTTGTGCCCCTGGCACAGAATTGTACAGATCTGAGCCTCTCACTTGGACTAGAGCCTGCTAGGAGCTTCTCTCAGTCTCTCTCAGTCTCTCTCTCTCTCTCTTCCTCCCTCTCTCTCCCCCTCCCTTTCCCCCTCCCCCTTGCTCAGTGCTCCACTCGGGTCGAGCAGCCCAGGTTCCAAGAGAAACCCTAGCAAGCCCTGAAAGTGGCCCCCACTTCATCTGCCTCTGCAGAAAGGGCCAGCACAGGCACCCCCCGGGACCCGACTCGCCCGCCCTCACCGTCCCTGGCTGTCTCTGCTCTCAGTGCTGTCATTCCTGCTGCCGCTCGCTGGCTCACTCACTCGCTCACTCGCTCACTCTGTCTGCAGAAGCTTGCAGGAGCGCGGGGCCAATAACAGAGCCTAATCCAGGAGTGTGACAGGGTCTACTGAAGGAATGTGCTACCCAGGAATTCTAAGTGACACAGCTCCCTGCTCCACTGGGGGATGGATCCAGTTCTGTAAGTGACAGCTGCCAATGAGCTCTGGGCTCCAGTCCCAACAGAAATCTGGGAAAATTTGGGCAGAGCACAAAGCTGTCAGGCTGCAGACTTGGAGCTAGCACAGCCAGATGCCACAAGAATGCCCAGTGTGGCCACCAGGTGTACCTGCTTCCTTGTCAGACACACCTGAAGCCTCACTCCACTCTCCCCTCCCTCTCCTGCTTTGCCTTCCCAGGGGAGGGCAGAGCTGGCAGCCCAGAGATTCACAGACTGGAACTGGGACCCTTGGCAGCCAATGAGAGGGCTCCTTCCATGAGTCCCACAGCAAATACATGCGCTCTCTCTCTCTCTCTCTCTCTCTCACACACACACACACGCACACACACACGGACACACTTACGCAGCCGCTCACTGTGAGTGCTGCAGCCCTCTGGGATAAGCGACACCGGGCAGGTGGTGCTAGCTCAGCAGCCCATTCCAGCCCCAGCAGCCTGGCTGTGAGGAAGGGCTGTGGCTCCTGGAACCAACTCTGCCAGAGCTAGACAGCCTCAAGTGCCTTCACTCAGGCGAGTGGTGGTACTGCTCAATGCTGATGTCATCAGATTTCTGCTCACTGGGACAGGGGGCCTGTCTGTAATAGTCATGGCCACAAAGCACTGTGGGTGTGGGTCTGGCTAGAGCTTCAGCCTGGAAGACTTGGGGCACTGTGCCATCCAGAAAGCAGAGCTTTCTGACTTTGGGGCAAGAGATCTAAAGTGGGATCACCACATCCATCTGCCCACTCACCTGCCCAGTCATTCAGTCATTCTTTCAGCAGTTCCCAGGGATCTGCTCTGGCCAGGCTCTGTGTGAGCGTTGGGGAGATAGAGGTGCCAGTCATTGCCTAGGAGGGTGTGAATGACATGTCCAAAGGCCATGACAATACAGAGAAGGATCAATAATGTTGTGAGACTATCAAAGAGAAGCTTCTTCAGTCTGGAAGGTCTAGAGATACCTTCCCAGGGGAGGTGATGCTTGGACTGGGTCATGAAAGATGAAGAACAGTTGGCCAGAAACAGAAAGGGGAAGGACACACTGTTAACTGTTTGGAATATTACCCCTGCTAGGAACCTCTCCTGTTGAGTCTCCAGCTTTCAAGGGTCTCTTCAGTTTTCTTCAACAATTCCACAAACATCTCTCAAGCTACTGACTTCAGGCTGTCTCAGCCTAGTGGGGGCAACAGATAATTATAGAGAGGAATCACAGGATAGTGTGACCCATGCTTGGGCTTTGCAGCTCACTGTGGAATGTGAGGCTTCCAAGGGGATCGATCTGAGGCCAGAAAAGAGGGCTTGGGAAATAGAGGTCCCAGAGCAAGCATGAAGGGCCAGAAGTGAAGCATCTTGGGAAAATACATTTATGAATATGATAAAAATCATGAAGATTGAACACAGCAAAAATCTTCAAGGTGATAAGTGAATAACTGAAGCTTGGAGAATGTTTGGTTCCTGACCTCTTATCCATTTGTGATGGGTCCTAGGTATGAGTCTTGGTAGCTTCAAGGTTGTAAACATGGACTTTAAGCTCAGAGAGGCTAGAAAAGACAGGACCATGACAACTTGAGATGATTCTAGAATGCATGGGACATCCTGAAAGTGAAAATAGAATTGAATTTGCTTGGGTTGTGCACTTGGGACCCTGGATTATATTTCCAGGAACATGAGGAAGCTTGAATAGGAACAGGTATGTTTTGGAAGAGTTTGGGGAGTAAAGGCATGGGGGTGGTGGGGAGGAGGAATGAGTGAATGATCACAACCTGGACACACTTGTGTACCCCTACTTAGGTCAAGAAGTTGAACATGACCAGGGCTACAGAAGCCCTTCTTGAAGCGGTTTGTTTGTTTGTCTGTTTTTTTGAGACAGGGTCTTGCTCTGTCACCCAGGCTGGAGTGCAGTGGCATGATCATGGCTCACTGAAGCCTCAACCTCCTGGGCTCAAGTGATCCTCCCAACTCAGCCTCCTGAGTAGCTGGGACTACAGGAGCACCCCAGCACTCCCAGCTAATTTTCCTTATTTATTTATTTATTTTTTGTAGAGATGGGGTCTCACTATGTTGCCCAGGCTGGTCTTGAACTCCTGGGCTTAAGTGATCCTCCCACTTCGGCTTCCCAAAGTACTGGGATTACACCTGTGAGCTATCACATCCAGCCTCAAAGCAGTTTTTTTAACCATCATTGCATATTGTTCTCACACCAGCCCTGTCAGGTAGATAATACTAGTTTAATCTACTCCACAGATACTTAAACAGGCTAAGACAGGGGAGGCAGCTTAGCCAAGGTCCATACTGGCTTCTTCCACTGGGCCTACACCCATGCTCAAGATGTTCCCATTGGAGGAAGAACAACAAAAGAGAAGAGCAGACGCGGAACCCCTCCTTTCTCCCTTGTCCTTTCTGCCTCACCACTCTTCTCCTCTTCTCATCTGAGCTTCTTATTTGGGAAGCCTATATCTCGTGTCCCATGTCCTCACCTCCTCCTCTCTGTAAGCCCCATTGTGGCCCCTGGAGCTTTTCTCACCCAAGCACCAGTGTCCCCATGGCCATAGCCCATTAGATGCTTAAGGATCTGCTGGGAGTCACATACTCCCTCTGGACTAAATGAACCCAACTAGTACATGGTGCAGCCAGGTTTTGGACCCCCGTCTATCTCCACATTCAGTGCTTTCTCCACCATATCCTTTTTTAATAATCTAAATTGGATGAGGAATGCTTTTAGACATCTTTATGCTTTCCTCTCCCTCCCCTACGCATTCACTGAGTCCTGTAAATTGCTCCTTAGAACTGTCTCAAATTGGAGCACTTCACGGCATCATCTCCACTTCCCTCACCCTGGTCCCAGTCACCATCATCCTTCCCCAGACCCCTTCAATGAATATCTTCTTCAGTGGGCTCCCTGATTCCACCTCTGCATCCTAAAATCTGTTCATGACACAGCAGCCAGAGTGAGCTTTTACAAACATAAATCAAACCACATCACTCCATTGCTTGGAACCTTCCAATGATTTGTTGTCTAAAGTGTCAAGTCCACACTCTCCAGCCTATACTCAGAACCGGCTTCATCTGACCTCTTTGCTTCCTCTCTCTTGATTCCCTGAAACAGACCCCTCTGCCCATTCAATCTGGGCTACTCATTCTCTTCTTTATCTTGTCATTGTGGCTTATCATTTCATGGTAAAGCCACCAGGGAAAAGCTTTGTGGTCAGAGAAGCCTAGATTCAAATCCTCATGCTGCCATTTCTACCTGTGTAACCTTGTACAACTTACTTAACCTCCCCAGCTTCCATTTTCCATGTATAATGGGGGAATGAAAACACCTAACTTGTAAGCTGCTGTAAGACTTTCATGAGATAATGCTGAAATGAGCTAAACGACACCAGGCCCATAGTAGGTGCTTGCTAAACAGTGCTTCCCATCCCCTCTCACCGCCTCTACCTGCTGTTCCCAAACCCTACAGGCTGCTCCTTAAGCTTCAGCCCAAATCCCATCACCCCTTGAAAGCCCTCTTTACACACATCCCTACTAGCAGTCTGCAGGGATAATTCCTCTCAATACCTTCAGTTCTGGCTGGCTGAGCCTCTCATTTGTCCTTAAACATAGATGTCCTGGAATTGTTCCAAATCTTCCACGTATTCATGAACCTTCTCTGCCCCAGCAACTTATGAATTCTTTGCGGGATGGGCCAAAGTTTGGGTGTTTGAAGCTGTGCCTTGTGGAGGGCCTTGCACAGAGGATGACTCAGTTAGTGTCTGCCCATTCATGGGCACAGGCCAAGCTACCCTGCTCATGCAGACCTTCCTTCCTCTCCTTCCTCCCAGCCCTCCTTTGCTCCTTGATGATCCCTCTGAAAGCTCCACATGCTTGGTCCTTGTTCCCCCACCAACCCAAGAGTCTTCTCAAATTTTTCTCATCCCTTTCTACTCATCAAGGTGCACATCCAGGTTGGGTAGGGTGCTGGAGGCGCTGTTCTGATGGGTTCACTGCTGTAAGATCACTGCCTATGGAGAGGGTCTGGAAAGGCTGGCTAGCCTTTTCACTGAGCACTGTGCTCAGGGAGGGAGGCATGGTGGCTTTAGGAGGGGGGCTGAACTCCCTGTGGTGTCTTCACTTGGAGTTTGGGGAAGAATGGCTTCTTTCTTTTTCGCCTGTGTTTCAAGCTAAGCCCAGCCAGGAGCACCCAGTTCTATCAAAGAGAGAGGGAGGGCCAGGCCTCACCATTTGGCTGGTCCCCCACCCTACTTGGTGCCTTAGGCACACCAGGGGAGGAGACAGAGAAGTCTGAGGCCCGAAAGAAGCAACTCAGGGGCCCATGTCCCCAAAGTGAAACAGCTTAAGGTTCATCATTACCACCTCACTGGCTGTACCCCTCTGTACTCAGGGATGTCAAAGTGGGTGGACAGGGAAGTGCGGCAGGTGGTACTATCTCTGGACTGCCCCCCGGAACCCAAGAGCTGGGACAAGAACTACCCCTGTCACTTTAGTCATGCTCTTACTCCTCACAACCACCCTGTCAGGTGTGGATTATTAGGACCTAAGCTGAAGATGCGGAGACAGACATTAGATAAAAAAATGGAGCTAGTAAGTGGCAGGGTTGGGACTTGAACCCAAGTTAGGCTGACTCCAAGCCTGTCTCCTTTTCATTCTGCTGATCCCATCTGCCATAACCTGCACATGCTCTAATCTGGTGTGGGGAATTTCCAGGTGCAAGTTCCATAAGGAAAAGTGAATTCTAATACACACTCTGACTCTGACTCCAGTGGGCTGTAGCCTGCCAGCGGCTACCCCTCATAGTGCTTGTGTGTTGTGTGCCCCAAGAGAGCAAACTCACTCAACCCTGGGCCCGGAGACACTTTCCAACTGCACATCAGGCACAGTCCCTCAAGCCTGAAACATAAACTTCTCTTCTAGCCCTGATGAAGTGTTCTCTAGGTTCTATTCCTTCTGCCTAGAATGCTTTTCCTTCCACTTCCATCTCTGCTTGTGAAAAGTCAGACTTATTTCTCAAGACCCAGCCCAAATGTCTCCTCCCCCATGAAGCTTTCTCTGAGCCTGACAGCCAGAATCGACTTCACCTCTGCATAGCCATATCCTCTCTACAGATCTCAGGTCCATCTTGAGCCTTTTCTGATCTTCCCAAACGTAAATAGTCTTCCCCTTGAGTTAATTCCCACGGTACAGTATTCCCCCAAATGCAGTACACATTGTGCTAGTGGTATGTGAGGTGATAGTATGATGAGGAATTTTAGAAATACATGGATGATCTTTTAAAGTTTAACAGTCACATATTTATTCTAATGTATACTAGATTCTAATAAAAATTACAGGGGAAAATTGAGTGCATGAAAAGTAATTTCTTGACTATTCGAGGCAGAATGGAATGAGTTGGTTTAAAGAAAAATAATTTGGTATCTGTGAATTGGATTGAATTACTCATACCTTCCTCAAGGCTGCTGGACAAAAGATCTGCAGTGATGGTTAAAAACTGCTTTGAGGGGTTACTTCTGTAGTCCTGGGCATGGTCAACTTCTTGGCCTTGGAAGTGTGTACATGGGTGTGTATAATTTGTGATCATTCATCAACGTGTGTGGCTTTTTTGTATGTTAATTGCCCATACAAAGTTTATTTTTTAGAAAGTGCCTGACACATAGTAGCCCCTACTCAAGGGAGGTAGAACACTTTGTATTTTGGGCCAAAGTGACCAGAAAGGCAGTGATGTCATTAATGGCCAAGGAACACGGGGATTAGTTACATAGAAAGTGAGTTTGGGGGAGGCAGGAGGCTGTAGAATTATGATTTGGGAAATGTTTTTCTTTTTTGGCCCCTATCCCAGTAAGAAGCCAGAACGCCTTCTGAGAGCTGGTGTTAAGAGTAGTAGGCCAAGGCCAAGGGGGTGGAACCAGCCAAGGCCTGGATCGTGAATAAGCATACACCCCAGAGGCTAAGCAGAGACGCAGACACAAGGGAAAGAGTGCTGGCGGGAGGCTCTATGACCTTGGGCAGGCCCTGGCCATTTTGAGCCCCATTTAGTTTCCATCCGGACAGTGAAACATATGAACCTAATTACCTCCTGAGGGTCCTCTCAGCTCAGACACTCAGAGGGGGTTGTCCTATGCACTGATATTAGTCAACAAGCAGGTTCTCTGATGATCCAAGCACCCACTCTGTTCCAGGTACTATTCTGGTTACAGAGGACACAAGAATGAGAAGCCCCAGCTGCTGCCCACAGGGGGCTCCTAGGCCTCAGTCTTTCCCACATACCTCCCCCTTGGGATCGACCAGCACCAATTTCCAGAATAGAAGGTTCTCTAGACTTGCAAAGGAAACCCTCTCTAGGGTTGGAAATGCACACGCCTGTAATGGTCAGGAAGGACAGGGCCATGAATGAAGTAGGCTAGGGTAAGCCACAGGGTGTGGTGGAGACCTGGAGCATGCATGCTGGCCACCCCCAACCCTGTTCCCAAGGCACTCAACCTCCAATCTGGGAAACCTCTCTGCTGACTCAACCCAACCTATCTGTAGTTCACATTCTGCCAACAGTCTGCCAGTTTGCTTCCCACCAGCTGTGGTCTCCAAGTATTTTTGAGCCTATACTCCCATATATACATATTTATGTATAAACCATATATATGTACTACTGTGCTAATCAGTTTTATAAAATTTAAAACATAAACAAACATGGAAATTAGGATATGATAAAGATGACTGTTAATAGAAATTCTAATATTTTCTCCTTGCACCCTAATAGACGATATATCCACTTTGGAGGCCACAGGTCTAGCACACCACCCTCTGCCTTACAACCAGATGATGGAAGAAGACAAAAAGAAAGTAACAAACATGTATTGCACTCTATTATCTTTCAGGCTTTGTTCTCAATGCTCTACCTACCTCATTCATTCATTCAATAGATTTTATTGAGCCTATTATATTAGGCCCTGTGCTGGGCAGTGGGTGATAGAGGTTAATGAGGCAGATGTAAAGAGTTTACAATCCAGGCAGAGGAGACAGACAATAACCAAGTACACGAATAATCAAGGTAGGACTAGTTCCTGAGAAGTGCCATGAAGGAAATCAGCATGGTGATGTGTGATGGCAAGGGATGGGGCAGGCATGGGGAGCTAGTTTGGATGAGTGGTAAGAGAAGTTCTCTCCGAGCTAAGAACTGAGCCTGAGAAGGAGCTGGCAGAGGGAACAGAAAGTGCCAAGGCCATGAGGCCACGAAGTGAGAGGGACCTCGATGTCTTTGAGAAATGGAAAGGAAGCCAGCATGTCTAGGGTGGAAGAGGTAGGGGGTAAGAGGTGGATGTTATCTGAAGTGCAATGGGAAACCATTAGAGCATTTTAAGCAAGGGAGCGACAGGATATGATTTAAATGTTTAAAAGACCACCATGTCTGCTATGTAAACAAAGGGCTGGAGGGAAGTTCCAGTAGAAATGGGCAGGAGGCTATCGTAGTAGTCCAGGCAAAAGATGATGGGCCAGGATCAGGGTGACGGAAACAGAGAGAAGCAGGCAAGCATAAGATATATTTAAACCTCATAACAATTTCACCATCATACCCATGAAGGCTGTATTACCATCCCCATTGCACGTATGAGAAAACTGAGATTAGGGGAAGTTAAGTAACTTGCCAAAGATCACACAGCTTGTAAGTGATGAAAGCAGGATTCACCCAGGTCTGCCTGGCTTCCTTCCCAGCCTACTCAGGATTCCAAATATGTTTCCTGCTCCAGGGAGTAATTCACCAGGACAATATAGGGTCTTCCTGTTTCAATCCTGAAAAACATTGGGCATTCCGAAAAAAGAAAAAGGGATTGAGGACAATTTGATCCAGCAATCAGCCAAGGGTATGTGAGTGATTCGAACAGTCCATTCCTTCCATTTTCATAAACACACCGAGTTCACCAGAGCTCTAAGTAAGGGAAAAACCATTCTTTCCTTTGGAGTGGGGAGTGGTCAGGAGGAGGGTAGTGATGGTATATTTGGAAATAGAAAAATAAAAAGCTGCCAACTTGTGCCTTCAAGGAAAACCCAAGGGCGCAGGCCAAGACAGGGGAAGTGACTTGCCAAATCCCTCCTCACAGCCCCCAGAGTTATTCATGTGAAAAAGAAGGCGGAATTGTCCCTGCCAAAGACATGAAGTCCTTTACAGAGCACTTTGTTAGCAAAGCCTAGCATCCCTGTCACTATGCAAAGCGAGCTGGAATGTTGCCATGGCAACGGGCAGCTGGGCCCTTGAATCAGCTTGAGGCCTGCCTTGGGCTCACACAAGCCTGTGGGGGCATCTCCTGGAGGTTGGGCAGTGGGCAGGGAGCTGGTTTTATGTTTGTCGATGAGGAGTCCTGAGCTCCCTTCTAGGTAACCAGGGGTCCGAAGGCTGTGTCTTCAGGAAGTATTTCCCGTTGTCAGATATGCCTAACTTCCACAACACGCAGCATCCCAGGTTGGCATGACCTGATCATTTTCCCAATTCAATGACAGAAAATGGAAACACCCAACTGCTGTAAAACAAAACTTCTTTATGTTACAAGTATAGGAAGAAACCAAAGCCCAGAGAGGGCAAGTAACTTGCTGAGGGTTGCACAGCCTTACTAGTGCCAGAGTCAAACCACAACTCCTTTGACTTCTGAGGTAGTGTGAGTTTCACCATACTACACTTCTTTCCTTAGACACTGGGGAGGGAGAAAAATGAATTGATGTTGACAGAGCCCCTCTATGTACCTAACACCATGCTGGATTCTTTGGCATTCCTCATAGCTCATCTGCACCACAAACCTGCAATGGAGCTATTACTATCCTCAATTCGCACTTTAGGAAACTGAAGCTCAGAGAGATCAGGAAATTGGCTCAAGGTCACACAGCTAGATGGACTTCAAAGACTAGTCTTTGTGCTTCACCACATGGCCTCATGCTTCTGAGGTCAAATGCACTTTTTTCCCCTTTGTGTGAAAGACAGACATAATTGCAAGTGATTCTAGATGCTATCCCTACTCTGCTATTTATGGTAAGAAAGTGTTCTGCTGCAGATCACCAAGCCGCCCCTCAGTAAAGCTTCATAACCGCTGATAGAACCCTGGCCCTCAGTTTTTTCATCTCTAAAGTGAGGATACAGTGAGTTTGGGGTTGCTAGAGAATGAGACTGAAAGAGAATGCATAGAAAGTGCATAGAGCAAGGTCTGGTGCATAGCAAGTGCTCAGTAAATGTTAGTTATCATTAAGATTATTCCTTTTAGGGATCAGCTCAAATTCTGCAACCTCAACCACCCCAGCCATCATTTGATGCAATCCCCTTTCACTCCCCAGCCATCCATTCATTGCCAGTTGTCAGCACCCAGAACTGAATTCCTTCCCTCAGAGGAAGGGAAGGGCATCAAGAAAAGGTGATGTCGAACTCGAAAAGAATGAAGCAACATTTGCCAGTAAAATGAGGTTTGGAGAGAGGACATTCTAGGCAAAGAGGACGTTTTGAGCAACAGCATAAAGGTATGAGGGTTTCTCGTATTTGGGAAGAAAAATAAGTGATCTGGTATAGCCAGGTAGAAGATGAGGTAGTTGGAACTAGACCAGGGAGGCCTTAAATGTCATGAGAATGGGTGTGGATTTTATCTTGAAGGTGATAGTGAGCCACAGAAGCTTTGGGCAAGGGAGTGACCTGAAGATCAGTAGGGTGGCTGCAATGTGGAAGGCTGATTGGAGAGGGGCCGGGACACCAGTTAGGAGGCTCTGGAAGGGGCCCAGATGAGACATGATGAAGGCTTGCCTCAGGGTGGAGCGGTGGGGCCAGACAGGGAGAATAGACCATGGTGGTGATATGGAGATAGAATGGGTGGTGCCATTCCTTAAGTTAGAGAACCCTGGAAAACCAGCAGGTGCAGGGATGAGGAGGAGAGAGCTTGCCTGGGACACAGTTTGTGTGTCTAGAGGGTGGTAAAGATATGTGATCCAGAGCTCAGAGCTGGAAATAAATACAAATGGAGCAGTCACAAGGTCTTGGAAGTATATGAAGCCAAAAAGCAGGTGAGATGGTCCAGTCTGAGTGGGGAGAATGGGAAGAACAGGGAGCACTGATGTTGAAACTCTGTGTCACAACTCTGTGTCTCTGCCTTGCTCTGCAATGGCAGCCTTCCTGTGCAGTAGTCCAACATTTGTGCAGCTCCCTGACATGCAGACCAAATCACTCCTGCAATGTGATGGACAAAGACAGTGTCCACTCTCATGCATAGGGCCTTAGCAAGCCAGGTCAGGTAGCAATCCTGGTGTCCTTTACAATGAGGATTTTCTGGACAAGGAACTGGAGAATCCTAACAGATCATAAAGAGTTAAGGGGCAGGCAGAGAAAGCCTTTAAGAACTGGGAAGCTGGCCGGGCACGGTGGCTCACGCCTATAATCCCAGCACTTTGGGATGCCGAGATGGGTGGATCATGAGGTCAATAGATCGAGACCATCCTGGCCAACAAGGGGAAACCCCGTCTCTATGAAAAATACAAAAATTAGCTGGGCGTGGTGGCGCGTGCCTGTAATCCCAGCTACTCGGGACGCTGAGGCAGGAGAATCGCTTGAATCGGGAAGGCGGAGGTTGCAGTGAGCCGAGATTGCATCACTGCACTCCAGCCTGGTGACAGAGTGAGACTCCATCTCAAAAAAAATTAATAACAATTTAAAAAAAAAGAACTGGGAAGCTGTCAAGCCCCTGGTGCCAGAAACAAGTTTTCTAAAATTCTGTTTTTCACTTGAAAGTTCAAGTTTTATCTTTGGTAACAAATACTGTGAGCTGTTTTCCTTGAAGCAACAGGCTCATTTTGTTCATCTTTGAGAAAAATGTCCACCAAATACTCAAGTCTGACTAACCATAGTTTACCTGTCAATTGTTCTTTCAAGTGAAAATGACGTTCCAGGAAAAAGGAGGCCTGTTGAGCTCACACCTCAAACAATTGCACAGTGCTCTTCTCTAGACAACCATCTCACTCAGCATGCAGCAGAAGTGCTTTCTGTGTTCTTCCTGTTTCATCACACAGGATATTAAAAAGACATCAACTCCAGGCTTGAGATTTAATAAAAATTGCCATTTCTTACTGCTTTATCTAAGCTACTTTTCAGTAAGATTGGTGGCTTTTCCCCCCTTTTTCTGAGTATGTAGTGGTGAAAAATACAAAATACAATGACTGCTAGTACAGGCTGGTGCCACTGCCTTGATTCACACTAAGGTGGCAACAGTTTTGCAAATGGTGCAAAAATCAACCTCATGAAAAAGGCAAATAGTGTCCTAGTGTTATCGTAGAAACAGCTCTGACCTTGAGCATCCTCCAAAAGAGTCTCAGAAACTCTGAGGGGTCTGTGAATTGTACTCTGAAAATCTCTGGTTTAGAGAAATTCTTGCCCAGGTCCCTAGGAGCAAGTCGAGGAAGGTTCATTGCAGCATTATTTGTGGTCATGGACAGTTGGCAGAACCAAGATGTACAGTCTCAGAGGAAGGGAGAAGTAAAATGTGGTGGATGAGTGCCAAGTCAGACAGAAGTGATCAACGAGATGTGCACATAGCAGCACCGAAAGGCCTCAAAACAGAGGGTTGAGGGAAAAAAGAAACAGAATATGATCTATGGATCAATACTATTTATGTAAATTAAAAGCACATAAACACAGAAAACACTATGTAATTTTCAAAGACATTTCCAACAGCATGTATCAAACCATTAAAGAGGAACTGGGAGTGGAGATTAGAGATGAAAGGAAAAATAAGATAAAAAAATTTAAGGACCTTGCATGGATAGATAATGGTGTGCACAACAGTATACTTAACTGTGCCCTTGAATGCAAACAAGGACAGAATGAATGGGAGGCAGAAAATAAAGTACCTTTTCAAGAGGCTTGATGGCAGAAAGAAAGGGGATTGCTAGAGAGAGAGGTTCACAGAGAGAAGTGGGCAGGGATGTCTGGCTTTGCCTTCTAGCAATCTACCCAACGTGCTCCAGCCTGGGTTCCCAATGGCCTCCTGGTGTCTGAAGTTCACAGAATCAGGCCCTGGTAGGGAAGGGCACTGAAGGACTCCATACTTGCTGGCTCCCAATTTCTCTGGGAAGTAAGAGATGATATCATCGTCTAAAAGTAGGAGATGGTAGGTAGTCCGGCCTCAAGAGCCAGGGAAGGCGTAAAGCAGCTGCCATAGAGACCAGACAAAAGTAAAAGTATTTGTAGGCAGCACTGATGGCTCAGCTGGAGATTGAGGGAAGTCTGGGATGGATGGGAGGGAAATTGAAGAATTGAATGCCTGGTGGCCTTGATTTTTCATTCATTTCTTCAGCCAGTCCATTGGTCAACAAATATAATATTTATTATCTATTACATACCAAGGTACTTGGGATACCAATAAGGAGTAAAACAGGCTTAGTTTCCATCCTCATGGACATGCCAGTCTGTGTGTGAGCGTGTGTGTGTGTGTGTGTGTGTGTGTGCGCAGACGTTAAATAAGCACACAAATACATATATTATGAAGCAATAACAACTGCAATGAATAAAGGGTACAGGGTGCTGAGAGAGTATATTGGTGAGGCTTGATATAGTCTAGGAGGCCTGTTGGTAAATAGACACTTCCATCTTTGTTTTCAACAGCTGCATAATGCCCCACTATATGGATGCTCCATAGTTTACATAACCAGTCACCTACTGTAGGGAACACAGAATTTTCTCCCTTTCTCTTTACATCATAACCAATGTTTTGATGCACATCTTTGTACATGCATCTCTAGCACTCGTTTGATTATTCCCTTAGTATGCATTTCTAAGAGTAGAATTGCCACATCAAAGGATGTATACATTTTTAGGCCTTTTGAAACATATTGCCCAACTGTCCTGCAGAAAGGAGGTACTGATTTACATGGGAAAATGTCCGCTTTTAAAAAAAGGGTTAATGGTGGCCAAATCTAGGTGGTAATAATTCCGTAAAAAATTTTAAAGGCTGCATAGTATTCCATGGTTATTTACACGATTTTTTTCTATTTTGCCATTACAAAAAAAGCAATTTACTTATTTAACAACAACAATAACAAAAGTGGAAAGTTTTGATAAAAGAAACCACCTACCAAGGTTAGAATATGCTTTCATCTGTTCAAGTAATATGCTAGGTGATAGGACTAAAAAGGTGACATCTTTTTTAGAATCTCCAGTAAAGAAGTAGATTTTTAGTCTCAAGGTTCGGAACATTTGCGTTTCTGTTAAGCAGTTGATTTGCTTTTATCTATGAATCTTATAACTGATCATACCTCCCTTTTTGTTATCTGCCATGAAAGGTTAAAGTCAAATTTGGGACCCACATTTATCAAGAGGGGACTTCCTGAAATTCACTTTCTATCACGACTTCTTCACAAGTTACCCTTGTTTTCTCTCTGCCTCATCTTCCTCCCTTACATCTAATTTAGGTTCTCTCCAAGTATAGGATGTATCTTATAAGCCACCTTAAACCCTTTTTGGAATAAGTCAAGGTGGAAATAATTTTTTACAAAAATTAAGCTAAATGCTCAGATCTCCCTCCAACACAGTCCTCAAGAGGCATAGGCAAGACACAAACAGAAAGATGCCTCAAGAAAACAACAAAAACCTAATTGGAGGTCAATCGATTTCTGGGCTACATGCGTCAAAGCTGAGGTCTTCAGCTTCCAAACACGCAAAGTAATTTAGCGCTCGCGTTCCCATGGCAACCGTGCCAGTGATGGAGAAGATGCAGCAAGCCCGGCCTGGCGGTTGCTGGGGAACTCGGGCTGTTGGCTGCGTGACTTTGCTCAAGTCTGAGTGTTTAGATGCGCAGGGACTTTCCATTAACTGGGAGCTCTGGATTCGGACCTAACTGAAAATGTAGTTGCTGAGGAGAGGTGAAAAGTGTACACTGGAAATGGAGTGACATCTAGGTAGCCTCCAATACTTGAAGTTAGTTAGCACTTTCCTTTTTCTCTTTCTCTCCCCGCTTGCTAAAGAAGGGGGTTAGGAAGCGGGAGACGGGACAACAGGCAAAGGGATCCACCCCAAGCTGTCCTTTTACAAAGGGGCTGAAAGAGTGACGGGGGAAAGGGTGATCTCATTAGCATATTTAAAGCTCCAGCCTAATGACTGCTTTGTGCCTCAACTGAAGAAAAATTGTGCTAACTGCAGGGGGAGGGGCATCATGGAGGCTAGAAAAGGGGATCCCAAAAGAACTCAAATGGGGTGAGGTCGATGAATGTCATCCTCGCCACTTGGGGAGAATATAGATGAGTATTTATTTGGTCTGGGAGGAGGCAAGACTTTCTAAGCATTAAAATCACAAAGGAAAATGTCAACATATTTGGCAGCATCATTTAAAAAAATGTTAGCACATCCCAAAGCACAACAAACCAAAAATCAAAGAGAAAATAGCAAATTGGGAAAGAAAAAGATATTTGCAGCATAGGACAGAAAAGGGTTAATATCTTTACTATATAAAGAGCTTTAAGTAACAAACTCTTTACCAATAAGTAAACAGACACACATATTTTACTTTTCTAATCAAGAAAAAACCAACTCTATTTCAGAAGAGAGAGAAAGAGTCCAGAAGAGCATGTCATTCTCTGAAAGGGAAGCTATTAAGAACGACAGAATGCGGATCAGCTCAGACAACAGCTAAAGTGGCCCAGGGAAGAGTTTGAAAATGTTCTGCTTATTGCACTGGAGAGATGGGAGTGGAGATTGGGGGGTTTCCTAAAGCTTACTGCACCAATCAAAAAGCAATCATTTTGGAACAACCTGTCAAAATAGTACTGGAACCTGTCATTGACATATGCAAGCAGGAAGGCTCTACTTCCCACCCACACAGTGTAGACAGAGGAGTATGGCAGAGAAAGCGTTGCAGCATCTCCTTGGAAGAGAGGGCTATGGAGTATCCCTGGCACCTACAGCAGAGCTGGCCCAGAGTAAGCAGGTGTTCAGTGAGGCCTTGTTGAAGAGTTGTGAGGTTCTCTTCATGATGGCCAAGTCCTTAGGTGGAGTCCTTGGTTCCAAGCAGCCTTCAAGGAACTCACCCACTCTCTTTGAGACCCCACCAAGGAGCTCGCTGTGAGTGTCTATCCCAAGCTCAGGTTCTGGGAAGGAGAAGCAGACTTATTCTGTGTTGCTGTAGATGGTAGGAGTATTAATTTCTTCCACAAACATTGCTTGAGGCCAATTATGTGCTGGGAATGAGATGGGGGTGGAGGAGTGGACCCCAAAATGAGGAGCGTATTACAAACAGTTCCCAGTCTATTGGGAGAGACAACATGTAACTTATGAAAGAAGCAGCTTTTGAGATGGGCTTTGAAGGTTGGGTAGGAGGTCAGCACGCAGAGATGTAGTCAGACAGCATACAAAAATTGGAACTGAAGGCAAAGACATGTGCATGGCGAGATGATCCCTCGGGCCCTTTTCTGTTCTGCCAGTCTACGATTCTGAACTTCAGCCTCATTCTCAGCAATAATATCTCTGTGAAATCATGGATTTCACAGGTATGCTGGTTATACTTTTCTCTCATATATAGAAAAATAAATATGCAAGCATTCAAGTAAAAAGAAAAGTTCATCTGTACCTCTTGAAGGCATTTCAATTAGTGTGGTGGAGTTTACACAGTTCTAGGAAACTGTGCCAGAGGTCATAAGGAGTTATGGAGCGTCCTGTCCCCAGAATGGAGAAGATTGGAGGTGGAGAGAATGGAGACAGGCAAACTGGTCAGGCGACTGTCGCAAGAATCCAGTGAGAGGATGGGCCCCCTAACTTCTCAGAAGAAATGGCTGAGAAGCCTGGGGTGCGCGGGGTGAAGCAGCTGATTAGACCAGAGAGAAGGCTCCTAATTCCTGGTTTGCTGCACTCAAATCCTAACGAGGCAAGGCTCACATTCAATTCTGGTCATTATGTTCTTCTCAACATTGTTTTCCATTTCCCTTACCCAATTTAGGATGTATTGTTATGGCTGTTTAAATAAGGTGCCAATCCGACTGGGCAAGAGCAGGAAATGTTTCCACACAGGAAAGACTCTCATCAGATCCCTATTGCCTTTTGCAAATGGAAATCAAGCCTCCTTCTACAGAGGGCATGAGGGCTGAGTCACAGCTGCACCGTTAACATATTAGTAACACAGAAAATCCTCCTTTTCTGTTAGCAGCTTGGCCAGAGAATGTCTACAGAGGGGCTGGGGGGAGCAGAGGGTGAAGAAAGGGGTGGAGAGAGGGATGGCTCAGGAGAGGCCCCCACCTACCCTTTTCATTTGCAACCTGGAGGGGGTCTTCCCTTCCCAAACACAGGAAGATGACTCATTTAAAAACCACCAGGGTGGTCAGCCTAAGTTGGATAGACCAGGCGAGAGTGTCGTGTGCTCCTGGAGGAATGAGAGGGACATGGGGGAAGCTGGACTGGAAGAGGAAGGAATGGGGAGGACTGCAATGTAGCCAGGTCCTTACTCCATCTCCTCCCTCATCCCCAAGCCCATCTCTTTCAGTTGAGACCCTTTGCCTTGTTCCAGAAATCATGTGGCCTCCCAGGCAACTCCCAGGGCGGTTGGCCTGAAGGTCACAGGCTCCTGGCCTCTTGGCACCTCTGTGACTTATCTGAAATATGGTTCTCCTCCTTCAACTGTCCAAGACTTTTAATGCCCGACCTGCCATGCAAGCAAGCTCGCCCTGAGGCCCCTAGTTGGTGCCAGGCACTGGGGACAGAAACTAGGAATTGAGCATCCAGTCAGACAGGTGTGCCTCGGAGGACTGAGGAGGGCAACTTTCTCAGAGGATGATAACCACGCATGTCACCCTTCACCCCATCACATTGGAAGTGCCACAAAGCCAGGAGCCTCATCTGGCTCAGCCACCACTCAGCACCTAGTGCAGAGTAGGTATGTAATACACATTTGTTTAGTTTGTTGAAGGAATTCTAAGCAACAAAGGAAAACGAGATCCATTTTGGTTACACTTACTTTCCAAGCAAAAGAGTCAAGAGGCTTTATGTCTGATTTGTATAAGCTGCTGGGATAAATACTATAATAGAGAAATAAATGCTATATAAAGTACAGTGGGAGCTGAGAGGGGGACTCTGCCTGGAGTTATCTGGAGAGGCTTCCAAGAAAGCTGTCATTGAGGCAAGTTGTGAGAAATGAATGAGGTTTTCCTAGGTGGAAGTGAACACTGAGACTAGGTGTAGAGAATGGTGGCAGGACCAGAGGTGTGCAGGCAACAGGTGGGGACATGTTGGAGAGAGACCCGCAAGTGGAAGAATCTGGAGGAACCAAAGACTTCCTGAGTGTGTGCTGAGGGCAGGCAGCAGGAGATGATGTTGGAAAGGTTGCCTGGATCCATCTGTGGAGGGCCTTAAATTCCAGCCAGAGGAGTAGATCGGGAACATGTTGTGGAGAAGGAAACCTTAAATAGGGTTGATCTGGCAGTGAGGTAGGAGAAGCAAGAGGAAGGAGGGCTGGATAGGAGATGATCACCTGGTATGACAGTGTCTAGGAAACTCGGTCACTGTGAGAACAGAGTGGGAGGGCCTAGGGTGAAATGTTGATGGGGCTGTAGAGAAACAGATTCTCTCAGATATTTCTGGCAGAACTGTGCATCGGTATAGCCATCTGAAAGAGCGATTTTGCAATATCTACAGATACCCCTCAACTCAGCAATTTGACTTCTTTCTAGGTACATACAACTGAAAATTTCTGTACATGCATGGGGAAATATCTACAAGAATGTTCATTGTAACATAGTTGGTAATGGTAAAAAATAGAAATAATCTAAGTGTCTATCAGTAGTGGATTAAGAAATCAATTTTATTATTCATCTGATGGAATACTATATAGCAGTTAACATGAACAAACTACATCTATGGGTGTAAAAGGGACAGATACCAAAAAACATAACACTGAGTGAAGAAAGCACATTTTAGAGTTACTTCATGTAGTATAATAGCACTTATGACAAATTTTAAAAGTGCAAAACCAAATAGTACATACCATTTATGGATGCATAAACATAGCCTGGATTTGCATCACAGCCCAGACAATAAAAAATAGGACTGAGGAGGAGAATGCAGGGACGTCGGTGGCATCTGTAACGTGGTTTTGGTTTGGTTTGGTTTTTGTTTTGTTTTTTTTTTTTTGATAGATGGAGTCTTGCTCTGTCACCCAGGCTGGAGTACAGTGACGCAACCTCAGCTCACTGCAATCTCTGCCTCCCGGGTTCAAGCAATTCTCCTGCCTCAGCCTCCTGAGTAGCTGGGATTACAGGCGTGTGACACCACACCTAACTTTTGTATTTTAGTAGAGACAGGGTTTCGCTATATTGGCCAGGCTGGTTTCAAACTCCTCACCTCAAGTGATCCACTCACCTCAGGCTCCCAAAGTGCTGGGATTATAGGCATGAGCCACCAGGCCTGGACTGTAATGTTTTCTTTTGCTAGAAAAAGTTGCTGGCAAACATGACGCAAATGTTAACATTTGTTCATTTTGGGTGGTTCATATGCATGTTTATCATAGGCATTTGCTACATTATCTTCTGACATTTTTCCTTAGTGTTTTTTAAGCAAAAAAGAAAAAAGGAAAAAAGGGGAGGAATGAAAGAGACAGAGCCGGCCACTACCTCATCTAGCAAATAGAAGCCTACAGACACTTACTGAAGGACAACACAGCCACAATCAAGAAAAATAACAGGAAAAATGACCCCACAGCTCCTAATAAATGCTATGTTTCAGAGCCTGGGCTCATTGCCACCCTTGCCCCTACCCGCCTTTGCTGGCTGTCAGTCAAAAAAACAATAAATAGTACACGAAAGTGGATCCAAGGTGGAGAACAATGATTTGGAACTCTTGCCAGACCCGGATGCAAAGGCACTTGGAGAGCAAAATTTACACATATGTTCCCCATGTGAGAAACAGTTCATCCCTGCAGGGTGTCTAAGTACCACGAGGCCTTCTGGAGGGAGAGAGAGGAGGAGGGTTTTCAGGGCATCAGACCAAGAGAGAAGAATGGTGAAATCGAAGGGAACATAACCTACCAAAACCAGAACTATAACTACAACTAGAAGCTAGTTATAGCTAGAGGATTTATTTATGCTTGTTTTGTGAATTGTTGTGTCACCAAAGCCTTGAACAGTGTTTGATACATACTAGATGCTCAGTAAACATGTGTAAGTGAAAGGGAACAGTGAGTGACACGAGGTGGATGGGAGGAGCCTTGAGCGTTCCCAGCTCTTCCTCATCTTGATTGCTTAAGTGACCAGATTTCAGGTGTGCCAAAGCAGGCACTCACAATGTTTTCTAGATAATTTCTATCATTGCCTGAGGTAAGAACCGGGGGCCTGGATTGAGACACTGGCAGTAAAAGGGTGATGGAGTTATAGAGGAGTGAGGCTCCAGGAAGAATAAAGAGTCAGGAGGCTTAGGCAAGACATGCCCCTAAAACATGAAAATCTCATGAGTAGGAACAGGTATGAGGGGGTTTGGGGAAGCAAAATGGACACCAGAGAGAATAAAGAAGGGAATTGGGGGGAGTCTCACCCACTCCGGGCACTGGGAATTCATAAGGTGCCTCCTCCTGCTAGATGTACAGCTTGGAGAGCTGCAATGCCTTTGAGAGAATTAGGAAAAAGTGGCCCCAGGATAAAGGTCTTGACTATTGGATTGTCCCCACTCACTTGGGTGAGCTTGCGCAGGGCACAACCTGCAGAACCACACACCGAGGCCCTGGCCCCCAGATCCGCATTCTGGGCCACCAGGTTCTTTCTAGTCTCTCATCATTCTGCAGCCCCTCGCCACCTGCTGGGAGCACTCTGTTATCACTCTGGCTGCCATCCCTGCTTCATAGCCCCTGCCAGTCCACTTTGCCCTGGATCACAGCAGGGCCTTCCCTGGCAAGAAGCCAACAGACAGCAACAAGTTCTCAGGTGAATTTTGAATCCTCCTCCTCCTCCTCCCCTCCTCCTCCTCCTCCTGCTCCTCTTCTTCTTCTTCTTCCTCTTCCTCTTCCTCTTCCTCTTCCTCTTCTTCTTCTTCTTCTTCTTCTTCTCCTCCTTCTTCTCCTCCTTCTTCCTCATTTTTACAGACAGGGGCAAGCATAACTCACTATAACTTTGAACTCCTGGCCTCTAGAAATCCTCCTGTCTCAGCCTCCTGAGTAGCTGACATTACAAGCATGAGCCACTGTGCCTGGCCTTGAATATTATTCTGTGTGCAAAGACTCTGTGTTCTAATCAGGAACATTTCGACTGCTTCAGACAGGGAGGCACACGCTTTTCTACCTTCCTGAAACAGGTCGAGTAAAGTCCAAGAAGCCTGAAGCCAGAAACAAGCTGCTGCCCCGCCCTGGTGTTGCCTACAGGAAATATTGACAACATTTCTCCTGTCACCATGGAGGAGAAATGCCCTCTAACCCCAACTCCAGCATCCCAGAGAGAGTTTTTGAGTCTGCTGGGCTGGGACACATGCAAACAGTGGGGATAGAGCATCAGCACTCTCCTCAGGACCCCAGTGGCATTATGTCACCTTTTCTCAAGCAGGAGAATGCAGCCTCTTGAATTCCGAGAAAGTGGTGGCCATTGGACAGGAGCTCTGTCACTTTTCCCCAAACAATAAAGTTATCTGCATCTTCCCCTTCGTGACAACATGTCCTTCAACTTTTCTAAAGGCTACCCCTACCCACACGCACTCTGGCTCCCATTCCTTCCTAATAACCACCTTTTCCTTGAACCCAAGTGTGGGAACCTCACTTAATCTCTCCATGCCTCCTCGGATGCATAGGAGAATTAGGAAAAAGCTTCCTCATCTTTATTAGGGGGAGAAAATAGTATCTACCTTATGGGGTTATTGTGAGGACTGAGTGAGTTAATCCAATAAATGTTTAGTGTAATGCCTGCCATATAGTAGGCACTCAAAATGTTGCTTTATTATTATTATTATTATTATTATTATTATTATTATTGTTATCATCATGAGTGTGAAAGGCACAGTTAAGGGCAGTGAACTCTTAATGGCACTGAACCAGTGTGGACAGACAGGTCTGGGTTAGCTATCTGTGGAACCAAGGTTTGTCTCAGGATGGAGGCCCTACCAAGAAGGCTTCTGGCCACTGCCTGGCTGGCTCCTGGAGCCCTCAGAGTACATCCCTCTGCTTAGTGGAGTTGGCAACCCTTACCTCCTGACACTCTTGGCTTCCCATCTTGCCTCCTCTTTGCCCTATTTAGACTTGCTCCACTGATCTGAACTGACTGGGCAGTCTCAAAGGCTGCTAGCCCTAGGAGCTGGCCTTGGCACAATGCTGTACCATAGCATGAGGCCACCCTTCTCTATACCCAGCCCAGCACTCTGGGCCTCACAATGTTTGGGAGAAATCTCCTGATGGTTCTCATCAGGAAACATTTGCATATGGACTCCCTGGAACCCAATTTAGGGAGACAACTATTGAGCTAAAAATTTCACAGTCAGGACCAGTCTCAGTATAGGCAGATAGGATTTGGGGGAGCAAGAGAAAGATTCCAGAGTGTCTTCTCTGTCACCCAGTGGCTGTTGCCTAAACTTCCACTATTGGAAAGCTTCATTCCTGGGCCATAGCCATTGCTCCCTGTGAGAAGACAAAGTCCCTGAGAATGGGAACATAGTAAGTCAGCCTCCAATGTCGATGGCCTCCGTGGAACAGTTTACTGAGCAAAGTCTGCAAAACTGGGAAACACAATAGGTAATAGCTCCCTTTTCCCTTGCCTCCTTGCCACAACAACCACTGAGAAATAAAAACTCAAATACAGGTAAGGAGAGCATGAGTGTGGAGACCCTTTGGGGAAAGCTGAGGGCACTAGGCTTCTAGGTATGGTTTCAGGATGGTGGCTGAAGAGGATGATGAAGTGAGATGTGTATGTTGTGGCCAGGGGTGGGGGTGCTGGGAGGGGAAATAAGGGTGCAACCATGTTTTAACTTCACCACCTTCAAGGTGAATGACAGCTATTGTGTGTGCTCATCACAGTGCATTTTGAGTTAAACAAACCTAAGTTTTAATTCCGGCTCTGCCACTTATTAGCTTTGTGACTTTGGAGATGTCACTTAACCTCTCTGAATCTCAGTCTTTCCATCTGCACAACTCTGTTGTTACTAATAACAATACCAAATTAATAATGTTGTTTGGGGGCTTAAATGAAAAAAGACTTACAAGAGAAACCAGCCCAGTGCAGCACAGCGGCAACTCATTTATCTGCTCCATCTGAATCTTGCTCTGGGCCAGCAAAAGGTGCTTTGCCAGCAATGTAAAGACACCGAGAACCAGAAACACATGGCAAAGGTGATCCCTGAAACCTTTCTCTGCAGTGTCCGTCCTTGAAATGTCCCCAGGGAAGAGAGCATAATCCTCAGTCTAGGACTTGGGAGCCAGAATCCAGATGGCATGGCCCATTTATCAGCACCACCAGACTCTCAACTTTAATAAGCCTTCTGCATTAGTAACCACAGGAAGAGGAGGAAATGGGCTAGATTCCTTAGCGATAATGAGCACTGCCGGCTCACTTTTATATTGGCAAAGTGCATCGTGATCACTCTGATTAGTTAGTTTGCTCTCATATCAGCCCTCAGGAGGTACAAGGAGTATTTTTCTCTTTGTTTTAAAGATGCAGGAACTGGGAAGCACAAGCTGTCTGCCACTTGCAGCCCTTGGCCTGGTCAATGCCTCTACTCAGTATATGGAGCTGCCTTATGGCTCTTAGAATTTTAGGGATGAATTTTAGAGTCTAGTGCCATTTAGTACTTTTCTGGGAAGACAGGTTGCCTGGTGTTGTCTAAGAGATTCTGTCCTTTACCTATCAGACGAGGTTGTGGGCCGGCCTAGGAGCAAAGAAACTCCAAACCTTAAAAGGTTAGAAATGCAGGACCTAGGGAATTCGGGGAAACAGACCAATGAAAGTGCTTAGCAACATCCCAGGACCAATGCGGGTGAGCCCCTCTGTTTCCATGAGACAGTCTTGATTTTCATTGGCCATGAACATGATACTGTCTCCCTGAATGAGGGTGAGGGAGTGGGGGTTGTCTGCAGCTCTGTTTAGGTGTTTATACCTGTCTATGAAGGGAGCTTAAGAAAACTGGGGGAGTTCCCATTTGGGCCCTTGGCACTGGGAAGTTCTCAGTCATATCAGAAAAATGAAAGCAGTTTGGCAGACTTTTACTGTTGCCATATCCCTGCACAAATGCAAATTGTGCGGGCCATAGGTATGCGGTCTGTACACAATACGAAAAGGCACACATGGTCATCTTAAAGCTCTGAGTGAATAAAAAGCTATTTATATGTCAGTCTCTGCCTGGCCAAGGCCTGTCTCCGTAAGCAGGGAAGGTCAAAGCCCTTCTTCCTGCTCAACTGGCCCTGCTCTGGAATCAGAGTGAATCCAGTCTGACCGGGGACTGGGGGGTTCCCTCCTCAGAAAGTGGTATAAGAGGGGGACTGCAAATAGTGTATGCTGCCCTGGGTGATGCCTCTGAGCCTGGAAGCAAGCTGAGCCCCAGAGGCCACGGGGGCCTCCCACCTCCCACCACCCCTCCACCCCTGCCACGAGGGGCTGGTTTTCCTGACTGGCCACTGTGTGTCGGGCCAACATCCTTGGTCTCTCCAGCAACCCCACCACAAGGGACCTGGCACCTAGTCCTGAGCCTCAGCTGGCAGCTGGGGAGCCACGCTGGTCTGTCTGGCTCCTGCCAGCCCCTCCTTCCCTCATTGCTGGGACTCTGCTAATCCCTCCCATTGTATGCCCAGGACTGCTATTTCACCCTGCTCCCCTGCACTCCCCAAGTACAGTCATCTGTAGCAGACCTGCCTTGAGTGTTTCCCACACCCCTGTGACTCTTGACATTGTATTCAGACTGCTTCTCATGCCCTGACTTGGGCTGTTATGTGTGCTAGATGCTGGGAAGGCTGCTGGGTCTTAGTTGTCTCCAGCTCCTCTTCCCAGTGTCAGCTTGGACCCTGATGGCCAGATAGCTCCACGTGGGGGCTTCTAGCATGCTATGCAGCCAGTGCCACATCAGTTAGAAAATTACCTTGGGCCACTCTTCTTTTTTTTTTTTTTTAAGTACAATTTCCATTTTATTTTTCTCCAGAGAATAGCCTGTCTTCAGTCTTTAAGAACTCAGCTCCTTACATGGGCTTTGGTGGGGGACGTGGGGCAGCACCCGCAGGTCTAAATCGGGGTGGGGGTGTTCGGTCCTTGCAGGCTTCACGAGATCGATTCCTGACTACTTTGCTGTGAATTGCACAACTCACACAGTAATGTAGCTTCACATACAGCTTGGGAAGCACATAGGCATCGAAGACGCTCACTTCAGAAATGTCCCTGACTGCTGCGGCCTCCACTATGTTTCGAATGACGAATTTCTTAATGGCCTTGTCTGTGGGCACGCATCGGACACAGTTAGTGCAGCGAATAGGCTGCACGTGGCCGCGGCCCTTTTTGGCATGACTGTTGTTCCTTCTTTTCTTTGTCATCTTGGAGGCATGGACCGGAGAGAGCGGGCCACTCTTCTTATGTAATCATTAGAGTTCTGTGGGATCCCAAACCATCCAGGAATGTAGAGGAATGGGGGCCACCTGACAAGGATACTGGTTGATGCTCATGCTGAAGTGGTTGTAAGTTCTTGTTTAGGAGCAGGACCTTCCCTGCCACTTGATTAGGGGGAAGAATTCCAAAAATTGGGTGGAATCTGGATTCAGTCAGCTGCCCTAAATCTGGTTGTCTCAAGTGAGCCCCAAGCAAGCAAGAATCCAAAAAGCCACAATGTCCTCCACTGTAGCCATATTGGCCCTGAACATCTGCTTCCACTTCTTTAGGTTCCTGATTTGCACTCGCTTTGCCCACTGTGCCAGTAATCCTGCCTTGGGTTCTAGTCTGCTGGGCTTAACATTGACCTGTGTTTCCTCAGCTCCATCCTCTTCTCTCCCGTGACCACAGCACTGGCCATGTCCCTCTGAAAATAACTCCCCACCGTCCTCTCAACTAGCCTGGTAGCTTTCAGGACAGGGACCAAGCTTCATTTATTTCTGTATCCCCAATATAACACAGGGAGTGTATGACATAAAGGGGAGTCCAATAAACTTTGGCAGAACAAACCCACACCTTCATGTTCTCACGTAGGACTCAGCCGGTTTCCTCGTGGCTTGGTCAGTTTATTTAGTACTTGCAGAATCTCCACTCCTGTCTAAGAAATAGCCTACCTAAAACTTGAATTTCCAGTTGCCTGGAGAGGGGGAAAAACAAGGGCTCAGGAAAGTAGAACCCAGGTAAAATGGAGGGTAAATATTTGCCAGAATAATCAACATGTGTGGCTCAAGAGGGACAGGGACCACATCGGCCAAGAGGAGGTCTCAGGGTATTTTGATGCATGGCAGCCCCTAAGAAAAGGGTCTGTACTAAAGAAGCTGTTTCTGAGGGAGCAAAGTATCATGGAAAGAGTACGGGTTTGAGGCTAGAGTGCTTGGGGTCGAATCCCGGCTCAGC
Source organism: Homo sapiens (assembly GCF_000001405.40). NCBI lineage: Eukaryota > Metazoa > Chordata > Mammalia > Primates > Hominidae > Homo > Homo sapiens. The sequence continues at coordinate 72,043,535 of NC_000023.11, read as the reverse complement.
CATTTACTGTGTGGCTTCAGGCAATTTCCTAAGGAAACTTTTCATTACCTCTCTTTCCTTGTGTGTAAAATGGGGATGGTAACATTGTCTACCTCATGGAGTTAGTACAAAGATTAAAACAATATGTAGAAAGTACCTGGCAACACAGGACATTCTCAATAAGCAATATATATTAATATTAATAATATCATTAATAACATTTAGCATGTGATTGATACTGATGTCCAAAGTTTAACCTAGTTCAATTTGCAGAGACCTCAAGCAGTGTCTTCAGGGTGAAATTATGTGTGTGCATGGGTTATATTTTCTAGGAGTTTCATTTTAGGGTAGTAAAGGAAGTGCTAGTAAGTTGGCTGTAGAAAGAGGTAGCAGGTCTGCAGGAGTTGAGACTCACAAAAGTCAGGAAACAGCGCATTGCAGCTGTGTGTGGCCATGCCCATCTTCCCCACATCAATTGTGGGAACCTCAGCGGCAGGACTGAGTCCCACTCCCCTCTCTCTTTGCCTCGCCACCCTACATACCTAGTCCAGGCCTGGCACAGAACAGATGTGTGGGGAGTGAGAGGGTAACCAAAAACTTCTGAACAGGAAAGCTACCTGACTTGGGTGTGGGAGAACCTTAAATTACATGTCTACACCTGGTTCATTCCTTCCTTCATTTATTTATTCAACAAAGCACCTACAATGCACCGGGCACACAATATAGGCCCACATCTTCCATCCAGGCCCAAGGCTCCTTGCTTACTCTACAAAGTCCTTGCAGCTCCTTTTTTTTTTTTTTTGGCTCAGGGATTGTCTTCTTGGCCAGACACTCTGCTTTTCAGCCTCTTCCCAAGAGTCTGCCTCTTAAATCCTCTGCCTCAAGCTCCTCCCATTACTGCCGACAATTAGGTGTGGTCCAGTTCTAACCCCCCTTCTAGCTCCAGGACACACCACCCTAGTCTAGCCCTTACACCCCAGGCAGCTACTGGCCTGAAAAAGAGTGGGGAGCTAGGACCAACTCACAAGCAAAGAAGACAGAGAACAACTGAGTCCTGTCTTCAGAGAGGAAGTGGACATGAGGCAGGGTAGGGCGTGAGGAAGCAGTGAGGCCAGAAACTTAGCTGGTGACTGGTTCATCCTAGACCCCAATGGGGGTGAACTGGGACTGCCAATCTCTCGCAGAGGTAGCACACCGGGCTGCCGGCCACTGCAGAGCCACATTCACTCAGAGCCCAAAGAGCAGAGCTTCAGGTTTTTGTTTCAAAAACAAGTTCACTCTGCCTGACCCTGTGGTTTGAACACAATTCTAGATATTTTCCTGCTGAAATCACAGGGACTAGGGATTGAAGAGAGAGATCGGGATAGAAAAGTAGAACATCTGGGGGCAGGGCCTGAGAGGGTGGCTTCATCCATGATGCCTGCAAGGCCCTTGTCCCCAGACAAGGCCTCCAGACACTTCCAGTCTCCACTGTAGGCCAGTGTATTCCTGCTTTGCAGAGAGAAAGCACTTGGGATCTGTAGCAGCTGTTTCTGTCAGGGCTGGCAGACCTTGTAGGGAAACCCAGACCTGAGGGTTGCGGGAAAACAGAAGGCTAGCAGCATCCAGCGTGGGTGGCTCCCGAGCGCACGACCTCACCTCACCGTTCTCATGTTCCTTTAGCTTTCATCCCACCCCAGCCATGGCCTGCAGAGAATTTATAGCTGGGGGCCAGAATCCAATGAGTAAATGAGCCATACATAAAACATTTGGACCCAGAAAGGGAAAGAGGGACATGCCATGAAACCCTCCCCTGATTGTTTTCTTCTCCAGTTTCTTAAACCTTATTTGTGCTGTCTTCTGTTCAAAAGCAGATTTTGAAAGTCAGGTGGCTGAACTTCTGCATCACCCAGGGTCTGGACTGTGTGCGGAGGAGAAGAGCAGGGTGCCTGGCCCTGGTTCCCTTCCCAGTTCCATTTCTTTCCAGCCCCCTCCACTCTCCTGAGGCTGCAGAGGAATGGCTGGAAGACATGTTTTGATGGTGTAGCTTACAAATGTGAAATCGTTGTCAATGTTGAAAAGCGACAATATTTTACATTTTAGAAATCTGGATTTCTGGCATCTCTTGTAAAACTGGAAAATGTAGCAACACTGGGCCAGTAATTCCATATGACAACTAGCAGCAGAGCTCAGCAGCAGCTGTTCCCTTAGACAGGGTGCAGACTCTCCAGTTTCCCACGGTCCGCACACATCCCTATGGTACTCTGAGCACGGAGGGCCACTGATAATGTTCGTGTGGATCTTTGTATGTGACCTGCTTCACTCACTTATGTTAACTTCCTGGGCCCTCTTAGCCTTCAGCTGAGATCCCTGATTTATATCAGCTACTTACTGTTCCCAAAACAGACTTCCATATTCGCCTTTATGTGTGCAATGCCATCCTACAGCCTACCTAGAAAACATCTATCCATCCTTTAAGACCCAACTGAAACCTCCCTTCCCCTGGAAGCCTCCCTTAACTCATGCAAGCAAAGTTAGGGACTTCCTCCTCTGAATTCTCACTACATCTAGCCCAACGCTCTGTCATCATTTATCCACTGCATTATAATTATGTGTTTATATGTCTGTTTCTGCTTCTAAATTATGTGTTTCTCAAGGGTAGGGACTGGGCATTCCTCATCTTTGAATCTCCAGCTCCTAGCGCAGGGCCTTTACACAGGGAACACTCGAATGCTTGTTGAGTAAGTGATACAATGACTGACTGACTCAAGGGATGAACAGGGAGTTATAAAGCACTTTTCTTTTATGAGGGCCAGAAGCAAGTTGGGTGGCATCAGAGCATTTCTAATTTCCCCAAAGTGACAGCTCTGTGGAGTCAATCTCATTTGGCACTGAGTGCTTGGCACAGAGCCTGGCACACTGCACGTGCTCAGGGGATGCTCCTGGAATAAAATAACGAAGCTCATCTGACCATGGAGAGTGACACTTGAACTTCAGTTTGTGGTTGGAGTGCTCCAGGGACCACCCACATCATTCTCGTTTAGAATGTGGCCTCCAGCACATCCTAGCTCTGGGATCCAGGGCAAGTAACTTAACCTCTCTGAGGTTCAATGTCCAAACTTGAAAAAAATGGAAATCACGATACTTCATTACAGAGTGTGAATGAGGATTAAACAAGGTACCTCTAGGTCAAGTGACATATTTCACACAGTTAATAAGTGTTAGGGCCGTTTGTTAGTCTGAGTTAGTAAGAGAGTATGTGTGTGTGAGAGAGTGGGAGGGTATGGTAAATGAAATGTGGAACTGTGATCCCAAAGCATGGATATGATCTGTGTTCCCATCCAGCGCTGATTCCTTGGGCTTACCCTGTCAAGGGAACATTAGGGCACATTCCCTAACAGGAGTGTCTCCTGTTACAGGATGGTCAACAAAACCCCAAAGAGAGAGATAAACTCAATTCCTCGATCAAAGGCTGCCTGTAGCCCCAAGCTGAACTCTGCCTCACACCAATCCCCATCCCATAGGTATGAATGTTGCACTTGCTGAACCTATTTTGGTGGCAGTTTCCTCATCTCTATAATGGAAATGATAATAACTACTTGGAAGGGTGGCTGGGACCATTAATGAGACGAGGTATCTAAAAGCACTTAACTTGGTGTTGGGGTACAGAGTAGAGCTCAATAAATGTTAGGCCCTTCCCCTTTCCTGGGGCCACAGGGCTGCAGGCTAACAAATGAAGAATGGCAGAGGGAGGGACACCAAGGGTATGTCATGTACTGCAGACTGTGGACACGAAAGTGACAGGGACTAAAGGACTTTTAACAGGCCACAATGAGATGAGATGAGGCCAAGGGATTGAGAATGAGTAAAGAAGATGCACACATGAGTCCTAAACGTATCATGGGGTCTCTGGCTGAGTCCTCAATACCCACAACTCCACACAGGACGCAGCTGACCTGGTGCAACGAGCTCCCATCCAACCAAAATGGGCCAGATTGTGGTTAATGGACCTTACCAAGATTTCCTACAGACACCACATCATCGGGATTATTGATTGGAAGTGTACGCCACTACACTTGACTGAACTTGAAGTTGTAGACTTTCTCAAATGCTTCAAGAGGCATTTGATAGCATCATTGTTTATAAACAGGGAAAAACTGGAGGAAACCTAAATGTCTAACAACTGGAAAATGGTTAAATAAATTGTGGTACAGCCATTACATGGAATAGTGTACAGCAGTTAAAATGACTAAACTCTAACTCGTGTATCAACATGGATAAATCTCAAAAGCATAATGTTAAAAAGAGAAAGTTCAGACACAAGCCGCAAATTCAGGTTGAGACTACTCTAATCCTCCCAACTATCCCTAAGAGTCGTGTTGCACAAGATCACTTTCCCTTTCCTAATTGAAATAAAGAGAGACAAGGAAGGAAAGGAAAGGAAAGGAAAGGAAAGGAAAGGAAAGGAAAGGAAAGGAAAGGAAAGGAAAGGAAAGGAAAGGAAAGGAAAAGAAAAGAGAAGGGAAGGAAAAGGGAAGGGAAGGAAAGGAAAGCAGAGGAGAAAAGGTCCTTCAACTAAGGGCTTCTTTGGGCAGCCAATCCACTTCTGCTTCTACAAACTGGTATCTTGGCCTCTGTATGTTTTTTTTCTCACAGCTAATCACCCTCTCTGCTTTCTTGGTTCTCTTACTTAGTCTTATCTCCTATGTTGTTATATACCTTGATATCTTTATCTCCTATATATACCATTATGTCCTATTTTATCTCTTATATTATTATATATCTTTATTCACACATTTCTGCTCTCTACTCATATCAAATGCCTTTACATGAATATCATGTCTAATCTCTATTGCTTGGCCAGTCTTCTTTTGGACCAATCATAACACTCTAAATTTGCATAAAAAGAGAAATTTGCAGAACATGTATGCACAGTATGATGCCATTTATATACAGCTTAAAACATGCAAAACAATATTATATACTGTTTATAGATGTATATGTATGTGGTAAAATATAAATACATGCATGGGAATTGGAAACAGACAGTTTGGGACACTGGCTACCTCTAGGCCAGGGTAGGGGCAGAGCTCACAACTGGATGTATAATGACCTGTTTCTTAGAAAAGATCTGAAGCAAATGTGGCAAAATGTGAAGATCTGACATTTTCTCCCTACTTTACTGTTTATAAAGAGTTTGAAAGAGTTTATAATTGACTGTTTATAAAGAGTTGAAAGAGTTTGTAATTTTGAAAATGTGGAGAAGAAGATGTTTCAGGCTGCCCTGCCTCAACCTTTTACCCATACCCCTTTGTTAAGGGCCTGCACAGCGGGCATAGGGATTGCGGCATCTCAGACCACAGCTCATTTAAACCTTTACACAACCGTGGGAAGGAGGTGCCACTTGCAACTTATTCTGCTGAGGAGAGACACTTGAGCCTAGATAAGCAAAGTGACTTGTCCAAAGACAAGAAATGTGACTAGGTCCCAGACTCCCAGACCCCACTCTCATACCTTGCACCTGGAAATGAGTCCTGTGCTGCCGAAACAAATAGGGATTCTTTGAGCTTTTGGTATTTTGGATTCTGTGTTAAAAAGGGGGTTGATCAACATTTCTCGACCCTCCACTCACTGGCAGAAGGCAACCCAGATCTGATGTCTCCCAGCCCTCCACCCAGTGACAGAAGGTGGCCTTTCTTTCCCTGGTGGCACTGGCAGAGATAGAATGGGAGCTCTGTTGGCACCAGGCTATCCAGAGACTTGGCCAGGTGAGGCACCCTCTGCCCTGCAACACGGTATCTCTCATCCCTTACCTAGAGGAACTCAGTGAGAGGCCTAGGAAAGAACCTTCTGCCAACACTGGGGGCACTGGTAGAAATCAAGTGACAGTTTCACAGGCACCTGGCCAGGGGAAGAGCTTTCTTCCCTCACAGGCCTGGTATCTTCCACCCCCACCTACCAGCATCAGTCCTGGGTAAGTACATTCTGCCCCTGTGTGAAGCATCAGTAGGGACCAAGTTAGGGAGCTGCAGCTGCACCAGATGTACAAAGGAGACCAGAATAGCACTGCAAGGACTCCAAAAACTAAATTGTCATTGGAACCACAGCCCACAAAAGTAGGCCAGATCCTACATGTTTTTTTTTCTTTTTTTTTTGAGACAGAGTCTCACTTTGTTGCTCAGGCTGGAGTGCAGTGGCGCCATCTCGGCTCACTGCAAGCTCCACCTCCCGGGTTCATGCCATTCTCCTGCCTCAGCCTCCCAAGTAGCTGGGACTACAGGCGCCCACCACCAAGGCCTGGCTAATTTTTTTTTGTATTTTTAGTAGAGACGGGGTTTCACCATGTTAGCCAGGATGGTCTTGATTTCCTGACCTTGTGATCTGCCTGCCTCAGCCTCCCAAAGTGCTGGGATTACAGGCGTGAGCCACTGTGCCCAGCCGATCCTACATGTTAAACCTAAACAGCCTGCCTACTGAAATAGGAGACTGAAATAAGAGCCTCCTAACATAATATCCAAAATGTCCAGGATAAAAATTTAAAAATCACTCATCATATCAAGAACCAGGAAAATCACAACATGAATGAGAAAAGACAGTCAACATATATCAACACCAAGATGTCAGATGTTGGAATTATTGGGCAAAGGTTTTAAACCATTCATCATAAAGTGCTTCAACAAATACTCTTGAAAAAAATAAAAATAGGAAAGCTCACCAAAGTAATAGAAGATATCAAAAAGAACACACTGGAAATTATAGAACTGAAAAATAAAATAACAGAATTAAAAACTCAGTGGATGGGCTCAACAGCAGAAAGAATAAGACAGAGGAAAGTATCAGTGAACTTCAAGATAGAGGAACAGAAATTACATGATATAAACATGAGAGAAAAAAAGGCTGAAAAGAAAACATGAGCAAAGCATTAGAGAGCTGTGGGACAGAAAAAAAAAGATCTAAGATTTGTATGATCAGAGCCTCAGAAGGAGAGGAGAAATAAAATGAGACTGAAAAGGTATTTGACTAATGAAAGGCTAAAAACTTCCCAAATTTGGCAAAAGACACAAACCTCCAGGTTCAAGAAGTTGAGTAAAACCAAGTAAGATAAACCCGAAGAAATTCATGACAAGTCATAATTAAACTTTCTTTATTAAAAATAAATAAAAACTTTTGAAAGCAGTCAGAGAGAAATAATGATTACTCACAGTGGAAAAGCAAGTCAACTGACAGTGGATTTCTCATCAGAAACCATGGAGGCCAGAAAAAAATGACACATTTTTCACATCCTGAAATAAAAGAGTTGTCAACCCAGAATCCTATATCCAGTGAAAATATCCTTCAGGAATGATGGGGAAATCAAAAAATTCTCAGAGAAGGAAAAATTAAGAAACTTTGTTACCAGGCCTACCCTGGAAACATGGCTAAAGGAAATCCTCTGTCACCAGGGACTGGTTTCATGGAAGACAATTTTTCCACAGATGGGAGTCAGGGGGATGGTTTTGGGATGAAACTGTTCCACCTCAGGTTATCAGGCATTAGTTAGGTTCTCATAAGGAGCATGCAGCTTAGATCCCTTGCATGCACAGTTCACAGTAGGGTCCATGCTCCTATGAGAATCTAATGCCCCACTGATCAGACAGGAGGCGGAGCTCAGGTGGTAATACTTCCTTGCCCTGCCGCTCACCTCCTGCTGTGCTGCCCGGTTCCAAACAGGCCACAGACTGGTATCGATCTATGGCCTGGGGGTTGGGGACCCCTGCTGTAAACATAAATGAAACAATAAAGAAGGAATCTTGGAATACCAGGAAGGAAGAAATAACACAGTAAGCAAAAATATGGGTAAATACAATAGATTTTTTCTTTTCCACTTGAATTTTCTAAGTTATATTTGATGGTTGAAGCAAATACTATCTTATGTGGTTCTAAATGTATGTAGAGGAAATATTTAAGATAATTATAAATAAGGGAGGCTAAAAGGGCATAAAGGTAGATAAAGTTTCTGCACTTCACTCGGGCAACAAGAGCGAAACTCCGTGTCAAAAAATAAAAATAAAAAAGCAAAAACTGAGAGAGCTGAAAGGACAAATTGATGAATCCACAATTATAGTTGGGTTCTTCAACACTCCACTTACAGTAATTGATAGACATACTAGACAGAAAATCATCAAAGAGAAGAAGAATTCAACAACACAATCAATCCGAGAGATGTAACTGACATATACAAAGAACCCTCCACCCAACGAGAGCAGAATACACATGGAACATTCACCAAGGCAAAAATCTCAATAAACTTAAAAATATTTGAAGTCACACTGAGTCTGTTCTCTTGACATAGAGAATCAAACTACAAGTCAATTTTTAAAATATAAAAGGAAAATCTCCAAACACCTGGAAATTAAACAACACACTTCTAAACAACCCATGAATCAAAGAGAAAGACTCAAAGGAAATTTTAAAAATATATTGGACTGGATGAAAATTAATTAAAATACAAATATCAAAATTTGTGGGATGCATTTAAAGCAATGCTGACAGGAAAATTTATAGCACCAAATCCTTACATTAGAAAAGAAGAAAGGCTTCATATCTATAAGAATGTATAATAATAAGAAGAGAAAGATAAACCCAAAGTAAGAAGAATAAAGGAAATAAAGAGAGCAGAAATCAATGAAATTGAAAATAAGAAAGCAATCGAGAAAAGTCCATGAAACAAAAGTTCATTTTCAAATAAATTGATAAAATTGATAAATGTCTAGTAAGAATAACAAAGATAAAAAGAGAGAAGACACAAATCACCAATGTCAGGAATGAAACAGGGTTATCAGTACAGATTCTGAAGCCTTTAAAAGGATATTATAAACAACTTTACACTCATAAATTCAACAACTTAGAAGAAATAGACCAATATCACAAAACCACAAACTACCAAAGTTCAATCAAGAAATAAATAATCTGAATGTGAAATCTTATAGTGATTTCAAAAACTGAATTTACAATTTTTAAAAGCTTCCAAAAAAGAATGTCCAGGCCCAGGTGCTTTCACTGGAGAATTCTACCAAACATTAAAGAAAAATTAACACCAATTTTACACAGTCTCTTACAGAAAATAGAAAAGGGGGGAACACTCCTCAGTTAATTTATGAGGTATTATACCCTGATACCTAACTAGACAAAAACGGTATACAAATAAAAACACTACAGGCCAATATAGTTCATGAATATAGGCACAAAAATGTTTTAAAAACATTAGCAAATAGAATTCAGCAACATATAAAAAGAATTATACACCATGACCAAGTGGGTATTTTACTCTAGTGGAGGTTTATTCCAAGAATGCAAGGCTTACCCAATATTTGAAAAATCAATGTAATCTACTACATCAACAGGCTAAAGAAGAATAACCATATAATCCAATCAATGGATTCAGCAAATCATTTGGCAAAATCCAACACCCATACATGATAGAAACTCTTGGAAAACTAGGAAGAGTGGGGGAACTTCCTCAACGTGGTAAAGAACATCTATTAAAGAACAAAACAAAACAAAAAACAAAAACAAAACCCTACAGCTAACATTAAACTTAATGGTGGAAGACTGTTTTCTCCTTGAAATTAGGAAGAAGACAAGGATGTCTACTTTCACCATTCTTATTCAACATAATACTGGAAGCTCTAGCTGGTGCAATAGGCTAGAAAAAGAAAGAAAAGGCATACAAATTGGAAAGGAAGGAATAAAACTGTCCCTATTTGCAGACGACATAATTATATATATATAGAAAATCCCAAGCAATCTACACAAAAACTCTTAGAACTAATAAATGACTTCAGCAAGGTTGCACTATAAAAGATCAACACAGAAAAGACCACTGCATTTCTATATATTAGCACTAACCAGGTGGGAACCAAATTAAAAACACATAATACCATTTAAAGTTGTTCCAAAGAAAATAAAACACTTATGTGTAAAACTTGTATAGGATATCTATGCTGAATATGACTAAATGCTGGTGAAATAAATGAAAGAAGGCCTAAATAAAGGACAGACATACTATGTTCGTGGATTGGAAGACTCAACGTAGTAAAGATGTCAATTCAGAGGCCGGGCACGGTGGCTCACGCCTGTAATCCCAGCACTTTGGGACCCAAAGGTGGGTGGATCACAAGGTCAAGAGAGCAAGGCAATCCTGGCCAACATGGTGAAACCCCATCTCTACTAAAAATACAAAAATTAGCTGGGCGTGGTGGCGTGCGCCTGTAGCCCCAGCTACCTGGAAGGCTGACGGAGGAGAATCACTTGAACCCGGGAGTCGGAGGTTGCAGTGAGCCAAGATTGCGCCACTGCACTCCAGCCTGGTGACAGACCGAGACTTTGTCTCCCAAAAAAAAAAAAAAAAAAAAGTCAATTCTTCCCAAATTGATTTATAGGCTTCATACAATTCCTATTAAAATCCCACAACGTTTTTCTTTTTATAGATATAGACAACTATATTCTAAAATTTACGTGGAAAGGCACTAGGCCCTAAAACAGCTAAAACAATCTTGAAAAAGGAGAATAATTGGAGGAATTACTCAGTGCTAAAGCCTACTATAGAGCTACACTCATCAACACTGTGTGGTATTGGTGGAGAGATAGATAAACAGATAAATGGAACATAACAGATAATCCAGAAATAGACCCACAAAATATGCCCAACTGATTGATTAATTTTATTATTTATTTTTAAGAGCAGAGTCTTGCTCTGTCGCCCAGGCTGGAGTGCAGTGGTGTGATCTCAGCTCACTGCAACGTCTGACACCACGGCTCATGCAATTCTCCTGCCTCAGCCTCCCGAGGAGCTGGGACTACAGGTGAGCACCACCACGCCAGGATAATTTTTGTATTTTTAGTAGAGATGAGGTTTCACCATGTTGGCCAGGCTGGTCTCGAACTCCTGACCTCAAGTGATCTGCCCACCTTTGTCTCTCAAAGTGCTGGGATTACAGGTGTGAGCCACCATGCCCGGCCTACATAACATTCTTGAAATTAAAAAAGTCATATAGATGAAGAATAGGTTCTTGCTTACCAGGGGTTAGCTGATGAGGGGAGTGGGTAGTAGATGGGTACAAATACCAAGAGGTAGCATGAGGAAGATCTTTGTGGTGATGCAACAGTTCTGCATCTCCTTTTTATTATTATTATTACCATTTTGAGACTGAGTCTCGCTCTTTCGCCCAGGCTGGAGTGCAGTGGCATGATCTCAGCTCACTGCAACCTCCGCCTCCCGGGTTCAAGCAATTCTCCCTGCCTTAGCCTCCCGAATAGCTGGGATTACAGGTCCCTGCCACAACGCCCAGCTAATTTTTATATTTTTTTGTAGAGATGGGGTTTCGCCATGTTGTCCAAGCTGGTCTTGAACTCCTGACCTCAGGTGATCCGCCCAACTTGGCCTCCCAAAGTGTTGGGATTACAGGCATGAACCACCGCGCCTGGCTTATTTTTTTTTTTTTTTTTTACTTCAGTGGCCAGTTACTAGAAGTTCTGCATCCCAATTGTGATGGTTATACAAATCTATACATGTGATAAAATTGTTTGAAATGATATACACACTCATATACAGAGTACATGACATGTAAAACGTGAAACCTGAATACGCTCTGCGGATTGTACCAACATCACTTTCCCAGTTGTGTAAGATGTCAACATTGTAAAACTGAGTAAAGGGTCACCAGATCCACCTTGTAAATTTTTTTGCAACTTCCCTTGAGTCTAAAATTGCAAAATAAAAAGCTTTTAAAAAGGGTTAATGTGTTCACTTGATATATTTATTTCCTAACATGTCAGAACTGGTTTTTTTTTTTTTTTTTTCCAAGCGAGGTCTTAAGCCAGTGTGTTGGAAAGGAGCGAGAAAGCAGGAAAGGGGCAAACCAGCATTTGCTGAGAACCAGCTCTGGGCCAGACAATTCACATACATGATCTAATTTAATTCTCATGACAACACTGACAAGGTTGGCACTTTAATCCCATCTCACAGATGAAAATGAGTCCTAGAGAGGTTCAAAGCTTGTCCAAGCTAGTTGTTAATAATTCTTAATTGAAGCTAATAATTCCTAATTAAAGCTAATAATTAGTAAGTGCTTATGTGTGCTAAGTGCTACACATGAAATAGCTCATTTAATACTCACAATAGCTGTGTAAGGTAGGTACTACAATTACTCTCATTCTATAGATATGGGACCTGAGGCTCAGAGAGGTTAAGTGACCTGCCCAAGATCACACAGCATGGAAGAGGTGGAACCAGGATCCAAAACAGGTGTGTAGGAGTCTGATGCTCTTTTCCTCGGCCCCAAGACACCTCCCAAAGCAAAGTGGAATAAGAGATGTATTTCTGATTCAAAGGCAGAAATGAGCCCTCCTTGGTGCCCTCAATTAAGCCCCATGCAGTCTCCTACACAGACCCTAGAACTCTTTATTGCACATATACCTTCACACGTCCGCCTCTCCTTCCGAGTGTTAAATTATGTAAGCTCCTTGAGGGATAGAACCATGGTTTACTCATGTTCGTGACCTTAGAGCTTGCCACAAGGTAGGGACACAACCGATGTCTGCTGCATAAAAGAAGCTGGAGATCACTTTAAATCCTATGAACGATTCTCTCCTCACTAAGGGGGCTGGAACTGGGAGTATTTGGGAGCCCACTCCTACCTGCATTGGGTAGTTGGGTGGACTTGGCTCTCTTTAATCCTTTGTTACAACTGGTGATGTGCTGGAGCCAGTCTGCTTGGCTCACCAGAGCCAATTGTTAAATTTTCATAATTTTGTGAGCCAGTTGTTAAACTGTTGGTAGCTCGAAATTAGCCATAGCAGGAATATTTATACCACAAAATTGGCAAAAGCTACAAAGCAGGGCACCCCATTACACACACCAGAACTGGTTGTTAAACATTTACCAGCATGCCACTGATCACAAACATTTGATTGCAGCACTTGGTGCGTGTAAATACCAAATGGAAGGGGCAAAAGTAAGCCTTCTGGGGTGCTGCGAATGTTCTATATTTTGATCTGGGTGGTGGTTACACACAGATGTATACACACACACACACACACATATACATATACAACTTCATTGAAATGTACATTTACAGTGTGCTTTATGCAATTTACTGTATATATGCTTTCCTCAGTAAAAAAGAACTCCCAGACTGTGCACAAAGCTGTGATTGATTCTGAGTGCCCCCTGCGGAGACCCCACTTATCAGAATGCACAGATGAACCCCAGTGGTATTGATCAGTGTCACCAATAACACAGCCCAGTCCAGTGCATTTTTTATTGCACAGGACGGGGCAAAGGTGAGCCAAACAGCTGCTGGCAGCAGGAATCCAGTTCCCTTCATGTCTTTTCTTCGTCATAGCTACTGTCATCTCTCACCTCTGTTATTCCTGGCTCTGTGGCTAGGGTCAGTGCTGTTTGCTGACAGGCAGCATGACTCATTATTCGGCAGATCATTTTTCTGATTAAGTGGGGAGATGGATGGATATTTTCCCATACTTGGGCAGAAACCTCATTCCCTTGGATTCCTTTCCTGAAATTACTCAGCTTTACATTTAAGGGGTGGTTTTCTCCACTTTTTTTTTCTTTAATAGTACACATAACGTTTAGCTCTCCTCAAACAATCAGACTTGCAGAGAAAATGGAGAGGAAAACAAAGTGATTCCCAAAAATGCACCCTTACAAGGGAGAGGGAACAATCTTTCAAGGGCTTCTTTCATGAAGTCACCCTAGATGGGAAGGCCCAGCTGCTGGCAAGCATTCAACTTTCCTGACATAAGCCCCTGACATTTTCTCCGCCTCCCCTCCACCAGCCACCCTTCTGCACCACTTGCTTGGAGTAGCTGCTTTGTTCTGCAAAGGAATGACAGGAGCTCTGAGGGCTTGCAGCCAGAGCCCAGCAATCCAAGAAGTGGGCAGAGCATGTGCGAGGGCAGTAGGCCTACCTGCAGGAGTGGGCAGTTGAGCTTGGAGGTATCCCTTCCTGAGGAGGCAGGAGCAGCCACAGTGGGATTGGAAGGGTGGACAAGGATAAGTTAGCAAAGTGCTACTGTCATAGCCTCAGGACATCATGGCCTATTCCCTATCCCTTTTCCAGGCTCACAAATAACCCTTTAGATAAGCCCAGTTCAGTCGCAAACACCCAGTGCAGTGGTAGCTGGGCTATGAGGATTTGTTTTTAAGTAGGGTGGTGGCAGCCCCGAGCAGGCCAATTCAGCCCTCTCAGCTGAAGTCATGAAGCTCACCCATTGGCTCCACCACTCCCATTTCTGCTTGAGCAGGGTGAGAGCAGAGTACACAGGCGCTGGCATTGGTCTCACTGCCCTTCCTCTGTATGCATTAGGTCCTTGTGTGAGCTGCCAGTTATGACTCCAGTCCTGAACCCCAACCCTACTTGGACAGGGTTAGACTCTGCCTTGCTTTTGCCGGGCCTTTTCTCCTGGGGGATACTTCCTATATCATACACACATACATGCTTGTCTATGCCATGCCTAAGCTTTCCACACCCAAAGGACCACCCAAGAGCCAGTATTCCCAACCCTATCCCTTCCCCAACAGCCAGGTGGCTGAGATCCCAGCATGCCTCCTGCCCAAGTTATGACAACTTACTTAAATCACAAAGACCAAAGTCCTTAGATGTTCTTGGCAAATCCAAACAACGCTTGGTCCACATATGATGCTGAGGACCCAACCAGGGGCCCAGCTCTACCGACAATGTCCAAAGAAGGCCTGGGCCACCCCTTCTGTCAGGGAGGGGTTAGGCTGAACTTGTGGATCCCTGTTGTTTCCTGACCTTCAAAATCCTTCCCAGTGGCTGAGGTAATGTTTGGGACCCAGGCCCAAATCTCTTTCAAGAGAGAGTGTTGTCAAATGAGATGTACCCACTCTAGTGCCAACAATGTCAGCACCTATCATGACCTTATCATGTCACCTCAGTACACTAGAAGCTAGTGCCCCTTCCTCTCTCAAATCAGCTGAGGGGTGAGGGAAAGGGAGGAGTAGAGATCTGGGGAAGGAGGCCAGGCGGAAGGACCTGCTGCCATATTGGATTGCTGGTTCCCTGACACCAGTGACGGGCACCAATAGGCATTTAACTGATGCTTGCTGATTAAATACACAAATAAATGAATGAATTATTCCTAAAATAATAGGGGAAAACATCCTTGAGCTCACAGAAATCTCGAGCTCTCCTTGAATCTCTATCACAAACCCAGTTTGCCTTCTCTACCTCTTCCTTTGTGCTTCCCCCTTTCAGCTGAGTAGCATTAAGTCATTTTCCCTGAAGTGTAAACTGAAGTCCTTAAAAGCTAAAAGCCTTGCTTGTAGTCATCCAACAAAGTTGAAAAAAGTAAGCCCAAGAAGACCTTGAGTGGCTCCTGGCCCACTGCACATGCAGCTGGAGCAGACTGAATCCCATTCACCTTAGCTGAGTGGTTCCATGCCACCAGAGTCACAGATGGCTGGGGCTGGACATGTTGCCATCTGCTTTTCTCATAGGGTTCCTAGCACCCTCTGGCCTCCATTCCTCTAGCAGCAGCAGTGGCAGCAGCAGCAGCAGCGGCAGCAGCAGCAGCAGCAAACTCAACACCTCACACTCCTAAACTCCCACCCATCATGGGTTTGGTAGGCAACTCACGAGGGTGGAGGTAGGCCAGGCTGCATGGACCAAGCCTCCTTCTGACCCTTAATACAAAACCCCTAGTGGAGTCACCAAAGCCCACCCATCTCCTTCCTGCCTCGGTTACCAAGGTTCTCGGAGGTCTTGAGAGTTCCCTTCCGCCTCCCACAGGGTCTGTGTTGGACACTCCCCAGACTTCCCTGACAGGGTGAAGGTTAAAATGTCCAGACCACGTACCTACTCATTCCAGCCACTTGTCCAGCTGTCCTCCAAACTGTGTGCTCAGGAGCTGAAGGAGGGACCAGGTGAGAGGACGAGGCTGCTGGGGAAAGCCCTGGGCTCTGGAACCTCCTGGCCAAGTTCACCAAATTTCCAGACGAAGGACGGAGGAGAGACGAGCAAATGAGAGAAAGGAAAGGAGGCAGGACCAAAGCTAACCCCTTCTTTTTTCTTCCTAAACTCAATCCAGATTCGCCTTCTGAGGGCTGCTTGAAACTGATCCCCGCGGCTCTGACTCGTCCTTTCTTAAAGACATAGTCTCCGCTTTGGAGGTGGGGAGTGAGGAAAACCCCACCTAGCCAAAAGATGTCCAGGAGCAAAAGATGGGGGGAAGGCAACATAAGCACGAAACTCAAAATGCCCCATGCCCCAACTCCTGATCCAGACTCCAAGCTGGAGCCTTACTGGAAGTTCCTTCAGAGCAGCTGACTCAAGATCTCTGCTGGATATCATGAGAGACCCTGTCAGAGCCACAGGGCTGTAGTGGGAAGTGGGCCAGTTTCCTGGCACTGGCAGATTAGGGACCAAAGCTGAAGTCTCAGGGTGTGTAGGGAAGGGAGCACTGGACAGGGAATCCTGTCTCTTCTGCTACTCCCTGTGGCACCATAGGCCAACCACTTTCCTCTTCTCCTCTCAAACACAGTTTCCCTTCTTCACACATTGAAAAGATCATCACTGCAGCCCTGCCCAGCTCCCAAGTTGCTGAAGTCTCCTCTTATAACAAAAGGTAGCACACTTGGGGAACTGGTGTCTGACCCTGGCATGCTGTACTGCTCTGGCTGGCAGATATTTACAGAGACCAGAGGTGGGACTTTCTGCTGGGTTGGGTGATGGTGGAATCCGGATGTGATCTTATGAGTGGGTAGATGGGGAGTCATTTTGTATGTGTGCCAGGGGAGGAGGTGGAACAGACTGTCTCTCGTGTTTCTTACAAGGTGTTAACAACTTATCAGGATCTGCCATTTGAGGGTGCAGAAAGAGGCTGTGAGTACATCCTTACAACCTTATCTCGCCCTCACCTCCATATTTCCCATTTCCTTCTGCAGGAAAACCACCTAGGCCATTGGCCTGGCAGGGCCTGGGACAGCCTCTGGCTGTGGTGCCTTCCCCATAGCTCTTTCTTGCTGCAGGCTCCAGCTCCCACTGTTTCCTAAAGCTTAAAGCTGCCCACCTCCTCCCCATGCCTGGGCTTCTGTTCTTTTTCATCCTGTCTGCAGAGCAGGGCATGATCTCTGAGTTTCTTCTTCCTTCCTTGTTGTCCCCAAAGAGCAGCACACAGGCCCTTTTCCTTCTGAGGCCATGGTTCTCAGCTTTGTCTCCACTTTAGAATCTCCTGAGGAGCTGCAGAAAAAATACTCCAACTCCATCCCCATCCCTAGAGTCAGATTCCAATAGTCTGGGATGAGGCCTGGGCAGCGCCATTTCAAAAGCTCCCCAGGTGATATTAATGTGCAGCCACAGATGGGAACATTGGATTTAAAGGTTCCTGCTGTCTATACATCAGGGAATCGGGCAGGGGAGACCCTGATAACAGACGGGGAAGGGACAAAGGGTTAATAGACGTCAAAGGTCTTCCAGGAGCCCTGAGTCTCCTTCATGCATTACTCTCTTAGGAGAAAATAATGGCACTGGTTCACACCACAGCTCAAGGCACAGTGCCAAGTGCTTTATGTGTATTACTTCACTGAATCCTCAGGACCACCTTAGGAGATATTATCAGTAACTTCATTTTACATTGAGGAAACTGAGGCATCAAGAGGTTAAGCAATGGGTCCAAGAGTACACAAACAGCAAGTGGCATAGCTGGGATTTGAACTCAGGCATGCAGCTGGCCATCAACCACTATGCCCTGGCTGCCAAGCATCAAACCGAGTACTGCTCTAAGACGTTCCCTTCATACCTGGAAGAGCCCTCATTCCACACCCCAGGTCTGGAAATGTGCACTGGGGCTGAAAAAAATGGTGTCACTTAGTTTCCACTCAGGTGTCCTTTGCCCTAAATGGGTCATTTGTTTTTGAGGGAACTCCATTTAAGGGCTGGCAGTCACCTTCCAGAGGAGACAGAGAGCTGCAGTGGTTACAAAATGGACTCTGGTCGGACAGACCTGGATGTGTGTCCCAGCTCCGCACTTACATGCTGGTGACTGTAGACAAGGCTTCCCTCCTGTCTAGCGCTGGTCTCCTGTGTGTCAAGTGGGATAATCACACCGAGTTCCTGGAGTTGGGAGGGTGAGGTGAGAGTGCATAGGTGAGGTGCCTGGTACAGAGCCTGGCCAAGCCTCCAGCCCACCCTCTATCAGGAGTGCCTTCTAGGCCATGGCGTGGACCCCTTTGTCATGCCTTTGGCAGTCTGGCACGGCTTAGGGACCCTTTCTAGGAAAAAAATAGGTGGGAGATCTTTGGGGGTAGAAAATAGTAGCTATTATTTTGTGTTTTTAAAGTTTTATTTTATTTTTCATTGACAAATAATTGTATATATTTATAGGGTACATTGTGAGGTTTTGATACATGTATACATTGTGGAATGGTCAAATCAGGGAAATTAGTATATCCATGACCTCAAATAGGTATCATTATGATCATTTATCACACATTTATTATGTGTGAGAATATTTAAAATCTAAGACATTGGTCAATAGGCACTAAGTTACAGTTAGAGAGGAGGAAAAAGTTTTGGTGTCCTATTGCACAACATAGGCAACTATAGTTAATAACAATGTATTGCATATTTCAAAAAATGCTTCTAAATGTATTAGATAAATTACCTAGGATTATAAAGGAAACTGATTACTGTATCTTGAGATGCAATTTACAATATAGTCATATGTGCTTCTTGATTAACACCTTCAATATAACACGATCAAGCAGTGGGTCTAATGACTATTATCATTTTGAAGTGGTGATGAGCATAGATGATTTTCTGAGATCCCTGCCACAACCGTAATGTGATATGAAAATAGCTGTGATTCTAGTAGTGACAGTCACAGATGCTGCTAATAGCACTGTGGCTTACTGCCCCAGAAACAGCTTTGTGTGCTCTTTTGTTCTTTAGCTATGTGATCTAGACCACCCACTCAGCCTCTCTGTGCCCGTCCTCATCTGTGAAATGAAGGTACCTGTGAGGATGAAATGAGTTAATGAACCAGCAAAAATGGCTCAAACACCATGCAGAGTACTGTGCCATTTGTATTCTTTTGGGATCTGGGATCTTCAAATGTCTCCTTTAAAATACTGCCAAGGCCACATCTTCCTAGGTCAAGAAGTA
Source organism: Homo sapiens (assembly GCF_000001405.40). Lineage (NCBI taxonomy): Eukaryota > Metazoa > Chordata > Mammalia > Primates > Hominidae > Homo > Homo sapiens. The sequence continues at coordinate 72,024,393 of NC_000023.11, read as the reverse complement.
AGCCCGTGTTTCAAGGACTGCCAACTCTTGGGCTTCACCTGAGGAGAAGTCCCCAGGGCCTCTCCTGGTAGCCCCATTTGTAGCCTCAGTCGCTGTCCTTACCTCACCACCAAACCATTATAGTTACAAGCCCTACCATAGATCTCAGCTTCCTGTGTAAGAGTTCAGAATTTTCCTACAAACTTCTAACAAATTAAAGACTGATTTGGAAACCCACAGCGCTCCCTAATTTGTTATAGTTGTTAGGGGTCAGGGAGGGGTTTAGGGAGCATCAGAGCCATCTCTTTACTGTGCAGATGTGGCAACTGAAACAGAAAGAGACCCTAAGGTCACATGGAAGCTTGTTGGCAGTGTTAGGCCTGGGACCCAAGATTCCTCTCCCTCAGGCCTCCTAGGGCACAGTCAAATCTCCATCCTCTTTGGTTCCTCCTCCTTCATCCTCACCATCTCATCAGTTGACAGTTCCCGTCGGTTCCATTTCCTCCTAAATATGTCACCAATCTGTCAGCTCCTGCCTTGGCTCAGGCCCTCTCCCACTCTACTCCTACTGGCACTGCTGCCTCGGCCTCCCCACCAGCCTCCCTGCCTCCAGTCTCAACCTCCAATAGAACCTTCCTAATCCATGCTTCTCTTCCTGTTGCATGCCAAGAATGTCAAGAGCTCAGAGGAAGCTTGCAGTCCCTGAGTCCAAGCTCCTCACTCACCACCCCACTCCACATCCTGCCATGTCATAGAGGAGGAAACTGAGGCTGAGCCAGGGGAATGGAGCTAGCCAAGTCTGATAGTGAACAAGAGGTAGAGCTGAAACCAAAACTCAGGTCAAAGGGTCATGGAATTTGAGGGCTAGAAAGCTTAGTTTAGTGCTATTCCCATTACATCACCCACCTCTGAGAATCACACCCCCAGATCCTATTGTTTCAGGTAACAACTGGAAATATTGTTTTCATCAGGACCATAATTGCCACTTCCCTTTCTAGGCACTCATTTTGGAAAAAGCAGACAATACTCCATCTCCTTCTCCCATTTCTCCCCAAGGTTCTTGAAGCAGGCCTCCAGCATCCGCCAGCCTGATTTTCTTCCTTATCTGTTCTAGGCATAGGCAGGCCCTGCCTGTTCCCCAACCATTTTCACACGTATTTCTACTGGCCTGGGCCCAAAGTCAATTTGCCAATCTTATGTCATTGGACTTCCCTGTTGCCTTGAATTTACTAGAATATATTAGACCATATTTGTCTCCCCTCTGCTGCCCCAACACCTAGTATCAAGCCTGGCAGAGAATGAACATTCAGTCTTTAAGAAATAAATGAATGAATAAAAGAAAATGCTGGTATTGCAAAGGATAAAGAAAAGAATAAGACACAGACAGTCCTGCCTTCCAGGAGCTTAGAGTTTACTTATGAAGACAAGATCTAGAAAGTAGTAGAAATAGTGAATGGATAACCAGGCAGCCATGTTTGACTTTCCTTTCAGGCCAAGCAGGGACCTGGGGTACTGTATCCAGGCTGGAATGCAAAGAGCTGTTGGGTGCAAGGTATAATAGGTAAGTCATGGAGGTGGGGTGATCTGAAGCAGCATCTAGGATCAAAAAGTGGGGATTAAGTTAAGCCTCAGACTCTAACAGGGCTGGGAAAGTTGTGAAAACCAGATACGGTCTCTAGGACCTAGACACACTAAGTGTCATGGATTGAATGTCTGTGCACCCTTCTTCATATGTTGAAACCCTACTCCCCAGTGAGATGGTACGGGGAGATGGGGCCTTTGGGAGGTGATTAGTTCTTGAGGGTGGATCCCTCATGATGGGATTAGTGCCCTTACAAAAAGAAACATCAGAGAGCTTGCTTCCTCTCTCTGTTCTCTGCCAAGTGAGGACACAAGGAGAAGGGGGCCATCTGCAAACCTGGAAGAGGACCCTCACCAGACACCGGATCTATGGGTGCAGTGATCTTAAAACTCCCAGCTTCCAGAACTGTAAGAAAAAAAAAATTGTTGTTTAAGCCACATGTCCATGGTATCTTGTTACAGCAGCCCAAATGGGTTGAGACATTAAAGTAATGAAAGCAAGTTCAGAATGGAGAAGAAAGATTCTGGAAATAGTTCTTCAAGCCATGGGGTATAGCTGCAGAGGCTTATTATAGTATAATAATATTTATTGGCCTCATCTGTGAGTTGGGGTGGAGCTCTTCAAACCACCAACAGGCGGCAGCACTGCTAAAGTGACAGGCTCCTAGCTCAAGGCTCTAAGGGCTCAGGGCAGCTTTGGTGGGTGGGGGGCTTCCCAGAGGGGTGAGAACCTATGCTCTTGAAGCATGGGAAAGATTCTGAGAAGCAGGTAGAGTGCCTGGGTGTTTGAGGTCGAGAAAATATCCCAGAGAGCAGAGGCACCATGGTAGAGGAATTCTAAGGCATGACTGAGGCTAGGGAGGAACAGGATTCAGGGAAGAACCCCACTGGTAGGTGAGGAAAAGAGAGATGGTCTAGCACCTCCACATGCCAAGTAAAGTGCTGGGGAAGAAGGAGAAGCCGAGCTGAGGCAGGGGCACCATGACAGCCTTGGCTGTCAGGCTCAGAAGTTTCAATTCTATAGGCAAGAGGGTTTCTCTGAAGGCTTCTGAGCAGAGGAGCTACCGAATGAAAATTTACTTACAGTGTCAGAAGAAGGGAGTTTCCAGCCTCAGTCCCATCCCTGACTCCCTGAATGACCTTAAGTCACCCAATCTTCATCTTCCCCCTGAGTAAGATGAAGGGATGATATCGTGGAGAGCCCAGGCTTTAAAACTAAAGAGATGTGGATTCGTATCTCAATTCTGACTTCCTCACTGTGTGACCTTGGACAAGTTACTCAATGTCTCTGAGCCTCAGTTTCCTAGGGAATAATAATGCTACCCCAGTATAGATTCAGAGTAAGGGAAGTTTGAAGGCCTACCTGGGCCCTGAGGAGAAGCTCCCTTTCTCTGCCCACTTACTCTCCCTTGAAGCACACACGTCCAGTGATTTTAAGTTGGATTTGGGTAACAAGAATTGGGTGACAGGCAGTGAACTGGAGGGAAAGGGACCACAGACAGGAAGGCAGGGGATAGATGAGAAGTGTCTGAGAATAGAAGCAATAAGAAAATAGAGGCAGAGCCAGGGCAAAAATGTCTAAGGAACCAATTCCATTTGGTGACTGAGAAACTGATGCTATCATCACTGAAATGAATAAGTGATTGGAGAGGTGGGAACACAGCTTTAAGTCTTCTCACTCCTCAGCTTTCTGCATTAACAGGGCAAGCATTCACTGAACACCCAGAACATAGTCCTCAATATTTGTGTGTGTGTGTGTGTGTGTGTGTGTGTATGCGCACGCGTGTGTGTGTGTACACACCCTCACCTCTAGGGAGTTTCCCCTGCCCTTTCACTTTCAGAGAAGACAAGGTCAAAAGAGGAATCTAGATCTTTGCTACTCAAAGTGTGGTCTGTGGACCAGCTATGTCACCATTACCTGAGAGTTTGTTACAAAATGAAGAATTTCAGGTTCTTCTCCAGACCTTCTGAAACAGAATCTGCACTTTGCTTCTCAGAGTCAACATACAAACCATCATCTAGAGATCTTGTTTTCTATGTCACTGGTCCATGGGTTACACATTGAAAAGCAAGGAACCAGGGCAAAAAAGGAGCCACTGTGTTGGGGATGGAGCTTTAAAACGGCAGGGGCCAAGGGAAACCAAGTCAGCTAGGGTTATGGGTTTATTTTGGGGGCTTCTCTCAGACAGGTGGGGCAGTAAATCCCAGAGCACTCCCTTCCCCCCTCCCTAGAAAGCTGCTCAGCACTGTCTCTGGTCTGGACCAAAGCAGGGCTAGTGGCCCCCACATAATCTAGCTTAACCCTAGCCCAACTCCAGGAAGGAAGAAGAGGCCATATAGTGGTTTGCGTCCAGAGCCCTGCCTCAGACTGAAACGTCCTCTGAGCAGTATGTTCTTTGAGGATTTAGCCTGATGATCTGCAGCTGGTTAAAGAGTCAGAGTTTTGGGGTCCCAGCCAACATCTCTTCCCATCAGAGACAAACTAATGGAGAGAAAGAGAGAACTGTCCCCAGCTCATGCTTTTGCTGGGAACACAAGACTCACAGCGATCTGTGTCAGTGCTGCTGTGTGAGCTGAAGTATGTGTGTGTGTGTGTATTTTAATGAAGGCATAAAAAAATCAAGGAACTATGCCAGGTAGTGAAATTACGGAGAGTTTTTATGTTCTTCTTTGTACTTTCCTGTTTTTTCACAATTAGCCTGTGTTAGTGTAAAAATCTGTAAATAAAGACTATTTCAAAAAATAACACGAAGAAAAATCATGGCAGAATACAAGTAAGTGCTGACTTTTGTGCTGCAGATAGTTTATCCTATGGGGATAGGATTCAGGGGAGATTTCTAAGGTGAAAGACAGAGGAAGCAGATGGAGAAGGGGTGCCTGAGATCACCAGGCCTTTATTCTGCAGATGGGCTGAGTCAAAAGTCAAAACCTGAGTCTCTTGGACTGCCCAGCACTGGTCAGGCTCTGACTAGGGTAACTGGATTCATTTGTTGAATCTGAGAACCTTAGATCTAGAAAAATCTGAGAAATTACAGAGCCAGCCCTATCCTTTCCTTCTCACAGGAGGGACTGAGGCTCAGAGAGGTGAGAACTCTGAGGACTCCTAGCTTTTGCACAGGCTGTTCTCTGCCTGTATCACCCTCCATCTGGCCCTTGTCTGCCTAACTAATCCCAACCCTTCCTTCAAGACTCGGTTCAAACAGCACAGAATCTTGTGAGTTAGGTGGCCTCTGCTGTGCTCACAGAACACTCAGTACATTCCTCTGTCATTCATTCGACAAATTACTGAGCACCCACTGTGTGTCAGGCACTGTTCCATGTACTCGGGAGCATAAGTGACCAAAAATCTCTGCCCTAGTGTGTGGTGACTAAATCATCGCATTTGTTCATTCAGCCAGTGTTTACCTACGTGTCGGGTTTCTGTACCTGGCCTAAGCTATTTTATGGTCAGGGCAATTGTCTCCACAGGCTTGGCCTCCTTCTCTTCCCTTCACCGTGAGTGCCTTGTGACACAGTGAGTGTTTTCTGAATGAATGAATGAATAATGAAATGACCAAGGTCACACAGCAATCTCATGATGGAGCTGGCACTGAAACCCTGGTCACCCGAAAGCTTGTGCACTTTCTCCTGCGCTCCACTGCAGACAGCTCCAATCTTCGTAACCTCCATCACCTCAGGTGAAAGAGGTCACAGAGGAGATCAAGGACTGGGTCCTTAGGCAGATTCATTTTGGAAAGGCGAGACTCATCCTATCACAGATCCTCTCTGGCGAGAGTGGGGACGACACCAGCCTCGGACAGGACATCCCTGCTCAAAAGCTTGGGGCGATCAAGACTGGACACTCTCCAGTAGGGGCCGTGTCGGCCCCATCACTCTGCCCAGTGTCTGAATCTTGAAGTCCATTTCGTTTCTGGATCAAAAACAGAGCCACCTCTGGCACTGCAGAAACATTCATTCCTCACGCACCCCATCCCTGGGCCCCGATCTTTCCCTCTGAGCCAAAGGCAGCGCCGGCCTTTGGCAGCCAGAGCAGCGCGGGCCGGTGGCCCCGCAGCCGCACTGCAGCGCCCTCTGCCGGGCATCGGGCTGGCGCCGCCACTCCGCGGGGCGGGGGAGGAGGGCGGGCGGGGGCCCGGCTGCTTCCAAGCAGCCTCGTGTTCCGGAGGTGCTGAGGGATGGTGACTCATCGCGCCGGCTGCGCCCGCACCGGCCGCCCTCGCAGGCTCGCCGCCTCCGCACGCGCCTGGTGACTGGCCGAGCTGCTCCGCGCACGAAAAGCAGCCCGGGGGCCGGCCCCCGACGGTAGCGGCGCGGCAACGCTTGCTTCCCCGGCCCGTGCCCTCGCCCTGCCCGCGGACCTGGGCATCATGGAAGCTTCTGGCGCTAAAAGCCCGCTCTCCTCCACTTGTCGCGTTGAGTTTTCACCTCTAACCCGGGATAGGGGTCGTTTTTATCACACCACCTTAACAAGAGGGAAACTGGGCGGGGGAACGGTGAGGCGAGGGCCGGGGTCAAGCAGATAAGAAGCAGGGGAGGGCCTAGATTAACCAGTAACCTCTGATTCCAGAGCTCGAGGTGTGCTTTCCATAGCATCAAGCTGCATGGTCCCCCTAACCTCCCAGGTCCTCACCCCCACACAAGCAAAGGAAGGGTAGGTTGGACCACCTCATAGAGGTCCTTGAAAGTCAAGCACCATAATAAACATTTACCATTTTAGAAAGAAAAGAAAAGCTATAAATGGCATTTAAGAAGAAAGTCAGGTAAGCATTGGGCTTGATTCTGTAAATATGTTTTAGATTATATAGGGCAGAGGGCAGTGATCAGAGCTGTGAGTTCGAAAGCTGCACCAAAGGAAAACAGATTGGAGGAGTAGCACCTGAGACCCCAGCAGGCTCAGCAGGGTCTAAATTAGAGTCAGGAAAATGAGGGGAAAAAAAAAGATTACAGATCTGGGAATGGGAAGGACTTAGTGATAGATCGGATTTCAAAAAGTGGGGCAATTAAAATCCATACATCACTTTGTACTTCTACTCAGGTATCTACTACAATTGATTCTGCCTTCTATCTGAGTAATATTTTGCCAGCTTTGTTAGACAGTTAGGTCCATAGAGTAGTGCTGGTGGCTCAGACCCCATTCCTGCCTTGAGGACCATGACCTTGTAGGGGGAGAACGCAGATATCTGGGTGCAGTGTCCATCCTGTTAGCTGGAACACAGGTGAGGGCAGTGCTGCTTGCCCAGACAGCATCTGCACATACCACAGAACCCCTAAGCCAGCCCCTACTTCCTCCTTGGGAAAAGTCTGGAGGGCTCCAGCTTAACTCCAAGGCTGCCTCACGCTACTGAATGTCTTTCTGGGCCTACAATTTGCTGGAGCACCTGAGTGGGAAGCTTGAGCTGCTCTGGCAGTCCCACCTTGAGGCCAGGCATCAACACCTGTGCAGCTGGCTGCGAGCACCTGCTGCCAGCTGGCAACATTGAAGGGACACACCACTGGGCAGGTAGCATGGCTGTATTGTAGAAGGGTAATGTATCCAGGTGTCAGCACCCCACAAAGACAAAATCTCCACAGAACTGGAGAGTATTATGTCAGCAGTGGACCCAAAGGTAGCTAGAACTTCCTCTGAACCCACAATTTGGTCTATCCAGAACATTCAGGCCCAATAGGCCCTGCTACCCAGCCCGTCTTCCCCTATATAGAGGGGCATGATGAATGAGTGCACCCTTCTGGGGTGGGTTGTTTCCTAGTTCCACAGGACCCCAACCCACAGACACCAGCATGGAACAGGGGCCACTCCTAATTTCTGGTACTTCCCATCCTCCACCATTCATGATAACTTGCTGTCACCCTGGGCTCTCCTGGATAAAACAGCACAGCCCCACTGGCTCCTAATGTTACCATATGCTGCTTCTCTACTTGGTCCACTCTTCACTCCCTTCTGTGAAGTTCAACAAGGTATGTAATCAAGCCAGAGTTTTGGTGGGTTGGTTTGTTTGTGATCAGGAAAAGGAAGAGTTGCCCCTACTTTGGAAGTACCACTGAACAGCAGAGCAAGTGTCCAGAGCCTCTGTTTATAATAAATATTTACCCTCAGAGCCTGAAGTGTAGGTCCTCACAAATACACAGACACAAATGTGTGTGTCTCTGTGTGTGTGTTTGTGTGTGTGTGTGTTGGGGATGGGTTATGTGGGTTCTTTGACCCCTGAACATCTTTCGTGCAGGCCCCAGTGGTCTTTCTGAAGGAGAAAAAGTTGTGTGGAGAAAAGGAGAAAAGATGTCTCCCTAAATTAATCTATAATCTCATTGCTATTTCAATCAAATCTCCAGAGGAATTTTTCACAGAACCTGACAAACTGATTCTAAAATCCATGTGAAAAAGAATATGTATAAGAAGAGCCAAAACAATTTTTTTGGGGAAAAGAACAAATGAAGGATGACATTATACAAGGTATCAAATCTACAGTAATTAACAGGGTGTGGCATTGGCACAGAAGTAGACAAATGAGTGAAAGAGAACAGAGAGCTCTCAAGCCAACTCATGTAAAGGTGTTAAATAAAATAATAAAAGCTGCATTTATAAGTCAGTGGTGAAAGAATGGACTATTCAACGAATAGTGCTGAAGTAACTAGCTTTCCATTTGATAAAAATTAAATGAGATCCCTACCTCATACTATACACACACATATTCCACATAGCTCAAACAACTAAATATAAAAAAGAATAGAAACCTGTAATGGGAAAAATAGAGATTTATATATTTGTGACTTTGGTATGGAGAAAGTCATTTTAAACAACACACAAACACAACCCAAAAGCCAGGAGGGAGTGGTTGACAAATTTGAATCTACACAAAAGAATAATTTTTTTTTAGGCAAAAGACACCATCAATAAAGTTAAAAGACAAATAATAAACTGGGGAAATATATTTGAAATGTATGTATTAGACAAAGAACAATAAAAATATATAGAGAATTTCTGTAAATCAATAAAAAGGTAAACAACTCAAAATAAATATGGGCAAAGTATATGGACAGGTAATTCAAAAGGAGAGTTACAGATGGCCAACAGACATTTGAAAAGATATTCAGCCTCTGGGAATCAAGGAAAGGCAAATGATAACAACCACCAGATATCATCTTTCACTCATTACATTCGGAACTCAAAGTCTGACTATTATCAAGTGTTGTCAAGAAGTTGAGCAAAACTGCTACTCTCATACACTGCTGGGTGGAGCACAGCCATTATGGGTAGAAATTGGACAACACCCATTAACATGGAAAATGTGCATCCCCTATTACCCAGCAACGCCACTTAGCATCTATCATGAAGAAACTCCTGCACGTGTACACAAATGTTTATTGAATGGATGTTTATTGAAAGATTGTGTTAGCCACCACAATTAAGAAACAACCTAAAAGTTCATCAATGGGTGAATAGTTAAATAAATCCTGATAAAAGTCATACTCTGCAAAGTTACATAACATTTTAAAAGAATAAGTTAGGACTTCTGCTTCTGGGAAGATGGAATGACATACTTTTCCCTGGTCCTCCCTCTAAAGCACAACAAAAAACCGTGAGCATTATATATAAAATGAACACAAAAAGACTGGAGAGGAGGTGGAGAGAAGAATGTACACCTGCAAGAGACCTCAGGACTCAAGGAACGGCATGTGGTGAGTTCCCTGGATTTTTGTTTTGCCTCATATATCCCAGAGTTGAAGCTGAAAAAGTCTGCAAACTGAAAATACCAACAGGGGCAGATTTTTTAAAAATCATGCTCTCTTACCAAGACAGAAATTTTTATACACTAATTCTTTAGCCAAATACCACAGAAAAAAATATGTGGTCCCGTTCCCAACCCCACCAGCAAAGGAGGGGTTGAAAACATAGCTTTTCACCCTTGCTAAGCTATAACCAGGTGCCCCAAATTTCCCCACTGGGGTGAAGTCAGAGAAGGCTGAGCAGGCATCTGGGATAGACCTACTAGATAGAAAATCAGCAAGGGTATATAGGAACTCAACAACACCCTCAAACAACAGGATTTGATTTGACATTTATAGAACATCTCATCCAACAGCAGAAGAGTACACATCCTTTTCAAGTGCCCATGGAATACAAAACATGTTAGACATATCCTGTGTCATAAAACAAATGTCAACAAATTTAAAATAATTGAAATCAAATGAAATGTATTCTGTGACCAAATTGGAAATCAATAACAGAAAGATAAGAAAATATCTAAAACTTGAAAAATAAACAACACACTTTAAAATAACCCATGGGTCAAATATGAAAATTTAAATTTCAAGATAAATTTTAAAAATACATTGAACTGAATCAAAATGAAAATACAACATAGAAAAATTTATGAGATGCAACTAAAGCAATGCTTAAAAAGAAGTTTATAGCTCCAAATGCTTATACTATAAAAGAAAAAAGGTCTCAAATCAATCATCTAAGTTCCTACCTCAAGTAACTAGAACAAGGAGAGCAAAATAAAGCCAAAGCAAACAGAAGGAAGAAAATAATAAAAATAACAGCATAAATAAGCAGAATTGAAAATAGAAAAATAGAGAAAATCAATGAAATAAAGAGCTGCTTCTTTGAAAAGATCAGTAAGATTGACAAACCTCTAGCAAGACATACAAATTGCTCATATCAGGAAGGAAATGAATATCACTACAGAGCCTTCAGACATCAAATGGGTAATAAGGGAATACTATGAACAATGCTACATGCTTTGACAACTTTGATGAAACAGACCAATTTCTTGAAAAATATAAACTTCCCAAATCTACCAAATATGAAATAGATGATTTGAATAGCCCTATAACTATTAAAAACATGAAATTCATAATTTTAAAACTACTCCCTTTAAAATCTCCAGGTCCAGATGGTTTCACTGGAGAATTCTACCAAATGTTTAAAGAATTGTATGCTAATTCTACACAATCAGTGTAACAAACTAATAGAAATCACATGATCATATTAATCAATGCAGAAAAAGCATTTGATAAAATCTAACACTTATTATAAGTTAAAAAAAACTCTGAGAAATAGGGCAAAAAGGGAACTTCCTTAACTTGAGCATCTACATACAACTTACACCAAATATATATATATTTTTTTCTGGATCAAGCAATATTAGACTTATACCTAACATTAAACACAATGCTTGAAAGACTAAATGCTTTCCCCCTCAGATTGGAAACAAGGCAAGGATCTCTGCTCTCACCACCTTAATTCAACATAGTGTTGGAAGTTCTAACCAGTGTAATAAGGCAAAAAAAAAAAAAGAAGAAAAAAGAAAAGATAAAACATGTAGATTATAAAAGAATAAATAAAACTGCTCCTATTTGGAGACGGCATTATAGTCTACATAGAAAATCCCAAGGAATCTACAAGACAATTCCTAGAACTAATAAGTGAGCTTAGCAAGGTTGCAGGATACAAGATAAGCTTGCAAAAATAAATTGTATTTCTATATACTAGCAATGAACACATGGATGCTGAAATTAAAAATACAGTGCCATTTACACTTGCTCAAGAACAAAATACTTAAGTGTAAATGTAACAAGATATGTATAGCGCTTATATGCTGAAAACTACAAAATGCTGATGACAGAAATCAAAGAAGACCTAAATAGAGAAAGAAATATGCCACATTCATGGATCAGAAGACTTAACATAGTAAAGATGTTAGTTCTCCCCAAATTTATGTATAGTTTTAGCTCAATCTCTATCAAAATTCCAGGAGGATATTTTAAACATAGACAAGTTTATTCCAAAATTTATATGGAAAGGCAAAGAAACTAGAATAGCCAAAACAATTTTGAAAAGGGAGAATAAAGTGGGAGGAATCACTCTATCCAATTTCAGGACTTATTATGTAGCTACAATAATCAAGACTATGTAGTATTGGTGGAGGGACAGACACACAGATCAATGAAACAGAGTAGAGAACCTAGAAATAGACCCACACAAATATGCCCCACTGATTTTCAACAAAGGTACAAAAGCAATTCAATGGAAGAAAGATAGCCTTTTTGAATGGTGCTGGAGCAACTGGACATAGACCAAAAAATGAACTTTGACCTGTGTAGTGGGCTGAATGGTGCCCTCCCAAAAGATACGTCTACGTCCTGATTCCCGGAGCCTAGGGATGTTACCTTATTTGGAAGATGAGCTTTTGCAAGTATAATTAAGATGAGGAGATCATTCTGGATTCAAGTGAGTCCTAAATCTAATGACACGTATCCTTATAAGACGGACACACAGAGGAGATGATGATGTGAAGATGGAGGTAGAGATTGCAGTGACATGGCCATAAGCCAAGGAGTATTGGCAGCCCGCAGAAGCGGGACTAGACAAGGAAGGATCCTCTCCTAGAGCCTCCAGAGGGAGTGCAACCCTGCCCACACCTTAAGCTCAGACTTCTGGCCTCCACAATCATGAGAGAATACATTCTGTTGTTTAAAGCTACCAAGTTTACAGTTACTTGTTACGGCAGCCTCAGGAAATGATATAATCTATCTCACACCTTATACAAAAAAAAAATCAACAAAATGGATCAGAAACTTAAATGTAAAATTATAAAATTTTTAGGAAGAAACAGGAAAGTGTTTGGAATCTAAAGCTAGCCATATAAGCCAGACCTTATACTTGAAAACCAAAACACATCCAAAAAAACAAAATTGATAAATTGGACTTCATCAAAATTAGCAAGTTTTGTTCTATGGAGTCCTTGTTAAGAGGATGAGAAAAAGCTTCAGACCAAGAGAAAATGTTTGCAAACCATATGTCTGACAAAGGACTGGTATCTAAAATGTATAAAGAACTGTCAAAACTCGACAGTTAAAAATTCAAACAACTCAACCAGAAAATGGGCTAAAGACATAAATAGACAAGTCACTGAAGAAGATATACAGATGGCAAAGAAGCTCATGAAACAATGTTCAACATCACTAATCTTAGGGGAATGAGAATTGAAACCAGAATGAGATATTACTTCACACCTAGAGAAGAACGGCTAAAAGGGAAAACAGTGAGAACACCAAATGATGATGAGGATGCCAAGAAACTGGAATCCTCATACATTGCTGGTGGGAATGTAAAATGGTACAGCCGCTCTGGAAAACAGTTTGCCAGTTTTGTTTTTTTTTTGAGATGGAGTCTCGCTCTGTCATCCAGGCTGGAGTGCAGTGGCAAGATCTCAGCTCACTGCAACCTCCACCTCCCAGGTTGAAGCAATTCTCCTGCCTCAGCCTCCCAAGTAGCTGGGACTACAGGTGCGCACCACCACGCCTGGCTAATCTTTGTATTTTTAGTAGAGATGGGGTTTCACCGTGTTGGCCACGATGGTCTTGATCTCCTGACCTCGTGATCCGCCCACCTTGGCCTCCCAAAGTGCTGGGATTACAGGTGTGAGCCACCGCACCTGGCCGTCAGTTTTTTGTTTTTTGTTTTTTAAACTAAACATGCAATTACCATATGACTCAGCAATTGTACTCTTGGGCATTTATCCCAGAGAAATGAAAACTTATTTCCACATAAAAACCTGTTACGTGAAGGTTTATAGCAGCATTATTTATAAGAGCCCAAAACTGGGAATAACCCACATGCCCTTCAGTGGGTGAATGGATAAACGGTCTTTGATACATCCATGCCATGGAAGACTACTCGGCAATAAAAAGGAGCAGATTATTGGAAAAGGGGTAGGGGCAGACTATTGATACACGCAACAACCTGGATGGATCTCCAGAAAATTATGCTGACTGAAAACAAAATCCCTAAAGTTTGCATACTGTGTGATTCTATTTTACTACATAACCTGGTTGAAACAACTGTATTTTAGAAATGGAGAATAGATGAGTGGTCGCTAGGGGTTAAGTAGGAGGTTAGGGTGGGAGGGAAATAGGCGTGGCTATGATAGGATGACTTGAAGTATCCTTGTGGTGATGGAAATATTCTGTATCTTGACTGTATAAAGGCAACACCCTGCTTGTATATTGTACTATAGTTTTGCAAGAAGTGATTATTGAGGAAAACTGGGTGAAGGGTACATGGGACCTCTCTGTATTATTTCTTATACTGCATGTGAATCCATAATTTAATCACAATTAAAAGTTTAATTAAGAAAACAAGAATGAACTAGATCCATATGTCTCCTAAAACAGAAAGGTTTCCAAGACATATTCCTAAGTGAAAAAAAGCAGATTAGTATATATGGTGTGACACCATTTATTTTTAAGTACCCACATAAAACCAAACTGTGTATGCACAGAAAGAGATTTGGAAGAAAGTGGGCACTCTCCACTGATAACAGTGGTTACCTTCGGGGAGCAGAGTGGGACCGGAGAGATAGAGATTTGAATTGTAGCTGAATTGATTTTTTTTCACAACAAGAATATTATTCCTATGTTATTTGTATAATAAAAACATCAGCCTGGACACAACTACATTGTTCTAGAAATGCATATCTGTTTTGCTTATCCTGATTTCACCTATCCCTGTGTCACCAACACTGTGGTCATAGGACCCAGTTCACAGGTCCCCTGCCCGTGAGCCTCAAGGAAGTGGCTACTGAGCCTCCTAATTTGGAAATAGGCCCACTAGCAATCAAGGCTACCTTTGAGGTATGGAAGAACCACCTGGAAGAACCAGTGCCCCTATGACTATGAATCTACCCACTGTGGCTGATGACAACTTAAATAATACACAAAGCTCAGTCCATGCCAATTAATGCAGCAACAATTTCCATAAGATTCAAGTCAACAAACTGTTGTGCAAGTTTCAATACCGGAGGCAGCAAAGGCCTTGCCACCCGCTGACCTGAAAACATGGCAGCAGTTGAGCCTCTTTAGAGGAAACTGTGAACAGCAGGAATGAGTAACAACTGGTAACCTACATCCAGCTGTGCCTGGCTGAGAGCAGACTCACTAGAGTGGCCCCAGAGAGTACATCATTTATCCATTGTGAATCATTTATCCATTCACAATTTATTGGACACCTACTCTGTGCCAGGTCCTGTCCTAGGCACTGACTATAGCAGTGAACAGAACAAAGTCCCTGCCCTCATGGAGCTCTCATTCTAGTGGGAGAGCCAACGATAGGCAAGGGAAATAAATAAAGTACATGTCAGATAGTATTAAGTGCTAGGAAGAACAAACAGCATGGATGGAGGATATGAGGTGTTGAGGGCTGGGGCTTGAAATTTTAGAAATGGTGGCCAGAGAAGGTAACAAACTGAGAAGGTAACAAACTGAAACATACTGAAAAGGTAACAAACATTCCAGTGGAGATGTGAAGGAAGTGAGGGAGCCAACTACAAAGATATCCAGTTGTTCTGGACATTTTCCATTTGTCTGTCCACATCTTTTCCACCCTTCTCCACACAGCTTGTACCCTGGTAGGCTGACCTGTGTGGATGGCATCAACAGGCTCCCTTGCCCTCTGGCTTCGGGTTAGGTTTGACCAATGGGAAGCACCTGCAAAGAAACCAGAAGAAAAAGGAAAAGTGAGATTGGGGTATTTAGTCATCCACTCTCTCTGTTCAGGGTCACCATGAGTTGGCGGCATCCCTCTGCCAAAGGCCATAGCTCCCGTCAGGTGGTTCTCTCCACACAGCAACCGTTTCCCAGTTCCTGTGAGCACTCCCTCCAGGGATCCTTCCTGATATACTGGGGAAAAGCATTCCAGGCAGAAGGAAAAGCAAATACAATGTACCTGGAAAACTTAAAGAATGATCAGGAGGCTAGTGTGGCTGGAATGGAGAGGCAGACGATGGGATTTGTAGGAGATCATGTCAAGGAGGTAAGGGGGACCAGATTATGCAGGACCTTGTGGACTACTATAAAGATTTTGACTTTGAATCTGAGTGAGATGGGGAGCAAGTGGAGGATGTTGAGCAGATACTGACATGCTCACACTATGTTTTCACAGCATCACTTTGGGAGACTGGTGACAGGGATACTAAAATAATCCAGGCCAGAGACGATGGTGGCATGGACTAGGGTGATAGCAGTGGAGGTGGCAGGAAGTAGCCAGATTCTGAATCGATTTTGAAGGTGGTGAAGAAAAATCCTGTTCCACTACAATGACCAGGGCAAAAGGCCAAACTCAAGACGAGCAACTTATTCCTCAGCATGTCATTATGTATGACTGAAAGTTCTGTTATGCAGCAAGATTTCAGAAGGTCTTGCATGCAGCATGATAATCCTAATACCCTATCACATGTGTGGGACATACAACTCTGTGCCAAGGTTCAATTCAAAGGGTTTCTAGACTGTTCCTGACTCCAGAACAACTCCAGAAAACGATCATCATCGGTTTTCTAGCCAACTTACCCCACCCCAAAGCCGCATCTCCATGGGGTGGTGCTGGGTGCCATTTTGTCCCCTGCTCTAAACCCCTTATTGGCTCCAGCCACTCTACCTCCATTGGCTCCTCCACGAATTGGCTTAAACATGTCACATCAGAATTTTGGAAAACACTGTCCGCAGCCTGTCCTGTCCATACCTCCTGTCCTCTACTCACCGACTCACAGGTTGACAGCAGACAGAACACGTCCAACCACTGAGCAGATAGGGACGTGGGTCACACAGTCAGTCAGAACAGAGTGTGGGCAACAACTCAAAGGTGCCAATATTTTGATAAAGATTTTATAATTTTCCTGGGAAAACAGGCAACTGTCAATCATATGCAGGTCATTGAAAGGGAAGAAAAAATGGAAAACTTGGCCCCATAGGCTGAAAGCCTCCAGCTTGAAATACCTCCTGGGAGCAAAAGTACCCTGGTATTTTTTGGTGCACAGTGTTGATTCTCAGAATGAGACCTGTTGCTTCATATTCACGAACTCCCCCAGCAAAGGCACCCAGCTGGAAACTGGAGAAAAGCACATGATTCTGAGGGCTCATTCCAAAGCCAGGAAAAACTGATGGTATTTTGTTTATGTTCAAAGAAATCAATCCAAAGAGATCAGCCCCACAGCCAAAGTCAGCCAGAATGGAGAGCAAACTGCTGCCAACCTCTGGGTCCTGGCCCGCTCATCAAGGGGAGAGGATGACCTTCATTGGAATCTGGGATCCAAGACTTTCAAGCGGTGTGCCCTTGGGCAAGATTCTTAACCCTCCTTAGGACCTTGATTTTCTAATCTGTAAAACAGGGCTAATTGCTACCTCACAGAGTTGCAGTAAAGATCAAATGAGCTTTTGTGTGTCTGGCATAGCCCCTGGGATACTAGCTGCTCAGTATGTGTTAGTTCTCTTCTCATGCCCACCTTTCTTTGGCAAGAGCCAGGCCAGTGATGTGGGGCAACTCTGGGGTTCCAGTGGTCCCTGGTGCCCTTAAGAAGAACTCTCTGAGGGATTCTGCAGCTCTTACATGGCAGTGCTGCTTTCTGCTCTTTATTAAAAGGGCATCCCCGGGTAGCTGCCATTTGATCCCAGCAGGACATGGTTCCATGCACAGCTTAGCACCAAAGGGCACTAATGCCTATTAATTAACTGTACATTCAGCTGACCTGCCAAAGCAGCTGATTTTATTTTCAGAATCCCAAATGTTTTCTTATTCCACTCTACCATACCTGAATCCTTTATGTATGTGAACCACCAATGCAGACGTTTGCTCTCCCCCACTTTCTTTCTCTTTCATCCTCTCAGCATCTCCTCTCTTCTCCACGCTGCTCCCTCTGCCTGTCCCTTGCCTTGGCTCCTTCTCTTTCCTAGCTCTTCCACAAACCCTCATCCAAAGACAGTACTTGTAGGGAGAGAGCAGGTAAAAGTGGCTCAAGTAGATCCATGGTGAGGTTTGAAAGAGACCATTCCACTTCCTCTTTGCCCTGCCATACCAGCCCATCCTCAGCCCCACTTTCTTGTCCATTCACACTGGGCTGGGCAATGGAATTGCAGAGCAAAACGAGTCATGGTCACTGCCCTCAGAGTCTTGTGGGAGAGACTTGCAGTCCCATGGTGTATACGAAAAACTGGATGGCTAGGAGCAGTGGCTCATACCTGTAATCCCAGCACTTTGAGAGGCCAAGGTGAGAAGATCTCTTGAGGTCAGGAGTTCAAGACCAGCCTGGGCAACAGAGCAAGAACCTTTCTCTACAAAATTAATTAGCCAGGCATGGTGGCACATCTGTGGTCCCAGCTCCTCGGGAGGCTGAGGCAGGAGGCTCATTTGAGCCCAGCAGGTTAAGGCTGCAGTAAGCCGTGATGGCACCACTGCACTCCAGCCTGGGCAACAGAGCGAGAGCTGGAGAGGAGGGTGCACAGAGGTGGGAAGGCATCTGCCTGCCTCTGAGGGGTTGGGGAAATGCAGGAGACTTGCACTGGGCCTTGATGCCTGAGTGAGATTTTTCCAAATGGAAAGAGGGTCAAAGAGCATCCCAGGGGTGGAGATAGCATGGAGGAGAGGAAGGCAGTGTGTATTTGGGGTTCTGTGTAGCCACACAGTAAGGTCTGAGAGACGGATAAACCATGAACCTGGAAAGGGGAACGCGGAGCCAACTCACCAAAGATGTGTCAGGTTGGTGGGAAGCTGGATCGCAGTGGGTGAGAATGCAAGGCTAAGCAGTTTGGACTTGTTGAATGTTGGGAAGGGACATGATGAAAGCCATGTTTTAAAAAGAAAATTCGGACAGGCAGAGAGACCAAAAGCAGAAAGGAGGCCAGTAAGGAGATTGCTGCAGTGGTCCTGTCACAAATTGAAGTCCTGAAACAGGGTGCTAACCATGGGAACAGAAATGAGGAGGCAGAGAAGAGATACCACTGGGGCCTACTTTCTCTACCTCTGGACTTATCCTGGAGTCATTCTGCAACTTTCCCAACACCTTCTCCCTGGATAACCTTAATGGAACCTGGGCCTCAGGTCTAACTCCTACCTCAACGTGGGCTTATCCCAAATTTATATCTTGAGAGCTGACCTCTCACTTGCCCCTGGGATCAGATTCTAGTTACTTTCTGGACATTTTCAAGTAATCATCTCATCAACATGTCCGAAATTGCCATCTCGATGCCTGCCCCTCAGCACTAACCCAGTCTGGTAGAACCATGTAACTCAGCTACATTATGGGCTTCTGGGCCTAATCCAGCCACTGATGAATCATCTTACATCTCTATAAAGCAAACGTGATTCCCCAGTTCTAAACCACCAATTTATAAGTGAACTCAGAGGACTCAACACATTCACACCTTGGAGGTTGCCTTGCTTCACGCCCCATTGTCAAGTTCCTCCACAGTGGCCCTCAACCAGGGCTGCACTCTCCTGTCCCCTGGAAGTATTTGGAAATGTCTAGAGGCATCTCTGGTTGTTCAAAATGACTCCGGGGAACTACTGGCCTTTAGAGTCAGGGAATCATGAGGTTAAACATCCTGCAATGCACAGAATCCCACCCTGCAAAGAATTGACTCACCCCAAGCAACAATAGTACTTTCACCAAGAAACACAGTGACCACTAGCTCAATGAGGCAGGGACTCTATGTTGTTCTCCACTGTGATCTCAGCATGCAGCAGAGTGCACTGCACATGAGGATGTGCAATAAGTGCTGCTTAAATTAACAAATTGGACTAGGTGCAGTGGCTCATGCCTGTAATGCCTGCACTTTGGGAAACCAAGGCGGGAGGACCCCTTGAGGCCAGGAGTTGAAGACCAGCCTGGGCAACAAAGAGAGACCTCTGTCTCTACAAAAGTTGTTTAAAAAAATTAATATAGATACTCATTCATTCATATAACCAATGCCTACTGAGCGCTACCCTTGGTGCTGAGGATAGAAAGATGAACAAAACTTGGGCAATATGCATTTGTATCTCAGCCTGCCTTAGCTCGGTGGGTGGGAAACGTGATCCTGAGATGGAGGCTAAAAGTCCAGAATGCCTCGCCTTCCATAACTACCAAGGGGCCCCTTCCCAGCAAGGGGAGCTTACAAGCTAAATGCTGAATTGAAAATTCATTCATTCATTCAACCAACACTTGGATAGCACATAAAACTTTTTGAAGCACTTTCTCAGACATTATCTTGCTGAAGTTGGGCTGCCAGGAGCGGAAGGTGGGGGTGGGGGCTGAAAACTGGGGCCTGAAAGGTTCTCGCCCAGCTCTCCTGGGCCGGAGCGGACAGGTCCTAGCAGACAGTCCCCTGGGACTGGGGCGGGGCGGTAGGGGGCTGCGGGGGTGGTTCTGGTGTGAATGGAAATATGCACCACATGGCCTGAATTGCAGGGCCGACCTCAGGCTCCCACAGCCCCAAACACTTCCAGATGGATTTATTTATAACTCCCAAACCAGAGGCAGCACTCCTCACTGCTTTTCCTTACTCCCCTCCCCACTCCTGGAGCAAGCCGTGGCCATCCCTCTCCGCTCCGGAAACCAGCAGGAGACTGGGAATGTGCAGCCGCTGAGCCACAGCCACAGCCAAACTTGGGCCCCTGGTCACTGCCTGTCCCCTAGGTGGCAACAGCAGCTCACGGTGTGGGTGTGCCTGTGGAGCCTGGCCAGATTCCTGCCCACCTGGCCCATCTGGGCTCTCACAGGACGGCTGCTAAATAGGCAGTGCGAGCCAGGCACATTCACTCTGGCAAGTCTCCGTTCCAGATCTGCCTCCACTTCATAATGCCACAGTCACACCCATGTCTTCTCATTCTCTGTCTCCGGGACATTCCTAGCCCCTCCCCTCCACCATCTCCCACAGGATACTGCTTCTCACTGCTGCCAGAGGCTTTGGACTCTGACATTTTCCAAATCAGGAAACCAAAGCTCAGAGAGGTTGAGCAACTTGTCCAAAGTGACACAGCAAGTTAAACAAAAGAGACAGAAGTTGCAAACCCAAGTCCTGCCCCTGATAATAATGCCTCCTAAACCTCAGTTTCCTCATGTGTGAAGTGGAACTAATGCCAGGCAGGTGGTGTGGTTAGAAGCGTTGGCTCTAGAGTGGCTCTGCTTGGAGCTCATGATGGTTCTGTTATTTACTAGCTGGGTGACCTTCCATGAGTCACTCTTCCTCTCCTAACTCAAGATTTTTTTAATCTTTCCTTTAAGGATTAAAGAGATGATGAATGGCTTAGCATAGGGTCTGTCAGGCCCGCAATACAGAGTAACGACTATGATAGTTTATTGTTCAACTGAATCATTATAGAGCTTACAGATCCCATCTCTTGATGAGATTGGGAGCATTCAGGGTGTTATGGACATAGATCCATCTCTTAAGATATGGGCCAGGCCCCACGCAACATCACCTTCTGACTCCTCACACATAGAAGTAAACTTGGGCCTGAAGAGATTAAGTGACTTGCATAAGGCCATACTTGTAGGAATAGAGGAGAGAGTTGAACCCAGTTCTAGGTGGTTTAGCCCACCCAGCTGAACCTGAGCATTTTGGTGGCCCTAAGCAGGGCTGTGGACACATGAAACCTGGAGTAACCTAGTGGCCCTGGGGCTGAGGCCTTCCTATCTCCCTCTGCTCCTAGCCATGGCTTGAACTGGTGGTGGCTGGAAGGGATAGGGTAGCAAAGAAACCAGGTGAAAGCTCCAGAGTGAAACTTCTAGATGTACATATCTGCTGCCTATAAATCCTCGTTGCCCTCAAAGTTACTCAGAACCAAAGTATGGCAAACCCACCTCTCTGCCTCCAAAGGTCCAGACAAATTTTCCTGCAGCTGTTCAGCAACACACGACACCAGATTTCTGCTTCAGTGGGAGTCTTTGGCACTCACATTCCTTTCTGCTTGCTGCTGTGCAATTAAACACGCATAATTTCTCCATGTTTTCCCATCCCGCACCACACGTCAGTACCACCAGTGACAGCATGAGGGAATAGCACAATCTCTGTGCGCATATGGACAAGGGAACCAGTGGGCACTCTGTCAATTGAATGTGACTCACCAAATGGGTTCCAAATCCCATCAGCAATTAGGGTCTATTTATGTGTATTTCCCTCATCTTATCAGTGGGCTACCTAGGATGCTCAGAATTCCTGATAGTCCAAAAATAAGTGCAGTTATTTGGTAAATACCCAGCACACAATAAGCATTTAATAAATGCTCAATCTCTATCCAAACCAAATTAAGTCTCAGAGTTTGTGAGTTTGTAAACAAACTTTACCAGAGAGCCTCAGGGGAAGCTCCTCTCTGCTTCCAGCATTGATACTTAGGAAGGTTTCCTCATGGAACAAAGGCTTTGGTTCTTACCACAGAGACTACCAGATCTACAGCTCCAGTCCTACTGGATAGGCTCTCTGAGCCTCGGTTTCCTTATCTGTGATATGAGAACAATATCACTAATCACAAAGTTGCTCCGAGGCATCTGACACTGAGTCGGGTACATGGTACTCTCTTAATAGATGTTACATTTATAAAGCTTTATCTTGCAGCAAAAGTAAATTCTAACACACTGTAGAATTATCTAGAGTAAAATTATTTCTTCTCTCAATATTGATCAAGCATCTACTATGTCCACAGCAGCATAAAAGAAGCAAAATAAATTCAAAATAAAGTTTCTTTCCTCTAAGAGACTGTAATATAGCTGGAAACTTAGGCAGGTGTGAAATATGTCAGATAACTCAAATGCCTTTAGGAGCCAGGAAGGTACTATAAATGAGTGAATGAGGTTGGAGTGAGACAATACGGAGTAGTGGGGACTGTGTCTAGCTGGAGAGCACATACTCCATCTAAAGTGGAAGCTGCCACCCGGCCATGCCAATCTAGCTAACTACTGTCTTGGGGGCATACAGATCCAGTATTACCAGATTTTTCTGTTTTTCAAAGAAGCTAGAAATCCAGATTGTATGGAAAGATTACTAATTGCTACATGTTAGCACATAGTTTAAAAAGAAACAAACCACATGCAGACTAAACAAAATACACCTGTGGGCATTATTATTTGGCTCACCAGCCAACAGTTTGCAACCTCTCCATAATGGTAGATGATAAATTTGTCAAAATAAGTGCTGCTGACAATAAGTCCTAGACACATACAGAGGACATGAGTCCCTTGGGCTGGGATGATCTGGAAAGTTTTCCTCAAGGTGAGCCTACCTTAAGGTAGGATTCAGACTGGGCCCCAAAGTATGGGTGTAAGTCTGACAGGTAGAAAGGAGGAGCAAAGAGCTGTTGACAAGACTGAAGGTAGAGACAAGAATGTTGTAGTCAGAGCTCACAAGCGGTGAAGAGATGGGTCTGGCTGTTAAGGCTTCCTGGGGGGAGGGGCAACTTCTGGCCATTCGGTTGGTCTCAGTGGAGGAGGTTTCTCGTGACAAGAATTAGGGATCTCAGTGTGGAGGAAACAAGGGAAGATGGGAAACTGTTACTTAGAGAGTCTGTTTCTGAGAAGCCAGTCAGAGAGAAATAGTAAACACAGACAGACATATACCTCATTGGCAGGGGTGGGAAAAGTACATTTTAGTTAAGTCCAGGGCCATTTCCAGAAGAAGGCAATGTAAAAGTCTATGAGAAGAACAAATAAATAATGCATGATCCTAGCTGCTGACTAGAAACAGGTCCAGAAGGTGGGAATGGGTAAACCGTAGCACAGCGAAACCAGCCATGTTGGAAAGGAGGGCTCTGGCACCATATAAGCACTGTGGAAAGGAAGTAAAAAGCCAGGAATGCACAAAAATCTTGGAAAGTATTTTTTTAAAACACTTTAGTAAGAACATAGGTAAAATATATGTCCACGATTAAAAGCCCCAGGATTTAGAAGCCATTCCCCTACAAGGCTGTCTGACTGGCTGGGTGAATGACTGAAAGGGGCATCTTACTCCAAAGGGAGAGCACAGAGATGTGTGGCAATGCAGGTGTCAGGAAGAATTCCATAGGCCCCACATCAGATTTTGTGACCACTAAAATGACAGGTGAGGCAGGAGAAGGTCATGGAAAAAGCACAAGGGTGATAGACAGGATTATAGCCCCCACAACGATGTCCACATCCTAACCTCTGGAACCTGTGAATGTGTTCAGTTACATAACAAGGGGAACTAAGGTTTGCAGGTGGAGTTAAAGTTACTTATCAGCTGACATTGACTGAAATGGGGAGAAGCTGCCCATCTCATCTGGGTGGGCTCAATGTAATCATGAGGGTTTTTATAAAGTGAAAGCGGGAGGCTGGAGAGTCAGAGTCAGAGAAGGAGATGTATAGAAGCAGAATCAGGGTGATGGGATGTGAGAAAGACTCGAATGGCCACTTTTGGTTTTGAAGTCAAGGAATGCAGGCAGCCACTACACGCTGGAAAAGGCAAGGAAAAGGATTGTCCCGTAGAGTCCTAAGAAGGAATGCAGCCCTGCTAGCATCTTGATTTTAGTCCAGTGAGACCAATCTCAGACGTCTGCCCTCCAGAACTGTAAGATAATAAATTTGTGTTGTTTTAAGCCACTGAATTTGCGGTAATGTGTTACAGCAGCAATATGATACTAATACAATTGGCTTTGGACTCAGATGAATGTAGTTTAATGCTGGCTCACTGTATACCAATACTTGACCTTAGTCTAGTCATTTAACCTCTCTTAGCCTTAATATCCTTATCTGTAAAATGGAGACCACAATACCCTCACTTCATAGAGTTGAGGTAAAGAGCACCTGTAATGATGAACACAAAGGGATAGTACAGCCTCGCACAGAGAAGGTGCTGGGCAATGTTCTTTTCTTTCCTTCAATGTGTTTGATGAGATCATAATTCATATGTAGGACCGGTGGTGTTCTGGTAAGTGTTCAGCAACCAGCTCTCAAAAAAAATGCACAAACGTATATATAAATATACACATACATACATAGGTTTATTATAAATTTACTTATATAAGAATGTGAAGTGCTCAATTTACAGATAATACTGAAATATATAATACTCTTTATTATAAATTCCATATAACCAATGGATTCTCCCATAATGCTTTCATTGATTTTTGCTGAACACATATCAATAGCCAAACTTCGGCCATAACAGAAGAGCAAGTGCAGTTCCTAAATGAATGATGGTTGATATTTTCATTTATGTTAATGAGTAAGAAGAAAGTGAAACAACCAAGAAGTATTGGAACTTGACAATTTTTTTTTAAATGTTGAAATAATTTTAGACTTATAGAAGAGTTGTAAAAACAGTACAGAGAGTTTCTGTGTACCCTTTACCCAGCTTCCCCTTATGTTGACATCTTACATAATTATAAAACATTGATCAAAACTGAGAAATTAAACTTAGTACAACATTAACTAAAGTACAAACTTATTTGGAGTTCACCAGCTTTTCTACTGAAGTCTTTCTTCCATTCTAGGATCCAATCCAGGACCCATATTGTATTTAGTTGGTCATTTATTTTGTAGAATGTCTCTCAATTTCAGTTTGTCTTCTGTTTTCTCATATAATTTAATTTTTAATGATGGCTGTATTTAACAACTGGCTCATACGTTTCCTAAATATTTAACAATTGATTCTCGCAAACCACTACAAGCCAGCCCCAGCACACCACTCTAAGCAAAATTGACAAACAATTCATTCACGGTTTTTTCCCCATTAATTTCACAAATATTTATTGAGCGCCCTCTAGGGGCTAGTGCTGGGGATATAGAGATGACCAAAACACAGTCCTTGCCTGAGAAAATCAGAGATTAGGGGAGGTGACAGGACAGTAGCAGACAGTGCCTGTAGAGCGATGGATACGATAGAGGGTAATAGAATGTGGTGGAGCATTCAGAGGTGGGAGGGCCAAATTCTGGCTGAGGAAGTCAAGGGGAACATCAAGGATGAACAAGAGCTCCCCAGGTCAGACACAAGGAGGTTGAGGGAGGCTTCTCATGTAAGATGATGTGTGAGCTGAGTCTTGATGCATGAGTGGGAATGAGCCAGTCAGCTGAGGAAGCAGAAGGAACAACAGTCACTCATTTATTCCTTCATTTATTAAGCACCTATTAGGTATCCATTCCATACTATGCTCTGGAGATGCTCAAACAGGTAATGAATAAGGGCCCTCCAGTGTGACTGGTGATGGTGTCTGAGCTATCTTGAAAGATGAGGCAGTGTTTGCATGTGTGAAGGTGGTGTCATGAATGAGCATGGGGCATGAGGGCATTGAGTATAGATCAGCAGTGGAGAGGACCCCACGGCCAGACACCTCCTCCCTGAGAGTGCAGAAAGATGAAGGGGGAGCTGAAAGGCCACTGACCATCGTTTAACCTAGAGCAACCAATAGGTTTTGCCAGAGGACAACTAATGCCAGAACCTTCCTATGCAGGCGCCACATGTTCATAGCCCCCTTCTCTCCAGCCCTTCACACTAAACCTCCACGTAAAGATCCCCAGAACTACACTGAGCAGCTTACCCCTGCCTTAGGCAGAAGGATGAGGTGGTGATGATATGGTGTCACAGGCCAACTCTCAACAGAGGTCCTTGACCTGAGACCAAGACGCCCCAGAAAAGTGCCAGTGTTCCTACCTCAGATGCCTTCTCTGACCATAAACTAAAGCAACCCCAACACATACACAACCCCAGCCATTCTCTATCCCATTATACTACTTGATTTTCTTCATAACACTTATTGCTATCTGAATAAGTGCTAATAAGTGCTTTTTAGATCTTTACTTGTTTTTGCTAGTCTCCTTCCATTACAAGTTAAGCTCCTCAAATGTAGAAACCCTTGTCTATCTTGTCTTCAATACATCCCCAGCTCTCAGCTCAGGGCCTGGCCCTTAGGAGTATTTGTGAAATATTTGTAGAATAGATGACTGAATGAATGGATGAACGAATGCTTTTACTAATATTTGACAGCTGTACTCCTAATCCTCTGTGGCCCAAACTTTTGCCCTCCATTTTAAGTCTGTTGCATATTCCTTCAGTACCTTGACTTAGAACTTGAACCTTACAAGGAGGAGCAACACTAACATGCATGAAATTCAGAATGCTCCTGTTGGAACTATTGTGAGAATGCAAAAGATAACAACAAAAACTAACACTTGTTGTGCTAAGTGCCAGCTCCCATCCTAAGCCCTTTATATATATTTAATAAATATCTGTTGAGTACCTGCCAGGTGCCAGGGATTGTTTAGGCCCTAGGGACATGGCAATGAATAAAAGACAAAAATCTCTGCTTTTAGGGAGCCTAAACATTAGCCAACTTAATCTGAAAACAGCCTTAAGATGTAGATCCTGTGATTATTCCCATTTTAAAGATGAGGAACCTGAGGCACAGAGGCTAAGTAACTTACCCAAGATCGCACAGCAGTGGAATGGCAGAGCCAGGCAGTATGGGCCCTGAGCCTGTGTTCCTAACCAGTAGGCTATTCTGCCTCCTGGAGAGCTATGGGAAAGTGCTTGGCAAACTTTCAAAGACTTCGATAAATTTGAATTCCTATCATTCTTGGTAGAAGCACATTGTGTTATGGGGGCAGTAAAGAGACTGGGCCAGGGAGTTCAGAGGACGTGTGGAGGGCAGTGGTCCTGGAGGTGGCCTTTGGCACATCTTGGGCCAGGAGAGCACTAGCTGTGCTGTGACTCCCCAGCCCCTTGCTGGAGACTGTCAGACTTAGCAGATCCACATAGAGTAAGGCTGCACGAGGGAGGCTGTAAGGCCTCCCCACTGGCACGTTCTTAGCTCTTTGTGGGTTTTTCTTCCCCCATTGTTGTCGTAGAGTCCTGTCCTGATCCCCCTTCTACCGATTTGTTGCCCTTGTAGTGGCCCTGCCCCACCCACCTTGCCACAGTCCTCCCATTCAGCCTCCTAGCCCAAGAAGACAAAGGAAACTTTGACTGTCCCCCACTGGGCTTTTCTGATATTCTGTTTCCATTGGAACAAAGAACAGCTCACCAAGTGCTCTCTGATCCTTGGAATGAGAAAGGAAAATAGTTTATCACATGGAGTAACTCGCACACCGCCCCCATTGCTCACTGGTCCCAGCCTCTCAGGACGCCCCACATTCCTGGCAGGGCAAGACGGGAAGGCGCCTCCCTCCTGCTCAGCCCTCAGGGAACCAGTGGGATAGTGATGACTTCCATCTGGGCTGGCCTGTTTTCCACCACTTAGGCTCCACCTGTGGCCTGGATGGAGCTGAAGGAAGAACGAAGCATCCTTTCTGCCTGTCTCATTGCTCCAACCATGGGTGAGCCTCCTAGACCTTGGTCAGCAGATTTCCAAGAGACTCCTGCATGGGGGAAGAGGTCCTGCATGGGACCTTGGGCAGCACTCTTAACCCCTCTGAGACTCAATGTTCTCCTCTGAAAATGAGTCTAATAATGCCTACTTCACATGGTTAGCATAAGGATTAAAATTTAATGTAACAAATGCTTGATAAACACTTGGCCCAAACCAGACCAGACTCTTCTACAGAGTTTGGTCTAGGAGAGGAGGTGAGGTTGCTCCAGCGATGGGCCTACCTGTGTGGCAGGTGTGATAGAATTGTTTGCTCTGAAAAATGGGGTGGATGCTATCCCACTGCTGGATTTGCCCAGGCCTTCAAGCCAGAGTGAGGCATACTGCAGGGAGCACAGCTGGCCTGGCTGAATGAAGCTGACTGGCAGCCACCGCCCCATCACTATTTGAACAGCTGTGACATGGTATGTTTATAGATGTGGGGTGAAGATAAGATGGCGCTTTGAAAGAAGTCAAAAAAGAAATGGGGAACTGCAGGAGTGAGGATCTCTGCCCTCATGCCCAGGGGGCATGAATGGCAGCCCAGTTGGCCAGGCCCCCACCTTGCCCCCAGAGGCTCATAATGCTTGTCCTTAGAGACAATCACATCAAATTATAAATTGCTTTATAAATGGACAAATTGAGGACAGTGAGGGGAAGGGACTTGCCCAAGGTCACCCTGGCTAGACCTGCTAACTCCTACAGTCCAGTGGCTCTCTCCTTCCCCTACGTGATCTGTTCCTGAGAATCCCAGATCACATGGCCCTGAGATAGCCCAGGACAACCTCACCGATCCCCACAGTCCACCTATTCATTGATCCCATAAGTCCTTACTGAGTGTCTCCCATGCGCCAGGCACTGGTCCAGGCACTAGGAATACCACAGGGGAAAACAGACAAAAGTTTCTGTTCTCATTAAGCTTACATTCTGTGGGGAGAGATAGACAATGAATAAAACAAATGAGTAAAATATGTAGTAAGTTAGAATGCAATAACTGGCTTGGAGAAAAATGAAACAACGGAGGGGCTCAGGGGACCAGCAGGGCTGGGGGTGTTATTCTATAATAAGATGGTCAATGAAAGCTTCATTGAGAAGGTGACATTTGTAGAGAGACCTGAAGTGAGGAAGTGAACCACGCAGGTACCTAGAGGAAAAGATTTCTAGGCAGAGGGAACAGCAAATGCAAAGCCCCTGGAGGCTGTTTGGGGATCAGTGAGGAGGCCAGTGTGGCTGGTGCAGAGTGCAGAAGGAGTAGCAGGAGAGCAGGAGGTGAGGTCCTACAGGTCAGGGGGTCAGATAGAGTATGCAGGGCCTGTGGGCCATTGTAAGGACGTTGGCTTTTCATCTGAAATAGAGATCCAGTAGAGGGTTTTGAGCAGAGAAAGGACATGACCTGACTTATGTTTTTGCTGAATCACACCGGCTGTTGTGCTGAGAGTAGAGCATAGAGGATCCAAGCTGGAATAGGCAGGGAGACCTGTCAGGAGGCTGCTGCAAATAATTACCCAGGTGAGAGATGACAGGAGAACAGATCTTGAAGGTGGTAACAAGTGGTTTGATTCTGGATATATTTGGAATGTAGAAACAACATAAACTACTAATGGAGTGGATGTGGAGTATGAGAGTCAAAAATGACCTTGAGGTTTGGGTCTTGAGCAATTGGAAAGTTGAGACTGCCATTAACTGAGATGGTGAAAACTGCAGGAGCAGCAGGTTTGGGGGGCAAGGCCAGGGGTCTGGTTTGAATAGGTCAAGTCTGAGATGCCTATGAGATGCCCAAGTGGATGCCTATGAAAGCCACCCCTGCCAAACAGGGGTGGGGGCAGCAGCCACTCTCCACATCCCTTCCTACCTCATTCATCTACTCACTCACTCAGCAAGTATGCAGTGGGCAGGTCCAGGCACTGGGGACACAGCTCCCTGGCTGGCCCCCCATCACCAGTCTCGCCCCACTTCCTGACTGTCTAACACGTGGAGGCTCTAGTGTGGGCCTTGCAAAGCTGAGATCAGACTCATCACTCCCCAGCTCCAAACCCACAGGTGGCTCCCCATTGCCTTCAGAGGACAAAAAGCCAAGATCCACAGCCACTTACAGCATCTCATTCCTTTTTTTAAACTTTGATTTTAGGTTCAGGGGTACATGTGCAGGTATGCAGGTAAACTGCATGCCTCAGGGGTTTGAGGTATAGATTATTTTGTCCTCATTCCTTAAACACTAGTCACATAGGGCAACACACTGGGGCGTGAACATGCCATTGGTATCCATAACTCCAGGGGTCTGCTCAGGGGCTCCCTGCGCCAGTAAGGCCCTGCCTCCTCTTCAGCTTGATTTACTCATTTTGTTCCTCCAGCACCTGGCTGAGCCATCTCCTTTTCACCCGAAGCCTACCTTCCTCAACTTTTACACACACACACACACACACACACACACACAGAGGGAGCCTCCCTCAGGGATCTCTCAGTCTGTCTGCCCTCCCATCTTTCCTCCAATCAGGCTGGTTGCTTCTCGAGGGCAGGGGTTATTTCTTATTTGTTCATCTCTGTAACCCCAGCACTACCTTTGCCAGAGTAGTCAATAGAGGTTTATTGAATGAATGAATGAATATACTAATATGTTACAATAGATACTAAGGGATCAGAGAGAGGAGAAGCATTTGTTTGGCCTAAGGAGAGGGTCAGAGAAAGTGGCTCAGAGATGCCATTGGAGCTAGATGTGGAAGACCAAGAAAGAGTTCACCAGGCCAAAAGAATTCTCAGTGATGTACAACTAAATTTTGCTTTTCACATTTGATACAAACTGGCAGCCAGAAGGCTGAATGTGGCTTGCAGATGCTTTTGGTTTGGCCATATATTTTTTTTTTTTTTGGTTTTGGCCTGCATAGTGTTTTCAAAAGTAATGTAAAAAGACAGGCATTATGGTTGGTCACACCGTGACTTGTCTTACACTTGGCCGACTCTCACCCTTATGGTACCTGCTGGGAGGCAGGTGGGGAGTGTAGCCCTGCGTGCATTTGATTTGCCTCCTCTGGCCAGGGAACCCCAGTGCCTTCTCACTGCTCAAAAGTCCTGCTGCTAAAGACGGAGCATCCTTGGCTCATTCAGACAGAGCCTCCATACCATGCCAGGCCTGGCCAGCTGGTTAGTAGCTATGGGGATGACAACCCAAATGCCCACCACCTACAGGACCATCATGTCTACCTCAGACCCTCCAGGGTACTCAAGAGCTCTCCTTGTGATGGTGGAAGTGGGTGGAGAGGCTGGGCAGTGTGCAGACAGCAGCTGCAGACCAGGCCAGGGCTTGGCTTACCTTGACCCCCAGTTACTCAAAAGATAGAGAACAGCAACCCCAGAATCCCCTCCATGGCTCCCATCTCAGTAGGCGATTGCATTTTAGCAGGAAGCCTCACTGTGTGATGATAAGGCCTTTCGCTGAACATAAGGCTCAGGTATGGGTCTTCAACCAAGGGCTATGCAGGAAAAGCTGGGCTTCCAGGCCACTGGGGGTAGCTGAGTGTGCCAGAAACGGCACAAGTCAATGTGTGGGCTTCCACGGCTTCCAGCTGGAATACTGCAGGCCAGTTAGAGGTGGAATAAAAGCCTTCAGACACCAGCAACTACTGCCAGAGACACAGGCCCAGCTGGCTATGTGGAAATGAAGGTGAGAAAAGTTCCCGCCCCTCCCATCTAGCTGACACTGGGGCTCTCTGGCTTTGTGGCCCATACTTGTTCCTGTCGCTGCCAGAGCACCCTGGTTTCAAGCTACACGGAACAAATCCACACACTACAGCTACAGCCAGGTCCCTCAGTGCTGTCACAAACATGTACATAACACACAGCACACCCACAGTCATACCAACACCACATCATGTCCCGCTGTGTTCACGGTCTTCAGTCCCAGCCACAGCCTAGCCCAACCCAGCCCAGCTCTAATGCCCTTCAGCGACTGTGCTGTCTTACAGCCCCACAAGCGGGTGTACCCACTTCCCCTGGCAGCCGCAATGATCTTAAGTGTCTCACTTAACGCCTTGCTGACATAAGTTAGTGGCAGTCATGCAAAGAAAACCAAAAACAGAAAGAAACAAAACAAAAAACCCTAAAATTGCTTCTCCAGGGCTTTGAAATGTGTTCCATAAAGTTTCTTTGGAAAGTTTGCTTTATCCATTCTATTTGACTTTGACAAACAGTACTAGGGCTTTGTCTCCCTGAGTTCCTAAGCAGCAGAGCAGGAAAGGGCAGAAACAGGGAGACAAAGATACATAGTCAATCTTTTTCCCCCAGGAAGCTCCCTGCAGTTGTTCTGGACACATGAAACAGCTTAGTCAGAAACAGTCTTTCTTCTCCCCTTTTCCTTCCTCACCTCCCCACCCCACCCACTATCTCAGATGCCTACAACTGCTACATACAGGTGGATATGTTATTATGTGTCCCTAACTGAATAGCCCCTCTACGCCCTCCACACTGATTTTGGGGACACCCAGGCTCTACATACACCCAGTGACTGCAGCCATTTGGCTCCACAGGTCATCAGTGCTTCCACTTTGACCCAGTGCCTGACTATGCCCAGTGATGGGCACATACACCCACACCAGCCCTCTCTGCCCACCTCCCAGTACCTTTCACCCAGATGCTGCCCAAATGTGTGGGACTCAGTTGCTGTCCAGACTACGCAAGTGCCTTCCAGCAGCTGCTGTGTTTGTCTAGCATCTCCCAGTGAGCTGTGCCTTGCCTGCCTGTGGCCAGGCAGATCTGCAACTCATGTGGCCCTTGGGCCTGGCTAATGCAAAGGAACCCAGTGATGAGAATGCCTCCTTGATCTTCCCTGCCCTCTGTGCGTATCTCTATGGAGTCTTAGTGCAAACTAGGCCACTGACAGCCAAAGACAGAGAGAGAGAGAGAGAGAGAGAGAGAGAGAGAAAGAGAAAGACACACAGAGAGACATAGAGAGACAGAGAGAGAGAAATGCTTCTAGCACACACCCCTCATTCAGCACTTTGTTCTGGAAAGGACTGGGCTAGGCAACTTGGGCTAAATTCACACTTTGTGCCTGCAACCAGTGCCCTCTGTATAGGCCCAGCTGGCTGCCAATAGGCACGCTGTGCTTGGTCCTTTCTAGTCTATAAATGGGCACCACTTGTGCTGGGCTATGTAAAGACAATTATTTTCAATGGAATAAAATCTCCCTCTGCAGCTGACTGCCAAAGTCAGAAATACTAACGGCATATTCCACTGTTCTTTGGTGGCCTGTTTTGGGAAGGCAAAGTTAGTCTGGCCTGACTGCTGTATATTAGATGACACTGGGAATCACTTAAGCAAAGCACTTGCAATTTTCATTTCAAAGCAGGTCAAACAGAGAATTCCAGCCACGCCAGAGTTGAAAGGTGAGTAAACACCACCTAATCCAAGAGTCACAAATGTAAATGCCTTTAGGCACCAAGCAGCTAATGAAAATAAGGGAGGTGGGGAGGTGTAAGAAAATGGGAGAAGAGTGGGGAACCACAGCACACACGCTTTCCAGAAAGGCATTCAAAATCACGTTAATGTGCCAACCAACAAAACATGTTTGCAGGCCCTTTGGGCCCAAGAGCTGCAAGTTTGAGACACCTGTTGAAGACACGAAGCCCAGAAAGAGGAAGGGACTTATTCAAGGTCACCCAACTGGTCAGTGACAGAGGACCCTGCACAACTATTTGGCAAAATGAGTCTTGTGATGGCTTAACCACGCTCATTCTTTCATTCCTTCACTCCCTCAGCAAACAGGTCCTGACTCCCAATGTCCTAGACACTCTCCTGTCCTGTCACAGCCCCAGTAGTTAGCCAGGCTTGTTCTTCATCTTCAAGAAGTTCTCAGTCCAGTAGGGAAGTGGCAAGAACAGAGCTTGGAAATAGAAATAGAGAGCAGGTAGAATGGGGTCTCGAAAACCAGGCTGAGGCATTTGGATTTTATGCTGGAAGCAGCAGAGAAGCCTTGGGGAAGTCTGAGCAGGCCTTGGAAAGCTGTTCTGCAGGAAGATTCATCTAGCAGTGTTGACAAGATGGATTGGGGCCAGGCCAGTGTTGTGGGAGGTGTAACTGGAGGCACAGAAAGTAGTAGGCCTGAGGTGATGAGGTTGGAGGTCACTAACAAGAAAGGAGAAAGGGTGAATGTGTAAGACCCTGCAAATCAACAGTGTGAGCGGGGTGGTCTTGGGTATGGGTGTGTGTGTGTGTAGAAGGGGTGGCCCACGGGTGAAGGAGAAGGGTTGTTATGAGGCAAGGAGATGGTAGAATGAAGATGACTCCTAGGTGGGCTGGATGGCTGGATCGCCAACAGAGAGGGAGAACCCAGAGGACATGGGTTGGGGGAAAGTATGTGGGTGGGAACGTCCAAATGTTTTTCTGTGACAGCAGCCTGTAGACCAATAGAAAGAATCTGGGACTGTCTGTTTTATGTTATTAGCCTCTCCTTCCTCAGTATGGAAAATTGAGTCTGGGCCTTTTGACCTCTTGACTCTTCTAGATGCCCAGAAGTGACCCCTGGGGAAATCCCATTCAGTGCCTCTAGTTGAAACAGTCCAAAGATTTAACAAGCACTAATCAAATAAATAACTAAAATACATTCTCCGCCCCCGAACTCTTTTTGTCCCCCACTCCAAAGCAGCTCTGTGGGAAAGTCAATTTGGGAATTTCCCACATGTGTCTATGACCGCAATGCCAGAACAATGGTCTGAGTCAGCTACAATCTTCAAAATTCTGTATTTGCTTCTCAAATCAAAGGCAGCATGCTGGCAGGCGGAGCCCTGGTGATGCGGTAAAATGATTCCCATGTCACCTCAGGGACCACGTGGGACTTCTGTACTGGCTTCCAAAGCTCAATGCCCGAGCCACGAGGTAGAGAGAAGCCTGCCAGGCATGCAACTGAATCAGCAAACCCATCCAGATGATCTACTCTCCCCACACCCCATAGGGATGGTTCATTTGCCTTCAGGTTCCTCTCAAGTCACCCTTTTCTTTGCCCTCTGGGAAGAGGCTGCAGCATTGGTGAATGAGCAGGAATCACTGTGGGGTTCTAAAAATAGCTAAAGACTGCTAGTCCAAGCCTTCGCTACAGAAAAGAGACTTGAAAATCTGCAGATGAAACTGAAGTTGAAGGATGCTTGGGGCTCTGGAAAAAATAGTAGGGGCTTTGGATTCAACTTTGCTTCAAATCTCAGCTTGACCCCCTACCAGATGCATGGTCTGGTCACAGTTTTCTCATTTCTAAAATTGCAATTATGATATTTCCCTCCCAGGACTACGATAAGGATTAAATGTGATGATGCATGCATAGTTCCTGGCACATAGTAAATGCTTAATAAAAATTAGTTTTATCTTTCACATCTTCCACCTTTTTTTTTTTTTTTTTTTTGAGACGGAGTCTTGCTCTGTCGCCCAGGCTGGAGTGCAGTGGAGCGATCTCGACTTACTGCAAGTTCCGCCTCCCGGGTTCACGCCATTCTCCTGCCTCAGCCTCCCGAGTAGCTGGCACTATAGGCGCGTGCCACCACGCCCGGCTAATTTTTTGTATTTTTAAAGACAAGGTCTTTCAAAATAAGGACCAAGTGTTTTGCCAAAGCACCACCTGGTGAGAAGGGTGGGTGGGGTACAGAGCTGAGGGGAAGAAGAAGGGTGCCACTACCTTAGCCTACCAAGTGGGGACTCAAAAGATGCAGCTCATACTTGATGGAACAAAAACATAGAAAGTGTTAGTATATTGCATAGCTTACTGGGGTAACCAAAAAAGAATACAAAATAGTGATGAGTTAGACAATGGTGCTAAATCTTTAACTAGCTTGGCAGGAAGTCAACAGATAACCAGAAATTGGTAAACAGACTGCTCTGCCTATGGAGTAGCCATTCTCCTATTCCTTCAATTTCTTAATAAACTTGCTTTCACTTTACTCTATGGACTCACCCCAAATTCTTTCTTGCGCGAGATCCAAGAACTCTCTCTTGGGGTCTGGATCTGGACCCTTTTCTGGTAACATCTTTCTGGCAAACCCTGAAGGAACGATACTGAGGAGACCCCCAACCCAAAGGAAATAGTCTGCAGCACCAGTTGGCCGACTTTGGGTAAGTGGGGTGCATTTACCAGTGTAAAAGATGGGATTGAGTTAGAGGCCCAATTTAGGGGAGTTAGTGTCTCTCCTAAGACAGAGAAGGTTAAAGACCCCTCTTAATAAAAGTCAAGGACGCTTGACTGACCTTGGGTTAGAAGCCCAACTTAGGAGCGTTAGAGTCCCTTCTAAGATTTAGGGGGTTGGAGATCCCTCTCAGTAAAGTCCCTCTCGACTAAGAACGAGTTTGGCACTACTATTAACTGCTATTCTCTTTGAATTAATCTGCCTTTGCTGATGGCTGTAGGTGACAAGATTAGGTATATACAGGATCATTGGACATGGGGAGCTTTTTCCTCCCTAAAGGGGGAAACTTGAGAGCTGATGGGAATGCTGGAAAAGATCCCTTTGACAAACAAAACCTTCAAAAAAGATCCCTTCAACAAAACCTGAACTTTTCAGTGGCATTGCAATGGGTGGATCTTTCTCTGGCCTCCGTGAGCAACTCGCCTTCCCCATCCTGCCGCAGCAATGTTTTTCTCTCTTTCTTTCTCTCTTTTCCATTTCTTATCTTGTCTGTTACTCAGGGCGACTGTCTCGCCAGAGACTACATGTTGAAAAATGTCCTTGGGAGCTTAACCTTGTAACCACGTGGCAGTACTTTCTCTTGGTTGCCATCATCCAGTGGACAGGAATTTGGGGTTTCATGTTATAGTTAGCCCTTAAAATTATCTCAAGCAGTTAAAAGCTTTTGCAAGTTCAAAATTGGCTGTTCTAGGCTCCTTCTAGGAAGAGAAATGGAAACTTCCCAGTGCTGTAGCTCAGTAGCTAAGGCTTTGTGTCTTCACCGTGGTGGCCTGGCTTCAGGGTTCAATTCCTGGCTTAGGGAATGACTCTTTTATCTTCTGTCTGTCTGTGTATGTATATGTGTTGTGTGTGTAGTATAAAAGGGTTTTGATTAATTGGTTTAAAAATAAGAGCTTAAATCAAATATTTTATCAGAAAAGTAAAAGTACAAAGCCTTTTGGTTCATGTGACTTTAGTAATCTTTGGGAAATAAAAACAGTTTTAAAGGTTACTGGTAAAATAAAAATGTCTTCAAAATTTAGACATTTGGTCTAAATTCGGTCACATACTAGCTTTGCTAAATGCTTTAAGGTCATAAACTGCTTCTTTGACTTTTGAAAATTGTTCAATTTACCTACTACCTTGGAGCATTAGATTCTAGATAAGGCCTGGGGACATATGGACAGCCATGCCCCCTACGTATGCTGGAAAGAGTCAGCCTTTATCTGTACTTCTGTCTGATGTTCTAGACTCCAGACCTGGTACCTAACTACAATGGCTTACTAGCCAAGCTTTTCACCAAAAGTAAAAGTTGCTAAGAATTAACCGTGTAACACGTATTTGAGACTACTAAAGAAACAGTTTTTCTTTTTCTTTTTTTTTTGATACGGAGTCTCGCTCTGTCGCCCAGGCTGGAGTGCAGTGGTGCGATCTCAGCTCACTGCAAGCTCCACCTCTTGGGTTCACACCATTCTCATGCCTCAGCCTCCCGAGTAGCTGGGATTACAGGCGTGAGTCACCGCGCCCAGCTTAAAGAAACAGTTTTACATGCAAAGTGTGTAAAGAAAGTGAAATGTGTTTTTGGTAAAAGATTATAAAAAGGCATGGGAATGTGGATTTTTTTTTCTTGCCTAGATTAAAGGGTTAACGGATTGTTTTAAGTTAGATAAGATAAAGCTGAAGGTTTGAGCAAGTTATGGAAGGTTTGTGAAAAATTAATCTTGTAAAAGAAATTCTGTGTGTGAACATATTCGCTCAAATTAAAGGGGTATTCAGTTTTTCCATAAACTGAACATTGGACTAAAAGCATACTGATTTGGTGCCAGAATTTGGGCCCACGTGTCCAAATAACAGGGTTTTCTTAGAAGATTGATCTGTTTAACAAAAATTATAAAGAGTTATAAGAGGTTTATGAAAATCATACCTTATGGTCAAACTAATTAAAACTGGATAAACTTATAAAATGTTATTTAAAACTAGCTTTGGCATGAAAAATGCACTAATGCAAATATGAAATTTGGTTTTCTGTTTCAAAAAAGATTTTTACATAATATGAAAAGATAATGAAAGGTTTTTGTCTATGACTTTGGATAAATGGCAGGGAAAAAGGGAGGGGAAAAAGAAAAGACAGATTCAAGATTCAATTGGCCTCATGCTGTCTTTATTGGGTCTTGTTTAGAAAGCTGATTCTCTCCTCTCTTAGTGAGTATGGGGTTTTGCCTTTTTAAAATATTTATCATTTTGGTTAAATGAGTGACTTACGGTGACCTGGGATTCTTTTTATAATATCAAGTGACTTAAGCCTTTAATATTTGATAAGCTTTCCAAAGTGAAATTATAAACTATGACTTTTTCTGACCTAATTAATCTTTTAGATATTAGGTTGCCTAAAGTCCAAAAGTGACATTTGGCTTATTTGGTATAAAAGTCATACAGGAAACATTCTCAAATATAAGATGGTGTTTGGCTTTTTTGGGCTGTATTTCTAGAAATATGTTATTGGTATGTGTTCAAAATTATGGGAAACTCTTATAATCCTAATATAACTTAGCATATATTATCAGTAATAATTATAATTATTACATAAAATCATTGTGTGCCGTAGAGGTAACCAAATTTCTTTGTCAATCATGTTTTTGGCTGTGGCTGCCCTAAGACATTTTGTCATCCACAGGCAATTGTTGTCTTGTTTTGATCCTCTTTAAAAGGTGGTTTATAATCAGCTACAGGACTCTAACAGGTGTTCTTGAATGCAGGTTTCTAATAACTTTGGAGATTATGACATTAGAATAGAGGAAAAACTTTCAAGACTCATGGAAAGCTGAAATGTTCATGAATATAAAGCAGAACAGGAGTTGACTGAATGGACTGACCTAATAGAAGACTGAAGCAATCTTTTTTAACTTAGCTTAAAGCATTGCGGATCCTTTTGTTTTGTTTTTCAGAGTCAAAGAAACTTTTCTTTTAAGCTATTTACAGCTTTTAACAATTGAGTAAAGTATATTCCTGGGAATAAAACTTGGAGCATATTTGTTTCTCTCTACCTGATTTCTCCAGAATTTGGAAACTAGTTGTGAGTGTTCTTAACTTATAGCAATAGTTATTTGCATAAGTGCAATAAGAATCTGTTTTCTTTTGCAACAGGACACAATTTGAGAAACTGGTTATTTTACCAAGGCTTTGAATGGAATGGTGTGCTTTCCTTTAAGGAATCAAACTTGACTTATAGAGCCAATAAAAGCCCCTTGGGAAACTGGCCTCATACCTTGTCTACACAGTTCCTGTACAAGGTTCCTGACCTGTGGTAAGTTTAAAGAATGTCACCTTCTGACAGGCCCAGGAGCCCCAAGTTATCTTGGGACCTCAAGGGGAGAGGGATTTACTCAACTTATGGGTATTTGAGGGCACAAATCCATGGCTGGGCTCGGCTTTAAAAAGATCTGAGATTCCATCTATGAAACAGAGCTCCATCAGCCGGGCACGGTGGCTCATGCCTGTAATCCCAGCACTTTGGGAGGCCAAGGTGGGCGGACCACGAGGTCAGGAGATCGACACCATCCTGGCTAACACAGTGAAACCCCATCTCTACTAAAAATACAAAAACTTAGCCGGGCATGGTGGCAGGTGCCTGTAGTCCCAGCTACTCAGGAGGCTGAGGCAGGAGGATGGCATGAACCCGGGAGGCAGAGCTTGCAGTGAGCCGAGATCGTGCCACTGCACTCCAGCCTGGGCGACAGAGCAAGACTCCATCTCAAAAAAAAAAAAAAAGGAAAGAAATAGAGCTCCATTAAAGCCAATTTAAAAAGGGCTTATGTGAAAAATAATTATTCTTGCTGCACTTTATACAAACAGTCCAACCAGGTATAATAAAGCAAATCAGTCTTACCATGATTTACCTTTAGTAAAAATGGGAGACTGGAGAGAGAAAAAATTATGTTTCAAGAATTGTGGTATACCTGTTATTAGCTTTTAGTCTCATTAGTTGTTTTTAAGTATTTTTCTGCAATTTATACTGACTCTGCTTATTCCTGTGAATCATCCAGTGATCTCTGACTGCTTCTCAGAAGAAACAAGAGGGATGGGTAATGTAAAAATCTGGATCAGTATTCCAATTCTGGGCACATATTGAAATTGGCTAGCAACCCCATATTAGCTTGGTTCCAACAAATGCCTAGTTCATGGAAAGCTTTCTAATTTAGTTTACTAGGGACAATTTTACTTATTTTGCTTTACTATTGTGGAATATATTGCTGTTGTACTCTTTGTGTAGGAATGCAGGATAAGCTTACCGAATGTTTTCTTACATTGAATACTTATTAATCTTCAAGATATCACCTTTTGTCAGAACTCAGAATTGTGAATGGCCCATGACATACCAATGCTTTCTGACTGAGCTCCTCTCTACCCTGATTGCAAGAGATCTAATAGTTAGACAGGAATATCATCACCGCTATTCATTAGAAGATGGATCTTTGTCCCTCTGCAACCCTTAGGATTAAGGGTTCTCTTATAAAAGTGAGGGGGGAAATGTCAGAGGTGTTTGAACCACAGCAACTCCATCTTGAATAGGGGCTGGGTAAAATAAGGATGAGACCTGCTGGGCTGCGGTCCCA
The DNA here is from genome assembly GCF_000001405.40 of Homo sapiens. Classification (NCBI taxonomy): domain Eukaryota; kingdom Metazoa; phylum Chordata; class Mammalia; order Primates; family Hominidae; genus Homo; species Homo sapiens. Next base: position 71,983,981 of record NC_000023.11, on the reverse strand, counting down.
GTAAGTTAGGCCTTCTTAGTCACAGCATGAGATAGGGGGTCGGCACAAGATACAGGTCATAAAGCCCTTGCTGATAAAACAGGCTGTAGTAAAGAAGCTGGCTAAAACCCACCAAAACCAAGATGGCGATGAGAGTGACCTCCGGTCATCCTCACTGCTACATTCCCACCAGCACCATGACAGTTTACAAATGCCATGGCAACATCAGGAAGTTACCCTATAAGGTCTAAAAAGGGGAGGCATGAATAATCCACCCCTTGTTAAGCTTATCATCAAGAAATAACCATAACTTTTTCAAGTCCACTGTGGTGGCTCTGGGTAGTTCCTTTCTCATTCCTTTTTTTTCCTTTAACAGTTTTATTTTTTTTTTAGAGACAGGGTCTCACTCTGTTGCCTAGGCTACAGAACAGTGGCGTGATCATGGCTCACTGCACCCTCAAGCTCCTGGGCTAGAGTAATCTCCACACCTCAGCCTCCAGAGTAGCTGGAACTTCAGGTGTGTGCCACCAGGCTTGGCTAATTTTAATTTTTTTTTTTTTTGTAGAGGTGGGGTCTCACTATGTTGCCCAGGCTGGTCTTGAAGTCCTGGGCTCAAGCAATCCTCCCACTTCGGCCTCCCAAAGTGCTGGGATTACCAGCGTGAGACATAGCACCAAGCAAAATTTATACTGAGATATAATTCGCGTAGCATATAATTCAATCAATTAAAGCAGACAATTCAATGGCTTTTTAGTATATTCACAGAGTTGTATACCCATCATCATAGTGAATTTTAGATCATTTCCCGGTGATAGTGGAAAAACAAACTGTTTTTCCTCTGTTCTCACACCACAACAACAATCAACACAGAAAATTCTGTAACCAAATGTGTGGGATTTTCTCTCCCCATTCGCCAAATAAGCAATCAATTCTACAGTAGACACAGATGTCTTCCAGTTCAATTCTGATACTATCTACCTGAAGATAGCATCATATCCCACAGGTTGAAGGCTCAGTCCCCAAGACTGCGTCCCCCCTTCTTCACACACCAGTTGCAAGTTCTAGCCTCTGGAACTTCTGGACAACCAGCTTCAAATTGGAGTTCCCATTACCCCCTCTTTTCTTCTATTAATTTGCTAAAGCAGCTCACAGAACTCAGGGAAGCACTTACTGACATTTACTGGTCTATAATAAAGGACATAAAAAATGATACAGATGAAGAGATGCATCAAGCAAGGAAGGTATGTGGGAAGGGGCACAGAACTTCCATGTTCTACTTGGGTAGGCCACCCTCCATGAATCTTCACGTGTTCAGCTATCCAGAAGCTCACTGGACCCTGTTCTTTTGAGTTTTTGTGGAGGCTTCATTATGTAAGCATGATTGTTTAAATGATTGGCCATTGGTGATCAACTTCACCTTCAGCCCCTCTCCCGTCCCTGGAGGTTGGGCTGAAAGTCCCAACCCTCTATTCATGCCTTGGTCTTTCCAGTGACCAGTCCCTATTCTTGGGCTACCCAACCATCAGTCAACTCATAGGCATACAAAAAGACATCACTTTGGAGACTCCAAGGATTTTCGGAGTTGTATGCCAGGAAATGGAGACAAAGACCAAATATATATTTCATAACATCACACCCCCCAAAAGAAACCCTAACTTATTAGCTCTCTATTATCCTCCCCACTCCAGCCCCTGGCAACAACTAGTCTATTTTCTGTCTTTATGGATTTGCCTAATCTGGGCATTTTATAGAAATGGAATCATACAGTATATGGGCTTTGTGTCTGGCTTCTTTTGCTTAGCCTAGTGTTTTCAAGGTTCATCCATGTTGTAGCATATATCAGTACTTCATTCATTTTTATGACTGGTTCCATCATATGAATATACCACAACTGTTTATCCACTCACACATTGAAGGACATTTGGGTTGTTTCCATCTTTTGGCTATTACAAATAATGCTCCTATGAACATTTATGTACAAGCTTTTTTTTATGGGGACATATGCTTTTATTTCTCTTGAGTATGTACCTAAGAGTGGAATTACTGGGTCATACGGTAACCTGGGTCATATGTTTAACCTTTTGTGTAACTGCTGTACTGTTTTCCATAGAGGCTGCACCATTTTATGTTCCTACCAGTGGTATTTGAGATTTCCAGTCACTCCACATCCTTGTCAACACTTATTATTTGTATGTTTGATTACAACAAATCTATTGGGTGGGAAGTGGGATCTCATGTGGTTTGATTTAAATTTCCCTCATGGATAATGATGTTGAACATCTTTTCATGTACTTGTTGGCCATTTGTATATCTTCTTTGGAGAACTGTCTATTCAGATCTTTGTTCATTTTTAAATTGAGTTGTTTGTCTTTTTATTGTTGAGTTTTAAGAGTTCTTTATATATTCTGGATACAAGTTCTTTACTAGATATATGATTTGCAAACCTTCTTTTTTTTTTTTTTTTTTGAGACAGAGTCTTGCTCTGTTGCCCAGGTTGGAGTGCAGTGGCACGATCTCTGCTCACTGCAACCTGGGTTCAAACAATTCTTGTGCCTCAGCCTCCTGAGTAGCTGGGACTACAGGTGTGTGCCAACACACTCAGCTAATTTTCGTATTTTAAAAAGAGATGGGGTTTCGCCATGTTTGCCATGTTGGTCTTGAACTCCTGACCTCAAGTGATCCACCCGCCTTGGCCCAAAGTGCTGGGATTACTGGCGTGAGCCACTGTACCTGGCCATAAGATTTACAAAACTTTTGTCCATTCTTTGGGCTGTCTTTTCCCTTTCTTGGTAACCTCTGAAGCACAAAGTTTTTTACTTTTCATAAAGTTCAATTTACCTAGTTTTTCTTTTGTCTTTTGTGCCTTTGGTGTTATATCTAAGAAACCATTGCCTGATTCAAGGTTACAAAGATATACAACTACACTGTCTTCTAACGGTTTTACAGCTTGAGCTCTTACAGTTATGTCGTTGATCCACTTTGAGCTAACTTTTGTACATGATATAAGGTTAGGAGTCCAAATTATTCATTTTTGCATGTAGATTCTCCTTTTTAATTTCAAGGGGCAACACCCTAGTTGAGAATTGGGTCTAGGGAAAATAATAATTACAAAAATCATTGATTAGGTCTCTATCAGGCACTCACATATGCTACCTCTTATTTTTGCAGTAACTCTTCACGGTATATCTTTCTACTATCCTCCTTTTATAGCTGATCAAAGTAAGACAGATTAACTTGTCCCACATTGCCCAACTGACAAGAAGCAGAGCTAGGATTTGCATCAGGCCCATCTGTCTCCAAAGCCCAGACTCACAGTGCTGCACTGGATTGCAAGTAGGCTTCATTCTGTTCATTGACTCTTTCAACTTATCCTTATGCACATATGTACACACACTACACACACACACACACACACACACACACACACACACACCCCACACACCCCACACACACACACACACACTGTTTGGCATGTAAAAAGTGCTTGAGACACCTGAGCTAAATGATTAGATGAGCACAGGTGTTGTTGACAACAGCTGATGTTGGGCAAGATGTGAGCCCAACAACAAAATAAAAGAGGACACAAACAAATGGAAGAACATTCCATGTTCATGGTTAGGAAGAATCAATATCGTGAAAATGGCCATACTGCCCAAGGTAATTTACAGATTCAATGCCATCCCCATCAAGCTACCAATGACTTTCTTCACAGAATTGGAAAAAACTACTTTAGAGCTCATATGGAACCAAAAAAGAGCCTGCATTGCCAAGTCAATCCTAAGCCAAAAGAACAAAGCTGGAGGCATCACACTACCTGACTTCAAACTATACTACAAGGCTACAGTAACCAAAACAGCATGGTACTGGTACCAAAACAGAGATATAGACCAATGGAACAGAACAGAGCCCTCAGAAATAATTCCACACATCTACAACCATCTGATCTTTGACAAACCTGACAAATACAAGAAATGGGGAAAGGATTCCCTATTTAATAAATGGTGCTGGGAAAACTGGATAGCCATATGTAGAAAGCTGAAACTGGATCCTTTCCTTACACCTTATACAAAAATTAATTCAAGATGGATTAAAGACTTAAATGTTAGACCTAAAACCATAAAAACCCTAGAAGAAAACCTAGGCAATACCATTCAGGACATAGGCATGGGCAAGGACTTCATGTCTAAAACACCAAAAGCAATGGCAACAAAAGCCAAAATTGACAAATGGGATCTAATTAAACTAAAGAGCTTCTGCACAGCAAAAGAAAATACCATCAGAGTGAACAGGCAACCTACAGAATGGGAAAAAATTTTTGCAATCTACTTATCTGACAAAGGGCTAATATCCAGAATCTACAAAGAACTTAAACAAATTTACAAGAAAAAAACAAACAACCCCATCAAAAAGTGGGTGAAGGATATGAACAGACACTTCTCAAAAGAAGACATTTATGCAGCCAACAGACATGTGAAAAAATGCTCATCATCACTGGCCATCAGAGAAATGCAAATCAAAACCACAATGAGATACCATCTCACACCAGTTAGAATGGCGATCATTAAAAAGTCAGGAGACAACAGGTGCTGGAGAGGACGTGGAGAAATAGGAACACTTTTACACTGTTGGTGGGACTGTAAACTAGTTCAACCATTGTGGAAGACAGTGTGGTGATTCCTCAAGGATCTAGAACTAGAAATACCATTTGACCCAGCCATCCCATTACTGGGTATATACCCAAAGGATTATAAATCATGCTGCTATAAACACACATGCACACGTATGTTTACTGTGGCACTATTCACAATAGCAAAGACTTGGAACCAACTCAAATGTCCATCAATGATCGACTGGATTAAGAAAATGTGGCACATATACACCATGGAATACTATGCAGCCATAAAAAGGACGAGTTGATGTCCTTTGTAGGGACATGGATGAAGCTGGAAACCATCATTCTCAGCAAACTATCGCAAGGACAAAAAACCAAACACCGCATGTTCTCACTCATAGGTGGGAACTGAACAATGAGAACACTTGGACACAGGAAGGGAAACATCACACACTGGGGACTGTTGTGGGGTGGGGGGAGGGTGGAGGGATAGCATTAGGAGATATACCTAATGTAAGTGACGAGCTAATGGGTGCAGCACACCAACATGGCACATGTATACATGTGTAACAAACCTGCACGTTGTGCACATGTACCCTAAAACTTACAGTATAATTAAAAAAAAAAAAAAAAACCTTGACAAGTTTCTGTAGTAAAATGAGAGGCAACAGATATAGGAGATTTCATCTCAAAAAAAAAAAAAAAAGATGTGAGCCCAAGATAGGCTAAATGATGCCAGGGCCAGGGCCAGCCTAACAGAAATATAAGCAGTAGCCTGAATAGCAGTACTGAATGTGCCAGCAGCTTCTGATCTGATGCAGGGGTGCCATTCAACTCCTCCATGACTGAATAAAGTGTGTCTGGCTGGGAAACATCTTTCTTCTAGTCCTATGCAGAATGAGGTTAAGGACCTATAGCGAGTGGCTTTTTGGGCTTGACAGTCTATGGAGGATTACCTCAGAAGCTGTTCTGTGCAGAGTCCTGGCACCAAATGAGAGCCTTATGGCTGCAGTTGGGTATAAAGCACCACCCAAGGGCAGGGGTTGGCAGGTCCAAGGGAGGGATATGACGGCAGTCCAAGATTCCCTTATAAAGGCGAGTGCTCTAATCAGGGGCTGAGAATGTAAGGTGATGTGAGAACTAGCTAGTAAAGGAAAACCTAAAAGAGAAGTTTAAGGGATGCCTAATGATTTCTTAGTTTATTTTCTAATAGTAATGAGAACAGCTACTTTGATTAAGGCTTCTTATGTGGTAGGTACTGCGCTAAGCACTTTAGATGAATTAATTTGTTTAATCCTCATAACAACCCCATGATAGAGTTGTTATTCTTATCTCTTTTTTTTACACATGAGACAATTGAGGTCAAGGGAGGTTAGGTAACTTCCCATGGCCACACAGAGAGTAAGTAGCAAGGATGGAATCTGAACCCAGGCCACCCCTCTCCAGAGTCTGTGCACTTATACTAGTGGGCTGTACAAATGCAAGCAGTATGTAATAAGGGAGGTGGGATAAAAGAGTATGGTCACCTCCTTCTAGAAAGTTGTTTAAGATTTCAGAAACTTTCCACCATCCTCCTAATGAGGTGTCTGGAGCACTTTGGAAAGTTTCTAAATGTCTACAAATAGAAGGTGCGGCCATGGTCTTGGTTTTTGGAATAGGTCAAGAAAGAAGAGAGACCAGACAGGCGCGGTGGCTCATGCCTGTAATCCTCGCACTCTGGGAGGCCGAGGAGGGTGGATCGCTTGAGCTCGGGAATTTGAGACCAGGCTAAGCAACATGACGAAAGCCTGTCTCTACAAAAAATTAGCTGGGCATGGTGGCACACACCTGTAGTCCCAGCTACTGGGGGGCTGAGGTGGGAGGATCACTTGAGCCCAGGAGGTTGAGACTGCAGTAAGTCAAGATTGTGCCACTGCACTCCAGCCTGAATGACAAAGTGAGGCGCTGTCAAAAAAAAAAAAAAAAGAGAGAGAGAGACTGCCACCAAGTTTGAGCACATATATTCATGAAGGACAAATACTAGCTACTGTTTATAAAATAACTTACTGTGTGTGAGGCAATGTTCTGAGAGCTTTCATGTACTATTTTATTTAATCATCACAACAACCCTGTGAGGTAGGTGTTATTATTATCTGCCACTTTACAGATGAGAAAACGAGACATAACATTTCCAAGGTTACACAGATTTAAGTGGCAAAATGGAGATTTGAACCTGAGAATTCTGTTTCTCCATCTGGGGCACCTAACTGCTATGCTAACCTCATCTTGCCAAAGCCTTTAAGGGAGAGCTTAACCACACCTGTTACAAAAGGAGCCAAAAAGTAATATTACCCTGTTGGCCCCAAAGCAGCTGGCCAATCCTTTCTTGCTTTGCAACTTGTTCTAAATCTAGTTTTAAAAGTCCCTTGTGCTGACTTCAGCAGTTTTCACAAGCATCAGCATATCCTGGCCCCAACCCACCCCGTATCATTCTCACATGGTTACACCACTCTTTCAGATTGGTTTCTCATGGAGAAAAAACAATGCTCTGTGGTTTTCCCTAGGGAGAAGTGAATCGCAAGTCTCTCTCATGTCTTCCTGTCACTGTGTGTTTTTCCCTCTCTACGGTCTAGTGGAAAGACAACAGGCTTTAGTCAGACAGATCTGGAGTCAAATCCTGCTTCCTCCACTTCCAGGTCGGGAGGCCTTGGGCAGGACACTTAGCCTCAGTTTGCTCATCTGTGAAATGAGGATAATCATAGCAGCTGCCTCACAGGTTACTGCGGGGGATGAAAGTGTAGAGGTAGTGAGAACATATAGCACTGCAGGGGAGAAAAAAATTAATAAGACAGGAGCCTAGTGTGGCTGAAGCCAGATCAAGAGGGTCTTGAATGTCTAGACAAAGGGGCTAAACTGTATTTAAGAGGCATTGGAGCCTTTGGAGGTCTTTGCAACAGGGGATGACACAATTTTGTTTAACATTTATTGAGTACTTATTCCAGCTTAGGCATGGTTCTTTACTAAGTCCTCACAACAGGCTTACTAAGTCCTCACAACAGGCCTATGAGGAGGTATAACTATTTTTCCTATTTTGCAGGTAAGGAAACAGAGATTCAGAAAGGTGAACTAACTTGCCCAAGATTACCTAGCTTATAAATGGCAGCTGGGACTAAATCTACACAGCCAGATCCCAGAGTACAAGCCCTTCACCACAAGACTCTGTTATTTTGAGGCAATTATGTTGTATACAGTAGACTGGGCGGGGAGGGGCATGAAGCAGAGAGACCAGTTAGGTGGCCATTATAGTCATCCAGGTGACAAGGCTTAAAGGCAGGGACCACAGTGGGCCAGTGAAATGGAGGATATGTCCTTAGCAGGCAGCTTTCCAGAACTGGGCAACTGAGTTAATGTGGGAGATAGGGGAGTTAAATCTAGCCCAGAGATGTGGGGGGTTTTGCTACTTTCCCCAGGTTCTTGGGGAAAAAAAGAATAGTTTTCAACATTTAAAAGTGAGACAGTTTACATTAAAATCTGGAGTTTCTATCTTCTCTTGAAGACCTATAGGTTCTGGCAGCACTGGGCTGTTATTCTCACAGGATACTAGTGGTAGGGCCAGCAGCAGCTTTCTCCCTGAGACAGAGAGGGACATGCCCCAAGACCCTCCGGGACCTGCTTCTCTCTTTCACCTGACTGCTGCAAACCAGGATGCTGGGAGGAATGGTGATGAGGAAGGAGCTAGTTTGGGAGAGAAAAAAAGTACCATCACTATAAAGAAAGCAAGCTCAGAGCCAACAGGAGGAGGAGAGAAAACAGCCAGGGGAAGGGGCAGGGAATGGGCCTGGAGATAATAATTGTCATAATAAGAAGGGTCTAAGGTCAAGGAAAGGAGGGTATCACGGGGTATAGGCTCTTTAGAGAAGCAATTGAAAGCATTTACTGATGGGGAGAGAGGGGAAAGGAAGAGAGAGACGGAGAGACAAGTGTGGGGTGTGGAGAAGCAGTGTCTAAAATACAAATGTTTGGGCAAAAGCCAAGAGACCATACTGCAGGTGTGCTGGGAAGCTGTGGGAGGAGAGAGGTTGTGCTCCCAACAGAGATTTAAAGAGTGATATCTTGATAAAAATGGGTGTATGAATGATGGAGAGAGTAAATCAGAGGAGTTCAGGGTAAGAAACTGAAAGGCCAGGTCACCACTGTGGTGGTAATTGTCTCCAGCAGTCACTCCTCGGTGTGAACTTCTCTTGCAAAGGCAAATAGCGGAGTGTCGCCAGGGCACAGATGGGTTGGTATCTGCCTCTCCAGCCCAGTAGTCCTGCGGCCAGCATATGAGGTTGCCAGCTTTAGGCACTAAGGAGCAGTGGATGTCCACAAACAAGACACAAACAGGCTGAACAAGGGGGAAGAGAAGTGACAGCTGCCATGGCTGAATCTTCTCTTTGGAGTCCCATACTTCTTTAAAATTGACTATTCCATTGATAAAATGGTGGGGATGAGCAGGCTAAGAAGAGATACAATTGAGGAGAGGGTATCAAATCCAAAGGAGGTATCTGTCCCAGTGGCACAGCGCTATCACACTTTCCATTAAGGTAGGAGTTCCACAGCCTTGCTATTGTTCAGGGAGGGAGAAAGCAAGGCAGAGAGAAGGAAAACGAGCTTTTGCCAACAGTCAGCATGGAAGGGATCACTAAAGCAGTTCAAAGTCACAGCAATGTCACAATCTGCTTTTCTGCATTTGTGGACCCAGCCTGTATGTTTCTAGAGACCAGATGAGGGGCTATTTTGCGTGCTCTTGCCAATATTTACTGATGATAGTTTTTCTCTATAAAAAATTAGAAAGAAATATCAAAACCATAGCTGGAGCAACAGCAGAGAAGGCCCTACTTAACCCACAAGGGTTCCCAGGGATGAGATTATTTCTGCTGCTCCAGGGATCAGAATGTTTTACACATAATTACTACTGTTTCCCCTTCTGATTAATGCCTTATTCTGGAGAATAGCTACTTTGCAAAACGTCAACATTTATGTGATAAGTCTGAAACTCTTTATTTTTTTTAAAGTAAGCCTCACATTGTAACACCATTTCACTGTTCTATATGCTTTCTTTCCTCCTGAATAAAATCTTGAGTTTGGGCTTAATTGAGTTCTAGTAGAGATGATATACAGAGAAGCCCACACCAAAAAATTTTTTTCCACTGTCACAATTTTCAGTAAGGGGACAGGACTTACAGAATGGCTGTGTTGGAAGTAGATGCTTTTCCTCAGTGAAACAATCATTTCGCTGGTGAAAGTTTTTTAAATAACCATTTAAAGTCTCTGGAAATTTTCCTCAGAGCACACAGTAAGTGGAGAAACATTTATTCAAGAAAATCTACTAAATATTGGTAAGAACAGATACAGTCTGTGACATCTGAGCCATGACCTGCTCCAGTTCTGCCCCTCACCAGCTCCATGTTACAGAAGCGCTGTTCTGGATGGGTGTGGCCAAGAAAGCAAGGTTCTCTATTTCCCCAGCTCCAAGTCTACGGGTTTCAGCTTCACTCCAGGAGCATGTCTCATCTCTCCCAGCTCAGTATTGCAGAAGTTCTATTCTGGGTGAAAGTGGCCAAGAGGACTGGGCTTCCTTCTCCCACCCAGTCCCAGCTTGTAGGGCAGAATCTTTACCCCAGGCACAACGGGCCAAGAATGCTAGGCCTCAATCATCCTACCACAGCTGGCTAATAGGATGCAAGCTCCATACTGGGAGAGGCAAGCTGAGAAGATCAGGGACTCCTATCCCCTCCCCACCTCCCCAGTACCCACTCTTAGAGTAAGGGGTGTCACTCCAGGAGAACCAGGAACTCTCCCCACCCCCAGCTCCAGGGCAGTGGCTTAGAGGCAGACCCTGAAGGCAAGCCTTAAGGATGGAGAGCTCCACAGTTCTGTCCTAAGGGGGCTCGTTATTTAGAACAGAGCATGGAGAAGTTCATGCCTGAGGGCACTGTCGAAAACAATGGAGATCTTCACGGCAAGCAGTTAAGACGGCTGGTAGCTTCATGAAACTAGTAGCAACAAGAAAAATGGCAGACCAGCCAGAAGGTTGCCAGAGAAAACCATGGAAAGAAACAGCTAAGAAGACACCTCATGGGATCATACTCATCCCTATGGACTTGGAAGGCTGTGCACATGCACTAGGCTGCACCTACTTCAGGAGCAATCAAGGCAGGACGTGGGACAGACTGCAAAACATTCCTCAAGCCACACACAATTCAAGCAACAAAGGACAGCCTTACTGGCTCACAACCTGTGACAAATCACTGACTGAACAATAAGCTACCCTAAACCAGGGCCCACTCCTAGGCAGCCAGGCTTAAAATTAAATCACACTCATCCTTGGAGGTCTGAAAGACTGTACATATGCCTAAGACTAGGCCCTCTCAGGAATGACTGGAGAGAAAACTAAAGTAATAGTTCTTGTTGAACATGGAGCAAAATTGTAAACTTCTTGACCTGTGAAAGCAGTCTCCAAGCCAAACACACACACACACACACACACACACACACACACAACAATAAAGATAGGCAATAGAGATTTTTCAGTCTGAAGAACAACAACAACAACAAAATGAACAGAGCCTCAGAGAAGTGTAAGACAGCATTAAGTGCACCAACATATTACATACATAGTGGTAGTACCAGAAGGAGAGATGACAGAGATAGGGACAGACAAAATATTTAATGAAATACTGGCTTCAAACAACTCAAATTTGATTAAAAACATTAATATGCACATCTAATAAGCTCAATGAACTTCTAGCAGGATAAAGACAAAGAGATCCACGCCCAGATGTATCACAGTTGCTGAAATAATGAAGTATTGAAAGACAAAGAGAAAATTTTGAAAGCAGGAGGAAACACTTAACTTATCCATCATGTACAAGGAAACCTCAATAAGATTAACAGCTAACTTCTCAACAGAAACAGCGGAGAGCAGAAGGTATTGAGATGACATATTCAAAATGCAGAAAGTAAACAAACAAACAGACAAACTGTCAACCCTTAAGCCCAGCATAACTATCATTTAAAAATGAAAGCAAAATAGGCCGGGCGCGGTGGCTCATGCCTTTAATCCCAGCACTTTGGGAGGCCAAGGAGGGCAGATCACCTGAGGTCAGGAGTTTGAGACCAGCCTGGCCAACATGGTGAAACCCCGTCTCTACTAAAAATACAAAAATTAGCCAGGCATGGTGGCACGCACCTGTAATCCCAGCTACTTGGGAGGCTGAGGCAAGAAAATCGCTTGAACCTGGGAGGTGGAGGTTGCAGTAAGCCGAGATCATACCATTGCACTCCAGCCTGGAAACAAGAGTGAAACTCCATCTCAGAAAAAAAAAAAAGTAAAATAAAGACATTCCCATAGAAACAAATACTAAGTGAATCCATTGTCACTTACAGAAAACACTAAAGGAAGTTTCTCAGGCTAAAAGGGAGTGACATTAGATAGCAATTTTTTTAAGAGATGGGGGCTCGCTCTGTTGCCCAGGATGGAATGCAGTGGGATAATCATAGCTCAATGCAGCCTCAAACTCCTGGGCTAAAACCATCCTCCTGCCTCAGTATCCAAAGCAGCTGGGACTACAGGTGCATGCCACTACACCTGGCTGAGACAGCAATTTAAATTCGCACAAATAACCAAAGAGCTCCAGTAAAGGTAGTTATGTAGGTAATGATATAAGAATAATTACATATTTTTCCTATTTTCTTAAATAATTTAGAAAGCAATTTCATAAACAATATCTATAAAATTGCATTGTTTTCCATAAAATATATAAAAATATAATATATTTGACAACAATAGGGTAAAGGAGGTTGTTGGGAACAGAGCTGCACTGGAATAAGGAAATGACACTAGATGGTAACTCAAATCCACAGGAACAAATGAAGAGAACCAGCAATGGTAATTAAGAAGGTTAGTATTTTTTAAACTCTATAAATATATCCATGCTCTCTTTTCTTCTATTAGCTTCTTTAAAAGACATAAGATTACATAAAGTAATAACTGTAACCAAGTGTTGTTAGATTTGTAACACACATGGACATAATACATATAATAACAATAGCACAAAAATGGGGAAGGGAGCTATATAAAAATAAAGTTTCTGTGTCTCACTGGAATTAACTTACTACAAATCTGAAGTAGATTCTGACAAGTTAAGGTGTATATCATAAACCTTAGGATAACAATTAAGAAAAAAACTTTTTTAAAAAGTTAAAAAATAATTAAATGAATTAAAATGCTACACTAGAAAATACTTAATGCAAAACAAGGCAGTAAAAGAGGAACAGAGGTTAAAAAAAAAAGATGTGAAACATATAGAAAACAAAAAGCAAAACTGAGGCTGAAGCAGGAAGATCACTTCAGGCCAGGAGTTTGAGACTAGGCTGGGCAATATAGCAAGACCGTGGCTCTACAAAAAATTAAAAAATTAACCCAGCATGGTGGCGCACACCTGTAGTCCTAACTACTAGGGAGGCTGAGGCAGGAGGATTGCTTGAGCCCAGGAGTTGGAGGCTGCAGTTAGCAATGACTGCACCACTGCACTCCAGCCTGGGTGACAGAGTGATACTCTTTACAAGAGAAAATTCAAAAAGCAAAAATGGCTTAAGGAACGAGTGAAAGAAAAGCAAACTAAATTCAAAGCAAGAAGAAGGAAGGAAATAATAAAAGAGGAAATAAATGAAATAAATATTAGAAAAGTAGAGAAAATTAAAGAAACCAAAAGTTGGTTATTTGAAAAAAAAAAAAGAACAAAATTAACAAATCTTTAACTAGACTGACAAAAAGAAAACTAGAAAAGACTCATCACTACTGACCTTACAGAAATAAAAAGAGAAATAAACAAATACTATGAACAACTATATGGCAACAAATTCGGTAACTTAGATAAAATAGACAAATTCCTAGAAAGAACAGCTTCTAGCAACTGACCCAAGAAGAAATAGAAAATCCGAATAGACTTATAACAAACAAAGAGACTGAATTAATAATTTTAAAACTTCCCATAAAAAAGTCCAGGCCCAGATGGCTTTACTGATGAATTCTACAAAACATTTAAAGAAAAATTCACAAACTCTTCCAAAAACGGGGAAGAAACAAACATTTCCAGACTCATTCTGTGAGGCCAGCATTATTCTGATACCAAAGCCAGAAAAGGACATCACAAGAAAAGAAACCTACAGGCCTTATAAATATAGATGCAAAGTCCTCAACAAAACACTAGCAGATCAAATATAGCTATATATAAAAAAGATTATACATGAACAAAAGAGATTTATCCCAGGAATTTTAAGTTGGTTTAACATCTGAAAATGAATTAAAAATCATTAGAATAAAGGGCCAAAACCACACGCTGATTTCAACAGATGCAGAAAACTATCTGACAAAATCTAACACCTGTTTATGATAAAAACACTCAACATACTAGAAATAGAAGGAAACATCCCAACCTGATAAATGCATCTACGAAAAACCCACAGCCAATACCATACTTAATGGTGAAAAACAGAAAGCTTTTCCCTAAGACAAGGGTGTTTGTTCTCACTACCTCTGTTCAGCATTGTAATGGAGGTTCTAGCTAGAGCAATTAGTTTAAAAAGAAAAAGAAACAAAAGGCATACAGATTAAAAAGGAAGAAGTAAAACTATCTCTATTTGTAGATAATATGACCTTGTATATAGAAAATCCTAAGGAAACCACTAAAAATCTATGAGAATTAATAAACAAATTCAACAAGTTTGCTAAATGAAATTAAGAAAACCATTTGGCCGGACGTGATGGCTCACGCCTGTAATCCCAGCACTTTGAGAGGCTGAAGCGAGTGGATCACCTGAGGTCAGGAGTTCGAAACCAGCCTGGCCAACATGGGGAAACCCCGTCTCTACTAAAAATACAAAAATTAGCCATGCGCAGTGGTGGGTGCCTGTAATCCCAGCTACTGGGGAGGCTGAAGCAGGAGAATCGCTTGAACCCAGGCGGTGGAGGTTGCAGTGAACCAAGATTGCGCCATTGCACTCCAGCCTGGGCAACAGAGCGAGACTGTCTCAAAAAAAAAAAAAGAAAAAAAAAAAAGAAAAAAAGAAAACCGTTCAACTTACAAAAGCATAAAAAAAAAGGAGGGATAAATTTAACAAAAGAAGTAAAAATTTCTTACTTCGAAAACTAGAAAACATGGTTGAAAAAATCTTAAAAGATATAAATAAATGGGAAAACATCTCATGTTCATATATCAGAAAATTTAATATTGTTAAGATAGCTACATGGCCCAAATTTATCTACAGATTCAACACAATCCCTGTGAAAATCCCAGCTATCTTTTTTGGCAGAAGTTGACAAGCTGATCCTACAATCCATATGGAAATGAAAGGGGCTCAGAATAGCCAAAATGTTCTTGAAAAAGAACAGCAAACTTGGGGGATTTATACTTTCCAATATCAAAACTTACCACAAAGCTACAATAATCAAGACTGCATGGTGCTAGCACAAGACTAGATATTTAGATCAACTGAATAAGCAAGAGATGATAAAGAAACCCTAAAATTATGGTCAACTGATTTTTGACAAAGATATCAAGATAATTAAATGGGGAAAGAAAAGTCTTTTTAACAAATAATTCTGAACAACTGGATAGCCACATGCAAAGGAATAAAGTAGGACCTCTATCTGAGATTATACACAAAAATTAAAGAAGATTATAGACTAAATGTAAAAGCTAAAACTATAAAACTCTTAGAATAAAACATGGAAGAAAATCTGCATGATATTGGGTTAGGCAATGATTTCCTACATATGACACCAAAAACACAAGCAAAAAAAAAGATTGACAAGTTAAACTTAATCAAGGTGAAAAATTTTTGTGCATCAAAGGATGCCATACAAAAAAGGGCAGAAAGAGCTCACATTACATAAATATTTATTGCAGCATTATTCATAATATCCAAAAAGTAGAAACAGCACAAATGTGTATCAACTAGTAAATGGATAAATAAAATGTGGTATAGCTATAAGATGGAATGGAATATTATTCAGCAGTATGAAATGAAGTGGCAGGTTCCACTTCAAGCATGACAGTGTGAAGAGCAGTGGCTCATGCCACTGCTCTTTGTCATCCCAGCACTTTGGGAGGCCAAGGTAGGAGGACTGCTTGAGGCCAGGAGTTCCAGACCAGCCTGTGCAACATAGTAAGACCCCCATCTCTACAAAAAATTAAATAAATTAGCCAGGCATGGTGGTGTGTGCCTGTGGTCCCAGATACTAGGGAGGCTGAGGCAGGAACATTGCTTGAGCCCAAGAATATGAGGTTACAATGAGCTATGATTGTACCACTGCACTCCAGCCTGGACAATGGGGCAGAGACCCTGTCTCTTAAAAAAAAAAAAAAAGATTGACTTCCGGTTAACATGCACGCAGCTTAGAAGTCGCTCCCCATCCTAACAAGTAAAAAGCTGAACACACTGAAAAATCAATACCTCTTCTTAGATTAATCAGAGAAATGAGGTCACAGGGCAAACCTCTGCCCTCAAAATTAGAGACAGACAGATGAACACAGAGAATCACAACTCATGGGAAGAGAAACTCATGAACAGAAATCAGTACTGGAGTAGGAAAACCTGAATTGTAATTGATGAATTGTTGGATGCTCAGTGAGGATAAATCTGACAACAGTTAATACTTTTTTATGGGCCATAAAACACACTTTTACAAGTTTAAAGGAATAGCAATCATATAATGTCTGCTCTCAGACTACAATGGAATTGAAATAGAAATCAATAACAGAAAGACGTCTAGAAAATCCTGAAATACTTGGAGATTAAACAATATATTTCTAAATAAAACATGGATCAAAGAAAAAATCTCAAGAGAAATACAAAATATATTGAACTAAATGAAAATGAAAATATATCAAAATTTGAGGGATGCAGCAAAAGCAGTGCTTAGAAGGAAATTTATAGCATGTACATATTAGAAATGAAGAATGTATATATTAGAAAAGAAGAAAAACCTAAGCTTCCACCTTTGGAAAATAGAAGAAAAAGCGAACTAAACCCAAAGTAAGCAGAAGAAAAGAAATAAAAATTAGGGCAGAAATCAATGAAACCAAAAGCAGAAAATCATTGGAGAAAAAATCAACAAAACCAAAAGCTGCTTCTTTTAAAAGATCAATAAAATCAATAAGCCTCTAGCTAGGCTAAGAAAAAAAGAGAACACAAATGACTAATATTACAAATGAAAGAGGGGGGAACATCAGTACAAATTCCATGGACACCAAAAGAATAATAAAAGAATACAAAGAACAACTCTATGCCCACAAATTCAATAGACTAGATGAAATGAACCAATTCCTTGAATGACACAGTTTGCCAAAGCTTACACAAAAAGAAATTGATAATCTGAATAGTCATATATCTATTAAATAAATTAAATCAGTAATTAATAACCTTTCAAAACAGAAAGCACCAAGTTCAGATGGGTTCACTGGTGAAATCTGTCAAACATTTAAGGAAAATTTATACCAATTCTCTACAATCTGGTTTAGAAGATAGAAGCAGAAGGAACACTTCCTAACTCATTCTGTGAAGCCAGCATTACCCAAAGACCAAAATCAGATGAAGTCATAACGAGAAAAGAAAACCACAGACCAATATTTCTCATAAATATAGATGCAAAAATCCTCGACAAAATATTAGCAAATTGAATCCAGCAATGTATAAAAATAATTATACATCACAACCAAGTGGGATTTACCCCAGGCATGAAAGGCTGGTTCAAGATTCAAGAATCAAATAATGTAATCAATCACATCAATAGGCTAGTAAAGAAAAATAGCGATTGTATCTATAGATGCAGAAAAAGCTTTTGACAAAAATGCCAGCACTCATTCATGATAAAAACTCTTAGCAAACTAGAAATAGAAAGGATATCCTCAACTTTATAAAGAGCATCTACACAAAACCTATGGCTAACATCATACTTAATGGTGAGAAATTTGAAACTTTCCCAAAGAACAAGGCAAGGATGTCCCCTCTCACCACTTGCTTCTCAACATTTTACTGGAAGGCCTAGGTAATGCAATGAGAAATAAAAGGTAAATAGATTGGGAAGGAAGAAATAAAACTGTCTGTGTTCACAGATGACATGATCATCTATGCAGAAAATCTGAAAGAATCAATAAATAAACTCCTAGAACTAATAAGCAATTATACAAGGTTGCAGGACACAAGGTTAATATACAAAGTCAATTGCGGTGCTATATACCAGCAATGAACAAGTGGAATTTGAAATTAAAAATTCATTAGTATTATGTTTGCTTCAGTAGCACATATACTAAAATTGAAACAATACAGAGAAGATTAGCATGGCCTCTGTGCAAGGATGACATGCAAATTTGCGAAGCATTCCATATGTTTGGTGTATATTTATCTCAAACTCATCAAGTTGCGTGTATTAAATATGCACAGCTTTTTGTATGTCATACATCAATAAAGTGTTTTTAAAAATTACTGTTTATATTAGCATTCACAGAAAATGAAATATTTTGGTATAAATCTAATATCATCTGTACAAGATCTGTGTGAGGAAAACTACAAAACTATGATGAAAGAAATCAAATAACTAAATAAATGGGGAGATAGTCTACGTTCATGAATAGTAAAACTCAACATTGTCAAGATGTCAGTTCTTCCCAACTTGATCTATGGATTCAATACAATTCCAATCAAAATCCCAGCAAGTTATTTTGTGGATATCAACAAACTGATTCTAAAGTTTATATGGAGAGGTAAAAGACATGGAATAACCGCCTCAATATTGAAGGAGAAGAAGAGTTGAAGGACTTACACTGCCCAACCTTGAGACTTACTATAAAGCTGCAGGAATCAAAACAGTGTGTTATTGGTAAATGAACAGACAAGTAGATCAATGGAACAGAATAAAAGGCACAGAAATATACTCTCATATACTCAACTGATCTTTGACAAAATAGCAAAGGTAAAACAATGGAGCAAAAATAGTCTTTTCAACAAATGTTGCAGGAGCAAGTGGACATCCACATGCAAAAGAAATAGATCTAGACATTGACTTTATACTCTTTACAAAAGTTAACTCAAAATGGATCACAGACCTAAATGTAAAATGCAAAACTATAAAACTCCCAGACAATAACACGAGAGAGAACATGTAAATGACCTGGTGTATGGTGATGGCTTTTTGAAAACTTCGATTATTAGTCTATTTGTAATTTTGACACCTTATCTTCATCTAGGGATTTAAACTTTTCTTAAATTAATAAAATTTTTTTAGAGCAGTTTTAGGTTCATAGAAAAATTGAGTAGAAAGTACAGAGTTTCCATATACCTCCTACACTCCCTGTCTCCATATACATGCAACCAATCTCCTCCACTATCAACATCCTGCACCAGAGTGGTACATTTGTTAAAATTTATGAACTTACATTGCAATGACTTTTTAGATACAACACCAAAGGCACAATCCATGAAAAAAAATAGTTAATAAACTGGACTCATTAAAATTAAAAATTCTGTTCTGTGAAAGACACCATCAAGAGAATGAAAGATGTAAGAGTTTGGAGATGTTCTCAAAAACAGTGGAGACTGTGGCAAAAGGTAATTGGTAGGAGAATAATATATTCATTGGAGATACAGGCTTAACTGTAAGCTGGCTAGTTCACTGGAGAGAAACAGAGAAGAGACAGCTGAGAAGAGCCCTCCTGGTATCAGAACAAATCTCAAATACTGATCTAGGGAACTATGCTTCAAAGGTGCCAGAATTTGATTGGACCAGTTTTTGGAACAATTTAGGCCCTTAAGGATTTTTGAAAACAATAGAACAATCAGCCAGCAATTAGTGGGGTTTAACAGCTGGCTGTGTTCAGTCAAAGAGAGCCCTGTCAAAACACAGGATTTTGGGTTTTAAGAAAATGTGGCACATATACACCATGGAATACTATGCAGCCATAAAAAAGGATGAGTTCATGTCCTTTGCAGGGACATGGATGAAGCTGGAAACCATCATTCTCAGCAAACTATCACAAGATCAGAAAACCAAACACTGCATGTTCCCACTCATAAGTGGGAGTTGAACAATGAGAACACATGGACACAGGGAGGGGAACATCACACACCAGGGCCTGTTGGGGGTGGGGGGCTAGGGGAGGGATAACATTAGGAGAAATAACTAATGTAGGTGATGGGTTGATGGGTGCAGCAAACCACCATGGCATGTGTATACCTATGTAACAAAACTGCATGTTCTGCACATGTAACCCAGAACTTAAAGTATAATAATAATAATATATATATACACATATATATATATACATATATATATATATACACATATATATATATACATATATATATGTATATACATATATATATATATATATGTATATATATATGTGTATATATATAGCCACTCCACCTTTCTCTTTCTTTTTAGAGACAAGGTCTCACTCTGTTGCCCAGGCTAGAGTGCAGTGGCATGATCATGGCTCACTGCAGCCTCAACCTTCTGGGCTCAAGTGATCCTCCTACCTCAGCCTCCCAAATAGCTTGGACTATAGGAGTGTGCAACCATGCCTGGCTAATTTTTTATTTTTTGTAGAGCTGGGGTCTCCCCATGTTGCCCAAGTTGGTCTCAAACTCCTGGTTTCAAGTGATCCTCCCACCTCGGCCTCCCAAAGTGCTGGAATTGCAAGTGTGAGCCACTGCACCTGGTCCATTCCACCTTTCTTGAGGTTGCTGTTTGCATGACATATCTTTTTCCATCCTTTTACTTTCAATCTATTTGTATCTTTGAATTTAAAGAGTGTCTCCTAGAGACAGCATGTAGTTATACTGTTACACTGTTTTTTGGATCCTGTGTGACAATCTCTACCTCTTGATTGGATTGTTTAATTCATTTATATTTAATATCATGATTACTATTGATATAATTGAGTTTACATTTGCCATTTTATTTTTTGTTTTTATATGTCTCATAGCTTTTTATTCTCTATTCCTCCTTTATGCTTTCCTTGCATTAAGTGAATGTTTTCTATCATAGCACTTTGATTTTTAAAATTATTTTGAATAATAAAAATAAATATTTTACTATATTATTTACATATTAACTGTTGCTCTAGGGCTTACCATAAACAGATTAATTTACCACTTTCAATAATGGACAGAACCAGGGAGAAGATCAACTTTACACCTCAAGACGCCAGAAAAATAAGAGGAAACTAAACTCAAAACTAGCAGAAGGAAGGAAGTAACAAAGAGTAGAGGTAAATGAAGTAGAGAATAGAAAAAAATGGAGGAAATCAATGACTTGACAGTTGGTTATTTGACAAGATTAACAAAATTGACAAATCTCTAGCTAGACTGACCAAGGAAAAAAAAAGAGAAGACACAAGTTACTAAAATCAGAAATGCAAGTAGGGGATGGGCATGGTGGCTCATGCTTGTAATCCCAATGCTTTGAGAGGCTGAGGCAGGAGGATCACTTGAGGCCAGGAGTTAGAGACCAGCCTCAGCAACATAGCAAGACCTGGTCTCTACAAAAAATTAAATAAAAAAAAAATTAGCCAGGCATAGTGGCACATGCCTGTAGTCCCAGCTACTCAGAAGACTGAGGCAACAAGACTGTCTAAGCCCAAGAGATCGAGTGTGCAGTGAGCTATCATGGTGTCACTGCACTCTAGCTTGGGTGACAGAGTGAGATCTGGTCTCAAAAAAAAAAAAAAAAAAAAGGAAAGAGATGAAAGTGGGGACATTGCTACCAACCTTACAGAAATTTTAAAAAAATTATAAGAGAACCAAGTTCCTAGAAACAAAAACACTACCAAAATGAACTCAAGATATAGAAAATCTGAATAGACCTATAACAAATAAAGACATTGAATCAGTAATAAAAAAATCTCCCAATAAAGAAAAGTCCAAGATCAGATGGCTACACTGGTGAATTCTACAAAATATCTAAGGAATAATTGATACCAATTCTTCTGAAACTCTTCAGAATATTGAAGAGGAGGGAACACTTCCTAACTTATTCTCTGAGGGCAGCATTGCCCTGATATCAAAGCCAAAGATATCACAAGAAAAGGAACTACAGATCAATATCCCTTATATAAATGTAAAAATTCTCAAGAAAAAATTAGCAGGCTGAATTCAATAGCAGCATATTAAAAGAATATATGCCATGGCCAATTAGGATTTATCCCAGGAAAGTAAGGGTGGTTTAACATATGAAAATCAATCACTGAAATATGTCATATTAATAAAATAAAGGAAAAAGACCACATGATCATTTGAAAATGAAGCAAAACAAACAAAAAACAAAATTCACACCTTTCATAATAAAACACTCAGCAAATGAGGAAAACAAGGGAATTTTCAAAACAGGATAAATGGCCGGGCACACTGGCTCATGCCTGTAATCCCAGCATTTTGGAAGGCTGAGGCAGGCAGATCACTTAAGGCCAGGAGTTCGAGACCAGCCTGGCCACCATGGCAAAATCTTGTCTCTACTAAAAATACAAAAATTAGCTGGACATGGTGGTGCATGCCTGTAATCTCAGCTACTCGGGAGGCAGAGGCATGAGAATCGCTTGAACTCAGGAGGCGGAGGTTGTAGTGAGCTGAGATCATCGTGGCACCGCACTCCAGCCTGGGCAACATAGTGAGCCTCTGTCTCAAAAACAAAAATCAAACAAAAAACACGGTAAGAGGCATAAAATAAAAACCTACCCAAAGCTAACATCGTATTCAATGGTAAAAGACTGAAAGCTTTCCTCCTTAAATCAGGAACAAAACAAGGATGCCCTCTCTTGACACTTCTATTCAATACTGTATTGGAACGTCTAGACAGAGCATTCAGGCAAAAATAAAATAAATGAAAAACAAGGAATAAAGAAAGGAAGGGAGGGCGGGAGGAAGGAAGGGAGGAAGGGAGGGAGAGAGGGAGGGAGGGAGGGAGGAAGAAAGTACAGAAGAAAGGAAAGAAGAACAGAAGGAAGGAAAAATTCATTCACATAGTTAAGGAAGAAATAGTAAAACTATCTCTATTCACATATGACATGATCTTATATATACAAAATCCTAGAAAAACTATTGAGCTAATAAATGAATTCAGCAAAGTTGCAGGGTACAAGATCAATATGTTAAAATCAGTTGTACTTCTATACATTATCAATAAACAATCAAAAATGACATTAAGAAAACAATTCCACTTACAATAGCATCAAAAAGAATAAAATACTTATGAATAAGTTTAACCAAGGAGGTACAAGATTCATACACTGAAAATTACAAAACAATGCTGAAATAAATTAAAGAAGCCTAAATAAATAAACAGAAATACAGTCTAAGTTCATGGACTGGAAGACTTAGTATTGTTAAGATGTCAATACTACCGAAAACAATCTACAAATTTAATGCAATTCCCATTAAAATCCCAATATCCCTTTTTGCATAAATGGAAGAGCCAATTCTAAAATTCACATGGTCTTCCAACAGACCCCAAATAGACAAATTACTCTTAGAAAAGAAGAGCACAGTTGGAAGACACACACTTCCAGATTTCTAGTTATACTACAAAGCTACAGTAATCAAAACCATATGGTACTGGCATAAAGAAAGACATAAACAAATGGAATAAATTGGACAGTGAAGAAATAAACCCATGCATCTACAGAAAATTGATTTTCTACAAGAGTGTCAACACCATTCAATGGGAAAAGAACAGTCTCTTCAACAAATGGTGCTGGGACAACTGGATAGCCACATGCAAAAGGATAAAGTTGGATTCCTACCCTAATAAAAGAGAAATGGATCAAAGACCAAAACGTAAGAACTAAACCAATAAATTTCTTAGAAGAAAATATAGGAGTCAATCATCATGATCTTGGATTTGGCAATGCTTTCTTAGATATAATACCAAAAGCATAAGCAACAAAAGAAGTAAAAAGCATAAGCAACAAAAGAAATACATAGTAGCTATAAATTTGACTTCATAAAAATTAAAAACTTTTGAGCATTAGTAGATAATATCAAGAGAGTGAAAGGACAACTCAGAATGGGAGAAAATATTTGTAAATCAGATATCTGATAAGGGCCTAGTATCCAGAATATATCAAGAATAATTATAACTCAACAATAAAAAGACAAATCACCCAATTACAAATGGGCAAAGGATTTGAAAAGATATTTCTCCAAAGAAAATATACAAAGTGCCAACTAACACATCAAAAGATGTTTAACATCATGAGTCATTAAGGAAATGCAAATTAAAAGTATAATGAGATACCACTTCACACTCACTGGGATGGTTATAAGCAAGACAACATTGCAGAACAAGTATTGATGAGGATGTGGAGAGATGGTATAGCCACTTTGGAAAACAGTCTGGCAGTTCCTCAAAAGGTTAAACATAGAGTTAGCATATGACCCAGAAATTCCACTCCTAGGCTCCGCAAAAATACTTGTCAATGTAAAGGTCTATCAACTGATGAATGGGTAAACAAAACATGGTATATCCATATAATTGAATATCTTTCCACAAAAAAAAGAGAATGATATATTGATACATCTTACAACATGGATAAATCTCAAAAAACCGTATGTTAAGTAAAAGAAGCTATTTTAAAAAGAAGACATATAATATCGTTTATATGAAATGTCCAGAGTAGGTAAATCTCTAGAGACAAAAAGTAGATTAGACGTTTCCTAGTACTGGGGAGTGGAGGAGTAAGAGAGGCTGAGGGATTGGGGGGTCACAGCTTGAGGGTACAATATTGATTTGGGGGTTTGAAGCTGAAAATCTTTAAAATTGATTGTAGTGATGATTGCACAATTCTTTAAATATAATAAAAACCATTAAATTGTACACTTTAAATGGGTGAACTTTGTGGTATTTAAATTACATCTTTTTTAAAAAGCTGTTAAAATACTTTAATTAAAACCAGACTAATTTTTGGTATAAATCTGTTTCAGAAATATACTAGTAAGACTCTTACTGTTGTATACATTAACAAATATTCATACGATAAATTTGTTCAGGATAAGTGGTCCCTCTCTGGGGGCTGCCTTTGGCTGACATCAACCTTAAAGAGGTGAACAGAGCCGACAGGCTGTGGCTGCATCGCTGTAGCACCCTGGGCAGGCAAGAGCCAGATGAGTGGGGGCTCCATCTCCATCCTCTTTCCTATCCTCTGGAGACTTCTAGACCCCTCCATACTGGAATTGAAGCCCTGAGTTTTCTTTTCCACCCTTGATCAACTTATTCTTCATGGTGGCACAAGGAGAATAGGTTGCCTAACTGGTAGCTGCCTAACTCTCGCATTTCCCCTTTTTTCTCCTTTGTTCAGTCCCTGGATCGTTTGCAACTAATTTGTAACTGCCAGCCTTCAGACTGTACAGCTGAGGTCACTTGCAGTTAGGAGTCCTGATATCCAATTTCACCTTCCTATCTGCATCCTTGGCAGTTGCTTAACTTCTCTGGCCCTCAGTTTCCTCATCTGTAAAGTGAAAATAATAATTCCAACTTATAAAATTGTTTTGAAGATTCAATGAGATAATATATTTGAAAATATCTGCTGAAATGAATCCAATATCTTGTCCCATGTCCAGTGAAACCATTCAGTTTACCAGTTAACAGCAACCAACTGCCTCTGGACAGAAATTAGGAAACAAAGAGGCAGAGAGAAGAGAAAGGGCTGGATTATATGCCCAGGCTCATGCCTATGTATAGCACACCCAGGAATGTCGCTACCCAATTCCCCACTGTGTAGTTTTGGGGCAGCCCAATGAACAATCTCATGCAAAATAATGTGCCCTCCCCCTCCCCCAACTCGTCCCCACTGCTGCTCAGCAATGGTCTATCTGAGCCACATGAATGATGGATGAAGTGAGCCAGAAACTATTGTTCCCTGCATGGCCTTCTCCCAGAGTTGAGGACCTTTATTGTTCCCAGATAAGAGCTGAGCTGGGAAGAAAGGCTTTCATGAGGAAATGTCTGCAAGGCCACCAGGACTGGCTCTCACTTCTGGTTTGGGCTAGCTAGCCCATGAGCCAGCAAGCAGCCCAGCTAAGTCCATTTGGCCACTTGTAGGGGGTCTCAAATCAAGGCATGGTGGGATGGAGGTTGAAAACACGCAGTTATAGTGAGGCTCTAGGACTATCACTGATTTGCAGTTCTCTGTGCTCTCTGAGGATATACTAAGGGAGACTTCTGGCCCTAAGTCTGCTGCTGGGGCCTGGAATGCAGCCTGCCTTGACTCCCCACCCCCACCACACAAACATTCCTGAGCCACTGTAGAAACCCCGTCCCTATTCAAAACCAGCTCGAATGTCACCTCAAGCAGGAAGTTTTCTCTAGAGTCCCTTCCCCCCACCATTGCCAGATGTGAGCGTCCCTCCTCCAAGCTCTTTGAGCAATTGGCTGTTCATCTCCCAAGGCATTTATCACATTCTGTCGTGTGTAACAGTTATTTATGTGCTTGTCTTATCCCTCTTTCTCTGCTACAGTCAGGGATGGAGGCCAATTCATCGTTGTACCCCCTACAGTGCTTGACATGGAGTTAGAGTTCATTCAGTCAGTCAGCAGATATTTACTGAGCACCTACTCTGGGTACTTCCTGAGTACTCAGGGAGTAAACACCCTGGGTCTGCTCAGAACCCTGCTACCACCACAAATTCCCCATGGAGGCACTCTTTCCTACCTTACGCTGAGGCACAGTAGGCCGACTGGGGGTCTGAAAAAAAGGGCAGGGAAAGTAACTGGCCCCCCTCCCTTCCTCCAGGGAGTTATAAAAGATGCAGCTGTTGTGGCTCACACCTGTAATCCCAGCACTTTGGGAGGCCAAGTCAGGCGGATCACGAGGTCAGGAGATCGAGACCATCCTGGCTAACACGGTGAAACCCCATCTCTACTAAAAATACAAAAAATTAGCTGAGCACGGTGGTGGGCACCTGTAGTCCCAGCTACTCAGGAGGCTGAGGCAGGAGAATGGCGTGAACCCGGGAGGCGGAGCTCGCAGTGAGCCGAGATCGTGCCACTGCACTGTTGGGGCACGTGCTCACACCATAATGACTGTGTGCAACTCAGCTCAGCCCAGCACTGCCCCAACCCCAGCCCATAACAGGTCCCCTTGGGGGATTGTACCCCAGGGCAAACATGAGGCAAAGTGCCAGGTAGAGGTCCCTCCTAATCCCAAGATTTCTATCCTGTCCTGCTGACCTTGTGTTCCCGCCATGGGGTTTACTGAACATTTGTCCGTACCTGGTACTAGGAGGCTGAATACAATGAATTACATGCCCAGAGAGCGTCTGCTTTCTGGAAACCTCCAGTCTAAGAAAACTTAAGACTCCTGTTCTGTGGCCTGATTTGGTCTGATTTAGGAGGGCAGGGGAGCCTCCTCTCTTGCCTCCTTACCTACCAGAGATCTGAGGAGGTGAACTATGGTCCCCAGATTAAACCAGGAGGAAAGTAGAACTATCTGTTGGATGCAAGGACCCTTAGTCATGACAGCAACATGGAACTAGGCCTGTATTCTTGGGAATGGAGTGTGGGGCAGTGCAAAGAACATTAGATTAGGAGTCACTGCTGGATTTGCATCCCAGCTCAGTTACGTGTTGGCTGTGTAACTTTGAGCCGATCTTCTCTTCTTTCTTAGCCTGTTTTCTCATCTGTAAAATGTAGTTAATAATCCACCCAGAACCCTCAGAACCCGACATCACTCTGACCATCAGCCATGACCCTGCCAGAATGTAACTTGGGGGCATGAGAAAGCAAAGTAGATTACACTTCTTTTATGTTTTTTAAAAATTGCTGTTTAGAAAGGTTGTATCATAGAAAGGTCCTGTCACTCAGACTGACAGGAAACCTTAGCAATTTTTTTGTCCAACTATCCCATTTTATTGATGGACAAACTGAGGCTCACAGAGGGTTAAGTTGGACTCAGGTCCCCAAGGCCACTGCTCCTGATAGTTTTCTAACATAAGAATAACCCATCAACAATAAAACCATGTTCTTCCCTTACTTAGGCTATGAAGAAAGATTAAAGGTGATCAATAAGGGGAAACTTTTAGGGGTGATGGAAATATTCATTATCTTGATTGTAGTAATGGTTTCACAGGTGCATACATATGATCAAACTCATCAACCTGTATACTTCAAATATGTGCCATTTAGTGAATGCCAATTTTACCTCAATAATGTAAAAGAAGAGCGGGGTGGGGAGAACCCAAATGTTGAGCAGGGTCTGAGTCTAATGTGGCCTCCAAGTAGCTTTGTTGTTCAAAATCAGCAGTTGTTCCACCCTGTTTCATGGATGCACCACAAGCAGCTTCCTTAGAAGCTGTCACATATGGGGCCTCCCAGGAGCTTCTCTCTGCCTCTGAGTTGCTACAGAGCGTGAGGCCCACGAGGCAAGTTCCTCAGGCTGTCCTGCTCTTTGGCTCATCCATGTGGTACTCCAGGGCGAGCCAGGGAGAGGCGAAGGACTAACTTTCTGACTTCCTTCTCCCTAAGGATTCATGGGAAACATGTGGTCAGAATTGAATGAAAACTAAAAAAAAAAAAAAGTCAATTTAAGTCATTCGAAAGCTTCCCATCACTTCCCTCTACAGCCATCCTACCCTCCCCACCCCATCCTCTGTCATTTTCCCTCCTCTCACAGCTCCCAGAGGAGACATACATGGACTCAGATGAGCTTCCAGGTCAAAGAATTGACTTTGTTTTTTGCCTCCCCAGTTCAATAAGTGCTTTTTGAGACGTGTGGGCTAGGCCTAGTGGGAAACAAAGATGCCTAAGCACTTCTCTGCCCTCCACATAAACTCCCGGCCTTGAAGACAGAATAGGCAAACTTGGACACAAATAACTCTCGTGCTGGGCAAAAAGTGATGCATACCACCAAGAACCACCAAGTGCTACAGCACTGCACAAAGAGAGAGTGATCACTCTCTCCAGGGAATCAGGGGAGACTTCACGGGGGAGGTGCCATTGAGCTGAGCCCTAAAGGATGGGTCATTTTCCTTTACCAATACAAAACAGCATTTGGATGGTGTTTCACATTTTACTAAGGGTTTTTCATAGCATTCAATCTCATCACAACCATTTGACAAGGTAAGTGGGCTACACCATCAGGCACATTCGAGAGAGAAGGAAACTGAAGCACATAGAAGATGAGGCTGGTAGGCATGCCACTCTCTCCGGCGCTTCGGATGTGAGCTCGTTCCTACTTCACGAAGTTGCTTAATAGGCAGAGGTGGGAGGAACAAGGAGGCCAGAAAGCCAGGAGCGTTTAGGGCATGGTGGGTATTCTGGCCACCAGGAAAGTGAGGATTGTATAAGGAAGTGGTGGGTCACAAGACTGGAAAGGCTGCTTGAGACCAGCTTGTTTGTAGCTTGCAATGCCAGGCAAGGGCCTGAATATTTATCATTTATCAGCTATGTTTTAGGGGAATAGGGTTAAGATCAGTGTTTGGAAAGGAAGTGGGGACAAAAGCAGTGGTATACATGAGGGTTGCCTTTGCTTCTGCTTTAGGCCCCTAACAAAACAAAGGACACTAGGGTAACCCTGGTCCCCCTCTTCAGCCATGAGTAGATTTCCAGAGAAGGCACATGGTGACACTTATTCAGGTTAAATAACAAAAGCCATTTCCTTCTGAGCAGCTTGCTTTTCAGCTCCCATGGAAGGGCAGCAGGGTCAGGGCGCAGAAGGCAATGGGAGAGTGTAGAAGATAAAGGGAGAGCCAGGAAGGGAAGTGAGGCTCCAGGCCACATCCTGACAGCCAACTGGGCCCAGCCCGAGGCCCTCCAGAGATGCTCTGGCCAGTTTCTCACTAGGGCAAAATCAGCTTTAATCAATCTGTTTTCCCCTTGAGCTCATTGTTGTTGCAGGCAAAAGAGAAAGCCCCTGTGTTGAGACCTTTTGCTAGTTGTCCAAACAGCAGCGCAGCAGCACACGCCAGGCAGAAAAGAGCAAGCCCCCACAGAGGCAGTGCACAGTGCATGAGAGTCAGGAAACCGGGGGCAAGTCCTCCTGGCTTCTGCCCCTTCCTTGCTGTGTGATGGTGGGCAAGTTACTGAGCTTCTCTGAGCTCAGTTTCCTCAGATGTCAAATGACACCTACTGGGCTGGTTTGAGAATTCAGCCAGAATTCAAACAAATAGAAGGCCTAGTGTAGCTCCTGGCTCATGTAGTGCCTGGCTCAGGGACTAGATAAACGCCAGATGCCTCAGTCCCTTCCTAGCATGCCAGGGACAGCCCCCCAGGGAATGCCTGTAACATAATGGAGCAAGGAGTAGTTTTATAAGCAGAAGTCAAGCTTAGTGCAGATTTCTTCAGTGCAAAAAATGTTTATGAATGCTTCCCATGTAATGCTTCTGGAAAATATGTGCTGGGAGAGTGAGGAGCAAAACGAGAAAAGATTTGAAAAATCCTCTTTCTCGAAGGTGCAGGCTGGGGATAGAAGGTAAACTATTGAGCTGAAGAGATTCTTCTGAAGAAGAGTAATCTGAGGTTTAGGCACACCATTTCTGCCTTGAATTTCAGCAAGGAAAGCATTACAGGAAGCTAATGAAGAAATAAAATATGGTCAATGGCCCCTTTATCTGTGCTCACAGAGGAGCCTATTAGTAGAACTATTCAAAGGGGAGAGAAAATTATATTCTAGGCTTTCCTTGCTCTCACCAGAGAGCATCAGAGATCCAGAAAGGGAAAGATCCCTGGAACCCAAAGTTGGTAATTCTTTCACACAGTCCTCCTGGCAACTGTCTCTTAAAAGGTTATTTTTAGAGAGGCAAGTCACTCTAAGGAAGTATGTCCCAATCTTCAGTCACTTGGGGGCTACCTTCACAATTTTTGTCACATCCACATACCCCCTTAACTATTATTTAGTTAATTTTTTTTCAATTTCTTACTCTTTTACTTAAAAAATCTGTGACTCATTGATGTAAATGGAAAACCACTACCACATGACTTAAATAGAAGGAAACTACGAAAGTAAACACATTGCTATTAAAAACATAATACTAATTCGTGTCCCATCCAAAAGCACGAGATGGACTCCCACTCTCTGGGGGACACAGGTCTACCTTGGGAAGCCAGCTCTAGAAAACAAGACCATTTGCCTTGAGGATGTATACAGGGAGGCACAGCTACTTCCCAAACAGGGATCCAGGTTTAGAGCCAGAGGGCCCAAATGAACAGCTAATTTGGAATATGGTCTCTTCTGGTCTTATCCTGGAAACTTCTCCTAGACAGTGGAGAGTTAGATGGCACCCACTCCCCAGAGACAGGCTGGGAGCTGGGCCAGAAGGACGTCAGGCAAGGGACCAGCCACGATGCCCTGGCTCTTGGTGGTTCAGACTGCATTCACTGTTGGACCCAAAACTTACACTCAGGAAACCTGCCTATTTAATATGCTGTTCATTGTAATTTTTGCAATGATTTCCTCCTTGCTGTCCTGTAGTATTTGACAAATTTCCTGATGAGAATGCAAGATATCTCAGGAGTCCAAAGGAGAAGAATGTGGATCTGGTCCCCAGGTGGGTTAACCCAGGCCACCTGGTATAGTGTGGACAGTGGGGATCAGGGAGAGGACCCCAACAGGAAGGTGAAACTGAAGACACGTGTCTGCTATGCTCTGAACATTGGTAGCCCCCCAAAATTCGTATGTTGGAACCCAATACCCAATGTGATAGTATTAAGAGGTGAGGCCTTTAGGAGATGATTAGGTCATGAGGGCTCAGCTCTCATGAATGGGATTAGTACCCTTATAGAAGAAGCTTGAGGGAAGGGAGCCTGTTTACCCCTTCTCCCACATGAGGACACGTAGAAGGTGCTATCTATGAGGAACAGGTACTCATCAGACACCAAATTTGCTGGCGCCTTATCTTGGACTTTCCAGCCTCCAGATCTGTGAAAAATAAGTTTCTATTCATTATAAATTACCTAGTCTATGGCATTTTGTTATAGCTGCCCAAGCTGACTAAGACAGCATCCCTTCTCCAACTGTAAACACTCCTACTGTAATGCTAAGAACTTGGAGGGGCTTCCTTTTTGTTCTTACTTTTGTTTTCCATGAGGTTCACTGGCTCTTTACACTCACTAAGAGATCAATCAGTAAAGGAAATCCCTAGATAGCATTTTTAGTGACAAATCCAGGCATTTTGACACTTGCCCTCTCATAGCTACATTTTCTATACTTCAACCCATATTGGAGAATAGGCAAGTTTCTAAGAAGGCATAGAACTGCTTGATAGACAGACAAAATAGGGTGTTTTTGGTTTTGTTTTTGCATAGAAGGAGGACCAGATTCACTTACTCTTTTGACCAGATAATGGGTTCAGAGAAATCTGTCACCTCCTTCCTTTTCCCCTCTTCTCCATTCCCTGAATCTTTTCCTCTTCAGGATGGCTGGCTGGCTATCACAGCAGGGTGGGACTATAAGGGTTAAATACAACAGAAAACAGAGAATCGAAGAAATCTTAGGGCTTATGGAAAGCCAAGTCTACAGTGAGGGGCAGAGAGTATAGAGAAGCCACAGGGCTGACTGGCTGTAAGGTTGCAGCCTTCAAAGCATGTGGAGAGTCCAGAGGTAACTGCACAACAAAGCATTCTTTAAGTAAAGGTCATTCTAACCTATAAAACAATGGCCATATCCAGTGTCCAAGAGTGTTTGGAAAACAAGACTAAATGCGCAGTTTCATCAACAGGTCAAAAACTTACATGCCTGCCACATGAAAAGAGGCTCAACATCACTAGTCATTAGGGAAATGCAAAGCAAAACCACAAGATACCACCTTGCACCCAATAGGCTGGACATTACCAGAAACACAAGAAATAACAAATGTTGGTTAGGATGCAGAGAAATTGGGCCCTTATGCATTGTTGATGGGAATGCAAAATGGTGCAGCCAGTAGGGAAAACAGTATGGCAGTTCCTGAAAAAATTAAACACAGGATTACCATATAATCCAGCAATTCTACCTCTGGATATATATCCAGAAGAATTGAAAGCAGGGACTTGGCTGATTCTCCTCAACCTATTTCTTATAGCAAAGCTTTATGTTAGCTTTATGTCTAAAATCTTAGGGAGAACAAATTAGTTTGCCTGGCCTGTCAGTGCAGGTAAGACTTGGACACATAAACACAGAGACACCAATCACTATATCAAGTACTGATAATCCAAATATATTTAGACACACAGAGTTGGAGATTGTCAATTTGCAAATAAAATTTGACACCATACCTGTAACTGTGAGATGGCAAACACACAAATGAAAACTGAAAAGGTTCTATCCACTATTTTTTTTCAACATGATGCCAGGTATTTGTGTGTGTGTGTGTGTGTGTGTGTGTGTGTGTGTATTTTGTATTTTGGGGTCCAAATATGTGGCATTGGAATGTTGAGCATTATAGAAGATTAATTGTTGAAGTCTTTGAATGCCAAGCCCGGGAGTTTGGACTTAACTCTAATGCTTCTGTCAAAATGAGCATTAACCTTTCTCCCCATCACAGCTACAGGCTGCTACTCAATGTCAGGATATACCAGAAATCAGTAGGGTGTGACTGACACCCACCCACAGAAATGGCTAGTTGGTTCAGTGTGAGAATGATAAACAGAGCTGTCTAAGTCCAGCCACAGGGATGGGGAGAGTTTACAAGCCATAAGAAAGACCCACCATGTCACAAGTGGGAGCAGAGCCATGGCATAGATGCCCGGCCCTTGGGCAGCTTGTAAGGCATATGCCATTCTTGGGCACTTATAGCAGCAGGAATCCCTGGGGTCATAAAGGCACAAGGGCTTCTCCCTGAAACAGCCACAATACTCTGCTGCTGAAGCAAACTCCAGCTAGAACTGGGGCAAAAAGTCCAGCTCTCCTCCCATTATTAACCATCCTCCCAATCCTCCACCCTCAGGCTCACTCTGCTTTTTTTCCAGTCCCAGTGCACCAGCAGGCAAAATACCATGGCAACCTGCCCTAAACAGGGAGCGAGGGATGCCTGCCGAGTATTGTTGGCCAGGCTTAGGTCTTTGGGCTGGGCATTGGGACTGTTACTTCCACTCCTTAGCCTTGCCTTCTGCCCTGCCCTCATGGGCTTTCTCTTTTTCTGGAAGTTATCCTTTGCCTCTTGCCTGGGCCAGATGGACAGCTCGGCAGGCACCTGGCGTATGCCCCTGGCTGGACAAACTTATGGCTGCACCCACTGGCCAAAGGATTCCAGGTGGAAAAAAAAATACTCTGATGGATGGAGCAGAGGTCTGGAGAAAACCAAGAAATGGATAATCCAGACCCACCACTTGGAATGCGAAAGCGCATGCTCAGGTGGTCATACTCTCTGCCCCAGCGGATGGGTCTGGCGCTCCCAGCCGCCAGGGGCCTCCTGCTGCCAACCGTGTGGTCTGGGGAATCCAGAGGTCATACAGCTGGCCAGGGGGAAGTGCTTCCCCCACCACAACCTCAGGCCAGCCCTGTGGCATTCTGGAGAAAGGAACCAGCCTCTACCCCACTGCCACTCCTTGTGTGTGGCTTGGTATGTGGAAGGCAGAGGGGGGATTTCGAGTTTCCGATGAGCCTGTATGTTTGCGCTGTGGGCTCTGTGCTTTCCCACACACAGAGCTGAGTGATTCCTGCTTTACTGAAGCTGCCAGAGTAGGAGAGGAGGTGGAGGATAGGCAAAGTCAGACGGGGAGTTGGGGGTTTGATGCAGAGTGTGGCAGCAATTGCCTGGACGGACCGCAAGGCACCCCTTTGGGCTGTGGTGGGGGAGCTCAGTGGCTGTCCAATGCAGTGACCTGGACTTTTTCATCCCCGTGTGTGAGCCAGGCGGGTCTGGGACAAATCGGCTCACTCCCCGACCCTAACACTCCACAGGGAAGCTCAGAGGTGCTCACCTGCTGGGTGGCGGCCCAGACTTCACAGATTTCTAGAGGTTGTCTGGACTCATCCTGGCCCAGCTCTCCAGCTTGTGTCTTTCCCACCCTTTGTTGCTGAATGTTCTCCTATTCACCCTTCTTAACTCTCCTCAGGCCCCCTTGCCTTCAGGAAGCCCACCTCAAATGCCTTCTCACCCACGCCCAGCCCAGGTTCCTCTCTATCAGCCCCTCTATGCTACTTTTCTTGTTGGGGGATCTGGCATAGCTGTGCCAACATTTTATTTGATCAAGTAAGAGCATTTTTTAATTTTAAAAACTGCCATATACTAAAACCAAGATGTCATAAACAACAAAATGATGTTTTAACATCAAACAATTGGAATGACAATTTTAGAATTTAAAAAACTGAACAAATTTGGCTTCATAAAAACTACATCGGCCGGGCACGGTGGCTCATGCTTGTAATCCCAGCACTTTGAGAGGCCGAGGTGGGAGGACTACTTGAGCTCAGGAATTTGAGACCAGCCTGGGCAACATGGCGAAACCCCATCTCTACAAAAAAAAAGTACAAAAATTAGTGGCCATGATCATGCCACTGCACTTCAGCCTGTGTGACAGAGAACTTGTCTCAAAAAAAAAAAAACAAAACTACATTTTTTTTTTTTTTGACAGAGTCTTGCTGTGTCGCCCAGGCTGGAGTGCAGTGGCATGATCTCGGCTCACTGCAACCTCCACCTCCCAGGTTCAAGCGATTCTTCTGCCTCAGCCTCCCGAGTAGCTGGGACTACAGGTGCGTGCCTCCATGCCCGACTAATTTTTGTAGTTTTAGTACAGACGGGGTTTCACCATATTGGTCAGGCTGGTCTCGAACTTCTGACCTCGTGATCCACCCACCTCGGCCTCCCAAAGTGCTGGGATTACAGGCGTGAGCCACCGTGCCTGGCCTACATCATCATTTTTTAATTCAGAAGAGTAAAAACTTTACGAAGGATGAGTGCTGATTTGCATTTGGGAACTGCAGACCTAGATGATAATTGGATAACTAAAAGCCTAGCTTAGAGCGCATGTGATGCACCCCACACACTAATTTGGGCAGCACTTGGAGTTTACCAAACCACTTGCACATGCTCACAACCCCTGGGATATAGGTGTCATTATTCCCATTTTACACATGAAGAAACTGAGGCTCAGAAAAATGAAATAGCTTGCCCAAAGCCACACAGGCCAAGACTGCAAATCCTGGGCTTATTTGCCTGCCTGGGCCAAACTGCCTCAACACAACAGTGTCAGCAATTCAATTCAACCGGTATTTATTGAGCACAGACTCCATGTTCTTCTTCTTTTTAGGTGTGTTGACACCTGTTATTTTATTTTATTTTATTTTTATTTTTCTCTCTTGGATCTCTTTTGCTTTTTATTTTATTTAATGGCCATTTTCTTTCTTTTTTTATTTCCATAGGTTTTTGGGGAACAGGTGGTGTTTGGTTATATGAATAAGTTCTTTTGTGGTGATTTCTGAGATTTTGGTGCACCCATCACCAGAGCAGTGTACACTGCATCCAGTATGTAGTCTTTTATCCCTCACCCACCTCCCACCCTTTCCTCCGAATCCCCAAAGTCCATTGTGTCATTCTATGCCTTTGCATCCTCATAGCTTAGCTTCCACTTATGAGTGAGAATATACGACGTTTGGCTTTCCATTCCTGAGTTACTTCACTTAGAATAATGGTCTCCAACTCCATCCAGGTTGCCAGATGCAGTGTCGAAGACAGTGTGTTCCATATCCTCACAGAGCTCACAGGGAAGCAGGGACACTACAGACAACTTGAATAACATCATCATCTCACAAGGTTGTTGTGACAATGAATGACACAATTTATGAAGCACCCTAGCATAAGGCCAGACACCCAGGAGGCATTCAATGAATACTAGTCTCCTAACTTACTTCCTTTTCCTCTTCAAAGCATCAGGGAGTGATTTGGAAAACAACCCTGCTGCCAACAAGCATCTATGCCCCCCAGCCTCAGCACAATCTGTTGTATAGCACATGAAAAGTGCTGCAGCGTTCTTGAATTGTGTTCCTTAACATTTGATGCGGTTCATTCTAGTCCTTTCAATCCGGTTCCGGGAACTAAAGTTAGTACATCTGCAGGACGAGGTTAGGAACGGAGGCCCATGGCCCAAGGACGTTTCTAGGAGGAGCCAAGAGTCAAGGATCAGCTGGAGTGAGGAGAGGGAAGCCCTGATGGGCTGGTGAGGAACAGGAATTCTTCAGGCTCCTGGAGTGTGAACAGGTTGAGCATGAGGCAGGGAGGGTAGAGGAAGGGGCCATTGTTCAATTTTGCCAGAATGGAAGGGAGGAGAGGGGCAGGAGCAGCAGACAAGGGAAGTGAGAGAAGCTGGAGTGCCCAGGTAGAGGGTGCGCAGCTGAGGATGGAGGTTTGCAGAGTCCTCAATGAGCCTTCCTGTGGATACCAGCTACCATATGGGAAAATCTTTGGCGACCTCTCCACTGGCCAATGGTGAACCAGGCCCTGTGCTGGGCCCTTTATCACATGTGTAGTCTCCATGGATTCTCAGAGCCCTGGCAGCAGAAGGAAGTACTAGTCCCATTTTACAGATGAAGAAATTGAGGTTCAGAAAAACCAGGAAACTTGCCCAAGTTCACATAGCCAGCAAGTGGTAGGAGTGAACATGCTAAAATCCATACTCTTCTATATAAGCTGTCTGCTCCAACCAGATTATTTTACTTACCCAGTTACCCAGTTAGCAGAAAAGCTATAAGGAACTTTTAAAAAGACTTGAGAAACCAGGAGATAAGTTGTAAAGACTATCTGACTAGATAGTCCAGATATAAGATGATATGGGCTTCAAGAAAGGCAGTGGTAACAGAGTTGGAAATGATGAGATGGTTGTGAAAGTGGAGCCAGACGACCGCTCCCTGTCAGTCTCCTGTGTGAGCTCATCTTTCTCTGCCTGCCTCTTAGCATTTACCAAGGCTTGGTCCTCGGCCTGGCACTCTGTATAGCCTGCCACGGTAATCCCATTCACATCTATAGCTGAGAACTCCCAACTCCCTTCCTTGCTATAAACACTTCCATCATGACCCAATTTGAAGTGACCAATGGTCTGATAACCAGCTTGCAAAATTCTTGAATACTTAATCAACAGGCAGGCTATGCCCTCTGCCTGAATTGCTTATTGGCCATCTCCTTCACTGGGCTGACTTGTACTCTTTCTCCAGATCCATACAGCTCATCACTTTCTCTGGAAAGCCTTTGCTGACTCCCTGCCTCCTGCTCCTGTCTGTGATGGGTTCCCCCTTCTCTGTCCTCCCATGGCACTAGGCTCTTCCCCATCAGAACAGGCACTACCCTGTCCTATCACTGCCTGCTTATCTGTCACACCCACCCTTATGGGTACAAGTTGCTGAAGACAATGAGCCGATCTTATTCACAGCCGCACAGCCGGTATGTCAGCCTGAGGCTTGTCTTGGAGTAGGTGGCTCAATACATTTTTGTTGAGCAAATCCTGATTTCATTATTCCCTGGGTAAGTTACTCTGGCTAAGTCCCCTCTGAGCCTGTTTCCCCAAAGGTAAAGTGTGTGTGGGGGTAATACTTGGCAAAGCTCTTGTGAGGGTTAAACAAGATGGCATGTGTAAAGCACACAGCACACAGTAAGCGCTCAATAAATGGCAGCTATTGCTGGGCAGCAACTGGTCAGGAAAAAAGAGAAAAACAAGTCTCTCTTCCCTGCTAGCCCATATACACACCCATCCTGCTTCCCTCCTGTCTTCAGGCTCTTGAATAAAGTTGGAAAACCTGAACCAGCAAAAATAATCTCCTTCAGTAAACTCTTAGGAGAGAACTATCTTCTATATCAACAACACACCCTTGGCTCAGCCTCCAGCAGACCAGCCCCAAGTCGGAGGTCTGGTTTTTCTTTTCACCCCATTCAGATATTTACAGTGTAAACCTTGGATGATGAACGGCAGGGGTTGCGGGGTGGGGGGACGCAGGAGCACAGCCAGTGCCAAGAAACCTCAGGAAGGAACTCACACTGGGTCTCCACACAGTAACGCACACTGTTCTGGAATGGAAGTGTAGTCTTCCAACAGAATGCTTCGTCAGCTGCGAGACAGAAGAAAGGGGACTTCTCAGCAGTGAGGCAGAGTGAGGTGGGCCCACAGAGGCCAAGTCTCTCTTTCCACATTTGGAACGTAGCCTGCTAGAGAAAAGACCCAAGTTCAAGTTCAAGCTCTATCTTAACCTTTCCGTCTTCATGGTGAAAGAAGGAATAGTATTGGATGCCCTAACTCCCACTTTTTAAACTTCAGCTGAACTGGACTCCCCAACGGATGACCCCCCCAACTGCCTCAGAGTTGGCATTCAATTTCAAAAAATACATCTTGGTTGCCTAATTCCTCTTTGATTTCAAACTGGACAACTGTCTTCTGATCTTTTTCAAAGCACACATGTACATTTTACACAGCCAGTATGTACCTACTATTTTTTTCTGCCTTTTCCACTTAACATTATTCCATATATATTTTTGTACCATCAGAGTTCCTGAAGTAGTCACATTTGGTGGCTGTATTGTAGCCTAATATACTAAAACTCACAGTCTGCTTAGCCAAATCCCTATTATTGGCTGTTTGGGTTGTTTCTATTTCTTGCTATAATAAATAACACTTTGCACAATGTGATTTTGGAAATTTCCTCTTCTAGATTTTTTTCTTTGGGTGCAAATTCAATTCCAGAACTACTCCAGAAAACATATGAAAACCAAAGCTCCAAGGGCAGGGATGATTTTTCCATGAAGAAGCAAGCCTATCCATTCATTCTCCCCTCAGTCCTTGAAGTAGAGCCACAGGCAGAAGCTACTCACCTAGCAGTAACTAAATGGGACAGCACCATGCTCTACACAGGCTCTTCCTTTTGGCTGAGGGAAACAGCCGAGAAAGCCCATATGACCAGCTTGACCTTCCAATGGACAGTCAGGGAAATTCAGGTGCAGTTGTTTGGGCACAGAGAAGATGGCTCTTTCTGGAAACCTCCTGGCCTTAGACCTACCAAATCTTAGAACCTGACTCAGGACCGGAGCAGGCCACTTACTCTCTAAACTGGTCTTTATTGAGCTCTTTGGTAGACATTGCTGGTTGCCTACCTCACAGCCATCCTCTGCACCTTCTTCCTTGCTAACAGAACTCCAATTTGTAGCTGGCAAAGATTCTTTCATATCAGAGAGGGAAAACTCAACTGCAGTCCCAGGCTTGAATTATGATTGGTCTAAATCAGTCACTGGTCTAAGAGGGAGCATGTGACAGAAGCAGAGTGAGGTGGGCAGGCATTGGCCAAGTCTCTCAGTCCACACTCTTGTAACTTGAACTTGGGTCTTTTCTCTAGCAGGCTATACTCAAGAGTGTGGAGAGAGGGTTCTGGATAATGAAATGTAAGGGGCAGTCTCCTGGGGAAGTCTCCCTTCCCAAATAACAGGACAAAGCCCCCTGAGCAGAAAACCTTTGCTCCTTCTTCCTGCTTGAATGCAGTTGTGATACCTTAAGATGCAACAGCCACCTGTGACCATGAGGCAACAAGCGTAGGATGAAAGCCAATTCACTACGGATGGCAGAGCAGGCAACCACCTAACTCTAAACTTTTTGTTATGCAAAAAATAAACCTCTATTTGTTTAAGCCACTCTAAGTTGGGTTTTCTGTTACTTTCAGGCCAAAGTATACCCAGTTATACCTCCCATATGCCTTGCATGTTGCTAAATGCCAAAGAGGTTACAAAAGAAATGAAAAGTACACTCCTATACCTCAGCAAGCTGAGTCTACTTAAAGAGACACAAATGAAACACAAAAAGCAATATACGGAAAATAAGTAAGTAACCAAATGGAAAGGACTGAAGAAACTATTTTAGTCAAGGTATATAGAACAGAGCTAGAGCTAGAGGTAAGCAGAGTACATCTGTGGAATAGTAAAGACCTAGATGGGTCCTAGAAGGGAAACAGGCGATATGTGCAGATACTGTTAGGCTGAAGCCATAGTCCAAGGACTGAAAATTGCTCATTCAGGAGTCTGGCCATGATCTGATACTCAGTGGAAAACCAATCCAGGAGAAATTCATGGTGAAAGTTGTGCTTAAGGAAGATGAATTGGATGGTGAAGTATAGACTGAGGCTGTGGTATTCAAACGGGTGATGACAGTTGGAAGGAGCACAGTGCAAGAGATATTCTGAGATGGGCATGGTGGCGTGCGCCTGTAGTCCCAGCTACTCGAGAGGTTGAGGCAAGAGGATCACTTGAGGCCAGAAGTTTGAATCCAGCCTGGGCAACATAGTGAGATCCTCTCTCTAAAAAAAAGAGAGGGAGAGGGAGAGAGAGACTCTGAAGGAAGAATTAACAGGACTTGTTCAAGATTCAGTGTGAAAATGGAAGAGGGAGGGATCCCAGGGATATTACCAATCACCAGGCTGGGAAAGACACACACACACACACACACACACACACACACACAGAGAGAGAGAGAGAGAGAGAGAGAGCATTAGAGCCCTCGACAAAGACTAGGAAGTCAAGAAAGGGAGATGGGGCTTTTGACTTTGACCTGTTCAGATGACAGTTGACCACACAGATTACTATGTCTATTAGACAATTCCCAACGCAGACATCCTGAGTCTGGGGGTGGGGGGCAAAAGAGGCAGCAGAAAAGGGAACGTCATTTGGTTAAGACCACTCTTTCCCAAACCTCAGTCATCTGTGTACTACCTTCATGACTTTTGCTACATGTCTAACACCTACACTACTATTCACTTAGTATTTTTCTTTAAATAAACTTCCTTTTCTAAAACTTTACATGGCTTTAAACAATAATACCCTTGAAACCACCAGTTTTGTATGTTAGTTATATTTTCTTCTAAAATACATGAAAATAAATGCATAACTATCAAAGTTAAAAAATGTTCAGCCAGGTACTACCTGAAATTATTTCATGTTTCACTAGTGACCTAAACACCACCCTTAGGAAAACATCAGCTCAGACACAAGTCATCAGGGACCAGGTCATTTCAAGGAGCCTGATATCTGAGCAATGGGCCTCTTAATACATTCCCTTCCCCTACATCAGCAAGTTACATTATCTTCAGGGGAAAAAGAATCTTTACCCATCTGTATCAAGCTGTAAGGAAAAGAGAGATGGAGAGAAGATGCCCTGACTATCAGGGTGCCTGGGGAGGGGTTGGTCACACATCAGGCATCTTAGGCTGCACCATGCAGGTGAAGGATCCCCTCACATTGCAGTCTGGTCACAGTGGGGCCTCAAATCCTCTCACTAGAGCTCTAAGGAAAGATTCCCATAACTGGAGCTAACCAAGAAACTCAGAAAGAGGCTAAACTGCTGCCTTCCTCTTCCCTTTCCTTCCCTCATCCACCCCCACTCCTCTAGCCCCCTTCCAAATCTGAGCTGGACTTAGCATAAGAGGAGCATGACTCATAGAAACCGAGGACTGAGCAACAGAGGCCTCGCTGCCAGGATTCCTCCCAAGCTGACAATGAGCAGACCCAGCAGCTCGATCCCCAGCTCATGGCAGACTCAGTACTCCAAAGGCTTTGGGCCTTTAGAGCCCACAAGGTGACAAACATTCCCTGAGGAAAGGTCAGAAGACCAGAAAATGGTAAAGAGCTGGTGTGAAGGAAAGAAGACTGTGTTTATTCAATGGTGATGGAGTTCAGATCCCATCTCCCCTAATGTCTTTTCTAAATTCTATTAGGCCCCCAGTGCCTGCTTTCATAGTAAAATAATCATAATAGCAATGATTGTAATAATAAGTAATGTTTACAGGGAAATAAATATGTGCCAGGTACTGTGCTAAGTGCTTTTTAGTACTGTCTTATTTCATTTTCACAAATACCTTAATGAGGCAGGTACACTTACTGAACCCATTTTAGAAATGAGGAAACTGGGGATCAGAGAGGTGAAGTAAATCTCCCAAGGTTACACAATAAGTGGGACAGCCTGGATTCAAGCCTAGGCATCAGGTTCCAGAGCCCCTTAACCATTCTGCTTGTTTTACTCACAAAACCTTCTGAAAGATGTTGACGCTGACTGGACCAGACATAGATCCCTGACTCAGGGCAGAAAACCCATAGGTTGGCCAGCAGCCTAAGGGGTGACCTGACCTATCAGTCAAACATGAATACAATGACCCATAGAATCACTCAGATAGTCTTTCCTGTGGATTCTGAATGTGAGACAGGGAGAGGGTCTTCAGTCAGTAATGAAGGCAAAAGCAGACACACAGACACACACACATACACAAGAGGCAGAAGCCATGAGCATAAGAGCCTTGAATGAGCAGAAGCTATGGAGTGGGGAATAGAGAGAAGTTGTAAGCAGCAGCAGAAACAGAAGCTTCTGAATCAGAGAGTAGGAGAATTATGAGTCAATCATTTTAACTACTCCCTTACCGACATCCGCACCTTTCTTACTCCATTGCCCATCCTTCATCCATCTTGCAAATCCACAAGTGATGTTTAAATCAATCCAAATGTCTACCCTTTCTGCTCCTACTCCAGGATTGCTAAGCACTCCTTGGTGAAAATACTCCAACCATGCAGCTGGGAACCGCTATGAACCTACTGGGCCTCTGGTACAACTAGGCAACCCTTTTTATTTTCCGTCTCCATTGGGCTCTCTCTTCCATTTTATCCAGTGGCTCTCTGAGCACTTCTATCATCTACAAACCCCCAGCCTTGCCACATCCCCCTCACCCAATTTCACAGAGAGAAAGCCACCAGGCAGCAACTTCCCACAACCAAATCTGCACATTCACTCACCACATCCATACTTTCTGCCTTCCCTCTTATGACTCCTCCCAACCAAGATTAACACTTCCAACCTGGCCTGCACTCTGCGAGTTCCATCTCCTCCCACCATCTCAGGGACTTCAAGCCTCAATTGTCCCCTCCCTCACCTGTGTCTCCCATCTTTCCCTCTCTACTGTCAGCCTCTTCTCCATCAGCACTGAAGCATGCCCTCTCTTCTCCCATAACCTGCAATCATCTGCTCACCCTTCCTTTTCACAGACAAACTTCTGGAAAGAGTTGTTTACACTTGCTGTCTCCATTTCCTCACTCCCACTCTTCAACCCAATGTAGTCTGACATACAGTTCTACCACTCCACGAAACTAGTCTCACCAACAATTTCTCGTAGCTAACTCCCATTGTTGTTTATCAGATCTTCTTTTATACTGACCTCTCCAAAGCACTGCAACCATTGGCCACTGCCTCTATCTTGAAACTTTCTTGTAGCTTGGCTTCTATGATGCTGTGTTCTCTCCTGATTTTTCTCCCTCCTCTCTGGTTGCTGCTCAGCTTCCTCGTTAGGCTCTTTTACCTCTGTCCACAAATGTTGAGGGTTCTCAGGTCTTGCTCCTAGGCCTTCTTTTCTTCCCACTCTACAAATTCTCCCTGCACAGTCTTCCAAGGTCTCAATTACCATCTATAAACTGATAACTCTCAAATTTATATTTCTAGCCAAATATCTCCTGAGCCTCAGATCCATATAACCAATTTGCACTTGAGTGTCCCACAGACAACCTAAATTTGACATGCTCAGAA
Organism: Homo sapiens; assembly: GCF_000001405.40. Lineage (NCBI taxonomy): Eukaryota > Metazoa > Chordata > Mammalia > Primates > Hominidae > Homo > Homo sapiens. The sequence goes on along the minus strand of NC_000023.11, from coordinate 71,939,873 downwards.
CTGAACTCATCATCATTCCTATGAAGCCTGTTCCTCTTCCTTGTTGCCTATAATAGCTAACATTTATCGAACATTTTCTATGCTCCAGATACAGTTCAAAGCATTTTATATATATTATTTCACTTAATCATTAAAAGGAAGGTAGTGTTAATATTCTCGTTTTAGGTAAGGAAACTGAGACACAGAGAGGTTAAGGAACTTGTCCAAGGTCACACAGCCAATCAGTGGCAGATCTGGAATTCAAAATCCAGACAGGTTGGCTTCAGAGCCACTACGCTTAACCACCAACCTATTCTCCCATCACTGCTCTCCAGTTGTCTAGGCCAGAAACCTAGGCATCATCCCTGATGCCTGACTTTCCTTCACTGTCCACATCTGTCTATTCTTTCTTCTAAATGTGCCTGAGATTCATCCATTCCTTCCCATCTCCATCACAAATATCTTAAGCAGGTCACCTGCACTCCCAGCCTCCAATGTCACAACTTCCTAACCCACCTTCTATACTGCTTCCACAGTGATGTTTCTGAAAAGCAAGTGTGATCTGAATGGCCAACTATTCCATGGTCCCCTGCTCCCCTCAGGATAATGTCCAAGCCCCTTAACATGGCTTACATGGTCCTTCATGATCTAGTCCCTGCCTGCCTCTCTAGGCTCCGATTCTCCCACTCCCCTCTACCTCCTAACTTTCTGCAACTTCCTTCCTTCCCACCTGCCTTCACCTGGCTACCACCTAATTATCCTTCAGTCCTCTGTTTAGATGAAGGACTATTCCTCTAGGAGGCTGGCCTTGGCTCCCCAAGTCCAGCTTAGCTGCCATTGCCTTATTACCCTGTACTCAGCCTTGTCAGAGCACTTGCCATGCCCTATAATATTTGTTTAATCATTTTCTTCCCCCACTAGACTCTAATTTCTGTGAGACCAGGGACATTGTCTGTTTTGCTCATCTCCGCACCTTACGGTATAAACCATATCAAAGCCCTCTCTGTTCACTTGCCTTCTCCAAGCCATACACTCAGTGGTCAGAGGAATCATCCTGGGGCCAGCTGCCTGGAACAGGTCCTGTGCTCTCAAGCTAAGGATATGTTTCCTGAGCTATCAGCTCATACCTTCCTTCCCAGCAGTGGGGCCAAGAGCCAGTGCATTCTCTTCACTCCATTTCCTGGGCAGGATTTGCAATGTGAATTTCAATTATCACTTGACTTTTAGAACCAGAGTCGAGCTATGTCTTAGTTACTGACTCTTTTAATAGCTTTGTGAGATCGATGGGAATGCAACGGAAATAACAATGATGACTCACCCAACCCTACTCGCCTCCCTTCACCACTCTGCACAAAATCCAATCCCACCACTGTCAAGTCAAGTGCCATTCTGGATGAGGTAGCAGCAGCTCCTTGGATATCTGAGCAATCATGCATGGGAGAAGAAGACGCCAAGGAGATCTCAAGTGAGCTGCTAGTCAGACTCTATGGTCAAATGCCCTGTGTCCTTGAAGCCTGTGAAATACAGACAGACAGAAACAGGTAGAGCAGAATGGCGAACTTCCAAGGGGAAGGGGGCTCTGGCTGGAAAATCGGTGCATAATGGGGCAGGCTGCCTTAACGGTATCACCTAAAGGGACACAGGGATGGACAAAACTCAGGTGGGCTTCCTCAACCCTGCTCATGCAATCCCTTCCTTCTCCACAACTTCATCAGCTAGGAGCAAGTCATGTTCATATGTTGTACCACAGTGGGCAAGTGGGCTATGATAGTCATTAGCACTGTTTCCCAAATATTCCCAGCACTGTGCCTTGTAGGGACGTGGTGAGATTTCACTTCTTGGCCCATTACAGTTGGGTGGAACCATATGATGAGTTCTGGCCAACGGCACAGAAGTAAATATATGTGACTTCCAAGCTGGAATATTTCTATGCCATTATGCTGCCTGACAGGGCTCTCTTTCCCTTTCCCATAATGACTAGCAATGTTCACAACGGTAGGTTCTCTGATCACCGGAGCTGTAAGGTAAAGAGACAAGGAGCACAGCCCTCAGCTAACTCATCATAGACATAAAGCAAAGGCAAAGAATAAACCTTTGTTGTCATGACCCACTAGGATTCTGGGGATGTCTTTTAGCACGGCACAAAGTTGTTCATCCTGACCAATAACACAAGCTACATCTTTCCTTTGGAGTTTGGCATTATTAGAGATAGGAAACCACAACCACCATACTGAGAAGACAGACAATCATTTATCAAAATGACTACCAAAAAATATTAAGCATATTAGTAAGGGTAAGTTTTTAGCAATGTTCTAGATCATGATTTGGGTGGTGGGTTCATGAATGTTTGTTATATTAATATTATTACATTAACAAATGAGGCAAAAAACACTTGGCTACAAACGTGATGATTATCTGGATGCAAACAGCAATTCTGAAATGCACAGTATAGTCCAAGAGTCCAAACCTGTCCATTCAAGGACACAAGTCCTAAGAGGTTCTAGGTCCTTTGGTCCAGGTCCAAACCTAGGCCCTTCCTGGTGACGCTTTGACTCTCCAGCCTTGTGGAACTACTGATTTCTCTTCCTAAGTCTCCCCTGGTTCTCCCTCCACCCTGGCTACAGCCCCCTCTCTCAAATTCCCAAATTACTGAGAACATGAGCTCCACCTTTTTGTTCTCCACAAGCACTCCCAGACCTCTGCTGCTGCCGAAGAAAGGTACTATGTGTTCTTGATGCCCATCCACCTGTAACTCCTCAACTGTCTTCTAGGAGAGAGCTCCTAACAGGACAGGGTGTAGAGTTTGAGGTCAAAAAGAGCTCGGTTTGAATCCTAGCAACACAATTTACTTGCTATGTGATCTTATAAAAGTTATTTTCACTCTCTGGGTCTGAATTTCTTCATCTTTAAAATAGGAACAATAATACTTAGAACTCAAGGGGTTGCTGTCTGCATCCTATGAGTGAGGATGCAAGCAGAGAAACTGGCACACAAGTAGGCACTCAGTAGCTGTTGCTTCCCTTTCCCTTTTCTACTTTCTCCTCTTTTCAAAATGGCAACTGACCCATACCACTGACCCAAACTGTAACCTCATTCTTTCCTCTTGTTTTCATTTTCCTCTTTTTCCTTCCAGTTCAAACTCCCCCCACTACACACACACACCACCATCATCACTCTCACCACAGCAGACACCTTCGTTCAAACTTGTCTCTCATTCACTATCTAGTTCAGGGGCTTTAAAGTTTCTGTTTTGTTTCTCTTTGTTTGTATTTAGAAGTGGCACTCCCTTGCAAACAAAAATCATCTGTAGATCTCTAATATATAAAAGACAGAATCAGAACTGCTCATGGCAGCCCCTGAAACACCTCTGTGGGATTCCCTAGGGCTCAATGGATCACACATTAAAAACTATTGGGCTCTTTGCTCTTTCCAGGTCTTCAGAACATCAGAGCTGGCAGGCCCCTCAGAGGCCATCCACTGACCCACTGCCTAAATTTCTGGATGGGAAACATGCCTAGAGATTCAGAGAGCTTTTGGCTCCAAGGGCTGGAAAGAACCCTGAAGGTCACGTAGGCCCCCAGGCTGACTGACAGGTGGTGGGCCCCAGAGCAGGAGAGAGCAGGGGAACCAGCCTCCTGCTCCCATCTCTAGGCTTCGGGAGCACAGCCTGCCTCTCACCATGCCTAGGAAGCAGTATCCCCTAATCAAGTGTCAAGAGGTTGACTCAAAGCCTAACACAGCCACTTGGTAGCTGTGTGGCCTCGGGCAAATCACTCCCTCTCTCTGCAGCTCCATCTTCCCTCTGTCAAATAGGCTTATGATGCCTATCTCACAGAAGCTTTATGTAACTTTACCTGTGTGTGCCTTTACCTCCGCAAAACACTCATAGGCAACACCTGGCTTTCAGACTTTCCAGGAGGGACACAGATAATGGTGGTGGGAAGGAAGATAGGCACCTCACACATTTTTCCTTTTTCCAGGCAGGAGTGAGATTCACTCCCCTCCACAGAACCCTAATTCCTATTTATGAAAAGCCTCTGGCCTCTCACAAATCCCCTAGGCTTTTCCTAGCCAACAGGCAGCTTCCCAGTCCTGGCTGTACTAAGGCTCACCCCTCCCTGCCTCAGGGCCCTCCTTTTGTTCCACTTCCCCTCTCAAGCACACAGCCTGAAGGGCTGCCCAGCTGGCCTTTTCTGAGAGAAAGTTTGGCAACCAGCATCTGAATGGAACCCATTAGTACCTGTTTACACCACTAATGTGAACTCCCACCCTGAGGCCCTAGAAACACTAAAGCTACAGAGTGTACCTCAGAACCGACTCCGCCTGGAACCAACCAGGTCAGTGGCCAAGACTCTTTCATTTTATTTCGTTTTCCACAACCCCCTCTCCTTCAAATGAGCTGCCTAGGCAACAGGCTACACATTTAGTTAGCAATTGCACTTAACAGCCACAGATTGCCACTTGGGATGGTGCAGCAGCACATTTGGTTTAATAAGTGTGCTACTACTATGGTTTTCACATTTCCCTAGGCTGGAAACCACTCTGATAGGATAAAAGGCCCTTCAGACCACCTAGGTCACTCATTGCTGCTGACCCCCTCCCAGGGACAAAACAGAAGAGGGCTGCTTCCTAGGATGAGGCTCCTTGAGGGTACAGCCATGGTTGTTGTTTTTAAACTGAGAATCATTAGCAAAAGATTTGTATAAGAAACAAAAATAGTGACAGGACCATGTAAGAGACCCTGAAGGACTCCCGGGAATGGTGCTGTGTGAGGTCCAGAAAGGGCTGCCACAGCAGTGTGTGACATGTGATGTGTGTGAGTGTGTGTTTGTGAACATGTGGGTGTGCATGAGTGTCCTTTACTGAACAGCTTGCCTGAAAAACAAAAAAACGGTCCTGCCAGTTATATTGTTACAAAACAGCTGGAAGGGCACCCTAAAAGAAGTCCAAGCTGAGGCTCCTTTCAGTTATCACTCAGGTATGTCTTGACAAAGTCAAGGATTCTGTGGTTTTGATGCTAGTTAAGAATGGACGCCATCTAACCAGATGTTCAAGCCAAAAACCTGGAGGTCATCCTGGACTCTTTTATTCTCCTTACTCCCCATCTCCAATCCAGCAGAAAATCTTGTCTGCTCTACTCCAAAACAGATCCTAATCCATCTACTTCTTCCCCCTCCACTGCCATCTGTGTGGCTCAAGTCACCGTCAGCTGTCCTCTGAACCAGGCCTCCTTCCAGGCCTCCCTGCTTCCACCCTTGCTGCCTCACAGTCCATTCTCTACACAGAAGTCAGGGGGATCTTTTAAAAACGTTAAGTCAGATCCTATACCTCTTTTTCATGCCATGGAAGCACATGTTCAAGAGGGAAGCTCCACCAGCCTGGATTACTGAGTGACTAAGAAGAACACATCCCTCCCATCAATCCACATCGGACAGTTCCAGCGAGTGAGAATTTGATAGTGGTGGCCACTGGAGCATAACTTAGCCTATCCACGTGCATTGAATTCACGTGTATTTTGGGAGCAGGCATTATGGCTTCAACTGAGTCCTAAAGAAGTGTGAGATCCCAAAGGATTATCTTAACCACTGCTCTACAAGGAAAAGGGAGCTGGCTGAGTGAAGTACAATGTTCAGAGTGTGCAATTAACAAACCTAGTTATGTAAACCCTGGGAAGCGGCATGGTATTGATGAAAGAAGTCAAGCAAGTAGGCTGCTCAGCAGTCAGGAAATCTGTACCAAAACGAGGATAGAGGACAGGACTTTGGTCCTGGAGGAGAACTGGAATACAAAGAAGAGTGAGTAGGCAGAATTTAGTAGAAGTCAATATGGTGGGGGTGGTAGGGAAAGAGGAAGGAAAGGAAGGGAGGAGGAAACAACCTAGAGGCAGCATGGATCTCCAAGGGTCGCTCTTGGAGGTGCCTGATCGCAGATCAAATTGGCAGCAAGAAGCCCCAGGAACCAATGCAGAGTCCAGCTGTTGTCACAAGTTCCCCAGCTCCTGGGTCTGCTGAAGCCAACGCAATATTTCCTGCCTCAGTTGGGATTTTGGCTCAGTGGCTGGAATGGTGAACCAAGCTGGCCAAAATGAACCTGCCTGGGGATAGCTGGGGGAAGCAGAGGCAGCAGAAATGAGGAAGGGCTTCCACGTCATAGTAACAGCTGACAGTTATCGAGTGCTTATCTTGTGCCAGGCACTGTGGCAAGGATATTACATGCTCTCCCTATAATCCTCACACAAACCCCATAAAGTTAGTGCAATTTTATGTCCACTTAGAGACACTGAGCAACTTGCCTAAGATCATACAGCTAATAAATGTCAGAGCCTGATTTGAAACTAGGATATCTCCTCCCCAACCTATGTCTTTCACTACTTTATTTTCTCTTTTTCCTACTCCTCGAATTTATGTATTTGTTTTACTTTCTCCTAGTTTTTCATTTCACCCCATTTCCTGCCACCTGTTCAATTCCTTCTCCTCACAGTCCTCTACTTGAACATAAAAAAAAAAAAAAGTTAAGTGCACCTTGACATGTCATCTATTATTAGTCTTTCTGTCATCCATCTTCTGGCTCAATGTCTCAGCATTTCAGCTTTCCATACATTGACTACTGACAGGTGACCCTTGTCTCTAACAGTAGAGAAAAAGGAAGGCTTTTGGACAGGGCGACTCTCACTGGGAAAAGAGGCAGTGTAGCTCTCTGTGCACAAACAACAAATCCAGGTTTACAAATCAGATACTTGGAAGATCTAAACACTCCTGGAGGGGCTTGGTAGCAATGCTGTAGAGATGAATTCTGTAAAAAGGAGGCCAATGCTTCCCTGGGAGCATAGGTGTGGAGGGCTGGGAAACACTTGGTGTCTGTGGGAGAAGTCCTAGTAGTGATCTTCACTTATTATTGGAAACTATTTGGGATGGGCCTTTCTAGGGAGTCAGCTCTGGTGTCATGGAAAAGAAAAAGCACAAGGGTTGTTCTTAGAATAACAGGATTCTGGTCTGGCTTTGCCACTTATTGGCAGGCCAGCACTGGGCAAACCATGATAACCTCTCTGGTACTCAGTTTCCTCATCTGCAAAATGAAGAGAAGAGTCTTACACCTTTCTCATAGGGATGATTTGGAGTGAGGATCAGATAACTTAATAATATCTGGAAGGCATCTCAAACTCAGTAACAATGATTCCTCCAAAGCCACCTACACTCATGTACTCTTTATTTTGGTGAAGACCACCCCTGCCAACACCATCACATAGGCCTCAAGAACCAAGGACTGACTCTGAAACCTCCTCCATTTCTCTTGCATCTGTGAATCTGTCCACCTCCTCTGCAGGGTTGCCATCGCCACCTTCATCTAGCCCTCCCTCATCTCTCTCTCGGACTACGGTAATATCCTCTTAACTGGCACTGATCTTGCACACCCCTCTCCAGTCCATTCTCAGCACAGCAGCCAGAGTGAGCATTTTGAAATCAAAATCAGATCATGTTACTTCTTTGCTTCGGTGGCCCACAGACCCTGTAGAATTGGTCCCCCTCAGGCAGCTCGCCCTCATCTCATGCTGCTCTTTCTCTTGTGCTTGTAGGTCATCAAATTCGTCTCCTTGCAGTTCCTTAAAAGCATCCTCCTTTCTCGCCTTTGAGAACGATGTTCTTGCTGCCTGGAATACTCTTCCCATACATCTCCTCCAACTCAGGCACCTTCCTAATTATTGATTTCTCCAGGAAGGATTTTCTTGGTCCCCCACGACTAAGTCAATCATTTCTATCATTCATTTAAAATTTATTTTGGTGATTATTTGACTAATGTCTGCTTCTCCCACTAAATGCTTAGCTCCCTGAAGGCAAGGGCCATGGCTAATTGTTCACAGCACCTGGCACAGTGTCTGGCACATGGTAGGTGCTCAATCAATATTTGTCGAAAGAAAAAATGAATGTGGATATCCTTGATAAACAGTAAACAGCTGGGCAAAAATAAGGCAGTGCTGCAGAAATGAAGAAACTGATCCTACAAATCATGTGGAAATTCAAAGGTCCCAGAATAGCCAAAACAATCTTGAAAATAAAAAACTAAGTTGGAGGACTAACACGTCCCAATTTCAAAACTTACTACAAAGTAATCAAAAGTAATTAAAGCAATCAAAGTTTTCAAAACTATGTGCTACTGGCATAAGGATACACATATAGATCAAAGTAATAGAATTGACAGTCCAGAAATAAACCCATTCACCTACAGTCAATTGATTTTTCACAAGGATACCAATGCCATTCAATGGAGGAAGGAATAGTCTCTTTAACAAAAGGCGCTAAAACAAGTGGATATCCAAGAACATGCAAAGAATGAAGTTGGACCACTACTTCACACCGTATACAAAAATTAACTCAAAATGGATCACAAACCAAAATATAAGAGCTAAAACTATAAAACTCCTAAAAGTAAACATGTAAATTTGCACGTTCTTAGATTAGACAATGGTCTCTTACGTATGATGGCAAAAGGACAAGCAACCAAAGAAAAAATAGGTAACTTGGACATCATCAAATTTAAAAAACTTCTGTGCATCAAAGGACACTGTTAAGAAAGTGAAAAGGCAACTCACAGAATGAGAGAAAATATTTACAAGTCATATACCTGACCAGGGATTAATATACGGAATACATAAAGAACTATAATTCCACAACAAAATAATAAACAACCCAATTCAAAAACGGGCAAAAGACTCGAATAGACATTTATCTAAAAAGACATACAAATGGCCACTAGGCACATGAAAAGATGTTTAGTCCACAATGAGATACCACTCCACACTCCCTAGGATGGCTATAATAAAAAATTCAGAAAATAACAAGTATTGGTGAGGATGCAGAGAAATTGGAACCCTTGTACATTGCTGATGGGAATATCAAATGGTGCAGCCTCTGTAGAAAACAGTCTGGCAGTTCCTCAAAAGTTAGATGTAGAGTTACTATATGACCCAGCAATTCCATTCCTTAGGTACATACCCAAGAAAAATGAAAGCATATGTTTACACAAAAACTTGAACACACATGTTCATAGGAGCATTATTCATAATAGCCAAAGGATAGGAACAAGCCATAGAAACATACTCTTCAATGTGTGAGTGGATAAACAAACTATGGTCCATCCATACAATGGAATATTACTCAGCCATAAAAAATAATGAAGTATTGATACATGCTGTAGCACGGATGAACCTTGAAAACAACATGCTAAGTGAAAGAAGCCAGACACAAAAGACTACATATTATATGACTCCATTAATACGAAATTTCCAAAATGGGCAAATCCATAGAGACACAAAGTAAATTAGTGGTTACCAGGGACTGGTGGGAAGATGGGGAATTGGACCAGTAAGGGGAATGGAATTTCCTTTTAGGGTAATGAAAATGTTCTAAAATTGATTGTGGTGATGGTTGCACAACTCCACCAACATGCTAAAAGGCACTGAATTATACACTTTAAATGGGGGAATTAAATGGTATGTGAATTATTTTCAATAAAGCTGTTAAAAATAAGGTGAACAGTGAGTTCTAAAGGCTAAGAATGAGCCAGTCATACTAAGAGTTGGGGAATGAGTGTTCCAGCCAAAAAGAACAGCTAGTGCAAGGATCCTGAGGCAGGAATAAGCTTGGTGAGGAACAGAAATGAGGCCAGCACAGCTGAAGTAGACCCGGTGAAACGGGTGGGAGGTGAGGTAAGAGAGGTGGGCAGGGCAGATAGAATGTGGAATCAATTCTGAATATGATGAGGTTCAAGCCACATGGCCACCCCTAATTGCAAGGGGGTGAGGAAGTGCAATCCTGCCATGTTCCTGGAAGAAGGACAGCCAGAGTCTGGGCGTGGTGGCTCATGCCTATAATCCCAGCACTTTGGGAGGCTGAAGCAGGCAGATTGTTTGAGCCCAGGAGTTTGAGACCAGCCTGGGCAACATGACAAAACCCCGCCTCTACAAAAAATACATAAATTAGTCAGGTGTGGTGGCACACACCTGTAGTCCTAGCTACTCGGGAGGCTGAGGGGTGAGGATCACTTGAGCCTGGGAGGTTGAGGCTGCAGCGAGCCATAATCATGCCACCGCACTTCAGCCTGGGCAACAGAGCAAGACACTGTCCCCCACCGCCAAAAAGAAAAAAAAAAGAGAAAGAAACAGAAAGAGAGCCAGAACTACTCAGTGAGTTGCACTAATGAAAACCATCCATGCACACTACAATCTTGAGTAGAGTTTCAGGGCACTCAAGCACCTCCTTCAAGTCAATTTCTTAGAGCAGGATTAAGATCCCATGCTGGGTCAGTTCTCCAGCTTCGGCTTTGCCTTAGGACAGGGATTCTTAATGAGTTAAATTAAGTTCTTAACCAGGTGTTACATGAAGAGAGTTCAGGAGGCCCGTGAACTTGTATGTGAAAATAATTAACTGTTTATTTTCACTAAACTCTAATTGAAATGATGAATGTAGGCAACAAACCACAGAAGTGTTAGCAATACCTGTGCCTTTGTCAGTAATAGAAATCACAGATCATATGACAGTTGTTGAAGGTATCTTGAAATTTCACTCATTCAATATTTTGGTAATTATAAGACCCAGCGCTAGATCTTGTAATTTGAAATATGCTAAGAAGCACATATACTACTATATATCACAATTTAAAAAGTATTTTGATAACTATCTTTCAGTACCATTGTTTTCCTTTGTAAGCCTAGGTATTTTATCTCATGCTTAAAAAACAATTATGAAAACACCTGAGAACTTCAAAGTCTTAGGGGATAATTCACATCATGTTGGGTCCCTGCCCTGTCTTCCTCTCAGCTTGCCCTGTAAAACTGCCTCCACGGTAGGTCTGCCAAACCTCATGTTTAAGACTCCATCTATGACAGTATGGGGAGTTAAGCAGAAGAAAACTTGGAATCAAGTTCCGAAGAAGACTTCTGGGTACTACAGTAGATTTGTGTGCTACTCAATTATATCTCCAGGATATGGCCCAGGCTCTCTTATGCATCACTGCATGGCAGAAATATTGGCCTGACAAAACCTTCCATAGTTTGCTGCTGGCTTGCTGGGGCTAAGTCTTTCATTTCTCCGGGCCTTAGTTTCCCTATCTATGCTATGAAGGGTTTGGACTGGATGTCCAAACCACCTATGACAGCCCAAGTTTATGCTTCTGTACCATCTGCTTCCCTGGGGTCCCAAAAAGAGGCCCAGTAGTACCAGGTGCCCCTCGACCTTGGCACCAAGTTTGAGGGGCCACCCAGGCTTCTATACCATATGGTAGAGGGGAAACAGTGCTTTCCCCAACTCCAAAAATGCCATCCACAGCCTTACCTCCTTGCCTTTGCTCATGCAACTCCCCTTGCCCAGGGCACACTCTGTATGTCCATCAAGGATCCAGTCCAAAGCCAAGCATCACAACAAACCTGTCACTGGCCACTTTGAACTCCCATGACATTAGGCACAAAGCATCTTTTATTGCAGTCTTCTTATGCATATGTCTGCTGTCCCTACCCACAGAGTCAACTCCTCTGGGTGAGACCCATATTTCCCCCTTTTCAGGATTTCCAGGGCCCAATTCAGTTCCTTTATCTTCAGGTATCAAGCCTAAGATAATGGCTGTGTGCAGTCCTATACAATCCTGCAGTTGAGTGGGCACTAAAGAATCAATTCTCCCAGGGTCAAATCCTGGCTCTGTGGCTTACTAGTTAGCTCATTTTTTGCAATAACTACTAACTTAGTTAATGACACAGTGACAACATCTCCATGCCTGGATTTCTTCATCTACAAAATTGGGAAAATAGTACCTGTTTCAAATAAAGCAAAGATTAAGAAGCAAATACAAGTAAAGTGCTCAACACTTAGAAGTATTACTTATAAATTTTGTGTGACAAATATTTAATGCCTGCCAGGCTTATAATCTTCATAACATGTCTATAAAGTAGGTACTATTATTATAATGATCCCTAACTTACAGATAGAGAAACTAATGGAAAGAGATGTCAGGCTACTTGTCCAGGGTCATAAAGAAAGCAAGTAGTAGGGCCGGGTGCGATGGCTCAGGCCTGTAATCCCAGCAGTTTGGGAGGCAGAGGCGGGTGGATCACCTGAGATCAGGAGTTCAAGACCAGCCTGGCCAACATGGTGAAACCCTGTCTCTACTAAAAAAAGTAAAAAAATTAGCCAGGCTTGGTGGCAGGCGCCTGTAATCTAGCTACTCAGGAGGCTGAGGCAGGAGAATCGCTTGAACCTAGCAGGCGGAGGTTGCAGTGAGCTGAGATTGCGCTGCTGCCCTCCTGTCTGGGTCACAGAGCAAGACTCCGTCTCAAAAAAAGAAAAGAAAAAAAAAAAAGAAAGAAAACAAGTAATAGAGTGAGGATTCAAACCCAGAGAGGGTGGCCCCAAGGCCCAAGCACTTCACTGCTATGCTAACTCTGCTACCTCTCAACAGCTATCCTTATTATCCGTCTTCTGTCAGTGTTAAACCAACTCTAGGTGCAAAAGAAAATTAGGCCAAGTGGTAGGCTGCTTTCCTCTAGCTCGCTTTCTGCTGCTTCCAGGTGCTTTTGATCTTCAAGGCACATTTTTGGTTCTTGTTCCCTCTGGCTGACTTTCACAGCCTGACCCCATTGAGTCCCTCCCTCTGATCCGGCCCTCATATGCACATTTGTGCTGCCAACCCGATGGTCAGCAAGATGGTGAATGAGACGAAGGAAGAAGATTCCATCTGCTCCTTGTGGACAAACTGCTTAGTGAGAGAAGGCTTGCTCGCGTATTTTTGGAATTTCATGAATTTCTGTCTCTCAAATGAAGCATACAGTACTGTCAAGAGGACAAATAATTTAACCTGGGTCTCCAAGAGTGGGTCCTCTGAGCCATTAACATTCCCAGCCCACTCTCCTTTATAGAATTATAGACCGAGCTGCAATAAGTCTCAGAGACACCCCAGTCTCTCATTTTACAAAGGGAGGAATCAGGACCCAGGAAAGAGAAGGAACTCACCAGAGATACAGCAGGTACTCAATAAACATTTTGTTGCAAGAATGAAGGACCGATGATTCATATGCTCAAGAGGTGAGGGGCACAGTCTGTGAAATGGGACCAAGCTATTCTTTATCTCAAGTGCTTCATGTAAACCCCACACCCTGAACTTAGTAGCACCATTTGAGGAGGCACATTTTAAAAGTACACATGTCTGGACACAACCACAGAGATTTTAATTTAATTAGCCTCAGAGGTAAAGCCCAGACATTGGTGTATGTATATATATGTATATTCTCAAGGTGATTTTAATGAACAGCCAAGGTTGAAAACCACTGCTCTAAACCAACGGTTCTTGAGCTTGATTGCACACTAAAACCCCCGAGAGCAGGTTTAAAATTTGAGTGTGTGTGCACACACACACATCAATGTTTTGTTCAAAGTGTGCCCGGTGATTCTAAAATACAGTTAAGGTTGAAAACCAAAACCAGTATCTATTACTTGACAGAGGGTAATTGAAAAGAAATAAGTCATAGTTTATCTACCTAGTAAGTTCCACGAGGACAAATATTTTGGCCTCTCTTGTTCACTCCTGTATCTCCACCACCTAAAACAGTGCAAATGGTTTCTTGGTTTTCACTTCCCACTTGCCACTGTGGGCAGGTCAGTTTTAATATCTCTGAGTCTATTTTTTTCATTTCTCAAATAGAAGTAATAACTCACAGGGTTGTCATGGGAATCACATGAGATAACAAATGTAAAAGAGCTTCATAAATTAGAAAGAAAGGCAAAAATGCTAGTTAATTTCACAGAGAAAACTCAATTTCCTGTTTTTTCTCCCTGTGCCCCCCCAGACATTTTAACTCTTTTTTTAATCTCATTGGATATGTTCCTGCTGAATCTCTTGCAATCCACTAGAAAGCCCTCCATCAGATCCTATCCCAACTCAGTGCATTGAACAAAATCTCCTCCCTGATAGTGGTAAAAACACATTTCTTTTCTGATCCTTGCTTTCAGTAAAATCTATTCCCCATTGATTGTGATGGAGAACATGGATGGGCATTCAAATTGTGGATGCTCAACTTACTCCATAACTCTAAATTGTTTACTCTTCTCTGAGCCTGTTTCCTTATCAAGAAAATTGAGATAATAATGGTAACTATTTCATGCAATCATTGTGAGGATAAAATGAGTTAATGATGTATATATTGTCAGGCACACAGAAAGCTCTTAAAGATAACAATAAAAACATGGGTTTTTGTCCAAAGGTTTTTTAAATTAGAAAAGGAGTGTCATCTCAAGTATAAAAGTAAGATGAGGGTGATCTAGCTGTGACATCTGTCACTTTCTGCTATCTGGAGTTTATTTGGCTGGCCAAATAGAAGTGCAAAAACATAACCCAGGAGGCGGAGCTTGCAGTGAGCTGAGATCGCGCCACTGCACTCCAGCACTCCAGCCTGGGTCACAGAGCGAGACTCCGTCTTAAAAAAAAAAAAAAAAGTGCAAAAACATGCCACTCCCTCTCTCTGTTAGTCACTCAGAAAATATGTATTGAGCACTTACTGCATACCAGGGCAGTGGGGGAAAACAGACAGGAATAAAATACAACCCTTGAGGAGTCTGGTGGGAAACCTAAGCTCTTAAGACAAGAGGCATCAGCCCAGACACCACTGTCAATTTGGCACTGGTATATCCTATTGCAGGCAAAATATCTAGGAGTCAATAACCACCTCTTGGGTGTTACGAGGTTCACAGTATTGGTAATGGCAAAAATTACCAAAAAAGCTAAGGGTAGGCATTAACTAATATAGCGGATTTATTAGATAACATGCAGAGCTTTAAAGAAACACAAAAACTCATCTCTTACTAGGCCAGTTAATCATTCAACAAACATTCACAGTGTGCCTACTTCCAAACTAGATTTTGAAGAAAAAGGAATGAGTCAGCCACTATCCTTGCCCTAAAAGATGATAATACATAACATTTGGGGAGGGGGGGTGATTTTTTGTTTACAAAGCCTTTTCCCATACAGGCTTTCATTTGATCCTCCTGACAAACAGAAAACAGAGGCTCAACACCAAAAATTACCTCCATTAGCAAATACTGGAATTGGGCTTACATTGGGCAAAATTAGCAAAGTAAGCCAAGTTCATAATCAGGGCTCTTTCTACTCTCAAAGGCCCGTCACTAGCCTACAACCACCTAATGTAACTCTGATTTCCCTTGAGCTAGAAGGAACTCTTTATATTCATCTAAATGTATTGGGATCAGAAGGCCTCAATAGTTCTACTCTGTTTCCAAATCCTCACAACCTTTAAGATGGGCTTTAATTCTCCTAGGAAGAGACCTCTAACTTCTAGCTTCCAGTTTATCTTAGGCCAAGGGATGGCCAGGGTGTTCTTTCAAGTTCTAAAGAAGAGGGTCATATTACTTTTCAAGAGGTGGTAAAAGAAGGAAATAAACATGAATTCAAAAATGGTCAATACATACTGGCAGTCTCTGCCTCCTACCCATAGGGTAGGCTACCTGGAGGAACATAGTGAAAAAAGTATAGCAGGAACATAGTGAAGGGAGTCAGAGAGGGCCGTAAACAGGAAGGAATGCCTGAATAGAAATCTGGAGGAATGAATAAGAGTTTTCCGGAAGACACGAGAGGAAAATGCTATGAAAACCTTCCCTGCCTCAGTACTCTGTGCTTTTCACATTGGACCCTATGTGAAAGGGTCTGTAGCGAGGTCTGCAGCAAAGTTGTCTTCTTCCATACTGTCTCCCCAACTAAATGCTAAGACTGAAGAGCAAAAGGTAAGTCTTTTCACTTTGGTATCACCAATACCTGGCAAAAAGCCTGGCAAAGTTATAGTACAATGAGTGGGGTAGGAATTACCCCTCAGAGTCAGCTCTAAATCACCAGATTAAAGATAAACTGCTTTCCTTTATTAAAGAACAGGAAAATTAAAGGGCAGAAATATCTCAGCTACACCAAAACTCACCATTTCAAAGCCCATTTAAACAGAACACAGAAAAGTTTTAAAGCCATAGTGAAGTGTTAAATGATTTCCATGTTTTCCCATCTAGAACCCAGAAGCAATGAGCCACCACAATTAACCAGTAACTCTGGCTGTTCATTGTGGAAAGCAGACATTTAGCCTGGATCCCCAGACAGGAGCAGCACAGCCACGTCAAACAACAGCCTGCAGCCTGGGCATCTGGAGGGTGGATGTTTCATCACCATAGAGAGTAGCTCTGCCAGCAGGGACGCAGGAGGGGTGGAGCTGGCAGCAGATGGGGCGAGTTAAAGCCAGTGGGGATTTAGAGGGGCTGTCCTATAAATTATCCAAGAACAGGGTATATCACTGACATATTTCTGTATACCTGGTGCCTGGTGGCACCTGGCACTACAGGACCACTTATACTGTTGGGCAAGTTGTATTCCTACAAGGGTACCCTGCAAAGGGGTCTCAAGTTGGAGACACAATTCAGCCAAGCCCAATGCCTTGTCTGACTGCACATGGAGGAAGAAGTACCTTTATCTAGTTACTATGCCCAGAAAGGGTGACTTTTTAAAATTGGTCCACCCAGAGGATACTCCATATTTTAATACTTATTACCAGAAAAGGGGACTTTTTCTAATTGCTGTTCCCAGAGGATGTGCCTGTCTAAAGATTCCACCAAAAAGAGTGGCTTCTCCTAATTAATCCACCCAGGGAAAGCACCCTTTGCCATCCCTCTACCTGGAGGGGACACCTGCTTGCCAAATTTCTACCAGCTCCCTCTGGCATCTTACGAGAGTGAAATAAATATTTAATAGGACAAAGAGAACCTTCTCCTTCACTAGCTCTTCCCCTTCCCTCATGACCCCACACCCCATGTGCATTAGGTAGTCTGGAAGCTACAGACACAAAATATAAAACTTCTGTGCAAGCCAATAACATTTGTTTCCTAAATCTACCATTTTCATTAACTCAGAATTATGGGAAAAAAGATTTCATTGGGCTATTTCGCAACAGGCAGTAAACTTATGTAACTCTTTATTCCAAGAGGTAATACAGGCTGGAAATTGGAATACAGGGAGACTTTGCTATCCAAAATCCTCAAGAAATGAGTTCTCTTAATGGGTAAGTTTCCTGGGAGCTGGAATGTTTCCCACTTTTCAGTATTTAATCTTTTCTTCAATTTTCAGCATTTCAAGTGGAACTCTTCCTGAACACACCCTTCTCAGCCTTCTTAAACAGATTCCTCTGAAGATGCTGAAGCCTCTTTTTCTTTTTTTAAATACAGTCAAGTTCTCGCTATGTTGCCCCAGCTGGCCTTGAACTCTTGGGCTCAAGGGATCCTCCCGCCTCAGGCTCCCAAGTAGCTGGGACTACAGGCCCGTGCCACCTCTCCCACCTACAGCCTATTCTTGATGCCTTATTTATCATCCTCGATGTACAGTATTGCTTGGGAGGCAAACTATAGGGGTTACCTTTAGCATCTCCCCTCTCTGATCACACTATGGAGGGATGCCAAAAGTGCCCCCCATAGTTCTCCCTTTCCCTTTGTCCCCCTTGCCTTCGTATTTCCCAGGGGGGCTGCTGACAGGGTCACATAAGTGGATGTCTCAGGACCCCAAAATAGCCACAAGAGAGGTTCTGCACTGGAAATCCAAACACACAGCCACCTACCCAGAGATCCCTTTGCCCCAGTCCTCTTCCTTTCTCTGGGTGAGTGTTGGCCTAGATCCACATTCTAAAACTATTTCTGTTGCGATCATGAAGGGAAAAAAGATAAATACTCTTTCTTCTGCATTGCATTTGTTGAAGTATAAATGGGATTAAAAATACTCAATACATTTATACATTCTACTGTGCAACTGGGATGAAGAACCCCTGTTATAGATGGTTAAAGCTGGGAGAGACCACTCCAAAGTTTCCCAACTTATTTGAACACACAATCCTTTACAAATTATATTTGTGGATACAAATACAAAATACAAATGTGGATAATACATTTCACTCTTATGCCGTATTATTAACACAATAATCTACCTGCATGAAAGAGTGTGCCACATCAGAGAACACGGGAAAGCACAGAGTCTGATCTAGACGTTGATTTGGAGGCAACCATTCCAACTTCTATTTGGAATTTCTGGCACAGCCTATTTCAGAACACTAAATATTACGACTGGAAGTTTCTTTCCTCTTGCCTATACTCCGATGAACTCGTGCATAGTGGAGTCGTTATATTCTGTTGCAAAGAAAAATAAGTTGAGATTGACCTGGTGTAGGGATCCAACCCAGTAACATCATGGGTGATATTAAGTGGCGGTGACGTAAGAAAACAAAAATGCTATTCTTGTTTAAAATGTTAGTGGGTTTTGATGACGTGTTATAACCAAAATATGTAAAATAAAAGATGTTTTACTCTACTTCATCATATATTTATCCTTTTTATTAATAAAATAAAATGGTTTCATGTTTCTAATTTCCTATGTTCTCTCTCTCTCTTTTTTTTTTTTTCAGAGACGGAGTTTTGCTCTTGTCACCCAGGCTGGAGTGCAATGGCACAATCTCGGCTCGCTGCAACCTCCACCTCCCGGGTTCAAGTGATTCTCCTGCCTCAGCCTCCTGAGTAGCTGGGATTACAGGCATGCGCAACCACACCCGGCTAATTTTTTGTATTATTAGTAGAGACGGAGTTTCACCATGTTTGGCCAGGCTGGTCTCAAACTCCTGACTTCAGATGATCCACCAGCCTCGGCCTCCCAAAGTGCTGGGATTACAGGCA
This sequence comes from Homo sapiens, assembly GCF_000001405.40. Lineage (NCBI taxonomy): Eukaryota > Metazoa > Chordata > Mammalia > Primates > Hominidae > Homo > Homo sapiens. The sequence goes on along the minus strand of NC_000023.11, from coordinate 71,921,154 downwards.
TGAGCCACTGTGCCCAACCCCTATGTTCTCTTATAATGTTAAAAAATATATTGGCCGGGAACGGTGGCTCACGCCTGCAATCCCAGCACTTTGGGAGGCCAAGGTGGGCGGATCACGAGGTCAGGAGTTCAAGACCAGCCTGACCAACATGGCGAAACCCCGTCTCTACTAAAAATACAAAAATTAGCCGGGCATGGTGGCGGGTACCTGTAATCCCAGCTACTTAGGAAGGCTGAGGCAGGAGAATCACTTGAACCTGGGAGGCAGAGGTTGCAGTGGGCCGAGATCGCACCACTGCCCTCCAGCTGGGCGACAGAGCAAGACTCAGTCTCAAAAAAAACAAAAACAAAATATATATGTAACCTAACCTCGCATTATTACTGCTTACAATTAATTCATCTGCGAGATCATTTTTTTTTGTCACTTACTTTAATCTAAGTCTGCATCATAGTTCATGCTCATTATCCACAAGTATAATTTGTAAAGGATTGCGTGTTCAAATAAGTCAGGAAACTGGGTCTCTCCCAGCTTTAACATCTATAACAGGAGTTCTTCACCTAAGCTGCACGGTAGAATCACATGGGAACTTTTAAATAGTACTGTTTCTTGGGCCTCATCCCCCAGAAATTCTGGATTTATTGGTATGGGGTGGAGCCACAGCATTAGTACTTTTTTTTTTTTTAACATTTAGGGTAAATTCTACCAACATGTTGTACTGATTACAGAGGACTTTGTTTTAAGCATCACTATATCTTGGTCAATAATATCTATTGGTCTACATAATGATTTTGTATAATTACTAAGAATTTAGCAAAACATTAACAATTTAAAAAAACTCTCTAGGTGCTTTAGATTGGCAGTCAGAGTCTATATGAGTCTACGGCTGTAATTAAAAAATGAAAAATGCAATCAGACATGCAGTGTGAAGGATTCTACCCAGGGAGATGGCTGGATTGCCTGGTGGCCAGGGCATCTTGTAGACACTGCTGAGGTGTGCCTATGTCCTTGAGGCTGCCTGGCTGTGAGCTCAGGTTTTCCTCGCTTCATATCCACGCTGGTGAGAGTTAGGCATGCTGGGCCCTCAGGCAAACTGCCCAGTACTTTACTGAAACACGCTTAGGCCCCATAAGTTCTGTGAGAAGGTGTTTCTTCACCCATAAACCAGGCTGGTTCTGTAAAACTGGTGAGCTCAACCAGGAGCCATGCAGACATCCCAAGGGGAAGAAAACAGAGAGCCAGTGAGACACTTGGACAAGAGCTCTGCCCAAAGGCAGGGGACACTGCCTGGCTATGCGGCTTGCATCCATCCTCTGCTGCTTCATTAAAGTCCCTCCTTGGCATCCCAGCCTGGCAGGTTCTGTGGTCAGCCAGCACCACATATTCTCTGTGACAATAAACATCTCATAGCTGCCTTGACTCTTGGTGGTGCCTCAGCTTCAGTTCCAAAGAATGTTTTCCCCCTTGGTTGGCGAGGCAGTGAACAGATGTCAGTGGGGGAGAATGAAGGGAGGAGTCAGAGGAAAGGAAAATCCTCGGGTTGGGAAAGATGAGCTGACAGCCTCAAAGGCTAGATGCGGCTCCTCCGTGGGCACACAAACATTCTTTACATATTCTGGAAAAGGGAAGAATGGCTGCAATTCATAGCTGTCTAGGAACATTCTTATTATAACTTCATCTTGACAGTACCCCCATCCAGGGATTTCAGCAAGCTTCGTGGAATTTCACCTTCTTAGTATTTAGTGATGGTGTCCATGGTTGCAGCATAGGCACCAGGCATTTCATTAATACATACATTATTTTGGATCCTCACAACAACCCTGTGAACTGGGTAGTATTTAACCCCATTTTACAGATGAGGAACTGTGGCTCAGAGACACTAGAGTCAGATAGTAGGTGCTGGGCAAGTGGGACTTCACCTGGAAGCTGACGATTCCAAATCCAAAGATCCTTTTCCTTAACATGTCATCCATTGTCTTTTCTATTTACTAAAAGTAATAGATGTTGATTGGGGAAATTTTGACAAATACAGAATGGTAGAAGGAAAATACTACCACTCATCCCCATAATCCCATCACCCTGAGATAATCATTGTCAGCATTTTGGCATAGGCTTCTCCAGTTTCTTCTTATGTGTATGTGTCTGTGTGGGTGCTCTGTTTTAGACGATATTGTATATAGTAGTAAATTTTATCTTTGGTTTTTACTCAGCATTATTTTGTGCATTTCCATGTAGCCTTATAATTCATTTAGAGCATAGCTTTTCATGGCTGTATATTAGTCTATCACATAGACCTAGGAAAATTTATATAACCACTCCCCTATTATTGAATGTGTAAGTTATTTTCCTTTTTCTGGCTAATGCAAATAACCAAAAAATGCAGTGGGGGTTCCCTGCACATTTTTCCCCCCACAATATCTGATTATTTCTTTAGCATAAAATCCTGGAAATGGAATTACTGAGTCAAAGGAGACACTCAGTGTATAACAACAAGGCCTGTCTTGCTGACAACTCGGAGATACCACCTCCTGCAAGGGCAGAGAACTGCCCTCCCCCTCAGCCCCCAAGGACAGAGGATGTTAACGTAAGGAGACCTCAATCACCTCCGGGCCTCCTAGTCTGGGGGAATAATTTGAGTTTGGTATTTTTCAGTTACTGGGGATCAGGCTATAAATTGTCAGGCAGCTAATTACACTGTGCTCGGAAGCAAATGATTCCAGTCAAAATAAAAACAGATGATAGATATTTTTTAAAAACTCATCTCCTCTTTGAGTCCATTTTAAAAAAAAAAAAAAAATTCTGATTTTCCCCTTGATGAATTACAGACGATTCTGAAGAATCTATGCTATTCAGAAAGAAAAATAATAATAAAAGATATCGTCAAGCCTCAAATTTCCCCACTCACAGAAAAGCAGGGGCATAAATAATACATTTAGCTTTGGAGTGCAACTGGATACACACAGCCGGGGACACACAGGCAGGTAGACTCTTGCTTTCTCTCTCTTTCTCACTGTGGCTCGGAGCCCCTCCTGCTCTGTCTAGCCTTTTTAGAGGGGCCCAGGGCCTGGCCCTGCAAAGCATGAAGGAGCCGAGGTTGCCTGGGTCTCATCTGCCCAAGGATAATGAAAACTTGAGTGTAGATAAAGAAAATCCACAGTTAGTTAATATTACAACTTCATTTGAACCATGCAGTTTAACCTTCTCAAGACCCTCATATCCAACTCCCTGACGAACAAACAGGATGTGAGGAACTTCCCACCCCACCTCCACCCTGGGGGCTTATTCTGAGTCAGGAGGTGCCTTGCTCCCTCTCCTCCTGAATCACTGGCAGTGAATTCCTCCCCCACACCAGCTCTCTCACATATCCAGGGCTTTGCACAGGCTACTTCCTGAGCCAGGAATTCCTTCCCCCACCTTCTTCAACCTTCAACGGCCAGCTCCAGATCATCCTTCAGAACTCAGACATCACATCTTCCTGGAAGCTTCGCTCAGCCTCTGTCCTGAGTCAGGTGTGCCTCCTCTGCCTTGCCCCGGTAGCCTAGACCTTATCTCCACAGCACTATGGCTCACTGTTCTCCCCACTGGACTGTGGGCCTGCATCCTAGTTCTACTCTGTACCCCCAGAAATCAGCACAGGGCAGGGCCCAGAGTCAAGTACTCAAAGAGTGTGCGATAGCTAGAAAGAAAGAAAGAAGGTATTCAATCTAACAGGTATTTATTAAGTGCCTATTAGGTGCCAAGCATTGTTTTGGGAGCTGGAGACACAACAGTGAAAACAGATAAAGACTACTACCCTCAAGGAGCTTATATCTTATTGAGGAGCTTACATTTTAGAAAGAGAGGGAGGGAGGAAGGGAATGGAAGGGAGGAAAGGAGGGAGGGAGGGAGGGAGGGAGGGGGGAGGGAGAGAGGAAGGGAGGGAGGAAGAGCTGCCTAATTGCTCAAACCTCCCAAGTTAACTGGCTGATACCTAGTGGTCTTGTGCATGACCTCATACAAAGCACTTTACTGCAAACTACCTGTACACTTAATAAACATACCTCCTGTTTGTGGCATTATTAAAGTAGTCTTGACTGTTAAGATTGCCATCCTGTGCCCTCTAACTTGAAAACTTCAATGAGGGCTTATTTGAGTGAAATTGTGGAGTTCCACAGAGCAGGGGAGAGCTGATAGCTTGAACCAGGAAGGCCAGCGATTCCCAACTGACAGTAGAGGACTCTAGAGGACCATAGAGTTATCACAAGAAGTCTGTTAGTTTGCAGATCCACCAAGCATTGTCTATGGACTGAATAAGCACTACTCTTCATATGCATGAAGATAACATTATAGTGTTTAAAACTGCAAATTCATTTAAAAGCATTGCTAAATTCACAATAACACTAACAGAATGACAGATTGGTTTTTATTTTTGTTTTTACCATAGGGAATTCTAAAAGTCCAAATTCCATCTTTGGACGCCAAACCGGACTGAGCAGAAGAATCTTCTGGTATGTGAACTAGGGTCCTGGTTCTGGTTATCAGCTCTCCTCCACCTAAATAAGACCTGATTCCCAGGCACCACATGCTGATGTGGTCAGGAATGAGATGGCACCTACCTCTGCAGCTTGGCAGCTCCTCGAATGGAGACATTGGGTCTTATTCACCTCTGGGTCTTTAGCACCCAGCACAAAGGTCAGACAGGGTCCAGACGCAGTTGTGCCCACTTTTCGAGGCTAGAAAATAATGATCTAAGGAAAAGACGATTTGAGGCCTTCAGAAAGGGAATACAGCAGCAAAGCCAGTGAGCCTGTTAAGCTACTTGAGCACTGAAGGATAAGAAATCCATACCCTGTAAATGTGTATGCTAAATGCACTTTTGGTAATAATGTTACTTTCTTGTTCCCATTGGTTTTTAATAAAAGGTGCCTTCTGAAATGCCAACCAGCCTCTACTAGAATAACAGAAAATAGTCAGGATGCAGGTGTGTGGCAAGTAGTGTCTACAACTGGATTGAAAGCTACAAGGGAGAAGAACAGGTATAAAGATGGCAGAGGGATCAGGAGGGATTGCAACAGTGTCAGGGTCACTGGCCAGCCACCCCTTCCCACCTGAAGATCCTTTTTCTGGAGCAATTTTCCATTCAAAGAAGACTATGTTTTGCTTTAACAAGAGAGCCTGTTGCCTCACACCTATTCTCTATATTCTCTATATGAGAAAGTTTGACCTTCCTTTCTCCTCTCCAGCTTCAGCTCACCCCCGGCCACAACTACAGAACCACAGGGTGCCCTCAGTTACTAAAGGTAACAGGAGTTATTTCTCATCCTGGACAAGTTCCAACTAGAGAAAATGCCAAGAAAATGACTCTCGAAGAACAACTGACTTTGAACTTAGCATCACTGCAGAGGGCAGAGCACTAGTCTGGTTGTCAGAAGGCATGGCTTCTAGGTGGAGGCCTCCTGTCACTGACCTGCTGTGTGACCCAGCCGGTACCACATTCCCAAATCAGCAGATTAAATACATGATTAGGCCACCAACAGCAGGGGTACAAAAGACAGAGAGGAAGGGAGAAAGAATCTAGTAAGATATTTTAATTTCAACATCCATGTGAGCTTTGAGCCATTTAAAAAGAGTAACATTTTTGTTTAAAGGTTTAGTATTGCTTTCACTTGGAATTACATATGGGGAGGCACTAAAATCTTTTCAGCACTCATGACTACTGAAGGTCTTGATCCAGCTGGGTGCCTTTGGACAGGTACCTTCCCCTTTCTGGGTCCGGGATGTCAAGTGTTATGACACATATGGTGGTTAATGACTGAATTGTTGGTACCACACCAGAGAGGTACAGGAACAGATGATGTAAATATACCACTCTCCTCCTAAAACCTAATCAATGTCGTCAAGGTCAAGGTTGAGCCCAAGAGCCATAACTTGAATCTTCTCCTATTACTCTACTATTCCAACATCCTGACACTTTTATCACTTTAGCTATTCATGTGTCTTAAAAAAGAGAAGATTAAATGTCTTGTTTCTAAAGTGGAAGAAATTCTAGTGGACATTTTGGTATCCAAATCTCCAGGGAAGATGTTTTCAACACATGGAAATACCATGAAGCAGACCAGGAATTTCATGGTATTTAAAAAGAAAATGGAAAGCAGGGTGGGGTGGGAAGAGAAAAGAAAATGGGTTTGCTTCTCCCTCCATACTCTGTCAACCCTCTGTCCCAAGAGCCTCGGGATGAAACGTACCACAGAGACAAAGTAAGCCCTGGCTGAGTGCCTGTTCCAAGTCCCCAAATTCCTGCCACCCTCCCCACTCCATCTGACTCAAGAGGCCATCTCTTCTCTTCATTAGCAAGGACGGTCAGACTCAGGGTCCACAACACCTCATCTAATGGCAAACTCATTGCAGTCTGGAGGTGCTTTTTTCATTTTTTCATCTCCGTATAGATTTACAACAGTCTATCCTCACACTGGAATTATGATTTAAACACAAATAAACCAGCTGTCCTTTCTGATTTGGAGCCAGAGTTGCCATAAAGTTGGAAAATCAAGAAGTAGGAATTTTACATAAAGATGAAGAGGGAGTTTTCACCACGGACCCAACTGGCTGTATTCAAGCCAAAATAATTGTAAGAAGCAACAGAACATCTTTCCCACAGCAAGTTCATGAGCTAGTGTAACATGATAGTTTTCCAGTGTTATTAAACATACCTAGAATTATCTAGCCCTTCAGTGACTTCCTTGATGGCAAAGGAGATATTATATCCCTACGCGGATGGCCTGATTGCTTTTGTAATTATCATCTAAGCACCTACAAACATTATATAGATCTCCAAGGGAGAAGTTGGAAAGCTTAGATTGACTCAGCATATGGTGGCAGGCATGGAGCTATTTCCCAATGGCTTTGACTACACCATTTTTTAGATGAAGAACCCAGTGTACAGGCCACAGATGCCATAAAACAGGACACATTCAAAACCAGATGTGGGGAAAACCTCAACTTATAGGCAGGGCCATGCCTAGGGTGTGGCAACTGCCACAGATCCACAACCACAGGGGCCTTCGGCAGTCCTGTGGTCTACCGTCTCCTCCTTCCATCCCCATCTCCCACACCATACCAGTTACAAGAGCTTTTAGGGCAGTCTCAAAGGGGTTCATGTTACCAAAGAACAGCCTTCAGTGGAGTGGGTGGGATGTTGCGAGGCAACTAGCCTAGCCCAGTCCACCCCTGTAACCTTGAAGATGGTGGGGGCATGACCCATGATTGTGATTGTGTAGAGAAGCACCTTCAACTTCTTCAGCATCCACTTTCTCCTCCTCTATCTCGCTCCTCCTCTCTCTGTCCTCCCCTGCTGCTTCTCAGGGCCCCAGCCCAGCCTGCAGGCTATAGGCCAGTCTGACTTGCCACTACTCAGTCAGTGGCAGCCAAGTTGTCACTGCAGGGAGGCTATATACTGCTGGCCTGTCAGCTGTCATTCACTCTGGCCATGTTGCTTTCCAACCTTCCTCCCACCTTCCCAGGTTTCTCCTGCCCCATGGTCAAAATAAATAGCTAGAGGAAGAATCTGAGGGCAATCCAGACAGATGGAGGATATGCAGGGTAAAATGCTGACCCCCAGCAAAATGGTCAGTAAGGGAGTGGGAATCCTAGGAGGAAAACGCATAGGGAAGAAAAAAGGGCAAGACATGACAATGTTCATTTATTTACTTACTTACGGTCAAAATCTAATATTCGGCTTGCTAAACACCCTGTTGAAGCTTATGCCTGAGCGACAAGGGAGTGGCCAGATGGTGCACTGATTACGCTCCCCAACTCTCTTTGCATTTGGCACTTATGTTCAGACCATTGCTGAGAAGGCCTAATTTCAGTGCTACCCAATTACAGCTCCTGAAGAGAAAAGTGTGCACTGAGAACTTCAAGGGGAGTCTAGGGTAGGGCATTAGACCAGAAAATGGAAAATCAGACCTTTTCACCAACTTACAGAAGGTAGCTGTGTTCCATTTATGCAGCAGTCCCTTGGGTGCCTCTGAGCCGTGGGACATGTACATTCTCAAAAGCAAGAGGCCACACCAGGGATGAGAGATGGCCACTCTTCCTGCTCTTGAAAACTGCCAAGAAGCCAAACCAGTGGTAATTTAACTTAACAATTGTTCCTCTCCATTGCAAGCTATCCATTGCATAAAGCCATCTCCTTCTAACCTGGCAGATCACCGGAGAGGGTTAGGTCCCAAAGGTGACTTGGTGAAGCCCTGCCTTCCCTCCCACAGAAAGGGCTTGCTAATTCAGTGGACAGGAAGGTAGAGTTGAAAAAACTGTCCTTAACTTACCCTACTGAACTCAGTAGGTGGCTCTCTGCAAACTGTGTAGGGATTTTGAAAACTACTCCTCAAGCTGACTTATCAAATTTCTCCTAGACTAATCCTGTAATCAGTGGGACCCCAGCAAAAAACTGAGCCCCTGCCATGCAGAGGCTCCTGGTCCAACGTCTACATTCCATCTGGCAGTCATCTGTGGCTTCCACCTTTCTTTTCCAATAGGACTCAGTTCATTTATCTCCACCAGAGACCTCTGCCATCTACCTCAGAGGTCAGAGACCTTTATGAAGAGAGGTGCCAGGGCCTGACTCCAGTCCTTCTGGAAGGGGTGGGGATGGGGTGGGGTCTGCAATGAAGAGGGGCTGGCCCAGGCAATTCTTTCCCAAGTTAGCTGGAAGCTTGCACTCAGAAATCAGCCAGCAGTCATCTTCTGCCCCCATTGGAAACTTTCTGGCCACACTGCTCCTTCTCTCCCCAGCTTTCTGGAGGAACCGATTGGCCCTGGTACCTGGCATGCCCCAGCTGTAGTCAGCATTTCCAGCCTACTCAGTCCCCTTGCTTTCAGCAGAAGTCCCACACTCTCAGGGGCACTGCATTTCCACAGACAGAGGATTCCCCGTGTAAAGTGCTGGGATCCAAAACAGTAAAGGACAAGGGCTCGCGTAGCCCCCCTACCCTCTCACACGTCCCGCGTGCTCAGTGAGGGCACCACTGGAACCTGGTTTCTCAGGCATGGCTGATTCCTAAAGTGAATGCGCTTCAGGAAACTGATGATAGTTTCTTTAAATGATTCTCTCCAGCAAATAACAGCCAGACCCTAGCGGTAGTGGGTAGGGGGTCAGCAAAGCCCCGGACATTCTCCCCTCCCCCCTCCCGGCCACTCCCCAGCACAGCGGCCCAAAACGTGCGGAGAGAAGCAAGCGGGAGGACGCTCAGACACTCCTGTGAGTGGGAGCCGCGTCCACGCTCCAGCGGGAAGTTGCACAGGTTTAAAGCCTGTAGGCACCACCGCCGGCTCCTGCCGCCGCGTAGGTTGCGGTCGGCTGCGGCGCGCTTTCTGAAGTGGCCGAGCTCCTAGACAGGAGCAAAGAAGCCAGCGGCTCGGCCATTTAGCTCCCGACGCGGCGATGAGGACGGCGCCGAGGGCCTGGGGCTAGGTGGGCGGGTAGGGGGAGTATCGCCCAAGCCGTCCTGGACCCAGCGCGTCCCCAGCCAAAACCCCAGGAGGCGGCCACCAACCCCAGGGTCGGGAGTCCCAAGGGCACGGGGCCACTCCGGACGGCGCGACCGGGTCCAAGAGCAGGAAGTTCCAGCGGTAGGGCGACCGTGGGGCGGAGGCGGGGGTCGGGGAAATGGGATCCCCTCACTCCCCGAATGGAGGGGAGGGGAGGGGCGGAGAGAGGCGGGGAGAGGGTGGGCACAGCGCTAAGCGCCGACCGGCGCCCCTAGAGGCGGGGTAGACGCGGGGCCGCGAGCCACCGGGGCGCCGTTTTTACCTAGCTCTTCCTCGTCCTCCTCCGGGCCAAGCAGGCGGCAGGGAAGGCGGCGGCGGAGGCGCACGGTGCGCCGGTACAGGCTGTCTGTGCGGCGCCCCAGGGCCAGCAGGTGCCCCTCGAGGTCCTCGAGCAGAGCCAACGAGTGGCCACAGAGGTCGGCGAGCTGCCGGAGCAGGCTGAGCGCTGCCAGGTGGCTCACGTCGCGGAGCTCCGCCAGCTGCTGCGGCGGGTTGCGCGGGCACAGGCGCTGGGGTACCACCGTGCGCCTGTAGAACGGCATCCCGGCCGCGGGCGCGGGCGCAGGGGACCAGTCTGGCGGCGCGGCGGGCTCACCCCGAGCAGCGCCCCTGGCCCGAGCGCCCCTGAGCGGCGGCCCCAGCTCCGGGTGTAGCAGGCCCCTGGGCGCGGGCCGGAGAGCGTGCGGGCGCCAAAGACGACGGGCGGGTAGGCGGGCTGACGGGTTCCTCGCCTAGAGCGCCGGCTCCCCCGGGGCTGCACACTCGCCGGAGCCACCAGTCCCTCTGACTCTGCTTCGCCGGGCTCCTCCTCCTCCTCCCCCCTCCTCCTCCTCTCTTTTCTCCTCCTCCTCCTCCTAGCTCTGCTACTTCGGGATCCCCCCACCCACCTTTTTTTTTTTTCTTCTTTTGCGGTCAGAGATTCGCAGATTAACGCTTGATCCGGGAGAGGGAGAAAGGGAAGTAGGAGTAAAAAGAGCGAGCTGGAGCGTGAAAGAAGGAATGTCTGCGTGAGGGGGGACGTAAGGTACGGTGTAGAATGTGTGCCCCGGTCCTCCTGAGGAGCTCCACTCCCAGTTCTGATGGTTAAAGTTATTTTTTGCTTTTTTTTTTAACTTAAACTTTTTCTTCATAATTACAAAAAAAAAAAAAAAAATTCAAGCACACCCGCGCCCACACCAGCGGGTAATCAGCGAAGACCGACCGAATAGTTTGACTTTATTGATCTAGATTTCCTTTCCCAAACGTACTCGGTGCCACGCACGGGCTAGACTAGGCTGTGAATACAACCTTCTAGCACCCAGGAGCTTGGAAATAAGGACCAAAAAACCAAATATCTTATTCGACTGTTCAAGAAGACAATGTCTCTAGGGAGTCCCACAGTGGCTGGACATTGTAAAGCCATTGGAGTGGATGAATAGAAACAAACCCATTTTCTGGAACAATAGACTTAATTCAGATAGAGGGACGCCACTCCATAGTTTATGCAAAAAGAGAGCCCAGGGACGCCTCCTTCTGGTAGGGTCCGCCAGCTGGGATAGGCTCTATCCCTGGCCAGGCTGGGCTGCTGGGATGCTCTCCGAAGAGGGTTACAGGAGCCGAGATGTGCTTTCAGTGCGGGCAACCCTGTGGTCACGGCCTGATTTCTCTCCATTCCAGAAGGCAGAAAAGAGGGGGCACATTATTGTCCTCAGAAAACCAGAGTACGTGAGCATATGTCCTCATGCACTTAGGACCTTTCCACTCAGAACGCTTATTTTCAACACACTGAGCTCCCATCTGACTCTCCTCTAACCCACTTCTTTGACTTTGGTGTACTTCGGTTTCTTCCTTCTCTTCATTCTCTTCTCATTTTTCCTCTTACAAATGTTCACATCCTTATAATCCTTTATAATCCATTAGCAAAACACTTTTTTTTTTAAGAGACAAGATCTACCACTGTCACCCTGGCTGGAGTGCAGTGGTGTGGTCACAGCTCACTGCAGCCTTGAATTCACTCTGGGCTCAGGGGATCCTCCGGTCTCAGCCTCCTGAGTAGCTAGGGCTATAGGCACGTGCCACCACTCCTGCTAATTTAGTTTTTATTTTTTGAAGAGACGGAATCTCCCTATGTTGCCCAGGCTGGCCTTAAACTCCTTGGCCCCAAGCAATCCTCCTGCCTCAGCCTCCCAAAGCACTGGGATTACAGGCATGAGCCACCACACTGGCCAGTAAAATACTTTGAACAGAATACCTGCATCTACATTAATGATTCTAAGCGTGGCCTGTTTTCATGCATTCCTTCAGATAATTAATTGTCCCTGAAGCAGTTCAAGAAGGTTCTACAACTAGTATATTTCAAAATTGCTAATAGATTCTAAATGTTCACACCACAGAAAAATGGTAAATATGTGAGGTAATGGATATGTTAACTAGTTTGATTTAATCATTCCACAATGTATTAATATATATACATCAAACCACATCGTGCCCCATAAATACATATAATTGTTTGTCAATTAAAAATAAAGTAAAAGCGTAATCCGATTTCCCTTTTCAGCATATAGTTGTTTCTTGTTTAGTAAATTAGAACATGGATATTAGAAAAGTTGGGTTCTGATTAAAATAAGAATCAACAAATGGGCAAAAGACTTGTACCCTTTCTGAAATGTAAAATCCAGTTGCAGAATAAAAACCCCAAATTCTCGATTTGGCAAACTCAAACCTGAGCCAAGAGAGCAACTGGGAGGAAGCAGGGACTTGGCTGGACTCTCCAGGGATACTTTTCCTTGACCTATGAGCTGTTTAGACTGATCTCTGCTCTGGAGAAGAAGAAATGAGGTACGAGCAGATTGAAGGAGACTGTGTGGTCAGAGCTTCACTGCCTGAGCACAGCAGGCCTGGACTGGGCCTGGTCGCTGAGCCTCCCTCACTACTCTGATTCCTGATGCTGATGAATCTTTCAGAGATCTATAATAACAAGCCCAATTCCAAGCAAACCAGCTTTGGCCCTACCCCCTTTCCCCCAGCCTAGTCTGCTCTCACTCCAGCCTCATCAATGAGATGGCCCTGGCTTTCGTCAAGGAAACATCAAGTATTTGCAATGGAGTCACTTCACAGCAGAGTCCCTCCTCCCTTGCCAGGACTAGAGTGGGTCTGCATGTATGATGGAAGAAGCCAAGGGAATATAAGTTGTCACCTTGCTTCTTATCCAGTCTCTTCCCAACAGGAAAGGTGAGACCTCGAATAAGGGGCTGCCTTGGGTTCAAGAGGTGAGCAGAGATGCAGAAAGCCTCAGAGGAAGGAGCGTAGGGAGCCAGGCTCTGGTATGTGGAGGGAAAGTTAGAGTTCTTGAAATACCGTGCTCCAGCCAAGCTGGCTGGGCAGGAAAGCAGCTAGGGTAAAGTGTCCTCTCCTGTGCTCCCACATCACCCTCTAGCACAGTATCTGGCACAGTGTACTGGAGGGTGATATGAACATCCTTGTTTAATAGTAATACTAATATTCCTTTGTAATAATATTGTCTCCCCCACATGATTGTTAGCTGCATGGCAGCAGGAATCACTTCTGTCTTGTTCACTGCTGTATGCCCAGTGCCAAGCCCAGTGACGGGTACACCACAGGTACTCTGAAAATGCCTGCTGAATGAATGAATGAATAAATGGAGGATTATAGGCAGAGCAAGATATGAAGAGCCTTACTAAAGGATTCAACTCAGCCGAAGGGGCTATAGAGAGTCGTTGTGGATTCTGGAGTAGAACATTGCCTGACACAAGGAAGGAAGTGCTTAAGAACTTTTCATGTGGAGGCCAAGGCTGCTACGCCCCACCTGCGCTCACATCTCCAGAGCCAAGTAGCCAGAAAGTGCTCTGTGAATTCAACATTTGCTTTGATTTGCCTATAAACCTTGGCATTTCACATTCAGAAGGAGAGAGAGAAAATGAAGGTGCAAAGAAGAGAAGGGGAGGCCCTTCACAGCCAAGCCAGACCTGAAAGTGCTGGATGCTTCCCACGCACCCACCAACTCCCATGCTCCAGGCCTGCAGCAGTTCATCCTGACACCAGATTTTGGAGTTGCACTCTGAGCCTAAGCCTAAGCCCCTGTGGAATCAGGTATGGATCCGACCTAGAAACAGAGACAGAAGGAGTAGCCAGAGAGGCAGGAGGAAATGGGAGCATTGACCACTCAAGACCAGTAAGGCCTCTGCTTTCCTTCCCATCTCCCAATCTGCCTTCCTAGCTGCTGCTAAGAACCTAGAATTTCAATAAAAATGAACTTGAAAGAATAAATAAGTGACACAGGATATGCCATTTCTCCTTCCTTGAGCTGGCAGTTTCCACAGCTGCAAAATGAAAATTTATGAGCAAACCTCATGTAACCTACCCAGCTTCCCAGTACAGCCCTCAGTCTTATTTCAGGATGAGAAACAAGAAAACTGCCTCCATGTTGCTACCTCTCAAATATGCCAGATAGTAGCAACTTGGTGGCTAAGAAGAGATGTTGGCTTTCTCTTTGATATTCCTCTACAGTCAATTGTTTTATCTAAGTTTTTTTTTTTTTTTTCTGGTTTTAGGGACAACGTCTTGCTATGTTGCCTGGACTGAACTCGAACTACCCAGCTCAAGCAATCCTCCCAAGTAGCTGGAACTACAGGGTCGCACTGTGTTTTATCTAAGTTTTAAGAATATATATTTCACCCCACACCCTCTTGCCATGAGACTCAATAAAAATATATATACAGGCAGTGGGGGTATGAAAAGGCTGCTCATTAATCCTAACTCTAACATTCTGTTCTCTGGTTCTAAGTGTCTGTACCAAGAGAAATTAACAAGAATTGGCAAATACTAGATTGAATCGACTCTCTTTTTAAATGTCATTTACCCTTTTTGGTATAAATGCATGGCTCTGCAGTTAAGAATACAATTAAACTCTCTCTCCTCAGATAGGCAGCCCAGTAGCCCAAAGAAATCGAACTGCCAGCTTTTCAGTCAGATAGAGCCTATAATTCAATTAACAATGCAGACAGTATCAAGGCTAATCAATGCTACACTCTGAAAAGAGAGGGATTTGTGGATTGAGTTTATCTTTATAATGATTATTAACAATTTATCAAAACATATAGAATTAGATAAATTATTAATGAAGCATGCAAAGTTAAAAAAAAAGAGTGGGTACATTGAGTGGATCAGTGCTACAAGATTTGAGAGGAAAGAGCATGCTTCTGCCCTAGAGGCAACAGAGGCTTCGCTGAGTGGGAGGGATGTAACCCCAGAGCTGGGCCTCCAAGGGTGGACTGGAAACTTACATGGCCATCAATCATCTCCTAGGGCAGTAAGCGTGTGAGCCAAAGACGGCTCAGGGTCCTAAAATAAATTCCTTTCAGTCCAGTCTCAATGCTTCACACACATGGGGCAAACCCTTCAAGAATTCCGTGAGGAAATAAACCTTTATTTCAAAAATAAACTTTGACGTTGTTTGAACTTTGACCCTGACTCTGAGCACAGGCTGAGACTTCGAAAAAAGACTTGTGGCGTTATGAAGGAAACTATGGGAGATTTCAGCAGAATGTGAACAAATTCTTTTTCAGTCCCTCATCTTCATGTCCTATGTAGATCCTCCTTCACCACCAATCCCTCACCCGCCACCCAACCGTCATGTTTTACCCGCTCTGTCTTGTTAGGATGAGACTATAATTAGGAACATTCGAATGTTGTTGCATTTAATAGGTAATTTTATCTTAACATGCTTACTTTACACAAGAAAAATCATATTAAGCCACTCCCTGACTATCCTACTCTTGACCTGACAACCACCATTCCTCCTCTGCAAACCTCTGTCTCCCCACAAAATCCCAAAGCAGTAAGTAAAAGTCCTTAATCCCCCCAGAATGGGCTATGTATGCCACGTAATGACATGTCTTCAGTGTGTTTGATATTAAGGCTAGATTTAGGTAATAACCATGTCCATGTACAGCATTACATTGGGTGTTGTCTTAGTCCATTTGGGCTGCTATAACTAACTGCTATAATAAACTGAGTGGCTTATAGATAAAAGAAATTTATTTCTCACAGTTCTGGAAGCTGGGAACTCCAAGATAAGGTGACAGTAGATTCAATGTCTGTTGAGAGCCCACCTCCTGGTTCATAGATGTTGCCTTCCTGCTGTGTCCTCACATGGTGGAAAAGGGCAAGGCAGCTCTCTGGGGCCTCTTTTATAAAGGCACTAATCCCATTCATGAGGGTCCCACCCTCATGATCTAATCACCTCCCGAAGGTTCCACCTCCCAATATCATCATATTGGGAATTAGGTTTCAACATGTGGATTTTGGATGGAACATAAACATTCATACCATAGAAGAGGTTGTTATATAGATCAGGATTTTGTGATTAATTATGGAGAAATACTGAATCTGAATAACTAACGTGTCAGTTTTATCAAGCACCCAAATATGGTTAGATACATGATCAGTCTTCCCTCTCTGTAGGAAGCTAGGCAGCAAAACACAGTGATAACAGCCAAACACAGGCTTTGGAGATCCACTGATCTGACTTCAAATCCCCAGCTCCATTGCTGGCTGTGTGTCTTGGACAGGTTACTTATTCTCTTGGTGCCTCAGTTTCCTCATCCATAAAATGGACGTGGCCTAGAATGGCAATCATTAAAAATTCAGGCAACAACAGGTGCTGGAGAGGATGTGGAGAAATAGGAACACTTTTACACTGTTGGTGGGACTGTAAACTAGTTCAACCATTGTGGAAGACAGTGTGGCAATTCCTCAGGGATCTAGAACTAGAAATACCATTTGATCCAGCCATCCCATTACTGGGTATATACCCAAAGGATTATAAATCATGCTGCTATAAGGACACATGCACACGTATGTTTATTGCAGCACTATTCACAATAGCAAAGACTTGGAACAAACCCAAATGTCCAACAATAATAGACTGGCTTAAGAAAATGTGGCACGTATACACCATGGAATACTATGCAGCCATAAAAAATGATGAGTTCATGTCCTTTATAGGGACATGGATGAAATTGGAAATCATCATTCTCAGTAAACTATTGCAAGGACAAAAAACCAAACACCGCATGTTCTCACTCATAGGTGGGAATCGAACAATGAGAACACATGCACACAGGAAGGGGAACATCACACTCTGGAGACTATTATGGGGTGGGGGGAGGGGGGAGGGATAGCATTAGGAGATATATCTAATGCTAAATGACGAGTTAATGGGTGCAGCACACCAGCATGGCACATGTATACATATGTAACTAACCTGCACATTGTGCGCATGTACCCTAAAACTTAAAGTATAATAAAAATAAATAAATAAATAAATAAAATAAAATGGACGTGGCCAATATTCAATTAGTGTGTGTGAGTGTGGCTGTACTGATTGTCTATAGGTGTCCATCCTGCTTGGCTAGGGCTTATGCCATACATTAAACATTATGAATATCACTCCTAAAAATGGGGATAACAGTGGTACTTACCTTATAGGATTATTCTCAGGATTACATGAAATAATATTCATAAAGTGCTTAGCACTGTGCTTGGCACGTAGGAGGCACTCAATAAATGTTAGCTCCTATTATTAGTAGTATAGATAGTAGTTTCCTATTTTTAAAAAAGGAAGGGACTTTTTTTCTCCCTTCTCCATCCTGGGTCAACATAGCCTCAAGTCCTTACTTCAGAGTTTCTGAAGAATTTATTAAAATCAGGAATAGTCTAGATCTTGTCTCTTGCCAAATTAGCTTTTAATTTGTCATAGGCTTTCTGACATTCAGGTTGTCTCAACTTATTTATCAAACCTTTCTCAGCCAAATTAGTAAGATTTATTAGGTTAAACTGCATTACAAACTTGTGGCAATAACAAGTGCTGGTCCTTATTTGCTTCTTTATGTCTGGGTTGTCCCACTTCCCAATCATCTTAGCTATATCTTAAATAAGTAGGGGCCGGGCGCGGTGGCTCACGCCTGTAATCCCAGCACTTTGGGAGGCCGAGGCGGGCGGATCACGAGGTCAGGAGATCGAGACCATCCCGGCTAAAACGGTGAAACCCCGTCTCTACTAAAAATACAAAAAATTAGCCGGGTGTAGTGGCGGGCGCCTGTAGTCCCAGCTACTTGGGAGGCTGAGGCAGGAGAATGGCGTGAACCCGGGAGGCGGAGCTTGCAGTGAGCCGAGATTGCGCCACTGCACTCCAGCCTGGGCGACAGAGCGAGACTCCGTCTCAAAAAAAAAAAAAAAAAAAAAAAAAAAATAAGTAGGATTCTATTGGTTACTCTCTAGCCCAGAGTCATCACCTTGGACAGTCTAAATGGATGTTCACTCAACTCCTTAGTAAGCCCAGTTTCTGGAGTTACCCAGGGAACAGTCACTAAATATCTTAGATGAGTTTACATATTTACATTAAAAATGACTATCTCAGGGAGGAGCCAAGATAGCTGAATAGGAACAGCTCTGGTCTACAGCTCCCAGCATGAGCGACGCAGAAGATGGGTGATTTCTGCATTTCCAACTGAGGTACCGGGTTCATCTCACTGGGGTGTGCCAGACAGTGGGTGCAGGACAGTGGGTGCAGCACACAATGCACAAGCCAAAGCAGTGCGAGGCATTGCCTCACCCGGGAAGTGCAAGGGGTCAGGGAATTCCCTTTCCTAGTCAAGGAAAGGGGTGACAGATGGCACCTGGAAAATTGGGTCACTCCCACCCTAATACTGCACTTTCCCAATGGGCTAAAAAGCGGCACACCAGGAGATTATATCCCGCACCTGGCTCAGAGGGTCCTACGCCCACGGAGTCTCGACCATTGCTAGCACAGCAGTCTGAGATCAAACTGCAAGGTGGCAGCGAGGCTGGGGGAGGGGTGTCCACCATTGCCGAGACTTGATTAGGTAAACAAAGCGGCCAGGAAGTTCGAACTGGGTGGAGCCCAGCTCAAGGAGGCCTGCCTGCCTCTGTAGGCTCCACCTCTGGGGGCAGGGCACAGACAAACAAAAAGACAGCAGTAACCTCTGCAGACTTAAATGTCCCTGTCTGACAGCTTTGAAGAGAGTAGTGGTTCTCCCAGCATGAAGCTTGAGATCTGAGAACAGGCAGACTGCCTCCTCAAGTGGGTCCCTGACCCCCGAGTAGCCTAACTGGGAGGCACCCCCCCCCCATAGGGGCAGACTGACACCTCAAACGGCCGGGTACACCTCTGAGACAAAACTTCCAGAGGAACGATCAGGCAGCAGCATTTGCGGTTCACCAATATCCACTGTTCTGCAGCCTCTGCTGCTGATACCCAGGCAAACAGAGTCTGGAGTGGACCTCTAGCAAACTTCAACAGACCTGCAGCTGAGGGTCCTGTCTGTTAGAAGGAAAACTAACAAACAGGAAGGACCTCCACACCAAAAACCCATCTGTACGTCACCATCATCAAAGACCAAAGGTAGATAAAACCACAAAGATGGGGAAAAAACAGAGCAGAAAAACTGGAAACTCTAAAAATCACAGAGCCTCTCCTCCTCCAAAGGAACGCAGCTCCTCACCAGCAATGGAACAAAGCTGGATGGAGAATGACTTTGATGAGTTGAGAGAAGAAGGCTTCAGACGATCAAACTACTCCGAGCTACAGGAGGAAGTTCAAACCAATGGCAAAGAAGTTAAAAACTTTGAAAAAAAATTAGATGAATGGATAACTAGAATAATCAATGCAGAGAAGTCCTTAAAGGACCTGACAGAGCTGAAAACCAAGGCACGAGAACTACGTGACAAATGCAGAAGCCTCAGCAGCCAATGCGATCAACTGGAAGAAAGGGTATCAGTGATGGAAGATCAAATGAATGAAATGAAGCCAGAAGAGAAGTTTAGAGAAAAAAAAATAAAAAGAAACGAACAAAGCCTCCAAGAAATATGGGACTATGTGAAAAGACCAAATCTACGTCTGATTGGTGTACCTGAAAGTGATGGGGAGAATGGAACCAAGTTGGAAAACACTCTGCAGGATATTATCCAAGAGAATTTCCCCAATCTAGCAAGGCAGGCCAACATGCAAATTCAGGAAATACAGAGAATGCCACAAAGATACTCCTCGAGCAACTCCAAGACAAGTAATTGTCAGATTCACCAAAATTGAAATGAAGGAAAAAATGTTAAGGGCAGCCAGAGAGAAACGTCGGGTTACACACAAAGGGAAGCCCATCAGACTAACAGCTGATCTCTCGGCAGAAACTCTACAAGCCAGAAGAGAGTGAGGGCCAATAATCAACATTCTTAAAGAAAAGAATTTTCAACCCTGAATTTCATATCCAGCCAAACTAAGCTTCATAAGCAAAGGAGAAATAAAATACTTTACAGACAAGCAAATGCTGAGAGATTTTATCACCACCAGGCCTGCCCTAAAAGAGCTCCTGAAGGAAGCACTAAACATGGAAAGGAACAACTGGTACCAGCCACTGCAAAAACGTGCCAAATTGTAAAGACCATCAAGGCTAGGAAGAAACTGCATCAACTAATGAGCAAAATAGCCAGCCGACATCATAATGACAGGATCAAATTCACACATAATGATATTAGCTTTGAATGTAAATGGGAAAAATGCTCCAATTAAAAGACACAGACTGGCAAACTGGATAAAGAGTCAAGACCCATCAGTGTGCTGTATTCAGAAAACCCATCTCACGTGCAGAGACACACATAGGCTCAAAATAAAAGGATGGAGGAAGACCTACCAAGCAAATGGAAAACACAGAAAGGCAGGGGTTGCAATCCTAGTCTCTGATCAAACAGACTTTAAACCAACAAATATCAAAAGAGACAAAGAAGGCCATTACATAATGGTAAAGGGATCAATTCAACAAGAAGAGCTAACTATCCTAAATACATGTGCACCCAATACAGGAGCACCCAGATTTATAAAGCAAGTCCTTAGTGACCTACAAAGAGACTTAGACTCCCACACAATATTAATGGGAGACTTTAACACCCCACTGTCAACATTAGACAGATCAACGAGACAGAAAGTTAACAAGGATATCCAGGAATTGAACTCAGCTCTGCACCAAGCAGACCTAATAGACATCTACAGAACTCTCCACCCCAAATCAACAGAATATACATTCTTTTCAGCACCACACCACACCTGTTCCAAAATTGACCACATAGTTGGAAGTAAAGCACTCCTCAGCAAATGTAAAAGAACAGATATTATAACAAACTGTCTCTCAGACCACAGTGCAATCAAACTAGACCTCAGGATTAGGAAACTCACTCAAAACTGCTCAACTACATGGAAACTGAACAACCTGCTCCTGAATGACTACTGGGTACATAACGAAAGAAGGCAGAAATAAAGATGTTCTTTGAAACCAACAAGAACAAAGACACAACATACCAGAATCTCTGGGACACATTCAAAGCAGTGTGTAGAGGGAAATTTATAGCACTAAATACCCACAGGAAAAAGCAGGAAAGATCTAAAATTGACACCCTAACATCACAATTAAAAGAACTAGAGAAGCAAGAGCAAACACATGCAAAAGCTAGCAGAAGACAACAAATAACTAAGATCAGAGCAGAACTGAACGGGATAGAGACACAAAAAAACCCTTCAAAAAATCAATGAATCCAGGAGCTGGTGTTTTGAAAAGATCAAGAAAATTGATAGACCACTAGCAAGACTAATAAAGAAGAAAAGAGAGAAGAATCAAATAGACGCAATAAAAAGTGATAAGGGGGATATCACCACCGCTCCCACAGAAATACAAACTACCATCAGAGAATACTATAAACATCTCTATGCAAATAAACTAGAAAATCTAGAAGAAATGGATAAATTCCTCAACACATACATCCTCCCAAGACTAAACCAGGAAGAAGCTGAATCTCTGAATAGACCAATACCAGGCTCTGAAATTGAGGCAATAATCAATAGCTTACAAACCAAAAAAAGTCCAGGACCAGATGGATTCACAGCCGAATTCTACCAGAGGTACAAGGAGGAGCTGGTACCATTCCTTCTGAAACTATTCCAATCAATAGAAAAAGAGGGAATCCTCCCTAACTCATTTTATGATGCCAGCATCATCCTGATACCAAAGCCTGGCAGAGACACAACCAAAAAAGAGAATTGACCAATATCACTGATGAATATTGATGCAAAAATCCTCAATAAAATACTGGCAAACTGAATCCAGCAGCACATCAAAAAGCTTATCCACCATGATCAAGTGGGCTTCATCCCTGGGATGCAAGGCTGGCTCAACATACACAAATCAATAAATGTAATCCAGCATATAAACAGAACCAAAGACAAAAACCACATGATTAACTCAATAGATGCAGAAAATGCCTTTGACAAAACTCAACAACCCTTCATGCTAGAAACTCTCAATAAATTAGGTATTGATGGGACGTATCTTGAAATAATAAGAGCTATCTATGACAAACCCACAGCCAATATCAGACTGAATGGGCAAAAACTGGAAGCATTCCCTTTGAAAACTGGAACAAGACAGGGATGCCCTCTCTTACCACTCCTATTCAACATAGTGTTGGAAGTTCTGGCCAAGGCAATCAGGCAGGAGAAGGAAATAAAGGGTATTCAATTAGGAAAAGAGGAAGTCAAATTGTCCCTGTTTGCAGATGACATGATTGTATATCTAGGAAACCCCGTCGTCTCAGCCCAAAATCTCCTTAAGTTGATAAGCAACTTCAGCAAAGTCTCAGGATAAAAAATCATATACAAAAATCACAAGCATTCTTATACACCAATAACGGAAAAACAGAGAGCCAAATCATGAGTGAACTCCCATTCACAATTGCTTCAAAGAGAATAAAATACCTAGGAATCCAACTTACAAGGGATGTGAAGGACCTCTTTAAGAAGAACTACAAACCACTGGTCAATGAAATAAAAGAGGATACAAACAAATGGAAGAACATTCCATGCTCATGGGTAGGAAGAATCAGTATCGTGAAAATGGCCATACTGCCCAAGGTAATTTGTAGATTCAATGCCATCCCCATCAAGCTACCAATGACTTTCTTCACAGAATTGGAAAAAACTGCTTTAAAGTTCATATGAAACCAAAAAAGAGCCCGCATTGCCAAGTCAACCCTAAGCCAAAAGAACAAAG
This sequence comes from Homo sapiens, assembly GCF_000001405.40. NCBI lineage: Eukaryota > Metazoa > Chordata > Mammalia > Primates > Hominidae > Homo > Homo sapiens. The sequence continues at coordinate 71,898,517 of NC_000023.11, read as the reverse complement.
CTGGAGGCATCACGCTACCTGACTTCAAACTATACTACAAGGCTACAGTAACCATAACAGCATGGTACTGGTACCAAAACAGAGATATAGACCAATAGAACAGAACAGAGCCCTCAGAAATAATGCCGCATATCTACAACCATCTGATCTTTGACAAACCTGACAAAAACAAGAAATGGGGAAAGGATTCCCTATTTAATAAATGGTGCTGGGAAAACTGGCTACCCAGATGTATTAAGCTGAAACTGGATCCCTTCCTTACACCTTATACAAAAATTAATTCAAGATGGATTAAAGACTTAAATGTTAAACCTAAAACCATAAAATCCCTAGAAGAAAACCTAGGCAATACCATTCAGGACATAGGCATGGGCAAGGACTTCATGTCTAAAACACCAAAAGCAATGGCAACAAAAGCCAAAATTGACAAATGGGATCTAATTAAACTAAAGAGCTTCTGCACAGCAAAAGAAACTACCATCAGAGTGAACAGGCAACCTACAGAGTGGGAGAAAATTTTTGCAACCTAGTCATCTGACAAAGGGCTAATATCCCGAATCTATAATCAGCTCAAACAAACGTACAAGAAAAAAACAAACAACCCCATCAAAAAGTGGGCAAAGGATATGAACAGACACTTCTCAAAAGAAGACATTTATGCAGCCAAACAACACATGAAAAAATGCTCATCATTACTGGCCATCAGAGAAATGCAAATCAAAACCACAATGAGATACCATCTCACACCAGTTAGAATGGCGATCATTAAAAAGTCAGGAAACAACAGGTGCTGGAGAGGATGTGGAGAAATAGGAACACTTTTACACTGTTGGTGGGACTGTAAACTAGTTCAACCATTGTGGAAGACAGTGTGGTGATTCCTCAAGGATCTAGAACTAGAAATACCATTTGACCCAGCCATCCCATTACTGGGTATATACCCAAAGGATTATAAATCATGCTGCTATAAGGACACATGCACACGTATGTTTATTGCGGCACTATTCACAATAGCAAAGACTTGGAACCAACCCAAATGTCCAACAATGATAGACTGGATTAAGAAAATGTGGCACATGTACACCATGGAATACTATGCAGCCATAAAAAATGATGAGTTCATGTCCTTTGTAGGGACATGGATGAAACTGGAAACCATCATTCTCAGCAAACTATCGCAAGGACAAAAAGCCAAACATGATATGTTCTCACTCATAGGTGGGAATTGAACAATGAGAACACATGGACACAAGAAGGGGAACATCACACACTGGGGACTGTTGTGGGGTGGGGGGAGGGGGGAGGGATAGCATTAGGAGATATACCTAATGTAAATGACGAGTTAATGGGTGCAGCACACCAACATGGCACATGTATACATATGTAACAGACCTGCACGTTGTGCACATGTACCCTAAAACTTAAAGTATAATAATAATAAAATAAAACAAAATAAAATAAAATAAAATAAAAAAAATGAATATCTCATCACTGTATGCAATTGCAGGATCAATTTCATATATTATCAATTGCAGACAATAAAATATTATCCACCACCAAAATACAGTGAAAGCTTTCTTTTTCCAAAGGGAAATGGATTCCATTTTTTATCAAAGCACACCAACTGAATATTTGCCTTGTCCATTTTATGGATAAGTAAACTGAAGCACAGAGGGTATAAAGTAATCTGCCCAAGAAACAGCAGCCATCTCGGTCTTGACCTTGTGTATGCTAGGATGCTTTGGCTGTAAGCAACAAAAAACACAACTCGAAGTTGACAATAAGGACATTTATTATCTCATAAAATAAGAAATAAAGGGTAGGCACTAAGTTTGGTTAATCCAGATGCTTGACAACATCATCCAGGAGCTAGGTTTTCTCTGTCTTTCTGCTTTGCCATCATTGGCATGTTGGGTTTATTCCCAGGCTAGATACCATTTAGGGGCTGGAGCAATATACTTCTTTATATACATCCAGAGGAAGAGAATAAAAAAAGCACTCTCCCAAACATGGAATAAATATTTCCCCCCCATTTTCACTGGACAGATGCCCATCTTCAAACCATTATGTGTCATCAGGGGAATGTACTGACACATTCTAATCAGCACACACATAGAGCCAGGTGTGGAGTGGATACCTGTAAAAAAGTGAGGTTCTGTTAGGAAGGAGGAAAGCCCAATGACTGAGTGCAGCAAGGATACTAAGATAGGTCTATTCCAGGGAGAAATGAGACCCTTCTGATGGTCATTCTTGGCTTGAGGATAAACTGACAGCTCAAGTATTCCTCATAACTGACCTGAATCATAGACTGATGGGCCTCTTAGCCTCCCCCAGTTCCCTCCACGTATTTTCTCGGGAACTTTCCTGATACATTTCTTGCACATCTAATCCTGTCTTGATATCTGCTTCTCAGAGGACCTAGGCTCAAACAATCACCAATCAACCAACTCAATAAACTCTTCTCCATCCTTATTATACTGGACGTCTCCGTAGCATTTGACAATGATGACCACACCCACATTCTTGAAACTTCATCCTGCCTTTTCTTCTTCTTTCTTTCTTTTTCTCTTTCTTTCTTTCTTTCTTTTTTCTTTCTCTTTCTCTTTCTAATTTCTTTCTTTTTTCTTTATTTCCTTCTTTCTTTTTCTGTCTCTTTTTTCTTTCTCTTTCTTCTTTTTTCTTTCTCTTTCTCTTTCCCTTTTTCTTTCTCTTTCTTTCTTCTTTTTTCTTTTTCTTTCTCTTTCCTTTTTTCTTTCTCTTTCTTCTTTTTTCTTTCCCTTTCCCTTCCTTCCTCCCTCCCTTCCTTCCTCCCTCCCTTCCTTCCTCCCTCCCTTCCTCCCTCCCTCCATTCCTCCCTCCCTCCCTTCCTTCCTTCCTTCCTTCCCCTTCCTTCCTTCTTTCCTTCCTGCCTCTTTCCTTTTCTTTTCTCTTTTCTTTTCTTTTCTTTTGAGATGGGGTCTCATTCTATCACCCAGGCTGGAGTGCAGTGGTGCAATTATAGCTCACTGAAACCTCAAACTCCTGGGCTCAAGCAATCCTCCTACTTCAGCCTCCCAAATGCCTTCACATTCGTAATGCTACTATATCCTGACTCTTCCTAGCTCTCTAATAGCTTCACCTCCTAATCCAGGTTTCAGTTCTAGCCTTCTTGCTGGGAAACAATTTCCCATTGTTCTCTTATGCTTCTACATATCTTGCAAGCAGAAGCACTGACTGCCTTTGTTCCAAACTATCTTTTCAAGGACATTTGTATAGTGAACAGCCTTAGAAGATACAAAAAATGTTGCCCTCTAGATCAAATGTGCTTACCGTCCAGCATAATAAAGATTATGTCTTGTCTCCCTCCAGAATAAAGGGCAACTATGCTTACTGCTTATTATAATAAAAGATTCAGATTCCCCAAGCTCAGAGTTCCTCTCCTGTAATGCTACCCACTATGTGTGCAGGTGACACCTGGCCTCTTTGTGTTGCTCTATGGGAATTGGTACTCAGGAAACCAGCATCAGAAAATACAAATACTCTGGCTATGCTATCATTGTAATAAAGTCATTTGTCTCTGATCCAGCAGTCTCATGTCTCTTACAAACATATATGAAACTATGACAGGCTAACTTGTTAGCTTGCAAATAAAGTAAAATTTCACACCCCTCACAATTCTTGCCATCTTTTCTCGTCTCATCTCACACTACACTTTACTTAATCAACTCATGATTGGGAGAGGTTAAGAGTAAAATGATCTATCCTCCAGCCTCTATGTTACTATAGCCTAGAGTGAAGAGGGGATGCCAGAATTCCACAAGCTCCTAGTAAGAAACCTATGACTTTGTATTGGGGAAAGAGAAATAATCAGACTTTGGGGAGATTACTGGACACTGGCTCTGAACTGACTCTAATTCTTGGTGACCCAAAATATCACAATGGTCCACTAGTCAGACTAGAGGTTGGTGGAGGTCAAGTGATTGATGGGGTTTTAGATAAGGCCCAACTTGCAGTGGGCCCTTTGGGTTCCCAAATCCACTCTGTGGTCATTTCCCCATTTCCAGAATGCATACTTAGAAGAGACATATTCTGCAACAGTTAGAATCTTCACATTATTTCCCTGATTTTGGAATGAAGGCTATTACATTAGCCCTCATTTGGAAAGGCCAAATGGACACCACTAGAACTGTCTCTGTCTACAAAAATAGTAAACCAAAAGCAATATTGCATTCCTGGAAGGACTGCAGAGATTAGTGCACTATCCGGAATGTGAAAGATTCATGGGTGGTGATTCCCGTTACTTCCTTACTCAACACACCTATTTTGCCTGTCCAGAAGACAATTAGATCTTAGAGAATGACAGCGAAATAAATCAGGTGGTGAATCCAATTGCAGCTGCTTTTTCATATGTTGTTTTGTTGCTTGAGAAAATTAACACCTCCTCTGGTAACCTGGTATGCAGCTACTAATATAGTAAATGCTTTTCTGTATGCCTGTCAACAACGACCACCAGAAGCAGTTTGCTTTCTTCTGGCAAGGCCAGCAATACCCCTTCACTTCAGAGGATGTTCAGACTTTTTCCCCAAGTCCTAAGAATCTGCACTGTGATTTACCTACAGGGATCTGCCAGAGGTTCTAGAGTGTCTATTTGCTATTGCCACTGAAATACCATCACATCTGCTGGAGCATATGACCCAAGTGGCAGAGCAGCTTGCAGTGCAGCCTTGACCTGTTACCGAGCCTTCTCTTGTACCTCAGGGATAAATCTATTCATTCTCATGTCCACAAGAAACTTTATTGCCTTTCCCTTCTAGTTAATATCAACTGGTCCATGAAATTGATGATGCTGTCCTGACTAGACCTGGTGAGCAGGAAGTAGCAACTACTCTAAACAATGTGGTAAGACATTTGTGTGCCAGAGAATAGGAAATAAATCCTACAAACATTCAGGGGTTTCCATCTCAGTGAAATTTCTTGGGGTCCAGCAGTGTGGGGGGATGTCAAAACATTCATTCTAATGTAAAGGATAAATTATTGCATCTGGCTCATCCTACTACCAAAAGAAACACCAAATCCAGGGGATTTTGGAGGCAACATATACCTCATTGGGGTGTGCTTCATTTACCAAGTGATAAAAAAACTGCTAGTTTTGAGTGACACCATGAACAAGAAAAGGCTTGGCAACACATCAAGCTTGCAGGTGCAAGCTGCTCTGCCATTTCACCCATATACTCCAGCAGATCTGATGGGGTGTTCAATGTCAGTGGCAGATAGACATTCTGTTTGGAAACTCTGGCAGGCCCTTGTAGGTGAATCACAGTGTAGATCCTTAAGATTTGGAAGCAAAGCCTACCATCCTCTGCAGATAACTACACTCATTTTGAGAAATGGTTTTTGACTTGCTACACGGCTTCAGTGGAGACTAAATGTTACCCATGGGTCACCATGTTACCGGGCAATCTGAGCTGCTGATTATAAACTAAGTGTTGTCTGACTTACCAAGCCACAAAGTTTGCTCATTAAGCACTCCATTGTCAAATGGAAGAGGTATGTATGAGATTGGGCTTAAGCAGGTCCTGAAGGTTCAAGTACATTGTAGGAGGAAGAAGTCAAAATACCCATGGCTCCTACTCCTTCTACATTACCTTCTCACTATTAGCCTGCACCTATGAGTGGTTCCTGCAACTAGTTGACTGAGGAAGAAACAACTTAGGCCTGGTTTACAGATGATTCTACAAAATATGCAGGCATCACTAGAAAGTGGCACTACAATCCCTTTCTGGGAAAGCCCTCAAAGACAGTAGGGAAGGGAAATCCTCTTAGTAAACAGAACTTTGAGCAGTGCTCCTAGATATTCATTTTGCCTGGAAAGTAGAAATGGCCAGAGCTAAGAGTCTATAGGTTGATGGGCTGTGGCCAATGGCTTTGATGGATGACCAGGGACTTGGAAGAAATGTAATTGAAAAATTGATGAGTTCTGGGGAAGAGGTATATGGCTAGAACTCACTGAACAGGCAAAGAATGTGAAGATATCTGTGTCCTATGTGAATGCTCACTAAAGGGTGACCTCAGCAGTGGAGGATTGAATGATCAAGTGGCTAAGACTACCTGCCATACAGATACCAGTCTGCCTCTTTCCCTAGCTACTCCTGTCATTGCTCAATGGGCTCATGAAAAAAGTAGCCATGGTGGCAGGGACCAAGGTAATGCATGGGCTCAGCAACATGAATTTCTACCCTCCAAGGCCATCTTTGCTTCAGCCACTGCTCAATGCCCAACTGCCAGCAACAGAGACCAACACTGACTCTCTCATATGGTTCCATTCCCTGGAGTGATCAGGCAGCTACCTGGTGGCAAGCTGATTACACAGGACCACTTCCATTATGGAAGGGGCAGTGTTTTGTTCTTACTGGATCCATTTTACTGATCCACTAGCAAAATTTGTACTTCCCATTCCTGCATACACATTTAGGATTGTTATACCTTCTTGAAAAATTGACACATTTATCATTATGTAATGCCCCTTTTTATCCCTGAAAATATTCATTGTTTTGAACTCAGTTTTGTGTAAAATTAATATAGCTAGTTCAGCTTTCTTTTGGTTAGCGTCTGTATGGTATATCTTTCCCCCATCTTACTTTTAATCTATTTCTGTATATTTAAAGTTGATTTTTTTTTTTGTAGACAGCATATGATTTGGTCTTTCTTTTTTATCTAATCTGATAATTTCTGTCTCTTAACTGGTACATTTAGACTATTCACATTTAACATGATTATTGATACGTTTGGATTAAGTTATATCATCTTGCCAGCTGTTTTCAATTTGTTCCATCTTTTCTTTGTTTCTTTTTTCCTCTTTCTCTCCCTTCTCATAGGTTAATAGACCATTTTCTGGAATTATTTTTTTGTGGTAAAATATATATAACATACAATTTGTTATTTTAACCATTTTAAATGTACAAATCAGTGGTATTAACCACATCCACAGTGTTGTGCAACCATTACCATTAGCTGTTTCCAAAACTTTTTCATAATCTAAAACAGAAACCCTGCAACCAATAAGCAATAACTCCCCATTTCCACCCAGCCTGGACAACATGGTGAGACTATGTCTCTAAAAATATTAAAAATAGTATTTTAATCAATAGTATTGATCCAGAAATTCCACTTCTAAGGTATATACCCAGAAGAACTGAAGGCAAGGTCTCACAGAGATATTTGGACAGCTGTTTCATAGCAGCATTATTCACAATAACCAAAAGTTGAAAGCAACCTAAGTGTCCATTTATAGATGAATAAATAAAGTGTTGTATTTCTATATAATGGAATATTACTTAGCCTTAAAAAGGAAGAAGATTCGGACACATGTTACAACATGAATGAAACTTGAAGACATTATGCTAAGTGAAATAAGCCAGTTGCAAGAAAAACAAATACTGTATGATTCCAGTTATATGAGGTGCCTAGAGTAGTTAAATTCACAGAGACAGAAAGTAAAAGGGAGGTTGCCAGGGGTGTGGAGGGATGAAGAATTGGTTTTTAATGGGTATACAGTTTGCTTTGCAAGATGAAAAGAATTCTGAAGATCAGTTACACAATAATGTGAAAATACTTAACACTACTGAACTGTACACTTAAAAATGTAAGATGGTAAATTTTGTATTATGTGTATTTTACCCTAATTTAAAAGTTTTTAAAATTTAAAAAAATTCAGAGAAAAAATATTAACTCCAAAGGAGACATACATATTATTTAGCCTTAAAAAAGAAGGAAGGAAATCTTGTCTTTTGCAACAAAATGAGTGAATCTCCTTTAACATACCAATGGACACTTAGGTTGATACCATATCTTGGCTATTGTGAAAAACGTTGCAATGAACGTGGGAGTACAGATATCTCTTCAATATACTGATTTCATTTCCTTTGGATATATACCCAGAAGTGGGATTGCTAGATCATATGGTAGTGGTATTTTTAATTTTTTGAGGAACCTACATAGTGCTTTTCATAATGGGTGTACAGCAACCTTTTTATGTAAATGGCCTAGCAGTACATAATTTAGGCTTTGTAGGCCATATGGTCTGTCCCAACTACTCAACTCTGCCATTGTAGCATGAAGGCATACATAAATGATACATTAAGGAATTTCTGTGGTTGTATTCTTTTCCCTCCTTTCTTTCACATCATAGCTCACTGTAACTTTGAACTCCTGGGCTCAGGCGATCTTCCCACCTCAGCCTCCCAAGTATCTAGGACTGCAGGCACACAACACCATACCCAGTTAATGAGCATGGAAATGTTCTAATAGAACTTTATTTATGGCCAGGCACAGTGGCACATGCCTGTAATCCCAGCTACTTGGGAGGTTGACACAAGAAGATCACTTGAGCACAGGAGTTTAAGACCAGCTTGGGTAACATAATGAGACCCCAATCTCTAAAGAAGACCCAAAAAACAAAACTTTGTTTAAGGATGCTAAAATTTGTATATCATAAAATATTCTTCTTGTGATTTTTCCCCAACCATTTAATAATGTAAAAACTATTCTTAAGTCACAAGCCATACAAAAATTGACACCAGGCCAGATTTGGTCTATAGACCACAGTTTGGGGTTTGCCTACCCCTGCTATAGATCAAAGAAAATTAATAAACTATAGCTACTCCTGACAACATGGACAAATCTCACAAATATAATGCTGAGAGAAAGTAACCTGTGTTAGTTTCCTATTGCTGCTATAATAAATTACCAAAAACTGGCTGGGCACAGTGGCTCATGCCTGTAATCCCAGCACTTTGGGAGTCTGAGGTGGGAGGATTGCTTGAGGCCAGGAGTTCGAGACCAGCTTGGCCAACATGGCAAAATTCCATCTCTACTAAAATTACAAAAATTATCTGGGCATGGTGGTGCGCACCTGTAATCCCAGCTACATTGGGTGGCTGAGGCATGAGAATCATTTGAACCCGGCAGGCGAAAGTTGCAACGAGCCAAGATCATGCCACTGCTCTCCAGTCTTGGTGACAGAGTGAGATGGTCTCAAAAATAATAACTAAATAAATAAATAACCACAAACTAAGTATTTAATACAAATTTATTATCTTACATCTCTGGAGATCAGAAGTCTAACACTGATCTCACTGGACTGAAATCAAGGTGTTGGTAGGGCTGTGTTCCTTCTGGAGGCTCTAGGGAAGAATATGTTTTCTTTTTTTGCTTGTTTCTTTCTTTTTTTTATTATACTTTAAGTTCTAGGGTACATGTGCACAACGTGCAAGTTTGTTACATATGTATACATGCGACATGTTGGTGTGCTGCACCCATTAACTGGTCATTTACATTAGGTATATCTCCTAATGCTAACCCTCCACCCTCCCCCAACACCACGACAGGCCCCAGCGTGTGATGTTCCTCTTCCTGTGTCCAAGTGTTCTCATTGTTCAATTCCCACCTATGAGTGAGAACATGTGGTGTTTGGTTTTTTTGTCCTTGCAATAGTTTGCTGAGAATGATGGTTTCCAGCTTCATCCATGTCCCTACAAAGGATATGAAGTCATCCTTTTTTATGGCTGCATAGTATTCCATGCTGTATATGTGCCACATTTTCTTAATCCAGTATGTTTTCTTGGCTTCAGCTTCTAGAGGTCTTCTGCATTCCTTGGATTGTGGCCCCCTTCCTCCTTCTTCAAAGCCAACAAAGCTGTACTGAATCTTTCTTATGCTACCGTCTCTATGATTCTCCCTCTTATGCTTCCTTCTTTCACTTTTAAGGACCCTTGTGATTACATTGAGCCCACCCAGATAATCCAAAATAATCTTCCTATCTTAAGGTCAACTGAACAGCAGCCTTAATTCCACCTGCTATCTCAATTCCCATTTGTCAGGTAACCAAACATTGCCACAAGTTCCAAGGATTAAAATGTAGACATTTAAGGGGCCATTATTCTGCCTACCATACAATCCAAACCCACAATCACATATGCCATAAGATTCCAAGTTAAAAAATAAAAACTTGCTGTAATGTTCAAAAATGCTCCTTACTGGTGGTAAGACTCTAAAGAACAAAAAAGAAGTGATAACCATAAATTTTAGGATAGTTATTACTTTGGGGTAAAGCAGAAGATGAAGTGATTGAGAAGAGACACAGGGGAAGCATCTGAGTGCTGGTAATGTTCTATTTCTTGACCTGTGTGTTGATTACAAAGGTATTTGCTTCATGATAATTCATTGATATATCAATTTATGTTCTGTGATCACCTGTATACACATGACTTTTCACAATAAAAAATTTTTAATGTAAAAGAAAGAAAGAAAGAAAAAGAAGACTCCAAATTGGGAATCACTAAGCAGTGTGTGGTGGAAGAGTTTGTGATCAGACACTATATACATTAATAGAACTTTCAGTCAGCATTTTAGTGCTTCAAATTTTAATATTAGTAGAATACCAGGGATCCCATGATATTTGGGAAGGTCTCCAAAATTACAGGATCAAGACAAACAGAAAAGGAGAATCCAGAGGAAATTTTCACACAATATGGGGAATAGAAAAAAATTTAAACCATAAATGACAAAACCTCTAATTGCTATCCTAGATAAATGAGAGAAGATTCTGCATACATGCTTTAAAATGGGAACAGAGAATAAGAGCTTGTAAAAAGTAAAATACAAGAGACTTCAAAAAGTTCGTGAAGACCAGGTGCAGTGGCTCACATCTGTAATCCCAGCATTTTGGGAGGCCAAGGTGGGAGAATTGCTTGACTCCAGGAGTTTGAGACTCACTTAGGTAACATAGGGAGACCTCATCTCCATACACAGACACACACACACACAAAATAACAGTAATAAAAAAAATTAGCCAGGTGTGGCAACATGCCCCTGTGGTTCCAGCTACTTTGGAGGCTGAGGTAGGAAGATTGCTTAAACCCAGGAAATCGAGGCTGCAGTGAGCTGTAATCATGCCACTGTACTCTAGCCTGGGTGACAGACAAAGAACTTGTCTCAAAAAAACAAAGTTCATGGAAAAACAAAATTAAGAGATAAAAATAATAAATATAAACTTTATTTCTCACTTAAGCTCCATCAATGTCAAGACACTTTTGTAAGTCATGATACCAGCTTTTTAACCCGTGCCTAAAGAACTGAGGGTCCTGGGAATTTAGCCATGTCAATGCAGTCTTTTGTACATTACTAGCTGAAGAAAATGGGTGCTCTTTAAAGATTTTTTTAAAATCAGGAAACAAAATGAAGTCAGAAAGAGCCAAATCAAGGCTGTAAGGTGGATGTCTAATGATTTCCCATCAAAACTCTTGCAAAATTGCCCTGGATTGTTGAGAGGAATGAGCAGGAGTATCATTGTGGTAGAGAAGAACGCTCCGGTGAAGTTTTCTCAGGTATTTTTCTGCTAAAGCTTTGGCTAATTTTCTCAAAACACTCTTGTAATAAGCAGACGTTATCATTTTCGGTCCTCCAGAAAGTCAACAAGCAAAATGCCTTGAGAATTAAAAAACAAAAAACTGTTGCTATGACCTTTGCTCTTGATCAGGCTACTTTTGCTTTGACTGGACCACTTCCACCTCTTGGTGCCCATTGCTTTGATTGTGCTTTGTCTTCAGGATTCTACTAGTAAAGCCATGTTTCATCACCTGTTACAAATCTTCAAATGCTTCAGGATCTTGATCCCACTTCAAAATTTCAATTGAAAGCTCTGCTCTTGTCTGCAGCTGACCTAGGCACAACAGTTTTGGTACCCATCAAGTGGAAAGTTTGTTCAATGTTATTTTTTCAGTCAGAACTGTGTAAACTAAACCAATTGAGATAGCTACAGTGTTGGCTGTTGTTTGTGCTGTTAATCGTCTGTTCTCTTCAATTAAGGCACTAACAAGGTTAATTTTTTCCTCACAAATTGGTATGGATGGTCTGCCATTACAGGCTTCATCTTCGATAGCATCTCATCTCTTCTTTAAAAGAGTTATCAATTTGTAAGAGAAACACATCCCATGCTCATGGATGGGTAGAATCATTATCGTGAAAATGACCCTACTGCCAAAAGCAATCTCCAAATTCAATGGAATTCCCCTCAAAATACCACCATCATTCTTCACAGAACTAGAAAAACCAATTCCAAAATTCATATGGAACCAAAAAAGAAGAGCCCACATAGTCAAAGCAAGACTAAGCCAAAAGAACAAATCTGGAGGCATCACATTACCCAACTTCAAACTATGCTATAAGGCCATAGTCACCAAAACAGCATGGTACTGGTATAAAAATAACGACATAGACCAATGGAACAGAATAGCGAACCCAGAAATAAAGTCAAACACTTACAGCCAACTGATCTTTGACAAAGCAAACAAAAACATAAAGTGGGGAAAGGACACCCTATTCAACAAATGGTGCTGGGGAAATTGGCAAGCCACATGTAGAAGAATGAAACTTGATCCTCATCTTTCATTTTATACAAAAATCAACTCAAGATGGATCAAGGACTTAAATCTATGACCTGAAACCGTAAATATTCTAGAAGATAACCTCAGAAAAACCTTCCTGGACATTGGCTTAGGCAAAGACTTCATGACCAAGAACCCAAAAGCAAATGCAACAAAAACAAAGATAAATAGATGGGATTTAATTAAACTGAAAAGCTTCCACATAGCAAAAGAAACAATCAGCAGAGTAAACAGACAAAAAAGTGGGAGAAAATCTTCACAATCTATGCATCTGACAAAGGACTAATATCCAGAATCTACAAGGAACTCAAACAAAACAGCAAGAAAAAACAAACGACCCCATCAAAACATGGGCTAAGGACATGAATAGACAATTCTCAAAAGAAGATATACAAATGGCCAACAAGCATATGAAAAAAATGCTCAATATCACTAATGAACAGGGAAATGCAAATCAAAACCACAGTGTGATATCACCTTACTCCTGCAAGAATGGCCATACTAAAAAAAGTAAAAAATAACAGATGTTTGCAGAGATGCTGTAAAAAGAGATCACTTTTACACTGCTGGTGGGAATGTAAACTAGTACAGCCACTATGGAAAACAGTGTAGAGATTCCTTTAAGAACTAAAAGTAGAACTACCATTTGATCCAGCAATGCCACTACTGGGTATCTACCTAGAGGAAAAGAAGTCTTTATACAAAAAAGATACTTGCACTTGCATGTTTATAGCAGCAAAATATGCAATTGCAGAAATATGGAACGAGCCCAAATGTCCATCAATCAACAAGTGGATAAAGAATCCAACAAGTGGATATTTCTATACATATATGTATATGCATACATATGTATATACATACACATACACACATATGTATATACATACACATACTCGCATATGTATATACATACATATACACAAATATGTACATACATACATATACACAAATATGTATATACATACATATATACACATATACATATATACACGTATACATATATACACATATGCATATACATATATACACACATATGTATATATGTATATAGGTATACCTGTATTTACATGTATATAAATGTATATAAATGTATATATGTATATATGTATGCATATATACCTATAGGTATATATGCACATATGTATATACGTATACACATACACACATATGTGTATATACACACATATGTACATTGTATATATACACATATATGTACATATGTACATATAAACACATATATGTATATATGTACATATGTATATACGCACGTACATATATGCATATGTACATATGTGCGTGCATATATGTACATGTATTTGCACATATGTGTACACATATCTGTACATGCATATACACACGTACACATACATGTACATGTGTACACATACATGTACACGTGCACACATACATGTATATGTGTGCACATACTTGTATATATGCATATACACACGTATGTATATACGTATACATATATACACACGTGTATATATGCATTTACACACGTGTGTATATACGTATACATATATACACATGTGTATATATGTACATATGTCGATATATACATATATGTGTATATATGTATACTGAGTAGTATTTCATGGTATATATACACACGTGTATATACATATATACACACGTGTATATACATATATACACACGTGTATATACACATATGTATATATGTATATATGTGTATATATGTATATATATGTGTGTGTGTGTATATATACCATGAAATACTACTCAGCCATAAGAAGGATCAAAAATAATGGCATTCACAGCAACCTAGATGGAACTGGAGACCATTATTCGTTTTTTGTTTGTTTGTTTGTTTGTTTTTAGGTGGAGTCTCACTCTGTTGCCAGGCTGGAGTACAGTGGCGTGATCTCAGCTCACTGCAACCTCCGCCTCCTGGGTTCAAGTGATTCTCCTGCCTCAGCCTCCCGAGCAGCTGGGACTACAGGCACCTGCCACCACACCCAGGTAATTTTTGTATTTTTAGTAGACATGGGGTCTACTAAAACATGTTGACCAGGATGGTCTCGATCTCTTCACCTCGTGATCCACCCACCTCGGCCTCCCAAAGTGCTGGGATTACAGGCGTGAGCCACTGCACCTGGCCTGGAGACCATTATTCTAAGTGAAGTAACTCAGGAATGGAAATCTAAACATTGCATGTTCTCACGCATAAGTGGGAGCTAAGCTATGAGAATACAAAGGCATAAGAATTATACAATCGACTTTGGGGACTTGGGGGAAAGGGTGGCAGGGGGTGAGGGATAAAAGACTCCAAATTGGGTACAGTGTATACTGCTCAGGTGAGGGGTGCACCAAAATCTCAGAAATCACCAGTAAAGAACTTATTTATGTAACCAAACACCATCTGTTCCCCCAAAAACCTATGGAAATGAAAAAAAAAATAAGTAAAAGATTTATCAATTTGTAAACTGGTGATTTATTTGGAATATTGTCCCCATAAACTTTTCTTTTCTTTTATTTTTATTATTATACTTTAAGTTCTAGGGTACACATGCAAAATGTGCAGGTTTGTTACATAGGCATACATGTGCCATGTTGGTCAACTCGTCATTTACATTAGGTATTTCTACTAATGCTGTCTCTCCCCCAGCCCCCACCCCCGACAGGCCCCAGTGTGTGATGTTCCCTGCCTTGTGTCCAAGTGTTCTCATTGTTCAGTTCCCACCTATGAGTGAGAACATGTGGTGTTTGGTTTTCTGTCCTTGTGATAGTTTGCTGAGAATGATGGTTTCCAGCTTCATCCATATCCCTGCAAAGGACATGAACTCATCATTTTTTATGGCTGCATAGTATTCCATGGTGTATATGTGCCACATTTGCTTAATCCAGTCTATCATTGATGGACATTTGGGTTGGTTCCAAGTCTTTGCTACTGTGAATAGTGCCGCAATAAACATACGTGTGCATGTGTCTTTATAGCAGCATGATTTATAATCCTTTGGGTATATACCCAGTAATGGGATGGCTGGGTCAAATGGTATTTCTAGTTCTAGATCCTTGAGGGATTGCCACACTGTCTTCCACAATGGTTGAACTAGTGTACAGTCCCACCAACAGTGTAAAAGTGTTCCTATTTCTCCACATCCTCTCCAGCACCTGTTGTTTCCTGACTTAAATGATTGTCATTCCAACTTGCATGAGATGGTGTCTCATTGTGGCTTTGATTCACATTTCTCTGATGACCAGTGATGATGAGCATTTTTTCATGTGTCTGCTGGCTGCATAAATGTCTTCTTTTGAGAAGTGTCTGTTCATATACTTTGCCCACTTTTTCATGGGGTTGTCTGTTTTTTTCTTGTAAATTTGTTTACGTTCTTTGTAGATTCTGGGTAATAGCCCTTTGTCAGATGGGTAGATTGCAAAGATTTTCTCCCATTCTGTAGGTTGCATGTTCACTCTGATGATAGTTTCTTTTGCCATGCAGAAGCTGTTTAGTTTAATTAGATCCCATTTGTCAATTTTGGCTTTTGTTGCCATTGCTTTTGGTGTTTTAGACATGAAGTCCTTGCCCATGCCTATGTCCTGAATGGTATTTCCTAGGTTTTATTCTAGGGTTTTTATGGTTTTAGGTCTAACATTTAAGTCTTTAATCCATCTCGAATTAATTTTTGTATAAGGTGTAAGGAAGGGATCCACTTTCAACTTTCTCCATATGGCTAGCCAGTTTTCCCAGCACCATTTATTAAATAGGGACTCCTTTCCCCATTTCTTGTTTTTGTCAGGTTTGTCAAAGATCAGATGGTTGTAGATGTGTGGTATTATTTCTGAGGACTCTGTTCTGTTCCATTGGTCTATCTATATATCTGTTTTGGTAGCAGTACTATGCTGTTTTGGTTACTGTAGTATACTTTGAAGTCAGGTAGCGTGATGCTTCCAGCTTTGTTCTATTGGCTTAAGATTGTCTTGGCAATGCGGGCTCTTTTTTGGTTCCATATGAACTTGTCATCTTTTAGAGCGAGTCCTCCCACCTTGTTCTTCTTCATGAGAGAATCTTGGCCATTCTTGGCTCTTTGCACTTCCATATACATTTTAGAATAAGCTTATCAAGTTCCACAAATATCCTGTTGGTGTTTTGATTGGGATTGCATTGAATCTATAGACCAATTTGGAGTGTATTGACATCTTTATAAATTCGACTCTTCCAATCTGAAGACATAGAATAGTCCTCCTTTTGGATAAATTTTTCAATAAAGTTTTATTATTTTCCTCAGAGAGATCATGTATATCTTTTATCAGATTTATTCTGATGTAATTTAAGTAATTTAGATATTATCATAAATTGGACTTTAAAATTTATTTTTTGTATTCATGCTATTTAGAAATAAAATTGATTTCTGCATACTGACTATGAAACAACTCTGCTAAATACTTTCACTAATTCCTATAATTTCTCCATAGATTTCATTTGACTTTTATATTGACACAATCAAGTCATTCACAAATAATGAGAGATTATACTCCTTTATTTTTCAATTCTTTGCTTTCCATGTATTTTTTCTTGCCATACTGTGCTGTCTAGGTGCTTGAGTACAATGCTGAATACAAGTGGTGAGAGCAGACATCCTAGTTTTATTCCTGATCTTAAATCAAATCCTCTCAACATTTCTCCACAAAATATGATGTAAGTTCTTTGTAGAAACTTTTTTCGTATAGATTGCACTTTTTAAATTTTTGTGGCTACACAGTAGGTATATATACTTATGGGGTACATGAGACATTTTGATAGAGGCATGCAATGCATAATAATCACATCATGGAAAATGGGGTATCTGTCCCCTCAAGCATTTATCCTTTGTGTTAGCAACAATACAATTATACTCTCTTAGTTATTTTAAAATGTACAACTAAGTTATTATTGGCTATAGTGTCCCTATTTGTGCTATCGAGTAGTAGCTATTATTCACTGTTTCCAACTATTTTTGCATAACCATTACCATCCCTACCTCTCCCCCTTGACCCCCACTACCCTTTCCAGCCTATGGTAACCATCCTTCTACTCTGTGTCCAGGAGTTAAATTGTTTTGATTTTTAGATACCACAAATAAGTGACAACATGAGATGTTTGTCTTTCTGTGCCTGACTTATTTCACTTAATATAATGAACTCCAGTTCTATCCATGTTGGTGCAAACGACGAGCTCTCATTCCTTTTTATGGCTGAATAGTACTCCATTGTGTATGAGTGCCACATTTTCTTTATCCATTCATCTGTTGATGGACTCTTGGGTTGCTCCCAAATCTTGGCTATTGTGAATAATGCTGCAACAAACATGGGAGTGCAGATATCTTTTCAATATACTGATTTCCCTTCTTATGGGCATATACCCAGCAGTGGGGTTGCTGGATCATATGGGAGCTCTATTTTTAGTTGTTTGAGGAAGCTCCAAACTGCTCTCCATGGTGGTTATACTGATTTACATTCCCTCAAAAAATGTACATGGGTTCCCTTTTCACCATACCCTTCCCAGTATTTGTTACTGCCTGTCTTTTGAATAAAAGCCATTTAAACTAGGGTGAGATGATATTGTAGTTTTGATTTGCATTTATCTGAGGATCAATGATGGTAAGCACCTTTTCATATACTTGTTTGCTATTTTTATGTCTTCTTTTGAGAAATGTCTATCCAGATCTTTTGTCCAGTTTTTCAATGGATTATTAGATTTTTTTCCTGTAGAGTTTTGCTCTACAGAGTTTGAGCTCCTTATATGCTCTAATTATAAGAGTATATAACTCACATACTTTTCCTTTTCAGATCAGTAGTTTGCAGATATTTTCTCCCATTCTGCGGGGTGTCTCTTCACTTTGTTGGTTTTTTCCTTTGCTGTGCAGAAGCTTTTTAACTTGATGTGATCCCATTTGTTCATTTATGCTTTGGCTGCCTGTGCTTCTGAGGTATTACTCAAGAAACCTTTGCCCACTCCAACGTCCTGGAGAGTTTCCTCCATGTTTTCTTTTAGTAGTTTCATAGTGTGGGGTCTTAGATTTAAGTATTTAATCCATTTTGATTTGGCTTTTGTATATGGTGAGACATAGGGGTCGAGTTTCATTCCTCTGCATATGGATATTCAGTTTTTGCAGCACCATTTACTGAAGAGACTGTCTTTTCCCCAGTGTATGTTCTTGGAAGTTTTGTCAAAAATGATTTCACTGTAGGTGTGTGGATTTGTCTCTGGGTTCTCTATTCAGTTCCATTGGTCTATGTGTCTGTTTTTATGCCAGTACCATGCTGTTTTGCTGACTATAGTTCTGTAGTACAATCTGAAGTCAGGTAATGTGATTCCTCCAGTTTCTTTCTTCTTACTTAGGCTTACTTTGGCTATTCTGGGTGTTTTGTGGTTCCACATAATTTTTAGGATTGTTTTTTCTATTTCTGTGAAGAATGTCTTTGGCATTTTGATAGAAATTGCATTGAATCTGTAGATTGCTTTGAGTAATATGGATATTTTAACAATATTGATTCTTCCAAACCATCAACATGAAATATTTTTCCTTTTTTTGTGTTCTCTTCAATTTGTTTCATAAGTGTTTTATTGTTTTTATTATACAGATTTTTCACTTCTTTGGTTAATTCCTAGGTGTTTAATTTTATTCGTGGCTATTGTGAATGGGATTACTTTGTTGATTTCTTCTTCAGATTGTTTGTTGTTGGCATATAGAACTGCTACGGATTTTTGTATGTTGATTTAGTATCCTGCAACTTTACTTAATTTGTTTATCAGTTCTAATAGTTTTTTGAAGGAGTCTAGGTTTTTCCAAATATAAGATCATATCATCCACAAACAAGGATAATTTGACTTCTTCCTTTCTAATTTCTATGCCCTTTATTTCTTTCTCCTGTCTGATTGCTCTAGCTAAGACTTCAAGTACTGTGTTGAATAACAGAGGTGAAAGTGGGCACCATCTTTGTCATGTTCCAGATCTTGGAGGAAAGGCTTTCAGCTTTTCCCCATTCAGTATGGTACTAGCTGTAGATCTGTCATATATGGCTTTTATTATATTGAGGTATGTTCCTTCTATACCCAGTTTTTTAAGGGTTTTTATCATGAAGGGATGTTTAATTTTATCAAATGCTTTTTAAGCATCAGTTAAAAAGATCATATAGTTTCAGCCTGGGCACAGTGGTGCACGCCTGTAATCCCAGCACTTTGGGAGGGCAAGGAGGGTGGATCACTTGAGGACAGGAGTTTGAGACCAGCCTGGCCAACGTGGAGAAATCCTGTCTAGACTAAAAATACAAAAAAAAAATAGCCAGGTGTCGTGGCACACACCTGTTATCTCAGCTACTCAGGAGGCTGAGACAGGAGAATCACTTGAATTTGGGAGATGGAGGTTGCAGTGTGCCGAGATCATCCCACTGCACTCCAGCCTGGGAGTCAGAGCAAGACTCTGTTTAAAAAAAAAATATAGTTTTTGTCCTTCATTCTGTTGATATGATGTATCACATTGATTTGCATATGTTGAACCATTCTTGCATTCCAGGGATAAATCCCATTTGGTCATGATGAATGATCTTTTTAATGAATTGTTGAATTCAGTTTGCTAGTATTTTGTAGAGGATTTTTGCATCAATATTCATTAGAGAAATTGGCCTGTAGTTTTCTTTTTTTGATGTGTCTTTGTCTGGTTTTGGTATCAGGGTAATACTGGCCTCATAGAATTAGTTCGAAAGTATTCCCTCCTCCTCCATTTTTTGGAATAGTTTGAATGGATTGATATTAGTTCTTCTTTAAGTGTTTGGTAGAATTCAGTAGTGAAGCCATCAGGTCCTGGGCTTTTCTTTACTGGGAGACTTTTTATTACAGCTTTGATCTCATTGCTTGTTATTGGTCTGTTCAGGTTTTGGATTTCTTCATGGTTCAATCCTCGTAGGTTGTATGTGTCTAGGAATTTGTCTATTTCTTCCAGATTTTCCAATTGATTGGCAAATAGTTACTCATGGCTGTTAATAATTCTTTGAATTTCTGCAGTATCAGTTGTAATGTCTACTTTTTCACCTCTGATTTTATATATTTGGGTCTTCTCTCTTTTTTCTTTATTAGTTTGGCTAAAGGTTTGTCAAAAGAAAAACCAACTTTTTCTGTTGTTGATCTTTTTTGTTATTTTCTTCATTTCAAATTCATTTATTTCTGCCTCATTGTTTTTTATTCTTTTTTTTCTTTTGTCTCCTCTGACTTTTTCTTTTGTCTCCTCTGACTGTGTATTTTCAAACATCCTGTCTTCAAGCTCACTAATTCTTTCTTCTAGTTGACCAATTCTGCTATTAAGAGATTTTGATCTCCCTCTCCCTCTCCCTCTCCCCATGGTCTCCCTCTCCTTCTCTCTCCACGGTCTCCCTCTGATGCCGAGCCGAAGCTGGACTGTACTGCCGCCATCTCGGCTCACTGCAACCTCCCTGCCTGATTCTCCTGCCTCAGCCTGCCGCGTGCCTGGGATTGCAGGTGCACGCCACCATGCCTGACTGGTTTTCGTATTTTTTTGGTGGAGACGGGGTTTCGCTGTGTTGGCCGGGCTGGTCTCCAGCTCCTAACTGCGAGTGATCTGCCAGCCTCGGCCTCCTGAGGTGCTGGGATTGCAGATGGAGTCTCGTTCACTCAGTGCTCAATGTTGTCCAGGCTGGAGTGCAGTGGCGTGATCTCGGCTCGCTACAACCTCCACCTCCCAGCCGCCTGCCTTGGCCTCCCAAAGTGCAGAGATTGCAGCCTCTACCCTGCCGCCACCCCGTCTGGGAGGTGAGGAGCGTCTCTGCCTGGCCACCCATCATCTGGGATGTGAGGAGCCCCTCTGCCCGGCCGCCCAGTCTGGGAAGTGAGGAGTGCCTCTTCCCGGCTGCCATCCCATCTAGGAAGTGAGGAGCGTCTCTGCCCGGCCGCCCATTGTCTGAGATGTGGGGAGCGCCTCTGTCCCGCCGCCCCGTCTGGGATGTGAGGAGCGCCTCTGCCCGGCCACGACCCCATCTGGGAGGTGAGGAGCGTCTCTGACCGGCCGCCCCATCTGAGAAGTGAGGCGCCCCTCCGCCTGGCAGCCGCCCCATCTGGGAAGTGAGGAGCGTCTCCACCCGGCCAGCTGCCCCGTCCGGGAAGGAGGTGGGGGGCAGCCCCCACCCGGCAAGCCGCCCCATCCCGGAGGGAGGTGGGGAGCAGCCCCCGCCTGGCCAGCCGCCCCATCCGGGAGGGAGGTAGGGGGGCGCCTCCGCCTGGCCGCCGCCCCATCCGGGAGGTGGGGGGCGCCTCTGCCCGGCCGCCCCTTCTGGGAAGTGAGGAACCCCTCTGCCGGGCGGCCACCCCGTCTGGGAGGTGTACCCAACAGCTCACTGAGAAGGGGCCATGATGATGATGGCGGTTTTGTCAAATAGAAAAGGGGGAAATGTGGGGAAAAGATAGAGAAATCAGATTGTTGCTGTGTCTGTGTAGAAAGAAGTAGACATAGGAGACTCCATTTTGTTCTGTACTAAGAAAAATTCTTCTGCCTTGGGATGCTGTTAATCTATAACCTTACCTCCAACCCTGTGCTCTCTGAAACATGTGCTGTGTCCACTCAGGGTTAAATGGATTAAGGGCGGTGCAAGATGTGCTTTGTTAAACAGATGCTTGAAGGCAGCATACTCGTTAAGAGTCATCACCACTCCCTAATCTCAAGTACCCAGGGACACAAACACTGCGGAAGGCCGCAGGGTCCTCTGCCTAGGAAAACCAGAGACCTTTGTTCACTTGTTTATCTGCTGACCTTCCCTCCACTATTGTCCTATGACCCTGCCAAATCCCCCTCTGCGAGAAACACCCAAGAATGATCAATAAATACTAAAAAAAAAAGAGAGAGATTTTGATTCATTCTTCAGTATGTCAATTGCATTTTCAACTCTAGAATTTCTTCATTCTTTTTAATTTCAATCTTTTTGTTAAATTTATTGGATAGAATTCTGATTCCTTCTCTGTGTTATCTTGAATTTCTTTGAGTTTTCTCAAAACAACTATTTTGGCTTCTCTGTCTGAAAGGTCACTTTTCTCTGTTTCTCCAGGATTGGTCCTTTAATTTGTTGGGTGAGGTCATGTCTTCCTGGATGATCTTGGTGCTTGTAGATGTCCGTCAGTGTCTGGACATTGAAAAGTTGGGTATTTTTTTTTTTTTTTTTTGACAGGGTCTCACTCTGCCATCCAGGCTGGAGTGCAGTGGCATGATCTTGGCTCACTGAAACCTCTGCCTCCCAGGTTCAAGTGATTCTCCTGCCCCAGCCTCCCGAGTAGCTGGGATTAAAGGCATGAGTCACCACGCCTGACTAATTTTGTATTTTTAGCAAAGACAGGGTTTCTCCATGTTGGTCAGGCTGGTCTTGAACTCCCAACCTCAGGTGATCCACCGGCCTCAGCCTCCCAAAGTGCTGGGATTACAGGCGTGAGCCGCCACGCCGGGCCAAAGTTAGGTATTTATTGTAGTGTAAGACCCAAAAGGCCTCTTTGGTTGCTTCCAAGAAGAGCCTCACCTCTTGCAGAAGACGAGCAGACACAACTGAGGAGCACCACAT
The DNA here is from genome assembly GCF_000001405.40 of Homo sapiens. Taxonomy (NCBI): domain Eukaryota; kingdom Metazoa; phylum Chordata; class Mammalia; order Primates; family Hominidae; genus Homo; species Homo sapiens. Next base: position 71,875,538 of record NC_000023.11, on the reverse strand, counting down.
CAACATAATTTGATAGCAAATGACACAGAACTCCAGAGATGATGGCACCCTCAAGCAACACAGGCCTGTTATGCTAAGGTCAGGGCCGTGTTTGGAGAAACCCAGTCACCTGAACTATGGGATGGGGATGGCTGGATGGAGTGTGTGAAAGGTGAGCCTTCCTGTCCTAGCAAGAGCTACCCCGGACCCCATGCTGGTAGGTGCTACACAGCCCTGGGCCCCACAAAGCCAAGGGTGCCTCCCTCAGGGGCTGCCCCATATGCTCTCTGTCACCTCGCTGGGTGATGCTGAGCCGGATAAAGGGAGAATGGAGATTATATGCCAAGCAAGAGATAGCCTGTACAGGCAGGAGACAGGGAAATACCCCGCGAATGGACTTTAAGAGGCTGGATCAAGGGGCTGGAATATATGACTAGATAAGCAAGTCTACTCGACTACAGGCACTTTCTGGTGTCGTGGGATTTAACAGCCTTGCAAATGTGTTTTGCAGTTTTAGGAGGCTCAGCTCTAAGCACGAACTCCATGGAGCCCACCTGCCTGGTTTCTGACCTGCAGCTGACACCCACCAGCCAAACAAATGACCTTGAGCAAGTCCTGAACCTCTCTGTGCCCACTTCTCCACCTGTAAGAAGGTGGCAATAGCAGGTACTTCCACCTAAAACTGTCCCGAGTATGAGTTAACATGTAGCGATAAGGCCCAGAAGACAGCCAGGCACATAGTGAATGATGCATAAGTTGAGTTTCACGGATCCTGCCAAATTACCCTCCCAAGTGGCCGCCCTCCCCCTTTCCCCCAGCAAGTGAGCAAATGCACTGGTTTGCTCAGGACCTCTCCTACCCCCGGAATGGTTAAGCTCTCTAAGAGTCACAAACCTGCCGTGTGTAAATTGAGTTTTGATTTTAGTTTGCACCTTTAAGGTGAGTGATGGTGAGCATCTTTGGGGTATCCTAGACCATTGGTTGGACTTCCGGCTTCGTTGAATAAACGACAGTGGGCTTGGGGAGGCTGGGAGAGGTGGGAAAGCTCTGGCCTGCCAAACCACCATACCCACAGGCCAATCAACCCTTGTGGGCACACAGCCACGTGCCAATTTGATCACCTATTCTAAGAAAAAGAAAAAAAAAGGCATCCAAATTGCAAAGTAAGAAGCTCAATTATCTCTGCCTGCAGATGACATGATCTCACATGGAAAAAAACCCTAGCATACACTGCACCAAAAAACGTTCAAAGCCAATAGACAAAGTCAGCAAAATTGCAGAATGGAAAAGCAACATGCGAAAATCACTGGCATTTCTATGCCCTAACAGCAAATTATCCAAAAAAAGACACGCGGGAAACCAACATATTTAGAATACCAGGAAAAGAACAAAACCCTTCGGAATACATTTATCCAGGGAGGTGAAAGGTGTGCATAATGAAACCGACCAAACACTGATGAGAGACTCAGAAGACAAATAAATGGGGACACATCCTGTGCTCATGGTCGAGAAGACAGTTAACACGTCCGTGCCACCCAAAGCCGTTACAGGTTCAGCGTGGTAAGTCCCTAGGAAAATGACAACGGGGTTTTTCGCAGCACTAGCAGAAACAACCCTGAAACTTCTGCTTCTTGACTGTGGGCCTCCCTGTCCATGTTCCTATCAGGTGCTACCTCTTAGTGTGGAACGCAGGCTTGAAGCTCCTGTGCGCCGGGTGATTGGCGTGCATCACGACATTTACTCTCCCAAGCTGATGAGCTGGGGGTGGCACTCCCATTGACTCCTGCCTTACAGATGGGACACTGGGGCTCAGAGATGCGGCTCTCATTGGAAAGTAGGTGCCTGGCCAGAGGCGACAGGACAGGAAGAAAGAGATGGATGGAGAGCTCCAATGCACCCTGGCCCCAAGACCCGACCTGAGCACAGCCACCCAGTCGAATGACAGGCGTCGGGGCAAACCAAGAGCCTGTGTCCCGACTGGTTAAAGCCCAGAGGCCCCGCCAAACAAAGGGAGCACTGGTTGGCAGAGGGTGGACCAATGAGAAGGCACGGTGCAGGCTTCCAGGGTGCACAGAAGCCACCGATGTCGAGGACATCTCCTACTGCCGCCTAGGGAGAGGATGGCAGTGACCTGCAGGCCTTGCTGCTCCTGTCGCGTGGCCCCCTTGGCTGGGCTTGGCTGGGCTTGGCTGGGCTTGGCTCTTCCCTCCCACCGCTACCAGGACGACCGTCTCGCCACAGCCCAGGCTGCCTGGACTGGCGCCAGGAGCTCCCCAGACGAGGTGTCCCTTTGGGGGGCCGGTTTTGGGCCGGAGGGTGGCGAGCAGGCTGGCGCTGGCATGGCCACTTCAGGAGCCCCTTGGGGCCACGGGAATAACCACGATCTCGATTTGGGGGTGCTGCACAGCAGCAAGGGCGAGGGCGAGGGCAACAGCGGGCAACAGATCCCGAGGGCTTCAGCTTCGATTCTGAGAGCGAATTGACAGAGCAGGGAAGGGTGGTGCTCTGGGGCTGGGAAGGCCGGTCTGACACCGCAGTCGACAACCAAGGGGACCGTGTGGACTACTCGTCCTACCTGGCTGACAAGCCAGCTGTCATCGTGCCGCCGCCCAGCGTCCAGGGACACAAGTCCTCAGAAAGCGCCGCTGCCAAAGGGTCCGCTGACATCTGGGCGGACCTGGAGGTCGATCCCAGTGGGAGAGGCGCCCTGGGCCCCAGCCCTGGAGAATGGGAGCAGGCCTCTGCAGGCCCTCTCCACCTTAGTGGTCCTGGGCCAGGCCGGGCCTGGGAGAACCCGGAAAAGCGGCTCGAAGAGCAGGTTGAGCGGCCACGTGGATCCCCAGCAGCCCTCCGTGAAAGGCCCCGCGGGGCACGACTCTGATTCCCCAGATGAGAGCAGCGACTTACCGCTGATGAGGGTGGGCATTCGCCGCAACGAAGGAAGCCAGGCCAAGCCCTGCAGCCCCAAGAAGCCAGCAGACACATCCAGACACGCAAGCTTCCACTGCAAGGAGAGTTACCTGCCCGTGCTGGGCCTTTTCCTGACCTCTGCTCCCCCCGGACTCGCTCCAGTAGTAGAGAGGCCGGCTATGGGAGAGCTGGAGGACTCTTGCCAGAAGAAAATGCAGAGCAGGGCCTGGGGAAAGGTGGAGGTCAGGCCCAGCTGCTCAGGAGCTGCCGCTGGAGGGGCCCTGCCCCGGGGCCCTTCAAGAAGGAAGATAGCCCAGGAGAAGAAGTCCCTAGGGGGTGCCTCTCAACTGGCCCCGGGAAGAGCCTTTCCTGCCTGCGGAGAGAAACTCTCAGCCACTCCCCCAGAAACGGCCACCTTCCCGCTATTGTCTGGTGTGCGGCCGCAGGGGATGTCCAAGAAACCCTAAAAGCCTAAGCACAGCAGCCCTGGGAAGAAATCAGCAGGAAGGAAGACCAGGGAGTCCCAGGCTGCGGCCAGAGAAGATAATGACCCAAATAGAGATGAGGTCCCAAGGTCCCACGGAAGTAAGCCTTGGGACTTCTCACCCTCCTCTCCCTTTTCACCCTCCTACTCCTCTGGTCTCCCCCCACGCCTCCTCTCTTCCAGCACACGCCTGTTTACCCATGTCCCCTCTGTCCCTTGCTCCAGGGTTGTCATCAGGAGCCCAGGCACACTAGAATGCCCTATCGGGGTCTTCGTCGTAGGGGCACACGTTAAGGGGAGCACTTGGTATGTGACCGGCATGCCTGTGGACACTCGGCAGGGGTCCTGCTTCCTCCTCCATGGAGGAGCTGGGACGGAAGGCAGGGCTGGCAGCTGATTTGGATGGGGTGAGCTCTTAAAGTGTAGGCTGCAAAGCTGGGGCACCTAGGCTCATCAACTTCCTGATTCCTCCTTTCTTAGCTGTTGCCTGAGCCACCTGGCAGGCGGCCCGGGCTATCTCAGTATCCCTAGTGTTTTCCCTGGCTGGCCTCTGCCTCCTGGCCTGGGGCTGACTAAGGTAGAAAGTGCTAATGAGATTAGGCTACGGAGTCTCCATTTTACCACAATCCCTCCCAACATGTACTCACCACCCACCCCCACCACCAGCCTGACTCAGAAATTTCTGTTTTAGCTTCCCACACACAGGCCAGGGCTGCCTCGCCTGTCTGTGCGTCATGGAGAATTCAACAGTGGCGACCCCATCATCAGAACTCCCCAAATTCTGGGAAGTTCAGAGCCCTCGGCCTGCAGCCCGGGAGGCCTCGTGCCCAGACGCCATGCACCCTCCGGTGAGTCTTGCGGGTTTGATAGGGGTGGAGGGGAGAGGGGTCGGGAGGGAAACCTCTGGCTCTGTCGCTTCTGGGGGCTCAGCCTTGTTCCCAGGCTTCCCTGCCCACCCAGGCAGCTGTCCCACGGGGAAACGGGGTGTTGACGGGGCTGGCTTTAAGCCACATCGTCCTCTCTGAGTGGGGTTTGTGTGGTGGGGGGCGATTTGGAGCAGTGCCCCACACTCCAGCTCTGGAAGGAGACTTTCCGCAGTACTGAGCCCTTTTCTGTTAAGTCCTGCTCAGCCACACTGGCCCTCCCAGGGCCTGGCTGTGGCTGCCGCGCTGCTGGAGTCCAACCCGGAGTCACAACGCTAGGGGGCCACAGGTGCAGATGGGCTCACACTGGGGAACAGTGAAGGCAGTCCCAGAGGACTGTCTCTGGGACAGTCTGTTGGAGTTGCTGGGCAGAGCAGGGGCAATGTGTTGCCAGCAGAGGGTGATGGTGCCTCACTTTAGACCCTGCTAGGCCTTTTCCAACTCACTGGGAGTCTTGGAAGCTGGGTTTTGTGTTCTCTTTCAGGTGACCAGCTGCCACCTGTCCATCCTCCAAGACCGGAAAGGCAGCAGCAGCCCCTGGGAGCCCAGGGCTGTCCTTGGGTAATGCTTTGTGTGGCTCTTAGAAATAGAGGTCCACACTAGATGGTGGCATCCATGTCCAGGTTAAATTGACTTCTGTGTCCCCCAACCCCCCGCCTCCACCTTCCACACCCCACGGACAGAGGGTGCCTCCTTTCCATTGAGGATTCTGTGCCAACCCACCTCACCACTGGGCTGCAGGCTATGGGGTCTGTAAGGGCTGGGGGAGAGACGGAGGCCGGGGAGAGAGCAGACCAGAATTGACTAACCATTTTTCTTCCTCTGGTGTCTGCTGGTCTAGTGCATCCAGCTGCAGAGGGAAATTGATGACCTTACACAGCAACTAGGTATGACGGAGCCCTGGCCGGGGCAGGGATGGACAGCAGTGTCTTTCTGCAGGTGCCGGGGGCGGGGGTGGGCTGCAGATACAGGAAGCGTCACTGGGACTGACTTTCCTTTGGGGAAGAGAACCAAGCAAACCCTGGCCCTGGAGCCTTCTGTGCCTTTCCAGCTAGGGGTGTGCACAGACAGCAATGTGTCGTCTGAACTCTGTGTACACTTTGTCCATGAGTCCCAGAGATCTTCTCTTAGGACAGTTAGAGATACTGCATGTGTTTTCCCTTTAACTGCTGCCTGGTAAGGCTTATATGGTGTTTGCTTGCTGGCTGGCTTATCTGTCTTTGAAACATATTCTGAACGGTTCTGGGATGCCCCAGCACCTGAGAACCACTTTCCCGCTTAGAAGGCATTTCCACATTTAATTCAGGTGACGGGTGGATGAGTCAGTCCCAGGGCTGGTGGGGTTTCTGGTTGCAGGGCTAGGTGGTTCCCCACGGGGGCAGGGGGTGAGTTTCTGTTTCCCTGGGTCTGGAGTGCCCGGTTCTGCCTCTCTGTTTCAGCGGCCATGCAGTCCTTCACTGACAAGTTCCAGGACCTTTGAAGTAAGTGTTGCACACACCATGCCCCTTCCCACAATCCCGGTAGCTTAGGAGGGCTGTGGGCTGGCCCTGGCTGGGGGCCCGTCCCTGAGCCTGCTCTGTTTCACAGGTTGGAGCCAGCGTCCGGAGCTGCAGCCAAGCGAGTTTCCTCCTTATCCTCCTTAGCCAGGGCTTTTTCTCTTCCGCTGCATTTGCCCCCTTCCCAACGCAGTTCAAAGCAGTGTGAAATAAAGTCGTTCTCATATTCTGTGGTCTGTGGTCTGCCTTCTCTGCGATTGTTGGGAGTGTTGGGGGATTCGGTGTGTTGCTGCCTTCCCTGGCGCTTGAAGAACAATTCCCCTGTTGCTCTGTGGTGGGCCCTCTCCCTGGGGGACTCCTGGGCTGGCCTCTGAGCAGCAGCCCTGCACTCGGGCTCATCATAGTGCCCTGGGTCTAGGTGCTGTGGGGGCCCTGCCTGGCCACAGCAGCATTTCCTGCCTTTACCTTACACGCCTTGCTCATGGTCTCACCTTTTCTCCTCCTACTTCGGGGTCTCACAAGTCCCCTTCTTCAGCGCTATTTTCCCTCCCCTTCTACAGGAACTGATGCCCTCCTAGAACCGTGGTCTTTCTCTCCTTTTCTCCTGCAGTTCACTGTCCCGGTTCTACCCTGTCACTGTCCTTTCCGTTGTGAGCATCCTTGCTCTCCCACGTGGCTTGACGCCGGTGGTCTTTCCTGCACGGTTATTTCCGTGCTGTTGAGGAACACGTTGGAGCTTATCCTCCCACTCAGGAGACCAGTCCCCTTTCTGGAGCCATTATGTCCCTCTGGTGCCACCACACACATGGTCAGGTCATCTGGGCCAGAAACCGGGTGGCATCATCAGTTCCTCTTAGCCCTCATATTTGAATCTCAGTTACCAAATCCCATCAGGTCTCCTCCTTCGTTTCAGTAGCCAGGTGGAGGCAGAAGCCACATCCCTGTGGGTGGCTGAGCCAAAGGGAAGGTACATGGAGTGCCGAAGAAAAGGGCAGGGTAGTCTCTTGGTTGGAGGTGGGGGCACTGAGTCTGTTCTGGTGCCTGTGAGCCAACCTGGTAGAAACTGCTACACGGAAGGTGGCTTTCTCATCCTTGGTGTCCTATAGGTGGCCAACAGCCCCTTCTGCAGCCAGTCGACTCCATACCCTTGATTTGAAAATGGCAAGCTGCCTTCCAGGGCAAGTCTCAGGTTTTCGTGGACGTGATATTTCCGCATCCCTGGTTAGTCTTTCAGACCGCCTCTCGAGGTCACACGAGATTTCCTTGGGTTCCCTGTTCTTCCTTCACCCTCCCTGACAGTTGGGATCACCTGCTTCCTTCAGCCAGAATCCTGGGCTGGGCAGGCTCCAGATTCGGGCACAGATTCTGGTTCCAGTGAGGGGGTGTGTGTATGTTCTGCCAGCTCCCATCTCTAAGAGACTGGGTGTTGAACAGACGAAGACAATAGAAATGCAGATACCATTCAAGGTTAGCGTGTGTATGTGTGCGTGTGCCCCTGCAAGCACCTGCTTGGGAATCAAATTAATCATGGGTGCTGTCCCTTGAGGGAGAAAGGGCTAATTGACAGAGTGGAGGCAGTGATGAAGGATACCTGAAGGATGCAATGCGCAAAAGCAGGGCTGGGATCCACTTTTTACAAGACGTGTTGTTCAATTCTAACACCTGGAAGGCTGTGGAGTGGGACAAATGGGACTTCTCCAAACACAGAGATGGGTGTTGGGGCTCTCAGAATGCTGGAGGTGCCACAGTAGGCTCCCGATCCTCCGCGGGATGGATGGGATGTCTCAGCACTCCCGTGTGTGGGTGCAGTGATAATACCTCAGAGTCGCTGGTTGGTGCCTCGTCTAGGAAGTGGGGAGCCCCCATGGGAGGGTGCCACGACGCCAGCTAACGGAGACACGGGCAAGACAGACAGTGAGGGTGGAAAGCGGGAAAGCGGGACTGCCCTGGGACAGCTGGTCGGGTTCGGTACCTGCCTTCCCCCATACTCTCTCTGTGTCTCCCTGCTGGGCTCGTGGTGTGAGCTCAGTGAGGGGGACCATCACGCATGTGGTGGGCCAATCACAGGGCTCAGAGCTGGAAACCAATGGTGGTGGGGACCTATGCTATCCGCCTCAAACCCCTAGCCTGAGATGGTTGGCTTGATTCCTTGGGCCAAGGCTTTGACCCTGACACAGATGGTTGTTTCTTGGGAGGATAACACAGCGGGCTGAGATCTGGGGAGGACGTCTGTTAGGAACTCTCCAGCTTGGGTTTTTGCCACTGGAGACACCTACGCAGGTTCTGGTTGGGTGAGAACTCCAGCCCCAGGCACTGCCCCGGGGGCCATGGGCCATGGTCAACAGGGTGTGGAAGGGGAGAAGCCTGTGGACGGAGTCGTGGAAGGCGAGAACCCATCCCTCGGTGGCTGGATTTGGCAGCCCCGCCTCTCAGCACACCACCTCGGTTCCATATTCAGACCACCTTCTGCACAATAATGGGGCTGTAACATGTATACCCTAGGCCATGGTCGGGCAGAGCCTTCCAGTTCTATGGGAAATAAGTGCAGAATCTGAGGCTCCTCAGATTAGAGGAATCCATTTGGGCCCCAGTGGAGAGGAGGTTGAACCCCTCCCCTCATTTAGTGCCTCCCTCTTGCTTTTCTCTCAAGTCTCCTCTCTCACCAAGAGGAATGTGGGGTCCGGCCTGGAGAGCCTTAGACCCCCTCCTGCCTTGTCCTGCCACTCAGCTCAGACGGGCTCCAGAGGTCTGCCGAGCTGCGTGCCTGCCCTTGATGCAGCCACAGTGGCGCAGCCCTGAGCAGAATCCCACCTACACCCGGTGCCAGGGCTGCCACAGGTACATTTCCAGATGAGACCTCTTACTCCATTGGCCGAAAAGAGCATCTCCCCTTCAGGCTCCAGCTGGGTTTGAAGGTGTGTGAGTCTCCTCACACACATGCCAGACAGAGTCCCCAAGGGTGGCCGTCCAGGCTGTGGTGGAGTCTCAGGGCACTGCACACGGGAATGTGAGATGGCAATCATAGGATCATAGTGGTCTTGGTGAGTAACAGGATGAACTTTAGCCTGCCTGGAACACAATCCTGGGTGAACTCGGACAACCTCATGCCCATCTGTCCTCAACCTGCACGCCAAGATCTCTTCCTTTCTCCCACACTTTTTCTCATCATCCATTTCCTTGAAGGATGAAGCCAACACTCATGTTTGCCAGGTACGGCCGCGTAGGCTGTGGCCACCAGGGTGGCCATGCAAACACTATATGCAGGAATCCAGGGTGCCCAGTTCAGATGATCCAGCATGAACTGCTCCCCTGTGGTTGTGCAATGTTGAAGTCCAGGTCACTACCATGCAGAGCAAGGAGCAGAAGGCTGGCAGGGTGTTGGAGCCCTCTTGCTGGCCCCACCCTGATCACTACTTCCCGTTTTGCATACTCCTCCAGAAGTAATCACTCTGCTGACTTTCCCAATAATCACTCACTTTCTTTTAAAGGATTAATAATTTCCATTTAATAACCCTCACCAAGATATAAAAGTTAGAGGCAGTTAAATGTAAAATTATATTTTTGAAACAATACACACACACACACGTACAAACACACACACACACACACGGAGAGAACTCAGAAGTTGACCATTTGACAAATAGTTATAAGGTGATCAAGCCACGTAACTACTACCCAGGTTATGAATCTGTACATTGCAGCTTCGGAGAGTTGCGGTCAGAATGTCTTTCCCTAAAGGAAGCCAAATGCACATGCTACCTACTATGTGATTCCATTTATATGACATTCTGGAAAAGGCAAAAACTATAGGAGCAGAAAACAGATTGGTGGTTGCCAGGGTCTGAGGGTTAAGACCAGGAGTTCACTACCAGAGGGCGCGAGGGAACCTGGCGGGGATGGCGATGCTCTATATCTATATATCTTGTGATGGTGTTTCCACAGCTGTATGCATTTAGAAAATTCCGTAGACCTGTGTGTAAGTTATAGCCCAATAGTCCTGACTTTTTAGAAAAAAAAATTGTCAGCAATACATCTCGAAAGGAAATTGACACTTAGTCAATAATTTTGTGACTACGAAGAGCATGTTTCTCTCCCCTAATCTGTTAATGTGGAGAATTATAGCATTTTATTTTCTGAAAGGAAATTAAGTTCATATTTCTAGGATGAAGCTAATATTTGTCATGCCACATTAGGTATTTTCCTTTTTATGTCCTGTAGGCTTCTGTGTGCTAAGATTCTGGTTCTGGTTTTTGTTTCTATGTCATGAGCATGTGATTGATCTGCAATGTTTCTCTAAGTATCCTTGAAGTATTTGGTGTTGAGGTTATGCCAAGCTCATAGAGTGAGTTGAGGATTGTTCCTCTTTTTCAATTTTCTGCACGAGTTTGTGTCAAACGGAAGAGACATATTCCTAGGATGTTTTTCAGAATGTGGTGGGGAATCCTGGAGTTTGTTAGTGGAAAGCCTTTGACTACTCATATCTTTCTGTAATGATTCTGGAACGGTTCAGGTTGGCTGTTCTTTCTTGTGTCAGTTTTGGCAGGTTTTGTTTCCTAGCGATTGGCGACCTTTTTCTTTGTTTTCAAACTGACTGGAATAAAATGGTCCATAATATCCCCCTTCATCTCAGATTGCATTTGTTTAAATTTCAAAGCCACAGAAGAGTTGCAGGGAAAGCACAAGGAGCACTCATACGTATATTCTTCTACTGGATCCTGCAGTTTTTAACATTTTCTCACATTTGCTTTATCCCTCCCTCCAACCCATCCCCTGTCTTTCTCTGTGTGTGCGCATATTTTCCATTATTTTGTGGAATCATTTGAGATCCATTTGAATCATTAAGATCCATCATCCCTAAATACTGTAGCATGTATCACCTACGAGAAAGCATGGTCTTTCACAAAACCTTAATGCCTTCATCACACTCAGGAAATGTAACATTGAGACCACACAATTTTCTACTGTATGATCACATGAAACATTTTCCGATTGTCCCCATGGTCCCATAGTATCCCTCATAGCTGCTTTCTAACAAAATTCTCTTTCCAACCAAACATCATGCTTTGCACTTAGTTGTCAAGTCTCTTTTGAGACAGGGTCACCCTCTGTTACCCAGGCTGGCGTGTAGTGTCGCAAACCCAGCCCACTGCAGCCTTGAGCTCCCAGGCTCAAGCTATCTTCCCGCCTCAGCCTCCTGAGTAGCTTGGACTACAGGCATGCACCACCATGCCCAGCTAATTTTTAAAATATATTTTGTAGAGACTTGGTTTCACTGTGTTGCCCAGGCTGGTCTGGAACTCCTGAGCTCCAGCTGGGTCTCCCAAAATGTTAGTATTACAGGCGTGAACCATGGTGCCTGGCCCGTCAAGTCTCTTCAGTGTCCTTTAAAGTGTGCTTTAAAGCAATGTTTAAAATTTGCTTTAAACCAGTGCAGTTGTCAGGAAGCCCTTGAACTTGGGTTTGTTGAATGTCTTCCTTGTGATTAGACTCAGGTAGGTTTAACATTTTTGGCAGGACTACTCCGTAGTAGATGTGCTGGCCTTCTTGGAGCATGACTTCAGCAGATTCTCCATGTTGGTTTGTCTTATGACAGGTGATGTTCATCTTGACCATGTGGTCAGGGCACTGTTCCAAATTACTCCATTGTGAAGGTGCCATCTTTTCTTTGTATTGAATTAGCCATGTGCTGTTACTGCATGAGCACTGTGTGAATATCCAGTACCCACACAATATCCTCTTTGTATCTTTTGGATGCTTGCATATGATATGGTTTGGATCTGTGTCCCCACCAAGTCTCATGTCAAATTGTAACTTCTAATGTTGGAGGTGGGGCCTGGTGGGAGGTGACTGGATCATGGGGCTGAATCTTCAGGAATGGTTTAGCAGCATCCACTTGGTGCTGTCCTCATGGTGGCGAGTGAGTTCTCATGAGTCTGGTTGTTTAAAAGTGTGTGACACCTCCCCCTGCTCTCTCTCTTGCTCCTGCTCCTACCATGTAACACGTACCTGCTCCTGTTTCGCCTTCCGCCATGATAGCAAGCTTCCTGAGTCCTCCCAGAAGCAGAAGTCACTACACTTCCTGTACAACCTGCAGAACCCTGAGCTTTTCTGTATAAATGGCTCAGTCTTGGGTATTTCTTTATAGCAGCACGAGAGCGGACGTAACATCATTTGTGCTTGTTTCTCCCTTTTCTTTCCTGATAGCTGTGCCCTTCCCCCTTATTTTCTTGACCAGTCTCAAAAGAGTTTTACCAATTTCATTCTTCTTCCAAACACCCAACTGGTTTTGTGATCCTTATGCTTACTTCCCCTTTCACTGATTTCTGCTTTTACCTTGATTATTTCCTTCTACTTTAGTTGGTCTTATCTTGTAACTTTTTCTCATTAATTGTATGCTGTCCTATTTTATATGGTTTGGCTGTGTCCCCAACCCAAATCTCAACTTGAATTGTGTCTTCCAGAATTCCCATGTCTTGTGGGAGAGACCCAGGTGAAGGTAATTGAATCATGGGTGCCGGTCTTTCCCATGCTATTCCTGTGATAATGAATAAGTCTCACGAGATCTAATGGGTTTATCACGAGTTTCCACTTCTGCTTCTTCCTCCTTTTCTCTTGCCGCCACCACATAAGAAGTGCCTTTCACCTCCCGCCATGATTCTGAGTCCTCCCCAGCCATGTGGAATTGTAAGTCCAATTAAACCTCTTTTTCTTCCCAGTCTTGGTATGTGTTTATCAGCAGTGTAAAAACTGACTAATCTACTAAATTGGTACCAGTAGAGTGGGGCGTTGCTGAAAAGATATCTGAAAATGTGGTAGCAACTTTGGAACTGGGTAATAGGCAGATGTTGAAACAGTTTTGAGGCCTCAGAAGAAGAGAGGAGAATGTGGGAACATTTGGAACCTCCTAGAGACTTGTTGAATGGCTTTGCCCAAAATACTGATAGTGATATGGACAATAAGGTCCAGGCTGAGGTGGTCTCACATGGAGATGAGGAACTTTTTGGGAACTGGAGTAAAGGTGACTCTTGTTAGGTTTTAGTAAAGAGACTCGTGGCATTTTGCCCCTGCTCTAGAGATTTGTGGAACTGTGAACTTGAGAGAGATGATTTAGGGTATCCAGTGGAAGAAATTTCTAAGCAGCAAAGGATTCAAAGGGTGACTTGGGTGCTGTTAAAAGCATTCGGTTTTAAAACAGAAACAGAGCATAAAAGTTCAGAAAAGTTACAGCCTGACAATACAGTAGAAAAGAAAAACCAATTTTTTGAGGAGAAATTCAAGCCGGCTGCAGAAATTTGCACAAGGAGCAAGAAGCCTAATGTCAATCCCCAAGACCCTGGGGAAAATGTCTCCAGGCCATGTCAGAGACCTCCAAGGCAGCCCCTCCCATCCCAGGCCTGGAGGCCCATGAAAGTGGTTTCATGGGCTGGTCCCAGGGTTTCCGTGCAGTGTGCAGCTAGGGATTTGATGCCCTGTGTCCCAGCCACTCCAGCCATGTCTGAAAGGGGCCAGTGTAGAGCTCAGGCTGTGGCTTCAGAGGGTGGAAGCCCCAAGCCTTGGCAGCTTCCATCAGGTATTGAGCCTGTGGCTGCACAGAAGTCAAGAATTTAGGTTTGGGAACCTCTGCCTAGATTTCAGAAGATGTATGGAAATGCCTGGATGCCCAGGCAAAAGTTTGCTGCAGAGGCGGGCCCCTTACGGAGAACCTCCGCTAGGGCAGTGCAGAAGGGAAATGTGGTATCGGAGTCCCCAAACAGAGTCCCTACTGGGGGACTGCCTAGCGGAGCTGTGAGAAGAGGACCACTGTACTCCAGACCCCAGAATGGTAGATCCACTGACAGCTTGCACTGTGCTCCTGGAAAAGCTGCAGACACTCAATGCTAGCCCGTTAAACCTGCCAGGAGGGAGGCTGTATCCTGCAAAGCCACAAGGGCGGAGTTACCCAAGACCACGGGAACCCACCTCTTGCATCAGTGTGGCCTAGATGTGAGACCTGGAGTCAAAGGAGATAATTTTGGAGCTTTAAAATTTTACTGCCCTGCTGGATTTTGGACTTGTATGGGCCCCGTAACCTCTTTATTTTGGCCAATTTCTCCCATTTGGAATGGCTGTATTCACCAAATACTTGTATGCCCACTGTATCTAGGAAGTAACTAGCTTGCTTTGATTTTACAGGCTCATAGGCGGAAGGGACTTGCCTTGTCTCAGATGATACTTTCAACTGTGGACTTTTGGGTTAATGCTGAAATGAGCTGAGACTTTGGGGGACTGTTGGGAAGCCATGATTAATTTTGAAATGTGAGGACATGAGATTTGGAGGGGCCGGGGCAGAATGATATGGTTTGGCTGTGTCCCCATCCAAATCTCAACTTGAATTGTATCTCCCAGAATTCTCACATGTTGTGGGAGGGATCCAGGGGAAGGTAATTGGATCATGGGGGCTGGTCCTTCCTGTGCTATTCTTGTGATAGTGAATAAGTCTCATGAGATCCGATGGGTTTATCAGGGGTTTCTACTTTTTGTTCTTCCTCCTTTTCTCTTGCCGCCAACATGTAAGAAGTGCTTTCACCTCCCGCCATGATTCTGAGGCCTCCCCAGGCATGTGGAAGTGTAAGTCCAATTAAACCTCTTTTTCTTCCCAGTCTGGGGTATGTCTTTATAAGCAGTGTGAAAACAGGCTAATACACTCTTTTAAATATGTGCTTTTAGCAGCCTACACGTCCCCCTCAGGACTCCTTTGCTTGTGCCAACAAGGGTTTATGAGTAGTATTTTTGTAATCATCCAGTTCCAAATATGGGAAACAATGAATATTACAACTTCCATGGGATCCATACATTGTGGTGTGTTCATACAATGGAATACTATTTCAACACTTCATCTAGGAAGTGCTAGATGAGGAATCAAAAGACCTGGCTCTCTCCAGACTTGCTGAAAAGCACTTCCCCTTTCAGAACCTCCATTTCTCCATCTGTGAAAAGAGAAGGATGGCATGGAACAGTGCTTCTCAACCTGAGGTCTATGAACTTTCTGAAAAAGTGAAAGTACAAAGTACTCCTCTACTGAATAATAGGCATGAGTCTTACAAAGATAACACCGAATGAAAGAAGCAAGTAACAACACGGACAAGTTTAATGATTCCATTCCTATAACTTCAAATGACAGGCAACACTAACCTACCTTGTTGAAGAATGCATACTTAGGGTATAAAACCATAGAGAAGAGCAAGGAAAGGACAATCAGAAAAGTCAGGATGTTGGTTTCCCCTTGCAGTAGGAGTGGGGCTGAGCTCAGGCAGGGACACCCCAGGAGGCTCTGGGGGATGCTGGCGGTGTTCTCCTCTGGGACCTAGGGGAGTGTTCCCGTACAGGTGCACTTGATAATCATTTATTAAACTATACACATAGATTGTGATGTTTTCTTTCCATACGTTGCCTGCCACCATAGGCGGAGAAAAAAATAGTGCTAAGGGAAATAACATTGCGTTAAACAGGTAAGTATTTTATAACTAGAAGAATAACCAAAATTATTTTTGCTATTTATAGAAAATCTCCTTGAGAGTAGTAATATCAGTTTATTGATAATAATAGCTTTATTTTCAACTTCTCATAAATTTCTCTAAACATCATAGGAATGATACATAATTGTGATATTAATTTTAACTTTTTAGTAAATATTTTATATTTGGATGGTAAGTTTTCATTCAGAATTTGTGATTTTGTGCTGGAGCCCCATGAATTTGGTAACTTGATACAGCTTCTCAGGGGAGATTTGTCACCTCCCATCCACTTAACTGTCAGAGGTGGAGGACCAAGAACTGGAGAAAAATAAATGACCAAAAAAAAATCTAAAAAGATGTGCCTTCAATGTAATACATTAATTTGACCAGGTGAGGGCAGTGCCGTTTTAAGCTGTTTGCTGGGAAGCTAGTAGCGGCGGCTGGTGATTTCATGCCTTTTCAATTTGTCCTTTTCTCTAAGGTTAGCTGCTGGGATTGAAAGGGCCATTTGTGCCAATGAAGGTGGAAGCAGGGTTGGCAATTCTTCTGATGGGCTGCATCTCCTTTGCCTGCTTGGCACTTCCTTCTTAACACCAACCTTGCCAACAGCTTTCCCCAGCAACTCTTTTCTTCCTCTTTCTTCTCCTCAGGCCCAACTAAGACCACTGATGTGCTACACAAAGCACTGGACCCTGACAGACAGAGTGATAGCAGGCTGGAGTGTGCAGCCCTTTGGGGCCTTATTGTTTGTTGCAACTTTCATGGGATGGGATCAATACATTGTGGTGTGTTCATACAATGGAGTACTATTTCAGCAGCGTAAAAGTACAAAGTACTCCTCTACAGAATAATA
This sequence comes from Homo sapiens, assembly GCF_000001405.40. Classification (NCBI taxonomy): domain Eukaryota; kingdom Metazoa; phylum Chordata; class Mammalia; order Primates; family Hominidae; genus Homo; species Homo sapiens. The sequence continues at coordinate 71,859,399 of NC_000023.11, read as the reverse complement.
GGCAAAGCCAGAGGCATTTTCCTAAAAAGTCAGCCTCCATCCCAGGATGAGTTTCCCCTGCTTTTGTTTCTAGTCTTGTACTCCTCCAGAGTGGCTTGAGTGAAGGCTCCACACTAATTTGTGGCTTTAATACAGTCAAGTAGGAAGAATGTTGTGGTTATTTATTTCATCGATTGATGAAATGAAATAAAAACTCTTCTCTGGGGCCAGGCGCAGTGGCTCATGCCTGTCTGGGAGGCCAAGGCAGGAGGATCACTTGAGCTCAGGAGTTCGAGACCAGCCTGGCCAACATGGCAAAACCCTGCCTCTACGAAAATTACAAAAAATTAGGCAAGTGTGGTGCCGCATGCCTGTAGTTCCAGCCACTTGCGGGGCTGAAGGGGTAGGATCACTTGAGCCTGCAAGGTAGAGCCTGGCAGTGAGCCGACGAAATCACCACTGCACTCCAGACTGGATGACAAAGTGAGACCCTGCCTCAAACAAACACACAAAACAAAACAAAACAAAACAAAACAACAAACAAACTATTCTCTGGTTCTCTGGGGGCCACCCCTCTGCTTAGAGATAAATAGCATTTCCCATGATAAGTACTGCTCCATTCTCTGATTCCATTATTTAGAAGTCCAGCAACTGTAAGGACTTACTTAAGGGCAAATGAGAAGCAGAAATCAAGGAACCACTTACTTTGAAACTTTACTTTAAATTACTACTTAAGTAAAGGGTCTTCTCAGATTCTCGTTAGGGAATTTTCATCTACATTTTCTTTGAGACAGGGCCCCCACCTTCTCACCCAGGCTGGAGTGCAGTGACATGCTCATAGCTCACTCCAGCCTCAAACTCTTGGGCTCAAGCCATCCTCCTACCTCAGCCTTCCAAAGTGCTGGAATTCCAGGTGCGAGGCAGCACACCCAGCCTTTTTCATCCCTTTAGACTACATTTTCTTTATTGCTAATTCTATCATACCATTAGAAGAAATTTGAGGGAAAAAATAATTTTGTCCATAATTCTAGGACCCAAACACCTCAACTGATTTTTTTTCTCCATGGTTCCTGCTCTAAGATCATAGAAGTACAGAATATTGGAACTAGAAGAACTCTTGGAGAAATTTAACAGGCCAACTCATGGTCAGTGTGCAAGTGAGGAATCTAAGAGCTGGAGGGGCAGTGCCACGTCAAGGCCACCAGATAGTTCAAGGCTGCATCTCTTCAGTCTCCATTTTGTCCTTCAGCAGGGCAGAAACCACTCTATCTCCTCATACGCAGGCCTCATGTGGATTGATATCAAAGTTGGTGCAGCTTCTTCCCAACCTCTTGACTAGTTCTAAGCACTATAATATATCCCATTTGCTGTCAGTTACAGCTAGAGCCAGATTAACCCATGAGAGCATCTTGGGTGAAGGAGCAGCTATTGTCTTTACTCCATCCAGAGGACCTGTGGTGTGCTGGGGTCACCCAGGATGGTTGTCTCTTGGTATTGTACAGTTCTGTACAGGCACAACAGATGGTAGAATAAGGTAAAACAAGCACTAGATGAGGAGTCAAAAGAACTGGCTCTCTCCTAACCTGCTGAAAAGCACTTCCCCTTTCAGAACCTCCATTTCTCCATCTGTGAAAACAGAAAGGTGGCCTGGAACAGTGCTTCTCAACCTGGGGTCCATGAACTTTCGGAAATTGTGAGCAGAGTTGTGGGAGGTGGTGTATGCAGTCTCCTAGGAAGAGTGTATAGAGCTTTCATCCCATTCAACAATACTGAGGGGAAACCATGCAAATTTTTACTTTCATAAGTTTGTATCAGTTAATTGTGATATATTCATATGATGGAGTACCTTTTTTTTGCAGTGGAAATGTACTGGGTATTCTTAGGAATGCTATCTGTTTTTAAGAAAAGTCCATTACCAATATATAACAAATTACATAAAGTTAAATATTATATGATATTTATAAAGCATACTATACATATATACAAGTTTAGAAAACCAATTGGCTGTGAGTGAACTGTTGTGTAGTGATGAAAGCACATATTGAGTACTGAGGTCAAGAAAGAGTACTTTGCAGTTCTAGAGGTGTTATATGTATTTCATTGTGCTAAAGACACCAAATATGGAACGCTACATAATGTGTGATTCCATTTGTAGGACATTCTTAAAACTGGAAAACTACACATACAGAAAACTAATCAGTTATTTCCATGTCTGTGGATTGTGAGAGGTGTTTAACTACAAATGCGTGTTATTCGTTGTTAGCAATTTTGCCTTTCTTTATTTTGAAATGTAACATACATAGAAGTTCACAATATGTGTGTGTTGTTTAACAGTGATTATCAAGGTCACCTCTACAGAAACACCCCCATGTCACAGAGGAGAACACCACCAGCATTCCGCAAAGCTCCTGGGGTGTCTCTGCCTGATCTCAGCCTCATTCCTCCTCCAAGAGGAAACCAACACATTTACTTTTGTGATCATCCTTTCCTCTTTTTCCTCTATTTTTTTTTGTCCTATGTCCTATATTACATTCTTTTAATAGTACAGTTTGCCTGCAGACAACATGATCCTGAATCTAGAAAACCCCATAGTCTCAGCCCCAAACCTCCTTAAGCTGATAAACAACTTCAGCAAAGTCTCAGGATACAAAATCAATGTGAAAAATCACGAACATTCTTATACGCCAACAACAGTCAAGTGGAGAGCCAAATCAGGAACACAGTCCCATTCGTAATTGCCACACAGACATACCCAGGAACACACCACACCAGGGAGGTGAAAGATCTCTACAAGAAGAACTACAAAACACTGCTCAAGGAAATCAGAGATGTCACAAACAAATGGAAAAACATTCCTGCTCACGGATAGAAAGAATCAATATCATTAAAATGGCCATACTGCCCAAAGCAATTTGTAGATTCAATGCAATTCCTATTAAGTTACCTTTGACATTCTTCACAGAAGTAGAAAAACTGTTTTAAATTCATATGGAACTGAAAAAGAGCCTGAACGGCCAAGGCAATCCTAAGCAAAAAAAAAAACAATGCTGGAGGCATCACACTACCCAACTTCAAACTATACCACAGGCCTATAATAACCCAAATAGCATGGTACTGGTACAAAAACAGACATGGAAAACAATGGAACAGAATAGAGAACCCAGAAATAAGGCCGCACACCTACAACTATCTGATCTTTGATAAACCTGACAAAAGCAAACAATGGGGAAAGGATTCCCTATTCAGCAAATGGTGCCGGGATAACTGGCTAGCCATATATGGAAGATTGAAACTGGATGCCTTTTTTTACACCAGGTACTAGTCCATTCTCTTGCTGCTAATAAAGACATACCGAGACTGGGTAATTTATAAAGTAAAGAAGTTTAGTGGACTCACAGTTCCACATTCCTTGGGAGGCCTCATAATCATGGCAGAAGGTGAAGGAGGAGCAAAGGCATGTCTCACATGGCTGCAGGGAAGACAGCATGTGCACGGAAACTGCCCTTTATGAAACCATGAGATCTTGTGAGACTTATTCGCTGTCATGAGAATAGCAAAGGAAAAATCTGCCTCCATGATTCAACTACCTCCCACCGAATCCCTCCCAGGACATGTGGGGATTATGGGAGCTACAATTCAAGATGAGATGTGGGTGGAGACATAGCCAGACTATATCACACCATACACAAAAATTAACTCAAAATGGATTAAAGACTTAAATGTAAACCCCAAACTATAAAAGTCCTGGAAGACAACCTAGGCAATCATATTCCAGACAAACTAACAGGCAAAGATTTCATGACAAAGACAGCAAGAGCAATTACAACAAAAGCAAAAATTGACAAATGGAATATAAATAAACTACCGAGCTTTGCCCGCTAAAGGAAACTATCAACAGAGTGAACAGATAACCTACAGAACGGGAGAAAATTTTTGCACATGATGGATCTGACAAAGGTCTAATATCCAGGATCTATAAGGAACTTAAACAAGTTTAAAAAACAACAACAACAAACAACCCCATTAAAAAGCGGGCAAAGGACATGAACAGACACTTTTTCAAAAGAAGACATACATGCGGCCAACAATCCTGTGAAAGAAAGCTTAACGTCACTGACCATTAGAGAAATGCAAATCAAAACCACAATGATTTACCATCTCACGCCAGTTAGAATGGCGATCATTAAAAAGTAAAAAAATAACAGATACTGGCGAGGTTGCAGAGAAAAAGGAACACTTATACACTGTTGGTGGAGTGTAAATTAATTCAGCCATTGTGGAAGACAGTGTGGTGATTCCTCGAAGACCTAAAGACAGAAATACCATTCGTCCCAGCAATCTCATTACTGGGCATATACCCCAAGGAATATAAATCATTCTATTATCAACACACATGCAAGTGTATGTTCACTGCAGCATTATTCACAATAGCAAAGACATGGAATCAACCTAAATGCCCATCAATGGTACACTGGATGAAGAAAATGTGGTACATATACACCATAGTATATTACGCAGCCATAAAAAAAGAACTAGATCAGGTCCTTTGCAGGAACATGGTTGGATCTGGAGGCCATTATCCTTAGCCAACTAATGCAGGAACAAAAAACCAAATACCACATGTTCCCACTTGTAAGTGGGCACTAAATAATGAGAACACAGGGACACAAAGAGGGGAACAACACACACCAGGGCCTATCAGATGGTGGAGGGTGGGAGGAGGGAGAGGAGCAGGAAAAATAACTAATGGGTACTAGGCTTAATCACTGGGTGACGAAATAATTTCTACAGGAAACCCCCATGTTACAAGTTTACCTGTGTAACAAACCTGTACATGTACCCCTGAACTTAAAATAAAAGTTAAATTCAAGAAATAATAATGATATGGCTTGGTGTTGACTGTTCTGTACTTTTATATTAGTGGAATCACAAAATATGTTGGTATTTCTTGCTTCTTGTGTTTAATGACAGGAGTTTGGTTGTGGATATTTAAATTTGAGATGTCTATTAGGTATCCATGTGGAGATGTTGAGTAGAAAAAGGTCTGGCTCTGGGCTAAAGAAATACATATGGGAGTCATCATAGTATCGATATTTTTCTTCAGGGTCCACTCCAGAGACAGAAATCACACCACTTTTTTATTGAGTTATGTTAAAATACAGAGAACATAAAATTTACCATCTTACGCGTTTTTCAGTTTTCAGTTCAGTAGTGTTAAGTATATTTGCATTGCTGTGCAGCCAATCTCCAGGATGTCTTTAATTGCAAAACTGATATGTATACCCATTAAACAACTCCTCATTTTCCCCTGCCTCCCAGCCTCTGGAAATTGCCACTCTACCTTCAGTTTTTGAGTTTTAATATTTTAGATCCCTTATACAGGTGGAACCATGTAGTATTTGTCCTTTTGTGACTGACTCATTTTATAGCATAATGTCCTAAAGTTTTATCCACATTGTAGCATTTATCAGAATTCCATCTTTTTATGGGCTAAATCATAATTCATTTTAATGGCCAAATAATAACGTACCATACTTTGTTTCTCTATTCATCCATCAGTGGACACTTGGGTTGCTTCCATCTCTTGGCTCTCATGAATAATGGTGCTATGAGCAGGGATGTACAAATATCTCTTTGAGACTCTGATTTCTATTCTTTTGGATATAGACACAGAATGGAATTACTGGATCACATGGTAATTCTATTTTTAATTTTCTGAGTAACCGCCATACGGTTTTCCACAGCAGCTGTGCCATTTTACATTCCCACCAACAGTGCACAAAGGTTCCAGTTTCTGCACATCTTCACCAGTATCACATCAGTTTTACTGAATAAACGGAATTTATTTCAATTTTTTGTATTTTATTTTTGTTTATTTTTTAATTGACAAGACTGTATATTTTTATAGTGTACAACATGATGTTTTGAAATACGTATACATTGTGCAATGGCTAAATTAGGCTAACTACAATATGTATGAACTCACATACCTTTCATCTTTTGTGGTGAGAACACTTAAAATTTACCCTCAACAATTTTCAAATATACATTAACTATAGTCACCATGTTTACAATAGATCTCTTGAACTTAGACTTCTTGACTAAATGAAGTTTTGTACACTTTGACCAATATCTCCCCAATCCTCCCCAGCCCCAGACCCTGGTAACCACCATTCTAGCCTCTGTTTCTAAAAAGTTTGATTTTTTAAGATTCTACGTCCCAGTGAGATTATACAGTATTTGTCTTGCTGTGCCTGGCTTATTTCACTCAACAAAATATATTCCAGATTCACTCATGTTGTCACAAATGACAGAATTTCCTTTTGTTTTTTTTTAAGTCTCAATAGTATTCTATTCTGTGTACATATACACATGTGCTTTATCCATTCATCCACTGATGGGCTCTTAGGTTGATTTCACGTCTTGGCTATTGCGAACAGTGCTGCAATGAATATGCGAGTGCAGATATTTTCGACATACTCATTTCATTTCCATTGGCCATATATCCAGTAGAGGGATTGCTGAATCAACTGACAGTTCTGTTTATAATTTTTTAATTTTAATTTTTAATGGATTCGTGATATTTGCACATATTTATGGTGTACATGTGATATTTTGTTGCGTGCATAGAATGTGTAATGATCAATTCAAGATATTTGGGTTAGCCATCACCTGGAATATTTTTCATTTGTATGTATTGGGAACATTTGAAGTCCTCTCTTCTGGCTATTTTGAAATTTACAATACATTGCTGTTAACTCTAATCACCCTATTCTGTGGCTGAACATTAGAAATTATTCCTTCTTGTTTTGTTTTTTGTTTGTTTGTTTGTTTGTTTTTGAGATAGGGTCTCACTCTGTCGCCCCAGGCTGGAGTGCAGTGGCGCAATCACAGCTCACTGCAGCTTCAACCTCCTGGGCTTAAGCGATCCTCCCACCTCAGCCTCCAGAATAGCTGGGATGACAGGCACGCACCCCTATGCTGGGTTAATTTTTTTATTTTTTATTTTTATAGACAGGGTTTCGCAATACTGTCCAGGGTGGTCTGGAACTCTTGAGCTCAAGCCGTCTGCCTGCCTCAGCCTCCCAAAGTGCTGGGATTACAGGCGTCAGCCACCATGCCCAGCCTATAACTTGTTCCTTCTTTTCAACAGTATGTTCGTACCTATTAACCAACTGCTCTTCTTTCCAACCCCCCGACCCCATTCCACACATCCTTCCCAGCCTCTCATATCTATCACTGTATTCTCTACCTCTATGAGATCAGCTATTTTAGCTCCCACATATGAGTGAGAACGTACGGTATTTGTCTTTCTGTGCCTGGCTTATTTCACCTAACTTAATGACCACTGGTTCCATCCACGTTGCTGCAAATGAAAGGATTTCATTCTTTTTGTGGCCAAATCATATTTCCTGTGTACATATGCCACATTTTCTTTATCCATTCGTCCACAGATGGACACTTAGGTTGATTGCATGTCTTGGATATTGTGATGAGTGCTGCAATAAACATGGGGGTGTAGGTATCCCTTTGATATACCGATTTCCTTTCTTTTGGATAAATACCCAGTAGTGGGATTGCTGGATAGTTCTATTTGTAGTGTTTTGAAAAGTCTCCATACTGTTTTCCACAGTGGTTGTACTAGTTTACATTACCACCTACAGTGTATAAAGGTTCTCTTTTCTTCACGTCCTCACCAACACTTGTTCTCTTATCTTTCTGATAATAGCCATTTTAACAGGTGTGAAGTGATAGCTCATTGTGATATTTCCCTGATGATAAGTGATGCTGAGCCTTTTCATACAACTGTTGGCCATTTGTATGTCTTCTTTGAAGAAATGTCTATTCAGATCCTTTGCACATTTTAAAATCAGGTGATTTGTTTTCTTGATATTGAGTTGAGTTCTTTATATATTTTGGATATTAACTCCTCATCAGATGTATAGTTTGTGAATATTTTCTCCTATTCTATAGGTTGCCTCTTCACTCTGTTGATCGTTTCCTTTGTACAGAAGCCTTTCAGTTTGACGTAATCCCATTTCTCTATTCTTTCTTTGGTTGCTCATGCTTTTGTGGTCATAGCGGAAAAATTATTGCCCAGATCAATGCCATGGATGTTTCCCCCTATGTTTTCTTCTGGTAGTTTTACAGTTTCAGCTCTAACGTTTAAATTCGGAGTCCAATTTACCTTGATTTTTGTATATAATATGAGACAAGGGTCCCGTTTCATTATTCTGCATGTGGATATTCAGTTTTCCCAACACCATTTATTGAAGATACAGTCCTTTCACCACATATGTTCTTGGCATCTTTGTTGAAAATCACGTGACAATACCTCAACAGCCCAGTGTTGTGGCTTTGTAGCACACCCCATATCTACCATATTCTAGAACATTGTAATGCTACTAGGCTGGCCCAGAAAATGTTTAAATGTTGAATTCACTTAAATTACATTTGTTGCACCATCATGGAATCGTGATGTGCATTATTTATAGTGGCAGTAGACTCCAAGGTGTAGAGAAAACTTGGGTCTTGGGTAATATGGACCTTTTCATCCTCAGACTTGTTAGGAGTACATTTCTTGGTCTTGAGACCAGTATTTTTCAGTTATGTATGCAACTACCTTTATTATACCTGGTTATCACAATTCAATTCTCAGGTGTTGCAGAAAAATCTACCTCTTTCAGACTGTAGATGGAAATAACTGTGAAAAAAATGATGCAGATATCTTCCAGTTTGTGCTAAACACACTGCTTTATATTTACTGCCCACGTCTTTCATAAGGATACGAATTGTTAAGAGGCAGTCTTGTTTTGCTTTTCAAAGACATTTTGTAGAGATTTTTCACTAATGTGAATCTGGTTTTATCCACTTGATTCTGTATAGATTAAGTAAATATGTATGATAAACGTTAAAAAAAGAAAATCACGTGACAATAAATGCATGAATTTTTTTCTAATCTATTATATTTGTCTATGTGTCTGTTTTTATACCAGTACCGTGCTGTTTTGATTACTCTAGCTTTTATTATATTTTGAGATCAGGTTGTGATTCCTCCAGCTTTGCTCTTTTTGCTCAAGATTGCTTTGGGTAACTGGAGTCTTCTGTGGTTTGGTGTGAATTTTAGGATTGCTTTCTCTATGCATGTAAAAATAGCATTGGAATTTTGATAGGGATTGCATTGAGTCTGTTGATTGCTTTGAGTAGTATGGACATTTAAACAATATTGATTCTTCCAATCCATGATCATGGGATAGCTTTCCATTTATTTATGGCTTCCTTGATTTCTTTCATCAGTGTTTTACAGTTTTCAGTGTACAGATCTTTCACCTCCTTGGTTGAATTTACTCCTAAGCAGTTTATGTTATTTTTGAGAGCTATTGTAAGTGGGATTGTTTTCTTGATTTCTTTTTCAGATGGCTACTGATTTGTGTATGTTAATTTTATGTTTTGCAACTTTCCTTAAAATTCATTTGAATTTTAATTTTTTTGTAAAATATTTTAAGATTTTATGTATACAAAATCATGTCATCTGCAGACAGAGGTAATTTAATTTCTTATTTTTTTCTTTTCTTTTTTGAGATAGGGTCTCACTTTCTCACCCAGGCTGGAGTGCAGTGGTGTGATCTCGACTCACTGCAGGCTCAATTTCCTGGATTCAAGTGATTCTCATGCTCCAGCCCCCCAGGTCACTGGGACTACAGGCACACGCCAGCACGCCCGACTAACTTTTGTATTTTTGGTAGAGATAGGGTTTCGCCATGTTGCCCAGGCTGGTCTCGAACTCTTGGTCTCTTGTGATCCACCTGCCTCAGACTCCCAAAGTCTTAGGATTACAGGCATGAGCCACCGCACCCAGTAAACTTGTTATTTTTTATTTGTGTGATTTTCATATTTTTTCTCTTGCCTAAGTTTTTTGGCTAAAATTTTCAGTATTATGTGGCATAGAAGCGGTGAAAGGGGGCATCTTTGTCTTGTTCCTCATACAGGTAATATTAAAACCAGGATCTTCCATCAGCTATGGCAAGAGTGTAGTTAAAGAAAAGAATCAGACCAAGGATTGAGCCCTGGGTCTCTCTATTTGTAAGAATTTGGGGAGAAGAGAACTTCCACATAGCTGAACACATGGAAGTTCCTGGAGGGTGCTGCACCTAGAGAGGGCATGGAAGCCCCATGCCCCTTCCCACATACTGTGCCCTACGCATCTCTTTACTCTGGCTGTTCATCTGTATCCTTTGTCATGTTCTTCATAATAAATGGGTAAACATATTTACTCATCAGTGTTAAAACCCGACACAATACAGTAACATGATTTTGTGCACTTAGAGGAGAAATATTTCCTAGTTAACGGGAAAATTGTGCAAAGGGCCTCTGGAAGACCTTCACTCTAAGCTGTTTTGTAGGGAAACATTTCATTCAGAAGTCTCAACATTTTTTCTTCAGTTTGCTGTAATCTACATTCACTGAGTAGAACTTGCATTGATCATTGGGTCCCAGTTTATTCCAAGGTTCTGGGGGATTCTTTCTGTCCCAACTAGCATCTGGGTTAAACAGTGTCAGATGCAAGACATGCAGACCTGCTCTAGTGCCTCCTGCTCAAATATATACAAAGAGAGGGATGTCAAACTCGAATGCTTTCTGGCCTGATGAAAGGTGGAGCTTGTGTGTAGCCTGGAAGGAGAGAAGAACAAATATTTCAGGCCCGGGTTTAAGTAGTCTAATGCAGCATTTGATTTTTGGAGACTTAGGTAATACAGAATTGAGTTAATAATACTTCTTATTTCATAACATGCTACTTGTGATTGATGTGAGGCCCTATTTGTTTATTTATTTTACAATGCTAGGTGCCCCCTTTTGCCTATTACCCAATCCAAGAACTAGACTATTACTAGTAACTTACTTACATCCACCCCTAAGCTCCCCCTCACTGCGTCCTCTTGACTCCCTTCACTCCCACCAGAAGCAACCCTAACCTGAATTGTGTACTTGGCATTCCTTTGATTTTTGTTGCAAATAAGTATATATATAAAACAATATACTCTTTTTTTCTTTTTTGAGGCAGGGTCTCACTCTGATTGTTCAGTATGGAGTGCAGTGGCATGATTTTGGCTCACTGCAGCCTTGACCTCCCCGACTCAGGTGATTCTCCCACCTCAGCCTCCCGAGTAGCTGGGACTACAAGAGCGTGCCATGACACCTGGCCAATTTTTTGTAGAGACAGCATTTAGCCATGTTGCCCAGGCTGATCTCAAACTCCTGGACTCAAGCACTCCATCTGCATCTGCCTCCCAAAGTGCTGGGATTACAGGCGTGAGCCACTGTGCCTGACCATTATCCTCTTCAGTTTTGCTTGATTTTGAATTTTATAAAAAGGGTGTCACACTGCATGTAGCCCTGTGGGAATTGCTTTTCTCAAACTAACATTTAACCATTGTTGGGCATAAAACTGCAGTTCACCCATTTGCCTTGCTACATAGTATATCATGGTGTGGATTTGCCACAGTTGTTCTATGCATTCTCTTGTTCGTGAGCATTTGCATTGTTACTAGGTTTTTGCTACTGTGGCCAGTGCTGCTGTGAAATTCTTGTCCAGTGGACTTTGAGAGGAATTGCTGAGTTGTGAATGTTCAGCCTTATATATTGATGCCACATTGTTGTCCAAACTGGTTGTGTTCATTTATATTCCCAACATGTTGCAAGCTGTATGAGATCCCAATGCTCCGCATCCTCTCTAACCTTTGATGTTGCTAAGCTTCTTATTCTTTGCCAATCAAATGGGTACAAGATTTATCTTGAGGTCATGTTTAGCATTTCCCTGACTACTGATGAGCTGAGCATATCTTCATGTGTTTATTGGCCACATAGGTTCCTTCTTCTATGGAATTCCTGTTGATGATTTTTGCCTATTTTCTTACTGGGTTGTTTGTCTTTCCTTATTGATTTCTAGGAATTGTCAAAATATATTCTTGATACCAGCCTTTTGTCAATTGCATATAGGATAAATATCTTCTTCCAGCTTGTACCATGTATTTCCACTTCTGTATGATAACTTTTAAAATTGAGGTAGAACAGGCCAGGAAAGGGGGCTCACACCTGTAATCCTAGCACTATGGGTGGCCGAGGTGGGTGGATCACCTGAAGTCAGGAGTTTGAGACCAGCCTGACCAACATGGTTAAATCCTGTCTTTACTAAAATACAAAAATTAGCCAGGCATGGTGGCGGGTGCCTGCAATCTCAGTTACTCAGGAGGCTGAGGCAGGAGAATAGCTTCAACTCAGGAGGCAGAGGTTGCATCGAGCCAAGATCATGCCATTGCACTCCAGCCTGGTAACAGAAGCAAAACTCTGTCTCAAAAAAAATTTAAAAATGAAAAATAAAAAAATGAGGTATAACATACATATGGCAAATCACAGAAACCTAAGTGTACAATTTTAACACAGTTCTACACCCAGTAACCACCATGCGATCAAAATAGAGAACATTTTCAACAGCCCCTATCCCCAAAAAGAGAATTTTGAGAGAAGATGAGGAACCAGTAAGGATGATTGAGGAGTGATCACTGAGATTGGAATAAACCCAATGTCTTCTCCTTCTGGTAGTGGCAGACTAGATAATTCAGATAAACCCTCTGTGTTGGCCATCACTTAGTTGGCCATCTGATTGAACTCAGTCTACAATCTTGCTCTCTCTCTCTCTGATGATTAGGCTGATATCACATAGTTCAATGACCCAACCCTCTAGTCATAGGGTTGGTCTTTCTAGTATGGCCAGCCTCCATTCTGAGTCATCTCGTTACATAAACACTATCTAGGGGCCTACCATGATTCACCTCATTAGCATAAACCATGAAGCATGGTCCATGGGGCCCACCAGGAATGACAAAGACACACTTATCTCTTAGGAAATTGCAAGGGATTAGAGGTTATCTCCCAGGACTCAGGGACAAGGTCCAGACAAATTCTTTATTTTACATTAAGTGCACAGAAAAATGCACATTATAAAAATTTCATCTTATTGGGATAGAAATATACTGCTATGGTTTAGATATGATTGGTCTGTCCCCGCCAAAACTCATGTGGAAATTGGATCCCCAATGTGGTGGTGTTGGGAAGTGGAGCCTTGTGGGAGGTGTTTGGGTCATGGAGACAGATCCCTCATGAACAGCTTGCTGCCGTTCTGGAGGTAGTGGGTGAGTACTGGCTCCAGTGAGACTGGATTAGTGCCCATAATGGTAGGTTTGTTATAAAGCCAGCATGCCCCTCGGATTTTCCCTCTTTGAACGTGTCTGCTTCTCCTTTGGCCTTTTCCACTATGTTTTGGCCTAGGAGGTGGCTGTCACCAGAAGCTGAGCAGTTACTTTTGCCATGCTTCCTCTACTTCCCAGCTTGCTGAATCATGAGCTAAGTAAACCTCTTTTATTTTTAAATTACCCAGTCTCAGGTATTCTGTTACAGCAACACAAAACAGACTAAGACACATACTAGCAATGTCCCAGTATAGGGAAAAATGGTATTAAGTTGGTGCAAAAGTAATTGCAGATTTTGCCGTTACTTTTTTTTTTTTTTTTTTTTTTGGAGTTTCTTTCTTGTTGCCTAGGCTGGAGGGCAATGGCTTGATCTCGGCTCACTGCAACCCCCGCCTCCCAGGTTCAAGCAATTCTCCTGCCTCAGCCTCCTGAGTAGCTGGGATTACAGGCGCTCCCAACCACGCCAGGATTTTTTTTTTTTTTTTTTGTATTTTTAGTAGAGACAGGGTTTCACCAAGTTGGCCAGGCTGGTCTTGAACTCCTGATATCAGGTAATCCGCCCACATTGGCCTCCCAAAGTGCTGGGATTACAAGCATGAGCTACCGCTCCTGGCCTGTCATTACTTTTAACAGCAAAAATTTCTACACCAACCCAATAATACAAACAACTCAGTGCATGTAATTCAACAACTTACATGAAATGCACTAATTCTTTTAAAGACACAAATTATCAAAATTCACCCAATATAAAATAACTTGAATAGTCCTATAAAGGCATTGAAATTTGGGAGGCCAAGGTGGGAGGATCACCTGAGCCCAGAAGACTGAGACCAGCCTGGGCAACAAAGTGAGACCCTATCTCTACAAAAAAATTATATATAAAAAGAAATGGAATTCATAGTTAAATACCTTCCAAAAAAGATATTCCCAGCCCAGATGGCTTCACTGGCAAATTTCACCAAACATTCAAAGAAGAACTAATACCTACTCTACAATATCTCTTCCCAAAAATAGAACAGGAAGGACTACATGTCAACACATTTTATGAGGCCAGGATTACTCTGATACCAAAACCAGCCAAAGACAGTATAAAAGAAGCAAGCAAGCAAGAAATGACAGACCACCAACTCTCATGAACATAAATGGGAAAATCATCACAAAATATTAGCAAGTTGAATACAGCAATGTCTAAAAAGAAAAATATCACTCAACCATGTGAGGCTTATTTCAGGAATGCAGGGTTTATTCAATGTTAAGAAAATCAATTGATTCCATTATATTAATGGTCAATAAAAGAAAGAAAGACATAGTAATATTAATTGATGTATAAATAGCCTTTGGCAAAATTCAACATCTATTCAAGACATAAACTCCCACCAAACTAAGAATAGAAAACTTCCTCAACTTGATAAAGGGATTCTACAAGAAAACCCACAGCTAATATCATAGTTAAGAGTAAACAACTGAATGTTTTTCTCCTATGTTCATGAACAATACAAGGTTGTGTACTCTTGCCACTTCTATTCAACATCATACTTAGAAGTCCTTCCTATTGTAATAATTCAGGAAATAGAAACAAAAGACATTCGTAGAGGAAAAGGAGAAATAAAACTGCCTGGTATTCACAGATGACATTATTATCTATGCAGAGAATCCCATGGAATCTACAAAAAAATCCTAGAAATAATAAGTGACTTTATGAAAGGTAAAGCATATATGCTCAATATGCAAAAATCAGTTGTATTTATATATACACTAAGTGCATAAATGGAAACAAAACATTTAAAAACCAGTATCATTTACAATAGCTCCAAAAATGAAAAACCTAGGTATGAATCAGAGAAATTTGAAGTCCTGAAAACTACACAATGCTAATAAAATAAATCCAGGAAGGCCTAAATGAATGGAATAAACATGAGTATACTTTGTTTATGAATGGGAACACTCAATAAATATGAGTTCTCCTTGTATTCATCTATAGATATAACACAATACAATTAAACTGATAGTATGATTTTTTGTAGACATACACAACATGATTCTGTAATTTATACTGAAAATCAAAAGAACTACAATGATTAAAACAATTTTAAAAAGAATAGACTGACGGGAGCCAAGATGGCCAAATAGGAACAGCTCCAGTCTATAGCTCCCAGCGTGAGTGACACAGAAGATGGGTGATTTCTGCATTTCCAACTGAGGTACCAGGTTCATCTCACTGGTGAGTGTCAGAAAGTGGGTGCAGGACAGTGGGTGCAGCACACTGAGCATGAGCCAAAGCAGGGTGAGGCATTGCCTCATCCAGGAAGTGCAAGGGGTCAGGGAATTTCCTTTCCTAGTCAAAGAAAGGGGTGACAGACAGCACCTGGAAAATCAGGTCACTCCCACCCTAATACTGCACTTTTCCAATGGTCTTAGCAAACGGCACACCAGGAGATTATATCCTGCACCTGGCTCAGAGGATCCTACGCCCATGGAGCCTTGCTCATTGCTAGCACAGCAGTATGAGATCAAACTGCAAGGTGGCAGCGAGGTTGGGGGAGGGGTGCCCACCATTGCTGAGGCTTGACTAGGTAAACAAAGTGGCCAGGAAGCTCGAACTGGGTGGAGCCCACCACAGCTCAAGGAGGCCTGCCTGCCTCTGTAGACTCCACCTCTGGGGGCAGGGCATAGCCTAATAAAAGGCAGCAGAATCCTATGCAGACTTAAATGTCCCTGTCTGACAGCTTTCAAGAGAGCAGTGGTTCTCCCAGCATGCAGCTGGAGATCTGAGAACGGACAGACTGCCTCCTCAAGTGGGTCCCTGATCCCCGAGCAGCCTAACTGGGAGGCACCCCCCAGTAGGGGCAGACAGACACCTCACACGGCCAGGTACTCCTCTGAGACAAAACTTCCAGAGGAATGATCAGGCAGCATTTGCTGTTCACCAATATCCACTGTTCTGCAGCCTCCACAGCTGATACCCAGGCAAACAGGGTCTGGAGTGGACCTCTAGCAAACTCCAACAGACCTGCAGCTGAGGGTCCTGACTGTTAGAAGGAAAACTAACAAACAGAAAGGACCTCCACACCAAAACCTCATCTGTACGTGACCATCATCAAAGACCAAAGGTAGATAAAACCACAAAGATGGGGAAAAAACAGAGCAGAAAAACTGGAAACTCTAAAAATCGGAGTGCCTCTCCTCCTCCAAAGGAACGCAGCTCCTCACCAGCAACAGAACAAAGGTGGAGGGAGAAAGACTTTGACAAGTTGAGAGAAGAAGGCTTCAGACAATCAAACTACTCTGAGCTAAAGGAGGAAGTTCAAACCCATGACAAAGAAGTTAAAAACCTTGAAAAAAAATTAGATGAATGGCTAACTAGAATAACCAATGCAGAGAAGTCCTTAAAGGACCTGATGGAGCTGAAAACCAAGGCATGAGAACTATGTGACAAACGCACAAGCCTCAGTAGCTGATGCGATCAACTGGAAGAAAGGGTATCAGTGATGGAATATCAAATGAATGAAATGAAGCGAGAAGAGAAGTTTAGAGAAAAAAGAATAAAAAGAAATGAACAAAGCCTCCAAGAAACATGGGACTATGTGAAAAGACCAAATCTACATCTGATTGGTGTACCTGAAAGTGACAGGGAGAATGGAACCAAGTTGGAAAACACTCTGCAGGATATTATCCAAGAGAATTTCCCCAATCTAGCAAGGCAGGCCAACATGCAAATTCAGGAAATACAGAGAATGCCATAAAGATACTCCTCGAGAAGAACAACTCCAACACACATAATTGTCAGATTCACCAAAGTTGAAATGAAGGAAAAAATGTTAAGGGCAGCCAGAGAGAAAGGTCGGGTTACCCACAAAGGGAAGCCCTTCAGACTAACAGTGGATCTCTCGGCAGAAACTCTACAAGCCAGAAGAGAGTGGGGGCCAATATTCAACATTCTTAAGGAAAAGAAATTTCAACCCAGAATTTCATATCCAGCCAAACTAAGCTTCATAAGTGAAGGAGAAATAAAATCCTTTACAGACAAACAAATGCTGAGAGATTTTGTCACCACCAGGCCTGCCCTAAAAGAGCTCCTGAAGGAAGCACTAAACATGGAAAGGAACAACCAGTACCAGCCACTGCAAAAACATGCCAAATTGTAAAGACCATCAAGGGTAGGAATAAACTGCATCAACTAATGAGCAAAATAACCAGCTAACATCATAATGACAGGATCAAATTCACACATAACAATATTACCCTTAAATGTAAATGGGCTAAATGCTCCAATTAAAAGACACAGACTGGCAAATTGGATAGAGTCAAGACCCATCAGTGTGCTGTATTCAGGAAACCCATCTCATGTGCAGAGACACACATAGGCTCAAAATAAAGGGATGGAGGAAGATCTACCAAGCAAATGGAAAACAAAAAAAGGCAGGGGTTGCAATCCTAGTCTCTGATCAAACAGACTTTAAACCAACAAAGATCAAAAGAGACAAAGAAGGCCATTACATAATGGTAAAGGGATCAATTCAACAAGAAGAGCTAACTATCCTAAATACATATGCACCCAATACAGGAGCATCCAGATTCATAAAGCAAGTCCTTAGAGACCTACAAAGAGACTTAGACTCCCACACAATAATAATGCAAGACTTTAACACCCCACTTTCAACATTAGACAGGTCAATGAGACAGAAAGTTAACAAGGATATCCAGGAATTGAACTCAGCTCTGCACCAAGCGGACCTAATAGACATCTACAGAACTCTCCACCCCAAATCAACAGAATATACATTTTTTTCAGCACCACACCACACCTATTCCAAAATTGACTACATAGTTGGAAGTAAAGCACTCCTCAGCAAATGTAAAAGAACAGAAATTATAACAAACTGTCTCTCAGACCACAGTGCAATCAAACTAGAACCCAGGATTAAGAAACTCACTCAAAACCACTCAACTACATGGAAATTGAACAACCTGCTCCTGAGTGACTACTGAGTACATAACGAAATGAAGGGAGAAATAAAGATGTTCTTTGAAACCAATGAGAACAAAGACACAACATACCAGAATCTCTGGGTCACATTCAAAGCAGTGTGTAGAGGGAAATTTATAGCACTAAATGCCCACAAGAGAAAGCAGGAAAGATCTAAAATCGACACCCTAACATCACAATTAAAAGAACTAGAGAAGCAAGAGCAAACACATGCAAAAGCTAGCAGAAGACAACAAATAACTAAGATCAGAGCAGAACTGAAGGGGATAGAGACACAAAAAACCCTTCAAAAAATTAACCAATCCAGGAACTGGTTTTTTGAAAAGATCAACAAAATTGATAGACCACTAGCAAGACTAATAAAGAAGAAAAGAGAGAAGAATCAAATAGATGCAATAAAAAATGATAAAAGGGATATCACCACCGATCCCACAGAAATACAAACTACCATCAGAGAATACTATAAACACCTCTATGCAAATAAACTAGAAAATCTAGAAGAAATGGATAAATTCCTCGACACATAAACTATCCCAAGACTAAACCAGGAAGAAGTGGAATCTCTGAATAGACCAATAACAGGATCTGAAGTTGAGGCAATAATTAATAGCTTACCAACCAAAAAAAGTCCAGGACCAGATGGATTCACAGCCGAATTCTACCAGAGGTACAAGGAGGAACTGGTACCATTCCTTCTGATATGATTCCAATCAATAGAAAAAGAGGGAATCCTCCCTAACTCATTTTATGAGGCCAGCATCATCCTGATACCAAAGCCTGGCAGAGACACAACAAAAAAAGAGATTTTTAGACCAATATCCCTGATGAACATCAACGCAAAAATCCTCAATAAAATACTGACAAACCAAATCCAGCAGCACATCTAAAAGCTTATCCACCAAGATCAAGTGGGCTTCATCCCTGGGATGCAAGGCTGTTTCAACATACACAAATCAATAAATGTAATCCAGCATATAAACAGAACCAAAGACCAAAAACACATGTTTATCTCAATAGATGCAGAAAATTCCTTTGACAAAATTCAACAACCCTTCATGCTAGAAACTCTCAATAAATTAGGTATTGATGGGATGTATCTCAAAATAATAAGAGCTATCTATGACAAACCCACAGCCAATATCATACTGAATGGGCAAAAACTGGAAGCCTTTCCTTTGAAAACTGGCACAAGACAGGGATGCTCTCTCTTACCACTCCTGTTCAACATAGTGTTGGAAGTTCTGGCCAAGGCAATCAGGCAGGAGAAGGAAATAAAGGGTATTCAATTAGGAAAAGAGGAAGCCAAATTGTCCCTGTTTGCAGATGACATGATTGTATATCTAGAAAACTCCATCATCTCAGCCCAACATCTCCTTAAGCTGATAAGCAACTTCAGCAAAGTCTTAGGATACAAAATCAATGTACAAAAATCACAAGCATTCCTATACACCAGTAACAGACAGAGAGCCAAATCCTGAGTGAACTCCCATTCACAATTGCTTCAAAGAGAATAAAATACCTAGGAATCCAACTTACAAGCAACGTGAAGGACCTCTTCAAAGAGAACTACAAATCACTGCTCAATGAAATAAAAGAAGATACAAACAAATGGAAGAGCATTCCATGCTCATGGTTAGCAAGAATCAATATCGTAAAAATGGCCATACTGCCCAAGGTAATTTATAGATTCAATGCCATCCCCATCAAGCTACCAATGACTTTCTTCACAGAATTGGAAAAAACTACTTTAAAGTTCATATGGAACCAAAAAAGAGCCCACATTGCCAAGTCAATCCTAAGCCAAAAGAACAAAGCTGGAGACATCACACTACCCGACTTCAAACTATACTAGGAGGCTACAGCAACCAAAACAGCATGGTACTGGTACCAAAACAGAGATATAGACCAATGGAACAGAACAGAGCCCTCAGAAATAATGCCGCATATCTACAACCATCTGATCTTTGACAAACCTGACAAAAACAAGAAATGGGGAAAGGATTCCCTATTTAATAAATGGTGCTGGGAAAACTGGATAGCCATATGTAGAAAGCTGAAACTGGATCCCTTTCTTACACCTTATACAAAAATTAATTCAAGATGGATTAAAGACTTAAATATTAGACCTAAAACCATAAAAACCCTAGAAGAAAACATAGGCAATATCACTCAGGACATAGGCATGGGCAAGGACTTCATGTCTAAAACACCAAAAGCAATGGCAACAAAAGCCAAAATTGACAAAAGGGATCTAATTAAACTAAAGAGCTTCTGCACAGCAAAAGAAAATACCATCAGAGTGAACAGGCAAACTACAGAATGAGAGAAAATTTTTGCAATCTATTCATCTGACAAAGGGCTAATATCCAGAATCTACAAAGAACTCAAACAAATTTACAAGAAAAAAACAAACAACCCCATCAAAAAGTGGGCAAAGGATATGAACAGACACTTCTCAAAAGAAGACATTTATGCAGCCAAAAGACACATGAAAAAATGCTCATCATCACTGGCCATCAGAGAAATGCAAATCAAAACCACAATGAGATACCATCTCACACCAGTTAGAATGGCGATCATTAAAAAGTCAGGAAACAACAGGTGCTGGAGAGGGTATGGAGAAATAGGAACACTTTTACACTGTTGGTGGGACTGTACACTAGTTCAACCATTGTGGAAGACAGTGTGGTGATTCCTCAGGGATCTAGAACTAGAAATACCATTTGACCCAGCAATCCGATTACTGGGTGTATACCCAAAGATTTATAAATCATGCTGCTATAAAGACACATGCACACGTTGTTTATTGCGGCACTATTCACAATAGCAGACTTGGAACCAACCCAAATGTCCAACAATGATAGACTGGCTTAAGAAAACGTGGCACATATACACCATGGAATACTATGCAGCCATAAAAAATGATGAGTTCATGTCCTTTGTAGGGACATGGATGAAGCTGGAAATCATCATTCTCAGCAAACTATCACAAGAACAAAAAACCAAACACAGCATGTTCTCACTCATAGGTGGGAATTGAACAATGAGAACACATGGACACAGGAAGGGGAATATCACACACCAGGGCCTGTTGTGGGGTGGGAGGGGGGAGGGATAGCATTTGGAGATATACCTAATTTTAAATGACAAGTTACTGGGTGCAGCACACCAACATGGCACATGTATACATATGTAACTAACCTGTACATTGTGCACATGTACCCTGAAACTTAAAATATAATTTAAAAAAAGAATAAAGTTGGAGGAATCACTTTACCTACTTTTTTTCTTTTCTTTTCTTTCTTTCTTTCTTTTTCTTTTCTTTTTTTTTTTTTTAAGACAGAGTCTCATTCTGTTGTCCAGGCTGGAGTGCAGTGACAAAATTTTGGCTCACTGCAGCCTTTAACTACCAGGCTTAAGTGATCTTCCCGCCTCAGCCTCCTGAGTAGCTAGGACTAAAGGTGTGCAGCATGACACCTAAGTTTTTTATTTTCTTGTAGAGATGAGATCTCATTATGTTTCACAGGTCTCACTATGTTGTCCAGGCTGGTCTTCAATTCCTGAGCTCAAGTGGTCCTCCTGGTTTGGCCTCCCAAAACCCACTTTATTATTATTATTATACTTTAAGTTATGGGGTACCTAGGCACAAGGTGCAGGTTTGTTACATAGGTATACATGAACCATGTTAGTTTGCTGCACCCATCAACTCGTCATTTACATTACGTATTTCTCCTAATGCTATCCCTCCCCCAGCCCCCCAGCCCCCAACAGGCCCTGGTGTGTGATGTTCCCCTCCCTGTGTCCATGCCAAAACCCACTTTTAAGACTCACCAGAATACTACACTAATTAAGACAAGTGTATTATTGGCAATGCAGTAGATATAAGTCAGGGGGATATATAGAGATTCCAGAAATAGACCCTAGATCTATTGCCAATAAATTTTTAAATTTATGGGCCTGGCATGGTGGCTCACGCCTGTAATCACAGCACTTTGGGAGGCCGAGGTGGGCATATTACAAGGTCAGGAGATGAGACCATCCTGGCTAACAAGGTGAAACCCCATTTCTACTATAAGTACAAAAAGTTATCCAGGCTTGGGTTGGGTGCCTGTAGTCCCAGCTACTTGGGAGGCTGAGGCAGGAGAATGGTGTGAACCCGGGAGGCAGAGCTTGCAGTGAGCAGAGAGTGCGCCACTGCACTCCAGCCTGGGCAGCAGACCGAGACTCTGTCTCAAAAAAAAAAAAACAAAAAATAAGAAACTTTATTTTTTGAGGAGCAATTTTCATAATATTAGCCTTTCAAAATGAACAGCCCAGCAGCATTTAGTATTTTCATAATGTTGTGCAAGTACTGCTTCTATCTAGTTTGGAACATTTTCATCACTTTCAAAGAGATTGCATACCCATTAGGAAACTACTTCCTATCCTCTTCCTCCTGGGCTCTGGCACCCACTAATTTAGTTTCTGTCTTTATGAATTTACCTATTCTGGATATTTCATATGAATCAAATCATACAATATGTAACCTTCATGTCTATCTCGCTCTCTTTTTTTTTTTTTTTTTTTTTTTTTGTTGAGACAGAGTATCACTCTGTCACTCAGGCTGGAGTGCAATGGTGCGAACATGGCTCACTTCAGCCTTGTTAGAACTCCTGGGCTTATGGGATCCTCCCACTTTGGCCTCCCGAGTAGCTGGAACTACAAGCACACACCACCACGTCTGACTAATTTTTTTGTAGAGATGGCATTTGCCATGTTGCCCAGCTGGTCTCGAACTCCTGGCCTCAAGTGATCCACCCATCTTGGCCTCCAAAAGTGTTAGGCATGAGCCACTGCGCCTGATCTTTGCTTTTTTTTTTTCTTAGCATGATGTTTTTGAGGCCTATCCACGTTATAGCATGTATCAGTACTTCATTCCTTTTAAAGGCTGAATAATATTTCACTGTGTGCATAGACAATAGTTTGTTAATCCATTCATCAGTTGATGGATATTTGGGTTATTCCCACCTTTTGACTTTTGAAATAATACTGCTATGAACGTGCATGTACAAGTATTTCTTTGAGCACCTGTTTTCAGTTCTTTTTTTATTATTATTATACTCTAAGTTCTGAGATACATGTGCAGAACATGCAGGTTTGTTACATAGGTATACAAGTGCCATGGTGGTTTGCTGCACCCACCAACTCATCATCTACATTTGGTATTTCTCCTAATGCTATCCCTCCCCTAGCCCCCAACCCCCTGACAGGCCCCAGTGTGTGATGCTCTGCTCCTTGTGTCCATGTGTTCTCATTGTTCACCTCCCACTTATGAGTGAGAACATGCGTTGTCTGGTTTTCAGTTCCTGTGTTAGTTTGCTGAGAATGATGGTTTCCAGCTTCATCCATGACCCTGCAAAGGACATAAACTCATCATTTTTATGGCTGCATAGTATTCCATGGTGTATATGTGCCCGATTTTCTTTATCAAGTCTATCATTGATGGCCATTTGGGTTGGTTCCAAGTCTTTGCTATTGTGAACAGTGCTGCAATAAACATATATGTGCATGTCTCTTTATAGTAGAATGATTTATAATCCTTTGGGTATATGCCCAGTAATGAGATTGCTGGGTCAAATGGTATTTCTGGTTCTAGATCCTTGAGGAATCACCATACTGTCTTCTGCAATGGTTGGACTAATTTACACTCCCACCAACAGTGTAAAAGCGTTCCTATTTCTCCACATCCTCTCCAGCATTTTTTTTCCTGACTTTTTAGTGATCGTCATTTTAACTGGTGTGAGATGGTATCTCACTGTGGTTTTGATTTGCATTTCTGTAATGACCAGTGATGATGAGCTTTTTTTCATATGTTTGTTGGCCACATAAATGTCTTCTTTGAGAAGTGTCTGTTCATATCCTTTGCCCAATTTTTTTATGGGGTTGTTTGTTTTTTTCTTGTAAATTTGTTTAAGTTCTTTGTAGATTCTGGATATTAGCCCTTTGTCAGATGGAGAGATTGCAAAAATTTTCTCCCATTCTGTAGGTTGCCTGTTCACCCTGATGATAGTTTCTTTTGCTGTGCAGAAGCTCTTTGGTTTAATTAAATCCCATTTGTCTGTTTTGGCTTTTGTTGCTATTGCTTTTGGTGTTTTAGTCATGAAGTCTTTGCCCATGCCTATGTCCTGAATGGTATTGCCTAGGTTTTCTTCTAGGGTTTTTATAGTTTTAGGTCTTACGTTTAAGTCTTTAATCCATCTTGAGTTAATTTTTGTATAAGGTGTAAGGAAGGGGTCCAGTTTCAGTTTTCTGCATACGGCTAGCCAGTTTTCCCAACACCATTTATTAAATAGGGAATCCTTTCCCCATTGCTTGTTTTTGTCAGGTTTGTCAAAGATCAGATGGTTGTAGATGTGTGGCATTATTTTGGAAGCCTCTGTTTTGTTCCATTGATATATATGTATGTATGTATATATATATATATATATATCTTTTGGTACCACTACCATGCTGTTTTGGTTACTGTAGCCTTGTGGTATAGTTTAAAGTCAGGTAGCGTGATACCTCCAGCTTTGTTCTTTTTGCTTAGGATTGTCTTGGCTATATGGGCTCCTTTTTTGTTCCATATGAAATTTAAAGTAGTTTTTTCTAATTCTGTGAAAAAAGGCACTGGTAGCTTGTTGGAGATAGCATAAAATCTTTCACGATATTGATTCTTCCTGTCCATGAGCATGGAATGTTTTAAAATTTGTTTGTGTCCTCTTATATTTCGTTAAGAAGTGGTTTGTAGTTCTCCTTGAAGAGGTCCTTCACATCCCTTTAAAGTTGTATTCCCAGGTATTTTATTCTCTTTGTAGCAATTGTGAATGGGAGTTCACTCAGGATTTGTCTCTCCGTTTGTCTGTTATTGGTGTATAGGAGTGCTTGTGATTTTGCACATTGATTTTGTATCCTGAGACTTTGCTGAAGTTGCTTATCAGCTTAAGGAGATTTTGGGCTGAGACAATGGGGTTTTCTAGATATACAATCATGTCATCTGCAAACAGAGAAAATTTGACTTCCTCTCTTCCAATTTGAATACCTTTTATTTCTTTCTCTTACAGGATCGCCCTGGCCAGAACTTCCAATACTATGTTAAATAGGAGTGGTGAGAGAGGGCATCCTTGTCTCATGCCGGTTTTCAAAGGGAATGCTTCCAGCTTTTGCCCATTCAGTATGATATTGGCTGTGGGTTTGCCATAAATAGCTCTTATTATTTTGAGATATGTTCCATCAATACCTAGTTTATTGAGAGTTTTTAGCATGAAGTGTTGTTGAATTTTATCAGAGGCCTTTTCTGCATCTATTGAGATAATCATGTGGTTTTTGCCTTTGGTTCTGTTTATGTGATGGATTATATTTATTAATTTGTGTGTGTTGAACCATCCTTGCATACCAGGGATGAAGCCAACTTGATCATGGTGGATAAGCTTTTTGATGTGCTGCTGGATTTGATTTGCCAGTATTTTACTGAGAATTTTCACATCAATGTTCATCAGGGATATTGGCCTGAAGTTTTCTTTTTTTGTTGTGTCTCTGCCAGATTTTGGTATCAGGATGATGCTAGCCTCATAAAATGAGTTAGGGAGGATTCCCTCTTTTTCTATTGTTTGGAATAGTTTCAGAAGGAATGGTACCAGCTCCTCTTTGTACCTCTGGTAGAATTCAGCTGTGAATCCGTCTGGTCCTGGACTTTTGTTGGTTGGTAGGCTATTAATTACTGCCTCATTTTCAGAACTTGTTATTGGTCTATTTAGGGATTCGCCTTCTTCCTGGTTTAGTCTTGGGAGAGTGTATTTGTCCAGGAATTTGCCTATTTCTTCTAGATTTTCTAGTTTATTTGCATAGAGGTGTCTATAGTCCTCTCTGATGGTAGTTTGTATTTCTGTGGGATCAGTGGTGATATCCCCTTTATCATTTTTTATTGTATCTATTTGATTCTTCTCTGTTTTCTTCTTTCTTAGTCTAGCTAGTGGTCTATCTATTTTGTTGATCTTTTCAAAATACCACCTCCTGGATTCATTGATTTTTTTGAAGGTTTTTTTGTGTCTTCATCTCCTTCAGTTCTGCTCTGATCTTAGTTATTTCTTGTCTTCTGCTAGCTTTTGAATTTGTTTACTTTTGCTTCTCTAGTTCTTTTCATTGTGATGTTAGCGTGTTGATTTTAGATCTTTCCCACTTTCTCCTGTGGGCATTTACTGCCATAAATTTCACTCTAAACACTGCTTTAACTGTGTCCCAAAGATTCTGGTACCTTGTGTCTTTGTTCTCATTGGTTTCAAATAACTTATTTATTTCTGCCTTCATTTCGTTATGTACCCAGTGGTCATTCAGGAGCAGGTTGTTTAGTTTCCATGTAGTTGTGCAGTTTTGAGTGAGTTTCTTAATCTTGAATTCTAATGTGATTGCACTGTGGTCTGAGAGACTGTTATGATTTCTGTTCTTTTGCATTTGCTGAGCAGTGTTTTACTTCGAATTATGTGGTCAATTTTAGAATAAATGTGATGTGGTGCTGAGAAGAACGTATATTCTGTTGATTTGGGGTGGAGAGTTCTGTCAATATCTATTAGGTCCACTTGGTGCAGAGCTGAGTTCAAGTCCTGAATATCCTTCTTAATTTTCTGTCTCATTGATCTGCCTAATATTGACAGTGGGGTGTTGAAGTCTCCCACTATTATTGTGTGGGAGTCTAAGTCTCTTTGTAGGTCTCTAAGAACTTGCTTTATGAATCTGAGTGCTTCTGTATTGGGTGCCTATATATTTAGGATAGTTAGCTCTTCTCGTTGAATTGATCCCTTAACAATTATGTAACGTCCTTCTTTGTCTTTTTTGATCTCTGTTGGTTTAAAGTCTTTTTTGTCAGAGACTAGGATTGCAACCCATCCTTTTTTGTTTTTTTCTTACCATTTGCTTGGTAAATACTCCTCCATCCCTTTATTTTGAGCCTATGTGTGTCTTTGCAGGTGAGATGGGTCTCCTGAAGACAGCACACCAACAGGTCTTGACTCTTTATCCAATTTGCCAATCTGTGTCTTTAATTAGGGCATTTAGTCCATTTACATTTAAGGTAATATTGTTATGTGTGAACTTCATCCTGTCATTATGATGCTAGCTGGTTATTTAGCCCGTTAGTTGATGCCATTTCTTCACAGTGTCAATGGTCTTTACAATTTGGTATGTTTTTGCAGTGGCTGGTACCAGTTTTTCCTTTCCATATTTAGTGATTCCTTCAGGAGCTCTTGTAAGGCAGGCCTGGTGGTGACAAAATCTCTCAGCATTTGTTTGTCTGTAAAGGATTTTATTTCTCCTTCACTCATGAAACTTAGTTTGGCTGGATATGAAATTCTGGGTTGAAAATTCTTTTCTTTAAGAATGTTGAATATTGGCCCCCACTCTCTTCTGACTTGTAGGATTTCTGCAGAGAGATCTGCTGTTAGTCTGATGGGCTTCCCTTTGTGGGTAACCCTACCTTTCTCTGTCTTCCCTTAACATTTTTTCCTTCATTTCAACCTTGTTGAATCTGACAATTATGTGTCTTGGGGTTGCTCTTCTCAAGGAGTATCTTTGTGGTGTTCTCTGTATTTCCTGAATTTGAATGTTGGCCCATTTTGCTAGATTGGGGAAGTTCTCCTGGATAATATCCTGAAGAGTGTTTTCCAACTTGGTTCCATTCTCCCTGTCACTTTCAGGTACACTAATCAAATGTAGATTTGGTCATTTCACATAGTCCCATATTTCTTGGAGGCTTTGTTCGTTTCTTTTTACTCTTTTTTCTCTAACCTTGTCTTCTCACTTTATTTCATTAAGTTGATCTTCAATCTCTGATATCCTTTCTACTTGATTGATTCAGCTATTGATATTTGTGTATGCTTCATGAAGTTCTCATGTTGTGTTTTTCAGCTCCATCAGGTCATTTATGTTCCTCTGTAAACTAATTTTTCTAGTTAGCAATTCGTCTAACCTTTTTTCAAGGTTCTTAGCTTCCTTGCATTGGGTTAGAACATGCTCCTTTAGCTCAGAGGAGTTTGTTATTACCCACCTTCTGAAGTCTACCCTGTTAATTTGTGAAACTCATTCTCCGTTCAGTTTTGTTCCCTTGCTGGTGAGGAGTTGTGATCCTTTGGAGGGGAAGAGGTGTTCTGGTTTTTGGAATTTTCAGACTTTTTGTACTGGGTTTTTGTCATCTTCATGGATTTACCTACCTTTGTTCTTTGATGTTGGTGACCTTCAGATGGGGTTTCTGTGTGGATGTCCTTTTTGTTGATGTTGATGCTGTTCCTTTCTTTCTGTTAGTTTTCCTTCTCATAGTCAGGACCCTCTCCTGCAGGTTGGCTGGTGTTTGCTGGGGGTCCACTCCAGACCCTGTTTGCCTGGGTATCACCAGCAGAGGCTGCAGAACAGCAAAGATTGCTGCCTGTTCCTTCCTCTGAAAGCTTCATCCCAGAAGGGCACCCACCAGATGCCAGCCAGAGCTCTCCTGTATGAGATGTCTGTCGATCCTTGCTGGGAGGTGTCTCCCAGTCAGGAGACACAAGGGTCAGGGACCCACTTGAGGAGGCAGTCTGTCCCTTAACAGAGCTTGAGTGTTGTGCTGGGAAATCCGCTGCTCTCCTCAGAGCTGGCAGGCAAGAACGTTTAAGTCTGCTGAGGCTGTGCCCCCAGCCGCCCCTTCCCCCACATGCTCTGTCCCAGGGAGATCTGAGTTTTATCTATAAGCCCCTGACTGGGGCTGCTGCCTTTCTTTCAGAGATGCCCTGCTCACAGAGGAGGAATCTAGAGAGGCAGTCTGGCTACAGCAGCTGCGCCCAGTTTGAACTTCCCAGGGGCTTTATTTACACTGTTAGGGGAAAACCGCCTACTCAAGCCTCAGTAATGGCAGATGCCCCTCCCCTCATCAAGCTTGAACATCCCAGGTCGACTTCAGACTGCTGTGCTGGCATTGAGAATTTCAAGCCTGTGGATCTTAGCTTGCTGAGCTCCACGAGGGTGGGATCCACTGAGCTAGACCACTTGGCTTCCTGGCTTTAGCCCCCTTTCCAGGGGAGTGAACAGTTCTGTCTCGCTGGCATTCCAGGTGCCTCTGGGGTATGAGAAAAAAACTCCTGAAGCTGCTCGGTGTCTGCCCAAACGGCTGCCCAGTTTTGTGCTTGAAAACCAGGGCCCTGGTGGCATAGGCACCCGAGGGAATCTCCTGGTCTGAGGGTTGCGAAGACCATGGGAAAAGTGTAGTATCTGGGCCAGAGTGCACTGTTCCTCACAGCACAGTCCCTCACTGCTTCCCTTGCCTAAGGGAGAGAGTTCCCCAACCCCTTGAGCTTCCTGGGTGAGGCGACAGCCCACCCTGCTTCAGCTCGCCCTCCATGGGCTGCACCCTCTGTCTAACCAGTCCCAATGAGATGAGTCGGGTACCTCAGTTGGAAATGCAGAAATCACCTGCCTTCTCTGTTGAACTCGCTGGGAGCTGCAGACTAGAGCTGTTCCTATTTGACCATCCTGCTTTTCTTTTCTTTTCTTTTCTTTTTTTGAGATGGAGTCTCATTCTGTTGCCTAGGCTGGAGTGCAATTGTGGGATCTCAAGTCGCTGCAACCTCCGCCTCCCAGGTTCAAGCAATTCTCCCACCTCAGCCTCCCAAGTAGCTGGGATTACAGGCATCTGCCATCACGCCCAGCTAATTTTTGTATTTTTGTAGAGAAGGGGTTTCACCAGGTCGGCCAGGCTGGTCTTGAACTCCTGACCTCAGGTTATCTGCCAGCCTTGGCCTCCCAAAGTGCTGAGATTACAGGTTTGAGCCACCGCACCTGGACTGTTTTCATTTCTTTTGACTATAGACCTATGAGTGTAATTCCCAATTCACATGGTAATTCTATGTTTAACTTTTTAGGAACCACCAAAATGTTTTCCACAGTGGCTGAATTATTTTACATTCCCAGCAGCCATGTATGAAAGTTCTAATTTCTCCACATCCTATTCAACAATTCTTATTTTCCCTATTGAAGTAAGTATAGCCATCCTGGTACATGTGAAATAGTACCTCATTGTTTTCATTTGCATTTTCCTAGTAGCTAGTGATGTTGAGTATGTTTACATGCATTTCTTGGCTATTTGTGTATCTTCGCTGGAGACATGTCCATTCAAATATTTTGCTTATTTCAAAACTGGGTTTGTCTTTTGTTGTTGGGTTTTTTCAGTAAGTTTTAATATATTCTGGATATCAAACTATCAGATATACGATTGGCAAAGTTTTTTCTACCATTCTGTTATCTTTTCACTTTTTGAAAATATCCATTGATGCACAAAAGTTTACAATTTCAATGAAGTCCCATTTATCTTTTTAATTTTCATTGCCTGTGTTTTTGGTGTCATATTCTAAGAATCGAATGCCAAATACAAAGTCATGATTTATCCCTATACTTTGTTTTAATAGTTTAATATTTTTAACTCTTACATTTAGGTTTTTGATACATTTTGAGTTAATTTTGGTACATGGTATAGGGTATGAGATAGCGGTCCAACTCCATTCTTTGGCATGTGGATAACCAGTTGTCCTAGCACCATTTCTTTAAGAAATGATTCCACATTGAATGGCCTTGGGACTCTTGATGAAAATCAATTTAGCATAGGTTGGCCCCCACAGACTCAGGCTCCAGGCTTGCCCTTGCAGTCCCAGGCACCAGGTCACCCCTGCATACTGTCTTCAGCTCCAACCCAGTGCCAATCCCAGGCTCCAGGTCACCCGTGCACACTGTCTTCAGCTCCAACACAGTGCCAGTCCAGCCTGCACAGACTCAGGCTCCAGGCCCACCTCATCACCAGGCAGGCCCTGATTGTCCCAGGCTCCAGACTGGCCCCATGGCCAGGCTGCTCCCCTCAACCCTAGACTCTGGGTGCACCATGAACCAAGCCACCAGGCCCGCCTTGGGGCCAGGCTAGCCTCACAGCCCCAGGCTCTGGGCTGGCACCCATGGCCGCCAGGCCTGCCGAGTCACCATGGTGGCCCTGCAGCCTCAGACTCCAGGTCAGCCTCCAGAACCCCAGACTCCAGGCTGGCACACGCAGACGTTACCTCCAGACCACTCCCCACCACCCCAGACTTCAGGCCTGGACTTGTAGACCCAGCTTCCAGATCCTCCCATGTCAGGACAATGTGTACCTACCCTGGACCCAGTCTGCTTCAATGATAGGCTGGCTTCTGTAGTTTCAGACTTTAGGCTGGCATACATAGACCTAGCCTCTGTACCTACTCCAGCTCCAGGCTGACCCCTGTGACCTCAAGGACCAGGCCAGCAACTGCACTGCCAGCTTCCATGCCAGCCCCCAAGGATTAAATGTTCCAGGCTTGCCCAGTGCCAGGCTAGCTCCTTTGGCCTCAATTCCAGTCTGGGCCTCTGAGATGCAGGTCCAGGACCACCCAAGGCATCAGATTGGCTCAGAGCAAGCACATAAACATTGTAACACTAGGAGATAGTTGAACATATTTTACAATTGACTGGATATATTATATAAGTGTGGTAAGCAACTTTTGTAGAGATAGTATGTGTGTGATAATGCAATTTTTTTCCCAATTTTGGACTACAGTTGAATAAACTTTTTAATTATTTAAACACATTTTTACTGAATAATGTTATGGTTTTTTGAATAATAAATTTAATTTTGTAAATATGTATTTCCTGATGTGATTTTTGTGAGAAACACTAAATCTTTTGTAAATCATATCCTTGTATAATTGGCATGAGCTAAATAATAGTTTGTGGGTGATTTGCATTGTACAATACTTGTGAGACTTTTAGAATTATAAAAATATTTATTAACTTTTAGTGTGTTGTTTAAACAAATGATTGGAACATACTGAAGATATGAGTAGGATTTTTTCTGCGTATTTCAGATGTGTACTTGGGCTAGCTTTCTTGTATTTTTCAAAACAAAATAGTGTCTTTTCTCTTAAAATCAATAAATCTGTTTTCTTGTTACAAAGAAGTTTACAATTTTCACTATTGTTAAGCATACATTTTAATAGTATTAACTACATCCCCATTGCTGTGCAACCATCACCACTATCTATCTCTACAAGGTGTTTCATCTTCCCAAACGGAAACTATGTACCCATGAAATAACCCCCCATTTCCTCTTCCCCCACTCAGATGCTGGAACACAGCATTCTGTTTTCTGTCAATATAAATTTGATTACTCTAGGTACCTCATATAAATGGACTCATACAGTATTTGTCCTTTGGTGACTAGCTTATTTCACTAGCATTATTTCACTTAGCATAATGCCCTGAAGGTTCACTCATGTTGTATCATATAACAGGCTTTTCCTTTTTTAAAGGCCAAATAATATTTCATTGGATGTATATGCCACCTTGTAAAAATCCATGCATCCATTCATGGAGAGTAAGGTCGTTTCTACCTCCTGGCTATTGTGAATAATACTGCCATGAATATGGGTGTGCAAATACGTATTCAAGATCCTTTCTCAGGTATTCTTGATATATACCCAGAAGTCAGATTGATGGATCTTATTTAGGTAATTCAATTTTTAAATTTTGGAGAAATTATCTTACTGTTTTTAATAGTGGGTGCACCATTTCACATCCCCACTAGTGTACGGGGGTTCCAGCTTCTGGGTTTTTTTTTTTTTTTTCTTAATAGTGGCTATCCCAACAGGCATGAGGTGATGTTGTTGTTCTCATTTGTATTTCCCTGATGATTAGTATCTTAGTCAATTCAGGCTGCTATAACAAAGTACCATAGACTGGATGGCTTAAAGAACAAATGTTTATTTCCCACAGTTCTGCAGACTGGGAAGTTCAAGGTAAAGGTGCTGGCAGATTCAGTGTCTGGTGACGGCCCTCTTCATGATGCATGAGAAGCACCGGGCTCACAGAGGAGCTGCAAGCCTCTGTTCCACACAAAGAGCTAGAACCTGATAGAAACATGGGCAGGGAGGCTCACAGTCAAGAAGCAGGGGTTTTAGGTTTGTTTCTGCTAGTGCTGTGAAAAACACCATTGTCGATTTCCTAGGGACTCACTGCATTGAACGTGTAACGGCTTTGTGTAGCACCTATGTGTTAACCATGTTCCCATCCATGAACACGGGATGTGTCTCCATTTATTGGTCTTCTGCATGTTTCAACAGTGTTTGATCGGTTTCAGTGTGCACACATTTCACCTCCCTGGATAAATGTATTCCGAAGTGTTTTGTTCTTGTCCTGGTATTCTAAATATGTTGGTTTCCCAGGTGTCTTTTCAGATAGTTTCTGGTTCAGGTATGGAAATGCAAATGATTTTCACATGTTGCTTTTGTACTCTGTAACTTGCTGACTTTGTTTATTGGTTTTGACCATTTTTTTGGTGCAGTGTACATCAGGGTTTTCTCTATGTGAGATCATGTCGTCCGCAAGCAGAGAAAATTGAGCTTCTTAGTTTCCAATTTGTTTGCCTTTTATTTCTTTTTCTTAGAATAGGTGATCAAATCGGCACATGGCTCTGCCCAAGAGGGTTGATTGGCATGTGGGTGTGGTGGTTTGGCAGGCCAGAGTTTTTATTTCTAAGAGTTTGTCCCACTCCATGCCCTCCTAGGTTTTAGAATTGAAAAATACCACTTGTTTAAGGTAGATACCATCCCTGCTTTTGTGCATTCACGCCTTCACAAATCCTTCACCACTGCCTCCACTCTGTGAATCAGCCCTTTCTCCCTCAAAGGAGAGCATTCCTGATTAATTTGACTCCCAAGCAGGTGTGTGCATAGGCACGCGCGTGTGCACGAGTGCACACACACACAAGAGAAACACAGGGCCCAGCATGGTGGCTCACACCTCTAATCCCAGCATTCTGGGAGGCTGAGGCAGGCAGGTCACTTGAGGTCAGGAGTTTGAGACCAGCCTGGCCAACATGGTGAAACCCGCATATCCACCAAAAAAAAAAAAAAAATTACCCAGGCATGGTGGTGCATGCCTGTAGTCCCCAGCTACTTGGAAAGCTGATGCAGGAGAATTGATTGAACCTGGCAGGTAGAGGTTGCCGTGAGCCAAGATTGTGCCACTGCACTGCAGCCTGGGTGACAGAGTGAGATTCCATCTCAAAAAAGCAAACAAAAAAAAACCCAAAAAACCCACCACATACGTCTCTGCACACACGCTAATCTTGAATGTCATCTGCATTTCTCCTGTCTTTGTCTGTTCAACACCCAGTCTCTTGGAGATGGGAGCTGGCAAAAACTACACACACCTCCTCACTGGAACCAGAATCTATGTCCGAATCTCATGCTCATCCAGCCCGGGGTTCCAGCTGAAGGAAGGAGGTGATCCCAACCGTCAGGGAGGGTGAAGGCTGAACAGGGAGCTTGAGGAAATCTCATGTGACTGCGAGAGGCGATCTGAAAGACTGAGCAGGCACACAGAAATATTACATCTACAAAAACCTGCGGCTTTGGGAATGGTGGAACAGTATTTGACAGGTACCATCCAAGAACAGCCAGCCCTAGCATCCACACTTGCCCTGGAAAGCAGCTGGCCATTTTCAAATCAAGGGTGTAGAGACCACCGGCTGCAGAAGGGGCTGTTGGCCGTCTACAGGATACCAAGGATGTGGAAGCCGCCTTCTGTGTAGCTTCAGGTGGGCAGTTTCCACCAGGTTGGCCTGCAGGCACCAGAACAGACTCAGTGCCCCCACCTCCAACCCGCCCTTTTTGTCTGTGCTCCCTGTGCCTTTCCTTTTGCTCAGCCACCCACCGGGATGTGGCTTCTGTCTCCAGCTGGCTACTGAAACAAAGGAGAGACACCTAACAGGATTTGGTAACTGAGGTTCAAAGGTGGGGGGTAAGAGTGAAACTGAGGACGCCATGTGGCTTTCTGGCCCAGATGACCTGACCGTGTGCATGGTGGCACCAGAGGGACATAATGGCTCCAGAAAGAGGACTGAGCTCCCGAGGGGTAGGATGAGCTCTGTCATGCTCAACAGCACAGAAGCAACCATGCAGGTAAGGACTCCGGCGTCAAGCCACGGGGGAAAGCAAGGATGTTCGTGATGGAAAGGACAGTGACAGGGCAGAACCATGACAGTGAATTGCAGGAGGAAAGGTGAGAGAGAGCGGGGTTCTGGAAGGAGGCCATCAGTTCCTGCTGAAGGAGAGCGAGAATAGTGCTGAAGGGGACCTGTGAGACCCCAAAGTAGGAGGAAAAGAGGATGGACCATGAGCAAGGTGTGCCGGGGAAAGGCAAGAAATGCTGCTGTGGCCAGGCAGGGCCACCAAAGCACCTAGGCCCAGGGCACTATGGTGAGCCTGAGTGCAGGGCTGTTGCTCAGAGGCCGGCTCAGGCGACCCCCAGGGAGTGGGCTCACCACTCAGCACTAGGGTAACTGCTCTTCAAGGGCCAGGGAACACAGCAACACCCTGCACCCCCCAACACTCCCAACAATCACAGGGCAGACCACATACCACAGAATATGAGAACGACTTTATTGGAAACTGCTTTGGGAAGGGGGCAAATGCAGCAGAAGAGCGGAAGCCCTGGCTGAAGAGGATACGGAAGGAACCCGTTTGGCTGCAGCTCCGGAGCTCCAAAGGTACCAGCTGCTCATCTTGTAGGAAGATGCTGGCTCCAACCTGTGAAACAGAGCAGCTCAGGGACGGGCCCCCAACCAGGGCCAGCCCACAGCCCTCTTAAGCTACCGGGATTGTGGGAAGGTGCATAATGTGTGCAACACTCACTTCAAAGGTCCTGGAACTTGTCAGTGAGGAACTGCATGGCCGCTGAAAGAGAGAGGCAGAAATGGGCACTCCAGACCCAGGGAAACAGAAACCCACCCCCTGCCCCAGTGGGGAACCACCTAGCCTTGCAACCCGAAACCCCACCAGCCCTGGGACTGACTCATCCACCCGTCACCTGAATTAAATGTGGAAATGCCTTGTAAGTGGGAAAGTGGTTCTCAGGTGTTGGGCCATCCCAGAACCGTTCAGAACATGTTTCAAAGACAGATAAGTCAGCCAGCAAGCAAACATCGTACAAGCCATATCAGGCAGCAGTTAAAGGAAAACACACACAGTGTCTCTAACCGTCCTAAGCGAAGGAGATCTCTGGGACTCGTGGACAAAGTGTACATGGAGTTCAGACGACACATTGCTGTCTGTGCACACCCCTAGCTGGAAAGGCACAGAAGGCTCCAGGGCCAGGCTTTCCTTGGTTCTCTTCCCCAGAGGAGTCAATCCCAGTGACGTTGCCTGCACCTGCAGCCCACCCTTGCCCTGGCACCTGCAGTAAGACAGTGCTGTCAATCCCTGCCCCAGCCATGGTTCCATTATACCTAGTTGGTCTCTAAGGTCCTCAGTTTTTTTTTTTTATTATTATTATACTTTAAGTTCTAGGGTACATGTGCACAACGTGCAGGTTTGTTACATATGTATACATGTGCCATGTTGGCGTGCTGCACCCGTTAACTCATCATTTACATTAGGTATATCTCCTAATGCTATCCTTCCCCCCTCCCTGACACCACGACAGGCCCCAGTGTGTGATGTTCCCCACCCTGTGTCCAAGTGTTCTCATTGTTCAATTCCCACCTACGAGTGAGAACATGTGGAGTTTGGTTTTCTGTCCTTGCCATAGTTTGCTCAGAATGATGGTTTCCAGCTTCATCCATGTCCCTACAAAGGACATGAACTCATCCTTTTTTATGGCTGCATAGTATTCCATGGTGTATATGTGCCACGTTTTCTTAATCCAGTCTATCATTGATGGACATTTGGGTTGGTTCCAAGTCTTTGCTATTGTGAATAGTGCCACAATAAACAACGTGTGCATGTGTCTTTATAGCAGCATGATTTATAATCCTTTGGATATATACCCAGTAAAGGGATCACTGGGTCAAATGGTATTTCTAGTTCTAGATCCTTGAGGGGTTGCCACACCATCTTCCACAATGGTTGAACTAGTTTACAGTCCCACCAACAGTGTAAAAGTGTTCCTATTTCTCCACATCCTCTCCAGCACCTGTTGTTTCCTGAGTTTTTAATGATTGCCATTCTAACTGGTGTGAGATGTTATCTCATTGTGGTGTTGATTTGCATTTTCCTGATGGCCAGTGATGATGAGCATTTTTTCATGTTTCTTTTGGTTGCATAAATGTCTTCTTTTGAGAAGTGTCTGTTCATATCCTTTCCCCACTTTTTGATGGGGTTGTTTCATTTTTTCTTGTAAATTTGTTTGAGTTCTTCGTAGATTCTGGATATTAGCCCTTTGTCAGATGGGTAGATTGTAAAACTTTTCTCCCATTCTGTAGGTTGCCTGTTCACTCTGATGGTAGTTTCTTTTGCTGTGCAGAAGCTCTTTAGTTTAATTAGATCCCATTTATCAATTTTGGCTTCTGTTGCCATTGCTTTTGGTGTTTTAGTCATGAAGTGCTTGCCCATGCCTATGTCCTGAATGGTATTGCCTAGGTTTTCTTCTAGGGTTTTTATGGTTTTAGGTCTAACATTTAAGTCTTTAATCCATCTTGAGTTAATTTTTGTATAAGGTGTAAGGAAGGGATCCAGTTTCAGCTTTCTCCATATGGCTAGCCAGTTTTCCCAGCACCATTTACTAAATAGGGAATCCTTTCCCCATTTCTTGTTTTTGTCAGGTTTGCCAAAGATCAGATGGTTGTAGATGTGCAGTGTTATTTCTGAGGGCTCTGTTCTGTTCAATTGGTCTATATCTCTATTTTGGTAGCAGTTCCATGCTGTTTTGGTTACTGTAGCCTTTTAGTATAGTTTGAACTCAGATAGCGTGATGCCTCCAGCTTTGTTCTTCTGGCTTAGGATTGTCTTGGCAATGCAGGCTCTTTTTTGGTTCCATATGAACTTTAAAGTAGTTTTTTTCCAATTCTGTGAAAAAACTCATTGGTAGATTGATGGGGATGGCATTGAATCTGCAAATTACCTTGGGGAGTATGGCCATTTTCATGATATTGATTCTTCCTATCCATGAGCATGGAATGTTTTTCAATTTGTTTGTGTCCTCTTTTATTTCATTAGTAGTGGTTTGTAGTTTTCCTTAAAGCGGTCCTTCACATCCCTTGTAAGTCAAATTCCTAGGTATTTTATTCTCTTTGTAGTAATTGTGAATGGGAGTTCACTCATGATTTGGCTCTCTGTGTGTTCTTGGTGTATAGGAATGCTTGTGATTTTTGCACATTGATTTTGTATCCTGAGACTTTGCTGAAGTTGCTTATCAGCTTAAGGAGATTTTAGGCACAGATGATGGGGTTTTCTAAATATACAATCAGGTCATCTGCAAACAGGGACAATTTGACTTCCTCTTTTCTTAATTGAATACCCTTTATTTCTTTCTCCTGCCCAATTGCCCTGGCCAGAACTTCCAACACTATGTTGAATAGGAGTGGTGAGAGAGGGCATCCCTGTCTTGTGCCAGTTTTTGAAGGAAAGCTTCCAGTTTTTGCCCATTCAGTATGATATTGGCTGTGGGTTTGTCATAAATAAAATAAATATTTTATTTATTTTATAAATAAAATAATGAATCTTATTATTTTGAGATACATCCCATCAATACCTAGTTTATTGAGATTTTTTAGCATGAAGGGGTGTTGAATTTTGTTGAAGAACTTTTCTGCATCTATTGAGATAATCATGTGGTTTTTGTCTTTGATTCTGTTTATATGATGGATTATGTTTATTGACTTGGAATGTTGAACCAGCCTTGCATCCCAGGGATGAAGCCAACTTGATTGTGGTGGATAAGCTTTTTGATGTACTGCTGGATTCAGGTTGCCAGTATTTTATTGAGGATTTTTGCATCAATGTTCATCAGGGATATTGGTCTAAAATTCTCTTTTTTTGTTGTGTCTCTGAGAACAGGCTTTGGTATCAGGATGATGCTGGCCTCATAAAATGAGTTAGGGAGGATTCCCTATTTTTCTATTGATTGGAAGTTTCAGAAGGAATGGTACCAGCTCCTCTCTGTACCTCTGGTATAATTCGGCTGTGAATCCGTCTGGTCCTAGACTTTTTTTGGTTGGTAGGCTATTAATTATTGCCTCAATTTCAGAGCCTGTTATTGGTCTATTCAGAGGTTCAACTTCTTCCTGGTGTAGTCTTCGGAGGATGTATGTGTCCAGGAATTTATCCATTTCTTGTAGATTTTCTAGTTTATTTTGTAGAGGTGTCTATAGTATTCTCTGATGGTAGTTTGTATTTCTGTGGGATCAGTGGTGATATCCTCTTTATCATTTTTTATTGAGTCTATTTGATTCTTCTCTCTTTTCTTCTTTATTAGTCTTGCTAGCGGTCTATCAATTTTGTTGATCTTTTCAAAAAACCAGTTCCTGGATTCATTGATTTTTTGAAGGGTTTTTTGTGTCTCTATCCCCTTCAGTTCTGCTCTGATCTTATTTCTTGCCTTCTGCTAGCTTTTGAATGTGTTTGCTCTTGCTTCTCTAGTTCTTTTAATTGTGATGTTAGGGTGCCAATTTTAGATCTTTCCTGCTTTCTCCTGTGGGTATTTAGTGCTGTAAATTTCCCTCTACACACTGCTTTGAATGTGTCCCAGAGATTCTGGTATGTTGTCTTGTTCTCGTTGGTTTCAAAGAACATCTTTATTTCTGCCTTAATTTCATTATGTATCCAGTAGTCATTCAGGAGCAGTTTGTTCAGTTTCCATGTAGTTGAGCAGTTTTGAGTGAGTTTCTTAATCCTGAGTTCTAGTTTGATTGCACTGTGGTTTGAGAGACAGTTTGTTATAATTTCTGTTCTTTTACATTTGCTGAGGAGTGCTTTACTTCCAACTATGTAGTCAATTTTGGAATAAGTGTGGTGTGGTGCTGAGAAGAATGTATATTCTGTTGATTTGGGGTGGAGGGTTCTGTAGATGTCTATTAGGTCCGCTTGGTGCAGAGCTGAGTTCAATTCCTGGGTATCCTTGTTAACTTTCTGTCTCGTTGATCTGTCTAATGTTGACGGTAGGGTGTTAAAGTCTCCCATTATCATTATGTGGGAGTCTAAGTCTCTTTGTAGGTCTCTAAGGGCTTGCTTTATGAATCTGGATGCTCCTGTATTGGGTGCACATATATTTAGGATAGTTAGCTCTTCTTGTTGAATTATGCAATTATGCAATTATGCAATGGCCTTCTTTGTCTCTTTTGATCCTTGTTGGTTTAAGGTGTGTTTTATCAGAGACTAGGATTGCAACCCCTGCTTTTTTGTTTTGTTTTGTTCTCCATTTGCTATGTAGATCTTCCTCCATCCATTAATTTTGGGCCTATGTGTGTCTCTGCATGAGAGATGGGTCTCCTGAATACAGCACACTGATGGGTCTTGACTCTTTATCCAATTTGCCAGTCTGTGTCTTTTAATTGGAGCATTTAGCCCATTTACATTTAAGGTTAATATGGTTATGTGTGAATTTGATCCTGTCATTATGATGTTAGCTGGTTATTTTGCTCATTAGTTGATGCACTTTCTTTCTAGCATCGATGGTCTTTACAATTTGGCATGTTTTTGCAATGGCTGGTACCGGATGTTCCTTTCCATGTTTATTGCTTCCTTCAGGAGCTCTTGTAAGGCCGGCCTGGTGGTGACAAAATCTCTCGGCATTTGTTTGTCTGTAAAGGATTTTATTTCTCCTTCACTTATGAAGCTTAGTTTGGCTGGATATGAAATTCTGGATTGAAAATTCTTTTCTTTGAATATTGGCCCCCACTCTCTTCTGGCTTGTAGAGTTTCTGCCGAGAGATCTGCTATTAGTCTGATGGGCTTCCTTTTGTGGGTAACCCGACCTTTCTCTCTGGCTGCCCTTAACATTTTTTCCTTCATTTCAACTTTGGTGAATCTGACAATTATGTGTCTTGGGGTTGCTCTTCTCAAGGAGTATCTTTGTGGCATTCCCTGTATTTCCTGAATTTGAATGTTGGCCTGCCTTGCTAGGTTGGGGAAGTTCTCCTGGATAATATCCTGAAGAGTGTTTTCCAACTGGGTTCCATTCTCCCCATCACTTTGAGGTCCAATAATCAGATGGAGATTTGGTCTTTTCACGTAGTCCCATATTTCTTGGAGGCTTTGTTCATTTCTTTTTACTCTTTTTTCTCTAAACTTCTCTTCTCGCTTCATTTCATTCATTTTGTCTTCAATCACTGATACCTTTTCTTCCACTTGATCAAATCAGCTGCTGAAACTTGTGCGTGCGTCACATAGTTCCCGTGCCATGGTTTTCAGCTCCATCAGGTCATTTAAGGACTTCTCTACACTGTTTATTCTAGTTAGCCATTTGTCTAATCTTTTTTCAAGGTTTTTAGCTTCTTTGTGATGGGTTCGAACATCCTCCTTTAGCTCAGAGAAGTTTGTTATTACCGATCATCTGAAGCCTTCTTCTCTCAACTCTTCAAAGTCATTCTCCATCCAGCTTTGTTCCATTGCTGGTGAGGAGCTGCATTCCTTTGGAGGAGAAGAGGCGCTCTGATTTTTAGAATTTTCAGCTTTTCTGCCCTGGTTTCTCCCCATCTTTGTGGTTTTATCTACCTTTGGTCTTTGATGACAGTGACGTACAGATGGGGTTTTGGTGTAGATGTCCTTTCTGTTTGTTAGTTTTCCTTCTAACAGACAGGACCCTCAGCTGCAGGTCTGTTGGAGTTTGCTGGAGGTCCACTCCAGACCCTGTTTGCCTGGGTATCACCAGCAGAGGCTGCAGAACAGCAAATGTTGCTGCCTGATCCTTCCTCTAGAAGCTTCTTCTTAGAGGGGCACCTGGCTGTCTGAGTTGTCAGTCGGCCCCTACTGGGAGGTGTCTCCCAGTTAGGCTACTCGGGGGTCAGGGACCCACTTGAAGAGGCAGTCTGTCCGTTCTCAGATCTCAAACTCCCTGCTGGGAGAACCACTACTCCTTCAAAGCTGTCAGACAGGGACTTTTAAGTTTGCAGAAGTTTCTGCTGCCTTTTGTTCAGCTATGCCATGCCCCCAGAGGTGGAGTCTACAAAGGCAGGCAGGCTTCCTTGAGCTGTGGTGGGCTCCACCCAGTTCGAACTTCCCAGCTGCTTTGTTTACCTACTCAAGCCTCAGCAATGGCGGATGCCTATCTCCCAGCCCCCTACAGTTCCATCTCAGACTGCTGTGCTAGCAGTGAGCGAGGCTCTGTGGGCATGGGACCCTCTGAGCCAGGCGTGGAATATAATCTCCTGGTGTGCTGTTTGCTAAGACTGTTGGAAAAGCGCAGTATTAGGGTGGGAGTGTCCTGATTTTCCAGGTACCATCTGTCATGGCTTCCCTTGGCTAGGAAAGGGAATTCCCCGACCCCTTGTGCTTCCCGGGTGAGGTGATGCCCCGCCCTGCTCCATGGGCTGCACCCAGTGTCTGACAAGCCCCAGTGAGATGAACCCGGTACCTCAGTTGGAAATGCAGAAATCACCCGTCTTCTGCATCACTCATGCTGGGAGCTGTAGACTGGAGCTGTTCCTATTCGGCCATCTTGGAACCTCCCCTCAGGTCCTCAGTTTTCCTCTGCAGCAGGATGCACTAGACCAGCAGACACTGGAGGAAGAGAAATGGTTAGTCCCTTCTGGCCTGCTCTCTCACCATCCTCCCTGTCTCTCCCAGACCTTACAGCCCCCATGGTCTGCAGCCCAGTGGTGAGGTGGGTTGGCACAGAGCCCTCAATGGAAAGGAGGCATCCACTCTCCATGGGGTACGGAAGTTGGAGGTGGGAGAGACGCAGAAATCAGTTAAACTGGACATGGATCCCACCATCTAGTGTGGACCCGGATTACTATGATCCACACAAAGCATTACCTGAGGACAGCCCTGGGCTCCTGGGGGCTGCTGCTGCCTTTCCAATCT
Source organism: Homo sapiens (assembly GCF_000001405.40). Classification (NCBI taxonomy): domain Eukaryota; kingdom Metazoa; phylum Chordata; class Mammalia; order Primates; family Hominidae; genus Homo; species Homo sapiens. The sequence goes on along the minus strand of NC_000023.11, from coordinate 71,816,350 downwards.
TGGGGGATGGACAGGCAGCTGCTGGTCACCTGAAAGAAAACACAAAATCCAGCTTCTAAGCCTCTGAGTGAGGTGGAAAGGGCCTAGCAGGGTCCAATGTGAGGCAGCATTACCCTGTGCTTGCAACACATTGCCCCTGCTCTGCCCAGCAGCTCCAACCCTCCCTCTGGGACTGTCTTCCCTGTTCCCCAGTGTGAGTCCATCTGTACCTGTGGCCCACTAGCATTGTGGCTCTGGGTAGGATGCCAACAGCGGGGCAGCCACAGGCAGGCCCTGGGAGGAGCAGTGTGGCTGAGCAGGACTTAACAGAAAAGGGCTCAGTACTGCTGAAAGTCTCTTTCCAGAGCTGGAGTTTGGGGTGGGGCTCCAAATCACCCCCCACTGCACAAATCCCACTCAGAGAGGGCGATGTGCCTTCAGGCTAGCCCTGTGAACCCTGCATTTCCCTTGGGACAGCTGCCTGGGTGGGCAGGGAAGTCCGGGAACAAGGCTGAGCTTCCAGAAGCGACAGAGCCAGAGGTTTCACTCCCGTCCTCTCTCCCCGCCAAGCCTATCAAACCCGCAAGACTCACTGGAGAATGCACGGTGTCAGGACACAAGGCGTCTCAGGCTCAATGCTAAGGGCTGTGAGGTTCCTGGAACTTGGGGAGTTCTGATGGTGGAGTCGCCACTGCTGCATTCTCCACAACTCACGGACAGGGAAATCAGCTGGGGCTTCTCTTTGGGAAACTAAAACAGAAAGTTCTGAGTTGGGCTGGCAGTGGAGGCTGGCAGTAAGTACAAGTGAGGAGGGGTTGTGTTAAGGTGGAGACTCCAGACTAATCTCATTAGCACTTTCTCCCTCAGTCAGCTCCAAGACAGGAGAGCTTGCGTAATAGCTAGGGAAGGAGGAATTGGGAAGTTGATGAGTCTGGACGCCCAAGCTTTGTGCCCCACACATTAAGGAGTCCCCTGATCCAAACCAGCTGCCACCCCTGTCTTCCATCCCAGCTCCTCTCTGGGGGCAGAGCCTGGACAACTGCAGAGTGTCCAGAGCCGGTCCTGGCACACACCAAGTGCTCCCTTTAATGTGTGCCCCTATGAGGAGAACCCCAATCGGTCATCCTAGTGTCCCTGGGCTCCCGATGACAACCTGTGAGCAAGGGATAGAGAGGGCATGGGTGGGTGCTGGAGGAGAGGTGGGTGGGGGGAGACAGAGGAGAAAGAGTAGGAGGAGAGCAAGGAGGAGAAGGAGGAGTGTGCGAAGAGAATCTACTCACTTGGGCCCTTGGGACCTCATCTCTATTTGGATCATTATCTTCTCTGGCCGCAGCCTGGGACTCCCTGGTCTTCCTTCCTGCTGGTTTCTTCCCAGGGCTGCTGTGCTTGGGCTCCTTGGGTCTCGCAGACTTCCCCAGGAGCCCCACACTGGACACTGGTGGGAAGCTGGCCGGATCAGGTGGAACTGCTGAGAGTCTCTGCCCCCAGGCAGGAAAGGCTCCCCGCAGGGCCAGTTCTGGTGCACCCTCTAGGGATTTCTTCTCCTGGGCCACCTTCCTTCCCAGAATGCCCCGGGGTAGGGGCCCTCTAATGGCAACTCCTGAGCAACTGGGCCTGACCCCCCTCTTTCCCCACACCATGCTCTGCATTTTCTTCAAGGAAGACGTGTCCAGCTCTCCCACGGCCGGCCTCTCCATGGCTGGGGTGAGTCTGCGGGGAGGAGAGGTCAGGAGAGGTCCCTGAACCTGAAGGTAACTCTCCCTGCGGTGGAAACTGGGGCGTCTGCAAGTGTCTGCTGGCTTCTTGGGGCTTCCGGGCTTGGCCTGGATTCCTTCTTTGGTGAAAATGATCACCCTGATCAACGGTAAGTCGCTGCACTCATCTCCGGAATCAGAGTCTTGGGTAGACAGCCCTGCGGGCCCTTCCTCGGAGGGCTGCTGGGGATCCACGCAGATGCTGCGTCTCCTCTTCAAGCCCCTTTCCGGGTTCTCTCAGGCTGGGCCTGTCCCAGGACCAGTGAGGTGGAGAGGGCCGACGAAGTTCCTCCGCTGCCATTTCCCCGGGCTGGGGCCCAGCACACCTCTCCCACTGGGACCGACCTCCAGGTCTGCCCCAATGTCAGCGGACCCTTTGGCAGTGATGCCTTCTAGGGACAGTTGTCCCTGGATGCTGGGCGGTGGCATGACTCACTGCGTTTTACCTGTAACAGCTTTGGGTAGCTCACAGTCAAGGCTCACAGGGAGGCTCACAGTCAAGAAGCAGGGGTTTTAGGTTTGTTTCTGCTAGTGCTGTGAAAAACACCATTGTCGATTTCCTAGGGACTCACTGCATTGAATGTGTAACAGCTTTGGGTAGCACCTATGTGTTAACCGTCTTCCCGTCCGTGAACACAGGATGTGTCTCTATTTTTTGGTCTTCTGCCTGTTTCATCAGTGTTTGATCGGTTTCAGTGTGCACACCTTTCACCTCCCTGAATAAACGTATTCCAAGGGTTTTATTCTTGGCCTGATATTCTAAATATGTTGGTTTCCCGGGTGTCTTTTTGGGATAGTTTGTTGTTCAGGCATAGAAAAGCGAGAGATTTTCGCATGTTGCTTTTCCATTCCGCAACTTTGCTGACTTTGTCTATTGGTTTTGATCGTTTTTTGGTGCAGTGCACATCAGGGTTTTCTCTATGTGACTTCATGCCATCAGCAAGCAGAGATAATTGAGCTTCTTACTGTCTAGTTTGGCGCCTTTTATTTCTTTTTCTTACAACACATGACCAAATCGACACGTGGTTGTGTGTCCCGTGTGTGTGCATGTGTGCGCGTGCGTGTGCGTGCACGCATGCACGCACGCATATGGGCTGGTGCCCATGTATGCCCCCACTTGGGAATCAAATTAATCGGAGATGCTCTCCCTTGAGGGAGAAAGGGCTGATTCACATAGTGAAGGCAGTGGTGAAGGATCCGCGAAGGATCCAACGCGTAAAAGCAGGGCTGGGATCTACCTTAAACAAGAGGTATTTTTTCAATTCTAAAACCTAGAAGGGTGTGGAGTGGGATAAACTCTTAGAAATAAAAATTTCTGGCCTGCCAAACCAGCACACCCACATGCCAAACAACCCTCGTGGGCACAGCCACGTGCCGATTTGATCACCTATTTTAAGAAAAGAAATAAAAAGGATTCAAATTGGAAACTAAGAAGCTCAATTTTCTCGGCTTGCAGATGACATGATCTCACCTAGAGAAAACCCTGATATACACTGCACCAAAAAATGGTCAAAACCAATAAACAAACTCAGCAAAGTTACAGAGTGAAAAGCAACATGTGAAAATCACTCGCTTTTCTATGCCCGAACAACAAACTATGCGAAAAAGACACCCGGGAAACCAACATATTTAGAATACCAGGACAAGAATAAAACCCTTGGAATACGTTTATTCAGGGAGGTGAAAGGTGTGCACACTGAAACCAATCAAACACTGATGAAACACGCAGAAGACCAATAAATGCAGACACATCCCGTGTTCATGGACGGGAAGACGGTTAACACGTAGGTGCTACACAAAGCCGTTACACGTTCAATGCAGTGAGTCCCTAGGAAATCGACAATGGTGTTTTTCACAGCACTAGCAGAAACAAACCTAAAACCCCTGCTTCTTGACTGTGAGCCTCCCTGCCCATGTTTCTATCAGGTTCTAGCTCTTTGTGTGGAACAGAGGCTTGCAGCTCCTCTGTGAGCCCGGTGCTTCTCATGCATCATGAAGAGGGCCGTCACCAGACACTGAATCTGCCAGCACCTTTACCTTGAACTTCCCAGTCTGCAGAACTGTGGGAAATAAACATTTGTTCTTTAAGCCATCCAGTCTATGGTACTTTGTTATAGCAGCCTGAATTGACTAAGATACTAATCATCAGGGAAATACAAATGAGAACCACAATATCACCTCATGCTTGTTGGGATGGCCACTATTAAGAAAAAAAAAAACCCCAGAAACTGGAATCCTTGTACACTACTGGGGATGGTGCACCCATTATTAAAAACAGTATGGGAATTTCTCCAAAATTTAAAAATAGAATTACTTCAATATGATCCATCAATCCGACTTCTGGGTATATATCCAGAAGACCTGAAAAAGGATCTTGAATACGTATTTGCACACCCATATTCATGGCAGTATTATTCACAATAGCCAGGAGGTAGAAACAACCTGACTCTCCATGAATGGATGCATGGATTTTTACAAGGTGGCATATACATCCAATGAACTATTATTTGGCCTTTAAAAAAGGAAATCCTGTCATATGATACAACATGAATGAATCTTCAGGACATTATGCTAAGTGAAATAAGCCAGTCACAAAAAGAAAAACATTACATGATTATACTTATATGAGGTACTTTTAAAAGTCAAACTCTTAGAAACAAAAAGTAAAAGGGTGATTGCCAGGGGCTGTGGAGGGCAGGGGAAAGGGGAGTTGTTGTTCAGTGGGTATAAATCAGTTTTGCAGGATGAAAATGTTCTAGAGATCAGTTGCACAATAACATTCACGTAGGTAACACTACTGTACTGTATACTTAAAAATGATTATGATGGTATGTTTTATGTTACTTTTTACCACAATCAAAAAAGTTCTATGCAGAGAAATTAGGCAAGAAAAAATACCAAAGTGCGTTCAAACTAGTAAGGGAGATGTAAAATTATCTCTATGCACAGATGACACAATTCTATACATAGAAAACCTGAAAGAATCTTCAAAACCATTACTAAAGCTAATGAACAAGTTAATACACAAATTCAACGAGGTTGCAGAGAATAGGATGGATCAAAAGGCAAAAATTATTAAAAAATACTGTGTGATTCCATTTATATGAGGTACCTAGAGTAATCAAATTCATATCAACAGAAAGTAGAATGCTGTGTTCCAGCATCTGAGTGGGGGAAGAGAAAATGCGGGGTTATTTCATGGGTACATAGTTTCTGATTGGGAAGATGAAACAACCTGTAGAGATAGATAGTGGTGACGGTTGTACAGCAATGGGGATGTAGTTAATACTACTAAACTGTATGCTTAACAATAGTTAAAATTGTAAACTTCTTTGTAACAAGAAAACAGATTTACTGATTTTAAGAGGAAAGACACTATTTTGTTTTGAAAAAAACAGGAAAGCTAGCCTGAGTACACGTCCAAAATACTCAGAAAAATCCTACTCATATCTTTAGTATGTTCCAATAATTTGTTTAAACAACACACTAAAAGTTGATAAATATTTTTATAATTCTAAAAGTCTCACAGTTGTTGTACAATGCAAATCACCCACAAACTATTATTTAGCTCATGGCAATTCTGTGAGAATATGATTTATAAAAGATTTAGCGTTTCTCACAAAAATCACATCAAGAAATACATATTTACAAAACCAAATACATTATACAAAAACCTATCATGTTATTCAGTAAATGTGTTTTTAAATAATTAAAAAGTTTATTCGGCTGGGCTCGGTGGCTCACGCCTGTAATCCCAGCACTTTGGGAAGCTGAGGCGGGTGGATCACCTGAGGTCAGGAGTTCAAAACCAGCCTGGCCAAGATGGTGAAACCTAGCCTCTACTAAAAATACAAAAATTAGGGGGCCGTGGTGGCAGGCGCCTGTAACCCCAGCTACTTGGGAGACTGAGGCAAAAGAATCACTTGAACCCAGGAAGCAGAGGTTGGGGTGAGCTGAGATCGCACCACTGCACTCCAGCTTGGGCAACAGAGTGAGACTTCATCTCAAATAAAAAATAAAAATAAAAAGTTTATTCAACTGTAGCCCAAACTTGGAAAAGAATATTACATTATCACACACGTACTATCTCTACAAAAGTTGCTTACCACATTTATATAATATAGCCAGACAACTGTAAAATGTGTTCAATATCTTTTAGTGTTACTATGTTTCTATGCTTACGGGAATGAATAATGCAATCTGCCTAATTTAAGTGAAATTTAAATGATGGCACTTAAAAATTATAGTATCTTAAAAAAACACAATGAAAGAAGTTTTGGTTTCTGGTTCCGAAATGGTGGCATAAGTGGAAGCTGGCTTCACTCCACCTCACAGAAAAACAAAAACAAATATACGACGCCAAGATTATCACCTGCAATATCCCTCAACTCAATTATGAGGATGAGTCAGTTCCCAGGGCCACAGAGAAGTGAAAACACTCCAAGCAAACAAAAAGAGAATTGGATTTCCATATCTGCAACACCCTCCCCCTGAATCTGCTTGGCACCACGTGTGCGGAAAATTTCCCTTGAGTCATGGTTTCTACACTGGAAGAAGTGATATTGAGGTGAACGGTCAGCTTCCGCACCATCTTGGGTTCCCTGGCAGGAGACCTGTTCCTGACTCAACCCACGGGAAGCATCGTGAGTGCCTGAGGGGAGAAATGTCCCTGAGGACCGTCAGAGACAAAACGGGGAGGCAGAACTATCATCCTCAACCCAGGAAACTCTGCTCTGTAACTCAGCCAAAGGAGATGCCAAATCAGAGTGGCTGTTCAGCAGCGCCACACTGTAGGTGGTATGTTCCACAGGCCTCCTGGACTCGGACCCTTAGCCAGCTTTTCTACACTGCCAAGATACCATCTTTGGGACCTCCCCCATTCTGGATGGGCAGCACTCTCTTCATTTGCTTGAGACAAAGCAGATGGGCTTAAGGCACCATCTAATGCTGTAAAGGTGTGTTTATTTTGCTGCTAGTGGCCTAGCAGAAAAAAATAAGACATTCAACAGGTAAATTACACAGAATCTCTAAGCAAACATAAAGATCCAAACAAGCCAGACAGAGGAGACTGGAATAAATAGCAAATCCTTTAGGTATTTTTTTTTATTTGTAGCTGTTGTGGATGAAATTACATTCTTGATTTCTTTTTCAGATTGTTCACTGTTGGCATATAGAAATGCTATTGATTTATGTGTGTTGATTTTGTATCCCGCAACTTACGTGAATTTGTTCATCAGTTCGAATAGTTTATTGGTGGAGTCTTTAGGTTTTTGCAAATACATGATCATGTCATCTGCAAACAAGTAGAAGGATAATCACTAGAGGGTGGAAAGGGTAATGAGGTGTGAGGGAGAGTTGGGGATCTGTATGTTCCTTCTATACTCAGTTTTGGGAGGGCTTTCACCATAATGGAATTTCAAATTTTATCAAATGCTTTTTACAGCATCAATTGAAATGATCATATGGTTGTTATCCTTCATTCTGTTGATATAGTGTTTCGCATTGATTGATTTGCATATGTTGAACCGTCCTTGGATCCCAGGGATAAATCCCACTTGGTCATGATGATGACTGAACACCTTTCCTCTAAGATTTGGAACATAACAAGATGCCCACATTCACCCCTTTTTTTCAACATGGTACTGGAAGTCCTACCTAGAGCAATCAGACAAGAGAAAGAAATAGAAGGCATCCAAAGATCAGATGGTTGTAGATGTGTGGTGTTGTTTCTGAGGCCTCTGTTCTGTTCCATTGGTCTATATATCTGTTTTGGTACCAGGACCATGCTGTTTTGGTTACTGTAGCCTTGTAGTATAGTTTGAAGCCAGGTAGCATAATGCCTCCAGCTTTGTTCTTTTTGCTTAGGATTTTCTTGGCTATGTGGGCTCTTTTTTGGTTCCATACAAATGTTAAGGTAGTTTTTTCCAATTCTGTGAAGAAAGTCAGTGGTAGCTTGATGGGGATAGCATTGAAGCTATAAATTACTTTTGGCAGTATGGCCATTTTCACGATATTGATTCTTCCTATCCATGAGCATGGAGTGTTCTTCCATTTGTTCGTGTCCTCTTTTATTTCATTGAGCACTGGTTTGTAGTTCTCCTTGAAGAGGTCCTTCACATCCCTTGTAAGTTGGATTCATAGGTATTTTATTCTCTTTGTAGTAATTGTGAATGGGAGTTCACTCATGATTTGGCTCTCTGTTTGTCTATATTGGTGTATAGGAATGCTTGATTTTTGCACACTGATTTTGTATCCTGAGACTTTGCTGAAGTTGCTTATCAGCTTAAGGAGATTTTGGACTGAGATGATGGGGTTTTCTAAATATACAATCATGTCATCCGCAAACAGAGACAATTTGACTTCCTCTTTTCCTAATTGAATACCCTTTATTTCTTTCTCTTGCCTGATTTCCCTGGCCAGAACTTCCAACACTATGTTGAATAGAAGTGGTGAGAAAGGGCATCTTTGTCTTGTGCCAGTTTTCAAAGGGAATGCTTCCAGTTTTTGCCCATTCAGTACGATATTGGCTGTGGGTCTGTCATAAATAAATCTTATTATTTTGAGATACATTCCATCAATTCCTAGTTTATTGAGAGTTTTTAGCATGAAGGGCTGTTGAATTTTGTCTAAGGCCTTTTCTGCATCTATTGAGATAATCATGTGGTTTTTATCTTTGATTCTGTTTATGTGATGGATTACCTTCATTGCTTTGTGTACATTGAACCAGCCTTGCATCCCAGAGAGGAAGCTGACTTGATCATGGTGGATAAGCTTTTTGATGTGCTGCTGGATTCGGTTTGCTAGTATTTTATTGAGGATTTTCACATAGATGTTCATCAGGGATATTGGCCTAAAATTCTCTTTTTTTTGTTGTGTCTCTACCAGGCTTTGGTATCAGAATGATGCTAGCCTCATAAAATGAGTTAGAGAGGATTCCCTCCTTTTCTATTGATTGAAATGGTTTCAGAAGGAATGGTACCAGCTCCTCTTTGTACCTCTGGTATGGGGAAAGGATTCCCTGTTTAATAAATGGTGCTGGGAAAACTGGCTAGCCATATGGAGAAAGCTGAAACTGGATCCCTTCCTTACACCTTATACAAAAATTAATTCAAGATGGATTAAAGACTTATATGTTAGACCTAAAACCATAAAAACCCTAGAAGAAAACCTAGGCATTACCATTCAGCACATAGGCATGGGCAAGGACTTCATGTCCAAAACACCAAAAGCAATGGCAACAAAAGCCAAAATAGACAAATGGGATCTAATTAAACTAAAGAGCTTCTGCACAGCAAAAGGAACTATCATCAGAGTGAACAGGCAACCTACAGAATGGGAGAAAATCTTTGCAATCTACCCATCTGACAAAGGGTTAATATCCAGAATCTACAAAGAAATTAAGCAAATTTACAAGAAAAAAACAAACAACCCTATCAAAAAGTAGGGAAAGGATATGAGCAGACACTTCTCAAAAGAAGACATTTATGCAGCCAACAGACACATGGAAAATTGCTCATCATCACTGGTCATCAGAGAAACGCAAATGAAAACCACAATGAGATAACATCTCATGCCAGTTAGAATGGCGATCATTAAAAAGGCAGGAAACAACAGGTGCTGGAGAGGATGTGGAGAAATAGGAACACTTTTACACTGTTAGTGGGAGTGTAAATTAGTTCAACCATTGTGGAAGACAGTGTGGCGATTCCTCAAGGATCTAGAACTAGAAATACCATTTGACCTAGCAATCCCATTACTGGGCATATACCCAAAGGATTAGAAATCATGCTACTATAAAGACACACGCACACGTATGTTTACAGCTGCACTATTCACAATAGCAAGGACTTGGAACCAACCCAAATGTCCATTAATGATAGACTGGATTAAGAAAATGTGGCACATATACACCATGGAATACTATGCAGCCATAAAAAAGGATGAGTTCATGTCCTTTGCAGGGACATGGATGAAGCTGGAAACCATCATTCTAAGCAAACTATCACAAGGACAGAAAAACAAACACCACATGCTCTCACTCATAAGTGGGAGTTGAACAATGAGAACACATAGACTCAGGGTGGGAACGTCACACACCAGGGCCTGTCGGGGGGGTGGGGGTTTGGGGAAGGGATAGCATTAGGAGAAATACCTAATGTAGATGACGAGTTGATGGGTGCAGCAAACCAACATGGCACATGTATACCTATGTAACAAACCTGGATGTTGTGCACATATACCCCAGAACTTAAAGTATAAATATGTATATATATATGTGTAAATATGTATATATATATGAAAAAAAGGAATCCAAATTAGAAAGAAGTCAAATTATCAATGTATTGTTGAATTTGGTTTCTAGTATTTTGCTGAAGATTTTTGCATCAATATTCATGAGAGAAATTGGCCTGCAGCTTTCTTTTTTATTTCTTTAACGTGTCTTTGTCTGTTTTTTTGATATCAGAGCAATCCTGGCCTTGTAGAATGAGTTTGAAAGTATCCCCTCTTCCGCTGTTTTTCAGAACAGTTTGAGTAGGATTAGTATTAGTTCTTCTTGACATTTTTGTTCCTTTTTGATGTAGGTGCTTTTAGATATACACTTCTCTCTTAGTACTGCTTTTGCTGTATCCCATAGTTTGGGTATATTGTATTTTCATCATCATTCATTTCAAGAAATTTTAAATTTCCTTCTTAATTTCTTCACTGACCCATTGGCCATTCAGGAGCATACTGTTTAATTTCCATGTATTTGTATAGTTTCTAAAATGCCTGTAGTTATTTATCTCTAGTTTTATTCCATTGTGGTCAGAGAAGATGTCTGATATTATTTCAATTTTTGAATGTTTTAAGACTGTGACCTCACCTGGTCTATCCTTAAGAATGATCCATGTGCTGAGGAAAATAATATGTTTTCTGCAGCCATTAGATGAAATGTTCTATAAATATCTATTACATCCACTTGCCCTATAGTGCAGATTAAGTCTGATGTTTCTTTGTTGATTTCCTGTCTGGAAGATCTCTCTAATGCTGAAAGTGGGATGTTGAAGTCTCCAGCTATTATTGTATTGGGGTCTATTCCTCTCTTTAGCTCTAGTAATATTTGCTTTATATATCTGGGTGCTCCAGTGTTGGGTGCATATATATTTACCATTGTTGTATTCTCTTGCTCAATTGACACCTCTATCATTATATAATGACCTTCTTTATCTCTTCTTATAGTCTTTGTCTTGAAATCTATCTTATCTAACATAAGTATAGCTACATGTTCTCTTTTTGTGGTTTCCATTGGCATGGAAGATTTCTTTCCTTCCCTTTATTTTCAGTTTATGTTTGTCTTTATGGTTGATGTGTGCTTCTTATAGAAAACAGATCATTGGGTCTTTTTAAAATAATTATTCAGCTACTCTATGTCATTTGATTGAAGACCTGAACCCAGCACTGCACTGGGTCTCACCCATTACCTAGTTGTAACCAATACCTGACTACTGCCTATGTTCACTCAAGGCCCTAAGACTCTACAATCAGCAGGTGGCAAAGCCAGCCAGGTCTGTGTCTTTCCCTTCAGGGTGGCGAGTTCCCCCAGATCCCAGGTGGGTCCAGAGATGCCCTCTGGGAGCCAGGGACCAGAGTTAAAAACCTTAGAAATCTACCTTGTGCTCTACACTATTGCAGCTAAGCTGCCACTCAACCCACAAGACAAAGTCCTTCCCACTCTTCCCCACCCTTTCCACAGGCAGAGAAGCCTCTCGCTGTGGCCACCACCACTGCAGGCCCACAGAGACTATTGCCAGGCTACTGCCTGTGTTCACTTAAGACTGAAGGGTTCCTCAGTCATCTGTGGTGAATGCTGCCAGGCCTGGGACTCACCCTTCAGGGCAGTGGGCTCTCCTCTGGCCCAGGGGAGGTCCAAAAGTCCCATGCAAGAACCAGGACCTAAACTCAGGGACCCCAAGAGCTCACTTGCTGCTCTGCCCTACTGTGGCCAAGCTGACATCTAAGGTGCAAGACAAATTCCCCTTTACTCTTGCCTCTGCTATTCTCCCAGAGAAACTATCTCTGCCCATAGTCACCACAGCTGGGAATGTGCTGGGTCTCCCCTGAAGCCAACATGTCTTAGAGTTTCACCCAGGGCCCGTGGTAAACTACCTGGGTATCATTGCAGGTTGCTCAGGGCCCAAGGGCTCTTTAGTCAGCAGGTGATGAATTCTGTCAGGGCTGAGTCCTTCCCTTCAAGGCAGCAGATTCCCTTCTGGTCCAGGGTGTGTCTAGAAATGTCATCCATGAGCTAGACCCTGAAATGGGGGCCTCAGGACTCTGCCCAATGCTGTATCCTACTGTGACTAAGTTGGTGTCCAAGATGCAACACAAATTCTTCTTTATGCTTCCCTCTCCTCTCCTCAAGTGAAGGAAGGAGTCTCTCCTGGAACTCTGAGCTGTGCTGCTGGGGTTAGGGGAGCCGTGGTGCATGCATTCTCTCAGCCACCTTGCCTGGTGTCTCACTAGGTCATGGGCTCCCTACGTTCTCTTACTCTGAGCCCAGCACAGCACTATGAGTTGCAGTCCTTGTATCCTAGACCACCTCTCAAGTTTATTTAGAAACCCAGATCCTGCAGTGGTGAGGCTTCCCATAACCCAAGTTCTGACCTCTGCGGTGTATAAATCGCCTCTGGCTAGGGCTGGTCTAAATGCTCCCTCTGTGGGCAGGCATCAGCCGACTTCTGACCAGTTTTGCTTTCTGCTGTGACAGGGCAGCACTGAGTTCAATGCACATCCCATAGGCACTAGGTCATGCTGAGCAATCCTTTAATTAAACAGCAGAAAAACACACAAAAAATTAATGTGCTATGAAATTTGATTTGCTAGTACTTTGTTGAGGATTTTTGCTTCTATGTTCATCAGGCATATGGGCCTATAATTTTCTTGTAGTGTCCTCGTCTGGCTTTGGAATTAGGGTAATGCTGGCCTTGTAAAATGAGTTTGGAAGTATTCTTAATTTTTCAGTTTATTGGATGAGTTTGAGAAGGATTGATCTTTTTTTATTATACTTTAAGTTTTAGGGTACATGTGCACAATGTGCAGGCTTGTTACATATGTATACATGTGCCATGCTGGTGTGCTGCACCCATTAACTCGTCATTTAGCATTAGGTATATCTCCTAATGCTATCCCTCCCCCCTCCCCCCACCCCACAACAGTCCCCAGAGTGTGATGTTCCCCTTCCTGTGTCCATGTGTTCTCATTGTTCAATTCCCATCTATGAGTGAGAACATGCGGTGTTTGGTTTTTTGTCCTTGAGATTGTTTGCTGAGAATGATGATTTCCAATTTCATCCATGTCCCTACAAAGGACATGAACTCATCATTTTTTATGGCTGCATAGTATTCCCGTGGTGTATATGTGCCAAATTTTCTTAATCCAGTCTATCATTGTTGGACATTTGGGTTGGTTCCAAGTCTTTGCTATTGTGAATGGTGCTGCAATAAACATACGTGTGCATGTGTCTTTATAGCAGCAAGATTTATAATCCTTTGGGTATATACCCAGTAATGGGATGGCTGGGTCAAATGGTATTTCTAGTTCTAGATCCCTGAGGAAACGCCACACTGACTTCCACAATGGTTGAACTAGTTTACAGTCCCACCAACAGTGTAAAAGTGTTCCTATTTCTCCACATCCTCTCCAGCACCTGTTGTTTCCTGACTTTTTAATGATTGTCATTCTAACTGGTGTGAGATGGTATCTCACTGTGGTTTTGATTTGCTTTTCTCTGATGGCCAGTGATGATGAGCATTTTTTCATGTGTCTTTTGGCTGCTTAAATGTCTTCTTTTGAGAAGTGTCTGTTCCTATCCTTTGCCCACTTTTTGATGGGGTTGTTTGTTTTTCTCTTGTAAATTTGTTTGAGTTCATTGTAGATTCTGGATATTAGCCCTTTGTCAGATAAGTAGGTTACGAAAATTTTCTCCCATTTTGTAGGTTGCCTGTTCGCTCTGATGGTATTTTCTATTGCTGTGCAGAAGCTCTTTAGATTAATTAGATCCCATTTGTCAATTTTGGCTTTTGTTGCCATTGCTTTTGGTGTTTTAGACATGAAGTCCTTGCCCATGCCTATGCCTGAATGGTAATGCCTAGCATTTCTTCTGGGGTTTTTATGGTTTTAGGTCTAACATTTAAGTCTTTAATCCATCTTGAATTGATTTTTGTATAAGGCGTAAGGAAGGGATCCAGTTTCAGCTTTCTACATATGGCTATCCAGTTTTCCCAGCACCATTTATTAAATAGGGAATCCTTTCCCCATTGCTTGCTTTTCTCAGGTTTGTCAAAGATCACATAGTTGTAGATGTGCGGCGTTATTTCTGAGGGCTCTGTTCTGTCCCATTGATCTATATCTCTGTTTTGGTACCAGTACCATGCTGTTTTGGTTACAGTAGCCTTGTAGTATAGTTTGAAGTCAGGTAGGTTGATGCCCCCGGCTTTGTTCTTTTGGCTTAGGATTGACTTGGCGATGCGGGCTCTTTTTTGGTTCCATATGAACTTTAAAGTAGATTTTTCCAATTCTGTGAAGAAAGTCATTGGTAGCTTGATGGGGATGGCATTGAATCTATAAATTACCTTGGGCAGTATGGCCATTTTCATGACATTGATTCTTCCTACCCATGAGCATGGAATGTTCTTCCATTTGTTTGTATCCTCTTTTATTTCATTGAGCAGTGGTTTGTAGTTCTCCTTGAAGAAGTCCTTCACGTCCCTTGTAAGTTGGATTCCTAAGTATTTTATTCTCTTTGAAAAACCACAAAGATGGGGAAAAAACAGAGCAGAAAAACTGGAAACTCTAAAAAGCAGAGCACCTCTCCTCCTCCAAAGGAATGCAGTTCCTCACCAGCAATGGAACACAGCTGGATGGAGAATGACTTTGACGAGTTGAGAAAAGAAGGCTTCAGATGATCAAACTACTCTGAGCTACAGGAGGAAATTCAAACCAAAGGCAAAGAAGTTGAAAACTTTGAAAAAAATTTAGATGAATGTATAACTAGAATAACCAATTCAGAGAAGTGCTTAAAGTAGCTCATGGAGCTGAAAGCCAAGGCTCAAGAACTACGTGAAGAATGCAGAAGCCTCAGGAGCCGATGCGATCAACTGGAAGAAAGGGTAACAGGGATGGAAGATGAAATGAATGAAATGAAGTGAGAAGGGAAGTTTAGAGAAAAAAGAATAAAAAGAAATGAACAAAGCCTCCAAGAAATATGGGACTATATGAAAAGACCAAATCTACGTCTGATTGGTGTACCTGAAAGTGACGGGGAGAATGGAACCAAGTTGGAAAACACTCTGCAGGATATTATCCAGGAGAACTTCTCCGATCTAGCAAGGCAGGCCAACATTCAGATTCAGGAAATACAGAGAACACCACAAAGATACTCCTCGAGAAGAGCAACTCCAAGACACATAATTGTCAGATTCACCAAAGTTGAAATGAAGGAAAAGATGTTAAGGGCAGCCAGACAGAAAGGTCGGGTTACCCACAAAGGGAAGCCCATCAGACTAACAGCGGATCTCTCGGCAGAAACTCTACAAGCCAGGAGAGAGGGGGCCAATATTCAACATTCTTAAAGAAAAGAATTTTCAACCCAGAATTTCATATCCAGCCAAACTAAGCTTCATAAGTGAAGGAGAAATAAAATCCTTTACAGACAAGCAAATGCTGAGAGATTTTGTCACCACCAGGCCTGTCCTAAAAGAGCTCCTGAAGGAAGCACTAAACATGGAAAGGCACAACCGGTACCAGCCACTGCAACATCATGCCAAAATATAAAGACCATCGAGACTAGGAAGAAACTGCATCAACTAATGAGCAAAATAACCAGCTAACATCATAATGACAGGACCAAATTCACACATAACAATATTAACTTTAAATGTAAATGGACTTAATGCTCCAATTAAAGGACACAGACTGGCAAATTGGATAAAGAGTCAAGACCCATCAGTGTGCTGTATTCAGGAAACCCATCTCACATGCAGAGACACACATAGGCTCAAAATAAAAGGATGGAGGAAGATCTACCAAGCAAATGGAAAACAAAAAAAGGCAGGGATTGCAATCCTAGTCTCTGATCAAACAGACTTTAAACCAACAAAGATCAAAAGAGACAAAGAAGGCCATTACATAATGGTAAAGGGATCAATTCAACAAGAAGAGCTAACTATCCTAAATATATATGCACCCAATACAGGAGCACACAGATTCATAAAGCAAGTCCTTAGTGACCTACAAAGAGACTTAGACTCCCACACAATAATAATGCAAGACTTTAACACCCCACTTTCAACATTAGACAGGTCAACGAGACAGAAAGTTAACAAGGATACCCAGGAATTGAACTCAGCTCTGCACCAAGCGGACCTAATAGACATCTACAGAACTCTCCACCCCAAATCAACAGAATATATATTTTTTTCAGCACCACACCACACCTATTCCAAAATTGACCACATAGTTGGAAGTAAAGCTCTCCTCAGCAAATGTAAAAGAACAGAAATTATAACAAACTGTCTCTCAGACCACAATGCAATCAAACTAGAACTCAGGATTAAGAAACTCACTCAAAACCGCTCAACTACATGGAAACTGAACAACCTGCTCCTGAATGACTACTGGGTACATAATGAAATGAAGGCAGAAATAAAGATGTTCTTTGAAACCAACCAGAACAAAGACACAACATACCAGAATCTCTGGGACACATTCAAAGCAGTGTGTAGAGGGAAATTTATAGCACTAAATGCCCACAAGAGAAAGCAGGAAATATCCAAAATTGACACCCTAACATCACAATTAAAAGAACTAGAGAAGCAAGAGCAAACACATTCAAAAGCTAGCAGAAGGCAAGAAATAACTAAAATCAGAGTAGAACTGAAGGAAATAGAGACAAAAAAAACCCTTCAAAAAGTTAATGAATCCAGGAGCTGATTTTTTGAAAGGATCAACAAAATTGATAGACTTCTAGCAAGACTAATAAAGAAAAAAAGAGAGAAGAATCAAATAGACACAATAAAAAATGATAAAGGGGATATCACCACCAATCTCACAGAAATACAAACTACCATCAGGGAATACTACAAACACCTCTACACAAATAAACTAGAAAATCTAGAAGAAATGGATAAATTCCTCGACACATACACTCTCCCAAGACTAAACCAGGAAGAAGTTGAATCTCTGAATAGACCAATAACAGGATCTGAAATTGTGGCAATAATCAATAGCTTACCAACCAAAAACAGTGCAGGTCCAGATGGATTCACAGCCGAATTCTACCAGAGGTACAAGGAGGAACTGGTACCATTCCTTCTGATATGATTCCAATCAATAGAAAAAGAGGGAATCCTCCCTAACTCATTTTATGAGGCCAGCATCATCCTGATACGAAAGCCTGGCAGAGACACAACCAAAAAAGAGAATTTTAGACCAATATCCTTGATGAACATTGATGCAAAAATCCTCAATAAAATACTGGCAAACTGAATCCAGCAGCACATCAAAAAGCTTATCCAACATGATCAAGTGGGCTTCATCCCTGGGATGCAAGGTTGGTTCAATATACACAAATCAATAAATGTAATACAGCATATAAACAGAACCAAAGACAAAAACCACATGATTATCTCAATAGATGCAGAAAGGCCTTTGACAAAATTCAACAAGGCTTCATGCTAAAAACTCTCAATAAATTAGGTATTGATGGGACGTATCTCAAAATAATAAGAGCTATCTATGACAAACCCACAGCCAATATCATACTGAATGGGCAAAAACTGGAAGCATTCCCTTTGAAAACTGGCACAAGACAGGGATGCCTTCTCTCACCACTCCTATTCAACATAGTGTTGGAAGTTCTGGTCAGGACAATTAGGCAAGAGAAGGAAATAAAGGGTATTCAATTAGGAAAAGAGGAAGCCAAATTGTCCCTGTTTGCAGACGACATGATTGTATATCTAGAAAACCCCATTGTCTCAGCCCAAAATCTCCTTAAGCTGATAAGCAACTTCAGCAGTCTCAGGATACAAAATCAATGTACAAAAATCACAAGCATTCTTATACACCAATAACAGAAAAACAGAGCGCCAAATCATGAGTGAACTCCCATTCACAATTGATTCTTCACTTTTTATCTTTCGTGTATCTACTATAGATTTCTGTTTTATGAATACCATGAGGCTTACATAAAATATCTTATGGTTATAACAGACTATTCTGAGCTGATAACAACTTAACTTTGATTACACACAAAAACTACAATTATGCTCCTTAACTCCCCGTATATTTTATGTTTTTGATGTCACTATTTACATCTTTTTTAAATTCCATATCCCTTAACACATTTTTGTAGCTATACTTTCACAAATAGTTTTGTCTTTTAACCTTCATACTAAAGATATAAGTGATTTATACATCGTCATTACAATGAGTATTCTGGGTTTGAACATGTACTTATTTTACTCATAAATTTTCTTCTTTCATATTTTCTTATTACCAATTAACATCCTTTTCTTGGCCAGGTGCGATGGCTCGTGCGTGTAGTCCCAGCACTTTGGGAGGCTGAGGCAGGCTGATCACTTGAGCTCAGGAGTTGGAGACCAGCCTGGGCAACATAGTGAAACACTGTCTCCACACAAAATAGAAACAAACAAAAAAATTAGCTGGGCATGGCAGTGCATGCCTGCAGTCCCAGCTTCTTGGGAGGCTCATGTAGGAGGTTTACTTGAGCCTGGGAAGTCGAGGTTGCAGTGAGCCACGATCACACCACTGCACTCCAGTCCAGGTGACAGAGTGAGATCCTGTCTCAAAACAAACAAAGAAACATACAAAAAACAAAACCCAAATAACAAACAGACTCAAAAACCAGATCGTTTTCTCTCAGCTTGAAGAATTCCCTCTAGCATTCCTTGTAATGCAGTGAACTACTTTAGGAAGATTATTTTTAATTCCTTCTTAGAAAGTTTCTAAATCTCTCTTCTTTAGGGTTGATCAGTGAAGCTTTACTTTGTTCCTTTGGTAGTGTCATGTTTCCCTGATTGATTGTGACCTTTGTGGCTGTACATCGGCTTCTGTGCATTTAAAGAAGTAGGGACTTGGGCCAGGCGCGGTGGTTCATGCCTGTAATCCCAGCACTTTGGGAGGCAGAGGTGGGTGGATCACTTGAGGTCAGGAGCTCGGGACCAGCCTGGCCAACATGGTGAAACCCCGTCTCTACTAAAAATACAAAAAGTTAGCTGGGCGTGGTGGTGGGCGCCTGTAGTCCCAGCTACTCAGGAGTCTGAAGCAGGAGAATCACTGGAACCCGGGAGGCGGAGGTTATAGTGAGCTGAGATTGTGCCATTGCACTCCAACCGGAGCAACAATAGCTGCGGTTAGGAATAAACAACAATAGCTCCATTAGGAAAAAAAAAAAAAAAAGGAAAAAGAAAAACCAAAAAAGAAGTGGGGACTTGCTCCAGTGCTTGATGACTGGCTCTGGCTGGGAAAGCCCTTCACGGTTCAGTCCATCCAGAGATTCTGGGAAGACCATCTGGCATGGTGCATGGATAGACTTGCTGCTGGATTTCTTGGGAAAGCTGGCTTGGTGAGCAGGTATGGTGGAGCTGGAACCTGAGTTCATGGATTTGGGCCTGGGTCCTGGTGCCATGGGGACCAACCTGGCTATTGGGGCCAGTCTTGCCCTGGCGTGGGCCTGAAGCCCGAGGCCATGTGGGTCAGACTTCCTCTTAGCCTGTCTGGCGCCTGGCATGGGCCTGGAGCCTGAGTCTGAGAGGGCCAGCCTGGGGTCTGAGGCCAAAGGTGCTAGTGTGGCACTGGGCAAGCCTGGAGCCTTTAATCCTTGGGGGCTGGCCTGGAAGCTGGCTTTGTAGGTTCTGGCCTGGTGCTTGAGGTCACAGGGGTCAGCCTGGAGCTGGAGTGGGTACAGAGACTAGGTCTGTGGGTGCCAGCCTGAAGTCTGAAACTACAGAAGACGGCCTATCATTGAAGCAGACCAGGTCGAGGGTCACAGGGGTTGTCCTGACACTGAGGAGGATCTGGAAGCTGGGTCCACATGTCCAGGCCTGAAGTCTGGGGCTGTAGGGACTGGTCTGCAGGTGATGTCTGCATGTGTCAGCCTGGAGTCTGGGGCTCTGGAGGCTGGCTTGGAATCTAAGGCTGTAGGGCCACCTTGGCCCCATGGCAGGGCTGGTGGCTCATTCCATGGGTGCCAGCCCAGAGCCTGGGGCTGTGAGGCTAGCCTTGCCCCAACGCAGGCTTGGTTCATGGGTGTACCCAGAGTCTAGGGCTGAGGGAGCGGCCTGGCCATGGGACCAGTCTGGAGCCTGGGAAAACCAGGGCCTGCCTGGTGATGAGGTGGG
Organism: Homo sapiens; assembly: GCF_000001405.40. Classification (NCBI taxonomy): domain Eukaryota; kingdom Metazoa; phylum Chordata; class Mammalia; order Primates; family Hominidae; genus Homo; species Homo sapiens. Next base: position 71,796,219 of record NC_000023.11, on the reverse strand, counting down.
CCTGGAGCCCGAGACTGTGGGGGGCTGGACCGGCACTGGGGTGGAGCTGAAGACAGTGTGCGTGGGTGACCTGGAGCCTGGGACTGCAAGGACAAGCCTGGAGCCTGAGTCTGTGGGGGTCAGCCTATGCTAAATTGATTTACAACAAGAGCGCCAAGGCCATTCGATGGGGGAAAGAATCGTTTCTTAAAGAAATGGTGCTAGGATAACTGGTTATCCACATGCCAAAGAATGAAGTTGGACCCCTACTTCATACCATATACCATATACAAAAATTAACTCAAAATGAATCAAAAACATAAATGTAAGTGTTAAAATTAATACTTTTAGAATAAAACACAGGGGTAAGTCATATCTTTGTATTTGGCATTGGATTCTTAGAGTATGACACCCAAAGCACAGGCAACAAAACTAAAAATGATAAATGGGGCTTCACTGAAATTGAAAACTTTTGTGGATCAGTGGACATTGTCAAGAAAGTGAAAAGATAACAGAATGGGAGAAAAACCTTTGCCAATCATGTATCTGATCATGTAACATCCGGAATATATTAAAACGTACAAAAAACCCGTCAAGAAAAGGCAACCCCATTTTTGAAATAAGCAAAGGATTTAATAGACATGTCTCCAATGGAGATACACAAATAGTTAAGAAATGCATGTAAAGATACTCAACATCATTAGCTATTAGGAAAATGCAAATCAAAACAATAAGGTACTATTCCACGTCTACCGGGATGGTCATACTTTTTTCAAGATGGGCAATAAGAATTGTTGAATAGGATGTGGAGAAATTAGAACTTTCATACATGGCTGATGGGAATGTAAAATAATTCAGCCACTGTGGAAAACATTTTGGTGGTTCCTAAAAGGTTAAACATAGAATTAACATGTGACTTGAGAATTACTCTCATAGGTATATAGTCAAAAGAACTGAAAACAGGTGCTCAAAGACATACTTGTACATGCACGTTCGTAGCAGCATTATTTCAAAAGTCAAAAGGTGGGAATAACCCAAATATCCATCAACTGATGAATGGATAAACAAGCTGTGGTCTATGCATACAGTGAAATATTATTCAGCCATAACAAGGAATGAAATACTGATAGATGCTACAACGTGGATGGGCCTTGAAAACATCATGCTAAGGAAAGAAGCCAAGGCCGGGTGCAGTGGCTCACGCCTGTAATCCTAGCACTTTGGGAGGCTGAGATGGGTGGATCACTTGAGGCCAAGAGTTCGAGACCAGCCTGGGCAACATGGCGAAATGCCGTCTCCACAATAAATACAAAAAAAAAATTAGCCAGACGTGGTGGTGCGTGCCTGTAGTCCCAGCTACTCGGGAGGCTGAGGTGGGAGGATCCCATGAGCCCAGGGGGTCGAGGCTGCAGTCAGCCTTGTTTCCACCATTGCACTCCAGCCTGAGTGAGACAGGGAGACCGTGTCTCAAGAAAAAAAAAAAAAAAAAAAAGGAGAGAGAGAGTGAGAGAGACACGAAGGTCACATATTATATTATTTGATTCATATGAAATATCCAGAATAGGTAAACCCATAAAGTCAGAAACTAACTTAGTGGGTGCCTGAGCCCAGGAGGAAGAGGATGGGAAGTAGTTTCTTAATGAGCATGCGAATTTCTTTGGAAGTGATGAAAATGTTCCAAACTAGATGGAGGCAGTACTTGCACAACATTATGAAAATACTGAATGCTGCTGGACTGTTCATTCTGAAAGGTTAATGCTATAAAAATTTCTCCTCAAAAAATAAATTTAAAAATGTATTGGCAATACATCTAGGGTCTGTTTCTGGAATCTCTGTCTTTTCTGCTGACTTATATCTACCCCATTGCTAATAACATCCTTGTCGTAATTAGTGTAGTACTCTGGTGAGTCTTAGAAGTCAGATTTGGGAGGCCAAAGCAGGAGGACCACTTGAGCTCAGGAGTCCAAGACCAGCCTGGGCAACATAGCGAGACCTGGGAAACATAGTGAGACCCCATCTCTACAAAAAAATAAAAATATTCGTCAGGTGTGGTGGTGCACACCTGTAGTCCCAGCTACTCAGCACGCTGAGGCGGGAAGATCATTTAAGTCTGGGAGTTAAAGGCTGCAGTGAGCCATGATTGTGTCACTGCACTCCAGCCTGGGAACAGAATGAGACTCTGTCTCAAAAAAAAAAAAAAAAAAAAAAAAAAAAAGTAGGTAAAGTGATTCCTTCAACTTTATTCTTTTTTATTTTATTTTATTTTATTTTTTTGAGGTGGAGTCTTGCTCTGTCATCCAGGCTGGAGTGCAGTAGCACGATCTCAGCTCACTGCAACCTCCACCTCCCGGGTTCAAGCAATTCTCCTGCCTCAGCCTCCCGAGTAGCTGGGACTACAGGCGCACACCATCACACCCAGCTAAGTTTTGTATTTTTAGTAGATACAGGGTTTCACCATGTTGGCCAGGATGGTCTCGATCTCTTGACCTCATGATCCGCCCGCCTGGACCTCCCAAAGTGCTGAGATTACAGGTGTGAGCCACTGCACCATGCCTAAAATTGTTTTAATGATTGTAGTTCTTTTGATTTTTAGTATAAATTTTAGAACCATGTTGTGTATGTCTACAAAAAATCCTACTATCACTTTAATTGCATTGCGTTAAATATATAGATCAGTTCAAGGAGAACTCATATATTTATTGAGTGTTTCCATTCGTAAACACAGTACACTCATGTGTATTCCATTCATTTAGGCCTTCCTGGATTTCTTTCATTAGCATTGTGTAATTTTCAGAACGTAGAATTTCTTTGATTCATGCCGAGGTATTTCATTGTTGCAGTTATTGTAAATGTCACTGGTTTTTAAATGTTTTGTTTCTATTTCTATACTTACTTTATATAGAAATACAGTTGATTTTTGTGTATTGAGCAAATACACTCTACCTTTAGTAAACTCACTTATGAGTTCTAGGAATTTTTTTTTTGTAGATTCCATGGAATTCTCGGCATAGATAATAATGTCGTATGTGAATACCAGGCAGTTTTATTTCTTCTTTTCCTATCTGAAAGTCTTTTAATTCTATTTCTTGAATTATTACAATAGGAAGGACTTCTAAGTGTGATGTTGAATAGAAGTGGCAAGAGTAGACATCCTTGTATTGTTCATGAACTTAGGAGGAAAACATTCAGGTGTTCACTATTAACTATGATATTAGCTGTGGGTTTTCTTGCAGATTCCCTTTATCAAGCTGAGGAAGGTCTTTTCTATTCTTAGTTTGCTGAGAGTTTATGTCTTGAATGGATATTGAATTTTGCCAAAGGCTTTTTCTACATCAATTCATATGATCATGTATTTCTTTCTTTTATTGACCATTAATATAATGGAATAAATTTATTGTTTGTTTTTAACATTCAATAAGCCCTGCATTCCTGGGATAAGCCTCACATGGTTGAGCTATATATTTTTTAGACATTGCTGGATTCAATTTGCTAATATTTTGTGATGATTTTTGCATTTATGTTCGTGAGAGTTGGTGGTCTGTCGTTTCTTGCTTGCTTGCTTCTTTTATACAGTCTTTGGGTGGTTTTGGTATCAGGGTGATCCTGGCCTCACAAAATGTGTTGACAAGTAGTCTTTACTGTTCTATTTTTGGGAAGAGATATTGTAGAATCGGTATTAATTCTTCTTTGAATGTTTGGTGGAATTTGCCAGTGAAACCACGTGGGTTGGAATATCTTCTTTGGAAGGTATTTTACTATGAATTCCATTTCGTTTTATATATAAATTTTTTTGTAGAGCTAGGGTCTCACTTTGTTGCCCAGGCTGGTCTCGGTCTTCTGGGCTCAGGCGATTCTCCCAGCTTGGCCTCCCAAAGTTCAATGTCTTTATAGGACTACTCAAGTTATTTCATATTGGGTGAGTCTTGATAATTCGTGTCTTCAAAAGATTTAGAGATTTAGTCCATTTCATGTAAGTTCTTGAATTGAGTTGTTTGTGGTATTGGGTTGGTGCAGAAGTTTTTGCTATTAAAAGTAACGACAAAAACTGCAATTACTTTTGCACCAACATTATACCATCTCTGCCTCTTTTGGGCCATTGTTAGCATGTGTCTTAGTCTGTTTTGTGTTGCTGTAACAGAACGCCTGAGACTGGATAATTTAAAAATAAAAGAGGTTGATTTAGCTCATGTTTCAGCAAGCTGGGAAGTAGGAGGAGCATGGCACCAGTAACTGCTCAGCTTCTGGTGACAGCCACCTGCTAGGCCAAAACATAGTGGAAAAGGCCAAAGGGGAAGCAGACACGTGCAAAGAGGGAAAAACCGAGGGGCATGCTGGCTTTATGACAAACCTACCGTCATGGGCACTAATCCAGTCTCACCAGAGCCGGTACTCACTCACTACCTCCAGAACGGCAGCAAGCTCTTCATGAGGGATCTGTCTCCATGACCCGAACACCTCCCACAAGGCCCCACCTTCCAACATCACCACACTGGGGATCCAATTTCCCCATAAGTTTTGGCGGGGACAGACGAATCATATCCAAACCATAGCAGTATATTTCTATATTCCCAGGATCTGGAAAGATCCCAATAAGATGAATTTTTTTTATAATGTGCATTTTTCTGTGCACTTAATGTGTAATAAAGAATGGGATGCTTGGACTTTGTCCCTGAGTCCTGGGAGATAACCTCTAATCCCTTGCAATTTCCTGAGTGACACTGTCATTCCTGATGGGTCCCATGGACCACACTTCATGGTTTATGCTAATGAGGTGAGTCATGGGAGGCCCCTAGATAGTTTGTGTGATGAGATGACTCCAAATGGAGGCTGGCCAGACCAGAAAGACCAATCATATGACTAGAGGGTTGGGGCATTGAACTATGTGATATCAGCCCAGTCACCAGAGAGAGGGAGGGAGGCTGTAGATGGAGTTAAACCAGATGGCCAACTAACAGATGGCCAACACACAGGGTTTATCTGAATTATCTCATCTGCCATTACCAGGAGAAGACATAGGGCTTATTCCCATATCAGTGATCACTCCTCAGTCTTTACTGGTTCCTCATTTTCTCTCAAAATTCTCTTTCTGGGGATGGGAGGATGTTGAAAATGTTCTATATTTTGATCTGGATGGCGGTTACATGGGTGTATAACTGTGATAAAATTGTAGACTTATGTTTCTGTGATTTGCTGTATGTAGGTAATACCTCAATTTTTAAAAGACGTCATATAAAAGTGGAAATACATGGTGCAAGCTGGAAGAAGATCTTTATCCTATATACAATTGACAAAAGATTGGTATCAATAATATATTTTGAGAACTTGTAGAAATCAATAAGAAAGACAAACAACCCATTAAGAAAATAGGCAAAAATCATGAACAGGAATTCCATAGAAGAAGGAACCTATGTGGCCAATAAACACATGAAGATATGCTCAGCTCATCAGTAGTCAGGGGAATGCTAAACATGACCTCAAGATAAATCTTGTACCCATTTGATTGGCAAAGAATAAGAAACCTAGCAACATCAAAGGTTAGAGATAACGCAGAGCAGTGGGATCTCATACAGCTTGCAACATGTTGGGAATATAAACGAACACAACCAGTTTGGAAAACAATGTGGCATCAATATATGAAGTAGGTCATTGCTAACTCAGCAATTCCTATCAATGTCCACTGGACAAGAATTTCACAGCAGCACTGGCCACGGTAGCAAAAACCTGCGACCAATGCAAATGCTCATGAACAAGAGAATGCCTAAACTGTGGTATATGCACACCATGATACACTATGTAGCAAGGCAAATGGGTGAACTGCAGTTCCATAGTCAACAATGGATAATGTTAGTATAAGTATGAAAAAAGTAATTCCCACAAGACTACATACCGTGTGACACCCTTTTCATAAGGTTCAAAATCAAGCAAAACTGAAGAGTTTAATGGCCGAGCACAGTGGCTCACGCCTGTAATCCCAGCACTTTGGGAGGCAGAGGTGGGTGGAGTGCTTGAGTCCAGGAGTTTGAGACCAGCCTGTGCAACATGGCTAAACCCCGTCTCTCCAAAAAATTAGCCAGACATCACAGCGCGCGCTTGTACTCCTAGGTACTCGGGAGACTGAGGTGGGAGAATCACCTGAGCCAGGGAGGTCGAGCCTGCAGTGAGCCAAAATCATGCTACTGCACTTCAGACCGAACAATCAGAGTGAGACCCTGTCTCAAAAACAAAAAAAGGGTATATTGTTTTATATATATACTTATTTGCAATAAAAACCAAAGGAATGCCAAGTACACAATTCAGGCTGGGGTTGCCTCTGGTGGAAGTGAAGGGATTCAGGAGGTTACAGTGAGGGGAGCTCAGAGGTAGATATACAGGTTTCTACTGATAGTCTAGTTATTGGATCGGGTAATAGGTAAATGGGGGCACATTGCATTTTAAAATAAACAAACAGGGCCTCGTATCAATCACGGGTAGCATGTTATGAAATAAGGATTATGATTAACTCAATTCTGTATTACCCAAGTCTCCTCCAAAAATCAAATGCTGCATTGACCTACTTGGACCTGGGCCTGAAATATTTGTTCTTCTCTCCTTCCAGGCTTCACACATGCTCCAGAAGCTCTTTGGTCAGGCCAGAAAGCATTTGAGTTCGACATCTCTGTATTTGTATCTATTTGAGCAGGAGGCACTAGAGCAGGGCTGCATGTCTTGCATCTGACACTGTTTAACCCAAAAGTTAGTTGGGACAGAAAGAATACCTCAGAATCCTGGAATAAACGGGGTCCCGATGATCAATACGAGTTCTACTCAGCGAATGCAGATTACAGCAAACGGAAGAAAGAATGTCCAGACTTCTAAATGAAATGTTTCCCTACAAAACAGTTTAGAATGAAGGTCTTCCAGAGGCCTTTTGCACAATTTCCTACTTAACTAGGAAATATTTCTCCTCTAAGTGCACAAAATCATGTTAGTGTATCGTGTTGGGTTTTATCACTGATTAATAAATATGTTACCCATTTATTATGAAGAACATGAGAAAGGATACAGACGAACAGCCAGATGAAAGAGATGCATAGGGCACAGGTGCACCTCCCTCCAGGAACTTCCATGTGTTCAGCTATCTGGAAGCTCCCTTACCCCAGATTCTTAAAAATATAGAGCCCCGGGGCTCAATTTCTGGTCTGATTCTTTTCTTTAACTACATTCTTGCCACAGCTGATGGAAGACCCTGGTTTCAATACTACCTACATCAGGAGCAAGACAAAGATGCTCCCTTTCACCACGGCTATGCAACGTAGTACTACAACTTTTAGTCAAAAATCTTAGGCCAGAGAAAAAAGATGAAAGGCACACAAAGCAGAAAGTAACAAGTGTGCTGTGTGTGGTGGCTCATGCTTGTAATCCTAACACTTTGGGAGACCGAGGCAGGTGGATCACATGAGGCCAGGAGTTCGAGACCAGCCTGGGCAACACGGCGAAACCCTGCCTCTACCAAAAATACGAAAGCTAGCTGGGCGTGGTGGCGACCAGCTACATCTGGGCCTGAGGCACGAGACTCGCTCGAACCCAGGAAGTCGAGGCTGCGGTGAGCTGAGATCGCACCACTGCACTCCAGCCTGGGTGACAAAATGAGACCCTATCTCAAAAAAGAAATTAAATTACCTCTCTCTGCAGATGACATGATTGTACATATATAAAGTCTTAAAATATTTTACAGAAAACCTTAAAATTCAAATGAATTTTAAGGAAAGTTGCAAAAAACAAAATCAACATGTACAAATCAGTAGCATTTCTATACACTAATAGCAAACTATCTGAAAATAAATCAAGAAAACAATACCATTTAAAACAGTTCTCAAAAACAACATAAAATACTTAGGAATAAGTTCAATCAAGGAGGTAAAAGATCTGTACACTGAAAACTATAAGACATTGATGAAAGCAATTGAGGAAGCCACAAATAAATGGAAAGCTAACCCATGATCAAGGATTGGAAGAATCAGTATTGTTAAAATGTCCATACTACTCAAAGCAATTAACAGATTCGATGCAATCCCTACCAAATTCCAACGCTAGTTTTACATACATAGAAAAAGCAATCCTGAAATTCGCAGCGAACCACAAAAGACTCCAGTTACCCAAAGCAATCTTGAGCGAAACGAACAAAGCTGGAGGAATCACAACCTGATCTCAAAATATAATAAAAGCTAGAGTAATCAAAACAGCATGGTACTGGCATACAAACAGACAAATATAATAGACTAGAAAGAATTAATGCATTTATGGTCAAGTGATTTTCAACAAAGATGCCAAGAACACACATAGGGAAAGGACTGTCTCTTCAATAAATGGTCTTGGGAAAACGGAATATCCACATGCAGAAGAATGAAATGGGACCCTTGTCTCCTATCATACACAAAAATCAAGGCAAATTGGACTCCGGATTTAAATGTAAGACCTGAAACTGTAAAACTACCAGAAGAAAACATAGGGGGAATCATCCATGGCATTGATCTGGGAAATAATTTTTCCACTATGACCCCAAAAGCATGAGCAACCAAAGAAAGAATAGAGAAATGGGATTACGTCAAACTGAAAGGCTTCTGCACAACAAAGGAAACGATCAACAGAGTGAAGAGGCAACCTACAGAATGGGAGAAAATATTCACAAACTATACATCTGATAAGGAGTTAATATCCAAAATACATAAGGAACTCAACTCAATAACAAGAAAACAAATCACCTGATTTTAAAACGTGCAAAGGATCTGAATAGACATTTCTCCAAAGACGACATACAAATGGCCAACAGTTGTATGAAAATGCTCGACATCACTTATCATCAGGGAAATGTCACAATGAGCTATCACTTCACACCTGTTAAAATGGCTATTATCAGAAAGATAAAAGAGAACAAGTGTTGGCGAGGATGTGAAGAAAAGGGAACCCTTATACACTGTTGGTGGGAATGTAAATTAGTACAGCCACTGTGGAAAACAGTATGGAGACTTTTCAAAACACTACAGATAGAACTATCCAGCAATCCCACTACCGGGTATTTATCCAAAAGAAACGAAATCAGTATATCAAAGGGATACCTACACCCCCATGTTTATTGCAGCACTCATCACAATAGCCAAGACATGGAATCAACCTAAGTGTCCATCAGTGGATGAATGGATAAAGAAAATGTGGCATATGTACACAGGAAATACAATTCAGCCACAAAAAGAATGAAATCCTTTCATTTGCAGCAACATGGATGGAACTGGAGGTCATTATGTTAGGTGAAATAAGCCAGGCACAGAAAGACAAATACCATATGTTCTCACTCATATATGGGAGGGAAAAAAGTTGATCTCCTAGAGGCAGAGAATAGAGTGATAGATATGAGAGGCTGGGAAGTGTGTGTGGATTGGAGGAAGGGGGGTTTGGAAGAAGAGAGATTGGTTGACAGGCATAAACATACAGTTAAAAAGGAATAAGTTCTAGGCTGGGCATGGTGGCTGACACCTGTAATCCCAGCAGTTTGGGAGGCCGAGGCGGGCAGTTAGCATGAGCTCAGGAGTTGCAGACCAGCCTGGACAATATAGCGAAACCCTGTCTCTATGAAAAAAAAAAAAAAAAAAGTAGCCCTGCATGGTGGCATGTGCCTGTTGTCCCAGCTACTCAGGAGGCTGAGGTGGGAGGATCGCTTAAGCCTAGGAGGTTGAGGCTGCAGTAAGCTTTGATCGCGCCGCTGCACTCCAGCCTGGGGCGACAGAGTGAGAGCCTGTCTCAAAAAAAAAAAAAAAAAAAAAAAAAAGGAATAATTTGTAATGTTCAATAGCAGAGTAGGATGACTACAGTTAACAGCAATGTATTGCATATTTCAAAATAGAAGAGAGGACTTGAAATACCCCCAATACTAGGAATCAAAAATATTCCAGGTGATGGTTACCCCAAATATCCTGAACTGATCATTACACACTCTATGCACGTGACAAAATATCACATGTACATCATAAATATGTGCAAATCTTATGTATCCATTAAACTTAAAATTAAAAACTTATCCATAGCACTATCATTTGATTTAGTAATCCCACTACTGGATAGATGGCCAAAGAAAATGAAATGAGTATGTCAAAAATATCTGCACTTGCATATACATTGCAGCACTGTTCACAACAGCCAAGACGTGAAGTCAAACCAAGAGCCCATCAACGGATGAATGGGTAAAGCACATGTGTATATGTACACACAATAGAATAGTATTGAGCATTTTTTAAAAAATAAAAGGAAATCCTGTCATTTGTGGCAACATGAGTGAATCTGGAGTACATTATGTCGAGTGAAATAAGGCAGGCACGGCAAGACAAATACTGTATGATCTCACTGGGGTGTGGGATCTTAAAAAATCAAACTTTTTAGAAACAGAGAATAGAATGGTGGTTACCAGGGTCTGGGGCTGGGAAGGATTGGGGAGATATTGGTCAGAGGATACAAAACTTCATTTAGACAAGAAGTCTAAGTTCAAGAGATCTATTGTAGACATGGTGACTATAGTTAATAATAATGTATCCTTGAAAATTGTTAAGAGGGTAGATTTTAAGTGTTCTCACCACAGAAGATGAAAGGTATGTGAGTTCATACATATTGTAGTTAGCCTAATTTAGCCATTGCACAATGTATACGTATTTCAAATCATCATGTTGTACACTACAAATGTATACGATTGTGTCATTACAAATAAACAAAAACAAAATACAAAGAAATGAAATAAATTCCATTTGTTCAATAAAACTGATGTGATACTGGTGAAGATGTGCAGAAACTGGAACCTTTGTGCACTGTTGGTGGGAATGTAAAATGGCACAGCTGCTGTGGAAAACAGTATGGCGGTTACTCAGAAAACTAAAAAGAGAATTACCATATGATCCAGTAATTCCATTCTGTGTCTATATCGAAAAAATAGAAATCAGAGTCTCAGAGATATTTGTACATCCGTGCTCATAGCAGCATTATTCATGAGAGCCAAGAGATGGAAGCAACCCAAGTGTCCACTGATGGGTGAATACAGAAACTAAATGTGGTCCACTATTTGGCCCTTACAATGAATTACGATTTGACCTGTAAAAGGATGGAGTTCTGATACAGGCTACAACGTGGATAAAATTTTAGGACCTTATGCTATGAAATGAGCCAGTCACAAAAGGACAAATACTACATGATTCCGCCTATATACGGGATCTAAAATATTCAAACTCAGAAACGGCAGGTAGAATGGTGGTTTCCAGAGGCTGCGGGGCAGGGAAAAATGAGGAGTTGTTTAATGGGTATACATTTCAGTTTTGCAGTTGAAGACATGCTGGAGATTGGCTGCACAGCAATGCAAATATACTTAACACTACTGAACCCAAAACTGAAAAACACTTAAGATGGTAAATTTTATGTTACGTGTATTTTAACATAACTCAATAGAAAAGTGGTGTAATTTCTGTCTCTGGAGTGGGTGTCGGGGGTGCACGGCAACATATTCAAGCTTATGTACAAGGCGTTTGAGGTCGGGGCATGGAAACATACTGAGGCACTGTGTGTATGTTATTTGTGCATGAGAATGAAACTCCTTGACCCTGAAAACAGGACGGGGAGTGGAGTGTGTGGTGTGATAAGGAACGCTGAAAACAGCCTCCCGAGAATGCGGTTTGAGTGCTTTTACCAGGCCACAGGTGTCTCATGACCCGACCTCAAAAAGGCCATCTAGTGGATGTTTGTGGTCTAACAAGCCCTTTCAATGAATACTTGGCGGACAGATGCTGGGGCGGAGTCTCTTAGAAGAGCTGCCCCCGGCCCCCCTCAGCTGGATTTGTCTGAGAACTCATTCTTGGCGTTCACTGCAAGCTATAAGCTCTGCAAGTGGTGACCCCGACGTGATCGCCTTGAAGTTACGCGTGAAGGAGGAGAGCTCATTACTTTTCGGGGAATCCTGGTAAGGGACAGTCCTGACTCCCATCAGGAGGACGGGACCCATGCGTAAACTATCGCGGGTTGGGTTATCATGGGTCAGGAAATGACCAAAGAACAGAAAGTATTTTTTAAAACAGTGCAACAGCTACTTAAGGCTATCCAGTGCACTGTAGAGCCTGGAGCTCTACACAAGCTTATGCTTTTAATTTGGCAGAAATGCCCTTGGTTTCCTGATCAAGGAACCTTAGATTTAGGGTTATGAGAGCAGGTAGGTCGCTGCCTGAAAAGAGGATATGAGCAGGGTCATTTTACTAATGTTACTATTTTGACCACCTGGGCGCTGGTACGCTCTGCGTTGTATCCTCTTTATCTGCCAGATCGTGGTTAGATCGCCCATTATCTCCACCTGAAAAGAATTCAGAAGATTTGAAGGGAGAGATTCCTCTCCCCACTTCATTCCGTTCTATGGGGAATAAGGAAGAGGTTTTTTTCTAGTGAGGACAAACAGGAACCAGAACAGTGGTTGGGGGGTGGGGGTGCTCCTCTCTCTACCTCATTCCCTTCTGTAGGGCATAAGGAGGATTTTTTTTTTTTTTTTTTTTTTTAGTGAGGATAAGGACGGACGGGAGCCTTTTCCTCCCCCTGTAGAAAAGCCATTGCCCTTCTTTCCTCCACCCTTAAAAGGACCTGCATTTGTTGGCCCTGTTCAGCCAACAGCGCCTTCCATCCCCCTTAAGGAGATTGGAGGCCGCCCAAGGGACGGCTCTTAGATAAGACCCCCGGTCAGCGAACATCTGTATGATCTGTATGATTGGGTGGCTGCGTCTCCTCGACTAACTTCCCTGCTGGAGGGGTGCGTCCAGGAGGGAAGGAAAGTGGCTGATTATGATTGTCTTCCTAATATGCAAGTTCCCATTTGCTACTTCCAGCATCAGCCTTTCTGGCCTTGTCTTTTTTCTGTTTCACTGGAGTAAAAGGGGAAGTTGCATGCTGCCTCCTGGGTTTTATCCCAGATAGCTCTAGCTTTCTTGCTGCCCACAGAGGCCTGGGGCAGGAGAGTTGCTGAGATGCCATGGAGTGCACACTTGGTCACTGGCAGCCTGGGCAGGTTGCCCCTTTCTGGGTTTGTGGTGACGGAGGGAAGGCCAAAAGGCACAGACCGAGTCCCCGGGTGGCTGCAGGCAGCTCCAGCCCAGTCCTGAGGATCCGCCTCACCATGGTCACGTGCCTTAGTAACTGTGCCCAGGAAGTGGCCTGCTGCTTGCCGTGCTGCTGCTTTTCCTACTTCTGCCCTTCCCTGCCACTCCTCACATGTCTCAGTTGACGAGCAATTCCTTGTCTTCCCTGGCCCCCTAGGGAAAGGGCTGAGAAATAGTCCATGTGCACCCGGACCTTACTAGCCTAAGGTGGGCAAAGGAGTGTGGAGCAGCCCGGAGTACAGAGCCCTGGAGGAGGAGCCCACTAATAAGGGGCGCTCTCCCATAGCCATATATTAAATGCTAACTAGACTGAGGGGGACGAGCTCTGCCAGCTGCTGTCATCTTCAGAAGATAGACGCAGCAGTAAGGAGTGTTTGTTTTGCTTTTTTACAAAATGTTTAAAAACACTGTGGTTAAGAAACTTCAAAGCAGACCCTGTGCTGCATGTCTGCTCCTCCCCTGAGCCTCTCTGCTTGGGGGTGGTAAAAATAATAAAAAGCCCAGTATATTTTCAGTACCTCACCTAACAGGGTTGGCTGCAGGCGTAGGTGGCCTAGAAGATAAGGGGAGTGTTTTTCTCCCAGCCTGTTACCTTCTTGCCTCCAGCCTCCGCACTTCCACACACAGTTTACCACCCGGTCATTCTCTGGCCTCTTACTGCCGCTTGTACTCTTCCTTCCTTCCTCTCAGGGTAAGGACAGCAACAAGTGGCAGGCTATTAAAAAGAGAAGCTGCCTAAGGGGCCCAGAACGAATAGAAAGAAACTGGCCACAGCCCTACTTTCCCAAGCTCACTTCTAAGACATTCCAGCTAAAGGCTGATGCAGGAAAATGGCTAACACCAAAGGACATTTTAAAAAGCTTTTTTTTGTTTTCTTTTCTTTTTAACACACTTAAGCTAACTCAATGCAGGTTTATTATCCTGGCGACTTGCAGTCACTTTCTAATGGCTTTCAAGGGCCAAAATATAGTAAAAATCACTTAAAATATCCATCCTTTCCATGCCTTAGTTTAACAGGTAGGCTTTATCTTTTGCCATTTCGGTATTTTATATGTTATGTACCTGTCTCATAATCCCTCTAAACTTATACAAAAGACTACAGATATAATAGCTTCTCTTCTCATAAAAGGACGCCAACGTTGCGTCCAGCTGTCAGGATAAGACCCTGCTACTCTTTTCCTACCTTTAAGCAAGGAACAATTTCACACTCTCTTAGCTTGTGATCTTGATTGGCAAGTAGCAATGGCTGTCTTTATTGGTAATATCAGCTTTCATTTACCAGCCTCTAAGCTCCTGAACTTTTTACAAACTGTACCTGTTTAATTTGTATGTATTGTTGTCTCTGAGCCTTTACTTCATGCCACCACTGTCTTTACAGATGGTTAAAAAAAAACCCAAAAACTGAAAAAGCAGCTATAGTGTGGCAAGATGCCATGCAGAACTGGCAGTACAAAATCCAGGAGCATTTTAAAAACTATGCAACAGGCGGAATTAGGTGCCCTGATATTGGCCTTACAAACTTTTCCTCACCAAGACATAAATATCGTTGGTGATTCCGCTTATGTGGTGTATAGTATTACTCATTTAGATCTTGCACATGTGAAGGGCATTACTAATAAACCCCTATTAGCTTTGTTTCTTGCAGCGCAAGAGCTCCTCTGTGCCTGTCATCACCCTCTTTACATCACACATATTCGCCGTCATTCTGGGCTACCTGGTCCTTATCAGAAGGGAATGCTTGAGCTGATGCTCTGGTACGACCACAGATGTGCTTTGCAAATTCTCCTGCTTTTTTGCAAGCTCAAGCTGATCATGTTGTTTTTTCATCGGAACGCCCGCCGTCTTAAACAACAGCTTCATTTGACACTTACTCAAGCTTGCATGATTATTAAAACTTGTCCTAATTGCCAACAGCATTCTCTTTCCCCCTTTTCCTTAGGGCTTAGTGCCAACCTACGAGGTCTGGTGCCTAATGCTATCTGGCAAACTAATGTCACTCGGTGTCCACCCTTTGGACGTTTTAAATTTCTCCATGTTACCGTGGACACATATACAGGCCTAATACATGCTACCTCCCAGACAGGAGAAAAAACTAAAGATGCAATCGCTCATTTGTTTAAATCTATGATAACTCTAAGCCTTCCACACACTATAAAAACTAATAATGGACCTTCCTATCTTAGTGCTCGATTTACATATGCATTGCAACTTTGGCACATGCAACATAAAACTGATATTCCTTATAACTCAACCAGTCAGGCCATTGTTAAACGAGCTCATCAAACTCTTAAAGTATATCTTAATTTAAAAAGGGCGGGGGGGAATATGGGGCTCTCTTCTAGAGAACAGGACCAGTCGTTGGAGAACCAACCAACAATGATGGTGATGACTCGGAAGGCACCTGACATCACCTGGGGACAGCTAAAGAAATTGAATCAACAAGCATCTATCCAGCTTGCCGCCGTGGAAGCCCCTGCAACTGCAGACAATCGGTTTCTTACATATCTGGTGGCAATTGGGGAAACTTCTGAGAAAGTAAGACAGACATGGATGTTGGGGTGGCAGGTAATTCTTGTCCTTTGCTAAGTGGGATCAGCTTAAGGACATGTTTATTGGAGTCATGTTCTAAATCCCCCTGTTTTTAATGTTATTACATGGTGGGATGCTGACCCGCCTTTGTCATCTAATGATACTTCTTGGGCAGGAGGCCGATGGATGCCTCTGTCTTACCCCGTAACTGAAAATTTGGGATGGATTCAACTTAATTACTCCTCGATTTTATTGTCTAGTAATCCCCCTCTTTGTTTTTCCACAATAGCACATGATAAGTGTGTTACTCTCATCCCTCAGGAGTATCTTTACTATCAGCCTAAAAGGGATGCTAAGCTTGCAAACTTGACCTTTATTTCTACTATTACCACTAATCTTACTGAGGTCTCTAATGAAGCTACACAAGTGCCTGATCTTCCTATATGCCGTCCGAGTAGGGACTGGCGATAAAAGTTTGAGGCCGTCCAGTGGTCGCCGTGCAGACAGCCTGCTCCACGTCAAGGGCCTCTGTTTGATAATGGCACCTTACTTGATTGGGGTCCCCGTGGTAATCTTATGTCTGCAAATCAGACTATTGGACTTGGGAGTCCCTCCAGTAGTCCTATTACCTAGTCAGAGTATGGGCTTTCAGGACCAGTATTACAAGTGAGAGGGAAACAAGCTTTAAGCCCTGCTCATACCCAAATTTGGAGATTAGGATTTCCTTTTTTTGAACGGGTTCTTTCACATGGTGAGTATATTACTGGCGGTGGCAACCATACCCTCTCTTTGCATAATAATGTTACTGACACAGTCCTGATTTGTACCACGCACCCTTATATACTTTTGTTTGGGCAAGGTGTTCCTAACATAGAGCAGAATCAATCTTTTTATAGTATTAAAGTCTCTTCCAGTAGTTGGTATGCTGCATGCTTGTCCATCGAAACATTACACAGTTGGATATAACCTATGTCATGATCTTAAAATGGCGTGCAGAATTGTGGCTGCCTGTAAATTTAACCTGGAGCTGAAAAGGAGATTCCACCCTGCAGCTATTTAGAAAATCACTATCTCATACTCGGAAAAAAAAAAAAAAAAAAGATTCCTGGCCACTTTAATTGCCTTTTTAGTCTCAGCTATTATTATATTAGCAACTGCTGCTACTGCAGCTGTTTCTCTGACAGAATCTATTCACACAGCCTCAGTGGTGAACCACATGGTGTATAATGTAACCCGTGAATTTCAAGAACAGGTAAATATAGATAAAACCATTCTGTCTCGCCCGGTCTCTTGAAGCCGCTGTTGAATAACTGGGGAATCAGCAGCAGGCATTCATTACCCATCAAAATTTACATTGTTGATTGGCAATATAATTCTATCTGTGTCACGCCTCTGCCATATAATAGCTCCCAATATGCTTGGGAGAGAGTGAAAGCACATCTGCAAGGGGCTTATCACGACCATTTGTCTTCTCAAATTTCCATTCTTGAGTGTGAATTAAAGAAACACCTTGAAGAATGGTCGCAGCAATTACAAACAAGTATCCTTCAGCAATTACAAGAAGGCTTTCAATGGTTAAACCCGAACACTTGGTTGTCTGGGTTAAACATACGCATTTGGGTGATGGCCGCTGTACTTATTCTTTTTTGTATCTGTTTGCTAGGCACTTGCAGATGGCTCTGTGCTGCCACCCGACGCATCTATGACCAGGGAAGAATCATGGAAGCTTACCTTGCATTGGATGACCAGCACGCTATAAGAATTAAAGAAGGGGGGAATATGGCGGGGTGCACGACAGCATATTCAAGCTTATGTACAAGGCGTTTGAGGTCGGGGCATGGAAACATACTGAGGCACTGTGTGTATGTTATTTGTGCATGAGAATGAAACTCCTTGACCCTGAAAACAGGACGGGGAGTGGAGTGTGTGGTGTGATAAGGAACGCTGAAAACAGCCTCCCGAGAATGCGGTTTGAGTGCTTTTACCAGGCCACAGGTGTCTCATGACCCGACCTCAAAAAGGCCATCTAGTGGATGTTTGTGGTCTAACAAGCCCTTTCAATGAATACTTGGCGGACAGATGCTGGGGCGGAGTCTCTTAGAAGAGCTGCCCCCGGCCCCCCTCAGCTGGATTTGTCTGAGAACTCATTCTTGGCGTTCACTGCAAGCTATAAGCTCTGCGATGGGCCCTGAAAAAAAAAAATCGATACTACGATGACTCTCATATGTATTTCTTCAGCCCAGATCCAGACCTTTGTCTACTCAGCTTCTCCACGTGGATACCTAATAGGCATCTCAAATTTAAATATCCAAAACCAAACTCCTGACATTAAACACAAGAAGCAAGAAATATGAACATATTTTCTGATTCCACTAATATAAAAGTACATAACAGTCAACACCAAACCATATTATTCTTATTTCTTGAATTGAACTTTTATTTTAAGTTCAGAGGT
The DNA here is from genome assembly GCF_000001405.40 of Homo sapiens. NCBI lineage: Eukaryota > Metazoa > Chordata > Mammalia > Primates > Hominidae > Homo > Homo sapiens. The sequence continues at coordinate 71,778,111 of NC_000023.11, read as the reverse complement.
ACATGTACAGGTTTGTTACATAGGTAAACTTGTGTCGTGGGGGTTTCTTGTAGAAATTGTTTCGTCACCCAGTGATTAAGCCTAGTACCCATTCGTTATTTTTCCTGCTCCTCTCCATCCTCCCACCCTCCACCGTCCAATAGGCCCCAGTGTGTGTTGTTCCCCTCTTTGTGTCCCCGTGTTCTCATGGTTTAGCTCCCACTTGTAAGTGGGAATATGCGATATTTGGTTTTCTGTTCCTGCATTAGTTTGCTAAGGATAATGGTCTCCAGATCCAACCATGTTCCTGCAAAGGACCTGATCTCATTCTTTTTTATGGCCGCATAGTATCCCGTGGTGTATATGTACCACATTTTCTTTATCCAGTCTACCATTGATGGGCATTTAGGTTGATTCCATGTCTTTGCTATTGTGAATAGTGCTGCAATGAATATACACGTGCACGTGTCTTGATAACAGAATGATTTATTATATTCCTTTGGGTATATGCTCAGCGATGAGATTGCTGGGCCGAATGGTATTTCTGTCTTTAGGTCTTCGAGGAATCACCACACTGTCTTCCACAATGGTTAAACTAATTTACACTCTCACCAACAGTGTATAAGTGTTCCTTTTTCTCTGCAACCTCGCCAGTATCCATTATTCTTTTACTTTGTAGTAATAGCCATTCTGACTGGCGTGAGATGGTATCTCATTGTGGTTTTGATTTGCATTTCTCTAATGGTCAGTGATGTTGAGCTTTCTTTCACAGGATTGTTGGCCGCATGTACGTCTTGTTTTGAAAAGTGACTGTTCGTGTCCTTTGCCCACTTTTTAATGGGGTTGTTTGGTTTTTTCCTTGTAAACTTGTTTAAGTTCCTTATAGATGCTAGATATTAGACCTTTGTCAGATCCATAGTCTGCAAAAGTTTTCTCTTATTCTGTAGGTTGTCTGTTCACTCTGCTGGTAGTTTCCTTTAGTGTGCAGAGCTCTTTAGTTTAATTAGATCCCATTTGTCAATTTTTGCTTTTGTTGTAATTGCTCTTGGTGTCTTCGTCATGAAATCTTTGCCCATTCCTTATCCAGAAAATGATTGCCTGGGTTGCCTTTCAGGGATTTTATAGCTTGGGGTTTTACATTTAAGTCTTTAATCCATGTTGAGTTAACTTTTGTGTATGGTGTGATATAGTTTGGCTGTGTTCCCACCCAAATCTCCTCTTGAACTGTAGCTCCCATAATCCCCACGTGTTGTGGGAGGGATCCGGTGGGCGGTAATTGAGTCACGGGGGTGGATTTTTCCTGTGCTGTTCTCATGATAGCGAATAAGTCTCATGAGATCTCATGGTTTTATAAAGGGCAGTTCCCCTGCACATGCTGTCTTCCCTGTCGCCATGTAACGCACATCCTTTGCTCCTCCTTCGCCTTCTGCCATGATTGTGAGGCCTCCCAAGGCATGTGGAACTGTGAGTCCGTTAAACTTCTTTTCTTTATAAATTACCCAGTCTCGGGTATGTCTTTATTAGCAGCAAGAGAACGGACTAGTACCTGGTGTAAGAAAGGGGTTCAGTTTCAGTCTTCCATATATGGCTAGCCAGTTATCCCAGCACCGTTTGCTGAATAGGGAATCCTTTCCCCATTGCTTGCTTTCGTCAGGTTTGTCAAAGACCAGATAGTTGTAGGTGTGGGGCCTCATTTCTGGGTTCTCTATTGTGTTCCATTGGTCTCCATGTCTGTTTTTGTACCAGTACCATGCTGTTTTGGTTAGTGTAGGCTTGCGGTATAGTTTGAAGTCGGGTAGCGTGATGCCTCCAGCTTTGTTCTTTTTCACTTAGAATTGCCTTGGCCATTCAGACTCTTTTTCAGTTCCATATGAATTTTAAAATAGGTTTCCTCGTACTGTGAAGAATGCCAAAGGTAACTTAATAGGAATCGCATTGAATCTGCAAATTGCTTTGGGCAGTATGGCCACTTTAATGATATTGATTCTTCCTATTCATGAGCAGAAATGTTTTTCCATTTGTTTGTCACGTCTCTGATTTCCTTGAGCAGTATTTTGTAGTTCTTCTTGTAGAGATCTTTCACCTCCCTGGTGTGGTGTATTCCTGGGTATCTTGGTGTGTGTAGCAATTATGAATGGGACTGTGTTCCCGATTTGGCTCTCTGCTTGACTGTTGTTGGTGTATACGAATGTTAGCGATTTTTCACATTGATTTGGTATCCTGAGACTTTGCTGAAGTTGATTATCAGCTTAAGGAGCTTTGGGGCTGAGACTGTGTGGTTTTCTAGATTTAGGAACATGTCGTCTGCAGGCATACTGTAGTATTAAAAGAATGTAATATAGGACATAGGACAGAAAAACGTAGAGAAAAAAGAGGAAAGAAGGATCACAAATGTAAATGTGTTGGTTTCCTCTTGAAGGAGGAATGAGGCTGAGATCAGGCAGAGACACCCCAGGAGCTTTGGGGAATGCTGGCGGTGTTCTCCTCTGTGACATGGGGGTGTTTCTGTAGAGGTGCCCTTGATAATCACTTATTAAACAACACACACATATTGTGAGGTTCTCTCTATGTATGTTACATTTCAAAATAAAGAGGGGCAAAATTGCTAATAACAAATAACACACATTTGTAGTTAAACACTTCTCACAATCCACAGACCTGGAAATGACTGATTAGTTTTCTGTATGTGTAGTTTTCCAGTTTTAAGAATGTTCTACAAATGGAATCATACATTATGTAGAGTTTCATATTTGGTGTCTTTAGCACAATGAAATACATATAAGACCTCTAGAACTGCAATGTACTCTTTCTTGACCTCAGTACTCAATACGTGTTTTCCTCACTTCACAATAGTTCATTCACAGTCGATTGGTTTTCTAAACTTGTATATATGTGTAGTATGCTTTATAAATATCATATGATAGTTAACTTTATGTAATTTGTTATATCTTGGTAATGGACTTTTCTTAAAAATGGACAGTATCCCTAAGAATACCCCGTACATTTCCATTGCAAAAAAAAAAAAAAAAAAAAGTTATTCCATCATGTGAGTATACCACAATTAACTGATATAAACTATGAAGGTAAAAATTTGCGTTGCTGCCCCTTAACGTTGTTGCCTTAATTTCTTTTTCTCAGGTCCTAAGTCGTCTGCCCCTGAGAATAAGTGGATGGGGAGGTGACAAATCTCCCGTGAGAAAAATGTACCAAGTGCATGGTGTTCCAACACATAATCACAAATTCTGAATGAAAACTTGCCACCCAAATATAAAATATTTACCAAAACATCGAAATTAATATCACAATTATGTAAGCATCGTTCCTACGATGTTTGGTGAAATCTATGAGAATTTGAAATCAAGCTATCACTATCAATAAACTGATATTAGTACTCGCAAGGAGATCTGCTATAAATAGAGAAAATAAAATTTTGGTTATCCTTCTGGTTATAAAATACTTACCTGTTTAATGCAGTGTTACTTCCCTTAGCACTATTGTTTTGTCTGCTTATGGTGGCAGGCAACGTACAGAAAGAAAACATCACAGTTTATGTGCATAGTTTAATAAATGATTGTCCAGTGCACCTGCACAGGAACGCTCCCCTAGGTCCCAGAGAAGAACACCGCCAGCATTCCCCAGAGCCTCCTGGGGTGTCCCTGCCTGAGCTCAGCCCCACTCCTACTGCAAGGGGAAACCAACATCCTGACTTTTCTGATTGTCCTTTCCTTGCTCTTCTCTGTGGTTTTATATCCTAAGTATGCATTCTTCAACAAGGTAGGTTAGTGTTGCCTGTCATTTGAAGTTATAGGAATGGAATCATTAAGCATGTCCGTGTTGTCCCTTGCTTCTTTCCCTCGATGTTATCTTTGTAAGATTCGCGCCTATTATTCCATGGAGGAGTACTTTGTACTTTTCCGTTGCTGAAATAGTATTCCATTGTATTAACATACCACAATGTATTCATTCCGTCCCATGGAAGTTGTGATTTTCATTGTTTCCCATATTTGGGACTGGATGATTACAAAAATACTACTCATAAACCCTTGTCGGCACCAGTAAAGGAGTCCTGAGAGGGACGTGTAGGCTGCTAAAAGCATATATTTAAAAGAGGATCGCAGACAATTAAAGAGAAAACGTTCGAAAAAGAAGCCCAACGTAAGACCAAGGAAAGTAGAAGGAAGTCATCAAGGTAAAAGCAGAAATCAGTGAAAGTGGAAACAAGCATAAGGATCACAAAACCAGAAGTTGGGTGTTTGGAAGAAGAATGAAATTGGTAAACCTCTTGTGAGACTGGTCAAGAAAACAAGGGAGAAGGGCACCGCTATCAGGAAAGAAAAGGGAGAAATAAGCACAAACGATGTTACGTCCGTTCTCGTGTTGCTATATAGAAATATCCAAGACCGAGTCATTTATAAAGAGAAGAGCTCATGGTTCTGCAGGCTGTACTGGTAGCATAGCGGCTTCTGCTTCTAGGAGGACTCAGGAAACTTGCAATCATGGCAGAAGGCAAAACAGGAGCAGGTACTTGTTACATGGTAGGAGCAGGAGCAAGAGAGAGAGAACAGGGGGAGGTGTCACACACTTTTAAACAACCAGACTCATGACAACTCACTCGCGACCACAGGGACAGTACCAAGTGGATGCTGCTAAACCATTCCTGAGAAATCCAGCCCCATGATCCAGTCACCTCCCACCAGGCCCCACCTCCAGCATTAGAAGTCACAGTTTGACAGAAGACTTGGTGGGGACACGGTTCCAAGCCATATCATATGCAGACATCCAAAAGATAGAAAGAAGATATTGTGGGGGAACTGGATATTCACACAGAGTGCCCATGCAGTAACAGCGCATAGCTAATTAAATACAAAGAGAAGATGGCACTTTCACAATGGGGTAATCTGGAACAGCGCCCTGAGCACATGGTCAAGATGAACATCGCCAGTCATGAGACAAACCGACATGGAGAATCTGCTGATGTCGTGCACTGAGAAGAACAGCATGTCTGCTATGCAGTAGTCCTGCCAAAAATGTTATACCTACCTGAATCTAATCACAAGGAAGCCATTCGACAAACCTACGTTCAAGGGCTTCCTGACAATGACTGCACTGGTTTAAAGCACACTTTAAGGCGGGCTGATCACGAGATCAGGAGATGGAGACCATCCTGGTTAAGACGGTGAAACCCTGTCTCTACTAAAAAATACAAAAAATTAGCCGGGCGTGGTGGCGGGCGCCTGTAGTCCCAGCTACTCGGGAGGCTGAGGCAGGAGAATGGCGTGAACCCGGGAGGTGGAGCTTGCAGTGAGCCGAGATCGTGCCACTGTGCTCCAGCCTGGGCAACAGAGGGAGACTCCATCTCAAAAAAAAAAAAAAAAAAAAAGCACACTTTAAAGGACACTGAAGAGACTTGATGGGCCGGGAACCATGGCTCATGGCTCACCCCCGTAATCCCGTCAATTTGGGAGACCTAGGCGAGCGGTTGGCGCTTGCCTGTGGTCCAAGCTACTCAGGAGGCTGAGGTGGGAGGATGGCTTGAGCCTGGAGGTCGAGGCTACAGTGAGCCGGGTTCGTGACACTACATGCCAGCGTGGGCGACAGAGGGAGACCCTGTCTCAAAAGAGACTTGACAACTAAATGCAAAGCATGATGTTTGGTTGGAAAGAGAATTTTGTTAGAAAGCAGCTATGAGGGATACTATGGGACCATGGGGACAATCGGAGAATGTTTCATGTGATCATACAGTAGAAAATTGTGTGGTCTCCATGTTACATTTCCTGAGTGTCATGGTGGCATTAAGGTTTTGTGGGAGCCCATGCTTCCTTGCAGGCGATACATGCTGCAGTATTTACCGATGATGGATCTAAATGATTCCAAGGGATCTCAAATGATTCCACAAAACAATAAAACAAAAATACAAGCACGCACACACGCTTAGAGAAAGACAGGGGTGCAGGATGGAGGGAGGGCTGAAGCAGATGTGAGAAAGTGGTAACAACTGGAGGATGCAGTTGAAGAATATACGTATGGGTGCTCCTTGTGCTTTCCCTGCAACTAACTCTCCTGTGACTCCAAAATTTAAACAAATGCAATCTGGGATGAAGCGGGTATTATGGACCATTTTATTCCAGTCAGTTTGAAAACAGTGAAAAAGGTCACCAATTGCTAGGAAACCAAACCCGCCAAAACTGACACAAGAAGGCACAGCCAACCTGAACCGTTCCAGAATCATTACAGAAAGATATCAGTAGTCAAAGGCTTTCCACGAATGAACTCCAGGATTCACCACCACATTCTGACAAACATCCTAGGAATACATATCTTCCATTTTACACAAACTCGTGCAGAAAATTGAAAGTGAGGGGCCAGGCATGGTGGCTCACGCCTGTAATCCCAGCACTTTGGGAGGCCGAGGCGGGTCGATCACGAGGTCAGGAGATCCAGACCATCCTGGCTAACACGGTGAAACCCCATCTCTACCAAAAATTAAAAAAAAAAAAAAATTAGCCAGGCGTGGTGGCAGGCGCCTGTAGTCCCAGCTGCTTGGGAGGCTGAGGCAGGAGAATGGCGTGAACCTGGGACGCGGAGCTTGCAGTGAGCCGAGATCGTGCCACTGCACTCCAGCCTGGGCGACAGAGCGAGACTCCGTCTCAAAAAAAAAAAAAAAAAAAGAAAAGAAAAGAAAAGAAAAGAAAATTGAAAGGGAGGAACAATCCTCCACTCACTGTATGAGCTTGGCATAACCTCAATACCAAATCCTGCAAGGACACCTAGAGAAACATTGCAGGTCAATCACATGCTCGTGACATAGAAGTAAAAATTGGAAGCAGAATCTTAGCACACGGAAGCCTACAGGATATAAAAAGGAAAATACCTAATATGGCATGACTAATATTGGCTTCATCCCAGAAATACGAACTTAATTTCTCTTCAGAAAATACAGTGGTATAATTCCCCACATTAACAGATTCGGGGAGACAAACATGCTCTTCGTAGTCACAAAAGGTATTGACTAAATGTCAATTTCCATTTGAGATGTATTGCTGACAATTTTTTTTTTCTAAAAAGTCAGGACTATTGGGCTATAACTTACACAGAGGTCTGTGAGATCTCGTAAATGCGTATGGCTGTAAAAACACCAGCACAATATATATAGATATAGAGCATCGCCATCCCCCGCCCCCCTCCCCCGCCAGGTTCCCTTACGTCCTCTTGTACTGAACTCCTCGTCTTAACCCTCAGACCCTGGCAACCATCAATCTGTTTTGTGTTCCTAGAGTTTTGCCTTTTCCAGAATGTCATATAAATGGAATCACACGGTACGTAGCATGTGCATTTGGCTTCCTTCAGAGAAAGACACTCGGACTGCGATTCTCTAAAGGTGCAATGTACAGTTTCATGACCTGGGTAGTAGTTACCTGGCTTGATCACCTTACAACTGTTTGTCAGATGGCGGGCTTCTGAGTTCTCTCCGTGTGTGTGTGTGTGCGTGTGTGTGTGTGTGTATCATGTTTCAAACATATAATTTTACATTTAACTGCCTCTAACTTTTATATGTTGGTGAGGGTTATTAAATGACAATTATTAATACTTAAAGGGAAGTGAGTGATTATTGTAAAAGCCAGCAGAGTCATTTCCTCTGGGGTGTGCAAAGCGGGAGGTAGTGATCAGGATGGGGCAAACAGGAGGGTTCCAAAACCCTGCCAACCTTCTGTTCCTCGCTCTGCATGGTAGTGACCTGGACTTCAACATTGCACAACCACATGGGCGCCGTTCACGCTGGATCACGAGAACAGAGCACCCTGGAATCCCACAGATAGATGTGGCCACCCTGGCGGCCACAGCCTACGCGGCCGTACCTGGCAAACACTGGTGTTGGCCTCATCCTTCGAGGAAACGCATGATGAGAAAATGTGTGGGGAAAAGGAGGAGTTCTTGGGGTGGAGGTTGAGGACAGATGTGCGTGAGGTTGTCCGAGTTCACCCAGGAGTGTGTTCCAGGCGGGCTAAAGTTCATGGCTGGTACTCACCATGACCACTATGATCCTATGACTGCCATCTCACATCCCCGTGTGCGATGCCCTGGGCCTCCGCCACAGCCTGGAAGGCCACCCTAGGGGACTCTGGCTGGTGGGCGTGTGCAGAGACTCACACACCTTCGGCTCTAGCTGGAGTCTGAAGAGGAGATGCTCTTTTCTGCCCACAGAGTAAGAGGTCTCATCTGGAAATGTACCTGTGGCAGCCCTGGCGCCGGGTGTAGGTGGGATTCTGCTCAGGGCTCTGCCACTGTGGCTGCATCAAGGGCAGGCACTCAGCTCGCCAGACCTCCGGAGCCTGTCTGAGCTGAGTGGCAGGACAAGGCAGGAGGGGGTCTAAGGCTCTCCAGGCGGGACCCCACATTCCTCTTGGTGGGAGAGCAGGATTGAAGGAAAAGACAAAGCGGGACACTGAATGAGGGGAAGGGCTCGACCTCCTCCTCTCCACTGGGGCCCAGGTGGATTCCTCTAATCCGAGGAGTCTCGGATTCTGCACCTATTTCCCCTAGAACTGGAAGGCTCCACCCGCCCATGGCCTGGGGTGTACATGTTACAGCCTCATTATTGTGCGGGAGGTGGTCTGAATATGGAACCGAGGTGGTGTGCTGAGAGGCGGGGCTGGCAAATGCAGCCACCGGGAGATGGGTTCACGCCTTCCACGACTCCGTCCACGGGCTTCTCCCCTTCCACACCCTGTTGACCATGGCCCATGCCCCCCGGGGCAGTGCCTGGGGCTAGAGTTCTCACGCCACCAGAACCTGCCTAGATGTCTCCGGTGGCAAAAACCCAAGCTGGAGAGTCCCTGACGCACGTCTTCCCCCAGACACCAGCCCACTGTGTTATCCCCCCAAGAAACAACCACCTGTGTCAGGGTCAAAGCCTTGGCCCGAGGAATCAAGCCAACCCTCTCAGGGAAGGTGTTGGATTCCGATGGGGTAGGTCCCCACCAGCGTTCGTTTCCAGGTCTGAGGCCTGTGATTGGCCCACCACGTGCGTGATGGTCCCCCTCACTGAGCTCACACCATGGGCCCACAGGGAGACGCACAGGGAGTATGGGGGAAGGCAGACACCGGGCCCGACCAGCTGTCCCAGGGCAGTCCCTCTTTCCCACTTTCCACCCTCTCTGTGGGCATCCTGCCCGTCCATGTCTTGGTTAGCGGGTGTCGTGGCACCCTCCCACGGGAGCTCCCCACTTCTAGATGAGGCACCAACCAGCGACTCTGAGGTATTACCACTGCACCCACACATGGGAGTGCTGAGACATCCCATCCATCCCGCGGAGGATCGGGAGCCTACTGTGGCACCTCCAGCATTCTGAGAGCCCCGACACCTGTCCCTGTGTTTGGGGATGTCCCCTTCGTCCCACTCCACAGCCTTCTAGGTGTTAGAATTGAACAACACCTCCTGTGAAAGGGTAGATCCCAGCCCCGCTTTAGCGAATTCGATCCTTCATGGATCCTTCACCACTGCTTCCACTCCGTGAATCAGCCCATTCTCCCTCAACGGAGAGCACCCCCGATTAATTTGATTCCCAAGCGGGTGCTTGCAGGGGCGTGCACACACACATACACACGCTAACCTTGAATGGTATCTGTATTTCTCCTGTCCTTGTTCGACACCCTGTCTCTCGGCGATGGGAGCTGGCAGAACCTACACACACCTCCTCACTGGAATCGGAATCTGTGCCCAAATCTGGGACCTGCCCAGCCCAGGATTCTGGCTGAAGGAAGCGGGCGATCCCAACTGTCAGGGAGGGTGAAGGCAGAACAGGGAGCTCTAGGAAATCTCGTGTGACCTCGAGAGGCGGTCGGGAAGACTGACCAGGGACACAGAAATAATCACGTCCACAAAAACCTGTTGGCCTTGGGGGTGGTGAAACGGTATTTCACGGGAACCATCCAAGAACAGCCAGGCCTAGCATCCACACTTGCCCTGGAAACCAGCTGGCCATTTTCAAATCAATGGTATGGAGCCCACCGGCTGCAGAAGGGGCTGTTGGCTGCGTATAGGACACCAAGGATGTGGAAGCCGCCTTCCGCGTAGCTACCGGCGGGCGGTTTCCACCAGGTTGGCCCGCAGGCACCAGAACAGACTCAGTGCCCCCACCTCCAACCGAGAGACTGTCTTGCCCTTTTCTTCCGCACTCCAGGTATCTTCCCTTTGGCTCAGCTTCCCACCAGGATGTGGTTTCTGTCTCCACCTGGCTACTGAAGCTAAGGAGGAGATCTGACAGAATTTGGTAACTAAGGTTCAAAGGTGAGGGCTAAGAGGAACTGAGGATGCCAAGCGGGTTTTTGCCCCAGATGACCTGACCCTGTGCATGGTGGCACCGGAGGGACATAACGGCTCAAGGAAGAGGACTGGGCCCCTGAGGGGCGGGGAGGATGAGCTCCGTCTTGTTCCTCAACAGCATGGAAATAACCATGCAGGAAAGGCCACTGGCATCAAGCCACTGGGGAGAGCAAGGATGCTCACGATGGAAAGGATGGTGAGAGGGCAGAACAGAAACAGTGAACCGCAGGAGGAAAGGTGAGAGAGACGGGTTCTGGAAGGAGGCCATCAGTTCCTGCTGAAGGGGAGGGAGAATAGCGCTGAAGAAGGGGAACTGTGAGACCCCAAAGTGGGAAGAGAAGAGGAGGGACCGTGAGCAAGGCGTGTAGGAGAAAGGCAGGAAATGCTGCTGTGGCCGGGCAGGGCCCCCACACACCTAGACCCAGAGCACTGTGGTGAGCCCGAGTGCAGGGCTGCTGCTCAGAGGCCGGCCCAGGTGCCCCGCAGGGAGAGGGCCCACCACAGAGCACCAGGGGAACTGTTCTTCAACCGCCAGTGAACCGGGCAACACGCTGCAACCCCCAACACTCCCAACAATCGCAGAGAGGGCAGACCACAGACCACAGAATATGAGAACGACTTTATTTCAAATTGCTTTGAACTGCGTTGGGAAGGGGGCAAATGCAGCGGAAGAGAGGAAGCCCTGGCTGAACAGGATATGGAGGGAACCCGCTTGGCTGCAGCTCCGGAGCTCCAAAGGTGGCAGCTGTTCATCTTGTAGGAAGATGCTGGCTCCAACCTGTGAAACAGAGTAGGCTCAGGGACGGGCCCTCAGCCAGGGCCAGCCCACAGCCCTCCTAAGGTACCATGATTGTGGAAAGGGGCATGGTGTGTGCAACACTCACTTCAAAGGTCCTGGAACTTGTCAGTGAGGAACTGCATGGCCGCTGAAAGAGAGAGGCAGAAATGGACACTCCAGACCCAGGGAAACAGAAACCCACGCCCTGCCCCGGTGGGGAACCACCTAGCCCTGCAACCAGAAACCCCACCAGCCCTGGGACTGACTCACCCACCCGTCACCTGAATTAAATGTGGAAATGCCTTCTAAGCGGGAAAGTGGTTCTCAGGTGCTGGGCCATCCCAGTACCGTACAGAACGTATTTCAAAGACAGATAAGCCAGCCAGCAAGCAAACACCATACAAGTCATACCAGGCAGTAGTTAAAGGGGAAACACAGGTGGTATCTCTAACCGCCCTAAGAGAAGGAGAGTTCTGGGACTCGTGGACTAAGTGTACACGGAGTTCAGACGACACATTGCTGTCTGTGCACACCCCTAGCTGGAAAGGCACAGAAGGCTCCAGGGCCAGGTCTGCTTGATTCTCCTCCCCAGAGGAAAGTCAGTCCCAGTGATGCTGCCCATACCTGCAGCCCACCACCGCCCCCAACACCAGCAGAAAGACACCGCTGTCCATCCCTGCCCCAGCCAGGGCTCCCTCATACCTAGCTGCTGTGTAAGGTCCTCAATTTCCCTCTGCAGCCAGATGCACTAGACCAGCGGACACCGGAGGAAGATAAATGGTTGGTCAATTCTGTGCTCCTCTCTCCCCAGCCTCCCTGCAGCCCCCATAGCCTGCAGCCCAGTGGCGAGGTGGGTTGGCAGGGAACCCTCAATGGAAACGAGGCACCCTCTCTCCGTGGGGTGCAGAAGGTGGAGATGTGCGGAGTGCGGTGGGGAGGGAGGGGGCGGACGCAGAAATCAGTTTAACCTGGACACGGATCCCACCATCTACTGTGGACCTCTATTTCTAGGAGCCACACAAAGCATTACCCGAGGACAGCCCTGGGCTCCCGGGGGCTGCTGCTGCCTTTCCGGTCTTGGGGGATGGACAGGCGGCTGCTGGTTACCTGAAAGAGAACACAAAATCCAGCTTCCAAGCCTCCCAGTGAGGTGGAAAGGGCCTAGTGGTGTCTAATGTGAGGCAGCATCACCCTCTGCTGGTACACGTTGCCCCTGCTCTGCCCAGCAACTCCAACCCCGCTCTGGGACTGCCTTCACTGTTCCCCAGTGTAAGCTCATGTGCACCTGTGGCCCCCTAGCATTGTGACTCCAGGTTGGACTCCAGCAGTGCGGCAGCCACAGCCAGGCCCTGGGAGGGCCCATGTGGCTGAGCAGGACTTAACAGAAAAGGGCTCAGTACTGCCGAAAGTCTCCTTCCAGAGTTGGGAGTTTGGGGCGCTGCTCCAAATCGCCCCCCACCACACAAACCCCACTCAGAGAGGACGATGTGGCTTAAAGCCAGCCCAGTCAACACCCCGTTTCCCCGTGGGACAGCTGCCTGGGTGGGCAGGGAAGTCTGGGAATAAGGCTGAGCCCCCAGAAGCGACAGGGCCAGAGGTTTCCCTCCCGACCCCTCTCCCCTCCACCCCTATCAAACCCACAAGACTCACCGGAGGGTGCATGGCGTCTGGGCACGAGGCCTCCCGGGCTGTAGGCCGAGGGCTCTGAAGTTCCCGGAAGTTGGGGAGCTCTGATGTTGGGGTCGCTACTGCTGAATTCTCCACGACGCACAGACAGGCGAGGCAGTCCTGGCCTGTGGGTGGGAAGCTAAAACAGAAACTTCTGAGTCGGGCTGGCGATGGGGGCCGGCGGTGAGTACACGTGGGGAGGGGTTGTGGTAAGGTGGAGACTCCTGAGCCTAATCTCATTAGCACTTTCTCCCTCAGTCAGCCTCAGGCCAGGAGGCAGAGGCCAGCCAGGGAAAACACTGGGGATACTGAGATAGCCCGGGGCCGCCTGCCAGGTGGGTTGGGCAACAGCTAGGGAAGGAGGAATCAGGAAGTTGATGAGCCTAGATGCCCCAGCTTTGCAGCCCACACTTTAAGGCATCACCCGATCCAAACCAGCTGCCAGCCCTGCCTTCCACCCCAGCTCCTCTCTGCGGGCGGAGGCAGGACCCCTGCAGAGCGTCCAGAGGCATGGCCATCACACAAGAAGTGCTCCCTTTAACGTGTGCCCTTATGAGGAAGACACCCATCGGGCATTCTAGTGTCCCTGGGCTCCCGATGACAACCCTCGAGCAAGGGACAGAGGAGGCATGGGTAAACAGGTGTGTGCTGGAAGAGAGGAGGTGTGGGGGGAGGAGGGTAAAGAGGGAGAGGAGGGCGAGAAGGGCCTACTCACTTGGGCTCTTGGGACCTCATCTCTATTTGGGTCATTATCTTCTCTGGCCGCAGCCTGGGACTCCCTGGTCTTCCTCCCTGCTGGTTTCTTCCCAGGGCTGCTGTGCTTAGGCTTTTGGGGTTTCTTGGACATCCCCTGTGGCCGCACACCAGAGAATGGCGGGAAGGTGGCCGGCTCCGGGGGAGCGGCTGAGAGTCTCTCTCCGCAGGCAGGAAAGCCTCTCCCCAGGGCCAGTTGAGAGGCACCCCCTAGGGACTTCTTCCCCCCGGCCATCTTCCTCCTCGAAAGGCCCTGGGGCAGGGCCCCTGCAGCAGCAGCTCCTGAGCAGCTGGGCCTGACCTCCACCTTTCCCCAGGCCCTGCTCTGCATTTTCTTCTGGGGAGAGTCCTCCAGCTCTCCCACAGCCGGCCTCTCTGCGACTGGAGTGAGTCCGCGGGGAGCAGAGGTCAGGAAACGGCCCGGCACAGGCAGGTAACTCTCCTTGCAGTGGAAGCTTGCCTGTCTGGATGTGTCTGCTCGCTTCTTGGGGCTGCCGGGCTTGGCCTGGCTTCCTTCGTTGCGGCAAATGCCTACCTTCATCAGTGGTAAGTCGCTGCTCTCATCTGCGGAATCAGAGTCGTGGGTAGGCAGCCTGGTGGGGCCTTTCGCAGAGGGCTGCTGGGGATCCACGCGGAGGCTCCATCTGCTCTTCGAGCCCCTTTCCGGGTTCTTCCAGGCCCGCACTGGCCCAGGACCGCAGAGGTGGAGACGGCCGGCAGAGGCCTGCTGCCATTTTCCAGGGCTGTGGCCCAGCACGTCTCTCCCACTGGGACCGACCTCCGCATCTGCCCAATTCTCAGCCGACCCTTCGGCAGCGGCACCTTCTGGGAACGGGTGTCCCTGGACGCTGGGCGGCGGCACGATGGCGGCTGGTTCGTCAGCCAGGTAGAATGAGTAGTCCACAACGTCCCCTTGGTCATCCACCGGGGTGCCTGGCCGGCCTTCCCGGCCCCAGAGCACCACCCTTCCTTGCTCTATCAATTCGCTCTCAGACTCGAAGCTGAAGCCCTCTGGATCTGTGAACCCGCTCTCGCTCTTGCCATCGCCGCTGCCCGGCACCCCCAAATCGAGGCCGTGGCTGTGGGCCCCTGGGGCTCCGGGGCTGGCCGTGCGGGAGCCAGCCTTTTTGCCACCCTCCAGGTCGAAACCGGCCCCACAAACGGACACCTTGTCGGGGGAGCTCATGGCGCCAGTCCGGGCAGCCTGGGCTGCGGGGAGACGGTCGTCCTGGTAACGGCGGGAGCGGAGAGCTGAGCCCAGCCAAGCCCAGCTGAGCGGGCCACGCGACAGAAACAGTGAGGCCTTCGGGACACCACCGCCCTCGCCCCAGGCGGAAGTACCAGATGTCCGGGACAGCGAGTGGCTTCCTCGCGCCCTTGACGCCGGCGCCGAGCCTTCTCATTGGTCCCCGTCTGCCAACCAGCACGCCCTTTGTGGGGCGAGGTGCCTGAGCTTTAACCAATCGGGACACAGGCTCTTGGTTTGCCTCCATGCCCGTCATTTGACTGGGTGGCTGCGCTCTGGTCGGGTCTTGGGGCCAGGGGGCACCGTAGCTCTCGATCACCTCTTTCTTCCTGTCCTTCTGCCTCTGGCCGGGCACCTACTTTCCAAGGAGAGCCACGTCTCTGAGCCCCAGTGTCCCATCTGTAAGGTGGGGATTAAGGGGAGACCTTCCCCCAGCTCATCAGCTTGGGAGAGTAAATGTCGTGATGCACGCAAAGCACCCGGTGCACAGAGGAGGTCTCATTGGAAAGTAGGTTCCCAGCCAGAGGCAGCAGGAGAGCAAGAAGGAGGTGGATCGAGAGCTCCAGTGCCCCCTGGCCGCAAGACCAGACCAGAGCACAGCCACCCAGTCAAATGACGGGTGTCGGGGCAAACCAAGAGCCTGTGTTCCGATTGGTTAAAGCCCAGAGGCCTCTGCCAACAAAGGGCGCGCTGGTTGGTAGAGGGGGACCAATGAGAAGTCGCGGCACTGGCGTCAAGTGCACGCGCAGAAGCCACGCGCTGTCGGGGACATCTGGTACTTCCACCCGGGGTGAGGGCAGCGGTGTCCCGAAGGCCTCACTGTTCCTGTCGCGTGGCCCGCTCCGCCGGGCTTGGCAGGACTCGGCTCTCCCCTTCTGCCGTTACCAGGACGACCGTCTCCCCGCAGCCCAGGCTGCCCAGACTGGCGCCATGAGCTCCCCCGACAAGGTAGCCGTTTGTGGGGCCAGTTTCGGCCTGGAGGGTGGCAAGCAGGCTGGCTCCCGCATGGCCAGCCCCGGAGCCCCACGGGGCCAGGGCCACGGCCTCGATTTGGGGGCGCCAGGCAGCCGCGAGGGCGAGAGCAGGTTCACAGATCCCGAGGTCTTCAGCTTCGAGTCTGAGAGCGAATTGATAGAGCAGGGAAAGGTGGTGCTCTGGGGCCGGGAAGGCCGGCCTGGCACCCCAGTTGACGACCAAGGGGACGATGTGGACTACTCGTCCTCCCTGGCTGACGAACCAGCCACCATCGTGCCACCGGCCCAGCGTCCAAGGGCGCCCCTCCCCAGAAGGTGCCGCTGCCGAAGGGTCGGCTGACAACTGGGCGGACCTGGAGGTCGGTCCCAGTGGGAGAGGCGTGCTGGGCCCCAGCCCTGGAGAATGGCGGCAGGCCTCCGCCGGCCCCTGGGAGCCCAGGGTTGCCCTCGGGTAATGCTTTGTGTGGCTCCTAGAAATAGAAGTCCACGTTAGATGGTGGGATCCGTGTCCAGGTTAAACTGATTTCTGTGTCCCCCCGCCCCGCCCCGTCACCACCTTCTGCATCCCACGGAGAGAGGGTGCCTCTTTTACATTGAGGGTTTCATGCCAACCCACCTCACCACTGGGCTGCAGGCTATGGGGGCTACTAAGGGCTGGGGGAGACAGGGAAGACGAGGAGAGAGGAGGCCAGAATTGACTAACCATTTATCTTCCTCCGGTGTCTGCTGGTCTAGTGCATCCGGCTGCAGAGGGAAATTGAGGACCTTACACAGCAGCTAGGTATGATGGAGCCCTGGCTGGGGCAGGGATGGACAGCGGTGTCTTTCTGCTGGTGCGGGGGGCGGGGGTGGGCTGTAGGTACAGGCGGCGTCACTGGAACTGACTTTCCTTTGGGGAAGAGAACCAAGGAAAGCCTGGCCCTGGAGCCTTCTGTGCCTTTCCAGCTAGGGGTGTGCACAGACAGCAATGTGTCGTCTGAACTCCGTGTACACTTAGTCCACGAGTCCCAGAACTCTCCTTCTCTTAGGAGGGTTAGAGATACCGCATGTGTTTTCCCTTTAACTGCTGCCTGGTATGGCTTGTACGGTGTTTGCTTGCTGGCTGGCTTATCTGTCTTTGAAACACGTTCTGAATGAACGGTTCTGGCATGGCCCAGCACCTGAGAACCACTTTCCCGCTTAGAAGGCATTTCCACATTTAATTCAGGTGACGGGTGGATGAGTCAGTCCCAGGGCTGGTGGGGTTTCTGGTTGCAGGGCTAGGTGGTTCCCCACGGGGGCAGGGGGTGAGTTTCTGTTTCCCTGGGTCTGGAGTGCCCGGTTCTGCCTCTCTGTTTCAGCGGCCATGCAGTTCTTCAACGACAAGTTCCAGGGCCTTTGAAGTGAGTGTTGCACACACCGTGCCCCTTCCCACAATCCCGGTAGCTTAGGAGGGCTGTGGGCTGGCCCTGGCTGGGAGCCAGTCCCTGAGCCTGCTCTGTTTCACAGGTTGGAGCCAGCGTCCGGAGCTGCAGCCAAGCGAGTTTCCTCCTTATCCTCCTTAGCCAGGGCTTTTTCTCTTCCGCTGCATTTGCCCCCTTCCCAACGCAGTTCAAAGCAGTGTGAAATAAAGTCGTTCTCATATTCTGTGGTCTGTGGTCTGCCCTCTCTGCGATTGTTGGGAGTGTTGGGGTGTGCCGGGTGTTGCTCCGTTCCCTGGCGCTGGAAGAACAGTTCCCCTGGCGCTCTGTGGTGGGCCATCTCCCTGCGGGGCGCCTGGGCGGGCCTCTGAGCAGCAGCCCTGCACTCGGGCTCACCATAGTGCCCTGGGTCTAGGTGCTGTGGGAGGCCCTGCCCGGCCACAGCAGCATTTCCTGCTTTTCCTGTACACGCCCTGCTCATGCTCCCTCCTCTTCTCCTCCCACTTTGGGGTCTCACAGGTCCCCTTCTTCAGTGCTATTCTCTCTCCCCTTCAGCAGGAACTGATGGCCTCCTTTGAGCACCCTGGTCCTTTGAGCAACCTTTCCTCCTGCAGTTCACTGTCCCTGTTTGTCCTGTCACTGTCCTTTCCATCATGAGCATCCTTGCTCTCCCCCGTGGCTTGACCCCGGTGGCCGTTCCTGCATGGTTATTTCCGTGCTGTTGAGGAACACGACGGAGCTCAGTCCTCTTTCTGGAGCCATTATTTCCCTCCGGTGCCACCATGCACACGGTCAGGTCATCTGGGCCAGTAACCTGCGTGACATCCTCAGTTCGTCTTAGCCCTCACCTTTGAACCTCAGTTATCAAATCCCGTTAGGTCTCCCTCTTTAGTTTCAGTAGCCTTGTGGAGGCAGAAGCCACACCCCGGTGGCTGGCTAAGTCAAAGGGAAGGTAGATGGAGTGCAGAAGAAAAGGGCAAGATAGTCTGTTGGTTGGAGGTGGGGGCACCGAGTCTGTTCTGGCGCCTGTTGGCCAACCTGGTGGAAACTGTTCGCAGGCACCTACACAGAAAGTGGCTTCCATATCCTTGGTGTTCTATAGGTGGCCAGCAGCCCCTTCTGCAGCCAGTGGACTCCATACCCTTGATTTGAAAATGGCCAGCTGCTTTCCAGGGCAAGTGTGGATGCTAGGCCTGGCTGGTCTTCGATAGTCCCTGTGAAATACCATTTCACCACCCCCAAGGCCGCAGGTTTTTGTGGACATAATATTTTCGCGTCCCTGGTCAGTCTTCCAGACCGCCTCTCCAGGTCACACGAGATTTCCTCGAGCTCTCTCTTCTGCCTTCACCATCCCTGACAGTTGAGATCGCCTCGTTCCTTCAGCCGGCATCCTGGGCTGGGCAGGCCCCAGATTCGGGCATAGATTCTGGTTCCAGTGAGGAGGTGTGTGTAGGTTCTGCCAGCTCCCATTGCCAAGAGACTGGGTGTTGCGAACAGACAAAAACAATAGAAATGCAGATACCATTCAAGGTTAGCGTGTGTGTGTGTGTGTGTGTGTGTGTGTGCGCGCGCGCGCGCGCACATGTGCACGCGCGCGCGCGCACATGTGCACGCGTGAGCATGCCCCTGCTAGCACCTGCTTGGGAATCAAATTAATCGTGGGTGCTGTCCCTTGAGCGAGAATGGACTGATTCATGGAGTGGAAGCAGTGGTGAAGGATCCATGAAGGATCGAATTCGCTAAAGCAGGGCTGGGATCTACCCTTTCACAAGAGGTGTTGTTCAAGTCTAACACCTAGAAGGCTGTGGAGTGGGACGAAGGGGACATCCCCAAACACAGGGACGGGTGTCGGGGCTCTCAGAATGCTGGAGGTGCCACAGTAGGCTCCTGATCCTCCACAGGATGGATGGGATGTCTCAGCACTCCCGTGTGTGGGTGCAGTGATAATACCTCAGAGTCGCTGGTTGGTGCCTCATCTAGGAAATGGGGAGCTCCCGTGGGAGGGCACCACGATGCCCGCTAACCAACACATGGGCAAGATACGCACAGAGAGGGTGGAAAGTGGGAAAGAGAGACTGCCCTGGGACAGCTGGTTGGGCTCGGTATCTGCCTTCCCCCATACTCCCTCTGTGTCTCCCTGCTGGGCTCATGGTGTGAGCTCAGCGAGGGGGACCACCACGCACGTGGTGGGTCAATCACAGACCTCAGACCTGGAAACCAACGCTGGTGGGGACCTACCCCATCCGAATCTAACCCCTCACCGGAGAGGATGGGCTTGACTCCTTGGGCCAAGGCTTTGACCCTGACACAGGTGGTTGTTTCTTGGGGGGATAACACAGTGGGCTGGTGTCTGGGGGAAGACATGTGTCAGGGACTCTCCAGCTTGGGTTTTTGCCACCGGAGACATCTAGGCAGGTTCTGGTGGGGGCAGAACTCCAGCCCCAGTCACTGCCCCGGGGGGCATGGGCCATGGTCGACAGGGTGTGGAAGGGGAGAAGCCCGTGGACGGAGTCTTGGAAGGCGTGAACCCATCCCTCAGTTGCTGGCTTTTGCCAGCCCCGCCTCCCAGCACGCCACCTCGGTTCCATATTCAGACCACCTTCTGCACAATAATGGGGCCATAACATGTACACCCTAGGCCCATGGTACACCGCATGGTCGGGCGGAGCCTTCTGGTTCTAGGGGATGTAAGTGCAGAATCCGAGGCTCCTCGGATTAGAGGAATCCATCTGGGTCCCATTGGACAGGAGGAGGTTGAGCCCTTCCCCTCATTCAGTGGCCCCCTTTTGCTTTTCCCTCAAGCCTCCTCTCCCACCAAGAGGAATGTGGGGTCTGGCCTGGAGAGCCTTAGACCCCCTCCTGCCTTGTCCTGCCACTCAGCTCAGATGAGCTCCAGAGGTCTGGTGAGCTGCGTGCCTGCCACAGTGGCGGAGCCCTGTGCAGAATCCCACCTACACCTGGTGCCAGGACTGCCACAGGTACATTTCCATATGAGACCTCTTACTTTGTTGGCAGAAAAGAGCATCTCCTCTTCAGACTCCAGCTAGGGCCGAAGGTGTGTGAGTCTCCTAGCACGCCCGCCAGCCAGAGTCCCCAAGGGTGGCCTTCCAGGCTGTGGCGGAGGCCCAGGGCACCGCACACGGGGATGTGAGATGGCAATCATAGGATCATAGTGGTCATGGTGAGTACCAGCCATGAACTTTAGCCCGCCTGGAACACACTCCTGGGTGAACTCGGACAACCTCATGCACATCTGTCCTCAACCTCCACCCCAAGAACTCCTCCTTTTCCCCACACATTTTCTCATCATGCGTTTCCTCGAAGGATGAGGCCAACACTTGTGTTTGCCAGGTATGGCCGCGGAGGCTGTGGCCGCCAGGGTGGCCGTGCAAACTCTATCTGTGGGATTCCAGGGTGCTCCGTTCTCGTGATCCAGTGTGAACGGCGCCCATGTGGTTGTGCAGTTGTTGAAGTCCGGGTCACTACCATGCAGAGCGAGGAACAGAAGGTTGGCAGGGTTTTGGAACCCTCCTGTTTGCCCCATCCTGATCACTACTTCCCACTTTGCACACCACAGAGGAAATGACTCTACTGACTTTTCCAACAATCAGTCACTTTCTCTTAAAGGATTAATAATTGCCATTTAATAACCATCATCAAGATATAAAAGTTAGAGGCGGTTAAATGTAAAATTACATTTTTGAAACATAATACACCCCCCCACGCACGCACACACCCATACACTCTCTGTCTCACATACACGCACACACACGCACACGGAGAGAACTCAGAAGCCGGCCATTTGACAAACAGTTGTAAGGTGATCAAGCCAGGTAGCTATTACCCAGGTCATGAAACTGTACATTGCACCTTTAGGGAATCGCAGTCCGAGTGTCTTTCTCTGAAGGAAGCCAAATGCACATGCTACGTACCGTGTGATTCCATTTATGTGACATTCTGGAAAAGGCAAAACTCTAGGAACACAAAACAGATTGATGGTTGCCAGGGTCTGAGGGTTAAGACGAGGAGTTCAGTACAAGAGGACGTAAGGGAACCTGGCGGGGGAGGGGGGCGGGGGATGGCGATGCTCTATATCTATATATATTGTGCTGGTGTTTTTACAGCCATACGCATTTACGAGATCTCACAGACCTCTGTGTAAGTTATAGCCCAATAGTCCTGACTTTTTAGAAAAAAAAATTGTCAGCAATACATCTCAAATGGAAATTGACATTTAGTCAATACCTTTTGTGACTATGAAGAGCATGCTTCTCTCTCCAAATCTGTTAATGTGGAGAATTATACCATTGTATTTTCTGAAGAGAAATTAAGTTTGTATTTCTGGGATGAAGCCAATATTAGTCATGCCATATTAGGTATTTTCCTTTTTATATCCTGTAGGCTTCCGTGTGCTAAGATTCTGGTTCCAGTTTTTACTTCTATGTCATGAGCCTGTGATTGATCTGCAATATTTCTCTAAGTGTCCCTGCAGGATTTGGTATCGAGGTTATGCCAAGCTCATACAGTGAGTGGAGGATTGTTCCTCCTTTTCAATTTTCTGCACGAGTTTGTGTCAAACGGAAGACAGGTATTCCTAGGATGTTTTTCAGAATGTGGTGGGGAATCCTAGAGTTTATTAGTGGAAAGCCTTTGACTACTCATATCTTTCTGTAATGATTCTGGAACGGTTCAGGTTGGCTGTTCCTTCTTGTGTTAGTTTTGGTGGATTTTGTTTCCTAGCGACTGGTTACCTTTTTCTTTGTTTTCAAACTGACTGTAATAAAGTGGTCCATAATATCCCCCTTCATCTCAGATTGCATTTGTTAAAATTAGGAAGTCACAGAAGAGTTGCACAGAAAGCCAAAGGAGCACCCATACGTATATTCTTCTACTGGATCCTGCAGTTGTTACCATTTTCTCACATTTGCTTCATCCCTCCCTCCATGCCGCGCCCCCATCTTTTTCTGAGCGTGTGCGTGTATTTTTTTTTTTTTATTGTTTTGTGGAATCATTTGAGATCCATTGGAATCATTTAGATCCATCATCCGTAAATACTGCAGCATGTATCGCCTACAGGGAAGCATGGGCTCCCACAAAACCTTAATGCCACCATGACACTCAGGAAATGTAACATTGAGACCACACAATTTTCTACTGTATGATCACATGAAACATTTTCCGATTGTCCCCATGGTCACATAGTATCCCTCATGGCTGCTTTCTAACAAAATTTTCTTTCCAACCAAACATCATGCTTTGCATTTAGTAGTCAAGTCTCTTTTGAGACAGGGTCTCCCTCTGTCGCCCAGGCTGGCTTGCAGGGTCGTGAACCTGGCTAAGTGCAGCCTTGACCTCCCAGGCTCAAGCCATCCTCCTGCCTCAGCCTCCTGAGTAACTTGGACTACAGGCGAGTGCCACCATGCCTGGCTAATTTTTAACATATTTTTTGTAGAGACAGGGTTTCACCGTCTTGCCCAGGCTCGTCTGGAACTCCTGAGCTCAAGCCATCCGCCCGCCTAGGTCTCCCAAACTGTTGGGATTACAGGCGTGAGCCATGGTTCCCGGCCCATCAAGTCTCTTCAGTGTCCTTTAAAGTGTGCTTTAAAGCAATGTTTAAAGTGTGCTTTAAATCACTGCAGCTGTTGTCGGGAAGCCCTTGAACTTGGCTTTGTCGAGTGGCTTCCTTGTGATTAGATTCAGGTAGGTTTAACATTTTTGGCAAGACTACTGCATAGCAGACGTGCCGTCCTTCTCGGTGCATGACATCAGCAGATTCTCCATGTAGGCTTCTCTCATGACTGGCGATGTTCATCTTGACCGACCATGTGGCCAGGGCGTTGTTCCAGATTACTCCATTGTGAAGGTGCCATCTTCTCTTTGTATTTAATTAGCTATGTGCTGTTACTGCATGGGCACTCTGTGTGAATATCCAGTTCCCCCACAACATCCTCTTTCTATCTTTTGGATGTCTGCATATGATATGGCTTGGAACCGTGTCCCCACCAAGTCTCGTGTCCAACTGTGACTTCTAATGTTGGAGGTGGGGCCTGGTCGGAGGTGACTGGATCATGGGGCTGGATTTCTCAGGAATGGTTTAGCAGCATCCACTTGGTACTGTCCTCATGGTTGCGAATGAGTTGTCATGAGTCTGGTCGATTAAAAGTGTGTGACACCTCTCCTTTCTCTTTCTTGCTCCTGCTCCTGCTCCTATCATGTAACAGGTACCTGCTTCTGTTTCACCTTCCGCCGTGATTGCAAGCTTCCTGAGTCCTCCCAGAAGCAGAAGCCGCTATGCTTCCCTTCCCGTACAGCCTGCAGAACCATGAGCTCTTCTCTTTATAAATGACTCGGTCTTGGATATTTCTATATAGCAACACGAGAACGGACGTAACATCGTTTGTGCTTATTTCTCCCTTTTCTTTCCTGATAGCGGTGCCCTTCTCCCTTGTTTTCTTGACCAGTCTCACAAGAGTTTTACCAATTTCATTCCTCTTCCAAACACCCAGCTTCTGGTTTTGTGATCCTTATGCTTGTTTTCGCTTTCACTGATTTCTCCTTTTACCTTGATGACCTCCTTCTACTTTCCTTGGTCTTACGTTGGGCTTCTTTTTTGAACGTTTTCTCGTTAATTGTCTGCGATCCTCTTTTAAATATGTGCTTTTAGCAGCCTACACGTCCCTCTCAGGACTCCTTTACTGGTGCCGACAAGGGTTTATGAGTAGTATTTTTGTGATCATCCAGTTCCAAATATGGGAAACCATGAAAATCGCAACTTTCATGGGACGGAATGAATACATTGTGGTATGTTAATACAATGGAATACTATTTCAGCAACGGAAAAGTACGAAGTACAAAGTACTCCTCCATGGAATAATAGGCGCGAATCTTACAAAGATAACATCGAGGGAAAGAAGCAAGGGACAACACGGACATGCTTAATGATTCCATTCCTATAACTTCAAATGACAGGCAACACTAACCTACCTTGTTGAAGAATGCATACTTAGGATATAAAACCACAGAGAAGAGCAAGGAAAGGACAATCAGAAAAGTCAGGATGTTGGTTTCCCCTTGCAGTAGGAGTGGGGCTGAGCTCAGGCAGGGACACCCCAGGAGGCTCTGGGGAATGCTGGCGGTGTTCTTCTCTGGGACCTAGGGGAGCGTTCCTGTGCAGGTGCACTGGACAATCATTTATTAAACTATGCACATAAACTGTGATGTTTTCTTTCTGTACGTTGCCTGCCACCATAAGCAGACAAAACAATAGTGCTAAGGGAAGTAACACTGCATTAAACAGGTAAGTATTTTATAACCAGAAGGATAACCAAAATTTTATTTTCTCTATTTATAGCAGATCTCCTTGCGAGTACTAATATCAGTTTATTGATAGTGATAGCTTGATTTCAAATTCTCATAGATTTCACCAAACATCGTAGGAACGATGCTTACATAATTGTGATATTAATTTCGATGTTTTGGTAAATATTTTATATTTGGGTGGCAAGTTTTCATTCAGAATTTGTGATTATGTGTTGGAACACCATGCACTTGGTACATTTTTCTCACGGGAGATTTGTCACCTCCCCATCCACTTATTCTCAGGGGCAGACGACTTAGGACCTGAGAAAAAGAAATTAAGGCAACAACATTAAGGGGCAGCAACGCAAATTTTTACCTTCATAGTTTATATCAGTTAATTGTGGTATACTCACATGATGGAATACCTTTTTTTTTTTTTTTTTTTGCAATGGAAATGTACGGGGTATTCTTAGGGATACTGTCCATTTTTAAGAAAAGTCCATTACCAAGATATAACAAATTACATAAAGTTAACTATCATATGATATTTATAAAGCATACTACACATATATACAAGTTTAGAAAACCAATCGACTGTGAATGAACTGTTGAGAAGTGAGGAAAACACGTATTGAGTACTGAGGTCAAGAAAGAGTACATTGCAGTTCTAGAGGTCTTATATGTATTTCATTGTGCTAAAGACACCAAATATGAAACTCTACATAATGTATGATTCCATTTGTAGAACATTCTTAAAACTGGAAAACTACACATACAGAAAACTAATCAGTCATTTCCAGGTCTGTGGATTGTGAGAAGTGTTTAACTACAAATGCGTGTTATTTGTTATTAGCAATTTCGACCCTCTTTATGTTGAAATGTAACATACATAGAGAGAAGTTCACAATATGTGTGTGTTGTTTAATAGTGATTATCAAGGGCATCTCTACAGAAACACCCCCATGTCACAGAGGAGAACACCGCCAGCATTCCCCAAAGCTCCTGGGGTGTCTCTGCCTGATCTCAGCCTCATTCCTCCTTCAAGAGGAAACCAACACATTTACTTTTGTGATCATTCTTTCCTCAGTTTTCTCTATGATTTTTGGTCCCACGTCCTATACTACATTCTTTTATCTTTTTTTTTTTTTCCTTTTTCTGGAGAACGGGGTCTCGCTATATTGCCCAGGCAGGTCTCGAACTCCTGGGCTCAAGCTATCCTCCCGCCTCTTGCCTCCCTGAGAGCTGGGATTACAGGCGTGAGCCACCGCGCCCGGCCTACATTCTTTTAATACTACAGTATGCCTGCAGACGACATGTTCCTAAATCTAGAAAACCCCACAGTCTCAGCCCCAAAGCTCCTTAAGCTGATAAACAACTTCAGCAAAGTCTCAGGATACCAAATCAATGGGAACAATCACTAACATTCCTATATGCCAACAACAGTCAAGCAGAGAGCCAAATCAGGAACACAGTCCCATTCATAATTGCCACACACACACACACACACACACACACACACACACACAAGATACCTGGGAATACACCACACCAGGGAGGTGAAAGATCTCTGCAAGAAGAACTACAAAACACTGCTCAAGGAAATCAGACATGTCACAAGCAAATGGAAAAACATTCATGCTCATGGATAGGAAGATCAATATAATTAAACTGGCCATACTGCCCAAAGCAATTTGCAGATTCAATGTGATTCCTAGTAAGTTATCATTGGCATTCTTCACAGAACTAGAAAAACTATTTTAAAATTCATATGGAACTGAAAAAGAGCCTGAGTGGCCAAGGCAATCCTAAGCGAAAAAGAACAAAGCTGGAGGCATCACGCTACCCGACTTCAAAATATACCACGGGCCCACAATAACCAAAACAGCATGGTACTGGTACAAAAGCAGACACGGAGTCCAATGGAACAGAATAGAGAGCCCAGAAATAAAGCCGCACACCTACAACTCTCTGATATTTGACAGACCTGACAAAAGCAAGCAATGGGGAAGGTATTCTCTGTTCGGCAAAGGGTGCTGAGATAACTGGCTAGCCATACATGGAAGACTGCAACTGGATCCCTTTCTTACACCAGGTACTGGTCTGTTCTCTTGCTGCTAATAAAGACATACCCGAGACTGGGTAATTTATAAAGTAAAGAAGTTTAATGGACTCACAGTTCCACATGCCTTGGGAGGCCTCACAATCGTGGCAGAAGGCGAAGGAAGAGCAGAGGTGTGTGTTCCATGGCGGCAGAAAAGACAGCATGTGCAGGGGAACTGCCCTTTATAAAACCATGAGAACTCATGAGACTTATTCGCTATCACGAGGACAGCACGGGAAAAATCCGTCCCCATGATTCAATTACCTCCCACCGGATCCCTCCCACAACACGTGGGGATCATGGGAGCTACAGCTCAAGAGGAGATTTGGGTGGGGACACAGCCAAAGTATATCATACCGTATACAACAATTAACTCAACATGGATTAAAGACTTAAATTAAAACCCCAAAATATAAAAACCATGGAAGACAACTTAGGCAATCATATTCTGGACACAGGAACGAGCAACGATTTCATGACGAAGACACCAAGAGCAATTACAACAAAAGCAAAAATTGACAAATGGGGTCTAATTAAGCTAAAGAGCAAGCTTCTACACACTAAAGGAAACTGTCAACAGAGTGAACAGAAAACCTACAGAATGGGAGAAAATTTTTGCAAACTGTGGATCTGACAAAGATCTAATATCCAGCATCTATAAGGAACTTAAACAAGTTCCACAAGAAAAATACCAAACAACCCCATTAAAAAGTGGGCAAAGGACATGAACAGACACTTTTCAAAAGAAGACATACATGCGGCCAACAATCCCATGAAAGAAAGCTCAACGTCACTGACCATTAGAGAAATGCAAATCAAAACCACAATGAGATACCATCTCACGCCAGTCAGAATGGCTATTACTACAAAGTAAAAGAATAATGGATACTGGCGAGGTTGCAGAGAAAAAGGAACACTTATACACTGTTGGTGAGAGTGTAAATTAGTTCAACCATTGTGGAAGACAATGTGGTGATTCCTCGAAGACCTAAAGACAGAAGTACCATTCAGCCCAGCAATCTCATTACTGGGCATATACCCAAAGGAATATAAATCATTCTATTATCAAGACACGTGCACGTGTATGTTCATTGCAGCACTATTCACAATAGCAAAGACATGGAATCCTAAATGCCCATCAATGGTAGACTGGATAAAGAAAATGTGGTACATATACACTATGGAATATTATGCAGCCATAAAAAGAATGAGATTAGGTCCTTTGCAGGAACGTGGTTGGATGGGGAGGCCATTATCCTTAGCAAACTAATGCAGGAACAGAAAACCAAATACCGCATCTTCCCACTTATAAGTGGGAGCTAAATGACGAGAACACAGGGACACAAAGAGGGGAACAACACACACCGGAGCCTATCGGACAGTGGAGGGTGGGAGGAGGGAGAGGACCGGGAAAGTAACAAATGGTACTAGGCTTAATCACTGGGTGACGAAATAATTTCTACAAGAAACCCCCACGACACAAGTTTACCTATGTAACAAACCTGTACGTGTACCCTCGAACTTAAAAAAAAAGTTAAATTCAAGAAATAATAATGATATGGCTTGGTGTTGACTGTTCTGTACTTTTATATTAGTGGAATCAGAAAATATGTTCATATTTCTTGCTTCTTGTGTTTAATGTCAGGAGTTTGGTTTCGGATGTTTAAATCTGAGATGTGTGTTAGGTATCCAAGTGGAGATGTTGAGTAGACGAAGGTCTGGCTCTGGGTTGAAAAAGTATCTATGAGAGTCATCATAGTATCGATATTTTTTTCCAGGGCCCACTCCAGAGATAGAAATTACACCACTTTTCTATTGAGTTATGTTAAAATACACGGAACATAAAATTTACCATCTTAAGCATTTTTCAGTGTTCAGTTCAGTAGTGTTAAATATATTCGCAGTTCTGTGCTGCCAATCTCCAGGATGTCTTCAACTGCAAAACTGAAATGTATACCCGCTAAACAACTCCTCGTTTTCCCCTGCCCCCCAGCCTCTGGAAACCACCACTCTACCTTCTGTTTCTGAGTTTGAATATTTTAGATCCCTTATACAGGTGGAACCATGTAGTATTTGTCCTTTTGTGACTGACTCATTTTATAGCATAATGTCCTAAAGTTTTATCCA
The DNA here is from genome assembly GCF_000001405.40 of Homo sapiens. Classification (NCBI taxonomy): domain Eukaryota; kingdom Metazoa; phylum Chordata; class Mammalia; order Primates; family Hominidae; genus Homo; species Homo sapiens. The sequence continues at coordinate 71,749,462 of NC_000023.11, read as the reverse complement.
CATTGTAGCATTTATCAGAATTCCATCTTTTTATGGGCGAAATCATAATTCATTTTAATGGCCAAATAATAACTCACCATACTTTGTTTCTGTATTCATCCATCAGTGGACACTTGGGTTGCTTCCATCTCTTGGCTCTCATGAATAATGCTGCTATGAGCAGGGGTGTACAAACAGCACTTTGAGACTCTGATTTCTCTTCTTTTGGATATAGACACAGAATGGAATTACTGGATCATATGGTAATTCTCTTTTTAGTTTTCTGAGTAACTGCCATACTGTTTTCCACAGCAGCTGTGCCATTTTACATTCCCACCAACAGTGCACAAAGGTTCCAGTTTCTGCACATCTTCACCAGTATCACATCAGTTTTATTGAACAAATGGAATTTATTTCATTCCTTTGTATTTTATTTTTGTTTATTCGTAATGACACAATTGTATATATTTATAGTGCACAACATGATGCTTTGAAATACGTATACATTGTACAATGGCTAAATTAGGCTAACTACAATATGTATGAACTCACATACCTTTCATCTTTTGTGGTGAGAACACTTAAAACCTACCCTCTTAACAATTTTCAAGTATACATTATTATTAACTATAGTCACCTTGTTTACAATAGATCTCTTGAACTTAGACTTCTTGTCCAAATGAAGTTTTGTATCCTTTGACCAATATCTCCCCAATCCTTCCCAGCCCCAGACCCTGGTAACCACCATTCTATTCTCTGTTTCTAAAAAGTTTGATTTTTTAAGATTCCACATCGCAGTGAGATCATACAGTATTTGTCTTCCTGTGCCTGGCTTATTTCACTCGACATAATATATTCCAGATTCACTCATGTTGCCACAAATGACAGGATTTCCTTTTATTTTTTTAAAAAAGGCTCAATACTATTCTATTGTGTGTGCACATACACATGTGCTTTATCCATTCATCCATTTGATGGGCTCTTAGGTTCATTTCACGTCTTGGCTGTTGTGAACAGTGCTGCAATGTATATGTGAGTGCAGATATTTTTGACATACTGATTTCATTTCCTTTGGCCATATATCCAGTAGTGAGATTACCAAATTAAATGATAGTACTATTTATATTTCTTTAATTTTAATTTTTAATGGATACATAATATTTGCACATATATATGGTGTACATGTGGTATATTGTCACGTGCATAGAATGTATAATGATCAATTCAGGATATTTGGGGTAACCATCACCTGGAATACTTTTCATTCCTATGTATTGGGAACATTTCAAGTCCTCTCTTCTGGCTATTTTGAAATATACAATACATTGCCGTTAACTGTAGTCATCCTACTCTGCTGCTGAACATTAGAAGTTACTCTGTCTTTGTTTTTTTGGGGACTGGGTCTCACTCTATTGTCCCAGGCTGGAGTGCAGCGGTGCAGTCACAACTCACTGCAGCCTCAACCTCCTGGGCTTAAGCGATCCTTCCACCTCAGCCTCCCGAGTAGCTGGGACGACAGGTGCGCCCCACCACGCCTGGCTAATTTTTTTTTTTTTTTTTTTTGTAGAGACTGGGTTTCACTATACTGTCCAGGCTGGTCTGGAACTCCTGAGCTCATGCGATCTGCCCGCCTCGACTTCTCAAAGTGCTGGGATTACAGGCATCAGCCACCATACCTGGCCTAGAACTTATTCCTTCTTTTCAACTATATGTTTGTACCTATTAACCAACTTCTCTTCTTCCCAACCCCTCGTCCTCCAATCCACACATCCTTCCCAGCCTCTCATATCTATCACTCTATTCTCTACCTCTATGAGATCAACTATTTTAGCTCCCTCATATGAGTGAGAACACACGGTATTTGTCTTTCTGTGCCTGGCTTATTTCACCTAACTTAATGACCACCGGGTCCATCCATGTTGCTGCAAATGAAAGGATTTCATTCTTTCTGTGGCTGAATCGTATTTCCTGTGTATATATGCCACATTTTCTTTATCCATTCATCCACTGATGGTTGATTCCATACCTTGGCTATTGTGATGAGTGCTGCAATAAGTATGGGAGTGTAGGTATCCCTTTGGTATACCAATTTCCTCTCTTTTGGATAAATACCCGGTAGTGGGATTGCTGGATAGTTGTACTTTTAGTGTTTTGAGAAGTCTCCATACTGTTTTTTTACAGTGGTTGTACTAATTTACATTCCCACCAACAGTGCATAAGGGTTCCCTTTTCTTCACATCCTCGCCAACACTTGTTCTCTTTTATCTTTCTGATAATAGCCATTTTAACAGGTGTGAAGTGATAGCTCATTGTGACATTTCCCTGATGATAAGTGATGTCGAGCATTTTCATACAACTGTTGACCATTTGTATGTCTTCTTTGGAGAAATGTCTATTCAGATCCTTTGCACGTTTTAAAATCAGGTGATTTGTTTTCTTGTTATTGAGTTGAGTTCCTTATGTATTTTGGATATTAACTCCTTATCAGATGTATAGTTTGTGAATATTTTCTCCCATTCTGTAGGTTGCCTCTTCACTCTGTTGATCGTTTCCTTTGTTGTGCAGAAGCCTTTCAGTTTGACGTAATCCCATTTCTCTATTCTTTCTTTGGTTGCTCATGCTTTTGGGGTCATAGCGGAAAGATTATCGCCCAGGTCAATGCCATGGATGTTTCTCGCTATGTTTTCTTCTGGCAGTTTACAGTTTCAGATCTTACGATTAAATCCGGAGTCCATTTTGACTTGATTTTTGTATATGATGTGAGACAAGGGTCCCATTTTATTCCTCTGCATGTGGATACTCCGTTTTCCCAAGACCATTTATTGAAGAGACAGTCCTTTCTACATTGTGTGTTCTTAGCATCTTTGTTGAAAGTCACTTGACCATAAGTGCATGGATTTTTTCTAGTCTATTATATTTGTCCATGTGTCTGTTTGTATGCCAGTACCATGCTGTTTTGATTACTCTAGCTTTTATTATATTTTGAGATCAGGTTGTGATTCCTCCAGCTTTGTTCTTCTTGCTCAAGATTGCCTTGGGTAACTGGAGTCTTTTGTGGTTCTCTGCGAATTTTAGGATTGCTTTTTCTGTTATGTAAAAATAGCATCGGAATTTTGATAGGGATTGCAGTGAGTCTGTTGATTGCTTTGAGTAGTATGGACATTTTAACAATATTGATTCTTCCAATCCATAATCATTGGATAGCTTTCCATTTATTTGTGGCTTCCTCAACTTCTTTCATCAGTGTTTTATAGTTTCCAGCGTACAGATCTTTCAACTCCTTGGTTGAATTTATTCCTAAGTAGTTTACATTATTTTTGAGAGCTACTGTGAATGGGATTGTTTTCTTGATTTCCTTTTCAGATAGTTTGCAATTAGTGTATGGAAATGCTACTGATTTGTGTATGTTGGCTTTGTATTTTGCAACTTTCCTTAAAATTCATTTGAATTTTAAGGTTTTTCATAAAATATTTTAAGATTTTAGATATATAAAATCATGTCATTGTCGTCTGCAGACAGAGATAATTTAAATTCTTATTTTTTTTCTTTTGCTTTTTGGGACAGGTTCTCTCTTTGTCACCCAGGCTGGAGTGCAGTGATGGGATCTCGGCTCACCGAAGCCTCGCCTTCCTGGGTTCAAGCGATTCTCATGCCTCAGCCCCCCAGGTAGCTGGGACTACAGTCGCATGCCACCACGCCCAGCTAACTTTTGTATTTTTGGTAGAGACAGGGTTTCGCCATGTTGCCCAGGCTGGTCTCGAACTCCTGGCCTCATGTGATTCACCATCCTCAGCCTCCCAAATGTTAGGATAACAGGTGTGAGCCACCGTGCCCAGAAACTTTTTATTTTCTGATTTGTGTGCTTTAAATTTTTCTCTCTTGCCTAAATTTTTTGGCTAAAATTTCCAGTACTATGTTGCATTGAAGTGGTGAAAGGGGGCATGTTTGTCTTGTTTCTGATACAGGTAGTATTAAAACCAGGGTCTTCCATCAGCTATGACAAGAGTGTAGTTAAAGGAAAGAATCAGACCAAGGACTGAGCCCGGGGGCTCTCTATTTGTTAGGATAAGAATTTGGGGAGAAGAGAACTTCCGCATAGCTGAACACATGGAAGTTCCTGGAGGGAGGTGCACCTGGAGAGGGCATGGAAGCTCCATGCCCCTTCCCACATACTGTGTCCTATGCATCTCTTTCATCTGGCTGTTCGTCCGTATCCTTTTTCCTTTGTCATGTTCTTCATAATAAATGGGTAAACATATTTACTAATCAGTGTTAAAACCCAACACGATACACTAACATGATTTTAGTGCACTTAGAGGAGAAATATTTCCTAGTTAAGGGGGAAATTGTGCAAAGGGCCTCTGGAAGACCTTCATTCTAAATTGCTTTGTAGGGAAACATTTCATTTAGAAGTCTGGACATTCTTTTTCAGTTTGCTGTAATCTACATTCACTGAGTAGAACTTGTATTGATCATTGGGACCCAGTTTATTCCAGGGTTCTGGGGGATTCTTTCTGTCCCAGCTAACACCTGGGTTAAACAGTGCCAGATGCAAGACATGCAGCCCTGCTCTGGTGCCTCCTGCTCACATATATACAAAGAGAGAGAGATCACACTCGAATGCTTCCTGGCCTGACCAAAGAGCTGGGGGAGCATCTGCGTAGCCTGGAAGGAGGGAAGAACAAATATTTCAGGCCCGGGTCTAAGTAATCCAATGCAGCATTTGATGTTTGGAGGAGACTTAGGCTATATAGAATTGAGTTAACAATACTCCTGGTTTCATAACATGCTACTCATGATTGATGTCAGGCCCTATTTGTTTATTTATTTTATAATATAGTGTTCTCCCATTTACCTATTACCCAATCCAAAAACTAGACTATTACCAGTAACTTACGTCCACCTCTGAGCTCCCCCTCACTGCATCCTCCTGACCCTCTTCACTCCCACTAGAAGCAACCCTAACCTAAATTGTGTACTTGGTATTTCTTTGATTTTTATTGCAAATAAGTACACACACACACACACACACACACACACACACACACACACACACACATATATATATATATATATATATATATATATATATATATATATATATATGTACTTATGGTTTTGGCTCACTGCAGCCTCAACCTCCCCAGCTCGTATATATATATAAATATATACTTATGATTTTGGCTCACTGCAGCCTCAACCTCCCCAGCTCAGGTGATTCTCCCACCTCAGCCTCCCGAGTACCTGGGAGCACAAACGCGCGCCGTGATGCCTGGCTAATTATTTGTAGAGATGGGGTGTAGCCATGTTGCGCAGGCTGGTCTCCTATTCCTGGACTCAACCACTCCACCCACGTCTGCCTCCCAAAGTGCTGAGATTACAGGCGTGAGCCGCTGCGCCTGGCAATTATACTGTTCAGTTTTGCTTGATTTTGAATTTTATGAAAAGGTTGTCATACTGCATGTAGTCTTGTGGTAACTGCTTTTTTCATACTTATACTAACATTGATCCATTGTTGAGCATAAAACTGCAGTTCACCCATTTGCCTTGCTACATAGTATATCATGGTATGCATACACCACAGTTTATCTACACATTCTCTTATTTGTGATCATTTGCATAGTTCCCAGGTTTTTTGCTACTGTGGTCAGTGCTGCTGTGAAATTCTTGTCCAGTGGACATTGACAGGAATTGCTGAGTTGTCAATGATCTACTTTATATATTGATGCCACATTGTTTTCCAAACTGGTTGTGTTCGTTTATATTCCCAACGTGTTGCAAGCTGTATGAGATCCCACTGCTCTGCATCCTCTCTAACCTTTGATGTTGCTAGGTTTCTAAATCTTTGCCAATCAAATGGGTACAAGATTTATCTTGAGGTCATGTTTAGCATTTCCCTGACTACTGATGAGCTGAGCATATCTTCATGTGTTTATTGGCCACATAGGTTCCTTCTTCTATGGAATTCCTGTTGATGATTTTTGCCTATTTTCTTACTGGGTTGTTTGTCTTTCTTACTGATTTCTAGGAGTTCTCAAAATATATTCTTGATAACCAATCTTTTGTCAATTGTATGCAGGATAAAGATCTTCTTCCAGCTTGTACCATGTATTTCCACTTTTATATGACATCTTTTAAAAGTTGAGGTGTAACAGGCCGGGCACAGTGGCTCACGCCTGTAATCCCAGCACTTTGGGAGGCCGAGGCAGGTGGATCACTTGAGGCCAGGAGTTCGAGACCAGCCTGACCAACATGGTGAAACCCCATCTCTACAAAAATAAAAAATTAGCCAGGCTTGGGGTTGGGCACCTGTAATCTCAGCTACTTGGGAGGCTGAGGCAGGAGAATCGCTTGAACCCAGGAGACGGAGGGTGCAATGAGCTAAGATGGAGCCATTGCACTCCAGCCTGGGTTACAAGAGCAAAACGCCGTCTCAAAAAAAAAATAAAATAAATAATAAAATAAAATAAATTGAGGGTTAACATGCATACGACAAATCACAGAAACTTAAGTGTACAATCTTAACACAGATCTACACCCATGTAACCGCCATCCAGATCAAAATAGAGAACATTTTCAACATCCTCGCATCCCTAAAAAGAGAATTTTGAGAGAAGATGAGGAACCAGTAAAGAAGATTGAGGAGTGACCACTGAGATTGGAATAAACCCAATGTCTTCTCCTCCTGGCAATGGCAGACTAGACAATTCAGATAAACCCTCTGTGTTGGCCATCTGTTAGTTGGCCATCTGGTTTAACTCAATCTACAGCCTCCCCCCGTCTCTCTGATGATTGGGCAGATATCACATAGTTCAATGGCCCAACCCTCTAGTCATATGGTTGGTCTTCCTAGTATGGCCAGCCTCCATTCAGAGTCATCTCATTACATAAACTATCTAGGGGCCTCCCATGATTCACCTCATTAGCATAAACCATGTAGTGTGGTCCGTGGGGCTCACCAGGAATGACAAAGGCATGCCCATCACTCAGGAAATTGCAAGGGATTAGAGGTTATCTCCCAGGACTCAGGGACAAGGTCCAGGCAAATTCTTTATTATACATTAAGTGCACAGAAAAATGCACATTATAGAAAAAATTCATCTTATTGGGATCTTTCCAGATCCTGGGAATATAGAAATATACTGCTATGGTTCGGATATGATTGGTCTGTCCCCGCCAAAACTCATGTGGAAATTGGATCCCCAATGTGGTGGTGTTGGGAGATGGGGCCTTGTGGGAGGTGTTTGGGTCATGGAGACAGATCCCTCATGAACAGCTTGCTGCCGTTCTGGAGGTAGTGAGTGAGTACTGGCTCTGGTGAGACTGGATTAGTGCCCATAACGGTAGGTTTCTTATAAAGCCAGCATGCCCCTCGGGTTTTCCCTCTTTGCATGTGTCTGCTTCTCCTTTGGCCTTCTCCACTATGTTTTGGCCTAGGAGGTGGCTGTCACCAGAAGCTGAGGAGTTACGGGTGCCATGCCTCTCCTACTTCCCAGCTTGCTGAACCATGAGCTAAGTCAATCTCTTTTATATCTATATTACATATCTAAATAATATATAGATATAGAATATATCTGTATATTATATAGATATAGAATACATCTCCATACTATATAGATATAGAATACGTCTCTATACTATATAGACATAGAATACGTCTCCATACAACACAGACATAGAATACGTCTCTATACTACATAGACATAGAATACGTCTCTATACTACATGGACATAGAATACGTCTCTATACTACATGGACATAGAATACGTCTCTATACTACATGGACATAGAATACGTCTCTATACTACATGGACATAGAATACGTCTCTATACTACATGGACATAGAATACGTCTCTATACTACATGGACATAGAATACGTCTCTATACTACATGGACATAGAATACGTCTCTATACTACATGGACATAGAATACGTCTCTATACTACATGGACATAGAATACGTCTCTATACTACATGGACATAGAATACGTCTCTATACTACATGGACATAGAATACGTCTCTATACTACATGGACATAGAATACGTCTCTATACTACATGGACATAGAATACGTCTCTATACTACATGGACATAGAATACGTCTCTATACTACATGGACATAGAATACGTCTCTATACTACATGGACATAGAATACGTCTCTATACTACATGGACATAGAATACGTCTCTATACTACATGGACATAGAATACGTCTCTATACTACATGGACATAGAATACGTCTCTATACTACATGGATATAGAATATGTCTCTATATTATATGGATATAGAATATGTCTATATTATATAGATATAGAATATGTCTATATTATATAGATATAGAATATGTCTCTATACTATATAGATATAGAATATGTCTCTATACCATACAGATATAGAATATGTCTCTATATTATATATATAGAATAAACAGATATAGAATATATCTATATATTATATCTATATAATATATAGATATAGAATATATCTATATAATATATAGATATGTAATATATCTATATTATATATCTATAAAATATATAGAATATATATAACTATATAATATATAGAATATATCTATATATCTACATAATATAAAGATATATATCTATATAATATATCTATATTAGATATAGAGACCCTATTTCTACAAAAACTTATAATATAGATATATATATCTATACATCTATATAGCATATATCTAGATATATATATGCTATATAGATATATAGATATATATCTTTATATTATGTAGATATATAGATATATTCTATGTATTATATAGTTATATATATTCTATATATTTTATAGATATATAATATAGATATATTCTATATCTATATATTATATAGATATATTCTATATCTATATATTATATAGATATAATATATAGATATATTCTATATCTGTTTATTCTATATATATAATATAGAGACATATTCTATATCTATATAATATAGAGACATATTCTATATCTGTATGGTATAGAGACATATTCTATATCTATATAGTATAGAGACATATTCTATATCTATATAATATAGACATATTCTATATCTATATAATATAGACATATTCTATATCCATATAATATAGAGACATATTCTATATCCATGTAGTATAGAGACGTATTCTATGTCCATGTAGTATAGAGACGTATTCTATGTCCATGTAGTATAGAGACGTATTCTATGTCCATGTAGTATAGAGACGTATTCTATGTCCATGTAGTATAGAGACGTATTCTATGTCCATGTAGTATAGAGACGTATTCTATGTCCATGTAGTATAGAGACGTATTCTATGTCCATGTAGTATAGAGACGTATTCTATGTCCATGTAGTATAGAGACGTATTCTATGTCCATGTAGTATAGAGACGTATTCTATGTCCATGTAGTATAGAGACGTATTCTATGTCCATGTAGTATAGAGACGTATTCTATGTCCATGTAGTATAGAGACGTATTCTATGTCCATGTAGTATAGAGACGTATTCTATGTCCATGTAGTATAGAGACGTATTCTATGTCCATGTAGTATAGAGACGTATTCTATGTCCATGTAGTATAGAGACGTATTCTATGTCCATGTAGTATAGAGACGTATTCTATGTCCATGTAGTATAGAGACGTATTCTATGTCCATGTAGTATAGAGACGTATTCTATGTCCATGTAGTATAGAGACGTATTCTATGTCCATGTAGTATAGAGACGTATTCTATGTCTATGTAGTATAGAGACGTATTCTATGTCTGTGTTGTATGGAGACGTATTCTATGTCTATATAGTATAGAGACGTATTCTATATCTATATAGTATGGAGATGTATTCTATATCTATATAATATACAGATATATTCTATATCTATATATTATTTAGATATGTAATATAGATATAAAAGAGATTGACTTAGCTCATGGTTCAGCAAGCTGGGAAGTAGGAGAGGCATGGCACCCGTAACTCCTCAGCTTCTGGTGACAGCCACCTCCTAGGCCAAAACATAGTGGAGAAGGCCAAAGGAGAAGCAGACACATGCAAAGAGGGAAAACCCGAGGGGCATGCTGGCTTTATAAGAAACCTACCGTTATGGGCACTAATCCAGTCTCACCAGAGCCAGTACTCACTCACTACCTCCAGAACGGCAGCAAGCTGTTCATGAGGGATCTGTCTCCATGACCCAAACACCTCCCACAAGGCCCCATCTCCCAACACCACCACATTGGGGATCCAATTTCCACATGAGTTTTGGCGGGGACAGACCAATCATATCCGAACCATAGCAGTATATTTCTATATTCCCAGGATCTGGAAAGATCCCAATAAGATGAATTTTTTCTATAATGTGCATTTTTCTGTGCACTTAATGTATAATAAAGAATTTGCCTGGACCTTGTCCCTGAGTCCTGGGAGATAACCTCTAATCCCTTGCAATTTCCTGAGTGATGGGCATGCCTTTGTCATTCCTGGTGAGCCCCACGGACCACACTACATGGTTTATGCTAATGAGGTGAATCATGGGAGGCCCCTAGATAGTTTATGTAATGAGATGACTCTGAATGGAGGCTGGCCATACTAGGAAGACCAACCATATGACTAGAGGGTTGGGCCATTGAACTATGTGATATCTGCCCAATCATCAGAGAGACGGGGGGAGGCTGTAGATTGAGTTAAACCAGATGGCCAACTAACAGATGGCCAACACAGAGGGTTTATCTGAATTGTCTAGTCTGCCATTGCCAGGAGGAGAAGACATTGGGTTTATTCCAATCTCAGTGGTCACTCCTCAATCTTCTTTACTGGTTCCTCATCTTCTCTCAAAATTCTCTTTTTAGGGATGCGAGGATGTTGAAAATGTTCTCTATTTTGATCTGGATGGCGGTTACATGGGTGTAGATCTGTGTTAAGATTGTACACTTAAGTTTCTGTGATTTGTCGTATGCATGTTAACCCTCAATTTATTTTATTTTATTATTTATTTTATTTTTTTTTTGAGACGGCGTTTTGCTCTTGTAACCCAGGCTGGAGTGCAATGGCTCCATCTTAGCTCATTGCACCCTCCGTCTCCTGGGTTCAAGCGATTCTCCTGCCTCAGCCTCCCAAGTAGCTGAGATTACAGGTGCCCAACCCCAAGCCTGGCTAATTTTTTATTTTTGTAGAGATGGGGTTTCACCATGTTGGTCAGGCTGGTCTCGAACTCCTGGCCTCAAGTGATCCACCTGCCTCGGCCTCCCAAAGTGCTGGGATTACAGGCGTGAGCCACTGTGCCCGGCCTGTTACACCTCAACTTTTAAAAGATGTCATATAAAAGTGGAAATACATGGTACAAGCTGGAAGAAGATCTTTATCCTGCATACAATTGACAAAAGATTGGTTATCAAGAATATATTTTGAGAACTCCTAGAAATCAGTAAGAAAGACAAACAACCCAGTAAGAAAATAGGCAAAAATCATCAACAGGAATTCCATAGAAGAAGGAACCTATGTGGCCAATAAACACATGAAGATATGCTCAGCTCATCAGTAGTCAGGGAAATGCTAAACATGACCTCAAGATAAATCTTGTACCCATTTGATTGGCAAAGATTTAGAAACCTAGCAACATCAAAGGTTAGAGAGGATGCAGAGCAGTGGGATCTCATACAGCTTGCAACACGTTGGGAATATAAACGAACACAACCAGTTTGGAAAACAATGTGGCATCAATATATAAAGTAGATCATTGACAACTCAGCAATTCCTGTCAATGTCCACTGGACAAGAATTTCACAGCAGCACTGACCACAGTAGCAAAAAACCTGGGAACTATGCAAATGATCACAAATAAGAGAATGTGTAGATAAACTGTGGTGTATGCATACCATGATATACTATGTAGCAAGGCAAATGGGTGAACTGCAGTTTTATGCTCAACAATGGATCAATGTTAGTATAAGTATGAAAAAAGCAGTTACCACAAGACTACATGCAGTATGACAACCTTTTCATAAAATTCAAAATCAAGCAAAACTGAACAGTATAATTGCCAGGCGCAGCGGCTCACGCCTGTAATCTCAGCACTTTGGGAGGCAGACGTGGGTGGAGTGGTTGAGTCCAGGAATAGGAGACCAGCCTGCGCAACATGGCTACACCCCATCTCTACAAATAATTAGCCAGGCATCACGGCGCGCGTTTGTGCTCCCAGGTACTCGGGAGGCTGAGGTGGGAGAATCACCTGAGCTGGGGAGGTTGAGGCTGCAGTGAGCCAAAATCATAAGTATATATTTATATATATATACGAGCTGGGGAGGTTGAGGCTGCAGTGAGCCAAAACCATAAGTACATATATATATATATATATATATATATATATATATATATATATATATATATGTGTGTGTGTGTGTGTGTGTGTGTGTGTGTGTGTGTGTGTGTGTGTGTACTTATTTGCAATAAAAATCAAAGAAATACCAAGTACACAATTTAGGTTAGGGTTGCTTCTAGTGGGAGTGAAGAGGGTCAGGAGGATGCAGTGAGGGGGAGCTCAGAGGTGGACGTAAGTTACTGGTAATAGTCTAGTTTTTGGATTGGGTAATAGGTAAATGGGAGAACACTATATTATAAAATAAATAAACAAATAGGGCCTGACATCAATCATGAGTAGCATGTTATGAAACCAGGAGTATTGTTAACTCAATTCTATATAGCCTAAGTCTCCTCCAAACATCAAATGCTGCATTGGATTACTTAGACCCGGGCCTGAAATATTTGTTCTTCCCTCCTTCCAGGCTACGCAGATGCTCCCCCAGCTCTTTGGTCAGGCCAGGAAGCATTCGAGTGTGATCTCTCTCTCTTTGTATATATGTGAGCAGGAGGCACCAGAGCAGGGCTGCATGTCTTGCATCTGGCACTGTTTAACCCAGGTGTTAGCTGGGACAGAAAGAATCCCCCAGAACCCTGGAATAAACTGGGTCCCAATGATCAATACAAGTTCTACTCAGTGAATGTAGATTACAGCAAACTGAAAAAGAATGTCCAGACTTCTAAATGAAATGTTTCCCTACAAAGCAATTTAGAATGAAGGTCTTCCAGAGGCCCTTTGCACAATTTCCCCCTTAACTAGGAAATATTTCTCCTCTAAGTGCACTAAAATCATGTTAGTGTATCGTGTTGGGTTTTAACACTGATTAGTAAATATGTTTACCCATTTATTATGAAGAACATGACAAAGGAAAAAGGATACGGACGAACAGCCAGATGAAAGAGATGCATAGGACACAGTATGTGGGAAGGGGCATGGAGCTTCCATGCCCTCTCCAGGTGCACCTCCCTCCAGGAACTTCCATGTGTTCAGCTATGCGGAAGTTCTCTTCTCCCCAAATTCTTATCCTAACAAATAGAGAGCCCCCGGGCTCAGTCCTTGGTCTGATTCTTTCCTTTAACTACACTCTTGTCATAGCTGATGGAAGACCCTGGTTTTAATACTACCTGTATCAGAAACAAGACAAACATGCCCCCTTTCACCACTTCAATGCAACATAGTACTGGAAATTTTAGCCAAAAAATTTAGGCAAGAGAGAAAAATTTAAAGCACACAAATCAGAAAATAAAAAGTTTCTGGGCACGGTGGCTCACACCTGTTATCCTAACATTTGGGAGGCTGAGGATGGTGAATCACATGAGGCCAGGAGTTCGAGACCAGCCTGGGCAACATGGCGAAACCCTGTCTCTACCAAAAATACAAAAGTTAGCTGGGCGTGGTGGCATGCGACTGTAGTCCCAGCTACCTGGGGGGCTGAGGCATGAGAATCGCTTGAACCCAGGAAGGCGAGGCTTCGGTGAGCCGAGATCCCATCACTGCACTCCAGCCTGGGTGACAAAGAGAGAACCTGTCCCAAAAAGCAAAAGAAAAAAAATAAGAATTTAAATTATCTCTGTCTGCAGACGACAATGACATGATTTTATATATCTAAAATCTTAAAATATTTTATGAAAAACCTTAAAATTCAAATGAATTTTAAGGAAAGTTGCAAAATACAAAGCCAACATACACAAATCAGTAGCATTTCCATACACTAATTGCAAACTATCTGAAAAGGAAATCAAGAAAACAATCCCATTCACAGTAGCTCTCAAAAATAATGTAAACTACTTAGGAATAAATTCAACCAAGGAGTTGAAAGATCTGTACGCTGGAAACTATAAAACACTGATGAAAGAAGTTGAGGAAGCCACAAATAAATGGAAAGCTATCCAATGATTATGGATTGGAAGAATCAATATTGTTAAAATGTCCATACTACTCAAAGCAATCAACAGACTCACTGCAATCCCTATCAAAATTCCGATGCTATTTTTACATAACAGAAAAAGCAATCCTAAAATTCGCAGAGAACCACAAAAGACTCCAGTTACCCAAGGCAATCTTGAGCAAGAAGAACAAAGCTGGAGGAATCACAACCTGATCTCAAAATATAATAAAAGCTAGAGTAATCAAAACAGCATGGTACTGGCATACAAACAGACACATGGACAAATATAATAGACTAGAAAAAATCCATGCACTTATGGTCAAGTGACTTTCAACAAAGATGCTAAGAACACACAATGTAGAAAGGACTGTCTCTTCAATAAATGGTCTTGGGAAAACGGAGTATCCACATGCAGAGGAATAAAATGGGACCCTTGTCTCACATCATATACAAAAATCAAGTCAAAATGGACTCCGGATTTAATCGTAAGATCTGAAACTGTAAACTGCCAGAAGAAAACATAGCGAGAAACATCCATGGCATTGACCTGGGCGATAATCTTTCCGCTATGACCCCAAAAGCATGAGCAACCAAAGAAAGAATAGAGAAATGGGATTACGTCAAACTGAAAGGCTTCTGCACAACAAAGGAAACGATCAACAGAGTGAAGAGGCAACCTACAGAATGGGAGAAAATATTCACAAACTATACATCTGATAAGGAGTTAATATCCAAAATACATAAGGAACTCAACTCAATAACAAGAAAACAAATCACCTGATTTTAAAACGTGCAAAGGATCTGAATAGACATTTCTCCAAAGAAGACATACAAATGGTCAACAGTTGTATGAAAATGCTCGACATCACTTATCATCAGGGAAATGTCACAATGAGCTATCACTTCACACCTGTTAAAATGGCTATTATCAGAAAGATAAAAGAGAACAAGTGTTGGCGAGGATGTGAAGAAAAGGGAACCCTTATGCACTGTTGGTGGGAATGTAAATTAGTACAACCACTGTAAAAAAACAGTATGGAGACTTCTCAAAACACTAAAAGTACAACTATCCAGCAATCCCACTACCGGGTATTTATCCAAAAGAGAGGAAATTGGTATACCAAAGGGATACCTACACTCCCATACTTATTGCAGCACTCATCACAATAGCCAAGGTATGGAATCAACCATCAGTGGATGAATGGATAAAGAAAATGTGGCATATATACACAGGAAATACGATTCAGCCACAGAAAGAATGAAATCCTTTCATTTGCAGCAACATGGATGGACCCGGTGGTCATTAAGTTAGGTGAAATAAGCCAGGCACAGAAAGACAAATACCGTGTGTTCTCACTCATATGAGGGAGCTAAAATAGTTGATCTCATAGAGGTAGAGAATAGAGTGATAGATATGAGAGGCTGGGAAGGATGTGTGGATTGGAGGACGAGGGGTTGGGAAGAAGAGAAGTTGGTTAATAGGTACAAACATATAGTTGAAAAGAAGGAATAAGTTCTAGGCCAGGTATGGTGGCTGATGCCTGTAATCCCAGCACTTTGAGAAGTCGAGGCGGGCAGATCGCATGAGCTCAGGAGTTCCAGACCAGCCTGGACAGTATAGTGAAACCCAGTCTCTACAAAAAAAAAAAAAAAAAAAATTAGCCAGGCGTGGTGGGGCGCACCTGTCGTCCCAGCTACTCGGGAGGCTGAGGTGGAAGGATCGCTTAAGCCCAGGAGGTTGAGGCTGCAGTGAGTTGTGACTGCACCGCTGCACTCCAGCCTGGGACAATAGAGTGAGACCCAGTCCCCAAAAAAACAAAGACAGAGTAACTTCTAATGTTCAGCAGCAGAGTAGGATGACTACAGTTAACGGCAATGTATTGTATATTTCAAAATAGCCAGAAGAGAGGACTTGAAATGTTCCCAATACATAGGAATGAAAAGTATTCCAGGTGATGGTTACCCCAAATATCCTGAATTGATCATTATACATTCTATGCACGTGACAATATACCACATGTACACCATATATATGTGCAAATATTATGTATCCATTAAAAATTAAAATTAAAGAAATATAAATAGTACTATCATTTAATTTGGTAATCTCACTACTGGATATATGGCCAAAGGAAATGAAATCAGTATGTCAAAAATATCTGCACTCACATATACATTGCAGCACTGTTCACAACAGCCAAGACGTGAAATGAACCTAAGAGCCCATCAAATGGATGAATGGATAAAGCACATGTGTATGTGCACACACAATAGAATAGTATTGAGCCTTTTTTAAAAAAATAAAAGGAAATCCTGTCATTTGTGGCAACATGAGTGAATCTGGAATATATTATGTCGAGTGAAATAAGCCAGGCACAGGAAGACAAATACTGTATGATCTCACTGCGATGTGGAATCTTAAAAAATCAAACTTTTTAGAAACAGAGAATAGAATGGTGGTTACCAGGGTCTGGGGCTGGGAAGGATTGGGGAGATATTGGTCAAAGGATACAAAACTTCATTTGGACAAGAAGTCTAAGTTCAAGAGATCTATTGTAAACAAGGTGACTATAGTTAATAATAATGTATACTTGAAAATTGTTAAGAGGGTAGGTTTTAAGTGTTCTCACCACAAAAGATGAAAGGTATGTGAGTTCATACATATTGTAGTTAGCCTAATTTAGCCATTGTACAATGTATACGTATTTCAAAGCATCATGTTGTGCACTATAAATATATACAATTGTGTCATTACGAATAAACAAAAATAAAATACAAAGGAATGAAATAAATTCCATTTGTTCAATAAAACTGATGTGATACTGGTGAAGATGTGCAGAAACTGGAACCTTTGTGCACTGTTGGTGGGAATGTAAAATGGCACAGCTGCTGTGGAAAACAGTATGGCAGTTACTCAGAAAACTAAAAAGAGAATTACCATATGATCCAGTAATTCCATTCTGTGTCTATATCCAAAAGAAGAGAAATCAGAGTCTCAAAGTGCTGTTTGTACACCCCTGCTCATAGCAGCATTATTCATGAGAGCCAAGAGATGGAAGCAACCCAAGTGTCCACTGATGGATGAATACAGAAACAAAGTATGGTGAGTTATTATTTGGCCATTAAAATGAATTATGATTTCGCCCATAAAAAGATGGAATTCTGATAAATGCTACAATGTGGATAAAACTTTAGGACATTATGCTATAAAATGAGTCAGTCACAAAAGGACAAATACTACATGGTTCCACCTGTATAAGGGATCTAAAATATTCAAACTCAGAAACAGAAGGTAGAGTGGTGGTTTCCAGAGGCTGGGGGGCAGGGGAAAACGAGGAGTTGTTTAGCGGGTATACATTTCAGTTTTGCAGTTGAAGACATCCTGGAGATTGGCAGCACAGAACTGCGAATATATTTAACACTACTGAACTGAACACTGAAAAATGCTTAAGATGGTAAATTTTATGTTCCGTGTATTTTAACATAACTCAATAGAAAAGTGGTGTAATTTCTATCTCTGGAGTGGGCCCTGGAAAAAAATATCGATACTATGATGACTCTCATAGATACTTTTTCAACCCAGAGCCAGACCTTCGTCTACTCAACATCTCCACTTGGATACCTAACACACATCTCAGATTTAAACATCCGAAACCAAACTCCTGACATTAAACACAAGAAGCAAGAAATATGAACATATTTTCTGATTCCACTAATATAAAAGTACAGAACAGTCAACACCAAGCCATATCATTATTATTTCTTGAATTTAACTTTTTTTTTAAGTTCGAGGGTACACGTACAGGTTTGTTACATAGGTAAACTTGTGTCGTGGGGGTTTCTTGTAGAAATTATTTCGTCACCCAGTGATTAAGCCTAGTACCATTTGTTACTTTCCCGGTCCTCTCCCTCCTCCCACCCTCCACTGTCCGATAGGCTCCGGTGTGTGTTGTTCCCCTCTTTGTGTCCCTGTGTTCTCGTCATTTAGCTCCCACTTATAAGTGGGAAGATGCGGTATTTGGTTTTCTGTTCCTGCATTAGTTTGCTAAGGATAATGGCCTCCCCATCCAACCACGTTCCTGCAAAGGACCTAATCTCATTCTTTTTATGGCTGCATAATATTCCATAGTGTATATGTACCACATTTTCTTTATCCAGTCTACCATTGATGGGCATTTAGGATTCCATGTCTTTGCTATTGTGAATAGTGCTGCAATGAACATACACGTGCACGTGTCTTGATAATAGAATGATTTATATTCCTTTGGGTATATGCCCAGTAATGAGATTGCTGGGCTGAATGGTACTTCTGTCTTTAGGTCTTCGAGGAATCACCACATTGTCTTCCACAATGGTTGAACTAATTTACACTCTCACCAACAGTGTATAAGTGTTCCTTTTTCTCTGCAACCTCGCCAGTATCCATTATTCTTTTACTTTGTAGTAATAGCCATTCTGACTGGCGTGAGATGGTATCTCATTGTGGTTTTGATTTGCATTTCTCTAATGGTCAGTGACGTTGAGCTTTCTTTCATGGGATTGTTGGCCGCATGTATGTCTTCTTTTGAAAAGTGTCTGTTCATGTCCTTTGCCCACTTTTTAATGGGGTTGTTTGGTATTTTTCTTGTGGAACTTGTTTAAGTTCCTTATAGATGCTGGATATTAGATCTTTGTCAGATCCACAGTTTGCAAAAATTTTCTCCCATTCTGTAGGTTTTCTGTTCACTCTGTTGACAGTTTCCTTTAGTGTGTAGAAGCTTGCTCTTTAGCTTAATTAGACCCCATTTGTCAATTTTTGCTTTTGTTGTAATTGCTCTTGGTGTCTTCGTCATGAAATCGTTGCTCGTTCCTGTGTCCAGAATATGATTGCCTAAGTTGTCTTCCATGGTTTTTATATTTTGGGGTTTTAATTTAAGTCTTTAATCCATGTTGAGTTAATTGTTGTATACGGTATGATATACTTTGGCTGTGTCCCCACCCAAATCTCCTCTTGAGCTGTAGCTCCCATGATCCCCACGTGTTGTGGGAGGGATCCGGTGGGAGGTAATTGAATCATGGGGACGGATTTTTCCCGTGCTGTCCTCGTGATAGCGAATAAGTCTCATGAGTTCTCATGGTTTTATAAAGGGCAGTTCCCCTGCACATGCTGTCTTTTCTGCCGCCATGGAACACACACCTCTGCTCTTCCTTCGCCTTCTGCCACGATTGTGAGGCCTCCCAAGGCATGTGGAACTGTGAGTCCATTAAACTTCTTTACTTTATAAATTACCCAGTCTCGGGTATGTCTTTATTAGCAGCAAGAGAACAGACCAGTACCTGGTGTAAGAAAGGGATCCAGTTGCAGTCTTCCATGTATGGCTAGCCAGTTATCTCAGCACCCTTTGCCGAACAGAGAATACCTTCCCCATTGCTTGCTTTTGTCAGGTCTGTCAAATATCAGAGAGTTGTAGGTGTGCGGCTTTATTTCTGGGCTCTCTATTCTGTTCCATTGGACTCCGTGTCTGCTTTTGTACCAGTACCATGCTGTTTTGGTTATTGTGGGCCCGTGGTATATTTTGAAGTCGGGTAGCGTGATGCCTCCAGCTTTGTTCTTTTTCGCTTAGGATTGCCTTGGCCACTCAGGCTCTTTTTCAGTTCCATATGAATTTTAAAATAGTTTTTCTAGTTCTGTGAAGAATGCCAATGATAACTTACTAGGAATCACATTGAATCTGCAAATTGCTTTGGGCAGTATGGCCAGTTTAATTATATTGATCTTCCTATCCATGAGCATGAATGTTTTTCCATTTGCTTGTGACATGTCTGATTTCCTTGAGCAGTGTTTTGTAGTTCTTCTTGCAGAGATCTTTCACCTCCCTGGTGTGGTGTATTCCCAGGTATCTTGTGTGTGTGTGTGTGTGTGTGTGTGTGTGTGTGTGTGTGTGGCAATTATGAATGGGACTGTGTTCCTGATTTGGCTCTCTGCTTGACTGTTGTTGGCATATAGGAATGTTAGTGATTGTTCCCATTGATTTGGTATCCTGAGACTTTGCTGAAGTTGTTTATCAGCTTAAGGAGCTTTGGGGCTGAGACTGTGGGGTTTTCTAGATTTAGGAACATGTCGTCTGCAGGCATACTGTAGTATTAAAAGAATGTAGGCCGGGCGCGGTGGCTCACGCCTGTAATCCCAGCTCTCAGGGAGGCAAGAGGCGGGAGGATAGCTTGAGCCCAGGAGTTCGAGACCTGCCTGGGCAATATAGCGAGACCCCGTTCTCCAGAAAAAGGAAAAAAAAAAAAAGATAAAAGAATGTAGTATAGGACGTGGGACCAAAAATCATAGAGAAAACTGAGGAAAGAATGATCACAAAAGTAAATGTGTTGGTTTCCTCTTGAAGGAGGAATGAGGCTGAGATCAGGCAGAGACACCCCAGGAGCTTTGGGGAATGCTGGCGGTGTTCTCCTCTGTGACATGGGGGTGTTTCTGTAGAGATGCCCTTGATAATCACTATTAAACAACACACACATATTGTGAACTTCTCTCTATGTATGTTACATTTCAACATAAAGAGGGTCGAAATTGCTAATAACAAATAACACGCATTTGTAGTTAAACACTTCTCACAATCCACAGACCTGGAAATGACTGATTAGTTTTCTGTATGTGTAGTTTTCCAGTTTTAAGAATGTTCTACAAATGGAATCATACATTATGTAGAGTTTCATATTTGGTGTCTTTAGCACAATGAAATACATATAAGACCTCTAGAACTGCAATGTACTCTTTCTTGACCTCAGTACTCAATACGTGTTTTCCTCACTTCTCAACAGTTCATTCACAGTCGATTGGTTTTCTAAACTTGTATATATGTGTAGTATGCTTTATAAATATCATATGATAGTTAACTTTATGTAATTTGTTATATCTTGGTAATGGACTTTTCTTAAAAATGGACAGTATCCCTAAGAATACCCCGTACATTTCCATTGCAAAAAAAAAAAAAAAAAAAGGTATTCCATCATGTGAGTATACCACAATTAACTGATATAAACTATGAAGGTAAAAATTTGCGTTGCTGCCCCTTAATGTTGTTGCCTTAATTTCTTTTTCTCAGGTCCTAAGTCGTCTGCCCCTGAGAATAAGTGGATGGGGAGGTGACAAATCTCCCGTGAGAAAAATGTACCAAGTGCATGGTGTTCCAACACATAATCACAAATTCTGAATGAAAACTTGCCACCCAAATATAAAATATTTACCAAAACATCGAAATTAATATCACAATTATGTAAGCATCGTTCCTACGATGTTTGGTGAAATCTATGAGAATTTGAAATCAAGCTATCACTATCAATAAACTGATATTAGTACTCGCAAGGAGATCTGCTATAAATAGAGAAAATAAAATTTTGGTTATCCTTCTGGTTATAAAATACTTACCTGTTTAATGCAGTGTTACTTCCCTTAGCACTATTGTTTTGTCTGCTTATGGTGGCAGGCAACGTACAGAAAGAAAACATCACAGTTTATGTGCATAGTTTAATAAATGATTGTCCAGTGCACCTGCACAGGAACGCTCCCCTAGGTCCCAGAGAAGAACACCGCCAGCATTCCCCAGAGCCTCCTGGGGTGTCCCTGCCTGAGCTCAGCCCCACTCCTACTGCAAGGGGAAACCAACATCCTGACTTTTCTGATTGTCCTTTCCTTGCTCTTCTCTGTGGTTTTATATCCTAAGTATGCATTCTTCAACAAGGTAGGTTAGTGTTGCCTGTCATTTGAAGTTATAGGAATGGAATCATTAAGCATGTCCGTGTTGTCCCTTGCTTCTTTCCCTCGATGTTATCTTTGTAAGATTCGCGCCTATTATTCCATGGAGGAGTACTTTGTACTTCGTACTTTTCCGTTGCTGAAATAGTATTCCATTGTATTAACATACCACAATGTATTCATTCCGTCCCATGAAAGTTGCGATTTTCATGGTTTCCCATATTTGGAACTGGATGATCACAAAAATACTACTCATAAACCCTTGTCGGCACCAGTAAAGGAGTCCTGAGAGGGACGTGTAGGCTGCTAAAAGCACATATTTAAAAGAGGATCGCAGACAATTAACGAGAAAACGTTCAAAAAAGAAGCCCAACGTAAGACCAAGGAAAGTAGAAGGAGGTCATCAAGGTAAAAGGAGAAATCAGTGAAAGCGAAAACAAGCATAAGGATCACAAAACCAGAAGCTGGGTGTTTGGAAGAGGAATGAAATTGGTAAAACTCTTGTGAGACTGGTCAAGAAAACAAGGGAGAAGGGCACCGCTATCAGGAAAGAAAAGGGAGAAATAAGCACAAACGATGTTACGTCCGTTCTCGTGTTGCTATATAGAAATATCCAAGACCGAGTCATTTATAAAGAGAAGAGCTCATGGTTCTGCAGGCTGTACGGGAAGGGAAGCATAGCGGCTTCTGCTTCTGGGAGGACTCAGGAAGCTTGCAATCACGGCGGAAGGTGAAACAGAAGCAGGTACCTGTTACATGATAGGAGCAGGAGCAGGAGCAAGAAAGAGAAAGGAGAGGTGTCACACACTTTTAATCGACCAGACTCATGACAACTCATTCGCAACCATGAGGACAGTACCAAGTGGATGCTGCTAAACCATTCCTGAGAAATCCAGCCCCATGATCCAGTCACCTCCGACCAGGCCCCACCTCCAACATTAGAAGTCACAGTTGGACACGAGACTTGGTGGGGACACGGTTCCAAGCCATATCATATGCAGACATCCAAAAGATAGAAAGAGGATGTTGTGGGGGAACTGGATATTCACACAGAGTGCCCATGCAGTAACAGCACATAGCTAATTAAATACAAAGAGAAGATGGCACCTTCACAATGGAGTAATCTGGAACAACGCCCTGGCCACATGGTCGGTCAAGATGAACATCGCCAGTCATGAGAGAAGCCTACATGGAGAATCTGCTGATGTCATGCACCGAGAAGGACGGCACGTCTGCTATGCAGTAGTCTTGCCAAAAATGTTAAACCTACCTGAATCTAATCACAAGGAAGCCACTCGACAAAGCCAAGTTCAAGGGCTTCCCGACAACAGCTGCAGTGATTTAAAGCACACTTTAAACATTGCTTTAAAGCACACTTTAAAGGACACTGAAGAGACTTGATGGGCCGGGAACCATGGCTCACGCCTGTAATCCCAACAGTTTGGGAGACCTAGGCGGGCGGATGGCTTGAGCTCAGGAGTTCCAGACGAGCCTGGGCAAGACGGTGAAACCCTGTCTCTACAAAAAATATGTTAAAAATTAGCCAGGCATGGTGGCACTCGCCTGTAGTCCAAGTTACTCAGGAGGCTGAGGCAGGAGGATGGCTTGAGCCTGGGAGGTCAAGGCTGCACTTAGCCAGGTTCACGACCCTGCAAGCCAGCCTGGGCGACAGAGGGAGACCCTGTCTCAAAAGAGACTTGACTACTAAATGCAAAGCATGATGTTTGGTTGGAAAGAAAATTTTGTTAGAAAGCAGCCATGAGGGATACTATGTGACCATGGGGACAATCGGAAAATGTTTCATGTGATCATACAGTAGAAAATTGTGTGGTCTCAATGTTACATTTCCTGAGTGTCATGGTGGCATTAAGGTTTTGTGGGAGCCCATGCTTCCCTGTAGGCGATACATGCTGCAGTATTTACGGATGATGGATCTAAATGATTCCAATGGATCTCAAATGATTCCACAAAACAATAAAAAAAAAAAAATACACGCACACGCTCAGAAAAAGATGGGGGCGCGGCATGGAGGGAGGGATGAAGCAAATGTGAGAAAATGGTAACAACTGCAGGATCCAGTAGAAGAATATACGTATGGGTGCTCCTTTGGCTTTCTGTGCAACTCTTCTGTGACTTCCTAATTTTAACAAATGCAATCTGAGATGAAGGGGGATATTATGGACCACTTTATTACAGTCAGTTTGAAAACAAAGAAAAAGGTAACCAGTCGCTAGGAAACAAAATCCACCAAAACTAACACAAGAAGGAACAGCCAACCTGAACCGTTCCAGAATCATTACAGAAAGATATGAGTAGTCAAAGGCTTTCCACTAATAAACTCTAGGATTCCCCACCACATTCTGAAAAACATCCTAGGAATACCTGTCTTCCGTTTGACACAAACTCGTGCAGAAAATTGAAAAGGAGGAACAATCCTCCACTCACTGTATGAGCTTGGCATAACCTCGATACCAAATCCTGCAGGGACACTTAGAGAAATATTGCAGATCAATCACAGGCTCATGACATAGAAGTAAAAACTGGAACCAGAATCTTAGCACACGGAAGCCTACAGGATATAAAAAGGAAAATACCTAATATGGCATGACTAATATTGGCTTCATCCCAGAAATACAAACTTAATTTCTCTTCAGAAAATACAATGGTATAATTCTCCACATTAACAGATTTGGAGAGAGAAGCATGCTCTTCATAGTCACAAAAGGTATTGACTAAATGTCAATTTCCATTTGAGATGTATTGCTGACAATTTTTTTTTCTAAAAAGTCAGGACTATTGGGCTATAACTTACACAGAGGTCTGTGAGATCTCGTAAATGCGTATGGCTGTAAAAACACCAGCACAATATATATAGATATAGAGCATCGCCATCCCCCGCCCCCCTCCCCCGCCAGGTTCCCTTACGTCCTCTTGTACTGAACTCCTCGTCTTAACCCTCAGACCCTGGCAACCATCAATCTGTTTTGTGTTCCTAGAGTTTTGCCTTTTCCAGAATGTCACATAAATGGAATCACACGGTACGTAGCATGTGCATTTGGCTTCCTTCAGAGAAAGACACTCGGACTGCGATTCCCTAAAGGTGCAATGTACAGTTTCATGACCTGGGTAATAGCTACCTGGCTTGATCACCTTACAACTGTTTGTCAAATGGCCGGCTTCTGAGTTCTCTCCGTGTGCGTGTGTGTGCGTGTATGTGAGACAGAGAGTGTATGGGTGTGTGCGTGCGTGGGGGGGTGTATTATGTTTCAAAAATGTAATTTTACATTTAACCGCCTCTAACTTTTATATCTTGATGATGGTTATTAAATGGCAATTATTAATCCTTTAAGAGAAAGTGACTGATTGTTGGAAAAGTCAGTAGAGTCATTTCCTCTGTGGTGTGCAAAGTGGGAAGTAGTGATCAGGATGGGGCAAACAGGAGGGTTCCAAAACCCTGCCAACCTTCTGTTCCTCGCTCTGCATGGTAGTGACCCGGACTTCAACAACTGCACAACCACATGGGCGCCGTTCACACTGGATCACGAGAACGGAGCACCCTGGAATCCCACAGATAGAGTTTGCACGGCCACCCTGGCGGCCACAGCCTCCGCGGCCATACCTGGCAAACACAAGTGTTGGCCTCATCCTTCGAGGAAACGCATGATGAGAAAATGTGTGGGGAAAAGGAGGAGTTCTTGGGGTGGAGGTTGAGGACAGATGTGCATGAGGTTGTCCGAGTTCACCCAGGAGTGTGTTCCAGGCGGGCTAAAGTTCATGGCTGGTACTCACCATGACCACTATGATCCTATGATTGCCATCTCACATCCCCGTGTGCGGTGCCCTGGGCCTCCGCCACAGCCTGGAAGGCCACCCTTGGGGACTCTGGCTGGCGGGCGTGCTAGGAGACTCACACACCTTCGGCCCTAGCTGGAGTCTGAAGAGGAGATGCTCTTTTCTGCCAACAAAGTAAGAGGTCTCATATGGAAATGTACCTGTGGCAGTCCTGGCACCAGGTGTAGGTGGGATTCTGCACAGGGCTCCGCCACTGTGGCAGGCACGCAGCTCACCAGACCTCTGGAGCTCATCTGAGCTGAGTGGCAGGACAAGGCAGGAGGGGGTCTAAGGCTCTCCAGGCCAGACCCCACATTCCTCTTGGTGGGAGAGGAGGCTTGAGGGAAAAGCAAAAGGGGGCCACTGAATGAGGGGAAGGGCTCAACCTCCTCCTGTCCAATGGGACCCAGATGGATTCCTCTAATCCGAGGAGCCTCGGATTCTGCACTTACATCCCCTAGAACCAGAAGGCTCCGCCCGACCATGCGGTGTACCATGGGCCTAGGGTGTACATGTTATGGCCCCATTATTGTGCAGAAGGTGGTCTGAATATGGAACCGAGGTGGCGTGCTGGGAGGCGGGGCTGGCAAAAGCCAGCAACTGAGGGATGGGTTCACGCCTTCCAAGACTCCGTCCACGGGCTTCTCCCCTTCCACACCCTGTCGACCATGGCCCATGCCCCCCGGGGCAGTGACTGGGGCTGGAGTTCTGCCCCCACCAGAACCTGCCTAGATGTCTCCGGTGGCAAAAACCCAAGCTGGAGAGTCCCTGACACATGTCTTCCCCCAGACACCAGCCCACTGTGTTATCCCCCCAAGAAACAACCACCTGTGTCAGGGTCAAAGCCTTGGCCCAAGGAGTCAAGCCCATCCTCTCCGGTGAGGGGTTAGATTCGGATGGGGTAGGTCCCCACCAGCGTTGGTTTCCAGGTCTGAGGTCTGTGATTGACCCACCACGTGCGTGGTGGTCCCCCTCGCTGAGCTCACACCATGAGCCCAGCAGGGAGACACAGAGGGAGTATGGGGGAAGGCAGATACCGAGCCCAACCAGCTGTCCCAGGGCAGTCTCTCTTTCCCACTTTCCACCCTCTCTGTGCGTATCTTGCCCATGTGTTGGTTAGCGGGCATCGTGGTGCCCTCCCACGGGAGCTCCCCATTTCCTAGATGAGGCACCAACCAGCGACTCTGAGGTATTATCACTGCACCCACACACGGGAGTGCTGAGACATCCCATCCATCCTGTGGAGGATCAGGAGCCTACTGTGGCACCTCCAGCATTCTGAGAGCCCCGACACCCGTCCCTGTGTTTGGGGATGTCCCCTTCGTCCCACTCCACAGCCTTCTAGGTGTTAGACTTGAACAACACCTCTTGTGAAAGGGTAGATCCCAGCCCTGCTTTAGCGAATTCGATCCTTCATGGATCCTTCACCACTGCTTCCACTCCATGAATCAGTCCATTCTCGCTCAAGGGACAGCACCCACGATTAATTTGATTCCCAAGCAGGTGCTAGCAGGGGCATGCTCACGCGCGCACACACACACACACACACACACACGCTAACCTTGAATGGTATCTGCATTTCTATTGTTTTTGTCTGTTCGCAACACCCAGTCTCTTGGCAATGGGAGCTGGCAGAACCTACACACACCTCCTCACTGGAACCAGAATCTATGCCCGAATCTGGGGCCTGCCCAGCCCAGGATGCCGGCTGAAGGAACGAGGCGATCTCAACTGTCAGGGATGGTGAAGGCAGAAGAGAGAGCTCGAGGAAATCTCGTGTGACCTGGAGAGGCGGTCTGGAAGACTGACCAGGGACGCGAAAATATTATGTCCACAAAAACCTGCGGCCTTGGGGGTGGTGAAATGGTATTTCACAGGGACTATCGAAGACCAGCCAGGCCTAGCATCCACACTTGCCCTGGAAAGCAGCTGGCCATTTTCAAATCAAGGGTATGGAGTCCACTGGCTGCAGAAGGGGCTGCTGGCCACCTATAGAACACCAAGGATATGGAAGCCACTTTCTGTGTAGGTGCCTGCGAACAGTTTCCACCAGGTTGGCCAACAGGCGCCAGAACAGACTCGGTGCCCCCACCTCCAACCAACAGACTATCTTGCCCTTTTCTTCTGCACTCCATCTACCTTCCCTTTGACTTAGCCAGCCACCGGGGTGTGGCTTCTGCCTCCACAAGGCTACTGAAACTAAAGAGGGAGACCTAACGGGATTTGATAACTGAGGTTCAAAGGTGAGGGCTAAGACGAACTGAGGATGTCACGCAGGTTACTGGCCCAGATGACCTGACCGTGTGCATGGTGGCACCGGAGGGAAATAATGGCTCCAGAAAGAGGACTGAGCTCCGTCGTGTTCCTCAACAGCACGGAAATAACCATGCAGGAACGGCCACCGGGGTCAAGCCACGGGGGAGAGCAAGGATGCTCATGATGGAAAGGACAGTGACAGGACAAACAGGGACAGTGAACTGCAGGAGGAAAGGTTGCTCAAAGGACCAGGGTGCTCAAAGGAGGCCATCAGTTCCTGCTGAAGGGGAGAGAGAATAGCACTGAAGAAGGGGACCTGTGAGACCCCAAAGTGGGAGGAGAAGAGGAGGGAGCATGAGCAGGGCGTGTACAGGAAAAGCAGGAAATGCTGCTGTGGCCGGGCAGGGCCTCCCACAGCACCTAGACCCAGGGCACTATGGTGAGCCCGAGTGCAGGGCTGCTGCTCAGAGGCCCGCCCAGGCGCCCCGCAGGGAGATGGCCCACCACAGAGCGCCAGGGGAACTGTTCTTCCAGCGCCAGGGAACGGAGCAACACCCGGCACACCCCAACACTCCCAACAATCGCAGAGAGGGCAGACCACAGACCACAGAATATGAGAACGACTTTATTTCACACTGCTTTGAACTGCGTTGGGAAGGGGGCAAATGCAGCGGAAGAGAAAAAGCCCTGGCTAAGGAGGATAAGGAGGAAACTCGCTTGGCTGCAGCTCCGGACGCTGGCTCCAACCTGTGAAACAGAGCAGGCTCAGGGACTGGCTCCCAGCCAGGGCCAGCCCACAGCCCTCCTAAGCTACCGGGATTGTGGGAAGGGGCACGGTGTGTGCAACACTCACTTCAAAGGCCCTGGAACTTGTCGTTGAAGAACTGCATGGCCGCTGAAACAGAGAGGCAGAACCGGGCACTCCAGACCCAGGGAAACAGAAACTCACCCCCTGCCCCCGTGGGGAACCACCTAGCCCTGCAACCAGAAACCCCACCAGCCCTGGGACTGACTCATCCACCCGTCACCTGAATTAAATGTGGAAATGCCTTCTAAGCGGGAAAGTGGTTCTCAGGTGCTGGGCCATGCCAGAACCGTTCATTCAGAACGTGTTTCAAAGACAGATAAGCCAGCCAGCAAGCAAACACCGTACAAGCCATACCAGGCAGCAGTTAAAGGGAAAACACATGCGGTATCTCTAACCCTCCTAAGAGAAGGAGAGTTCTGGGACTCGTGGACTAAGTGTACACGGAGTTCAGACGACACATTGCTGTCTGTGCACACCCCTAGCTGGAAAGGCACAGAAGGCTCCAGGGCCAGGCTTTCCTTGGTTCTCTTCCCCAAAGGAAAGTCAGTTCCAGTGACGCCGCCTGTACCTACAGCCCACCCCCGCCCCCCGCACCAGCAGAAAGACACCGCTGTCCATCCCTGCCCCAGCCAGGGCTCCATCATACCTAGCTGCTGTGTAAGGTCCTCAATTTCCCTCTGCAGCCGGATGCACTAGACCAGCAGACACCGGAGGAAGATAAATGGTTAGTCAATTCTGGCCTCCTCTCTCCTCGTCTTCCCTGTCTCCCCCAGCCCTTAGTAGCCCCCATAGCCTGCAGCCCAGTGGTGAGGTGGGTTGGCATGAAACCCTCAATGTAAAAGAGGCACCCTCTCTCCGTGGGATGCAGAAGGTGGTGACGGGGCGGGGCGGGGGGACACAGAAATCAGTTTAACCTGGACACGGATCCCACCATCTAACGTGGACTTCTATTTCTAGGAGCCACACAAAGCATTACCCGAGGGCAACCCTGGGCTCCCAGGGGCCGGCGGAGGCCTGCCGCCATTCTCCAGGGCTGGGGCCCAGCACGCCTCTCCCACTGGGACCGACCTCCAGGTCCGCCCAGTTGTCAGCCGACCCTTCGGCAGCGGCACCTTCTGGGGAGGGGCGCCCTTGGACGCTGGGCCGGTGGCACGATGGTGGCTGGTTCGTCAGCCAGGGAGGACGAGTAGTCCACATCGTCCCCTTGGTCGTCGACTGGGGTGCCAGGCCGGCCTTCCCGGCCCCAGAGCACCACCTTTCCCTGCTCTATCAATTCGCTCTCAGACTCGAAGCTGAAGACCTCGGGATCTGTGAACCTGCTCTCGCCCTCGCGGCTGCCTGGCGCCCCCAAATCGAGGCCGTGGCCCTGGCCCCGTGGGGCTCCGGGGCTGGCCATGCGGGAGCCAGCCTGCTTGCCACCCTCCAGGCCGAAACTGGCCCCACAAACGGCTACCTTGTCGGGGGAGCTCATGGCGCCAGTCTGGGCAGCCTGGGCTGCGGGGAGACGGTCGTCCTGGTAACGGCAGAAGGGGAGAGCCGAGTCCTGCCAAGCCCGGCGGAGCGGGCCACGCGACAGGAACAGTGAGGCCTTCGGGACACCGCTGCCCTCACCCCGGGTGGAAGTACCAGATGTCCCCGACAGCGCGTGGCTTCTGCGCGTGCACTTGACGCCAGTGCCGCGACTTCTCATTGGTCCCCCTCTACCAACCAGCGCGCCCTTTGTTGGCAGAGGCCTCTGGGCTTTAACCAATCGGAACACAGGCTCTTGGTTTGCCCCGACACCCGTCATTTGACTGGGTGGC
The DNA here is from genome assembly GCF_000001405.40 of Homo sapiens. NCBI lineage: Eukaryota > Metazoa > Chordata > Mammalia > Primates > Hominidae > Homo > Homo sapiens. Next base: position 71,718,810 of record NC_000023.11, on the reverse strand, counting down.
TGTGCTCTGGTCTGGTCTTGCGGCCAGGGGGCACTGGAGCTCTCGATCCACCTCCTTCTTGCTCTCCTGCTGCCTCTGGCTGGGAACCTACTTTCCAATGAGACCTCCTCTGTGCACCGGGTGCTTTGCGTGCATCACGACATTTACTCTCCCAAGCTGATGAGCTGGGGGAAGGTCTCCCCTTAATCCCCACCTTACAGATGGGACACTGGGGCTCAGAGACGTGGCTCTCCTTGGAAAGTAGGTGCCCGGCCAGAGGCAGAAGGACAGGAAGAAAGAGGTGATCGAGAGCTACGGTGCCCCCTGGCCCCAAGACCCGACCAGAGCGCAGCCACCCAGTCAAATGACGGGCATGGAGGCAAACCAAGAGCCTGTGTCCCGATTGGTTAAAGCTCAGGCACCTCGCCCCACAAAGGGCGTGCTGGTTGGCAGACGGGGACCAATGAGAAGGCTCGGCGCCGGCGTCAAGGGCGCGAGGAAGCCACTCGCTGTCCCGGACATCTGGTACTTCCGCCTGGGGCGAGGGCGGTGGTGTCCCGAAGGCCTCACTGTTTCTGTCGCGTGGCCCGCTCAGCTGGGCTTGGCTGGGCTCAGCTCTCCGCTCCCGCCGTTACCAGGACGACCGTCTCCCCGCAGCCCAGGCTGCCCGGACTGGCGCCATGAGCTCCCCCGACAAGGTGTCCGTTTGTGGGGCCGGTTTCGACCTGGAGGGTGGCAAAAAGGCTGGCTCCCGCACGGCCAGCCCCGGAGCCCCAGGGGCCCACAGCCACGGCCTCGATTTGGGGGTGCCGGGCAGCGGCGATGGCAAGAGCGAGAGCGGGTTCACAGATCCAGAGGGCTTCAGCTTCGAGTCTGAGAGCGAATTGATAGAGCAAGGAAGGGTGGTGCTCTGGGGCCGGGAAGGCCGGCCAGGCACCCCGGTGGATGACCAAGGGGACGTTGTGGACTACTCATTCTACCTGGCTGACGAACCAGCCGCCATCGTGCCGCCGCCCAGCGTCCAGGGACACCCGTTCCCAGAAGGTGCCGCTGCCGAAGGGTCGGCTGAGAATTGGGCAGATGCGGAGGTCGGTCCCAGTGGGAGAGACGTGCTGGGCCACAGCCCTGGAAAATGGCAGCAGGCCTCTGCCGGCCGTCTCCACCTCTGCGGTCCTGGGCCAGTGCGGGCCTGGAAGAACCCGGAAAGGGGCTCGAAGAGCAGATGGAGCCTCCGCGTGGATCCCCAGCAGCCCTCTGCGAAAGGCCCCACCAGGCTGCCTACCCACGACTCTGATTCCGCAGATGAGAGCAGCGACTTACCACTGATGAAGGTAGGCATTTGCCGCAACGAAGGAAGCCAGGCCAAGCCCGGCAGCCCCAAGAAGCGAGCAGACACATCCAGACAGGCAAGCTTCCACTGCAAGGAGAGTTACCTGCCTGTGCCGGGCCGTTTCCTGACCTCTGCTCCCCGCGGACTCACTCCAGTCGCAGAGAGGCCGGCTGTGGGAGAGCTGGAGGACTCTCCCCAGAAGAAAATGCAGAGCAGGGCCTGGGGAAAGGTGGAGGTCAGGCCCAGCTGCTCAGGAGCTGCTGCTGCAGGGGCCCTGCCCCAGGGCCTTTCGAGGAGGAAGATGGCCGGGGGGAAGAAGTCCCTAGGGGGTGCCTCTCAACTGGCCCTGGGGAGAGGCTTTCCTGCCTGCGGAGAGAGACTCTCAGCCGCTCCCCCGGAGCCGGCCACCTTCCCGCCATTCTCTGGTGTGCGGCCACAGGGGATGTCCAAGAAACCCCAAAAGCCTAAGCACAGCAGCCCTGGGAAGAAACCAGCAGGGAGGAAGACCAGGGAGTCCCAGGCTGCGGCCAGAGAAGATAATGACCCAAATAGAGATGAGGTCCCAAGAGCCCAAGTGAGTAGGCCCTTCTCGCCCTCCTCTCCCTCTTTACCCTCCTCCCCCCACACCTCCTCTCTTCCAGCACACACCTGTTTACCCATGCCTCCTCTGTCCCTTGCTCGAGGGTTGTCATCGGGAGCCCAGGGACACTAGAATGCCCGATGGGTGTCTTCCTCATAAGGGCACACGTTAAAGGGAGCACTTCTTGTGTGATGGCCATGCCTCTGGACGCTCTGCAGGGGTCCTGCCTCCGCCCGCAGAGAGGAGCTGGGGTGGAAGGCAGGGCTGGCAGCTGGTTTGGATCGGGTGATGCCTTAAAGTGTGGGCTGCAAAGCTGGGGCATCTAGGCTCATCAACTTCCTGATTCCTCCTTCCCTAGCTGTTGCCCAACCCACCTGGCAGGCGGCCCCGGGCTATCTCAGTATCCCCAGTGTTTTCCCTGGCTGGCCTCTGCCTCCTGGCCTGAGGCTGACTGAGGGAGAAAGTGCTAATGAGATTAGGCTCAGGAGTCTCCACCTTACCACAACCCCTCCCCACGTGTACTCACCGCCGGCCCCCATCGCCAGCCCGACTCAGAAGTTTCTGTTTTAGCTTCCCACCCACAGGCCAGGACTGCCTCGCCTGTCTGTGCGTCGTGGAGAATTCAGCAGTAGCGACCCCAACATCAGAGCTCCCCAACTTCCGGGAACTTCAGAGCCCTCGGCCTACAGCCCGGGAGGCCTCGTGCCCAGACGCCATGCACCCTCCGGTGAGTCTTGTGGGTTTGATAGGGGTGGAGGGGAGAGGGGTCGGGAGGGAAACCTCTGGCCCTGTCGCTTCTGGGGGCTCAGCCTTATTCCCAGACTTCCCTGCCCACCCAGGCAGCTGTCCCACGGGGAAACGGGGTGTTGACTGGGCTGGCTTTAAGCCACATCGTCCTCTCTGAGTGGGGTTTGTGTGGTGGGGGGCGATTTGGAGCAGCGCCCCAAACTCCCAACTCTGGAAGGAGACTTTCGGCAGTACTGAGCCCTTTTCTGTTAAGTCCTGCTCAGCCACATGGGCCCTCCCAGGGCCTGGCTGTGGCTGCCGCACTGCTGGAGTCCAACCTGGAGTCACAATGCTAGGGGGCCACAGGTGCACATGAGCTTACACTGGGGAACAGTGAAGGCAGTCCCAGAGCGGGGTTGGAGTTGCTGGGCAGAGCAGGGGCAACGTGTACCAGCAGAGGGTGATGCTGCCTCACATTAGACACCACTAGGCCCTTTCCACCTCACTGGGAGGCTTGGAAGCTGGATTTTGTGTTCTCTTTCAGGTAACCAGCAGCCGCCTGTCCATCCCCCAAGACCGGAAAGGCAGCAGCAGCCCCCGGGAGCCCAGGGCTGTCCTCGGGTAATGCTTTGTGTGGCTCCTAGAAATAGAGGTCCACAGTAGATGGTGGGATCCGTGTCCAGGTTAAACTGATTTCTGCGTCCGCCCCCTCCCTCCCCACCGCACTCCGCACATCTCCACCTTCTGCACCCCACGGAGAGAGGGTGCCTCGTTTCCATTGAGGGTTCCCTGCCAACCCACCTCGCCACTGGGCTGCAGGCTATGGGGGCTGCAGGGAGGCTGGGGAGAGAGGAGCACAGAATTGACCAACCATTTATCTTCCTCCGGTGTCCGCTGGTCTAGTGCATCTGGCTGCAGAGGGAAATTGAGGACCTTACACAGCAGCTAGGTATGAGGGAGCCCTGGCTGGGGCAGGGATGGACAGCGGTGTCTTTCTGCTGGTGTTGGGGGCGGTGGTGGGCTGCAGGTATGGGCAGCATCACTGGGACTGACTTTCCTCTGGGGAGGAGAATCAAGCAGACCTGGCCCTGGAGCCTTCTGTGCCTTTCCAGCTAGGGGTGTGCACAGACAGCAATGTGTCGTCTGAACTCCGTGTACACTTAGTCCACGAGTCCCAGAACTCTCCTTCTCTTAGGGCGGTTAGAGATACCACCTGTGTTTCCCCTTTAACTACTGCCTGGTATGACTTGTATGGTGTTTGCTTGCTGGCTGGCTTATCTGTCTTTGAAATACGTTCTGTACGGTACTGGGATGGCCCAGCACCTGAGAACCACTTTCCCGCTTAGAAGGCATTTCCACATTTAATTCAGGTGACGGGTGGGTGAGTCAGTCCCAGGGCTGGTGGGGTTTCTGGTTGCAGGGCTAGGTGGTTCCCCACCGGGGCAGGGCGTGGGTTTCTGTTTCCCTGGGTCTGGAGTGTCCATTTCTGCCTCTCTCTTTCAGCGGCCATGCAGTTCCTCACTGACAAGTTCCAGGACCTTTGAAGTGAGTGTTGCACACACCATGCCCCTTTCCACAATCATGGTACCTTAGGAGGGCTGTGGGCTGGCCCTGGCTGAGGGCCCGTCCCTGAGCCTACTCTGTTTCACAGGTTGGAGCCAGCATCTTCCTACAAGATGAACAGCTGCCACCTTTGGAGCTCCGGAGCTGCAGCCAAGCGGGTTCCCTCCATATCCTGTTCAGCCAGGGCTTCCTCTCTTCCGCTGCATTTGCCCCCTTCCCAACGCAGTTCAAAGCAATTTGAAATAAAGTCGTTCTCATATTCTGTGGTCTGTGGTCTGCCCTCTCTGCGATTGTTGGGAGTGTTGGGGGTTGCAGCGTGTTGCCCGGTTCACTGGCGGTTGAAGAACAGTTCCCCTGGTGCTCTGTGGTGGGCCCTCTCCCTGCGGGGCACCTGGGCCGGCCTCTGAGCAGCAGCCCTGCACTCGGGCTCACCACAGTGCTCTGGGTCTAGGTGTGTGGGGGCCCTGCCCGGCCACAGCAGCATTTCCTGCCTTTCTCCTACACGCCTTGCTCACGGTCCCTCCTCTTCTCTTCCCACTTTGGGGTCTCACAGTTCCCCTTCTTCAGCGCTATTCTCCCTCCCCTTCAGCAGGAACTGATGGCCTCCTTCCAGAACCCGTCTCTCTCACCTTTCCTCCTGCGGTTCACTGTTTCTGTTCTGCCCTCTCACCATCCTTTCCATCGTGAGCATCCTTGCTCTCCCCAGTGGCTTGATGCCAGTGGCCTTTCCTGCATGGTTATTTCCATGCTGTTGAGGAACAAGACGGAGCTCATCCTCCCCGCCCCTCAGGGGCCCAGTCCTCTTCCTTGAGCCGTTATGTCCCTCCGGTGCCACCATGCACAGGGTCAGGTCATCTGGGGCAAAAACCCGCTTGGCATCCTCAGTTCCTCTTAGCCCTCACCTTTGAACCTTAGTTACCAAATTCTGTCAGATCTCCTCCTTAGCTTCAGTAGCCAGGTGGAGACAGAAACCACATCCTGGTGGGAAGCTGAGCCAAAGGGAAGATACCTGGAGTGCGGAAGAAAAGGGCAAGACAGTCTCTCGGTTGGAGGTGGGGGCACTGAGTCTGTTCTGGTGCCTGCGGGCCAACCTGGTGGAAACCGCCCGCCGGTAGCTACGCGGAAGGCGGCTTCCACATCCTTGGTGTCCTATACGCAGCCAACAGCCCCTTCTGCAGCCGGTGGGCTCCATACCATTGATTTGAAAATGGCCAGCTGGTTTCCAGGGCAAGTGTGGATGCTAGGCCTGGCTGTTCTTGGATGGTTCCCGTGAAATACCGTTTCACCACCCCCAAGGCCAACAGGTTTTTGTGGACGTGATTATTTCTGTGTCCCTGGTCAGTCTTCCCGACCGCCTCTCGAGGTCACACGAGATTTCCTAGAGCTCCCTGTTCTGCCTTCACCCTCCCTGACAGTTGGGATCGCCCGCTTCCTTCAGCCAGAATCCTGGGCTGGGCAGGTCCCAGATTTGGGCACAGATTCCGATTCCAGTGAGGAGGTGTGTGTAGGTTCTGCCAGCTCCCATCGCCGAGAGACAGGGTGTCGAACAAGGACAGGAGAAATACAGATACCATTCAAGGTTAGCGTGTGTATGTGTGTGTGCACGCCCCTGCAAGCACCCGCTTGGGAATCAAATTAATCGGGGGTGCTCTCCGTTGAGGGAGAATGGGCTGATTCACGGAGTGGAAGCAGTGGTGAAGGATCCATGAAGGATCGAATTCGCTAAAGCGGGGCTGGGATCTACCCTTTCACAGGAGGTGTTGTTCAATTCTAACACCTAGAAGGCTGTGGAGTGGGACGAAGGGGACATCCCCAAACACAGGGACAGGTGTCGGGGCTCTCAGAATGCTGGAGGTGCCACAGTAGGCTCCCGATCCTCCGCGGGATGGATGGGATGTCTCAGCACTCCCATGTGTGGGTGCAGTGGTAATACCTCAGAGTCGCTGGTTGGTGCCTCATCTAGAAGTGGGGAGCTCCCGTGGGAGGGTGCCACGACACCCGCTAACCAAGACATGGACGGGCAGGATGCCCACAGAGAGGGTGGAAAGTGGGAAAGAGGGACTGCCCTGGGACAGCTGGTCGGGCCCGGTGTCTGCCTTCCCCCATACTCCCTGTGCGTCTCCCTGTGGGCCCATGGTGTGAGCTCAGTGAGGGGGACCATCACGCACGTGGTGGGCCAATCACAGGCCTCAGACCTGGAAACGAACGCTGGTGGGGACCTACCCCATCGGAATCCAACACCTTCCCTGAGAGGGTTGGCTTGATTCCTCGGGCCAAGGCTTTGACCCTGACACAGGTGGTTGTTTCTTGGGGGGATAACACAGTGGGCTGGTGTCTGGGGGAAGACGTGCGTCAGGGACTCTCCAGCTTGGGTTTTTGCCACCGGAGACATCTAGGCAGGTTCTGGTGGCGTGAGAACTCTAGCCCCAGGCACTGCCCCGGGGGGCATGGGCCATGGTCAACAGGGTGTGGAAGGGGAGAAGCCCGTGGACGGAGTCGTGGAAGGCGTGAACCCATCTCCCGGTGGCTGCATTTGCCAGCCCCGCCTCTCAGCACACCACCTCGGTTCCATATTCAGACCACCTCCCGCACAATAATGAGGCTGTAACATGTACACCCCAGGCCATGGGCGGGTGGAGCCTTCCAGTTCTAGGGGAAATAGGTGCAGAATCCGAGACTCCTCGGATTAGAGGAATCCACCTGGGCCCCAGTGGAGAGGAGGAGGTCGAGCCCTTCCCCTCATTCAGTGTCCCGCTTTGTCTTTTCCTTCAATCCTGCTCTCCCACCAAGAGGAATGTGGGGTCCCGCCTGGAGAGCCTTAGACCCCCTCCTGCCTTGTCCTGCCACTCAGCTCAGACAGGCTCCGGAGGTCTGGCGAGCTGAGTGCCTGCCCTTGATGCAGCCACAGTGGCAGAGCCCTGAGCAGAATCCCACCTACACCCGGCGCCAGGGCTGCCACAGGTACATTTCCAGATGAGACCTCTTACTCTGTGGGCAGAAAAGAGCATCTCCTCTTCAGACTCCAGCTAGAGCCGAAGGTGTGTGAGTCTCTGCACACGCCCACCAGCCAGAGTCCCCTAGGGTGGCCTTCCAGGCTGTGGCGGAGGCCCAGGGCATCGCACACGGGGATGTGAGATGGCAGTCATAGGATCATAGTGGTCATGGTGAGTACCAGCCATGAACTTTAGCCCGCCTGGAACACACTCCTGGGTGAACTCGGACAACCTCACGCACATCTGTCCTCAACCTCCACCCCAAGAACTCCTCCTTTTCCCCACACATTTTCTCATCATGCGTTTCCTCGAAGGATGAGGCCAACACCAGTGTTTGCCAGGTACGGCCGCGTAGGCTGTGGCCGCCAGGGTGGCCACATCTATCTGTGGGATTCCAGGGTGCTCTGTTCTCGTGATCCAGCGTGAACGGCGCCCATGTGGTTGTGCAATGTTGAAGTCCAGGTCACTACCATGCAGAGCGAGGAACAGAAGGTTGGCAGGGTTTTGGAACCCTCCTGTTTGCCCCATCCTGATCACTACCTCCCGCTTTGCACACCCCAGAGGAAATGACTCTGCTGGCTTTTACAATAATCACTCACTTCCCTTTAAGTATTAATAATTGTCATTTAATAACCCTCACCAACATATAAAAGTTAGAGGCAGTTAAATGTAAAATTATATGTTTGAAACATGATACACACACACACACACGCACACACACACACACGGAGAGAACTCAGAAGCCCGCCATCTGACAAACAGTTGTAAGGTGATCAAGCCAGGTAACTACTACCCAGGTCATGAAACTGTACATTGCACCTTTAGAGAATCGCAGTCCGAGTGTCTTTCTCTGAAGGAAGCCAAATGCACATGCTACGTACCGTGTGATTCCATTTATATGACATTCTGGAAAAGGCAAAACTCTAGGAACACAAAACAGATTGATGGTTGCCAGGGTCTGAGGGTTAAGACGAGGAGTTCAGTACAAGAGGACGTAAGGGAACCTGGCGGGGGAGGGGGGCGGGGGATGGCGATGCTCTATATCTATATATATTGTGCTGGTGTTTTTACAGCCATACGCATTTACGAGATCTCACAGACCTCTGTGTAAGTTATAGCCCAATAGTCCTGACTTTTTAGAAAAAAAAAATTGTCAGCAATACATCTCAAATGGAAATTGACATTTAGTCAATACCTTTTGTGACTACGAAGAGCATGTTTGTCTCCCCGAATCTGTTAATGTGGGGAATTATACCACTGTATTTTCTGAAGAGAAATTAAGTTCGTATTTCTGGGATGAAGCCAATATTAGTCATGCCATATTAGGTATTTTCCTTTTTATATCCTGTAGGCTTCCGTGTGCTAAGATTCTGCTTCCAATTTTTACTTCTATGTCACGAGCATGTGATTGACCTGCAATGTTTCTCTAGGTGTCCTTGCAGGATTTGGTATTGAGGTTATGCCAAGCTCATACAGTGAGTGGAGGATTGTTCCTCCCTTTCAATTTTCTTTTCTTTTCTTTTCTTTTCTTTTTTTTTTTTTTTTTTTGAGACGGAGTCTCGCTCTGTCGCCCAGGCTGGAGTGCAGTGGCACGATCTCGGCTCACTGCAAGCTCCGCGTCCCAGGTTCACGCCATTCTCCTGCCTCAGCCTCCCAAGCAGCTGGGACTACAGGCGCCTGCCACCACGCCTGGCTAATTTTTTTTTTTTTTTAATTTTTGGTAGAGATGGGGTTTCACCGTGTTAGCCAGGATGGTCTGGATCTCCTGACCTCGTGATCGACCCGCCTCGGCCTCCCAAAGTGCTGGGATTACAGGCGTGAGCCACCATGCCTGGCCCCTCACTTTCAATTTTCTGCACGAGTTTGTGTAAAATGGAAGATATGTATTCCTAGGATGTTTGTCAGAATGTGGTGGTGAATCCTGGAGTTCATTCGTGGAAAGCCTTTGACTACTGATATCTTTCTGTAATGATTCTGGAACGGTTCAGGTTGGCTGTGCCTTCTTGTGTCAGTTTTGGCGGGTTTGGTTTCCTAGCAATTGGTGACCTTTTTCACTGTTTTCAAACTGACTGGAATAAAATGGTCCATAATACCCGCTTCATCCCAGATTGCATTTGTTTAAATTTTGGAGTCACAGGAGAGTTAGTTGCAGGGAAAGCACAAGGAGCACCCATACGTATATTCTTCAACTGCATCCTCCAGTTGTTACCACTTTCTCACATCTGCTTCAGCCCTCCCTCCATCCTGCACCCCTGTCTTTCTCTAAGCGTGTGTGCGTGCTTGTATTTTTGTTTTATTGTTTTGTGGAATCATTTGAGATCCCTTGGAATCATTTAGATCCATCATCGGTAAATACTGCAGCATGTATCGCCTGCAAGGAAGCATGGGCTCCCACAAAACCTTAATGCCACCATGACACTCAGGAAATGTAACATGGAGACCACACAATTTTCTACTGTATGATCACATGAAACATTCTCCGATTGTCCCCATGGTCCCATAGTATCCCTCATAGCTGCTTTCTAACAAAATTCTCTTTCCAACCAAACATCATGCTTTGCATTTAGTTGTCAAGTCTCTTTTGAGACAGGGTCTCCCTCTGTCGCCCACGCTGGCATGTAGTGTCACGAACCCGGCTCACTGTAGCCTCGACCTCCAGGCTCAAGCCATCCTCCCACCTCAGCCTCCTGAGTAGCTTGGACCACAGGCAAGCGCCAACCGCTCGCCTAGGTCTCCCAAATTGACGGGATTACGGGGGTGAGCCATGAGCCATGGTTCCCGGCCCATCAAGTCTCTTCAGTGTCCTTTAAAGTGTGCTTTTTTTTTTTTTTTTTTTTTGAGATGGAGTCTCCCTCTGTTGCCCAGGCTGGAGCACAGTGGCACGATCTCGGCTCACTGCAAGCTCCACCTCCCGGGTTCACGCCATTCTCCTGCCTCAGCCTCCCGAGTAGCTGGGACTACAGGCGCCCGCCACCACGCCCGGCTAATTTTTTGTATTTTTTAGTAGAGACAGGGTTTCACCGTCTTAACCAGGATGGTCTCCATCTCCTGATCTCGTGATCAGCCCGCCTTAAAGTGTGCTTTAAACCAGTGCAGTCATTGTCAGGAAGCCCTTGAACGTAGGTTTGTCGAATGGCTTCCTTGTGATTAGATTCAGGTAGGTATAACATTTTTGGCAGGACTACTGCATAGCAGACATGCTGTTCTTCTCAGTGCACGACATCAGCAGATTCTCCATGTCGGTTTGTCTCATGACTGGCGATGTTCATCTTGACCATGTGCTCAGGGCGCTGTTCCAGATTACCCCATTGTGAAAGTGCCATCTTCTCTTTGTATTTAATTAGCTATGCGCTGTTACTGCATGGGCACTCTGTGTGAATATCCAGTTCCCCCACAATATCTTCTTTCTATCTTTTGGATGTCTGCATATGATATGGCTTGGAACCGTGTCCCCACCAAGTCTTCTGTCAAACTGTGACTTCTAATGCTGGAGGTGGGGCCTGGTGGGAGGTGACTGGATCATGGGGCTGGATTTCTCAGGAATGGTTTAGCAGCATCCACTTGGTACTGTCCCTGTGGTCGCGAGTGAGTTGTCATGAGTCTGGTTGTTTAAAAGTGTGTGACACCTCCCCCTGTTCTCTCTCTCTTGCTCCTGCTCCTACCATGTAACAAGTACCTGCTCCTGTTTTGCCTTCTGCCATGATTGCAAGTTTCCTGAGTCCTCCTAGAAGCAGAAGCCGCTATGCTACCAGTACAGCCTGCAGAACCATGAGCTCTTCTCTTTATAAATGACTCGGTCTTGGATATTTCTATATAGCAACACGAGAACGGACGTAACATCGTTTGTGCTTATTTCTCCCTTTTCTTTCCTGATAGCGGTGCCCTTCTCCCTTGTTTTCTTGACCAGTCTCACAAGAGGTTTACCAATTTCATTCTTCTTCCAAACACCCAACTTCTGGTTTTGTGATCCTTATGCTTGTTTCCACTTTCACTGATTTCTGCTTTTACCTTGATGACTTCCTTCTACTTTCCTTGGTCTTACGTTGGGCTTCTTTTTCGAACGTTTTCTCTTTAATTGTCTGCGATCCTCTTTTAAATATATGCTTTTAGCAGCCTACACGTCCCTCTCAGGACTCCTTTACTGGTGCCGACAAGGGTTTATGAGTAGTATTTTTGTAATCATCCAGTCCCAAATATGGGAAACAATGAAAATCACAACTTCCATGGGACGGAATGAATACATTGTGGTATGTTAATACAATGGAATACTATTTCAGCAACGGAAAAGTACAAAGTACTCCTCCATGGAATAATAGGCGCGAATCTTACAAAGATAACATCGAGGGAAAGAAGCAAGGGACAACACGGACATGCTTAATGATTCCATTCCTATAACTTCAAATGACAGGCAACACTAACCTACCTTGTTGAAGAATGCATACTTAGGATATAAAACCACAGAGAAGAGCAAGGAAAGGACAATCAGAAAAGTCAGGATGTTGGTTTCCCCTTGCAGTAGGAGTGGGGCTGAGCTCAGGCAGGGACACCCCAGGAGGCTCTGGGGAATGCTGGCGGTGTTCTTCTCTGGGACCTAGGGGAGCGTTCCTGTGCAGGTGCACTGGACAATCATTTATTAAACTATGCACATAAACTGTGATGTTTTCTTTCTGTACGTTGCCTGCCACCATAAGCAGACAAAACAATAGTGCTAAGGGAAGTAACACTGCATTAAACAGGTAAGTATTTTATAACCAGAAGGATAACCAAAATTTTATTTTCTCTATTTATAGCAGATCTCCTTGCGAGTACTAATATCAGTTTATTGATAGTGATAGCTTGATTTCAAATTCTCATAGATTTCACCAAACATCGTAGGAACGATGCTTACATAATTGTGATATTAATTTCGATGTTTTGGTAAATATTTTATATTTGGGTGGCAAGTTTTCATTCAGAATTTGTGATTATGTGTTGGAACACCATGCACTTGGTACATTTTTCTCACGGGAGATTTGTCACCTCCCCATCCACTTATTCTCAGGGGCAGACGACTTAGGACCTGAGAAAAAGAAATTAAGGCAACAACGTTAAGGGGCAGCAACGCAAATTTTTACCTTCATAGTTTATATCAGTTAATTGTGGTATACTCACATGATGGAATACCTTTTTTTTTTTTTTTTTTTTGCAATGGAAATGTACGGGGTATTCTTAGGGATACTGTCCATTTTTAAGAAAAGTCCATTACCAAGATATAACAAATTACATAAAGTTAACTATCATATGATATTTATAAAGCATACTACACATATATACAAGTTTAGAAAACCAATCGACTGTGAATGAACTATTGTGAAGTGAGGAAAACACGTATTGAGTACTGAGGTCAAGAAAGAGTACATTGCAGTTCTAGAGGTCTTATATGTATTTCATTGTGCTAAAGACACCAAATATGAAACTCTACATAATGTATGATTCCATTTGTAGAACATTCTTAAAACTGGAAAACTACACATACAGAAAACTAATCAGTCATTTCCAGGTCTGTGGATTGTGAGAAGTGTTTAACTACAAATGTGTGTTATTTGTTATTAGCAATTTTGCCCCTCTTTATTTTGAAATGTAACATACATAGAGAGAACCTCACAATATGTGTGTGTTGTTTAATAAGTGATTATCAAGGGCACCTCTACAGAAACACCCCCATGTCACAGAGGAGAACACCGCCAGCATTCCCCAAAGCTCCTGGGGTGTCTCTGCCTGATCTCAGCCTCATTCCTCCTTCAAGAGGAAACCAACACATTTACATTTGTGATCCTTCTTTCCTCTTTTTTCTCTACGTTTTTCTGTCCTATGTCCTATATTACATTCTTTTAATACTACAGTATGCCTGCAGACGACATGTTCCTAAATCTAGAAAACCACACAGTCTCAGCCCCAAAGCTCCTTAAGCTGATAATCAACTTCAGCAAAGTCTCAGGATACCAAATCAATGTGAAAAATCGCTAACATTCGTATACACCAACAACAGTCAAGCAGAGAGCCAAATCGGGAACACAGTCCCATTCATAATTGCTACACACACCAAGATACCCAGGAATACACCACACCAGGGAGGTGAAAGATCTCTACAAGAAGAACTACAAAATACTGCTCAAGGAAATCAGAGACGTGACAAACAAATGGAAAAACATTTCTGCTCATGAATAGGAAGAATCAATATCATTAAAGTGGCCATACTGCCCAAAGCAATTTGCAGATTCAATGCGATTCCTATTAAGTTACCTTTGGCATTCTTCACAGTACGAGGAAACCTATTTTAAAATTCATATGGAACTGAAAAAGAGTCTGAATGGCCAAGGCAATTCTAAGTGAAAAAGAACAAAGCTGGAGGCATCACGCTACCCGACTTCAAACTATACCGCAAGCCTACACTAACCAAAACAGCATGGTACTGGTACAAAAACAGACATGGAGACCAATGGAACACAATAGAGAACCCAGAAATGAGGCCCCACACCTACAACTATCTGGTCTTTGACAAACCTGACGAAAGCAAGCAATGGGGAAAGGATTCCCTATTCAGCAAACGGTGCTGGGATAACTGGCTAGCCATATATGGAAGACTGAAACTGAACCCCTTTCTTACACCAGGTACTAGTCCGTTCTCTTGCTGCTAATAAAGACATACCCGAGACTGGGTAATTTATAAAGAAAAGAAGTTTAACGGACTCACAGTTCCACATGCCTTGGGAGGCCTCACAATCATGGCAGAAGGCGAAGGAGGAGCAAAGGATGTGCGTTACATGGCGACAGGGAAGACAGCATGTGCAGGGGAACTGCCCTTTATAAAACCATGAGATCTCATGAGACTTATTCGCTATCATGAGAACAGCACAGGAAAAATCCACCCCCGTGACTCAATTACCGCCCACCGGATCCCTCCCACAACACGTGGGGATTATGGGAGCTACAGTTCAAGAGGAGATTTGGGTGGGAACACAGCCAAACTATATCACACCATACACAAAAGTTAACTCAACATGGATTAAAGACTTAAATGTAAAACCCCAAGCTATAAAATCCCTGAAAGGCAACCCAGGCAATCATTTTCTGGATAAGGAATGGGCAAAGATTTCATGACGAAGACACCAAGAGCAATTACAACAAAAGCAAAAATTGACAAATGGGATCTAATTAAACTAAAGAGCTCTGCACACTAAAGGAAACTACCAGCAGAGTGAACAGACAACCTACAGAATAAGAGAAAACTTTTGCAGACTATGGATCTGACAAAGGTCTAATATCTAGCATCTATAAGGAACTTAAACAAGTTTACAAGGAAAAAACCAAACAACCCCATTAAAAAGTGGGCAAAGGACACGAACAGTCACTTTTCAAAACAAGACGTACATGCGGCCAACAATCCTGTGAAAGAAAGCTCAACATCACTGACCATTAGAGAAATGCAAATCAAAACCACAATGAGATACCATCTCACGCCAGTCAGAATGGCTATTACTACAAAGTAAAAGAATAATGGATACTGGCGAGGTTGCAGAGAAAAAGGAACACTTATACACTGTTGGTGAGAGTGTAAATTAGTTTAACCATTGTGGAAGACAGTGTGGTGATTCCTCGAAGACCTAAAGACAGAAATACCATTCGGCCCAGCAATCTCATCGCTGAGCATATACCCAAAGGAATATAATAAATCATTCTGTTATCAAGACACGTGCACGTGTATATTCATTGCAGCACTATTCACAATAGCAAAGACATGGAATCAACCTAAATGCCCATCAATGGTAGACTGGATAAAGAAAATGTGGTACATATACACCACGGGATACTATGCGGCCATAAAAAAGAATGAGATCAGGTCCTTTGCAGGAACATGGTTGGATCTGGAGACCATTATCCTTAGCAAACTAATGCAGGAACAGAAAACCAAATATCGCATATTCCCACTTACAAGTGGGAGCTAAACCATGAGAACACGGGGACACAAAGAGGGGAACAACACACACTGGGGCCTATTGGACGGTGGAGGGTGGGAGGATGGAGAGGAGCAGGAAAAATAACGAATGGGTACTAGGCTTAATCACTGGGTGACGAAACAATTTCTACAAGAAACCCCCACGACACAAGTTTACCTATGTAACAAACCTGTACATGTACCTCTGAACTTAAAATAAAAGTTCAATTCAAGAAATAAGAATAATATGGTTTGGTGTTGACTGTTATGTACTTTTATATTAGTGGAATCAGAAAATATGTTCATATTTCTTGCTTCTTGTGTTTAATGTCAGGAGTTTGGTTTTGGATATTTAAATTTGAGATGCCTATTAGGTATCCACGTGGAGAAGCTGAGTAGACAAAGGTCTGGATCTGGGCTGAAGAAATACATATGAGAGTCATCGTAGTATCGATTTTTTTTTTTCAGGGCCCATCGCAGAGCTTATAGCTTGCAGTGAACGCCAAGAATGAGTTCTCAGACAAATCCAGCTGAGGGGGGCCGGGGGCAGCTCTTCTAAGAGACTCCGCCCCAGCATCTGTCCGCCAAGTATTCATTGAAAGGGCTTGTTAGACCACAAACATCCACTAGATGGCCTTTTTGAGGTCGGGTCATGAGACACCTGTGGCCTGGTAAAAGCACTCAAACCGCATTCTCGGGAGGCTGTTTTCAGCGTTCCTTATCACACCACACACTCCACTCCCCGTCCTGTTTTCAGGGTCAAGGAGTTTCATTCTCATGCACAAATAACATACACACAGTGCCTCAGTATGTTTCCATGCCCCGACCTCAAACGCCTTGTACATAAGCTTGAATATGCTGTCGTGCACCCCGCCATATTCCCCCCTTCTTTAATTCTTATAGCGTGCTGGTCATCCAATGCAAGGTAAGCTTCCATGATTCTTCCCTGGTCATAGATGCGTCGGGTGGCAGCACAGAGCCATCTGCAAGTGCCTAGCAAACAGATACAAAAAAGAATAAGTACAGCGGCCATCACCCAAATGCGTATGTTTAACCCAGACAACCAAGTGTTCGGGTTTAACCATTGAAAGCCTTCTTGTAATTGCTGAAGGATACTTGTTTGTAATTGCTGCGACCATTCTTCAAGGTGTTTCTTTAATTCACACTCAAGAATGGAAATTTGAGAAGACAAATGGTCGTGATAAGCCCCTTGCAGATGTGCTTTCACTCTCTCCCAAGCATATTGGGAGCTATTATATGGCAGAGGCGTGACACAGATAGAATTATATTGCCAATCAACAATGTAAATTTTGATGGGTAATGAATGCCTGCTGCTGATTCCCCAGTTATTCAACAGCGGCTTCAAGAGACCGGGCGAGACAGAATGGTTTTATCTATATTTACCTGTTCTTGAAATTCACGGGTTACATTATACACCATGTGGTTCACCACTGAGGCTGTGTGAATAGATTCTGTCAGAGAAACAGCTGCAGTAGCAGCAGTTGCTAATATAATAATAGCTGAGACTAAAAAGGCAATTAAAGTGGCCAGGAATCTTTTTTTTTTTTTTTTTTTCCGAGTATGAGATAGTGATTTTCTAAATAGCTGCAGGGTGGAATCTCCTTTTCAGCTCCAGGTTAAATTTACAGGCAGCCACAATTCTGCACGCCATTTTAAGATCATGACATAGGTTATATCCAACTGTGTAATGTTTCGATGGACAAGCATGCAGCATACCAACTACTGGAAGAGACTTTAATACTATAAAAAGATTGATTCTGCTCTATGTTAGGAACACCTTGCCCAAACAAAAGTATATAAGGGTGCGTGGTACAAATCAGGACTGTGTCAGTAACATTATTATGCAAAGAGAGGGTATGGTTGCCACCGCCAGTAATATACTCACCATGTGAAAGAACCCGTTCAAAAAAAGGAAATCCTAATCTCCAAATTTGGGTATGAGCAGGGCTTAAAGCTTGTTTCCCTCTCACTTGTAATACTGGTCCTGAAAGCCCATACTCTGACTAGGTAATAGGACTACTGGAGGGACTCCCAAGTCCAATAGTCTGATTTGCAGACATAAGATTACCACGGGGACCCCAATCAAGTAAGGTGCCATTATCAAACAGAGGCCCTTGACGTGGAGCAGGCTGTCTGCACGGCGACCACTGGACGGCCTCAAACTTTTATCGCCAGTCCCTACTCGGACGGCATATAGGAAGATCAGGCACTTGTGTAGCTTCATTAGAGACCTCAGTAAGATTAGTGGTAATAGTAGAAATAAAGGTCAAGTTTGCAAGCTTAGCATCCCTTTTAGGCTGATAGTAAAGATACTCCTGAGGGATGAGAGTAACACACTTATCATGTGCTATTGTGGAAAAACAAAGAGGGGGATTACTAGACAATAAAATCGAGGAGTAATTAAGTTGAATCCATCCCAAATTTTCAGTTACGGGGTAAGACAGAGGCATCCATCGGCCTCCTGCCCAAGAAGTATCATTAGATGACAAAGGCGGGTCAGCATCCCACCATGTAATAACATTAAAAACAGGGGGATTTAGAACATGACTCCAATAAACATGTCCTTAAGCTGATCCCACTTAGCAAAGGACAAGAATTACCTGCCACCCCAACATCCATGTCTGTCTTACTTTCTCAGAAGTTTCCCCAATTGCCACCAGATATGTAAGAAACCGATTGTCTGCAGTTGCAGGGGCTTCCACGGCGGCAAGCTGGATAGATGCTTGTTGATTCAATTTCTTTAGCTGTCCCCAGGTGATGTCAGGTGCCTTCCGAGTCATCACCATCATTGTTGGTTGGTTCTCCAACGACTGGTCCTGTTCTCTAGAAGAGAGCCCCATATTCCCCCCCGCCCTTTTTAAATTAAGATATACTTTAAGAGTTTGATGAGCTCGTTTAACAATGGCCTGACTGGTTGAGTTATAAGGAATATCAGTTTTATGTTGCATGTGCCAAAGTTGCAATGCATATGTAAATCGAGCACTAAGATAGGAAGGTCCATTATTAGTTTTTATAGTGTGTGGAAGGCTTAGAGTTATCATAGATTTAAACAAATGAGCGATTGCATCTTTAGTTTTTTCTCCTGTCTGGGAGGTAGCATGTATTAGGCCTGTATATGTGTCCACGGTAACATGGAGAAATTTAAAACGTCCAAAGGGTGGACACCGAGTGACATTAGTTTGCCAGATAGCATTAGGCACCAGACCTCGTAGGTTGGCACTAAGCCCTAAGGAAAAGGGGGAAAGAGAATGCTGTTGGCAATTAGGACAAGTTTTAATAATCATGCAAGCTTGAGTAAGTGTCAAATGAAGCTGTTGTTTAAGACGGCGGGCGTTCCGATGAAAAAACAACATGATCAGCTTGAGCTTGCAAAAAAGCAGGAGAATTTGCAAAGCACATCTGTGGTCGTACCAGAGCATCAGCTCAAGCATTCCCTTCTGATAAGGACCAGGTAGCCCAGAATGACGGCGAATATGTGTGATGTAAAGAGGGTGATGACAGGCACAGAGGAGCTCTTGCGCTGCAAGAAACAAAGCTAATAGGGGTTTATTAGTAATGCCCTTCACATGTGCAAGATCTAAATGAGTAATACTATACACCACATAAGCGGAATCACCAACGATATTTATGTCTTGGTGAGGAAAAGTTTGTAAGGCCAATATCAGGGCACCTAATTCCGCCTGTTGCATAGTTTTTAAAATGCTCCTGGATTTTGTACTGCCAGTTCTGCATGGCATCTTGCCACACTATAGCTGCTTTTTCAGTTTTTGGGTTTTTTTTTAACCATCTGTAAAGACAGTGGTGGCATGAAGTAAAGGCTCAGAGACAACAATACATACAAATTAAACAGGTACAGTTTGTAAAAAGTTCAGGAGCTTAGAGGCTGGTAAATGAAAGCTGATATTACCAATAAAGACAGCCATTGCTACTTGCCAATCAAGATCACAAGCTAAGAGAGTGTGAAATTGTTCCTTGCTTAAAGGTAGGAAAAGAGTAGCAGGGTCTTATCCTGACAGCTGGACGCAACGTTGGCGTCCTTTTATGAGAAGAGAAGCTATTATATCTGTAGTCTTTTGTATAAGTTTAGAGGGATTATGAGACAGGTACATAACATATAAAATACCGAAATGGCAAAAGATAAAGCCTACCTGTTAAACTAAGGCATGGAAAGGATGGATATTTTAAGTGATTTTTACTATATTTTGGCCCTTGAAAGCCATTAGAAAGTGACTGCAAGTCGCCAGGATAATAAACCTGCATTGAGTTAGCTTAAGTGTGTTAAAAAGAAAAGAAAACAAAAAAAAGCTTTTTAAAATGTCCTTTGGTGTTAGCCATTTTCCTGCATCAGCCTTTAGCTGGAATGTCTTAGAAGTGAGCTTGGGAAAGTAGGGCTGTGGCCAGTTTCTTTCTATTCGTTCTGGGCCCCTTAGGCAGCTTCTCTTTTTAATAGCCTGCCACTTGTTGCTGTCCTTACCCTGAGAGGAAGGAAGGAAGAGTACAAGCGGCAGTAAGAGGCCAGAGAATGACCGGGTGGTAAACTGTGTGTGGAAGTGCGGAGGCTGGAGGCAAGAAGGTAACAGGCTGGGAGAAAAACACTCCCCTTATCTTCTAGGCCACCTACGCCTGCAGCCAACCCTGTTAGGTGAGGTACTGAAAATATACTGGGCTTTTTATTATTTTTACCACCCCCAAGCAGAGAGGCTCAGGGGAGGAGCAGACATGCAGCACAGGGTCTGCTTTGAAGTTTCTTAACCACAGTGTTTTTAAACATTTTGTAAAAAAGCAAAACAAACACTCCTTACTGCTGCGTCTATCTTCTGAAGATGACAGCAGCTGGCAGAGCTCGTCCCCCTCAGTCTAGTTAGCATTTAATATATGGCTATGGGAGAGCGCCCCTTATTAGTGGGCTCCTCCTCCAGGGCTCTGTACTCCGGGCTGCTCCACACTCCTTTGCCCACCTTAGGCTAGTAAGGTCCGGGTGCACATGGACTATTTCTCAGCCCTTTCCCTAGGGGGCCAGGGAAGACAAGGAATTGCTCGTCAACTGAGACATGTGAGGAGTGGCAGGGAAGGGCAGAAGTAGGAAAAGCAGCAGCACGGCAAGCAGCAGGCCACTTCCTGGGCACAGTTACTAAGGCACGTGACCATGGTGAGGCGGATCCTCAGGACTGGGCTGGAGCTGCCTGCAGCCACCCGGGGACTCGGTCTGTGCCTTTTGGCCTTCCCTCCGTCACCACAAACCCAGAAAGGGGCAACCTGCCCAGGCTGCCAGTGACCAAGTGTGCACTCCATGGCATCTCAGCAACTCTCCTGCCCCAGGCCTCTGTGGGCAGCAAGAAAGCTAGAGCTATCTGGGATAAAACCCAGGAGGCAGCATGCAACTTCCCCTTTTACTCCAGTGAAACAGAAAAAAGACAAGGCCAGAAAGGCTGATGCTGGAAGTAGCAAATGGGAACTTGCATATTAGGAAGACAATCATAATCAGCCACTTTCCTTCCCTCCTGGACGCACCCCTCCAGCAGGGAAGTTAGTCGAGGAGACGCAGCCACCCAATCATACAGATCATACAGATGTTCGCTGACCGGGGGTCTTATCTAAGAGCCGTCCCTTGGGCGGCCTCCAATCTCCTTAAGGGGGATGGAAGGCGCTGTTGGCTGAACAGGGCCAACAAATGCAGGTCCTTTTAAGGGTGGAGGAAAGAAGGGCAATGGCTTTTCTACAGGGGGAGGAAAAGGCTCCCGTCCGTCCTTATCCTCACTAAAAAAAAAAAAAAAAAAAAAAATCCTCCTTATGCCCTACAGAAGGGAATGAGGTAGAGAGAGGAGCACCCCCACCCCCCAACCACTGTTCTGGTTCCTGTTTGTCCTCACTAGAAAAAAACCTCTTCCTTATTCCCCATAGAACGGAATGAAGTGGGGAGAGGAATCTCTCCCTTCAAATCTTCTGAATTCTTTTCAGGTGGAGATAATGGGCGATCTAACCACGATCTGGCAGATAAAGAGGATACAACGCAGAGCGTACCAGCGCCCAGGTGGTCAAAATAGTAACATTAGTAAAATGACCCTGCTCATATCCTCTTTTCAGGCAGCGACCTACCTGCTCTCATAACCCTAAATCTAAGGTTCCTTGATCAGGAAACCAAGGGCATTTCTGCCAAATTAAAAGCATAAGCTTGTGTAGAGCTCCAGGCTCTACAGTGCACTGGATAGCCTTAAGTAGCTGTTGCACTGTTTTAAAAAATACTTTCTGTTCTTTGGTCATTTCCTGACCCATGATAACCCAACCCGCGATAGTTTACGCATGGGTCCCGTCCTCCTGATGGGAGTCAGGACTGTCCCTTACCAGGATTCCCCGAAAAGTAATGAGCTCTCCTCCTTCACGCGTAACTTCAAGGCGATCACGTCGGGGTCACCACTTGCAGAGCTTATAGCTTGCAGTGAACGCCAAGAATGAGTTCTCAGACAAATCCAGCTGAGGGGGGCCGGGGGCAGCTCTTCTAAGAGACTCCGCCCCAGCATCTGTCCGCCAAGTATTCATTGAAAGGGCTTGTTAGACCACAAACATCCACTAGATGGCCTTTTTGAGGTCGGGTCATGAGACACCTGTGGCCTGGTAAAAGCACTCAAACCGCATTCTCGGGAGGCTGTTTTCAGCGTTCCTTATCACACCACACACTCCACTCCCCGTCCTGTTTTCAGGGTCAAGGAGTTTCATTCTCATGCACAAATAACATACACACAGTGCCTCAGTATGTTTCCATGCCCCGACCTCAAACGCCTTGTACATAAGCTTGAATATGTTGCCGTGCACCCCCGACACCCACTCCAGAGACAGAAATTACACCACTTTTCTATTGAGTTATGTTAAAATACACGTAACATAAAATTTACCATCTTAAGTGTTTTTCAGTTTTGGGTTCAGTAGTGTTAAGTATATTTGCATTGCTGTGCAGCCAATCTCCAGCATGTCTTCAACTGCAAAACTGAAATGTATACCCATTAAACAACTCCTCATTTTTCCCTGCCCCGCAGCCTCTGGAAACCACCATTCTACCTGCCGTTTCTGAGTTTGAATATTTTAGATCCCGTATATAGGCGGAATCATGTAGTATTTGTCCTTTTGTGACTGGCTCATTTCATAGCATAAGGTCCTAAAATTTTATCCACGTTGTAGCCTGTATCAGAACTCCATCCTTTTACAGGTCAAATCGTAATTCATTGTAAGGGCCAAATAGTGGACCACATTTAGTTTCTGTATTCACCCATCAGTGGACACTTGGGTTGCTTCCATCTCTTGGCTCTCATGAATAATGCTGCTATGAGCACGGATGTACAAATATCTCTGAGACTCTGATTTCTATTTTTTCGATATAGACACAGAATGGAATTACTGGATCATATGGTAATTCTCTTTTTAGTTTTCTGAGTAACCGCCATACTGTTTTCCACAGCAGCTGTGCCATTTTACATTCCCACCAACAGTGCACAAAGGTTCCAGTTTCTGCACATCTTCACCAGTATCACATCAGTTTTATTGAACAAATGGAATTTATTTCATTTCTTTGTATTTTGTTTTTGTTTATTTGTAATGACACAATCGTATACATTTGTAGTGTACAACATGATGATTTGAAATACGTATACATTGTGCAATGGCTAAATTAGGCTAACTACAATATGTATGAACTCACATACCTTTCATCTTCTGTGGTGAGAACACTTAAAATCTACCCTCTTAACAATTTTCAAGGATACATTATTATTAACTATAGTCACCATGTCTACAATAGATCTCTTGAACTTAGACTTCTTGTCTAAATGAAGTTTTGTATCCTCTGACCAATATCTCCCCAATCCTTCCCAGCCCCAGACCCTGGTAACCACCATTCTATTCTCTGTTTCTAAAAAGTTTGATTTTTTAAGATTCCACACCCCAGTGAGATCATACAGTATTTGTCTTGCCGTGCCTGCCTTATTTCACTCGACATAATGTACTCCAGATTCACTCATGTTGCCACAAATGACAGGATTTCCTTTTATTTTTTAAAAAATGCTCAATACTATTCTATTGTGTGTACATATACACATGTGCTTTACCCATTCATCCGTTGATGGGCTCTTGGTTTGACTTCACGTCTTGGCTGTTGTGAACAGTGCTGCAATGTATATGCAAGTGCAGATATTTTTGACATACTCATTTCATTTTCTTTGGCCATCTATCCAGTAGTGGGATTACTAAATCAAATGATAGTGCTATGGATAAGTTTTTAATTTTAAGTTTAATGGATACATAAGATTTGCACATATTTATGATGTACATGTGATATTTTGTCACGTGCATAGAGTGTGTAATGATCAGTTCAGGATATTTGGGGTAACCATCACCTGGAATATTTTTGATTCCTAGTATTGGGGGTATTTCAAGTCCTCTCTTCTATTTTGAAATATGCAATACATTGCTGTTAACTGTAGTCATCCTACTCTGCTATTGAACATTACAAATTATTCCTTTTTTTTTTTTTTTTTTTTTTTTTTTTTGAGACAGGTTCTCACTCTGTCGCCCCAGGCTGGAGTGCAGCGGCGCGATCAAAGCTTACTGCAGCCTCAACCTCCTAGGCTTAAGCGATCCTCCCACCTCAGCCTCCTGAGTAGCTGGGACAACAGGCACATGCCACCATGCAGGGCTACTTTTTTTTTTTTTTTTTTTTTCATAGAGACAGGGTTTCGCTATATTGTCCAGGCTGGTCTGCAACTCCTGAGCTCATGCTAACTGCCCGCCTCGGCCTCCCAAACTGCTGGGATTACAGGTGTCAGCCACCATGCCCAGCCTAGAACTTATTCCTTTTTAACTGTATGTTTATGCCTGTCAACCAATCTCTCTTCTTCCAAACCCCCCTTCCTCCAATCCACACACACTTCCCAGCCTCTCATATCTATCACTCTATTCTCTGCCTCTAGGAGATCAACTTTTTTCCCTCCCATATATGAGTGAGAACATATGGTATTTGTCTTTCTGTGCCTGGCTTATTTCACCTAACATAATGACCTCCAGTTCCATCCATGTTGCTGCAAATGAAAGGATTTCATTCTTTTTGTGGCTGAATTGTATTTCCTGTGTACATATGCCACATTTTCTTTATCCATTCATCCACTGATGGACACTTAGGTTGATTCCATGTCTTGGCTATTGTGATGAGTGCTGCAATAAACATGGGGGTGTAGGTATCCCTTTGATATACTGATTTCGTTTCTTTTGGATAAATACCCGGTAGTGGGATTGCTGGATAGTTCTATCTGTAGTGTTTTGAAAAGTCTCCATACTGTTTTCCACAGTGGCTGTACTAATTTACATTCCCACCAACAGTGTATAAGGGTTCCCTTTTCTTCACATCCTCGCCAACACTTGTTCTCTTTTATCTTTCTGATAATAGCCATTTTAA
Source organism: Homo sapiens (assembly GCF_000001405.40). Taxonomy (NCBI): domain Eukaryota; kingdom Metazoa; phylum Chordata; class Mammalia; order Primates; family Hominidae; genus Homo; species Homo sapiens. The sequence goes on along the minus strand of NC_000023.11, from coordinate 71,694,204 downwards.
CAGGTGTGAAGTGATAGCTCATTGTGACATTTCCCTGATGATAAGTGATGTCGAGCATTTTCATACAACTGTTGGCCATTTGTATGTCGTCTTTGGAGAAATGTCTATTCAGATCCTTTGCACGTTTTAAAATCAGGTGATTTGTTTTCTTGTTATTGAGTTGAGTTCCTTATGTATTTTGGATATTAACTCCTTATCAGATGTATAGTTTGTGAATATTTTCTCCCATTCTGTAGGTTGCCTCTTCACTCTGTTGATCGTTTCCTTTGTTGTGCAGAAGCCTTTCAGTTTGACGTAATCCCATTTCTCTATTCTTTCTTTGGTTGCTCATGCTTTTGGGGTCATAGTGGAAAAATTATTTCCCAGATCAATGCCATGGATGATTCCCCCTATGTTTTCTTCTGGTAGTTTTACAGTTTCAGGTCTTACATTTAAATCCGGAGTCCAATTTGCCTTGATTTTTGTGTATGATAGGAGACAAGGGTCCCATTTCATTCTTCTGCATGTGGATATTCCGTTTTCCCAAGACCATTTATTGAAGAGACAGTCCTTTCCCTATGTGTGTTCTTGGCATCTTTGTTGAAAATCACTTGACCATAAATGCATTAATTCTTTCTAGTCTATTATATTTGTCTGTTTGTATGCCAGTACCATGCTGTTTTGATTACTCTAGCTTTTATTATATTTTGAGATCAGGTTGTGATTCCTCCAGCTTTGTTCGTTTCGCTCAAGATTGCTTTGGGTAACTGGAGTCTTTTGTGGTTCGCTGCGAATTTCAGGATTGCTTTTTCTATGTATGTAAAACTAGCGTTGGAATTTGGTAGGGATTGCATCGAATCTGTTAATTGCTTTGAGTAGTATGGACATTTTAACAATACTGATTCTTCCAATCCTTGATCATGGGTTAGCTTTCCATTTATTTGTGGCTTCCTCAATTGCTTTCATCAATGTCTTATAGTTTTCAGTGTACAGATCTTTTACCTCCTTGATTGAACTTATTCCTAAGTATTTTATGTTGTTTTTGAGAACTGTTTTAAATGGTATTGTTTTCTTGATTTATTTTCAGATAGTTTGCTATTAGTGTATAGAAATGCTACTGATTTGTACATGTTGATTTTGTTTTTTGCAACTTTCCTTAAAATTCATTTGAATTTTAAGGTTTTCTGTAAAATATTTTAAGACTTTATATATGTACAATCATGTCATCTGCAGAGAGAGGTAATTTAATTTCTTTTTTGAGATAGGGTCTCATTTTGTCACCCAGGCTGGAGTGCAGTGGTGCGATCTCAGCTCACCGCAGCCTCGACTTCCTGGGTTCGAGCGAGTCTCGTGCCTCAGGCCCAGATGTAGCTGGTCGCCACCACGCCCAGCTAGCTTTCGTATTTTTGGTAGAGGCAGGGTTTCGCCGTGTTGCCCAGGCTGGTCTCGAACTCCTGGCCTCATGTGATCCACCTGCCTCGGTCTCCCAAAGTGTTAGGATTACAAGCATGAGCCACCACACACAGCACACTTGTTACTTTCTGCTTTGTGTGCCTTTCATCTTTTTTCTCTGGCCTAAGATTTTTGACTAAAAGTTGTAGTACTACGTTGCATAGCCGTGGTGAAAGGGAGCATCTTTGTCTTGCTCCTGATGTAGGTAGTATTGAAACCAGGGTCTTCCATCAGCTGTGGCAAGAATGTAGTTAAAGAAAAGAATCAGACCAGAAATTGAGCCCCGGGGCTCTATATTTTTAAGAATCTGGGGTAAGGGAGCTTCCAGATAGCTGAACACATGGAAGTTCCTGGAGGGAGGTGCACCTGTGCCCTATGCATCTCTTTCATCTGGCTGTTCGTCTGTATCCTTTCTCATGTTCTTCATAATAAATGGGTAACATATTTATTAATCAGTGATAAAACCCAACACGATACACTAACATGATTTTGTGCACTTAGAGGAGAAATATTTCCTAGTTAAGTAGGAAATTGTGCAAAAGGCCTCTGGAAGACCTTCATTCTAAACTGTTTTGTAGGGAAACATTTCATTTAGAAGTCTGGACATTCTTTCTTCCGTTTGCTGTAATCTGCATTCGCTGAGTAGAACTCGTATTGATCATCGGGACCCCGTTTATTCCAGGATTCTGAGGTATTCTTTCTGTCCCAACTAACTTTTGGGTTAAACAGTGTCAGATGCAAGACATGCAGCCCTGCTCTAGTGCCTCCTGCTCAAATAGATACAAATACAGAGATGTCGAACTCAAATGCTTTCTGGCCTGACCAAAGAGCTTCTGGAGCATGTGTGAAGCCTGGAAGGAGAGAAGAACAAATATTTCAGGCCCAGGTCCAAGTAGGTCAATGCAGCATTTGATTTTTGGAGGAGACTTGGGTAATACAGAATTGAGTTAATCATAATCCTTATTTCATAACATGCTACCCGTGATTGATACGAGGCCCTGTTTGTTTATTTTAAAATGCAATGTGCCCCCATTTACCTATTACCCGATCCAATAACTAGACTATCAGTAGAAACCTGTATATCTACCTCTGAGCTCCCCTCACTGTAACCTCCTGAATCCCTTCACTTCCACCAGAGGCAACCCCAGCCTGAATTGTGTACTTGGCATTCCTTTGGTTTTTATTGCAAATAAGTATATATATAAAACAATATACCCTTTTTTTGTTTTTGAGACAGGGTCTCACTCTGATTGTTCGGTCTGAAGTGCAGTAGCATGATTTTGGCTCACTGCAGGCTCGACCTCCCTGGCTCAGGTGATTCTCCCACCTCAGTCTCCCGAGTACCTAGGAGTACAAGCGCGCGCTGTGATGTCTGGCTAATTTTTTGGAGAGACGGGGTTTAGCCATGTTGCACAGGCTGGTCTCAAACTCCTGGACTCAAGCACTCCACCCACCTCTGCCTCCCAAAGTGCTGGGATTACAGGCGTGAGCCACTGTGCTCGGCCATTAAACTCTTCAGTTTTGCTTGATTTTGAACCTTATGAAAAGGGTGTCACACGGTATGTAGTCTTGTGGGAATTACTTTTTTCATACTTATACTAACATTATCCATTGTTGACTATGGAACTGCAGTTCACCCATTTGCCTTGCTACATAGTGTATCATGGTGTGCATATACCACAGTTTAGGCATTCTCTTGTTCATGAGCATTTGCATTGGTCGCAGGTTTTTGCTACCGTGGCCAGTGCTGCTGTGAAATTCTTGTCCAGTGGACATTGATAGGAATTGCTGAGTTAGCAATGACCTACTTCATATATTGATGCCACATTGTTTTCCAAACTGGTTGTGTTCGTTTATATTCCCAACATGTTGCAAGCTGTATGAGATCCCACTGCTCTGCGTTATCTCTAACCTTTGATGTTGCTAGGTTTCTTATTCTTTGCCAATCAAATGGGTACAAGATTTATCTTGAGGTCATGTTTAGCATTCCCCTGACTACTGATGAGCTGAGCATATCTTCATGTGTTTATTGGCCACATAGGTTCCTTCTTCTATGGAATTCCTGTTCATGATTTTTGCCTATTTTCTTAATGGGTTGTTTGTCTTTCTTATTGATTTCTACAAGTTCTCAAAATATATTATTGATACCAATCTTTTGTCAATTGTATATAGGATAAAGATCTTCTTCCAGCTTGCACCATGTATTTCCACTTTTATATGACGTCTTTTAAAAATTGAGGTATTACCTACATACAGCAAATCACAGAAACATAAGTCTACAATTTTATCACAGTTATACACCCATGTAACCGCCATCCAGATCAAAATATAGAACATTTTCAACATCCTCCCATCCCCAGAAAGAGAATTTTGAGAGAAAATGAGGAACCAGTAAAGACTGAGGAGTGATCACTGATATGGGAATAAGCCCTATGTCTTCTCCTGGTAATGGCAGATGAGATAATTCAGATAAACCCTGTGTGTTGGCCATCTGTTAGTTGGCCATCTGGTTTAACTCCATCTACAGCCTCCCTCCCTCTCTCTGGTGACTGGGCTGATATCACATAGTTCAATGCCCCAACCCTCTAGTCATATGATTGGTCTTTCTGGTCTGGCCAGCCTCCATTTGGAGTCATCTCATCACACAAACTATCTAGGGGCCTCCCATGACTCACCTCATTAGCATAAACCATGAAGTGTGGTCCATGGGACCCATCAGGAATGACAGTGTCACTCAGGAAATTGCAAGGGATTAGAGGTTATCTCCCAGGACTCAGGGACAAAGTCCAAGCATCCCATTCTTTATTACACATTAAGTGCACAGAAAAATGCACATTATAAAAAAAATTCATCTTATTGGGATCTTTCCAGATCCTGGGAATATAGAAATATACTGCTATGGTTTGGATATGATTCGTCTGTCCCCGCCAAAACTTATGGGGAAATTGGATCCCCAGTGTGGTGATGTTGGAAGGTGGGGCCTTGTGGGAGGTGTTCGGGTCATGGAGACAGATCCCTCATGAAGAGCTTGCTGCCGTTCTGGAGGTAGTGAGTGAGTACCGGCTCTGGTGAGACTGGATTAGTGCCCATGACGGTAGGTTTGTCATAAAGCCAGCATGCCCCTCGGTTTTTCCCTCTTTGCACGTGTCTGCTTCCCCTTTGGCCTTTTCCACTATGTTTTGGCCTAGCAGGTGGCTGTCACCAGAAGCTGAGCAGTTACTGGTGCCATGCTCCTCCTACTTCCCAGCTTGCTGAAACATGAGCTAAATCAACCTCTTTTATTTTTAAATTATCCAGTCTCAGGCGTTCTGTTACAGCAACACAAAACAGACTAAGACACATGCTAACAATGGCCCAAAAGAGGCAGAGATGGTATAATGTTGGTGCAAAAGTAATTGCAGTTTTTGTCGTTACTTTTAATAGCAAAAACTTCTGCACCAACCCAATACCACAAACAACTCAATTCAAGAACTTACATGAAATGGACTAAATCTCTAAATCTTTTGAAGACACGAATTATCAAGACTCACCCAATATGAAATAACTTGAGTAGTCCTATAAAGACATTGAACTTTGGGAGGCCAAGCTGGGAGAATCGCCTGAGCCCAGAAGACCGAGACCAGCCTGGGCAACAAAGTGAGACCCTAGCTCTACAAAAAAATTTATATATAAAACGAAATGGAATTCATAGTAAAATACCTTCCAAAGAAGATATTCCAACCCACGTGGTTTCACTGGCAAATTCCACCAAACATTCAAAGAAGAATTAATACCGATTCTACAATATCTCTTCCCAAAAATAGAACAGTAAAGACTACTTGTCAACACATTTTGTGAGGCCAGGATCACCCTGATACCAAAACCACCCAAAGACTGTATAAAAGAAGCAAGCAAGCAAGAAACGACAGACCACCAACTCTCACGAACATAAATGCAAAAATCATCACAAAATATTAGCAAATTGAATCCAGCAATGTCTAAAAAATATATAGCTCAACCATGTGAGGCTTATCCCAGGAATGCAGGGCTTATTGAATGTTAAAAACAAACAATAAATTTATTCCATTATATTAATGGTCAATAAAAGAAAGAAATACATGATCATATGAATTGATGTAGAAAAAGCCTTTGGCAAAATTCAATATCCATTCAAGACATAAACTCTCAGCAAACTAAGAATAGAAAAGACCTTCCTCAGCTTGATAAAGGGAATCTGCAAGAAAACCCACAGCTAATATCATAGTTAATAGTGAACACCTGAATGTTTTCCTCCTAAGTTCATGAACAATACAAGGATGTCTACTCTTGCCACTTCTATTCAACATCACACTTAGAAGTCCTTCCTATTGTAATAATTCAAGAAATAGAATTAAAAGACTTTCAGATAGGAAAAGAAGAAATAAAACTGCCTGGTATTCACATACGACATTATTATCTATGCCGAGAATTCCATGGAATCTACAAAAAAAAAATTCCTAGAACTCATAAGTGAGTTTACTAAAGGTAGAGTGTATTTGCTCAATACACAAAAATCAACTGTATTTCTATATAAAGTAAGTATAGAAATAGAAACAAAACATTTAAAAACCAGTGACATTTACAATAACTGCAACAATGAAATACCTCGGCATGAATCAAAGAAATTCTACGTTCTGAAAATTACACAATGCTAATGAAAGAAATCCAGGAAGGCCTAAATGAATGGAATACACATGAGTGTACTGTGTTTACGAATGGAAACACTCAATAAATATATGAGTTCTCCTTGAACTGATCTATATATTTAACGCAATGCAATTAAAGTGATAGTAGGATTTTTTGTAGACATACACAACATGGTTCTAAAATTTATACTAAAAATCAAAAGAACTACAATCATTAAAACAATTTTAGGCATGGTGCAGTGGCTCACACCTGTAATCTCAGCACTTTGGGAGGTCCAGGCGGGCGGATCATGAGGTCAAGAGATCGAGACCATCCTGGCCAACATGGTGAAACCCTGTATCTACTAAAAATACAAAACTTAGCTGGGTGTGATGGTGTGCGCCTGTAGTCCCAGCTACTCGGGAGGCTGAGGCAGGAGAATTGCTTGAACCCGGGAGGTGGAGGTTGCAGTGAGCTGAGATCGTGCTACTGCACTCCAGCCTGGATGACAGAGCAAGACTCCACCTCAAAAAAATAAAATAAAATAAAATAAAAAAGAATAAAGTTGAAGGAATCACTTTACCTACTTTTTTTTTTTTTTTTTTTTTTTTTTTTGAGACAGAGTCTCATTCTGTTCCCAGGCTGGAGTGCAGTGACACAATCATGGCTCACTGCAGCCTTTAACTCCCAGACTTAAATGATCTTCCCGCCTCAGCGTGCTGAGTAGCTGGGACTACAGGTGTGCACCACCACACCTGACGAATATTTTTATTTTTTTGTAGAGATGGGGTCTCACTATGTTTCCCAGGTCTCGCTATGTTGCCCAGGCTGGTCTTGGACTCCTGAGCTCAAGTGGTCCTCCTGCTTTGGCCTCCCAAATCTGACTTCTAAGACTCACCAGAGTACTACACTAATTACGACAAGGATGTTATTAGCAATGGGGTAGATATAAGTCAGCAGAAAAGACAGAGATTCCAGAAACAGACCCTAGATGTATTGCCAATACATTTTTAAATTTATTTTTTGAGGAGAAATTTTTATAGCATTAACCTTTCAGAATGAACAGTCCAGCAGCATTCAGTATTTTCATAATGTTGTGCAAGTACTGCCTCCATCTAGTTTGGAACATTTTCATCACTTCCAAAGAAATTCGCATGCTCATTAAGAAACTACTTCCCATCCTCTTCCTCCTGGGCTCAGGCACCCACTAAGTTAGTTTCTGACTTTATGGGTTTACCTATTCTGGATATTTCATATGAATCAAATAATATAATATGTGACCTTCGTGTCTCTCTCACTCTCTCTCTCCTTTTTTTTTTTTTTTTTTTCTTGAGACACGGTCTCCCTGTCTCACTCAGGCTGGAGTGCAATGGTGGAAACAAGGCTGACTGCAGCCTCGACCCCCTGGGCTCATGGGATCCTCCCACCTCAGCCTCCCGAGTAGCTGGGACTACAGGCACGCACCACCACGTCTGGCTAATTTTTTTTTTGTATTTATTGTGGAGACGGCATTTCGCCATGTTGCCCAGGCTGGTCTCGAACTCTTGGCCTCAAGTGATCCACCCATCTCAGCCTCCCAAAGTGCTAGGATTACAGGCGTGAGCCACTGCACCCGGCCTTGGCTTCTTTCCTTAGCATGATGTTTTCAAGGCCCATCCACGTTGTAGCATCTATCAGTATTTCATTCCTTGTTATGGCTGAATAATATTTCACTGTATGCATAGACCACAGCTTGTTTATCCATTCATCAGTTGATGGATATTTGGGTTATTCCCACCTTTTGACTTTTGAAATAATGCTGCTACGAACGTGCATGTACAAGTATGTCTTTGAGCACCTGTTTTCAGTTCTTTTGACTATATACCTATGAGAGTAATTCTCAAGTCACATGTTAATTCTATGTTTAACCTTTTAGGAACCACCAAAATGTTTTCCACAGTGGCTGAATTATTTTACATTCCCATCAGCCATGTATGAAAGTTCTAATTTCTCCACATCCTATTCAACAATTCTTATTGCCCATCTTGAAAAAAGTATGACCATCCCGGTAGACGTGGAATAGTACCTTATTGTTTTGATTTGCATTTTCCTAATAGCTAATGATGTTGAGTATCTTTACATGCATTTCTTAACTATTTGTGTATCTCCATTGGAGACATGTCTATTAAATCCTTTGCTTATTTCAAAAATGGGGTTGCCTTTTCTTGACGGGTTTTTTGTACGTTTTAATATATTCCGGATGTTACATGATCAGATACATGATTGGCAAAGGTTTTTCTCCCATTCTGTTATCTTTTCACTTTCTTGACAATGTCCACTGATCCACAAAAGTTTTCAATTTCAGTGAAGCCCCATTTATCATTTTTAGTTTTGTTGCCTGTGCTTTGGGTGTCATACTCTAAGAATCCAATGCCAAATACAAAGATATGACTTACCCCTGTGTTTTATTCTAAAAGTATTAATTTTAACACTTACATTTATGTTTTTGATTCATTTTGAGTTAATTTTTGTATATGGTATATGGTATGAAGTAGGGGTCCAACTTCATTCTTTGGCATGTGGATAACCAGTTATCCTAGCACCATTTCTTTAAGAAACGATTCTTTCCCCCATCGAATGGCCTTGGCGCTCTTGTTGTAAATCAATTTAGCATAGGCTGACCCCCACAGACTCAGGCTCCAGGCTTGTCCTTGCAGTCCCAGGCTCCAGGTCACCCACGCACACTGTCTTCAGCTCCACCCCAGTGCCGGTCCAGCCCCCCACAGTCTCGGGCTCCAGGCCCACCTCATCACCAGGCAGGCCCTGGTTTTCCCAGGCTCCAGACTGGTCCCATGGCCAGGCCGCTCCCTCAGCCCTAGACTCTGGGTACACCCATGAACCAAGCCTGCGTTGGGGCAAGGCTAGCCTCACAGCCCCAGGCTCTGGGCTGGCACCCATGGAATGAGCCACCAGCCCTGCCATGGGGCCAAGGTGGCCCTACAGCCTTAGATTCCAAGCCAGCCTCCAGAGCCCCAGACTCCAGGCTGACACATGCAGACATCACCTGCAGACCAGTCCCTACAGCCCCAGACTTCAGGCCTGGACATGTGGACCCAGCTTCCAGATCCTCCTCAGTGTCAGGACAACCCCTGTGACCCTCGACCTGGTCTGCTTCAATGATAGGCCGTCTTCTGTAGTTTCAGACTTCAGGCTGGCACCCACAGACCTAGTCTCTGTACCCACTCCAGCTCCAGGCTGACCCCTGTGACCTCAAGCACCAGGCCAGAACCTACAAAGCCAGCTTCCAGGCCAGCCCCCAAGGATTAAAGGCTCCAGGCTTGCCCAGTGCCACACTAGCACCTTTGGCCTCAGACCCCAGGCTGGCCCTCTCAGACTCAGGCTCCAGGCCCATGCCAGGCGCCAGACAGGCTAAGAGGAAGTCTGACCCACATGGCCTCGGGCTTCAGGCCCACGCCAGGGCAAGACTGGCCCCAATAGCCAGGTTGGTCCCCATGGCACCAGGACCCAGGCCCAAATCCATGAACTCAGGTTCCAGCTCCACCATACCTGCTCACCAAGCCAGCTTTCCCAAGAAATCCAGCAGCAAGTCTATCCATGCACCATGCCAGATGGTCTTCCCAGAATCTCTGGATGGACTGAACCGTGAAGGGCTTTCCCAGCCAGAGCCAGTCATCAAGCACTGGAGCAAGTCCCCACTTCTTTTTTGGTTTTTCTTTTTCCTTTTTTTTTTTTTTTTTTTTTTCCTAATGGAGCTATTGTTGTTTATTCCTAACCGCAGCTATTGTTGCTCCGGTTGGAGTGCAATGGCACAATCTCAGCTCACTATAACCTCCGCCTCCCGGGTTCCAGTGATTCTCCTGCTTCAGACTCCTGAGTAGCTGGGACTACAGGCGCCCACCACCACGCCCAGCTAACTTTTTGTATTTTTAGTAGAGACGGGGTTTCACCATGTTGGCCAGGCTGGTCCCGAGCTCCTGACCTCAAGTGATCCACCCACCTCTGCCTCCCAAAGTGCTGGGATTACAGGCATGAACCACCGCGCCTGGCCCAAGTCCCTACTTCTTTAAATGCACAGAAGCCAATGTACAGCCACAAAGGTCACAATCAATCAGGGAAACATGACACTACCAAAGGAACAAAGTAAAGCTTCACTGATCAACCCTAAAGAAGAGAGATTTAGAAACTTTCTAAGAAGGAATTAAAAATAATCTTCCTAAAGTAGTTCACTGCATTACAAGGAATGCTAGAGGGAATTCTTCAAGCTGAGAGAAAACGATCTGGTTTTTGAGTCTGTTTGTTATTTGGGTTTTGTTTTTTGTATGTTTCTTTGTTTGTTTTGAGACAGGATCTCACTCTGTCACCTGGACTGGAGTGCAGTGGTGTGATCGTGGCTCACTGCAACCTCGACTTCCCAGGCTCAAGTAAACCTCCTACATGAGCCTCCCAAGAAGCTGGGACTGCAGGCATGCACTGCCATGCCCAGCTAATTTTTTTGTTTGTTTCTATTTTGTGTGGAGACAGTGTTTCACTATGTTGCCCAGGCTGGTCTCCAACTCCTGAGCTCAAGTGATCAGCCTGCCTCAGCCTCCCAAAGTGCTGGGACTACACGCACGAGCCATCGCACCTGGCCAAGAAAAAGATGTTAATTGGTAATAAGAAAATATGAAAGAAGAAAATTTATGAGTAAAATAAGTACATGTTCAAACCCAGAATACTCATTGTAATGACGATGTATAAATCACTTATATCTTTAGTATGAAGGTTAAAAGACAAAACTATTTGTGAAAGTATAGCTACAAAAATGTGTTAAGGGATATGGAATTTAAAAAAGATGTAAATAGTGACATCAAAAACATAAAATATACAGGGAGTTAAGGAGCATAATTGTAGTTTTTGTGTGTAATCAAAGTTAAGTTGTTATCAGCTCAGAGTAGTCTGTTATAACCATAAGATATTTTATGTAAGCCTCATGGTATTCATAAAACAGAAATCTATAGTAGATACACGAAAGATAAAAAGTGAAGAATCGCAGCATATCACTATTGAAAACCACTTGATCATGAAGGCAGACAGCAAAAGAAGAAAGGAACAAGGAATCCACAAAACAACCAGAAACAATGAGCAAAGAGGCAACAGTAAGTCCTTGCCTATCAAGAATTAACTTGAATGTAAATGGATTAAATTCTCCAAAGACATAGCAAGTCTAAATGGGGAAAAAAAAAAAAAAAGGCAAAAGCATATGATGCTTATGAGAGACCCACTGCACCTTTAGGACACACATAGACTAAAAGTGAAGGGATGGAAAAACACATGTCATTCAAATAGGAAACAAAGGAGAGCAGGTGTGGCCATATTTGTATGAGACAAAATAGACTTTAAGTCAAAAACTACAAAATGAGACAAAGAAAGTCATTATATGATAATAAAGGGGTCGATTCATCAAGAGTCTATAATAATTATAAACACATACACACCTAACTTTAGAGCATCTAAATATGTAAAGCAAATAATCATACATCTGAAGGGAGAAATACACTGCAATACAACAGTAGGAGGAGGCTTCACTATCCCATTGTCAACAATGGAAATTCAGAGAGAAAACTGGTAAGGAAACAGTGGGTTTGAACACGATGAAACAAACGGGCCTAACAGACATATACGGAATGTTCCATCTTACAGCAGCAGAAGACACATTCTTCTCAAGTGCACACTGAACATTCTCCAGGATAGATTATATGTTAGGCCACAAAACAAGTCAACACATTTAAGAAGATTGAAATCATATCAAATATCTTTTCTGACCACAATGCTATGAATTTAGAAATCAATAATAGGAGGAATTTTAGAAAACTCACAAATACAAATGAAACAACATGTTCCCAAACAACCAACTGATCCAAGAACAACTTAAAAGGGAAATTAAAAACTATCTTGAGACAAATGAAAATGGACTCACAACATACCAAGACATGAGAAATGCAGGAAAAACACAATTTTAAGGGGAAGTTTATAGCAGTAATTGCTCACCTCAAAAAACAACAAAGATTTCAAATAACAACCAAATGTTACACCTCAAGGAACGAGAAAAAGAAGAGAGTTTATGCCCAAAGATAGTAGAAGGAAGGTAATAATAAACATCAGAGCACAAATAAATAAAATGGAGACTTGGAAAACAATAGAAAATAGCAACAAATGTGGGATGGTTTTTTAAAAAATATCAACAAAATTGACAAATGCTTAGCTAAATTAAGAAAAAAAGAGGAAAGACTAACTAAAAACAGAAATGAAATCAGAGACATTACAACCAATGCTACAGAAATTAAAAGGATTATAAGAGACTATTATGAACAATTGTATGCCAACAAATTGGATAACCCAGAATAAATGAATAAATGTCTTTTATCCATACAACATACCAAGACTGAATTGTAAAGAAATAAAAAATCTGAACAGACAAAAACTGGGTGAAGAGATTGAATCAGTAATGGAAAGTCACCCATCAAAGGAAAGCCCAGGACCTGATGGCTTTCTGTTGAATTCTACCAAACATTTAGAGTAGGATTAAGATCAATCCTTCTCAAACTCATCCAATAAACTGAAGAAGAAGGAATACTTCCAAACTCATTTTACAAGGCCAGCATTACCCTAGCACCAAAGCCAGACGAGGACACTACAAGAAAATTATAGGCCCATATCCCTGATGAACATAGAAGCAAAAATCCTCAACAAAGTACTAGCAAACCAAATTTCATAGCACATTAATTTTTTATGTTTTTCTGCTGTTTAATTAAGGGATTACTCACCATGACCCAATGCCTATGGGACTTGCACTGTACTCACTGCTGCCCTGTCACAGCAGAAAGCAAAACTGGTCTGAAGTTGGCTGATGCCCACAGAGGGAGCATTTAGACCAGCCGTAGCCAGAGGGAATTTACACATCACAGAAGTCAGAACTTGGGTTTTGGGAAGCCTCGCCACTGCAAGATCAGGGGTTATAAATAAACTTGAAAGGTGGTCTAGGCCACAGGGTCTGCAACTCCTAGTGCTGTGCTGGGCTCAGAGCCAGAGGACATGGGGAGCACACGACCTAGTGAGACACCAGCCAAGGTGGCTGAGGGAATACATGTACCATGGCTTTCCCAACCCCAGCAGCACAGCTCGCAGCTCCAGGAGAGATGCCTTCTTTCACTTGAGGAGAGGAGAGGGAAGTGTAAAGAAGACTTTGTCTTGCATCTTGGATATAAACTTAGCTGCAGAAGGATAGGGCACTGGGCAGAGTCCTGAGGCCCCCATTTCAGGGTCTAGCTTGTGGATGACATTTCTAGACACACCCTGGGCCAGAAGCAAATCTGCTGCCTTGAAGGGAAGGACTCAGCCCTGACAGGATTCATCACCTGCTGACTAAAGGGCCCTTGGGCCCTGAGGAACCTGCAATGATACCCAGGTAGTTTACCATGGGCCCTGGGTGAGACTCTAAGACATGCTGGCTTCAGGGGAGACCCAGGGCATTCCCAGCTGTGGTGGCTATGGGCAGAGACAGTTTCTCTGGGAGAATAGCAGAAGGAAGAGTATAGGGGACTTTGCCGTGCACCGTAGGCGCCAGCTTGGCCACAGTGAGGCAGAGCAGCAAGTGAGGGCTTGGGGTACCTGAGTCCTGGCCCTGGCTCTTGCATAGGACTTTTGGACCTCCCCTGGGCCAGAGGAGAGCCCATTACCATGAAGAGTGAGTCCCAGGCCTAGCAGTATTCACCACAAGCTGACTGAGAAGCCCTTCAGCCTTAAGTGAACACAGGCAGTAGCCTGGCAATAGTCTCTGTGGGCCTGCAGTGGTGGTGGCCACAGCGAGAGGCTTCTCTGCCTGTGGAACGGGCACGGAAGAGTGGGAAGGACTTTGTATTGTGGTTTGAATGCCAGCTTAGTTGCAATAGTGTAGAGCACAAGGTAAATTTCTAAAATTTTTGACTCTGGTCCCTGTCTCCCGGAGGCATCTCTAAGCCAACCTGGGGTCTGGGGGAACTAGCCACCCTGAAGGGAAGGACAAAGGCCTGGCTGGCTTTGCTACCTGCTTATTGTAGAGTCCTCCAGCCTTGAGTGAACATAGGCAGTAGTCAGGTATTGGTTACAGCCAGGTAATGGGCAAGACCAGTGCTGTGTTGGCTTCAGGCCTGATTCAGCAAGGCCCCAGTGGTGGCCACAGTGGGGATTGTGTCACCCCACCTGCAGCTCCAGGTGTCTCAGCACAGAGAGAGAGCAAGAGGAAGAGAGAGCAAGATAGAATGAGAGCAAGAGGGAGAGCGAGAGCGAGAAATGGGGGTGGGGGTGAGAGAGAGAGAGACAGAGAGACAGCAAGAGAGAGAGAGAAAGAGAGAGAGAGACAGAGAGAGAGAGACAGAGAGAGAGAGACAGAGAGAGAGAGACTGAGACTTTGTTTGTTTGGGAGAAATAAGGGAAGAAAACAAGAGTCTCTGTCTGGTAACTCAGAGAATTCTTCTGGGTCTTATCCAAGACCACCGAGGCAGTACCTCTACAAGTCTGCAAAAGCCACAGTGTTACTAGGCTTGGGATACCCCTAATGCAGATACAACTTAGATTACAACACCCAGCTCCCTTTGAATATCTGGAAAGCCTTCTGAAGAAAGATGGTACAAACAAGCCCAGACTGCAAAGACTACAATAAATACCTAACTCTTCAATGCCCAGGCGCCGATGAACAGCCACAAGCATCAAGACCATCCAGGTAAACATGACCTCACCAAATGAACTAAAGAAGGCACCAGGGTCCAGGCCTGGAGAATAAAGATATGTGACCTTTGAGACAAGTAATTCAAAATAGCTGTTTTGAGGCAAGTGAAAGAAATTCAAAATAACACACAGAGGGAATTCAGAAATCTATCAGATAAATTTAACAATGGCATTGAAGTAGTTAAAAGGAATCAAGCTGAAATTGTGAAGTTGAGGAATGCAATTGGGAGGGTGGAGCAAGAAGTTGGAATGGAAGCCTCCATTGGTTGTTCCCCCTGCAGGAACACCAAATTTTGACAACGAACTACACACAAAAAAGCATTGTGTAAAAAAATTAATAACTATGGGAACTCTTCAAGTCATAGAGAGTACAATAAGACATAAAGAGAAACAACAAAAGTTAAAAAGTGGGCAGATGAAGTTAAAGTGTTAAATTTTCATAAGTTATCTTTTCACTTGTTTGTTTGTGTATACAATCAGTGCTAAGTTGTCATCGGTTTAAAATAATGGGTTATAAAATAGTATCTGGAAGCCTCATGGTAACCTCAAGTGGAAAAACATAAAATGGATACATAAAAAATAAAAAGCAAGAAATTAAATTTTACCACCAGAGAAAATCATCTTCTCTAAAAGGAAGGCAGGAGGAAAAGAAGCAGGAAAAGAACATTACAAAACAACCAGAAAGGAAATAACAAATTGGAAGGAGCAAGTCCTTACTCATTGATAGTAACATTGAATGTAAATGAGCTAAACTCTCCAATCAAATGACATAAAGTAGCTGAATAAATATTTTTAAAAGACCCAATGATCTGTTTCCTTTAAGAAACACACATCACCTATAAAGACAAACATAGATGGAAAATAAAGGGAAGGAAAGAAATATTCCATGCCAATGTAAACCAAAAAAGAGAACCAGTAGCTATACTTATGTCAGACAAAATAGATTTCAAGACAAAGACTATAAGAAGAGATAAAGAAGGTCATCATATAATGATAAAGGGGTCAATTGAGCAAGAGGATGTAACAATTATAAACATATATGCACCCATCACTGGAGCACCCATATGTAGAAAGCAAATATTACCAGAGCTAAAGAGAGGGAGAGACCCCGATACAATAATAGCTGGAGACTTCAACATTTCACTTTCAGCATTAGAGTTGATTTCCAGGCATGAAATCAACAAAGAAACATCAGACTTAATCTGCACTATAGAGCAAACGGATCTAATACATATTTACAAAACATTTCATCCAATGGCTGCAGAATGCACGTTCTTTTCCTCAGCACACGGATCATTCTTAAGGACAGACCATGTGAGGTCACAAGTTTTTTTGTTTGTTTGTTTGTTTATTTTTATTTTATTTATTTTTTTTTTTGAGATGGAGTCTTGCACTGTCACCCGGGCTCCCAGGCTAGAGTGCAGTGGTGCAATCTCAGCTCACTGCAACCTCTGCCTCCTGGGTTCAAACAATTCTCCTGCCTCAGCCTCCCAAGTAGCTGGGATTATAGCCACGCGCCACCATGCCCAGCTAATTTTTTTTTATTTTTAGTAGAGACAGGGTTTCACCATGTTGGCCAGGCTAGTCTCGAACTCCTGACCTTGTGATTCGCTCACCTCGGCCTCCCAAAGTGCTGGGATTACAGGGGTGAGCCACCGCACCTGGCTATTTATTTTTGAGACTGAGTCTCCACTGTTGCCCAGGCTAGAGTTCAGTGGCATGATCTCAGCTCCCTGCAACCTCTGCCTCCCGGGTTCTAGTGATTCTCTTGCCTCAGCCTCCTGTGTAACTGGGACTGCAGGCATGCGCCACCATGCCCGGCTAATTTTGTTTTGTTTTGTTTTTTTAGTATTTATTGATCATTCTTGGGTGTTTCTCAGAGAGGGGGATGTGGCAGGGTCATAGGATAATAGTGGAGAGAAGGTCAGCAGATAAACACGAGAACAAAGGTCTCTGGTTTTCCTAGGCAGAGGTCCCTGTGGCCTTTGGCCCTGTTTGTGTCCCTGGGTACTTGAGATTAGGGAGTGGTGATGACTCTTAACGAGCATGCTGCCTTCAAGCATCTGTTTAACAAAGCACATCTTGCACCGCCCTTAATCCATTTAACCCTGAGTGGACACAGCACATGTTTCAGAGAGCACCGGGTTGGGGGTAAGGTTATAGATTAACAGCATCCCAAGGCAGAAGAATTTTTCTCAGTACAGAACAAAATGGAGTCTCCTATGTCTACTTCTTTCTACACAGACACAGTAACAATCTGATCTCTCTTTCTTTTCCCCACATTTTCCCCTTTTCTTTTCGACAAAACTGCCGTCGTCATCATGGCCCGTTCTCGATGTTCGCTGTCTCTTCGGAGCTGTTGGGTACACTTCCCAGACAGGGCGGCCTGGCAGAGGCACTCCTCACATCCCAGACGGGGCGGCCTGGCAGAGGCACTCCTCACATCCCAGACGGGGCGGCCTGGCAGAGGCACTCCTCACATCCCAGACGGGGCGGCCTGGCAGAGGCACTCCTCACATCCCAGACGGGGCGGCCTGGCAGAGGCACTCCTCACATCCCAGATGGGGCGGCCTGGCAGAGGCACTCCTCACTTCCCAGACGGGGCGGCCGGGCAGAGGCACACCTCACTACCCAGACGGGGTGGCGGCCAGACAGAGGCGCTCCTCACCTCCCAGAGGGGGTGGCGGCCGGGCAGAGGTGCTCCTCACATCCCAGATGGGGCGGCCAGGCAGAGGCACTCCCCACCTCCCAGACGGGGCGGCTGGGCAGAGGCGCTCCCCACTTCCCAGACGAAGAGCGGCAGGGCAGAGGCACCCCCCACTTCCCAGACGGGGCAGCCAGGCAGAGGCGCTCCTCACCTCCCAGACAGGGCAGCCGGGCAGAGATGCCCCTCACCTCCCAGATGGGGTGGCTGGGCAGAGGTGCCCACTTCCCCGACGGGGTGGCCAGGCAGAGGTGCTCCCCACCTCCCAGACGAAGGGCGGCCGGGCAGAGGCGCTCCTCACCTCCCAGACGAAGAGTGGCCGGGCAGAGGCGCCCCTCACTTCCCAGACGGGGCGGCGGCCGGGCAGAGGTGCTCCCCACCTCCCAGATGGGGCGGCCGGGCAGAGACGCCCCTCACCTCCCAGACAGGGCGGCCGGGCAGAGGCGCTCCACACCTCCCAGACGAAGGGCGTCTGGGCAGAGGCGCCCCTCACTTCCCAGGCAGGGCGGCCAGGCAGAGACTCCCCTCACCTCCCAGATGGGGTGGCGACCAGGCAGAGGCACTCCTCACTTCCCAGACGGGGTGGTGGCCAGGCAGAGACGCCCCTCACCTCCCAGATGGGGCAGCCGGGCAGAGGCACTCCTCACCTCCCAGACGGGGCGTCTGGGCAGAGGCGCTCCTCACTTCCCATTCGGGGCAACCAGGCAGAGGCGCTCCTCACTTCCTCCCAGACGGGGCGGCCAGGCAGAGGCGCTCCTCACTTCCCAGACGGGGCGGCCAGGCAGAGGGGCTCCTCACATCCCAGATGATGAGCGGCCAGGCAGAGACGCTCCTCACTTCCTAGACAGGGTGGCGGCCGAGCAGAGGCGCTCCTCACTTCCCAGACAGGGGCGGCCAGGCAGAGGCACTCCTCACTTCCCATTAGGGGCCGGGCAGAGGCGCTCCTCACTTCCTCCCAGATGGGGTGGCCGGGCAGAGGTGCTCCTCACTTCCCAGATGGGGCAGCCGGGCATAGGCGCTCCTCACATCCCAGACGATGGGCGGCCAGGCAGAGACACTCCTCACTTCCTAGATGGGGTGGCGGCCGGGCAGAGGCTGTAATCTTAGCACTTTGGGAGGCCAAGGCAGGCGGCTGGGAGGTGGAGATTGTAGCGAGCCGAGATCACACCACTGCACTCCAGCCTGGGCAACATTGAGCATTGAGTGAGCGAGACTCCATCTGCAATCCCAGCACCTCGGGAGGCCGAGGCGGGCAGATCACCCGAGGCCAGAAGCTGGAGACCAGCCCGGTCAACAGGGCAAAACCCCGTCTCCACCAAAAACACAAAAACCAGTCAGGAGTGGCGGCACGTGCCCGGAATCCCAGGCACTCGGCAGGCCAAGGCAGGAGAATCACCAGAGCCCGAGGCAGGGAGGTTGCAGCGAGCCGAGATCATGGCAGTACAGTCCAGGCTCCGCAAGAGAGGGAGACGGTAGAAAGAGGGAGACAGAGAGCGAGAGGGAGAGGGAGAGGGAGAGGGAGAGCCAGAGGGAGAGGGAGAGGGAGAGGGAGAGGTCACAAGTTTTAAAACATTCAAAAAATTCCAATAATATTAGACATCTTCTCTGACCACAATGGAATAAAACTAGAGATCAATAACTACAGACATTTTAGAAACTATAAAACTTTAAAAATTTCTTAAAATGAATGACGATGGAAACAAAACATACCCAGACCTATGGGATACAGCCAAAGCAGTACAAAGAGAGAAGTGTATATCTAAAAGTACCCACATCAAAAAAGAACAAAAAATAATCAAGAAGAGCTAATACTAATCCTACTCAAACTATTCTGAAAAACAGAGGAAGAGGGAATACTTCCAAACTCATTCTACCAGGCCAGTATAAGCCTGATACCAAAAACCAGACAAAGATACATTTAAAAAAAAAAAAAAGGAAGCTACAAGCCAATTTCCCTGATGAATATTGATGCAAAAACCTTCAGCAAATACTAGCAAACCGAATTCAACAATACGTTGATAATTTGACTTCTTTCTTTCTAATTTGGAGGCCTTTTATCTCTTTCTCTTGTCTGATTGTTCTAGCTATGACTTCCAGTACCATGGTGAACAAAAGTGGTGAACAAGGGCACCTTGTTGTGTTCCAAGTCTTAGAGGAAAGGCATTCAGTCATCATCATGACCAAGTGCGATATATCCCAGGGATCCGAGGACGGTTCAACATATGCAAATCAATCAATGTGATACACCATATCAACAGAATGAAGGATAACAACCATATGATCATTTCAATTAATGCTGAAAAAACCATTTGATAAAATTCAGAATTCCTTCATGGCGAAAGCCCTCACAAAACTGGGTATAGAAGGACATACAGACCCACAGCTAGTATCATACTGAATGGGGAAGAACTGAAAGCTGGAGAAAGGGAGAAGCTTGGAGTGGCTCAGTCTAAGTCTGAAAGTCTCAAAACCAGGGAAGCCGACAGTTCATTCTATCTAAATATCTTTTTTTGGACCCATTAATTATCCCCACCTCTCCCTCACCCCTCACTACCCTTTCCAGCCTCTGGTAATTATCTTTCTGCTTGTTTGCAGATGACATGATCTTGTATTTGCAAAAACCTAAAGACTCCACCAATAAACTCTTCAAACTGATGAGTAAATTCAGGCAAGTTGCAGGATAGAAAATCAACACACATAAATCTAGCATTTCTACATGCCAACAGTGAACACTCTGAAAAAAAATCGATAAAGTAATCTCGTTCACAACA
The DNA here is from genome assembly GCF_000001405.40 of Homo sapiens. Taxonomy (NCBI): domain Eukaryota; kingdom Metazoa; phylum Chordata; class Mammalia; order Primates; family Hominidae; genus Homo; species Homo sapiens. The sequence continues at coordinate 71,673,912 of NC_000023.11, read as the reverse complement.
GCCAGAAATAAAATAAAATACCTAAAGGATTCGTTATTTATTCTAGTCTTCTCTGTCTGGCTTGTTTGGATTTTTATGTTTGCTTACAGATTTTGTGTAATTTACCTGTTGAATGTCATTTTTTTCTGCTAGGCCACTACCATCTTTACAGCATTAGATGGTGCCTTAAGCCCAACTTTACCTTGTCTCAAGCAAATGATCAGAGTGCTGCCCATCCAGAATGAGGGAGGTCCCAAAGGTGATATCTTGCCAGTATGGAAGAGCTAGCTGGCTAAGGGTCTGTGCCCACGGGGCTCGTGGAACATCCCACTAACAGTGTGGCGCTGCTAAACGGCCACTCTGATTTGGCATCTCCTTTGGCTGAGTTACACAGCAGAGGTTCCAGGGCTGAGGATGATAGTTCTGCCTCCCCGTTTTGTCTCTGGCTGTCCTCTGGGACATTTCTCCCCTCAGGCACTCACGATGCTTCCTGTGGGTTGAATCAGGAACAGGTCTTCTGCCATGGAACCCAAGATGGTGTGGAAGCTGACCGTTCACCTCAATATCACTTCTTCCAGTGTAGAAACCATGACTTGGCCAGCTCGGTTGCTCACGCCTGTAATCCTAGCACTTTGGGAGGTCGAGGCCGGCGGATCACCTGAGGTCAGGGTTTCAAGACCAGCCTGGTCAACATGGTGAAACCCCATCTCTACTAAAAATACAAACATTAGCCAGGAGTGGTGGTGCACACCTGTAACCCAGCAACTTGGGAGACTGAGACAGGAGAATCGCTTGAACCCAGGAGGCGGAGGTTGCAGTGAGCCAAAACTGTGCCATTGCACTCCAGCCTGGGCAACAGAGTGAGACTCCGTCTCAAAAAAAAAAAAAAAAAAAAAAAAAAAACAAGCAAATCAAAAAAAACACAGACGTCTCCACACATATACTAATCTTGAATGGTATCTGCATTTCTCCTGTCTTTGTCTGTTCAACACTCAGGCTGTTGGCTTTCAGAGCTGGCAGAACTTACATCACTGGAAACAGAATCTGTCTGTGTCTCACACCCATACAGCCCTGGATTCAGGCTGAAGGAAGGAGGCAATCCCAACTGTCAGGGAGGGTGAAGGCAGAACAGGAAGCTCAAGGAAATCTCATGTGACCTCAAGAGGTGGTCTGAAAGACTGAACAGGCACACAGAAATATCACGTCTACAAAAACCTGCAGCTTTGGGGATGGTGGAACAGTATTTGACGGGGACCATCCAAGAACAGCCAGGCCTAGCATCCACACTTGCCCTGGAAGGCAACTGGCCATTTTCAAATCAAGGATATGAAGCCAACCAGTTGCAGAAGGGGCTGTTGGCTGCCTACAGGACATCAAGGAGGTGGAAGCCACCTTCCATGTAGCTGCCAGTGGGAAGTGTGGGAAGTTTTTTTTGTTTTTGTTTTTGTTTTAGACGGAGTCTTGCTCTGTCACCAGGCTGGAGTGCAGCGGCACAATCTCGACTGCAACCTCTGCCTCCATTGTTCAAGTGATTCTCCTGCCTCAGCCTCCCGAGTACCTGGGACTACAGGCGCCCAGCAGGCAGTTTTCACCAGGTTGGCCCACAGGCACCAGAACAGACTCAATGCCCCCACCTCCAACCAAGAGACTACCCCGCCCTTTTCAGCGCTCCCTGTGCCTTCCCTTTTGCTCGGCCACCCACCGGGATGTGGCATCTGCTTCCATCTGGCTACTGAAACTAAGGAGGGAGACCTGATGGGATGTGGCAACAGAGGTTCAAAGATGAGGGCTAATAGAGGAACTGAGGATGTCGCGCGGGTTTCTGGCCAAGATGAACTGACTGTATGCGTGGTGGCACCAGAGGGACATAATGGCTCCAGAAAGAGGACTGGGCCCGAGTGGAAGGATGAGCTCCGTCATGCTCCTCAACAGCATGGAAATAACCATACAGGAGAGGCCACCAACATCAAGCCGCAGGGAGAGTAAGGATGCTCATGACAGAAAGGACAGTGACATGGCAGAACTGTCACAGTGAACCACAGGAGGAAAGGCAAGAGAGACTGGGGTTCTGAAAGGAGGCACTCAGTTCCTCCTGAAGGTGAGGGAGAGTAGCGCTGAACAACGGGACCTGTGAGACCCCAAAGTAGGATGAGAAGAGGAGGGAACATGAGCAGGGTGTGTTGGGAAAAGGCAGAAAATGCTCCTGTGGCAGGGCAGGGCAGGGCCCCCACAGCACCTAGACCCAGGCACTATGGTGACTGCAGGGCTGCTGCTCAGAAGCCGGCCCAGGTGCCCTACAGGGAGAGGGTCCACCACAGAGCGTTCTTCAAGCGCCAGGGAACACAGCAACACCCCGCACCGCCCAACACTCCCAACAATCGCAGAGAGGGCAGACCACAGACCACAGAATATGAGAACAACTTTATTTCACACTGCTTTGAACTGTGTTGGGAAGGGGGCAAATGCAGCAGAAGAGAGGAAGCCCTGGCTGAACAGGATATGGAGGGAACCCGCTTAGCTGCAGCTCCGGAGCTCCAAAGGTAGCAGCTGCTCATCTTGTAGGAAGATGCTGGCTCCAACCTGTGAAACAGAGCAGCTCAGGGATGGGCCCCCAGCCAGGGTGAGCCCACAGCCCTTCTAAGCTACTGGGACTGTGGAAAGGGACATGACGTGTGCAACACTCACTTCACAGGTCCTGGAACTTGTCAGTGAGGAACTGCATGGCAGCTGAAACAGAGAGACAGAACTGGGTACTCCAGACCCAGGGAAACAGAAACCCACGCCCTGCCCCCGTGGGGAAAAACCTAGCCCTGCAACCAGAAACCCCACCAGCCCTGGGACTGACTCATCCACCCGTCACCTGAATTAAATGTGGAAATGCCTTCTAAGCAGGAAAGTGGTTCTCAGGTGTTGGGCCATCCCAGAACCGTTCAGAACATGTTTCAAAGACAGATAAGCCAGCCAGCAAGCAAACACCATACAAGCAGTACCAGGCAGCAGTTAAAGGAAAACACATAAGGTATCTCTAACCGTTCTAAGAGAAGATCTCTGGGACTTGTAGACAAAGTGTACACGGAGTTCAGACGACACATTGCTGTCTGTGCACACCCCTAGCTGAAAAGGCACAGAAGGCTCCAGGGCCAGGCCTGCTTGGTTCTCTTCCCCAGAGGAAGTCAGTCCCAGTGACACCACCTATACCTGCAGTCCACCCCCACCACCAGCACCTGCAGAACGACACCGCTGTCCATCCCTGCCCCAGCCAGTGCTCCATCATACCTAGTTGGTCTCTAAGGTCTTCAATTTCCCTCTGCAGCAAGATGCACTAGCCCAGGAGACACCAGTGGAAAAGAAATGGTTAGTCAATTCTGGCTTCCTTTCTCCCCGTTCTCCCTGTCTCCCCCAGCCCTTATAGCCCCCATAGCCTGCAGCCCAGTGGTGAGGTGGATTGGCACAAAACCCTCAATGGAAAGGAGGCACTCACTCTGCATGGGGTATGGTAGGCAGAGGGGATTGGGGAGACACCGAAATTAGTTTAACCTGGACATGGATCCCACCATCTAGTGTGGACCTCTATTTCTAGGAGCCACACAAAGCATTACCCGAGGACAGCCCTGGGCTCCCGGGGGCTGCTGCTGCCTTTCCGGTCTTGGGGGATGGACAGGTGGCTGCCAGTCACCTGAAAGAGAACACAAAATCCAGCTTCCAAGCCGCCCAGTGAGGTGGAAAGGGCGTAGCAGGGTCTAAAGTGAGGCACCATCACCCTCTGCTGGCAACATGTTGCCCCTGCTCTGCCTAGCATCTCCAACCCTCCCTCTGGGACGGTCTTCCCTGTTCTCCCTCGTGAGCCCATCTGCACCTGTGGCCCCCTAGCATTGTGACTCCAGGTTGGACTCCAGCAGTGCGGCAGCCACAGCCAGGCCCTGGGAGGGCCGGTATGGCTGAGCAGGACTTAACAGAAAAGGGCTCAGTACTGCCGAAAGTCTCCTTCCAGAGTTGGAATGTGGGGCACTGCTCCAAATCGCCCCCACCACACAAACCCCACTCAGAGAGGACGATGTGGCTTAAAGCCAGCCCTGTCGACACCCCATTTCCTGTGGGACAGCTGCCTGGGTGGGCAGGGAAGCCTGGGAGCACAGCTAAGCCCCCAGAAGCGACAGAGCCAGAGGTTTCCCTCCGGACCCCTCTCCCCTCCACCCCTATCAAACCCGCAAGACTCACCGGAGGATGCATGGCATCTGGGCACCAGGCGTCTCAAGGTAAAGGCCGAGGGCTGTGAGGTTCCTAGTACTTGGGGAGCTCTGATGTTGGGATCACCACTGCTGTATTCTCCACGACGCACGGACAGAGAAATCAGCTCTGGCTTCTGTGTGGGAAGCTAAAACAGAAATTTCTGAGTCAGGCTGGCAGTGGGGACGGGCGGTGAGTACACATGGGGAGGGGTTGTGTTAAGGTGGAGACCCCAGACTAATCTTATTAACACTTTCTCCCTCAGTCCACCCCAAGACAGGAGGGCTTGCTTAACAGCTAGGGAAGGAGGAATTGGGAAGTTGATGAGTCTAGATGCCCAAGCTTTGCGCCCTGATCCAAACCAGCTGCCAGCCCTGTCTTCCATCCCAGCTCCTCTCTCAGGGAGGAGGCAGGACAACTGCAGAGTGTCCAGAGCCAGGCCTGGCACACACCAAGTGCTCCCTTTAATGTGTGCTCCTAAGAGGAGGACCCCAATCGGGCATCCTAGTGTCCCTGGGCTCCCGATGACAACCTGTGAGCAAGGGATAGAGAGGGCATGGGCAAAGAGGCGTGTGCTGGAAGAGAGGTGGGTGGGGGGAGACAGAGGAGAAAGAGGAAGAGGAGAGCAAGGAGGAGAAGGAGGAGTGCGCGAAGAGAACCTACTCACTTGGGCCCTTGGGACCTCATCTCTATTTGGGTCATTATCTTCTCTGGCCGCAGCCTGGGACTCCCTGGTCTTCCTTCCTGCAGGTTTCTTCCCAGGGCTGCTGTGCTTGGGCTCCTTGGGTCTCACGGACTTCCCCAGGAGCCCCACGCCAGACACTGGCGGGAAGCTAGCCGGATCAGGTGGAACTGCTGAAAGTCTCTGCCCCCAGGCAGGAAAGGCTCCCCGCAGGGCCAGTTCTGGTGCACCCTCTAGGGATTTCTTCTCCTGGGCCACCTTCCTTCCCAGAGTGCCCCGGGGTAGGGGCCCTCTAACGGCAGCTCCTGAGCAGCTGGGCCTGACCCCCCTCTTTCCCCACACCATGCTCTGCATTTTCTTCAAGGAAGGCACGTCCAGCTCTCCCACAGCCGGCCTCTCCACGACTGGGGTGAGTCTGCGGGGAGGAGAGATCAGGAGAGGTCCCTGAACCTGAAGGTAACTCTCCCTGCGGTGGAAACTGCGGCGTCCGCAAGTGTCTCCTGGCTTCTTGGGGCTTCCGGGCTTGGCCTGGCTTCCTTCTTTGGTGCTAATGATCACCCTAATCACCGGTAAGTCGCTGCTCTCATCTGCGGAATCAGAGTCGTCAGTATTCAGCCCGGCGGGGCCTTCCGCGGAGGGCTGCTGGGGATCCACTTGGAAGCTCAATCTGCTCTTCGAGCCCCTTTCTGGGTTCTCCCAGGCCGGTCCTGGCCCAGGAACACTGAGGTGGAGAGGGCCGGCAGAGGCCTGCTGCCATTCTCCAGGGCTGGGGCTCAGCGCACCTCTCCAACTGGGACCGACCTCCAGGTCCGCCCAGATGTCAGTGGACCCTTTGGCAGTGGCGCCTTCTGGGGACGGGTGTCCCTGGACGCTGGACGGCGGCATGATGGTGGCTGGCTCATCAGCCAGGTAGAAAGAGTAGTCCCCACCACCCGCTTGGTCGTCGACCGGGGTGCCAGGCCGGCCTTCCTGGCCCCAGAGCACCACCCTTCCCTGCTCTATCAATTCGCTCTCAGACTCGAAGCTGAAGCTCTCGGGATCTGTGAACCCGCTCTCGCCCTTGCCCTTACCCTTGCCACTGCGCTGCCCCCCAAAATTGAGGTCTCGGCCGTGGCCGTCACCCCGTGGGGCTCCCGGGCTGGCGGTGTGGGCGCCGGCCTGCTCGCCACCCTCTGGGCCTAAACCAGCCCTGCAAACGGACACTTCATCCGTGGAGCTCATGGCGCCCGCCAGTCTAGACAGCCAGGCTGTGGGGAGACAGTCGTCCTGGTAACAGTGGGAGAGGAGAGCCGAGCCCAGCCAAGCCCAGCCGAGGGGGCCACTCTCAGCTTTGAGCCTGAGAGCGAATTGATACAGCAGGGAAGGGTGGTGCTCTGGGGCCACAGGAACAGCAAGGCCTTTGGGACACCGCCACCCTCACCACAGTCTGCTCACGAGATGTCACTGACAGCGCGTGGCTTCCGGGCTCCCTCAATGCCTGCGTCCTGCCTTCTCATTGTTCCACGCCTTCTCATTGGTCTGCCCATCGCCAATCAGCGTGCCCCTTGTTGGGCGCGGCTTCTGGGCTTTACCCAATTGGGAGGCAGACTCTTGGATTGCCCGGACGCCCGTGGTTTGGCTGGGTGGTTGTACTTGGGTCAGGTCTTGGGGCCAGGGCCCACTGGAGCTCTCCATCCACCTCTTTCTTCCTGTCCTGCTGCCTCTGGCCAGGCACCTACTTTCCAATGACAGCCACGTCTCTGAGCCCCAGTGTCCCATTGTAAGGCGGAAGTCAAGGGGAGAGCTGCCCCCAGCTCATCAGCTTGGGAGAATAAATGTCCTGATGCACGAGAAGCACCTGGCACACAGAGGAGCTATCATTAAAAAGTAGGTGCCCGGCCAGAGGGAGCAAGACAGAAAGAAAGAAGTGGATCGAGAGCTCCAGTGCACCCTGGCCCCAAGACCCGACCAGAGTGCATCCACCCAGTCAAATGACGGGCAGCGGGACAAACCAAGAGCCTGTGTCCCTATTGGTTAAAGCCCAGAGGCTTCACCCAACAAAGGGGGCGCTGGTTGGTGGAGGGGGGACCAATGAGAAGGCTCGACACGGGTGTCGAAGGCGCGCGGAAGCCACCCGCTGTCGGGAACACGGTACTTCCACCTGCCGTGAGGGCCACGGTGTCCTGAAGGCCTTGTTGTTCCTGTCCCGTGGCCTGCTTGGCTGGGCTTGGTTGGGCTCGACCATCTCCCCATAGGCCAGGGTGCCTGAACTGGCGCCATGAGCTCCCCCGATGAGGTGTCCGTTTGGAGGGCTGGTTTCGACCTGGGGGGTGGCGAGCAGGCTGGCACCTGCACAGTCAGCCCCGGAGCCCCACAGGGCCACAGCCGAGGCCTCGATCTGGGGGCACCACACAGCAGCAAGGGCGAGAGCAGGTTCACAGATCCCGAGGGCTTCAGCTTCGAGTCTGAGAGCGAATTGATAGAGCAGGGAAGGGTGGTGCTCTGGGGCCAGGAAGGCCGGCCTAGCACCCCGGTCGACGACCAAGGGGACGGTGTGGACTACTCGTCCTACCTGGTTGATGAGACAGCCGCCATCGTGCCACCGTCCAGCATCCAGGGACACCCGTTCCCTGAAGACGCCACTACTGAAGGGTCCGCTGAAAACTGGGTGGACCTGGAGGTCGGTCCCAGTGGGAGAGGCATGCTGAGCCCCAGCCCTGGAGAATGGCAGCAGGCCTCTGCCGGCCCTCTCCACCTCAGTGTTCCTGAACCAGGCCGGGCCTGGAAGAACCCAGAAAGGGGCTCGAAGAGCAGATGGAGCGTCCGCGTGGACCCCCAGCAGCCCTCTGTAATAGGCCCCACCAGGATGTCTACCCACGACTCTGATTCCTCCGATGAGACCAGTGACTTACCACTGATGAGGATGGGCATTCGCCACAAAGAAGGAAGCCAAGCCAAGTTCGGCAGCCACAGGAAGCCAGCAGACACATCCAGACACTCAAGCTTCCACTGCAAGGAGAGTTACTTGCCCGTGCCAGGCCGTTTCCTGACCTCTGCTCCCCGCGGACTCACTCCAGTCGTGGAGAGGCCGGCTGTGGGAGAGCTGGAGGACTCTCCCGGGAAGAAAATGCTGAGCAGGGCCTTGGGAAAGGTGGAGGCCAGGCCCAGCTGCTCAGGAGCTGCCACTGCAGGGGCCCTGCCCTGGGGCCCTTCTAAGAGGAAGATGGCCCAGGAGAAGTCTCTAGGGGGTGCCTCTCAACTGGCCCTATGGAGACCCTTTCCTGCCTGCGGAGAGAGACTCTCAGCCACTCCCCCAGGGCCGGCCACCTCCCAGCCATTGCCTGGTGTGCGGCCGCAGGGGATGTCCAAGAAACCCCAAAAGCCTAAGCACAGCAGCCCTGGGAAGAAACCAGCAGGAAGGAAGACCAGGGAGTCCCAGGCTGTGGCGAGAGAAGATAATGACCCAAATAGAGATGAGGTCCCAAGGGCCCAAGTAAGTAGGCCCTTCTCACCCTCCTCTCCCTCTTCATCCTCCTCCTCCTCTGGTCTCCCCCCAGCCTCCTCTCTTCCAGCACACACCTGTTTACCCATGCCCCCTATGTCCCTTGCTCAAGGGTTGTTATCGGAAGGCCAGGGACACTAGAATGCCCAATCAGGGTCTTCGTTGTAGGGGCACACGTTAAAGGGAGTACTTGGTGTGTGACGGGCAAACCTCCGGACACTCTGCAGGGGTCCTACCTCCTCCCCCAGAGAGGAGCTGGGATGGAAGGCAGGGCTGGCAGCTGGTTAGGTTGGGGTGATCCCTTAAAGTGTGGGCCGCAAACCTGGGGCATCTAGGCTCATCAACTTCCCGACTCCTCCTTACTTAGCTGTTGCCCGAGCCACCTGGAAAGGGGCCCAGGCTATCTCACTATCCCCAGTGTTTTCCCTGGCTGGGCTCTGCCTCCTGGCCTGGGGCTGACTGGGGGAGAAAGTGCTAATGAGATTAGGCTCTGGAGTCTCCATCTTACCACAACCCCTCCCATATGTACTCACTGCCCGCCCCCACCGCCAGCCCGACTCAGAAATTTCTGTTTTAGCTTCCCACACACCGGCCAGGACTGCCTCGCCTATCCACGCATCGTGGAGAATTCAGCAGTAGCGACTCCAACATCAGAGCTCCCCAAGTTCTGGGGACTTCAGAGCCCTCTGCCTACAGCCTGGGAGGCCTCGTGCCCAGACGCCATGCACCCTCTGGTGAGTCTTGCGGGTTTGATAGGAGTGGAGGGGAGAGGGGTCGGGAGGGAAACCTCTGGCTCTGTCGCTTCTGGGGGCTCAGCCTTGTTCCCAGGCTTCCCTGCCCACCCAGGCAGGTATCCCATGGGAAATGGGGTGTCGACAGGGCTGGCTTTAAGCCACATCATCCTCTCTGAGTGGGGTTTGTGTGGTGGGGGGCGATTTGGAGCAGCGCTCCAAACTCCAACTCTGGAAGACTTTCGGCAGTACTGAGCCCTTTTCTGTTAAGTCCTGCTCAGCCACACTGGCCCTCCGAGGGCCTGGCTGTGGCTGCCCCACTGCTGGTGTCCAACCCGGAGTCACAACGCTAGGGGGCCACAGGTGCAGATGGGCTCATACTGGGGAACAGGGAAGACAGTCACAGAGGGAGGGTTGGAGATGCTGGGCAGAGCAGGGGCAACATGTTGCCAGCAGAGGGTGATGGTGCCTCACTTTAGACCCTGCTAGGCCTTTTCCACCTCACTGGGCGGCTTGGAAGCTGGATTTTGTGTTCTCTTTCAGGTGACTGGCAGCCACCTGTCCATCCCCCAAGACCGGAAAGGCAGCAATAGCCCCCGGGAGCCCAGGGCTGTCCTCGGGTAATGTTTTGTGTGGCTCCTAGAAATCCAGGTCCACACTAGATGGTGGGATCTGTGTCTAGGTTAAACTGATAGCTGCATACCCCCCGACCCCCGCCGCCTCCACCTTCTGCACCCCAGGGAGAGAGGGTGCCTCCTTTCCATTGAGGATTCTGTGCCAACCCACCTCGCCACTGGGCTGCAGGCTATGGGGGCTACTAAGGGTTGGGGGAGACAGGGAGGACAGGGAGAGAGGAGGCCAGAATTGACTAACCATTTATCTTCCTCTGGTGTCTCCTGGACTAGTGCATCCGGCTGCAGAGGGAAATTGAGGACCTTAGAGACCAACTAGGTATGAGGGAGCCCTGGCTGGGGCAGGGATGGACAGCAGTGTCTTTCTGCAGGTGCCGGGGGCAGGGTGGACTGTAGGTACAGGCGGCATCACTGGGACTGACTTTCCTTTGGGGAAGAGAACCAAGCAGGCCTGGCCCTGGAGCCTTCTGTGCCTTTCCAGCTAGGGGTGTGCACAGACAGCAATGTGTTGTCTGAACTCCATGTACACTTAGTCCACGAGTCCCAGAACTCTCCTCTTACGACGGTTAGAGATACCTCATGTGTTTTCCCTACAAGCCTGGTAGGGCTTGTATGGTGTTTGCTTGCTGGCTGGCTTATCTGTCTTTGAAACACGTTCTGAAAGGTTCTGGGATGCCCCAGCACCTGAGAACCACTTTCCTGCTTAGAAGGCATTTCTACATTTAATTCAGGTGACGCGTGGATGAGTCAGTCCCAGGGCTGGTGGGGTTTCTGGTTGCAGGGCTAGGTGGTTCCCCACCGGGGCAGGGCGTGGGTTTCTGTTTCCCTGGGTCTGGAGTGCCCATTTCTGCCTCTCTCTTTCAGCGGCCATGCAGTTCCTCACTGACAAGTTCCAGGACCTTTGAAGTGAGTGTTGCACACACCATGCCCCTTTCCACAATCATGGTACCTTAGGAGGGCTGTGGGCTGGCCCTGGCTGAGGGCCCGTCCCTGAGCCTACTCTGTTTCACAGGTTGGAGCCAGCATCTTCCTACAAGATGAACAGCTGCCACCTTTGGAGCTCCGGAGCTGCAGCCAAGCGGGTTCCCTCCATATCCTGTTCAGCCAGGGCTTCCTCTCTTCCTCTGCATTTGCACACTTCCCAACGCAGTTCAAAGCAATTTGAAATAAAGTCGTTCTCATATTCTGTGGTCTGTGGTCTGCCATCTCTGTGATTGTTGGGAGTGTTGGGGTGTGCCGGGTGTTGCTCCGTTCCCTGGCGCTGGAAGAACAGTTCCCCTGGCGCTCTGTGGTGAGCCCTCTCCCTGCGGGGCGCCTGGGCCGGCCTCTGAGCAGCAGCCCTGCACTCGGGCTCACCACAGTGCCCTGGGTCTAGGTGCTGTGGGGGCCCTGCCCGGCCACAGCAGCATTTCCTGCCTTTCTCCTACACACCCTGCTCATGGTCCCTCCTCTTCTCCTCCCACTTTGGGGTGTCACAGGTCCCCTTCTTCAGTGCTTTTCTCCCTCTCCTTCAGCAGGAACTGATGGACTCCTTCTAGAACCCCTGTCTCTCTCACCTTTCCTCTTGCGGTTCACTGTCCCAGTTCTGCCCTGTCACCGTTCTTTCCATCATAAGCATCTTTGCCCTCCCAGTGGCTTCATGTGGGTGGCCTTTCCTGCACGATTATTTCTGTGCTGTTGAGGAACACAATGGAGCCCCGTCCTCTTTCTGGAGCTGTTATGTCCCTCCGGTGCCACCATGCACACGGTCAGGTCATCTGGGCCAGTAACCTGCATGGCATCCTCAGTTCCTCTTAGCCCTCACCTTTGAACCTCAGTTACCAAATCCGGTCAGGTCTCCTCCTTAGTAGCCAGGTGGAGGCAGAAGCCACCTCCTGGTGGGTGGCGGAGCCAAAGGGAAGGTACAAGGAACGCTGAAGAAAAGGGCGGGTTCATCTCTTGGTTGGAGGCCGGGGCACTGAGTCTGTTCTGATGCCTGCGGGCCAACCTGGTAGAAACTGTGGGCTGGGAGCTACACGGAAGGTGGCTTCCACATCCTTGGCGTCCTATAGGCAGCCAACAGCCCCTTCTGCGGCTGGTCGGCTCCATACCCTTGATTTGAAAATGGCCAGCTGCTTTCCAGGGCAAGTGTCGATGCTAGGCCTGGCTGTTCTTGGATGGTCCCCATGAAATATCATTTCACCACCCCCAAGGCCGCAGGTTTTTGTGGATGTGATATTTCCATGTCCCTACTCAGTCTTCCAGATTGCCTCTCGAGGTCACATGAGATTTCCTCGAGCTCCCTGTTCTGCCTTCACCCTCCCCGACAGTTGGGATCGCCCGCTACCTTCAGCCGGAATCCTCGACTGGGTGGGCCCCAGATTCGGGCACAGATTCCGATTCCAGTGAGGAGGTGTGTGTAGGTTCTCCCTGCTCCCATCGCCAAGAGACTGGGTGTTGAATAGACAAAGACAGTAGAAATGCAGATACCATTCAAGGTTAGTGTGTGTGTGTGTGTGTGTGTGTGTGTGTGTGTGTGTGTGTGCGCGCGCCTGCATGAGCATGCCCCTGCATGCACCTGCTTGGGAATCAAATTAATTGAGGGTGCTCTCCCTTGAGCAAGAAAGAGATGATTCACAGAGTGGAGGCAGTGGTGAAGGATCCGTGAAGGATCGAATGCGCAAAAGCAGGGCTGAGATCTACCTTTGACAAGAGGTGGTGTTCAATTCTAACACCTAGGAGGGCACAGACTGGGACAAATGGGACATCCCCAAACACAGGGATGGGTGTCGGGCTCTCAGAATGCTGGAGGCACCACAGTAGGCTCCTGATCCTCTGCAGGATGGATGGGATGTCTCAGCACTCCCGTGTGTGGGTGCAGTGATAATGCCTCAGAGTTGCTGGTTGGTGTTTCATCTAGGAAGCGGGGATCTCCCATGGGAGGGTGCTGTGACTTGACATGGGCAGGGTGGGAACAGTGCAGGTGGAAAGCCAGAAAGAGGGACTGCCCTGGGACAGCTAGTCAGGCTCGGTACCTGCCTTCCCACATACTCTCACTGTGTCTCACTGCCGGGATGGGGTGGGACCATCACGCACATGGAGGGCCAATCACAGGCCTCAGAGACGTAAACAAATGGTGGTGGGGACCTACCCCATCCGCATCAAACCCCTCGCCTGAGAGGGTTGGCTTGATTCCTTGGGCCAAGGCTTTGACCCTGACACAGGTGTTTGTTTCTTGGGGGGATAACACAGTGGGCTGGTGTCTGGGGGAAGACGTGTGTCAGGGACTCTCCAGCTTGGGTTTTTGCCACCGGAGACATCTAGGCAGGTTCTGGTGGGGTGAGAACTCCACCCCTATCACTGCCCTGGGGGGCATGGGCCGTGGTCGACAGAGTGTGGAAGGGGAGAAACCCGTGGACAGAGTCATGGAAGGCGTGAACCCATCTCCCGGTGGCTGGATTTGCCAGCCCCGCCTCTCAGCACACCACCTCGGTTCCATATTCAGACCACCTCCCACACAATACTGAGGCTGTAACATGTACACCCCAGGCCATGGTCAGGCGGAGCCTTCCAGTTCTAGGGGATATAAGTGCAGAATCCGAGGTTCCTCGGATTAGCGCAATCCATCTGGGCCCCAGTGGAGAGGAAGAGGTTGAGCACCTCCCCTTATTCAGTGACCCCCTTTTGCTTTTCCCTCAAGCCTGCTCTCCCACCAAGAGGATTGTGGGGTCTGGGCTGGAGAGCCTTAGACCCTCTCCTGCCTTGTCCTGCCACTCAGCTCAGACGGGCTCCGGAGGTCTGGCGAGCTGAGTGCCTGCCCTTGATGCAGCCACAGTGGCAGAGCCCTGAGCAGAATCCCACCTACACCCGGCGCCAGGGCTGCCACAGGTACATTTCCAGATGAGACCTCTTACTCTGTGGGCAGAAAAGACCATCTCCTCTTCAGACTCCAACTAGGGCCAAAGGTGTGTGAGTCTCCTCACACGCCCGCCAGCCAGAGTCCCCAAGAGTGGCCTTCCAGGCTGTGGCCGAGGCCCAGGGCACCATACGCAGGGATGTGAGATGGCAATCATGGGATCACAGTGGTCATGGTGAGTAACAGCCATGAACTTTAGCCTGCCTGGAACACACTCCTGGATGAACTTGGACAACCTCATGCACATCTGTCCTTAACCTCCACCCCAAGAACTCCTCTTTTCCCCCACACATTTTCTCATCATCCCTTTCCTTGAAGGATGAGGCCAACACCAGTGTTTGCCAGGTACGGCCGCATAGGCTATGGCCGCCAGGGTGGCCATGCAAACTCTATCTGTGGGATTCCAGGGTGCTCCGTTCTCATGATCCAGCGTGAACGGCGCCCATGTGGTTGTGCAATGTTGAAGTCCAGGTCACTACCATGCAGAGCGAGGAACAGAAGGTTGGCAGGGTTTTGGAACCCTCCTGTTTGCCCCAACCCGATCACTACCTCCCCCTTTGCACACCCCAGAGGTAATCACTGTGCTGACTTTTCCAATAATCACTCACTTTCTTTTACAGGGCTAATAATTCCCAGTTAATAACCCTCACCAAGATATAAAAGTTAGAGGCAGCTAAATGTAAAATTATATGTTTGAAACATAATACACACACACACACACATACTCTCTCTCACACACACCCACGCATACACACACACTTACAGAGAGAACTCAGAAGCCGGCCCTCTGACAAACAGTTGTAAGGTGATCAAGCCAGGTAACTACTACTGAGGTTATGAAACTGTACATTGCACCTTCAGAGAATTGTGATCAGAATGTCTTTCTCTGAAGGAAGCCAAATGCACATGCATATACCGTGTGATTCCATTTATATGACATTCTGGAAAAGGCAAATCTGTAGCAACAGAAAACAGATTGGTGGTTGCCAAGGTCTGAGGGTTAAGACTAGGAGTTCACTACCAGAGGGCGTGAGGGAAACTGGGGGGGATGCCGATGCTCTATATCTATATATACCGTGCTGGTGTTTCCACAGCAGTATGAATTTACAAAATCCCATACAACTGTGTGTAGTTATAGTCCAATAGTCCTGACTTTTTAGAAAAAAAAAAAAGAATTGTCAGCAATACATCTTGAATTGATATTGACATTTAGTCAATACTTTTCGTGACTACAAAAAGTGTATCTTTCTCCCCAAATCTGTTAATGTGGAGAATTATAGCACTGTATTTTCTGAAGGGAAATTAAGTTTGTATTTCTGGGATGAAGCCAATATTAGTCATACCATATTAGGCGTTTTCCTTTTATATCCTGTAGGCTTCTGTGTGCTAAGATTCTGGTTCTGATTTTTGCTTCTATGTCATGAGCCTGTGATTTATCTGCAATATTTCTCTAAGTGTCCTTGCAGGATTTGGTATCGAGGTTATGCCAAGCTCATACAGTGAGTGGAGGATTGTTGCTCCCTTTCAATTTTCTGCACGAGTTTGTGTCAAATGGAAGATATGTATTCCTAGGATGTTTGTCAGAATATGGTGGGGAATCCTGGAGTTTATTAGTAGAAAGACTTTGACTACTCATATCTTTCTGTAATGATTCTGGAATGGTTCAGGTTGGCTGTTCCTTCTTGTGTCAGTCTTGGCGGATTTGGTTTCCTAGCAATTGGTGACTTTTTCGTTGTTTTCAAACTGACTGGAATAAAATGGTCCATAATACGCCCTTCATCCCAGATTGCATTTGTTTAAATTTTGGAGCCACAGGAGAGTTGCAGGGAAAGCACAAGGAGCACCCATACGTATATTCTTCTACTGGATCCTCCAGTTGTTACCATTTTCTCACATTTGCTTCAGCCCTCCCTCCATGCCGCGCCCCCATCTTTTTCTGAGCGTGTGGGTGTATTTTTTTTTTTTATTGTTTTGTGGAATCATTTGAGATCCGTTGGAATCATTTAGATCCATCATCGGTAAATACTGCAGCATGTATCGCCTGCAAGGAAGCATGGGCTCCCACAAAACCTTAATGCCACCATGACACTCAGGAAATGTAACATGGAGACCACACAATTTTCTACTGTATGATCACATGAAACATTCTCCGATTTTCCCCATGGTCCCATAGTATCCCTCATAGCTGCTTTCTAACAAAATTCTCTTTCCAACCAAACATCATACTTTGCATTTAGTTGTCAAGTCTCTTTTGAGACAGGGTCTCCCTCTGTCTCCCAGGCTGGTGGGCAGTGTCACGAACCCGACTCACTGCAGCCTTGACCTCCCAGGCTCAAGCCATCCTCCCACCTCAGCTTGGACCTCCTGAGTAGCTTGGACTACAGGCATGCGCCACCGTGCCCAGCTAATTTTTAAAATACTTTTTGTAGAGACGGAGTTTCACCATGTTGCCCAGGCTCGTCTGGAACTCCTGAGCTCAAGCCATCCACCCGCCTAGGTCTCCCAAAATGTTGGGATTATAGGCGTGAGCCATGGTTCCCAGCCCGTCAAGTCTCTTCAGAGGCCTTTAAAGTGTGCTTTAAAGCAATGTTTAAAATGTGCTTTAAACCAGTGCAGTTGTTTTCAGGAAGCCCTTGAACTTGGGTTTGTCAAATGGCTTCCTTGTGATTAAACTCAGGTAAGTTTAACATTTTTGACAAGACTACTGCACAGCAAATGTGTTGTCCTTCTTGGTGCATGACATCAGCAGATTCTCCATGTAGGCTTCTCTTATGACTCGTGATGTTCATCTTGACCATGTGGCCAGGGCGTTGTTCCAGATTACTCCATTGTGGAGGTGCCATCTTCTCTTTGTATTTAATTAGCTATGTGCTGTTACTGCATGGGCACTCCGTGTGAATATCCAGTTCCCCCACCATATCCTCTTTCTATCTTTTGGATGTCTGCCTATCATATGATTTGGATCTGTGTCCTCAGCAAGTCTCGTGTCAAACTGTGACTTCTAATGCTGGAGGTGGGGCCTGGTGGGAGGTGACTGGATCATGGGGCTGGATTTCTCAGGAATGGTTTAGCACCATCCACTTGGTACTGTCCTCACGGTCATGAGTGAGTTTTCATGAGTCTGGTCATTTAAAAGTGTGTGACACCTCCCCCTGCTCTCTCTTGCTCTTGCTCCTACCATGTAAAATGTACCTGCTCCTGTTTCACCTTCTGCCATGATTGCAAGCTTCCTGAGTCCTCCCAGAAGCAGTAGCCACTACACTTCCTGTACAGCTTGCAGAACCATGAGCTCTTCTCTTTATAAATGTCTCGGTCTTGGGTATTTCTTTATAGCAACACAAGAACGGTTGTAACATCATTTGTGCTTATTTCTCCCTTTTCTTTCCTGATAGTGGTGCCCTTCTCCCTTGTTTTCTTGACCAGTCTCACAAGACTTTTACCAATTTCATTCCTCTTCCAAACACCCAACTTCTGGTTTTGTGATCCTTATGCTTGTTTCCACTTTCACTGATTTCTGCTTTTACCTTATTTCCTTCTACTTTCCTTGGTCTTATGTTGCTCTTGTTTTTCAAACTTTTTCTCATTAATTGTCTGCTATTCTATTTTATATGGTTTGGCTGTGTCCCCACTCAAATCTCAAGTTGAATTGTATCTCCCAGAATTCCTACCTGTTGTGGGAGGGACCCAGGGGAAGGTAATTGAATCATGGGGGCCAGCGTTTCCAGTGCTATTCTCATGATAATGAATAAGTCTCACAAGATCTGATGGGCTTATCAGGAGTTTCTGCTTTTGCTTCTTCCTCATTTTCTCTTGCCACCACCACATAAGAAGCACCTTTTGCCTCCTGCCATGATTCTGAGGCCTCCCCAGCCACGTGGAACTGTAAGCCCAATTAAACCTTTTTCTTCCCAGTCTTGGGTATGTCTTTATCGGCAGTGTGAAAATGGACTAATACAGTAAATTTGTACAAGTAGAGTGGGGCGCTGTTGAAAAGATACCCGAAAACATCGGAGCAACTTTGGAACTGGGTAACAGCCAGAGATTGGAACAGTTTTAAGGCCTCAGAAGAAGAGAGGAAAATGTGGGAACATTTGGAACTTCCTAGAGACTTGTTGAATGGCTTTGCCTAAAATGCTGATAGTGATATGGATAATAAAGTCCAGGCTGAGGTGGTCTCAGATGGAGATGAGGAACTTGTTGGGAACTGGAGTAAAGTTGACTCTTGTTTTGTTTTAGCAAAGAGACTGGCAGCATTTTGCCCCTGCCCTAAAGATTTGTGGAACTTTGAACTTGAGAGAGATGATTTAGGGTATCTGGTGGAAGAAACTTCTAAGCAGCAAAGGATTCAAAAGGTGACTTGCGTGCTGTTAAAAGCATTCAGTTTTAAAAGGGAAACAGCAACTTGAAGCATTCCCTTTGAAAACTGGCACAAGACAGGGATGCCCTCTCTCACCACTCCTATTCAACATAGTGTTGGAAGTTCTGGCCAGGGCAATCAGGCAGGAGAAAGAAATAAAGGGCATTCAGTTAGGAAAAGAGGAAGTCAAATTGTCCCTGTTTGCAGATGACATGACTGTATATTTAGAAAACCCCATCGTCTGAGCCCAAAATCTCCTTATGCTCATAAGCAACTTCAGCAAAGTCTCAGGACACAAAATCAATGTGCAAAAATTACAAGCATTTCTATACACCAAGAACACACAGAGAGCCAAATCATGAGTGAATTCCCATTCACAATTGCTTCAAAGAGAATAAAATACCTAGGAATCCAACTTACAAGGGATGTGAAGGATCTCTTCAAGGAGAACTACAAACCACTGCTCAATGAAATAAAAGAGGATACAAACAAATGGAAGAACATTCCATGCTCATGGATAGGAAGAATCGATATCGTGAAAATGGCCATACTGCCCAAGGTAATTTATAGATTCAATGCCATCCCCATCAAGCTACCAATGACTTCACAGAATTGGAAAAAACTATTTTAAAGTTCATATGGAACCAAAAAAGAGCCCACATTGCCAAGACAATCCTAAGCCAAAAGAACAAAGCTGGAGACATCACACTACCTGACTTCAAACTATACTACAAGGCTACAGTAACCAAAACAGCATGGTACTGGTACCAAAACAGAGATACAGACCAATGGAACAGAACAGAGCCTTCAGAAATAATACCACACATCTACAACAATTTGATCTTTAACAAACCTGACAAAAACAAGAAATGGGGAAAGGATTCCCTATTTAATAAATAGTGCTGGGAAAACTGGCTAGCCATATGGAGAAAGCTGAAACTGGATCCCTTGCTTACACCTTATACAAAAATTAATTCAAGATGGATTAAAGACTTAAATATTAGACCAAAAACGATAAAAACCCTAGAAGAAAACCTAGGTAATACCATTCAGGACATAGGCATGGGTGAGGACTTCACGACTAAAACACCAAAAGCAATGGCAATAAAAGCCAAAATTGACAAATGGTATCTAATTAAACTAAAGAGCTTCTGCACAGCAAAAGAAACTACCATCAGAGTGAACAGGCAACCTACAGAATGTGAGAAAATTTTTACAATCTACCCATCTGATAAAGGGCTAATATCCACAATCTACAAAGAACTTAAACAAATTTACAAGAAAAAATCAAAAAACCCCATCAAAAACTGGGTGAAGGATATGAACAGTCACTTCTCAAAAGAAGACATTTATGCAGCTAACAGACACATGAAAAAATGCTCATCATCACTGGCCATCAGAGAAATGCAAATCAAAACTACAATGAGATACCATCTCACACCAGTCAGAATGGCAATCATTAAAAAGTCAGGAAGCAACAGGTGCTGGAGAGGATGTGGAGAAATAGGAACACTTTTATGCTGTTGGTGAGACTGTAAACTAGTTCAAACATGTGGAAGACAGTGTGGCGATTCCTCAGGGATCTAGAACTAGAAATACCATTTGACCCAGCCATCCCATTACTGGGTATATATCCAAAGGATTATAAATCATGCTTCTATAAAGACACATGCTGACATATGTTTATTACGGCACTATTCACAATAACAAAGACTTGGAACCAACCCAAGTGTCCATCAATGATAGACTGGATTAAGGAAATGTGGCACATATACACCATGGAATACTATGTAGCCATAAAAAAGGATGCATTCATGTCCTTTGTAGAGACATGGATGAAGCTGGAAACCATCATTCTGAGCAAACTATAGTAAGGACAGAAAACCAAACACCACATGTTCTCACCCATAGGTGGGAATTGAAAAATGAGAACACTTGAATACAGGGTGGGGAACATCACACACCAGGGCCTGTCTTGGGGTGGGGGAAGGGGGGAGGCATAGCATTAGGAGATATAACTAATGTAAATGATGAGTTAATGGGTGTAGCACACCAACATGGCACATGTATATATATGTAACAAACCTGTATGTTGTGCACATGTACCCTAGAACTTAAAGTATAATAAAAATAAATAAATAAACAAATAAAAGAGAAACAGCATAAAAGTTCAGAAAATTTGCAGCCTGACAGTTAAGTAGAAAAGAAAAACTCCTTTTTTTGAGGAGAAATTCAAGCCGGCTGCAGAAATTTGCATAAAGAGCAAGGAGACTAATGTTAATCCCCAAGACCCTGGGGAAAATGTCTCCAGGCCATGTCAGAGAACTTCAAGGCAGCCCCTCCCATCACAGGCCCAGGGGCCCAAGAGGAAAAAGTGGTTTTGTGGGCTGGGCCCAGGGTTCCCATGCAGTGTGCAGCCTAGGAACTTGGTGCCCAGCCACTCCAGCCATGGCTGAAAGGGGCCAATGCAGAGCTCAAGCTGTGGCCTTAGAAGGTGGAAGCCCCAAGTCTTGGCAGCTTCCATGAGGTATTGAGCCTGCGGCTACACAGAAGTCAAGAATTGAGGTTTGGGAACCTCTGCCTAGATTTCAGAAGATGTATGGAAACGCCTGGATGCTCAGGCAAAAGTTTGCTGCAGGGGGAGCATTGTGGAGAACCTCTGCTAGGGCAGTGCAGAAGGGAAATGTGGAGTCGGAGCCACCACACAGAGTCCCTACTGGGGGACTGCCTAGTGGAGTTCCCATACAGGTGCACTTGATAATTATTTATTAAACTACGCACATAGATTGTGATGTTTTCTTTCTGTATGTTACTTACTGCCATAAGCAGAGAAAAAATAGTGGTAAGGGAAGTAACATTGCATTAAACAGTCAAGTATTTTATAACCAGAAGGATAACCAAAATTATTTTCTCTATTTATAGCAGATCTCTTTGAGAGTAGTAATATCAGTTTATTGATAAAAATAGTTTTATTTTCATATTCTCATAGATTTCACTAAACATCATAGGAGTGATGCTTACATAATTGGGATATTAATTTCGATGTTTTGGTAAGTATTTTATATTTGGGTGGTAAGTTTTCATTCACAGTTTGTGACTTTGTGCTGGAATCCCATGCACTTGGTACATTTTCTCAGGGGAGATTTGTCACCTCCCCATCCACTTATTCTCAGAGGTGGAGGACCAAGAACTGGAGAAAAAGAAATGACCAAAAAAAAAATCTAAAAACATGTGCCTTCAATGTAATACATGAATTTGACCAGGTGAGGGCAGTGCCGTTTTAAGCTGTTTGCTGGGATGCAAGTGGAGGCAGCTAGTGATCTCATGCCTTTTGAGTTTCTCCTCTTCTCTACTGTTAGCTGCTGGGATTGAAAGGGCCATTTGTGCCAATTAAAATGGAAGCAGTGTTGGCAATCCTTCTGATGGGCTGCATCTCCTTTGCCTGTTTGGCACTTCCATCCTAACGCCAACCTTGCCAGCTGCTTTCCCCAGCAACTCTTTTCTTCCTGTTTCTTCTCCTCAGGCCCAACTAAGACCACTGATGTGCTACACAAAGCACGGGGCCCTGACAAACAGAGAGATAGCAGGCTGGACTGTGCAGCCCTTTGGGGCCTTATTGTTGTGAATAAAGCCAGAGGCATTTTCCTAAAAAGTCAACCTCCATCCCAGGATGAGTTTCCCCTGCTTTTGTTTCTAGCCTTGTACTCCCTGAGGGTGGCTTGAGTGAAGGCTCCACACTGGTTTATGGCATTAATAGGGTCAAGTAGGACGAATGTTGGGATTATTTATTTCATCAATTGATGAAATGAAATAAAAACTATTCTCTGGGGCCAGGCTCAGTGGCTCATGCCTGTCTGGGAGGCCAAGGCGGGCAGATCGCTTGAGCTCAGGAGTTCAAGACCAGCCTGGCCAACATGGCAAAACCCTGTCTCTATGAAAAATACAAAAAAATTAGACAGGTGTGGTGCCACATGCCTGTAGTCCCAGCCACTTGTGGGGCTGAGGTGGGAGGATCGCTTGAGCCTGGAAGGTAGAGCCTGGCAGTGAGCCGAGATCACCACTGCACTCTAGACTGGATGACAAAGTGAGACCCCGTCTCCAAAACACACACACACACACACACACACACACACACACACACACACAAAACTATTACTGGTTCTGGGAGCCACCCCTCTGCCTAGAGATAAATAGCAATTTTCATGATAAGTACCACTCCATTCCCTGATTCCATTATTTAGAAGTCCAGCAACTGTAAGGACTTACTTAAGGTTGAGTGAGAAGCAGAAATCAAGGAACCACTTATGTTGAAACTTTACTTTACTACTTAAGTAAAGGGTCTTCTCAGATTCTCATTAGGGATTTTTCATCTTTTCCAACTACATTTTTTTTTTTTTTTTTTGAGACAGGGTCCCACCCTATCACCTAGGCTGGAGTGCAGTGACATGCTCATAGCTCACTCCAGCCTCGAACTCCTGGGCTTAAGCCATCCTCCTACCTCAGCCTTCCAAAGTGCTGGAATTCCAGGTGTGAGGCAGCACACCCAGCCTTTTTCATCCCTTTAGACTACATTTTCTTTATTGCTAATTCTATCATACCATTAGAAGAAATTTGAGGGAAAAAATTATTTTGCCCATAATGCTAGGACCCAAACACCTCAACTGATTTTTTTTCTCCATGGTTCCTGCTCTAAGATCATAGAAGTACAGAATATTGGAACTAGAAGAACTCTTGGAGAAATTTAACAGGCCAACTCATGGTCAGTGTGCAAGTGAGGAATCTAAGAGCTGGAGGGGCAGTGCCACGTCAAGGCCACCAGATAGTTCAAGGCTGCACCTCCGCAGTCTCCATTTTGTCCTTCAGCAGGGCAGAAACCACTCTATCTCCTCATACGCAGGCCTCATGTGGATTGATATCAAAGTTGGTGCAGCTTCTTCCCAACCTCTTGACTAGTTCTAAGCACTACAATACATCCCATTTGCTGTCAGTTACAGCTAGAGCCAGATTAACCCATGAGAGCATCTTGGGTGAAGGAGCAGCTATTGTCTTTACTCCATCCAGAGGACCTGTGGTGTGCTGGGGTCACCCAGGATGGTTGTCTCTGGCTATTGTGCAGTTCTGTACAGGCACAACAGATGGCAGAGTAAGGTAGGACAAGCGCTAGACGAGGAATCAAAAGACCTGGCTCTCTCCTAACCTACTGAAAATCACTTCCCCTTACAAAACCTCCATTTCTCCATCTGTGAAAACAGAAAGGTGGCCTGAAACAGTGCTTCTCAACCTGAGGTCCATGAACTTTTCTGAAATTGTGTGCAGAGTTGTGGGAGGTGGTGTTTGCAGTCTCCTAGGGAGAGGGTATAGAGCTTTCATCTCATTCTCAAAGAGTTCCTGTTATGGACTGAACTGTGTTTCCCCAAAATTCATACGTCTAAATATTAACCTCCGATGTGACTGTATTTGGAGACAGGGCCCTTAGGGAGGTAACTAAGGTTAAATGAGGGTGAGGCCTAATCCAATAAGACTGGTGCCCTTAGAAGAAGAAGAGACACCAGAGTGCTATCTCTCTCTCTCTCTGTCTCTCTGTCTCTCTATCTCTCTCCCCACCACCCCTTTAAGGACATAGTGAGAAGGTGACTGTCTGCAAGCCAGAAAGAAGACCCTCACCAGGAACCTAATTGCTGGCACCTTGATCTTGGACTTCTAGCCTCCAGAATTGTGAGAAAAATTTCCTTCGTTCAAGCCACCCAGCCTGTGGTATTTTATTATGGCAGCCTGAGCTGACTAATACGGGTCCTATAACCCAGAAAAGGTTCAGAGTCACTAGATCCACTGGTCCCCAGATACCAAGCTTGGGCATTCATGTTCTGCAGCAATGTGTCTCTAGATATTTTGTAGACTTCTTAAGTTTTGAACCTTTCATACACATATTTTACATAATTGTGATTATAGCATATATACAAATCTATTCTACCTTTTTTCTGCTCAGAATTGGGCAGCATATTTATTATTGCAACATACTGTGTTTTCTATTAGTTGCATAGCACAAGTTTGGATCTATATAAACCCATATCAGTTTAAGTCCTGATTCTACAACCTACTTATTACCTCTGTGACCTTGAGCAAGTTATAACGTATCTGTGCCTTGTATATAAAATGGGGATAAGGGCTGGGTGCAGTGGCTCACGCCTGTTATCCCAGCACTTTAGGAGGCTGAGGCGAGAGGATCACCTGAGGTCAGATGTTCAAGACCAGCCTGGCCAACATGGTGAAACTCCATCTCTACTAAAAATACAAAAATTAGCCAGGTGTGGTGGCACACGTCTGTAATCTCAGCTACTCAGGAGGCTGAGGCATGAGAATCACTTGAACTCAGGAGGCAGAGGTTGCAGTGAGCTGAGATCACGCCACTGCACTCCAGCCTGGGCGACAGAGCAAGACTGCATCTCAAAAAATAAAAATAAAAATAAAAATAAAATAGGGATAAGATTAGTATCTGTATTAGTCCATTCTCACATGGCTATAAAGAACTGCAAGACTGGATAATTTATAAAGAAAAGATGCTTAGCTGACTCACAGTTCTGCATGGCTGGGGAAGCCTCGGGAAACTTACAATTATGGTGAAAGGGGAAGAGGCATGTCTTACATGGTGGCAGGTGAGAAAGAGCAAGTGTGTGAAGGAGGAACTGTCAGACACATAAAACCATCAGATCTCGTGAGAACTCACTCACTACCACGAGAACAGTATGGGGGAAACCGCCCACATGATCCAATCACCTCCCACCAGGCTTTGTCCTTGACACATGGGGATTATGGGGATTACAATTCAAGATGAGATTTGGGTGGGGACACAGAGCCAAACCCTATCAGTATCTATCTCATGTGGCCATGATGATTATCAAATGACATAATGTATGTAGAGGACCAGGGATATATTAAAGTTTCAACAGATATTAGTAGCTCTTATCATTGTTGAATACTGAAGTTGTTACCAGGTTTTTTGCTTTTATAAATTATACTGCTGTGATCAAATTTCTTTGTACATAGAGAATTTTTTTTCTTTTAAGCAATTTCCTGAGGCTAAATTCCCTAGAGTAGTGTAACTGGGTCAATAGTTAGATTATTTTTTCTTATAATTTGGAGAATTTTTATTTTGTTTTTATTGAAATATCTCATTTATATTTACTTAACTGTAGATCTCTTCTGTGCATACATTTTTTAAATGTATTAGTCCACATAAGCAAAATAAATCAGTGAATTTATTTCTAGAAGTTCTTTATATTTAGCGTAGAACTCTTCTGAATCCTTTTTTACATTAGCGTTGTCTGCGTTGCTGGATCTGCACCCTATGCTATCCTTTGGTGGTACATCATTTATTGAAAGACTGTTTCACTGTTGGTTCCAGGATTTCCTTCCAAGCTGCTGAGATCCCATCTGCACACTTTCAATGAAGATGCTTTCTTGATCTTTTAAGGGGATTTCATGCACAGGCAATGACAACCTGATCACTAAAATATCAAATGGCCAACTGTCATCACTGACTGTCAGAAGCATTCTGATTTCAGAGACATAATTTTTTTAAAAAGTGTATATTAGGATCAATGAAGTATGCTAACTCACCACTATTGTGAATCCCACCTTCTTCAGATAGAATATTTTTTAATAAGTTTTATTGTATATATTTGAGGTTTACAACATGATGTTATGGAATACATATAGATAATAAGATGGTTACTATAGTGAAGCAAATGAACGTTATCACTTCACACAGTTACTTTTTTGTGACAAGAGCAGCTAAAAATCTACTTATTTAATAAAAATCCCTAATATATACAATTTTATTAACTCTAGTCTCATGTTGTACCTTAGGCCTCTAGACTTGTTCATCTTATGTAACTGCTACTTTAAAATCTTTTGCCTACATTCCCCCATTTCCTCCCTTTCTCCCTACCCTACCCCTGGTAACTACTATTGTATTCTCTCTATATATATATTTGACCTTTTTTAAGATTCTACATGTAAGTGAGCTCATGCTATATTTTTATTTCTGTGTCTGGTTTACTTCACTTAGTATAATGTACTCCAGGTCTATCCATGATGTGGCAAATGGCAGGATCTCCTTTTTTAAGGCTGAATAATATTCGTGTGTGTGTGTGTTTGTGTGTGTGTGTGTGTGTGTGTGAAAATAGATAAAGAAAATCAACTTAGGTTGTTTCCATATCTTGGCTATTGTGAATAATGCTGCAATGGACATGGGAGTGAAGATATCTTTATGAGGTGGTGATTTCATTTCCTTTGGGAAGGAGGTGAAAGATCTCTAGAAGAACTACAAGACACTGCTGAAAGAAATCAAAGATGACAAAAACAAGTGGAAATACATCCCACGCTCATGGATTGGAAGAATCTAGGCTGGGTGCAGTGGCTCACGCCTGTAATCCCAGCACTTTGGGAGGCCAAGGCAGGTGGATTTCTTGAGCCCTGGAGTTCGAGACCAGCCTAGGCAACATGGTGAAACCCTGTCTCTACAAAAAATACAAAAATTAGCTGAGTGCGGTCGCATGTGCCTGTGATCCCAGCTATTCAGGAGACTGAGGTGGGAGGATCGCTTAAGCCCAGGAGGCAGAGGTTGCAGTGAGCCAAGATCGCACCATTGCATTCCAGCCTGAGCTACAGAGTGAGACTCTGTCTCAAAAAAAAAGAATCGATATTGTGAAAGTGACCATACTGACTGTCCAAAGCAATCTACAAATTCAATGCAACTCCTATCAAAATACCAAAATCATTTTTCAGAAAATTAGAAAAAGAGGCCAGGTGCAGTAGCTTATGCCTGTAATCCCAGCATTTTGGAAGGCTGAGGCAGGAGAGTCCCTTGAGCCCAGGAGTTCAAGACCAGCCTGGGCAACAAAACAAGACCCCATCACTACAAAAAATTTAAAAATTAGCTGGGCATGGTAGCATGTGCCTGGTGTCCCAGCTACTCAGGAGGCTGAGGTGGGAAGCTGGCTTGAGCCCAGAAGGTTGAGGCTACAGTGAACCATGGGCATACCACTGCACCCCAGTTTGGGTAACAGAGTGAGACCCTGTCTCAAAAAAAAAAAAAAGAAAGAAAAAGAAAAGAAAAAAAAACTCCTGAAATTTATATGGAGCCAAAAAAGAGCCTGAATAGACAAAGCAATTCTAAGCAAAAATAATAAATCTGGAGGCATCACATTACCTGAATTCAAATTATATTACAAGGCTATAGTAACCAAAACGGCGTCGTACTGGTATAAAGCTAGATACATAGACCAATGGAACAAAATAGAGAACCCAGAAATAAAGCCAAATATTTACATACAACCAGTGGATCTTCAACAAAGCATACAAGAACATAAACTGGGGAAAGGATACCCTATTCAATAAATGGTGCTGGGAAAACTGGATAGCCACATGTACAAGAATGAAACTGGACGCCTATTTCTCACCATACACAAAAGTCAACTCGAGATGAATTAAAGACATAAATCTAAGACCTGACACCATAAAAATTCTAGAAGAAAACCACCAGGCACGGTGGCTCACGCCTGTAATCCCAGCACTTTGGGAGGCTGACGTGGGCGGATCATCTGAGGTTGGGAGTTTGAGACCACCCTGACCAACATGGAGAAACCCCATCTCTACTAAAAATACAAAATTAGCCAGGTGTGGTGGCATATGCCTGTATTCCCAGCTACTCGGGAGGCTGAGGCAGGAGAACGGCTTGAACCCGGGAGGCGGAGTTTGCGGTGAGCCGGGGATTGCACCATCACACTCCAGCCTGGGCAACAAGAGCGAAACTCCATCTAACAAAAAAAAAAAAAAATTCTAGAAGAAAACCTAGGAAAAACTCTTCTGGACATAGGCCTTGGCAAAGAATTTATGACTAAGACCTCAAAAGTAAGTGCAACAGAAGCAAAAATAAATAAATGAGACCTAATTAAACTAAAAAACTTGTGCCCCTCCCCCTCCCCCTCCCCCTCCCCCTCCCCCTCTCCCTCTCCCTCTCCCTCTCCCTCTCCCTCTCCATCTCCCTCCTCCCTCTCCCACACCCCTTTGCACGGTCTCCCTCTGATGCTGAGCCAAGGCTGGACTGTACTGCCGCCATCTCGACTCACTGCAACCTCCCTGCCTGATTCTCCTGCCTCAGCCTGCCGAGTGCCTGGGATTGCAGGCGCGCGCCGCCATGCCTGACTGGTTTTTGTATTTTTTGGTGGAGACGGGGTTTCGCCGTGTTGGCCGGGCTGGTCTCCAGCTCCTGACTGCGAGTGATCTGCCAGCCTCGGCCTCCCGAGGTGCCGGGATTGCAGAGGGAGGCTTGCTCACTCAGTGCTCAATGTTGCCCAGGTTGGAGTGCAGTGGTGTGATCTCGGCTCGCTACAACCTCCACCTCCCAGCCGCCTGCCTTGGCCTCCCAAAGTGCCGAGATTGCAGCCTCTGCCCGGCCGCCACCCCGTCTGGGATGTGAGGAGCCCCTCTGCCCGGCCGCCTAGTCTGGGAAGTGAGGAGCGCCTCTTCCCCGCCGTCATCCCGTCTAGGAAGTGAGGAGCGTCTCTGCCCGGCCATCCATCCTCTGGGATGTGGGGAGCGCCTCTGCCCGGCCGCGACCCCGTCTGGGAACTGAGGAGTGTCTCTGCCCCGCCGCCACCCCGTCTGGGAGGTGAGGAGCGTCTCTGACCGGCCGCCCCCTCTGAGAAGTGAGGAGGCCCTCCGCCCAGCAGCCGCCCCGTCTGGGAAGTGAGGAGCATCTCCGCCCGGCAGCCGCCCCGTCCGGGAGGTGGGGGGCAGACCCCGCCCGGCCAGCCGCCCAGTCCATCCGGGAGGTGGGGGGCAGACCCCGCCCGGCCAGCCGCCCCATCCGGGAGGTGGGGGGCAGCCCCCGCCCGGCCAGCCGCCCCATCCGGGAGGTGGGGGGCAGACCCCGCCCGGCCAGCCGCCCCGTCTGGGAGGTGGGGGGGCGCCTTTGCCCGGCCACCCCGTTTGGGAAGTGAGAAGCCCCTCTGCCCGGCCGGCACCCCGTCTGGGAGGTGTACCCAACAGCTCATTGAGAACGGGCCATGATGACGATGGCGGTTTTGTCTAATAGAAAGGGGGGAAGTGTGGGGAAAAGAAAGAGAGATCGGATTGTTACTGTGTCTGTGTGGAAAGAAGTAGACATAGGAGAGTCCATTTTGTTCTGTGCTGGGAAAAATTCTTCTGCCTTGGGATGCTGTTAATCTATAACCTTACCCCCAGCCCCGTGCTCTCTGAAACATGTGCTGTGTCCACTAAGGGTTAAATGGATTAAGGGCGGTGCAATATGTGTTTTGTTAAACAGATGCTTGAAGGCAGCATGCTCGTTAAGAGTCATCACCACTCCCTAATCTCAAGTACCCAGGGACACAAACACTGCAGAAGGCGGCAGGGCCCTCTGCCTAGGAAAACCAGAGACCTTTGTTCACATGTTTATCTGCTGACCTTCCCTCCACTGTTGTCCTATGACCCTGCCAAATCCCCCTCTACGAGAAACACCCAAGAATGATCAATAAATACTAAAAAAATAAAAATAAAAATAAAAAAATAAAAAAACGTGCTACAGCAAAAGAAATCAGAATAAACAGACAACCCTCAGAATGGGAGAAAATATTTGCAAACTGTACATCCGACAAAGGACTAATATCCAGAAATCTGCAAGGAACTCAAATAAATCAGCAAGAAAAAAAAAACAAATAATCATATCAAAAAGTGGGCAAATGACATGAATAGATGTTTCTCAAATGAAGATATACAAATGGCCAAGAAACATATGAAAAAATGTTCAACATCACTAATCATCAGGGAAATGCAAATTAAAACCACAATAAGATACTACCTAACTCCAGCCAGAATTGCCATTTTTTTCTTTGTTTGTTTGTTTGTTTGTTTGTTTGTTTGTTTTGAGATGGAGCTTCACTCTTGTCTCCCAGGCTGGAGTGCAGTGGCACAGTCTCAGCTCACTGCAACCTCCACCTCCCGGGTTCAAGTAATTCTCCTGTCTCAGCCTCCCAATAGCTGGAATTACAGGCGCTCGCCACCATGCCCAGCTAACTTGTGTATTTTTAGTAGAGATGGGGTTTCACCATGTTGGCCAGGCTGGTCTCGAACTCCTGACCTCAGGTGATCCACCTGCCTCAGCCTCCCAGAGCGCTAGGATTACAGGCGTAAGCCACCACACCTGGCCCAGAATTGCCATTATTTAAAAACCGAAAAACAAAGGATCGAAAAATTATAGCCCACAGGCCAAATCAAACCCACCACCTGTTTCTGGACAGCTTGCAAGCCAGGCATGGTGGAGTGCGCCTGTAATCCCATAGATGTTGGCATGGATGTGATGAAAAGGGAACATTTATACATTGCTGGTAGGAATGTAAAATAGTACAATTCCTATGGAAAACAGTATGGAGATTTCTCAAAGAACTAAAAGAATCTACCATTCAATCCAGCAATCCCACTACTGGGTATCTACCCAGAGGAAAAGAAGTCATTATATCAAAGAAGACACCTGCACACATATGTTTATCACAGCACAATTCACAATTGGAAGGATATGGAACCAACCTAAGTGCCCATCAACCAATGAGTGGATAAAGATAATGTGGCATACACCGTGGAATACTCAGCCATAAAAAATGAACACAATAATGTCTTTTGCAGTAACTTGGATGGAGCTGGAGGCCATTAAGTGAAAGCTAAGCTATAGGTACACAAAAGCGTACAGAGTGGTATAAGGGACATTGGAGACTCGGAAAGGGGGATGGTGAGAGGGGTGAGGGATAAAAATATGCATATTGGGTACAATGTACACTACTCGGGTAATGGGTGCACTAAAATGTCAGACTTCACCACTATATAATTCATTCATGTTACCAAAAACCATTTGTGCCCCTAAAGCTATTGAAATTTTTTTAAAAAGAAGTCACAAGGGAAATTAGAAGATACGTTGAAGCAAACGAAAATAAAAACACAACATACCAAAACTTATGGGATGCAACAAAAGCAGTACCAACAGAAAAGTTTATAGCTGTAAATGCGTACATTAAAGAAAGATCTCAAATAAACAGCCTAACTTTACACCTCATAAAACTAGAAAAAGGAGAACAAACTAAACCTAAAGCTATCAAAAGGAAGGAGATATTAAAGATTAGAGCAGAGATAAATGAAATAGAAAAACAATAGAAAAAATCAATAAAACTGAGTTTGTTTTTTGAAAAGATCCACAAAATTGACAAATGCTTAGCTAGATTAAGAAAAAAAGAGGAAAGATTCTAACTAAAATCAGAAATGAAAGAGGAAGCCTGGGAGCAGTGGCTCACACCTGCATTTCCAGCACTTTGGGAGGCCAAGGCGGGCGGATCACTAGGCCAGGAGTTCAAGACCAGCCTGGCCAACATGGTGAAACCCCATCTCTACTAAAAATACAAAGATTAGCTGGGCGTGGTGGCGGGTGCCTGTAATCCCAGCTACTCGGGAGGCTGAAGAGAGAGAATCCAGGAGGCGGAGGCTGCAATGAGCCAAGATCATGCCACTGCACTCCAGCCTGGGTAACAGAGACTTTGTATCAAAAAAAAAAGAAGAGAAGAGAAAGAAGAGAAGAGAAGAAAAGAAAGAGACATTATAACAAATGTCACAGAAATAAGAGGGTTTTTTTTGTTTGTTTTTGTTTTTTTTTTTGAGATGGAGTCTAGCTTTGTCACCAGGCTGGAGTGCAGTGGTGCGATCGCCGCTCACTGCAACCTACGCCTCCCGGGTTCAAGCTGTTCTCCTGCCTCAGCCTTCCGAGTAGCTGGGATTACAGGCATGCGCCGCCACGCCCAACTGATTTTTGTATTTTTAGTAGAGACGGGATTTCACCATGTTGGCCAGGATGGTCTCGATCTCCTGACCTCATGATCCACCCACCTCGGCCTCCCAAAGTGCTGGGATTACAGGCGTGAGCCACTGTGCCCGGCCGAAATAAGAGGAATTTAAGAGAAAATTATGAACAATTGTATGCCAACAAATTAGATAACCAAGAAGAAATTGGTAAATTCCCAGAAATACACAGTCCACCAAAACTGAATCATGAAGAAACAGAAAATCTGAACAGACCGATAGTAGGGAGACTGAATCAATAATCAAAAACCTCCTAAAGGGCCTGATGCAGTGGCTCACACCTGTAATCCCAGCAGTTTGGGAGGCCGAGGCTGGTGGATCCCTTGAGCTCAGGAGTTCGAAACCAGCCTGGCCAACATGGTGAAACCCCCGTCTTATTAGATGGGAGCACAGAGTGGAGATAGGGAGACCAGTGAATTCTCCCTATCTCCACTCTGGAAAAAAGGAAGTCATCTTGCCTGTGACAGTTGTCCAGGCAAGAGATGCTGGGGGCTTGGACCACAACAGACTATGGACTGGAGGAGAGGTGAAGTTTTCAAGAGACATTTAGGAAGTAACACCACCAATAGTTTAGAGAGAAAGAAGAAGGCAGACGTGACAGATTTTAGACCTGAGTGACTGAGAGAATTATGGCACCACTAGCAAAAATAGGGAATTCAGGAAAAGGAAGTGATTTGCGGAGAGAGAAATTTTTGCCTCGAACATATTAAATTTGAGGTGAGTGTAGGAGAGCAAGTATAGCTGCCCTGTAGGCAATTAGAAGCACAGGTCAGGAATTCTAGAAAGAGGTGAGAAGGTACCAATTGGGGAGTTTTCTCTTTAGAGGTGGTGATTGAAACTAGGGGTCGACAAGCCAGGTGCAGTGGCTCATGCCTGTAATCCCAGCACTTTGGGAGGCCGAGGTGGGCGGATCACAAGGTCAGGAGTTCGAGACCAGCCTGACCAACATGGTGAAACCACCCCCCCTACTAAAAATACAAAAATTAGCCGGATGTGGTGGCACGAGCCTGTAATCCCAGCTACTCAGGAGGCTGAGGCAGGAGAATCGCTTGAACCTGGGAGGTGGAGATTGCAGTGAGCCGAGATCATGCCACTGCACTCCAGCCTGGGCAACAGACTGAGACTCCATCTCAAAATAAATAAATAAATAAAATAAATAAATAAATAAATAAACTAGGGATCAACAAACTACAGCCCATAGGATAAATCAAACCAACTACCTGTTTTTAGATGGCTTGCAAGCTGAAAACAGGAGACATATATATATATATATATATATATATATATATATATATATATATATATATTTGTTTTTCTTGAGTCAGAGTCTCACTCTATCACCCAGGCTAGAATGCAGTGGTGCCACCTCAGCTCACTGCAACCTCTGCCTCCCAAGTTCAAGTGATTCTTGTGCCTCAGCCTCCCAAGCAGCTGAGACTACAGGCACACACCATCAAACCCAGCTAATTTTTTGTATTTTTAGTAGAGACAGAGTTTCTCCATGTTGGCCAAGCTGGTCTTGAACTCCTGGCCTCAGGTGATCCGCCTACCTCGGTCTCCCAAAGTGCTGGGATTACAGGCATGAGCCACCGTGCCCGGCCAGTTTTTACATTTTAAATGTTTATATAAAGACCTACAGAATTGCCTTGATTTTGCCTCTTGGCACACAAAGCCAAAGAGATTTACTCTCTGATATTTAGGAAAAGTCTGCCAAGGCCCCATCAAAACCATGAGAGTAGAGGTGCTCACCAAGTGAGTGGTGTCGAGGGAGGAGCACCATGCTTGAGGAAGAGAATAGACAGAGGTAAAACCACAATAAAGCAGCAGTAGAGATCAAGGAAGGAGAGTGTTTCAAAAAAGACAGGTGGGCCAGGGTGGCAAGTGCTAGACAGAGGATGAAGACTGCCGTCTGAATTTGGGAGCCGAGAGGTCATCATGTTAGTGGTTGTTAGGTTGGTGATCAAGTAGAGTGGTGGGAGTAGAAGTCAGATTGCAAGGGATTAACAAGTGAATAGTCGGTGAGCAGGTTGAGGAGCATGTATAGATTATCCTTTGAAAGAGTTTAATGGGCCAGCAAGGTGGCTCATGCCTGTAATCCCAGCACTTTGGGAGGCTGAGGCGGGCGGATCACGAGGTCAGGAGTTTGAGACCAGACTGCCCAACATGGTGAAACCCCGTCTCTACTAAAAAGACAAAAATTAGCTGGGCATGGTGGCTTGCTCCTGTAATCCCAGCTACATGGGAGGCTGAGGCAGGAGAATCACTTGAACCCAGGAAGTGGAGGTTGCAATGAGCCAAGATCGTGCCACTGTTCTCCAGCCTGGGTGACAGAGTGAGACTCTGTCTTGAAAAAAAAAAAGTTTAATGAAGGAATAGGTCAGCATAGGGTGGTATCTGGCGTGGAGCTGAGGTGTCTATAGAATGGAGGAGATCTGAGTGTATTATAAGCAGAGGGGAAGGAGATGTAGAAAGAACAACTGAAGAGGCAAATGAAATGTAAGATCATGGTTGGAGCAAAGCCTGGAGGTAGTGCTCTGGGGTGAGAGTCAGAGGACACTGTTGGCAAGGAAGGGGATGATTCTTCCTCAGCCATGACAGCAGGAGGCCAAGGAGAGGCAGAGAGGCTTTCTGGTAATGAGAGTGGTCCCATAGCATAAGAGGGAAGGACTTTTTCTCCTGCAAACTTGGACATTTGGAAGTTAAAACAGTAAGCAGGGGGTTATCTGGGCCTGGAGACCACCCAGAGACAGGGAGTGTAGAAATGCAAAGTAGCAGTGAGCGCACAGTGAAACGTCTGGCCACGAAGTTCTGTCTTGGCGGAGAGGTGACTGAGACCAGAAAAAGATGGTCTGGGAGAATGAGAATGGTTCAAGGGGCTGGAACCCAAGCTAGAGACAGAGTGAGTTTGGTGGAAGGAAGAGAATTGAAAGAACCAGAGGTTGGCCGGGCAAGGTGGCTCACGCCTGTAATCCCAGCACTTTGGGAGGCCAAGGCAGGTGGATCACCTGAGGTCGGGAGTTTGAGACCAGCCTAGCCAACATGGTGAAACCCTGTTTCTACTAAAAATACAAAAAATTAGTCTGGCATGGTAGTGCATGCTTGTAATCCCAGCTACTCGGGAGGCTGAGGCACGAGAATCGCTTGAAACTGGGAGGCAGAGGTTGCAGTGAGTCGAGATCATGCCATTGCACTCCAGCCTGGGCAACAAGAGCAAAACTCTGTCTCAAAGAAAAAAAAGAAGAAGAACCAGAGGTTATACTCAAATAAGAGGATTTCCAAGTTTAAAATCTTGAAAACGAAACAATGATTGAGTGAACAAGAAGGCATCCTAAGTGCGATTAAATGTGTGGGAGGCTGAATGAGAGTCAAGATGGAGATGACTGAAATTGAAAGGAACAGTTATAGGGTCTCATTTAATCCTCATCACATACATAGGCCATAGAAATGAAAAAACTGAGGCACTGAGAATTTAAGTAACCAGTCCAAAGTCACGCAGCTAGGAAATGGAGGAGGTGAGCTTTGATCAGATCTGTAACTCTCAGATCGAGTTGATTGTGTCATGAAAGGAAGATGGTGCTTTGCTCTCACTGGAGATAAGATCTGGGAAGGGGGTAAAAAAAAGATGACATGGAGAGGGGAGGACAATGTCCTGCAGATGAAGGCAGGTTGAGGCAGAATTAAGCATGAAGTTAGTTTAAAGACTGGGAAAGAAATAGAGAGGATTTAATATGTATAAACAAGTTCCTAAATTAGGAACTTAATTTTTTTTCATCTATTTTTCTGTGCCACATTTAACTAACATGGTTCTTTGGAGGTTATTAGAGTGCAGCACTTTCACTTCGTCTCTCAGTAACTACACAACAGTCTCTGAGGGTAGCTATTATTATTTTGCTCATTTTACTGAGGAAGAAACAGCCTTAAAGACTGTGATCTGTCCATGATCATACAGGAAGTGACAGATACAGGCATGCAGTCCAGATATCGTGTCTTTTGTTGATCCAGCTGAGTGAAAGCAGGACTTACTGCCTGCGCCACCCCTCTGGTGTTGAAGTCATCTCTAAGTCCAGTCCCTTAGCCTGAGGTAACTGAGACCAGAAGAAAGTGATCTGGGAGAATGAGGAGCCGAGCCCCAGGGCCTGAAACCAAGTCCTTGGAGAGAATCACTGAGAATCTTACAAGACGGTGGGAATATAGACCTACCAGGGATAGCCTGTATCTTCAAAGAATTCTTTAAGTGGAGGAAAAAGAATTGTTTTAAAAATTACAATCCAGAAGGCTGAGGTGGGAGGATCACTGGAGCCTGGGAGGCAGAGGTTGCAATGAGCCGAGATCATGCCATTGCACTCCAGCTTAGGCGACAGAGCAAGACCCTGTCTCAAAAAAAAAAAAAAAAAAAAATTAAAATCCGGTATCCAAAATTCTATTCTACGCTGGTGCAGACTGTCCTGTGGGAGCCCAAAAAGAAGCAGTCACTACTGCATTGGAGGTTTGAGGCCAGCTTCTGAAAGGAAGAGATTCCCAATGGATAAGGCAACTGAGTTAGGACAGAGCACATGGGAACACATGCACAGAGGCATGGAGAGGAGCCTGTTGACTCATTTGGTGAACAAACTTGGCAGTATGCTTAGTAAGTGGGACTCTTGTTAAAGAGCCAGGCCACTGGGGCCTTGTGTGTCAGGCTCAGGGCATCGACCTATATACACAGGGCCATGGGGAAGAGCACTGTCGAGTTTTGAACAGGGAAATGATATGATTAGATTTGTATCCTGAGCAATCTTTCCATATCAAGGCAAGACTGGGCACAGGGGAATCAGGTAAGAGGGGCTGTCACAGCGGGCCAGTAGAGAGATGCCAGCTTGAGCCTCGGGAGGAAGGGCAGAGAGGAGGGAACCTATTTAAGAACATACGCTTCTGAGCACTTGTGCTGGTAGGGTTGCTGAATCATCGCAGATGCACCTGTTGCCTAGATACTACCCAGCTGCTCTCCAAAAAGGCTGCACCAATTTACGTAGGAAATGTTCTTTAGAGCACCCCAGCTATTTTTCATTCTTTCTCAGTCTTCCCATAATGCTATTGCATATTAACTGCCCTGTGAAGGAGAATCATATTCTCTGATGTGGATAAAGAAAATCAAAAGCTTCATGTTAAACTTGTGATTCCCCGTGTACTATGCATGGCTCCCCCCTGCTTTCTCTTCTACTATGCCCAGGCTCCTCAGTACATTGAAAGGTGTATCTTTCTTTATTGTTAGTCATCCCAGACTATAAATCTAGGTATACAAGAAACATTGCCTCTCTTTATTGTTTTTCTATATCAATCTAATTTCAATTCTGCACTCCGTCTTGGCAGAGTCTGGGAAATTCACCCTGAGTCATCCTCACATTTCCTGCTTCCCTGATGTCAAGAAGAGGTCTTGGGACCTTTCACGGTATCAGACATCTAGGGGCAGAGGGGTAGAGGGTCTTGTTGTCTGTAAGTTTCTGCTAAGCCATTCATTCTACCCTGTTCATTGCTGCTTCTGTGGCTGAGGAAATCTGCCAGGCAGCTGGAAGGCCTGCAGTTTCCGGTGCATCTCCCTGCACACACCAAGGGACCACTCCTCTTTGGGGAATTACCAGCTCCTCAGAGTGTTACTAGGAAGCAGGGCCCGGGGACCCACAGCTCTCTCTCTCCTCCCTCTTCTCCTTCTACCCAGGCTGTATACCTCTCCTGAGGCAATAAAGCACATAGCTGGCTTCATTTTGATAAGGTGTGGGGAGAAAGAGGGAAACACAAGGAGGGAAGATACAGGCTTCAGCCTATGGCACCTAAAGGGATAAACTGATTGTCTACTAAAAATACAAAAAAATTAGCCGGATGTGGTGGCACGTGCCTGTAGTCCCAGTTACTTGGGAGGCTGAGGCAGGAGAATCGCTTGAAGCCAGGGAGGCAGAGGTTGCAGTGAGCCCAAATTGCACCACTGCACTCCAGCTTGGGTGACAGAGCGAGACTCTGTCTTGGAAAAAATAATAATAATAAAATAAAATAAAAAGCCAACATCCAATCTAATGTTAAAATACTTAGGCCGGGCACAGAGGCTCATGCATGTAGTCCCAGCACTTTGGGAGGCCAAGGTGGGAGGATCGAGACCAGCCTGGGCAACATAGTGAAACCCGGTCTCCACAAAAAGAAAAAACCAAGCTTAAAATACTTAAGTGGGGGGTGTAGCCCAACATCATGTTTTCACAGGAAATCTCCCAGGGGACATTGCCACTTTTCCTCCTAGGATAACGACCCTTTTCTTCCTAGGCCTCTGTGGTAGGCAGAATAATTCCCCAACTACCAAAGATATCTACATCCACATCCTAACCCAGAACCTGTGTGTGTGTGAGATTACATGTCGAAGGGGAATGAAGATTGCAGATAAAATTAAGGTTGCCAATCAGCACACTTGTGACAGGGATATTCTCTTGGATTATCCAGGTAGGCCCAGTGTAATCTCAGCATCCCTATAAGTAGAAGAGGGAGGCAGAATGAACGAACCAGACAGATGGCAGTGTGAGAAGGACTTGGCCTGACGTTACCAGGTTTTAAGATGGGGGAAGGGGCCATGGGCCAAGGCATCCAGAAGTTGGAAAACGCAAGGAAATAGACTCTTCCCTAGAGCCTCTAGAAGAAACACCAAGCCTGCCAACACTTTGATTTTAGTCCAGTGAGACGCATCTCAGGCTTTTTTTTTTTTTTTTTTTGAGTCAGATTTTCACTCTTGTCACCCAGGCTAGAGTGCAATGGCAGGATCTTGGCTCACTGCAACCTCCGCGTCCTGGGTTCAAGCAATTCTCCTGCCTCAGCCTCCCCAGTAACTGGGACTACAGGTGCATGCCACCACGCCTGGCTAATTTTTTATTTTTATTTTTAGTAGAGACTAAAAATATTATTTGTTTCACCATGTTGGCCAGGCTGGTCTCGAACTTCTGACCTCAGGTGATCCGCCCGCCTCAGCCTCCCAAAGTGCTGGGATTACAGGCTTGAGCCACTGCACCCAGCCCGCATCTCAGACTTCTGACTTCTAGAACTATAAGGTAATAAATTTGTATTGTTTGAAGCCACTAAATTTGTCATAATTTTTTATAGCAGCAGTAGGAAATAAATACAAGCTACAAAAGGAAATCATGGTTTTTAATTTCTTCTTATGATTTTCAGTGTAACTGTTTCCATTCTGGGGCTTGAAGGTAGCCCTGAGCATGGCTGGTATCCTGTTTTCTCCCACACCTTAGGGTGGTGGAGGATGGGGTTAGGACACATGGTCTGCCTCTGGCCCTGGCCTCGTGGGCTTGTAGAAATCCATGTCTCCCCTTTCCCTCTAAGCCATGTAAAAGCCAAGTCTTGACTAGAGATGAGTGTTGACAGCTGCTGGATCTACAAATAGGTCCTCCTTCCAGGCCTGTGGCGGGATTGCACGTCCCAGGGAATCTCTTTAGAGTTAGGTGTGGACATGTGGCTTGCCTTTGCCAATGAAGCTTTAAGACACAGTGTACAATTCATCTCGTTCTCATCCCACTGCTGCAGTGAGCATGAAAGAATGTGCCAAGATGGGGCCACTGTCAGCGCCTGGGTCCCTGGATGACTACAGTAAGCCAAGCCTTCGCTAACCTGTGTTGTACATTTAATGTGAATAAAAAATAAAGTTCTGTTTGATTAACGCTCTGAGGTTTGGTACTTTTTGTTTCACAGCATAGCCTAGTCTGGCTTGGCCTGACAAATCTGGGTCTTTTTTTTTTTAAGAACCAGGGTCTCAGTCTGTCACCCAGGCTAGAGTACAGCGGCACAATCATGGCTCGCTATAGTTTCGAACTCCTGGGCTCAAGTGATTCTCCTGCCTCAGCCTCCCAAGTAGCTGAGACTACAAGCACACACCACCACACCTGGCTAATTTAAATTTTTTTTTCTTATAAAGATGGGCTCCCACTGTGTTGCCCTGGCTGGTCTCAAATTCCTGGGCTCAAGTGATCCTCCCGTCTCAGCCTCCCGAGTACCTGGGACTACAGGCGTGTGCCACCACACCGGGCTCTGGGTCTTACCAGATTCTCTGTCTCCTAGTCAGCCTCTTCACTCATGTGGCCACGAGAGGCAGGGCCTGAGCTTTCCTCATTTCAGACACAAACATGTGCAACGCAGACTCTGGCCCCAGCCTCACAATAAAAAGTGAGAAAAAAAAATCTGCCTTGTTTCTCTCCCCAGGGAGCTGGGAGGCTGAGGGAGCTAGGCCCTGCACAGGACCCACTAGAGAAAGAAAGGAGCATTCCTTTATGGAAGTGCCAACCTCAAAAGGGTGGAAGTAAATCCTTCATGAGGCCTCATACCAGTTAGCTTGAACCTCACATGTACATTTAATACTTTGGCACCAAAAGCACTGGCCCATCCTAAAGGTCAACTTCTCTTGCAGAGAGCCAGAGGAGAGATACTGCAGTCCCTCGCCTCCAGCCTCAGCAGTCATGACAGGGTTATCCCAATCCCCCTGGGGCAGAAGGGAGTAGACACTGACCACTGGGCCTAAACCAGGGGCTTCCCTTTTAAAAAAACAAAAACAGAAACTAACAAACAACAACAATGAAAAACATCTCTTTCCTCCAGGCAACTCCTGGCAGCTCTTGCTAGTCCTCTACGTCTCCGCCGCCCCTGGTCCTGTAGTCTCCATGTAGGGGCCAAGGCTGTGGAACATCAGCGGCTCCAGGGACCCTTTTTCTCTTGTGCTTTTCACTGCCCCTCATGCTTGCTGAGACTTTCTCCCCAGCACAGCCAGTGCTCCTGGACCTTTCACATTCATTATTATCTCACCGAGAAGGTCAAGAGGGTTAATCATTGATGTCAACGTTATGAAACTTGTTACTACTCTTAAAGATGATATTAAACAGCTGTTTTGAAATTCTCATTGCCTCAGCACTATGGTCTAGTGGCTTTCCACTCTTGATGTGCATTACAATTACCTGGAGAGCTCTTGAAAACCACCCAGAGCCAGACACTCTCCCTGGCCTAATTAAACGAGAAGCACGGGGTCCTCATTGCTCTCTATCAGGCATAATTACCTCTCCATGTCTTTGTGCGCTGTGGGTCCTAGTCCCTGACACACAAAAAGAATCAGCAGCAGCACTTGGTCAATATCCAGCCTCATCTCTCCCATCTTGAGGAGGGTCTGACAAGTGTAGCATTCTTTGAAATTTCCGAGAAATTGTTTCTTCCTGTACTCCCTTCCCATCTCCACCCCATTCTTTCTAAAAGCCTGTTTTCCTCAAATCAACATTCCTCAGAATATATTCTGTAGAGAGACCAGGGGAGCTGGGAAAAACACAGTAGTTAGTGACTGTGGTTGGCTGATAATGGCTCCCAAAGATAAGTCTGGTCCTAACCCCTGAAACCTGTGAATGCTGCTTTATTTAGGGAAAAGGGTCTTTACAGATGTAATGAAGTTAAATACTTGGCCATGAGGAGACTATCCTGGATTATCTGGATGGGACTTAAATGCCCTC
Organism: Homo sapiens; assembly: GCF_000001405.40. Taxonomy (NCBI): domain Eukaryota; kingdom Metazoa; phylum Chordata; class Mammalia; order Primates; family Hominidae; genus Homo; species Homo sapiens. The sequence goes on along the minus strand of NC_000023.11, from coordinate 71,632,520 downwards.
ACACACAAGTGTGTCCTTATAAAAGAGAGACAAAGAGCAGACACCCGGAAGAAGGAGAGCCCCCATGAAGATGAAGGTAGAACCTGGAGTGATGATCTCACAAACCCAGGAATGCCAGCCAGCAGCTGCCAGATGCTACAAGAGGTGAAGAATGGATTCTCCCCTAGAGCTTCTGGAGGGAGCATGGCCCTGCTGACACCTTGATTTTGGACTTCCAGCCTTCAGAACTTTGAGATAATAAATTTCTGTTATTTTAAGCCACCCAGTTTGGGGTGATTTGTTACGGCAGCCTCAGGAAGCTATTACAGTGACCAAATGAGTTTGGTGATTCTGTCTATAGCAGAATGTCCTGAAAACTTTCCTATGCTAATGGGCATTGTTTTCCAAATACAGGCCCCAGACAAGTGCTCCACAGAACACACCCTGCAATAGGTCACACCTTAGCCAGCCGCCACGAACCAAGCTCCCAGCACCGCAGATTGTATGTGTGCAAGACCTTTATGCATGAGACCATTTATTCATTTTCTAACTCATTCAAATAAAGAATTATTTGTTGAATATTTATTTATTTATTTATTTTGAGGCAATCTCACTCTGTTGCCTAGGCTGGGGTGCAGTGGTGCCATCACGGCTCTTTGCAACCTCTGCCTCCCAGGCTCAGGTGATCCTCCCGCTTCAGCTTCCTGAGTAGCTGGGACTACAGGCTCACATCACCACATCTGGTTGATTTTTTGTATTTTTTGTAGAGATGAAGTTTTGTTACCGGAAAGGGGTCCCAATCCAGACCCCAAGAGAGGGTTCTTGGATCTTATGCAAGAAAGAATTCAAGGTGAGTCCATAGAGTAGAGTGAAAGCATATTAGGAAAGTAAAGGAATAAAAGAATGGCTACTCGATAAGCAGAGCAGCCCCAAGGGCTGCTGGTTGCCCATTTTTATTTTTATTTATTTTATTTGTTTATTTATTTATTTTTTTGAGACGGAGTCTCCCTCTGTCCCCCAGGCTACAGTGCAGTGGCACGATCTCGGCTCACTACGACCTCTGCCTCCTGGGTTCAAGCAATTCTCCTGCCTCAGCTTCCCGGGTAGCTGGGATTACAGGTGCCCACCACCATGCCCAGCTAATTTTTGTACTTTTAGTAGAGACAGCGTTTCGCCATGTTGACCAGGCTGGTCTCGAACTCCTGACCTCAGGTGATCTACCCTCCTCAGCCTTCCAAAGTGCTGGGATTATAGGTATGAGCCACCGAGCCCTATTTCTTGATGATATGCTAAACAAGGGGCGTAGATTATTCATGGCTCCCCGTTTTAGACCATATAGGGTAACTTCCTGACATTGCCATGGCATTTGTAAACTGTCACTGTGCTGGTGGGAGAGTAACAGTGAGGACAACCAGAGGTCATTCTTGTTGCCATCTCAGTATTCATGGGTTTTAGCCGGCTTCTTTACTGCAACCTGTTTTATCAGCAAGGTCGTTATGACCTGTATCTTATGCTTACCTCTTAACCTCTGACTAAGAATGCCTTAACCTCCTGGGAATGCAGCCCAGCAGGTCTTAGCCTTATTTTACCCAGCCCCTATTCAAGATGGAGTTGTCTGGTTTAAATACCTCCGACAGTTTCACCATGTCATCCAGGCTGGTCTCAAACTCCTGACCTCAAGTGATCTGCCCGCCTCGGCCTCCCAAAGTGCTGGGATTACAGGCATGAGCCACTGCACCCAGCCTATTTATTGAATATTTAAATAAATAAAAATGTATTTGTTGAATGAGCACCTACTATGTGTCAGAAATGATTCAAGGCCCTGGTGACATAGTAATTTAAAAAACCCAAATTATATATCTTGTGAAAAGTATATTCTAGTGGAATAATAGATCAATAAGCAAATAAGCAAATAAGTAGCAGGTGGTGATGAATGCTATAAAGAATATAAAATGGGCCAGGCACGGTGGCTCACATCTGTAATCCCAGCACTTTGGGAGGCCAAGACGGTTGGATCACCTGAGGTCAAGAGTTTGAGACCAGCCTGGCCAACATGGTGAAACCTCGTCTCTACTAAAAATGCAAAAAAAAAAGAAAAATTAGCTGGGCATGGTGGTGTGCACCTGTAGTCCCAGCTACTTGGGAGGCTGAGGCAGGAGAATCGCTTGAACCCAGGAGGCAGAGGTTGCAGTGAGCCAAGATTGTGCCACTGCACTCCAGCCTAGGTGACAGAGTGAGACTCTGTCTCAAAAAAAAAAAAAAAAAAAATATATATATATATATATACATACACACACACACACACAACACACACATATATATATAAAATGGGCCAAAAGGATAGAGAGGGATGCAGGGTGTATTTTACAGTGGGTGATCAGAGAAGGCAAGGCACTTCACCGGGTTATTTACCCAAATTAATCTCATGTAATGTTCTCAACAACCATTTCATCATTATCATACAAAGTAGGTGTAATCTCTACTTTGTACACAAGGAAACTGAGGCTCAGAGAAGTGAAGTGATTTGTCCAAATCACACAGCTATGAATTGGTCGATGTGGGATTGGGATTGAGACCTAGGCGGGTCTGACACCAAACAAAGCCCATTTACTACTACCATGCTACACGGTTCCTGTACCCAACTGGACTCCCGTTGGAATTCTCTAGAGCCTGCCTTGGCCTTTCTACTACAATTGTTCACTGATTCCCAGTGGAGTTTGGGAAATCATTGACTAATGATTCTGAGGGTAAGAAAGCTGGAGGCAGGGGATCAGATGGCAAAGGACACTTCTAGTCAGAGACTTGCCCTGCAGAATCGCTTCAACTTAGTTCTATATTTGGAAGGCAGTCATAGGGTACTGAAACTTCCTGCTTCCTCCCCTGGGTCTCCTCATCTCTCCTTTGTGTCCTGCCCTGTCACCTGGGGCCCTCAGGCAGAGCCACAGAGTCCAGCTAAAGAGACTTTTTATGCCTTTGTGGCTCTGAGCTGCATCTCTAAGTCCTGGATGGTGGGTGGGACTCGGGCAGACAGACCAGCCAAGCAGTGGAAGCTTGGAGCAGGTCTACAACAGCATGTGGCCCAGTTCAGCTGGAATATAGGATGCTCAAGACAGACTGGAGAATCAGGCTGGCCTGGAGGCTGGGGCCAGATCATGGAAGGCCTTAATGGCCAGGCCAGGAGAACAGCCTCCATTCTCTTGGCTGGTGTTTGCCAAAGCGTGTCCTGCAGACCACTCATGTTTGGGGATAATGATAGCAGTGATAGGAGGGGGTCTGTTGTGAGAAGGTGAAGGTTCCTTGTTAAATAAGTTGAGGTTCAGTGAAAGTGAACAGATTCCTTTTGTGCAGGGTTTCTCCGACCTGGCATGAGGGCCAGAGGGCGAGCCAATGGGTCACGGTGAGTGCCATCCTCACGGCAAAGATGGATGGAACCCCGCTAGAGGCAGACTGGCCTGGGGGTGGCCAGTCAATCCTGTGGATTCGGCTCTTTATTGCCTCCTCTTTCCGCTCTCTGCCACCCTGCTACCTCCACTTTAACTAACATCCTCCTACCCTCTAAGTGGTCTCCCTGCACCTACCTGCCCCCATACCATCTCCCCTCTCCCAGACTTGCCTTCCCTGCCCGAACCACAGCCATCCTCTGCCACCATCCCATTACCCTACGCCTCTTCACATGAAAGCGCTTCTCTAGCTATTTTATAAGCTATGGTAATGGCTAAATACTCCAGGAATTAGTTATGTGAAATACCACTACTCACTAGCAAATGTGCTAAAAATTCATCTGGAGTCTCACGGAGGGTTTGTCCTAAGCCATCCTTGAAAAAAAAATTGACTTTTAATTTTTATTTATTTATGTATTTATTTTGAGACGGAGTTTCACTCTTGCTGCCCAGGCTAGAGTGCAATGGCACCACCTTGGCTCACCGCAACCTCCACCTCCCGGGTTCAAGCGATTCTCCTGCCTCAGCCTCCTGAGTAGCTGGGATTACAGGCATGTGCCACCAGGCCTGGCTAATTTTGTATTTTTAGTACAGATGGGTTTTCTCCATGTTGGTCAGGCTAGTCTCGAACTCCCGAACTCTCGTGATCCGCCCGCCTTGCCCGCCCAAAGTGCTGGGATTACAGGCGTGAGACACCACACTCAGCCTTAACTTTTTAAAAATATCGTTTGCTTTTTTTTTTAGAATTAGACAGAGCCTTACCGCACTGTTAGTTTCCTTGGTAACCACCTCTAGTTCCCAACCCCTAGACCTCCTGTCCTCAGTCCCTAACTGCAGACCGTCTGAGGCACTCCCACACTCCCTGGCTCCAGGAAGATGCCTTGCCGTGGTTCTCACCCCAGCCCCTGCGCTATCTCAGTGCTCCACTCCAGAGCCCATCGCCAGGTCCCAGACTGGGTGTCCTCAGCCCCTAAAGTCACATCATGGTCTTTTCAAATCCAGTTGGGGGCAGGAAGGGTATTCACAAGATAAAACGTATTCCCAGAGACAGAAGGGCGGGCTGGTTAGGAGTGTGGACTTTGAAGCCAGAAGGCTTGGTTTGAAAGCCAGGCTTTGTCACTTACTAGCCGTTTGACCTTGGGCAAGTGACTTAGCCTCTTTGAGTCTGTTTTATCATCCTTAAAAGAGAAATAAAAATAGAACCTTTCTGAAAGAGTTTTCACGAGAATAGATATGTGTAAAAGTGCTTTAAGCAGCACCTGGCACTTGGGGAGCGTTCCTGGTCAATATTATTGTTGTGGCCATCCATCTGTCCGCTCATCTTCAGATGTTTTGGCTTAGTCAGCAGTTAGTCTGGGATTTTGTGAGTGAGGAATTCATGACTGCCACAAGCAAGAGCATGTTTTTAATTTGGTGTCTCTTCAAGTTTTTTCTTTCTTTTTTTTTTTTTTGAGACAGTCTGGCTCTGTCGTCCAGGCTGGAGTGCAGTGGTGCGATCTCAGTACACTGCAACCTCCACCTCCCGCTTCAAGCGATTTTCCTGCCTCAGCCTCCCCAGTAGCTGGGATTACAGGCGCCCATCATCACGCCTGGCTAATTTTTTGTATTTTTAGTAGAGACAGGTTTTCACCATGTTGGTCAAGCTCGTCTCAAACCCCTGATCTCAAATGATCCACCCACCTCGGCCTCCCAAAGTACTGGGAGCACCCAGGCATGAGCCACTACACCCAGCCCTAGATTGACTCTTAATCCAGAAGACAGAGAGGTTAAATAACCTGTCCGTGGTCACAAAGCTAGTAAATGGCAAAACCAGGACCAGGAACCCAATCCAGACAGCCTGCTCCAGGGTCCGTGTGCTTACCCACTCTGCTGCCCTGCCTTGCATGGGACTAGCCAGGCTCTGGCCAGACTGCCACTGATGCCTATGCCTGTACAGATGGCTAGCTGCCTAGTTGGAGAAATACGGGCTCCACTCTAAGAGGAGGCAGGGCCTGGGCCATGGCACCTCGGCACAGGGCAATGTGGACAAAGTCCCCAAGGCTGACACCACACATTGGGATTGTAGAAAGCGATTTTTGGCTGGTTGAGGAATTTTCCAGAAGGCCTGAGAGTCCAAGCAGGTAAAGTCCAGCCCAGAGTCAGGCCCACCATTAAGAGGCCTCGTGCGGGTCCTGGGAGGGCAGCTTCAAGCAGTATTGGGTGTCTCAGAAGGTATGGACCAAGGGAGGAACGTTACTTGGCAGCTTTGCTCAGTGGAGTGTCTTTGGGTTGGGCACAACGGTTTCCAGGGTGTGCCTTTCCCTGTTCCTGGAAGCCCAGCAGCAGCCAAGAGCCCCAGGCCACGCCCAGTCCAGACTACCTGCTCCTCAGGAAGGGGCCTTAGCCAGCTGTGCAGGCCCTCTTCAGTTTGGGAAAAAGAACTTCAGGCTCTCAGCTGGTGACACCTTCTGAATAACACAACCCCAAATCCCTTCTATTCAGCCAGTCTGAGCCAAGGATGGGGTCAACCCGGGAGCCTCTGGTGTGGCCTGTATTCCTTGAGGGGCCCTGAGTGGCTTGGAGAAGAAGCCCTCGGGCTGCTGATGCCTTGCAGCTGGAGGGCAAGCAGGCTTCCCTCCCTGGTTCAAAAGGCTGCAGGGGAAGTCAGGAGGAACTTGGCTGAGAGGTTGGAGGTAGCCAGACAGTGAGAAAAGGGAAGAAGCCCAGGATTCTAGAAGCACAAAGTGAGGCCACGAGCAGGAAAGGTGGGGACCAACTGAGGGAGGGAGAGGTGCTTTCCTGGGACCGGGATGAGGCCAGAGGCCACTGCCAGAAAAGATGCGTTCCCAGGCAGGCTTGACCCCACCTTCTTCTCACACGGCCTCTAAGCTGATTCAGGGAATAGCATCCGATATCAAACCCATCCTGCCTGAGATTCTTCTGATACTTTTTTTTTTTTGAGGCAGAGTCTTACTCTGTCACCCAGGCTGGAATGTAATGGCGTAGTCTCAGCTCACTGCAAGCTCCGCCTCCCGGGTTCAAACGATTTTCCTGCCTCGGCCTCCCGAGTAGCTGGGACTACAGGCACGTGCCACCATGCCCGGCTAATTTTTGTATTTTTAGTAGAGACGGGCTTTCACTATGTTGGCCAAGCTGGTCTCAAACTCCTGACCTCGTGATCCGCCCACCTCGGCCTCCCAAAATGCTGGATTACAGGCGTGAGCCACCGTGCCCGACCTAACTTTTATTTTGATATAACATAAAACTTATTAGGTTGGTGCAAAAGTAATTGCGGTTTTTGCAATTAAATGCGGTTTCTGCAATACTTTCAATTGCAAAAACTGCAATTACTTTTGCACCAACCTAATACAAACAAGTTGCAAGAATAGTACAAAGTTCTCCTTTATGCACTTCCTCCATATCACCAGTTATTAGCATGCCGCCCCATTTGCTTTATCCTTTGTGCATTCTCTCTTGCTCTGCATATTTGGTTTCCAAGTCACACGAAAGTAAATTGCAGACCTCATGACCCTTAACTTCTAAATATCTCGATGTGTATTTCCTACAAACAAGGACATTCTCTTACATTATCCAAATTAGCTAAATAGCAGGAATACAAGGTTTTTGTCTAATCTCCAGGCCATATTCAAATTTTACCAATTGTCCCAATCTTTTAGCTTAATTTTATTCTTTCATTATTATTATTATTATTTTGAGACAGGGTCTTGCTCTGTCACCCAGGCTGGAGTGCAGTTGTGCGATCTTGGCTCACTGCAGCCCCAAATTCCCAGGCTCAGGTGATCCTCCCACCTCAGTCTCCCGAGTAGCTGGAACCAAAGGTGCGCACCACCACGCCCAGCTAATCTTTGGTTGTTTTTTTTTTTTTGTAGAGACGGGGTTTCACTGTGTTGCCCAGGCTGGTCTCAAACTCCTGGGCTGAAGCTATCTGCCCACCTTGGCATCCCAAAGTGTTGAGATTACAGGCGTGAGCCACAATGCCTGGCTTATTCTCCTTTTTTTTTTTTTTTTTTTTTTTTTTTTTTTGAGACAGAGTCTTGCTCTGTCACCCAGACTGGAGTGCAATGGTGCAATCTCGGCTCACTGCAACCTCCACCTCCCAGGTCAAAGTGATTCTCTTGCTTCAGCCTCCTGAGTAGCTGGGATTACAGGCACCTGCCACCACGCCTGGCTAATTTTTGTATTTTTAGTAGAGATGGGGTTTCACCATATTGACCGGGCTGGTCTTGAACTTCTGACCTTGTGATCCACCCACCTCAGCCTCCCAAAGTGCTGGGATTACAGGTGTGAGCCACCGTGCCCGGCCTTATTCTCCTTTTTGATGACTGTTTAATCACACAGCTAATACATGAATGCAGTCTCTGAATAAAACAATACAGACAAGGCCAAAGCAGTCCTCTTTGAACAGCACTCTCGCTCCCAGCCCCTCTCACCTTACACAGTGTCCCTGTAGAGTGTAATGGGGGAAGATGAGGAGCCTGTGCCACTAACTAGCTGTGTGACTTTGAGTAAGTTCCTTGAACTTTCTGTGTTTCTGTCATCTGTAAAATGAGGATGATGATGATAGTAATGGCCACATAGTTACTACATAGTTGTAGGTATTAAATGAATTCATCCCAATAAAACCCTGAGAACAGTGCCTAGCACGTAGGTAATCAATAAATGTCCATCAGGCGAGGTGACTCACGCCTATAATCCCAGCACTTTGGGAGGCTGAGGCGGGCAGATGGCTTGAGTACAGGAGTTGGAGACCAACCTGGGCAACATAGCGGGACCCCTGTCTCTACAAAGAGTTTAAAAACAATAATAATAATAAGTTGGGCGTGGTGGCACATGCCGATAGTCCCAGCTACTCAGGAGGCTGAGGCAGGAGGATCGCTTGAGCCAAGGGAGTCGAAGCTCCAGTGAACTATGATCGCACTCCCCACTGGGCAACAGAGTGCGACCTTGTCTCTAAAAGACAACAACAAAAAAAAAACAAGCAAAAAAACAAAAAAGAACCAAAAAAAGCCCCAAAACAAATACATGTCCTCAGTTCTTATGACCCTGTTTGACCTCACCCTGTGGGGAAACCCAAGGAAATGCAAGAAGCAAACTATCAACACTCCCCTCTATGGCTCCAGCCCAGCCAAGTGGGTGTCCACCCTCACCACACAAGATGCCTGATTAGGGCTGTGTGATGAGAAAGGTGTGGCTCCTGATGAGTCCTTGAGCAGCAGGATGTTTGGAGGGCTGGCAGTGTGACACAGCCCTCCTGGCTGACTAGGCTTGGACAGATCACTTCACCTCTCTGAACCTCCATTCTGCAAAATGGGCGCAGTAGCCTCTCCCTCACTGGGTGGCTGAACGGTTTAAAGGAGATCGCATGTATGAAAGTACAGCCTTGCAGAATGGAAGTCCTTTTATTTAATAGTTCCCAGGGAACTGCCAGAGACAGGATGACAGGAAGGTCATTGTGCTTGGTGGTGGGGCTTGGGTCCTGAACTGCTTTCCAGCCCCCTCTACCCTCCTGCCGTCACAAGAACGTTCCGTTCTAACCAGTCTGACCGCCCCTGGTGTGAGGAGCTCTTCCTTACTTCCCTGTCTTGGCACCTGGTGTTCCCCCAGCCTGAGAACAGCCTCGTCTCCCTTTGCCATGTGACAAACAGCAGCAACGTCCTCCAAGACCCAGCTCAAACTTCATCTCCCCTGTGAGGCCTTCTCCATTCCCCAAAAAAGCAGTGTCCCCACAGGTCTGGGAACTCACCCTCATGGGCTGGGGCTGTCTGTCCCACCTCCTGGGCTCCCAAGGCCCCAGCCCACGGCCCCCAGCACTTAAAATGGACTTGCCTCCCAGGAGGGCTCAGAGCTGCAGGACATGGGCAGAGGAAGAGGCAGTCCCCAGGCCCCAGGTCTCCCTGTGACTTCAGCTCTCTTTCAAGGGAAATTCAGGGCCAGGAGAAGGAAGCCCAGGGTCCCGGCACTGTCTGGAGCAGATACAGACCCCTGCCCAGGGCTTGGACTCTTCTTGATTTCACGTAAGATAGTCTCAGCCCCAGCCTGGGCCACACGGGAACCTCAGGCCTGGCTGAGCCTGCTCCCCTAACAGCCTGGGGCTGGCGGCCAAGTCCAGTAGCTTTTGGAGTAGTGCTCCAAGAGGCATTTGGAGGAGCTGCAAGAGAGGTTGTGAAGCAGCCGACTCTGACAGAGAGGAGGAGGAAATGGCCCTTTTCCCGGGCTGGCCGGCCTGGCAGACAGCAGTAGGGGCCCTCCTTCCTGTGAGGCACTGGGCCCAGGCCTCAACCTTTGAGCCTCCCATCTCCTCAAACCACAGCCCAGAGGTGTGAAAAAAAGAAAAAAACAGGGGGAGGGGTGGCAGAGAAGAGCCAGGTGCACATTTCGCACCTTGACCACAGGTGGGGCCCGGAGCAGCTTCACTCTGACTAACTTCCTCCTCAGGCTTCCCCGCCAGCTGCTCTGGAGGGCGGAGGCAGGAGGCTCACTGGCCAGAACTCTGATTGCAGGCCCTTGGCCAGGCAGCTGTCCCCTAAGCTGGGCCTGATTCTGTCCTGGTCTGGGAGCTGTTTGGGACCAGAAAGAACCAAATTAGACAGCTGGTCAAGGGTTTGGCTCAGCCCCGTAACACAGCAACCTTCTAAGACATCTCAGCTGTGCACGACGGCAGAAGCCCACCACAGACTTGCAATTGCGAGGTTAGGAGGGGTCAGTTTGGAAAGTTCCTAGAGCGGGAGGAGACTGCTGCTCACTAGGCACCTACCCTGCCCCAGACACTTTCTACACATATCATTTGCAGTCTCCAGAGCAACCCTATCAAATGTATACTATCCTTAGACCCATTTTTCAGATGAGGAAACCAAGGTACAGAGATTAAATAATTTGCCTGAGATTACACAGCTGGGCAGCCAGAGGATTCGCCTAGGACTGGCAAACTCACCGTCCCCCTCCACCCCCAGTTAAGGCAGAGGGTGGCCTCTCTGGAAAACCAGCCCTCCGGCCAAGCCCACACCTGTACGCCCCACAAGTGCCACCCTCTATCACTGGCTCCCTTGATATGAAAGGCTCCTGGTTGCTCCGGGTTTGTAGCCAACATCTCTCTCACTCAACATTCTCGATTGTACTCCTACTAAGCTATGGGCCCTGTGCTAGAAGCCTACAGCCTTGGTTATTCCAGTTCATCTTTTTAACAACCCTGCTGAGGAAACTGGCTCGACTCAGCTATGTAATTTGTCCAAAGTCACACAGCTCGAACAGGGTGGAGTCAGGGCTGGAACTCAGACAAGTTTAGCATTCTTCCCACAACATCATGGCCTCACTGGGAACAGCTCAGACCCATAGCCCAGCTTGGGCTATCAGGACACGGCCCTGATATCAGGGTACGGCCCTGATTATCAGGGTGTCCGAGCTCAGAAAGGAAAGCTCTCTGCTCCTTTCCAAAGCTCTTGCCCTGCCTTTCTCTCATGTGTCCTTCCCAGCAACCTGGGAAGGACATGATACAAACAAGTGAGGAGACTGGAAGGACACCAGGGAGGACACCAGGGTTACCTTTTTTTCTTTTTTTTTCTTTCTTGTCTTTTTTTTTTTTTTTTTTTGAGATGGAGTCTCACTCTGTCACCCAGGCTGGAGTACAGTAGCACGATCTCAGCTCACTGCAACCTCCACCTCCTGAGTTCAAGCAATTCTCCTGCCTCAGCCTCCTGAGTAGCTGGGACTACAGGCATGTGCCAGCCTGGCTAATTTTTTGTCTTGTTTTGTTTTGTTTTTTGAGACGGAGTTTCACTCTTGTTGCCCAGGCTGGAGTGCAGTGGCATGATCTCGGCTTACCACAACCTCCGCCTCCTGGGTTCAAGCAATTCTCCTGTCTCAGCCTCCCGAGTAGCTAGGATTATGGGCATGCACCACCACACCCGGCTAATTTTTGTATTTTTAGTAGAGACAGGGTTTCTCCATGTTGGTCAGGCTGGTCTCAAACTCCCGACCTCGGGTGATCCGCCCGCCTTGGCCTCCCAAAGTGCTGGGATTACAGGCATGAGCCACCGTGCCCGGCCTGGACTTTTATCTTTCACATGGACCAGTAACATTTCAACATCTATTTAGAGCAGGGCTCCCCAGCCCATGGGTGGTGGACCAGTATACCGGTCTGTGGCCTGTTAGGAACCAGGCTGGACAGCAGGAGGTAAGCTGCAGGGGGAGGGAGCATTACTGCCTGAGCTCTGCCTCCTGTCAGATCAGCAGAGCACAAATCCTGTTGTGAACTGCACGTGGGAGGGATCTAGGTTGTGCATTGTTTATGAGAATCTAATGCCTGATGATCTGAGGTGGAACAGTTTCATCCCGAAACCATCCCCACTCCAGTCCGTGGAAAAATTGTCTTCCACGAAACCGGTCCCTGGTGCCAAAAAGGCTGGGGACTGCTGATTTAGAGGACCCACATTGGGTTGTCAACTTCTGCCATCACAAGATGTTTCCAAAACTACCATCTATTTTCCCCATCATTTCATAAAGAAAAGGCCCTTTTGATACCAAAAAAAGGGGACAAATAACATGATTGCTGAATATAAGACAGACCTTTAAATGGAACAAATGTGGCTTTCCATGGTCAATTTTCTCATTTGCAGAAGCCCATGGAACTCAAACCTCTTCACAGGTCAGCACTGGGAGACTGTGGTCCCAGCTCCCAACCCTTTTCCACCCCCATAGGTAGCTACTGGCCAAGTCCTGCTCATCCTAACTGGCCTGGTTTCTGGAATCCTTCCTGCTCCCTCCACTGGCACTGCTCCTGACCTCTGCCAGGCCCTCAGTTCCCTCTGGCCTGAACCCTGCAGGTGACAAGCTGTTTAGAGCAAGGAGAGTCACATCTGTCCACAGGAGGGGAAGGGCCTTGATGCCTTGCAAGTATGCCTCATGTGGGTGTAAATTTAATTCCAGGCCCTAGCCTGGAGGCTTTGGTGGGGCAGTCTGGCTGAAAACTGGCCCCAAGACCATGGGCTAGCACTTGCTTTTCTCTCTCTCTCTCTTCTCTCTTCTCTCTTCTTTCTCTCTCTCCCTCCACCCCTGCTTTCCAACTAGGGGAGAGAGAGAAAGAGGAAACTGCTTGGGAGAAGCAAATTACGGGCAGCCTTGCCCACTGGTAATGAGAAGAGGGCGACAGGGAGGGGAGAAGAGGGCAAAGGGGAGAGCTGAGGGCAGGTGGGGAGAGGAATTGTTCACCATTCTCTGCCATAAAGTGACTGATGTGCTGTACCAAGGCTGCCTTACAGCTTTTCCTTAAGATCAAGAAGTTCCTATGGCCTCCTCCCCAACCCCATCCTCCTTCTTGCCCGAGAAGCAACTGCTTTTATGAATTTGTGGTATCTCCTGTCCCTGTTTTAAACCTCGAGAACCAACAGTGTTATCCAAAACAACATGGTATTGATTTTGTGGTGGTTTTTAGAGTTTATGTAAGTGGCATCAAACTATACATGGCATTCTGTAACTTGCTTCTTCTACCATGTGATCGTTGGCTTTTCTAGATGCATCCATGTTCAAATGTGTAGCTTTAGTTCATTTGTTTTTAACTGCATGAATATATCATAGCTTATTCACTTAAAAGAAACTGAAGACAGTGTTCATGAGTAGGAAAAGGAGAATCAGACAGCCGTGGGATCAATCCTCACGCCCACCTTTAATTGCCGTGTCTGGCGAAGGCCTGTCCCCTTTCTGAATCATCCATGCAGATAACCCCGCACGTCACAAGTGAGTTGTGTGGTTGAAATAAGGCAGTGTCGGAGAAAGCACCTAAAGCAATGTCTATCACATAGCAAGTTCATTACTGGTAGTTCCCTTTCTTTTTCCCCACTGATTAGCAGGGAGAGGTGGTGGTAAAAAGCTAGATTTAGTGTAACGGCTTTTTAAAAAAATATTTTAATTCCCTTTTTAAGAGACAGGGCCTCACTCTGTCACCAGGCTGGAGTGCAGTGGTACAATTATATCTCAAGGCAGACTTGAACTCCCGGGCTCAAGCAATCCTCCTGTCTCAGGCTTCCAAGTAGTTAGGACTACAGGCACATGCCACCATGCCCGGCTGGCTTTTTTTATTTTTGGTAGAGATGGAGCCTCGCTATGCTGCCCAGGCTGGTCTCAAACTCTTGGCCTTAAGTGATCCTCTTGCCTCAGCCTCCCCAGTAGCTGGGATTACAGGAATGAGCCACTGCACCTAGCTGAAATTTTTAAGAAGGTGGATCTCCTCTGCAGACTTATTTCTCTACCCAGCCTTTACAATCATGCAAAGATCAACTCAAGGCCAGGACAGATGAGTTCCAATCTATGGAGCACTGACCCTACCAGTGCAGGCAGTAGGGTTGCCCTTCACTTCTCAGCTGCATTGCTTCCTCTTCAGACCTCTCTTCTCAAAGGACCTGCCCCCAGCCAGTCATCCTCTGCCCAGCTTTTCTGGTCCCAAGCTTGTAGCCAGCTCCTCCAGAGAGGTTTCACCCAGTCACGGAAACTCTGTGGCCTGAGGTTTAGGGAGGTCTGGTAGAGGTAACTCCCTGGAAGAGGCTGCTGCTGAGAACTGCCTGAAACTCCCACTTCCTCTGTGACTGCAGGTTTCCAACCACAAGCACCAAAGCAGAGGGGCAGGCAGCACACCACCCAGCAGCCAGAGCACCAGCCCAGCCATGGTCCTTGAGGTAAGTGCTGCTGCCCAGCCAGGCCAGGCCAGAATTCGAAGTGGAAAACCCGGGGCATCAGGGGAATGCCAGGGCTGGCCCACAGCCCAGGGTCACCACAGGGTTGGGTGAGTAGCTGGAGGCCGCATGGGTTGTGGCAGAAACAGCACTGGGGAATTGGGAACCCAGCTTGGCCACTGACCCTGGGTGCCTCTCCTCTCCTCTCTGGCTTCGGTGTCTCGTCTGCAAAATGGGGGGGGCGGGGGGCAAGTAGACTCGAAGGCTCCCTTCAGGAGACTTGGAACTTTGACTCTTGGCGTGCTGGACTAAATTGGTACTGGGGAGACCTGCAGGTCCATAGTGCTGGGGGTGAGGGGATAAAGAAGATTCCTTCTCAAGCTAAGTGGGGGATCCCCTTGTGGGCAGCTAAATGGCCGTGCAAGCCTCAGTGTAGGGAGGGGGAAGGACTGGGCAGACTGCATGCATTTGGGGGGCGTGGTGACTTGTAGAGAGGCCACACGGTGGGGGGGGGCGCAGGAAGTTGGGGTCCCCGGACAAGGGCCAAGGAGGGAAGAGGAGGGTTAGTGACTGGAAAAGGGGATTGTGGAGAGGCGCTGGGGAGGAAGGTGGTTGAACTATGTGTTGGGGGTGGGGCACTGAGGACGCAAGGCAAGCCTGAAGGGAGAGCAGGGAGAGAGAGGACAGTGGGCAGAGAGGGCTCTGGGCACTGGAGGGACGCTCTTCTTCCTGCCCAGGGGTCCCTGGGCCGATGGGATCACGCAGAAGAATGCGAGAGAAGCAGCCTTTGAGAAGGGAAGTCACTATCCCAGAGCCCAGGCTGAGCGGATGGAGTTGAGGAAGTACGGCCCTGGAAGACTGGCGGGGACAGTTATAGGAGGAGCTGCTCAGAGTAAATCACAGACTAAATCAGACTCAATCACAAAAGAGTTCCTGCCAGGCCTTTACACAGCCCCTTCCTCCCCGTTCCCGCCCTCACAGGTGAGTGACCACCAAGTGCTAAATGACGCCGAGGTTGCCGCCCTCCTGGAGAACTTCAGCTCTTCCTATGACTATGGAGAAAACGAGAGTGACTCGTGCTGTACCTCCCCGCCCTGCCCACAGGACTTCAGCCTGAACTTCGACCGGGCCTTCCTGCCAGCCCTCTACAGCCTCCTCTTTCTGCTGGGGCTGCTGGGCAACGGCGCGGTGGCAGCCGTGCTGCTGAGCCGGCGGACAGCCCTGAGCAGCACCGACACCTTCCTGCTCCACCTAGCTGTAGCAGACACGCTGCTGGTGCTGACACTGCCGCTCTGGGCAGTGGACGCTGCCGTCCAGTGGGTCTTTGGCTCTGGCCTCTGCAAAGTGGCAGGTGCCCTCTTCAACATCAACTTCTACGCAGGAGCCCTCCTGCTGGCCTGCATCAGCTTTGACCGCTACCTGAACATAGTTCATGCCACCCAGCTCTACCGCCGGGGGCCCCCGGCCCGCGTGACCCTCACCTGCCTGGCTGTCTGGGGGCTCTGCCTGCTTTTCGCCCTCCCAGACTTCATCTTCCTGTCGGCCCACCACGACGAGCGCCTCAACGCCACCCACTGCCAATACAACTTCCCACAGGTGGGCCGCACGGCTCTGCGGGTGCTGCAGCTGGTGGCTGGCTTTCTGCTGCCCCTGCTGGTCATGGCCTACTGCTATGCCCACATCCTGGCCGTGCTGCTGGTTTCCAGGGGCCAGCGGCGCCTGCGGGCCATGCGGCTGGTGGTGGTGGTCGTGGTGGCCTTTGCCCTCTGCTGGACCCCCTATCACCTGGTGGTGCTGGTGGACATCCTCATGGACCTGGGCGCTTTGGCCCGCAACTGTGGCCGAGAAAGCAGGGTAGACGTGGCCAAGTCGGTCACCTCAGGCCTGGGCTACATGCACTGCTGCCTCAACCCGCTGCTCTATGCCTTTGTAGGGGTCAAGTTCCGGGAGCGGATGTGGATGCTGCTCTTGCGCCTGGGCTGCCCCAACCAGAGAGGGCTCCAGAGGCAGCCATCGTCTTCCCGCCGGGATTCATCCTGGTCTGAGACCTCAGAGGCCTCCTACTCGGGCTTGTGAGGCCGGAATCCGGGCTCCCCTTTCGCCCACAGTCTGACTTCCCCGCATTCCAGGCTCCTCCCTCCCTCTGCCGGCTCTGGCTCTCCCCAATATCCTCGCTCCCGGGACTCACTGGCAGCCCCAGCACCACCAGGTCTCCCGGGAAGCCACCCTCCCAGCTCTGAGGACTGCACCATTGCTGCTCCTTAGCTGCCAAGCCCCATCCTGCCGCCCGAGGTGGCTGCCTGGAGCCCCACTGCCCTTCTCATTTGGAAACTAAAACTTCATCTTCCCCAAGTGCGGGGAGTACAAGGCATGGCGTAGAGGGTGCTGCCCCATGAAGCCACAGCCCAGGCCTCCAGCTCAGCAGTGACTGTGGCCATGGTCCCCAAGACCTCTATATTTGCTCTTTTATTTTTATGTCTAAAATCCTGCTTAAAACTTTTCAATAAACAAGATCGTCAGGACCAGGGCATGTTCGTGCATCATTACAGTCAGCCCAGCCCACCTGGGCTCCAGGGGCACTTCCTGGTTCTCCCTGCCTGGCCCTGGGTCTGTGCCAGCCCATCCTGCCTTCATCAATGTCTGTCTGCAGCTTTGTCTCTGCCCTCGTGGGCACTCCTGTTCTACTCACAGGGAAACACCCAAGTACATGGGTGCAGAGTGAGCAGTTAGGCAGCTGGTTGGCATAATTGGGGAAGGGGCCATCAGACATGAACACGAGAGCCCTGCACTCCAGCAGCTCAGGACAGGAGGCAAGATGTGTGTGAAACTAGCGAAACCCAGCAGCCTGGGCCATGGGGCACATAAGTGGCACAGTGAACCCAGAGCTCAGGGCACTGAAGGTTGGAGCCATTTGGGAAGGCTTCTTGAAGACTTAAAGGGCAAGTAGTATTTCCAGGCATAAGGGAGGGCAGTAGCAACAGTGGGAAGGCTGAAAGTAAGACTGAAAGGTAATTTGGGATCAGGTGATGGTATTGGAGACCAGTCAGAAGGCCCTACTGGTTTTTCAGGTGAGTGATACAAGCGCTTACTAGGGAAATGGCTGTGGGCTTGAAGAAAAGCAAGGCCAGATGACTTGCCAACAGTCATTAGCACACAGCCACCTGGAGGCGGGCTGTGGGGAGCATTTTTCCAGGGCTATCAATGAGGCCGAAGTGAGGGAAAGAAATAACTGGGGTTTCCCAGAAAGGCAAGTGACAGGGCTGAGTTAAAACAGAAGGTGACAAGGTGGGTCTACTGCACTGTCAGTGCCCCCTAATTAAGTCACCAATGTGCTAGGATCCAGTTTCACAGGCCAGCTGCACCCCTGCTGAAACTGCAGAAACGGCCGGAGATGGGAATGGGGAGGAAGAATCTGAAGAGTTACCTGGGGAAGCTCGTCCCACCACATAAACACACCATCCCGCTTTGTGGCCTCTAGACACTCCAAGCTTTTACAAAATGAAGAAAGGAAGGGAAATGACAGAATGCACCCTGCCTAGAAAAAGTATCAGGGTAGTCAAGATGCTTGTGGCTGGCTGAAAACATGGCGCCCAAGATGTCCCCGTGCTAACCCCCAGAGCTTGTGACTATGTTACCTTAGATGGCAAAAGGGAATTGAGGTTGCCAATCAGCTGACTTGAAGAAGAGGCTCCTGGATTATCCAGGTGGGCCCAAAGTAACCACAAGAGTACTTTAAAAGTGAAAGAGGCGCCGGGAGCGGTGGCTCACACCTTAAATCCCAGCACTTTGGGAGACTGAGGCAGGCGGACCGCTTGAGGTCGGGAGTTCGAGACCAGCCTAGCCAGCATGGCTAAACCCCGTCTCTAATAAAAACACAAAAATTAGCTGAGCACAGTGGTGCATGCCTGTAATCCCAGCTACTCAGGAGGCTGAGGCAGGAGAATCACTTGAACCCAGGAAGCGGAGGTTAAAGCAAACCAAGATAGTACCACTGCACTCCAGCCTGGGCGACAGTGAGACTCCATCTCATAAAAATAAATAAATAAAAATAAAAGTGAAAGAGAGAGGCAGCAGGGGAGTCAGAGAGGGAGCTGTTACTGCCTCTGGAGGACGGGACCATGAACCCAGGAAATGTGAGCAGCCTCTAAAAGGCAGAAAAGGCCGGGCGAGGTGGCTCGCGCCTGTAATCCTAGCACTTTGGGAAGCCAAGGCGTGTGGATCACTCGATGTCAGGAATTCCAGACCAGCCTGGCCAACACGGTGAAACCCTGTCTCTACTAAAACTACAAAAATTAGCCGGGCATGGTGGCAGGTGCCTGTAATCGCAGCTACTCGGGAGGCTGAGGCAGGAGAATCACTTGAAAGCAGGAGGCAGAGGTTGCAGTGAGCCAAGATCGTGCCACTGCACTCCAGCCTGGGTGACAGAGCAAGACTCTGTCTCAAAAAAAACAGAAAGGAAAATACAAGGCAACAGATTCTCCCCCAGAGCCTCCAGGAAGGTACACAGCCCTGTCAACACCCTGATTTTAGCCCAGTGACACCGGTGATGGACTATCTGACCTCCAGAACTGTAAATGTGTGTTGTTTTAAGCCACTATGCTTGTGGTAATTTGTTGTGGCAACCATAGGAAACGAATACAATGTGGATCCCAATCCACATCCTGAATCACTCCAAGAAGTAGGGAAGCTGCTAAGTCCTTATGGGCAGTCACAGAAATCCAGAGAGAAACACGGAGTGCGGCACGCTCCTCTAGACGAGTCCTGGAGGGCTTCAGATGTTCGGAGTCTTGGACAAAAGACCAGAGGGTCTGTTCTGCTCTAGGTGCAGGGATTCAATGAACAGACTTTGCTAACAAGCAAGATGCAGAAAACTTTTATTTTTTGATTACATGGCTCAGATAGTTTCAATCAATACCATCAACAACGAATTTTATGAAACACGTTTGTCTTTCCTGTCTACATAGATGCCACAGTAGCCCTAGTGTTTAAGTGTTGCCTCTCAAACTTGTCCTCTTTCCAGCATTCTCCTCTCTCAACCTGCCACTCTTGAAAACTCACTTTTCTTTTGCATTTTGTTCTACATGTGAAAAATATGGAACTCAAGTAAGACCCAAGGTAGATCCCAAGGGCTTCAGAAATACCCTGTCAAGGGCACAGAATGGTTAGCAATAGAGTCCCTATTTAAGGTCAATCATCGTTAATAACATGAATCTTAAATTCTAACATTACTTACTTAACAGTACCTAAATTCTAATATTCCTAACTTCACAAAACAAACTTTTCTAAAACTTCTTACCAGTAAAGGATATAGCTCACATTAATATACTCTAAGATAACCTTAAGAATTCTTCATTGCCTTGTAATTCCTGCCAAGTGTTTTCATCACATCCCCAAGGCTAATCCTAGCCATCTCCTGCATAATTTTTCTATAATACTTCTGCACATACACAGCAAATGGTCACACGTGGGGCACAATACGGGTCCCATCTTTCTGAGTTAATGGCACCATGACCAGAGACCCCTTGCATTTGGCACAGATGAAGCGGCTGGTGTCCAACGATTTGGTGTAGCAGCCAATCCTGGGAAGGAATGGAACAACACACAACAAAAGAATCAGTCACTGCACCTCAGCATCAGCTCTGAGATGTTAGCCTTGGGCCCAAAGCAATACTTTTCTCTGGGTTGTCAGAGACCCGGGCACCAAGCGGCAGCAGTGGTCAGGCCGGCTCAAATTACGGAAGAGAAAGGAGAAAGAGAACGTGGAAAGGAGGAGAGAGGTTCTCCTCTTCAGTTCAGACAGCCATCTACTTATAAAATCACTGAAGAGCCACTTGGAGGCCCCAGCAAAACGTAACTGGGAAAAGTCTGAGAAGAGTCTTACCTCGTTTTGCATCCAGTACATTCATAATGGACCTTGTAGTTAATCTTATAGTTATGGCAACGGGTGACCCTGGGCAGCTCCGGGTGTATCCTGTTGGATTTCCTGGCATAATACTTCCATGCGTCACCATGAGAATCATGGATACCATCAATCAGCCAGGAGGCAGCATGGCACATTTCATGGATCAAGGTATCCCGGATTCGGTCTTGAAAGAAGAATGAAAAGAAATGTGAGCACTAAAACCAATCCTCTTTTTTTTTTTTTTTTTTTTTTTTTCCTTTTTTGAGATAGTCTTGCTTTGTCGCCCAGGCTGGAGTGTAATGGCATGATCTCAGCTCACTGCAACCTCCACCTCCCGGTTTCAAGTGATTCTCCTGCCTCAGCCTCCCAAGTAACTGGGATTACAGGCATGCACCACCATTCCTGGCTGATTTTTTTTTTTTTTTTTTAGTAGAGACGGGGTTTTGCCATGTTGGCCAGGCTGGTCCCAAACTCCTGACCTCAGGTGATCCACCCACCTCGGCCTCCCTAAGTGCTGGGATTACAGGCGTGAGCCACCACACCCGGCCCCAATCCTCTTCTTATCTGCTACCCAACAACCCCTCGACTTTCAGCGCCACCAGACACAAGGCTATCTTAAAGAAGCACATGCAGGCAAGCACGAGTGTTACCTTCCCAGGATTCTCAAAGTGAATAGTGAACCTACTTCAACCCGATATTGTTTATGGCAAAGAGCCTTCGGTGAGCAGGTCTTTTCAGAGCAGCTCCAACATGCTCATTTTTTTATGAGGCACTTCTAGAAAAACATCAGGACAAGATCTAGTTTCTGCCCTCCAGGAACAGAGATGGACAGGGTGGGGAGCAATCGCTATGGCCGTGGGATTTGGTTAGGAGAAGCTCCATGGTGAAATTGAGATCTCAGGGGTTCTTACTAATTGATTGAATTTGCAAAGTTAGAAAGGCCATTCTGGGTGTGGCAAAACATGAGTATGTGGCACATTTTTAAAAACATTTTAGAGACTAAGTCTCGCTATGTTGCCCAGGCTGGAGTGAAACTGCTATTCACAGGTGCGATCATAGTGTACTACGGCCTCGAACTCTTGGGCTCAAGCAAGCCTCTTACCTCAGCCTCCCAAATAGCTGGGACTACAGATGGGTGCCACCACACCCAGCCTGTGGTATGTTTTGAAGGCCAGTGTGAAGAGAGCCTGTCTGGGGCATGGGCTAGTGGTAGAATACTGAGAGACAAGATTGGCCAAGCCAAACAGGAGCAGATTACAATGGCCTCAAAAGCCAGGCTCTAGGCCTTGAAAAGCCCTGGTTTCTCAGCAGGAAAGCAATGTAGTGGCATATGGGAGACCAAACAGAGCAGGGATGAGGGCCTGTCCTTGGATGGAGGCACAGATAGAGAAGGAATGGTGAGCTACTCTGAAGGAAGATTTGGTGATTGGCTAGAAAGAGGGGACCTTGAACCTCAGCTCCTGAGAGAATGAAGATGCTACTGCTGGCAAAGGGGAAATGCAGAGAGAAAGGCAGGCCTGGTATAAAGATCGATAGGTTTGATTCACAGGGATGGTGAGACATCCAATAACTATGTCCTCTAAGCAACACACAGCATGCCTGCCCACCCAAGAATGACAGTTCGAGCTGTGACACAGGCTACCAGCTAGGAGTAATTTCACAGGCACGGTGTCAGAAGGAAAGAGCACAGTGGTGAAGCTACCACACTCCTGCCATCACCTGCAGAGTCGCAGACTTTCAAGCCAATCTGGATCTTGGCAAAGCGCCGCCACTTTGGGTACCACATCTCACCAGTGCTGCATAAGCCAGCAGTTTTCACCATCTTGTTATTCCAGCCTATGCGTAGTTTCTCTGGCAGCTGAGAATGAAACGCAAATGAAAGGAATCAGAAAGCTGTTTTGGGTTTTTTTGTTTTTTTGTTTTTGAGACGGAGTTTTAGCTCTTGTTGCCCAGGCTGGAGTGCAATGGTGCAAACTCAGCCCACTGCAACCTCTGCTTCCCAGGTTCAAGTGATTCTCCTGCCTCAGCCTCCCAAGTAGCTGGGATTACAGGCATGCGCCACCACACCCAGCTAATTTTTCGTATTTAGTAGAGACAGGGTTTCACCATGTTGGTCAGGCTGGTCTCGAACTCCTGACCTCAGGTGATCCGCCTGCCTTGGTCTCCCAAAGTGCTGGGATTACAGGAGTGAGCCACCACGCCGGGCCCAGAAAGCAGTTTTAAGCAGACCAGAAAATATTAACTCCAGAGTTTTTTACCCTCTAATAAAAAGGAAAAAGAACCTTCTCCCCCAGGTTCTTGGCTCAGAGCAAGTTTGAGAAGAAATTTATTCAAAGAGCACACAAATCAAAACATTCTGAGGAGAATAAAAGCCACATTAACGTCTGGGTAAAGACAACAAACAGGCAATCAGGACACAAGGGAGATTGATAGAACACGTGAGTGCAGGACTTGGGTCTCTTGTCCTTAGGGCAGCCAAGGAGAGAAGGACAACCCTGCTGAGGTGGGCGAGGCTGGACTGAAAAGGCAACTCAGAACACTTCAGTTTCCACCCATCTGATGTGACACCACTGTCATCCAGAAGGGCATCAAAGGCTGGGGAACCTTTAGGAATATGTAAGAACTTCCCTCCATAAAGTCTTGTCACCAGAGATGATGAAGTCTGAAAAATCTAATGACCAATAGGTCTCTCTGCCTCCAGATTTTCTCCAATCCAGTCCATACCCACAGGTTAGTGTCAGGTTAATTTCTTTCAGCAGGTTAATTTCATTCACTCCCTGATGCACCCCATCCCTGTGCAGTGGTGCCTACTGATGTAAATTTCACCTCCTCCAACCTGATTCCCAAGGCCCTCTGGTATCCAGTCCTACACTATCAAAAAATAAGAGCTTACTATGTCCTAGGCCCTGTTCTAGGCACTGTATGTGTATTAACTTATGTAAGGGTAACAATAATCCTATGAGGTAATACGTACTGTGTTGTCCCCATTTTACAGATGAAGAAACTGAGGCAAACTGAAGTCAAGTAACTTGTTCAAGGTCACACAGCTCTTTTCCATTATCCTTCCACAAGAATCCTCTCTTCCTGATTGTCGAGCCTCAACTCTCCCTCTCCCCCATCCTGTTTGCCACTTACCATCCTTTAAGAAGCAGAGTCTCACTTCCTCCAGGTAATCTTACTTCCTGGCTGTTGAGGCTCTTAGTGATTTCTCCCTCTGCTGATCTCCTGTGGTAACAGCCATCTGTCCTATACATTATAACTCATACACATTCTCTATTGCTTTCACCTGTACCAGGGCTCATCTCCCAACCTTAACTGCCTCTGCTCAAGGGCAGGAAGTATACATGGTTAGCACACCTCACAGCACCAAGAGTACTGGTGTATAGCAGGTGCTCAATCAGTGCTCATTCATTGATCCTACCTTTTTATCACAGACGGATCTGTTAAACAGGTCGTAGATTCTCTGAACCAATTCATCCTTATTTCGCTTTAAATTTTTTCCAGAGTATTTCTTTGACTTTTCAAGGTCTTGCAAGAAACATCCAGGGACTTTGCATTTAGGAGTCCTGCAAAGATAAATTCAACTGAGGTTTATGTAGCTAAAGAGAGAGAAGGAATGCACACCTAAGCGTCTCGTCAAGAGACCCTGAAAACATGTTGCTCCCTCTTCCATCCAGCTCCTTAGATCAGGGCATTTCCCAAGCCTTCATTTGTAGCCTTTTCTCTTCTCTCTTTGCAACCCTCAGAGGTGTAAAGCCCGTGGTTTCAAGCTCAACGAGACTTATCCCCACATCTGTATCTGCACTCTGGAGCTCTCTCCTGAGACCTAGTTCTGAATTTACAATTGCCCAGTGCAAACTTCCAACTGATTAACATGAATGTATCTCCAGCTAAACGTGTGTTCAATTATCAAACTTGTGTTACAATTGGCTGAAAAACCTCAAAGACATTTAAAAATTCCTCTTCTTGGCTGGGTGCGGTGGCTCGCGCCTTAATCTCAACACTTTGGGAGGCCGAGGCAGGCGGATCACGAGGTCAGGAGATCGAGACCATCCTGGCTAACACGGTGAAACCCTGTCTCTACTAAAAATACAAAAAATTAGCTGGGCGTGATGGTGGGCGCCTGTAGTCCCAGCTACTCGGGAGGCTGAGGCAGGAGAATGGTGTGAACCCAGGAGGCGGAGCTTGCAGTGAGCCGAGATCGCGCCACTGCACTCCAGCCTCGGCGACAGTGCGAGACTCTGTCTCAAAAAATAAAACAAAATAAAATTCCTTTTCTCTCTTTATTGGGCACAGAGACAGACTATCTTCTTCACACTTTCTCTTCCAGCCAGCACCTCCTTTCCATCCCCCTGGTTCCTACTCTAGTTCAAGTTCTTGTCCTACCCTTTAATGCCTAGATATGAGAACACTCCAGTGTTCCTTACCTCCAGGCTCTGTCTCTTCTCATCCAATCACACACACCCCTCCAGATTCATTTTTGCAGGCCATGCTCCAATTAATGTCCCCCTCTGGTTTTTCACTGACTGCCTGGCCTGACATTCATGGCCAGGGTCAACCCTGTCCAAAGCTCTATTCCCAGCTACCACTGACACTCTAGCCAAAGTGGGCAACTTAAATGTTCCCTGGACACAAATTGCAATTTCCCGCATTTGTGCCTTGGTACAATCTATTTTCCCATGGCTTACAAGGACTACATCTCCACCTCTACTGAGAATAACCTTCTGTGTAGCACTTTATCATTTGCAAAGAACTTCTTTTTGCATTGTCATATTTAATCCTCACAACTGCCCTTCAAAGAAGCTGTTACTATTTTTACGATCTCCACTGTGCTCAGGGGTCAAGTGACTTGCCCAGAGGTCACAGAGACAGTGAATCTCCTGATCCAAATCTCATGGTCTTTTGATTAAACCACAATCGCTGCCCCATCTTTCAAGGCCTAATTCAAATGGCACAAAGAATAATGCTGAACACATAAAGGACTCATACTGTAATAACTACCATTTAAACAGAAGCATTTTTATCTTAGCTGGAACAGTCCACTAAGTCCAGAGATGAGCCCAAAGAGCTGGAAAGACAAAATGGGAGCAAATGCAGCAAGTTTCTGACTTAATAGAACTCCTAAGACTAAGAATTTGCCAGAACACTTATTAACCCTTAAGTCACAAACTAAACCCTACGTGAGGAAGTTGGGCTGCAGAGGGGGGAAGTACCAGACAAGACAGAGGTTACAGAAGGTTCTTCATCCCAAGCCTGAAATGGGGGACTCAAACATTTCTGCCTCCAGTTACTTAGGTCTGAAAGCAAATTTACATCAGTATTTAAGGTGGCAGATGCAAACCTGAACCCTCTGCAGACTTTGGCAGAGCCCGGACCCCTGTGTGTTTGTGCTCACAGAACGTTGGCCTTGTGGCTTAGCATACTTTCACCTCAAGGCCTGTGGCTCTTTACTGCAGGCTGAGCACCTTCACATCAGAGGAACCGACAAGACCCCAAACTGGGTACATCAGACACCATGACCAGCAAGCAGCCTACACAGGAACAATGCTAAGCATAACAGGAAGCCTCCAGACTGACACAGGAAGTGCTAAACAACAGTTAAGAGTCCAAACGGGCTAGCCTCCTTTGGATAATGCAGACTGACAATGACACCAAGGGACAGCTTTTCCCTTCTTTTGTCACGCTCTAGCAAAGTAACCTGGGAGTTACCCAAGACACACGTCCCTGGAGGCAAAGCAGCTTAAATATGTAGTTAGGAGTCTGGAGCAGAAACCTTGCTGAAAGGGGATCCAGCTAAGAGAGTACTTGGCAAGCTGCTACCGGCTGCCTAAGCCAGTGCAGAAACAGACAGCCCTTCTGCTCAGGTCCGGGGTAACCTGGTGCCCCTATGCCTGACACATCAGTCTTTTTCCCCTCCCTTAATATACACTTATTGTCCCCAAATACTCGTTAAAAAATAACATATAGTCCTTCAAATACATTCTTTGTCTTGTAAGACAATTCAGATGTGAGCATACATTACTCTTCAATGAAAGTAAAAACAAAGAAAATTATGCTTACTATATCAAATTTTTAAGGGAAAAACTAAGAAATTCCTGGAATCTAAATAAGAAAATATATTAATTTTTTGCCTTAAGTATTAACATGTCTTTGGTCTACAGGATCAGTGGTTGTTTTCAGTATCAACTATATATAGCTTAATAAAAATAAAGGAATGATAAGCAATCCATTTCATCCTAATATTTAAGCTTAAAAATTCATACAGATATACATAGTAGTAAGAGTAACTGGGTTCAGCCAAAGCACTAGAAAAACCTGGAAGACAATCTTGACCACTCTCCCTCCAATTCCAACAGATTAATGTGTTGCTTTCGCCTTCTCACCATTTCCAGTGCCTTTGCCTTGGTTTAGCACAAACTGGTGGCCATGAGGCTGTATCCAGCCTGAAGAAAAGTGTCTTGTTTGGCTACACATTGTTCTTTGATCTGAGTTGAAGGACATAGGCAATCTCAGAGGCCAGAGCTGCTGTGGGTGCAGAAAGGCCCCCTCCACCCAGGTAACTGCAGGCACCTTGGCGGAGAGCCCATGCCCAGCCTCAGAGAGTGGGGAAAGAAGGGAGGAAGGAGCCAGTGGGTAGTATTCTCCCTTGCTTGGGCCCTCCTACTCAAGGACAGAAACCTTGTCCCCCAGTCCCATCCCAGCCAGACTCCATCCCCTTGCAGACCACCCCCACCCAAGTGCCCAGTGGACTGCCCAGTGTGACGGCTGTGCAATAAATTCCTGTTCAACTGTATGCGAGCAGTACATACCTAGTCTTGCGTTTTTCAACTTTTGCTGCACCGGGTTTCTTCTTTGAAGGCCCACGCTTCTTATGTCCTTTACCAGATGAAAAAATAATAGGTTACTTGTACCCCGAAAATTGGTACCATCACGAGACCAACAGAAAGGTAAACCCAAAAGGAGCCCTCACAGCCAAGCCCAGTGCAACTTCTCTAAACAAAACTGTCTGAAGTGGCATACTGCTGCCTTCATCATTCTCAACGATCTCACCCACGTGAATCACAGAGCTGCCAGCAGCATGAGCTGGGCAGGATTCTGTCACAGGCACCAAGGACTATGAGGGTCCAGGAGTGTGCCCTTAGAAGCTAGGTGGTGTGGGCAACTGAAGCGTGCACAGTCGAAGGGGTGCTATGGAACAGCTCACACACCTGCTCCAATGAGTGGCTCATATTCTAGGCAGCACCTTTACTCAGTGTGCAGGGCAAGGCAGATCCTGCCAGCTGCTCTAGCTAAAGGCTTATGTATCAATAGTCAGTGTCATTCATATATCTAAAAAATTTATTGAACCTCTATCATGTGCCAAGCACCAGGCCAAATCCTGAGAGAGACTAAAAGATGAGGAAGAGTCCTCCCACGAAGAGGCTCACAGTCTACCGGGACGGGGTAGGGAAGGGGACAGACTCAGGAATGTATTCTAACAATGTGACTAGTGCTTTGGTAGAGATGGGCTCTAGAACTTTGGTAACCCAGGAGACAGGAGCCACCCTGACTCACGGCTTCATAGAGGAAGAGATAATTTCCTAAGAAAAATAAGATATCCTCAGAACAGAAGGTTCAGGGAGACAGCACTCTAGGCTAGTGAACAGCAAATACTAAGATACAGGAGCATGAGAAAGATGTGGGCATTCCTCCCCTGTTCCCAGAACCATCCTTGCACTGGGATGGATGCCTCCTTGGGCCACAGGGAAGTTGCTGAAATGGCACAGGGTTGAAAGGGAGGACAGGCAGACTGGATAACACAGGCACATTTGGCAGGCAAGGCACATTCAGTGGGACAGGCATACTTGGCATGACTGGCTTACCAGGTGTCACAGATACATTTTTGGTTTTCGCCTTCCTCTTCCTCAGTGGCTCCACTATATTTTTGGTCTTTGTCTGCCTTTTCCTTGGTGGCTCCACTATATTTTTGGTCTTTGTCTGCCTTTTCCTCGGTGGCTCCACAATAGTTTTGGTTTTTGACTTCCTTTTCCCTGATTGTTCCACCACAGGTGCAGGCTCTTCCTCAGTTGGCAGCTTTCTCTCTGAAACTTCAGGGTTAGCCTCAGGATCACTTGGTGGTTTGCTGAGATTCTCACCAAGATCCTGCTCACCAGCATCATCAGATGAATCATGCTGGGAGACAGCAGCAGCAGCCTCAACCAGCTCTTCTTCATCTGAAGCAATTTGGCCTTCATTACACAAATCTTCTGCTGGCACAGGAACTTCCAAATCATCACTATTGTCATCGGGAACATCCGAATCATCACTCTTGTCTTCGGGAACATCCGAATCATCACTCTTGTCGTCGGGAGCTTCCGAATCATCACTGCTGTCGTCGGAAGCTTCCGAATCATCACTGCTGTCGTCGGAAGCTTCCGAATCATCACTGCTGTCGTCGGGAGCTTCCGAATCATCACTGCTGTCGTCGGGAGCTTCCGAATCATCACTGCTGTCGTCGGGAGCTTCCGAATCATCACTGCTGTCGTCGGGAGCTTCCGAATCATCACTGCTGTCGTCGGGAACATCCGAATCATCACTGCTGTCGTCGGGAACATCCGAATCATCACTCTTGTCGTCGGGAACATCCGAATCATCACTGTTGTCGTCGGATGAATCATCACTGTTGTCGTCGGATGAATCATCACTGTTGTCGTCGGGAACATCCGAATCATCACTATTGTCGTCGGGAGCTTCCGAATCATCACTGTTGTCGTCGGGAGCTTCCGAATCATCACTGTTGTCGTCAGGAGCTTCCGAATCATCACTGTTGTCGTCGGGAGCTTCTGAATCATCACTGTTGTCGTCGGGAACTTCCAAATCATTACCGTTGTCATCGTCATTGTCATCATCACTAATAACTATTGGAGGTTCCTGGATGGCAGGCTTCACATGACAACACTCCGGACTCTCATCTGAAATTCAAGAGACACAATCATATGTAAATATACTCCCTCTACCACCTCCTTTATATGCTAAATTTCAGCAGATTATTTAGCACAAATTAAACAAGACAGGAACTGTGACATTTTGAATAGCAGTTAAGAATCGGTTATTTTAAAGGAGACACCAACAAATGGAAAGATTCCATGTTCATGGATTGGAAGACTCAATATTGTTAAAATGTCCATACTGCCTAAAGAAATGTAAAGATTCAATACAATCCCTATCAAAATACCAATGACATTCTTCACAGAACTAGAAAAAACTATCCTAAAATTTATATGGAATCATGAAAGGCCCAGAATAGCCAAAGTTATCCTGAGCAAAAAGAACAAAGTGGAGGAATCACATAACCTGCCTTCAAATTACACTACAGAGCTACAGTAACCAAAACAGCATGGTACTGGCATAAAAACAGACAACATAGGCCAATGGAATAGAATAGAGAACCCAGAAACAAATCCACACACCTACAGCAAACTCATTTTAGAAAAAGGTGCCAAGAACATACACTGGCGAAAAGGAAGTCTCCTCAATAAATGGTGCTGGGAAACCTGGATATCCATATGCAAAAGAATGAATCTAGACTCCTATCTCTTGCTATACAAAAATCAAATCAAAATGGATTAAAGACATAAATCTAAGACCTCAAACTATGAAACTACTACAAGAAAACATTGAGGAAAATCTCCAGGACATCAGTCTGGGCAAAAATTTCTTGAGCAATACCCCACAAGCACTGGCAACCAAAGCAAAAATGGACAAATGGGATCACATTAAGTTAAAAAGCTTCTGCACAGCAAAGGAAACAATCAACAAAGTGAAGAGACAACCCACAGAATGGGACAAAATATCTGCAAACTACCCATCTGACAAGGGATTAATAACTAGAGTATATACGGAGGTCAAACAACTCTATAGGAAAAAAAAATCTAATAATCCAATGAAAAAATGGGACAAAAGATCTGAATAGACATTTCTCAAAAGAAGACATACAAATGGCAAACAGGCATATGAAAAGGTGTTCAACATCATTGATCATCAGAGAAATGCAAATCAAAACTACAATGAATGACCAGACACGGTGGCTCACACCTGTAACCCCAGCAGTTTGGGAGGGCAAGGCGGGTGGATTATCTGAGGTAAGGAGTTTGAGACCAGCCTGGCCAACATGGCAGAACCCCATCTCTACTAAAAATACAAATATTAGCCAGGTATGGTGATGTGTGCCTGTGGTCCCAGCTACTTGGGAGGCTGAGGCAGGCGAATCGCTTGAACCTGGGAGGTGGGGGTTATACTGAGCCAAGATCACACCACTGTACTCCAGCCTGGGTGAGCGTGAGACTGTCTCAAACAAAACAAAAAACAAAAAACAAAACCTACAATGAGGTATCATCTCACCCCAGTTAAAATGGCTTTTAGCCAAAAGACAGGCAATAATAAATGCTGGTGAGAATGAGGAGAAAAGGGAACCCTTGTACATTGCTGGTAGGAATGTAAATTAGTACAACCACCCTGGAGAACAGTTTGGTGGTTCCTCAAAAAACTAAAAACAGACCTACCATACAATTCAGCAAACCCACCGCTGCGTATATACCCGAAAGAAAGAAAATCAGTATATCAAAGAGATATCTGCACTCCTATGTTTGTTGTAGCACTGTTCACAATAGCCAAGATTTGAAGCAACCTATGTGCCCATCAACAGATGAATGGAGGTCGGGCACGGTGGCTCGCGCCTGTAATCCCAGCACATTGGGAGGCCAGGGCGCACGGATCACTTGAGGCCAGGAGTTTGAGACCAGCCTGGCCAAAATGGTGAAACCCCATCTCTACTAAAACTACAAAAATTAGCCAGGCATGGTGGAGGGTGCCTGTAGTCCCAGCTACTCAGGAGGCTGAAGCAGGAGAAATCGCTTGAACCCAGTAGGCAGAGGCTGCAGTGAGCCGAGATTGCGCCACTGCACTCCAGCTTGGGCAGCAGAGCAAGACTCCGTCGCAAAAAAACAAAACAAAACAAAAAAAAACAGATGAATGCATAAAGAAAATGTGGTACATATGCACAATGGAGCAATGGAGTACTGCTCAACCATAAAAAAGAATGAGATCCTGTCATTTGCAACAACATGGATGGAACTGGAGGTCATTATGTTAAGGGAAATAAGCCAGGCACAGAAAGACAAATTTCACGTTTTTTTCTCGTTGTTGTTGTTGTTGTTGTTTGAGATGGAGTCTTGCTCTGCCGCCAGGCTGGAATGCAGTGGCGCAATCTCGGCTCACTGCAACCTCCACCTCCCGGGTTCCAGCAATTCTGTCTCAGCCTCCCAAGTAGCGGGGACTACAGGCACGCACCACCACACCCAGCTAATTTTTGTATTTTTAGTAGAGACGGGGTTTCACCATGTTGGCCAAGATGGTCTCGATCTCTTGACCTCGTGATCCGCCTGCCTCGAACTCCCCAAGTGCTGGGATTACAGGCGTGAGCCACCACACGCATGTTCTCATTTATATGTGGGGTCTAAAAATGAAAACAATTGAACTAATGGAGACAGAGAATAGAAGAATAGTTAACAGAGGCAGGGAAGGATAGTGGAGGGGTGTGGAAAGGTAGGGATGGTTAATGGGCACAAAAAAATAGAAAGAATAAGATCTACTATTTAATAGCGCAACAGGATGACTGTAAGTCACTAACTTAACTGTACATTTTAAAATAATTAAAAGAGTATAACTGGATTGCTTGTAACACAAAGGATAAATGCTTGAGAAGACAGATACTGCATTCTCTATGATGTGATTATTACACATTGCATGCTTGTATCAAAACATCTCATGTACCCCATAAATATATACACCTACTATCTACTCACAAAAATGAAAAATTATTTTTTAAAAAAGAAAGTTACTTTAGATTGTTTTTCCCCTATTTTTTATTTCACTGAGAGCAGTGACAGATCAAATAGCAACCAAACTCGTGGCAATTTTCAAATCATAGTCTCTAAGTAGCAAGATACAGTAGTTGCTTCGGGCTTCCCAAACACGGGTCTGCAGACTTGTATATTTTCACTGGTCCACAGCAAAATAAGACAAATTAGAATAATAAAGTGGTATTTTTTCTCCCATCAAGTTAAATTTCTATAATTTAAAGGACTGTCCTTTATTTTGTGATTATGTCTTGGTTAAACTTTTGGTGTTCTTTACAAAATTACAAAGATAGTAAATGGTAGCTGAAGTTTTTTTTTTTTAATTTCCTTCATTAGACAAATTAAAAATTGACAACTCTGTGTTGGTCACCAAAATTTCATTCTTTAAATTAGTTCATAAGTGCAAAGCTCTCAGAACCACTGATATGAGTCAGGAGTAGGTCCTGATGTCAGCACTCTCTGAGAGGCCTCAGAACATTTGGAACATCACTGCCTGCACTGAAATGAAGGTCGGTGTGTCTGACGCCACACACTCTTTGAAGTCTGTTTGGAGCTCAAGTTCTAGCTTTCTATGATTCTGGATGTAAACAAAAATCTAAAAATCTAAACCATGGCATAGGCAAGATGTGAAAGATATATTCATGGTGCAAAATCTCTTTATCCTAAAACTGCAGATTTGAGATAATATATTTTGAGAGTCTTATCTGTTATTTGAATTAATTATGAAAAAACTTCAAATATGCAGTAAGGGAAGAGAAAAGGAGTAGATGTTCCTATGGTAAAAAGCCCTGCCTCTTTCCTAGAAAACTTAAAAGATTTGCCACCTGCAGTTGAAATTAAAAATTAGAAAAAGTAGGGACACACTGCTTACGATATATTTAAAAATGACTATGTACAGTGACAAAGGTTGGAGGTATGTTTTAGAGTTCACTGGGCCTTGTTTTCTGTAGAATTGCCTAAATTCATTATAACAAAAAGAAATGCCACGTAGAGAACAGCAAAGAAACATACAAAGCCAGTCCTATAGGAGCATTCTTCATCCCTCCATTGCTGCGATGGATGCCCACAGCTACAGTCCACAGGCCAGCAAGGTTAAGAGCAGCCTTAGCTAAAAGTTCACCCTCAAAAGAATCGGTCTCTTCTGATTTAAGGAGTAAAGCACCTGGTGGCCTCCGGTTGTGAACTGGTTTCTGGCTCTGTTACTCCTGCCTGCCCTCAAGCTGCCTCCTTGGAGTTCCTTTCACATTTGAACAGCTTGTCATGTCAGACCCTCTACTCTGCACCCAGACCACTGTCCTGCTCAGGCACAGCCACCCAGAGCTAGAGAGAGGAAGCAGGGAAAGAAATCCAAAAGGATAGGTGGTAGAACAATAGGAGACTAGCGTTTCAAACCACCTCTCCCTTCCCTGCTCTGATATCCCGGGTTAGCTAAGCAACTCTGGCCAACAATAGCTCTTGGGTAGTTATCTAAGAAGTAGCTGGTGCTGGTCAGGCCCAGTGGCTCACACCTGTATCCTAGCACTTTGGGAGGCCAAGGCAAGCAGATTGCTTGAGGCCAGGAGTTCAAGACCAGCCTGGCCAACATGGAGAAATCCCATCTCTACTAAAAAAAAAAAAAACAACAACAAAAAAAATTAGCTGGGCATGGTGGCGGGCGCCTGTAATCCCAGCTATTCAGGAGGCTGAGGCAGGAGAATCACTTGAGCCCAGGAGGCAGAGGTTGCAGAGAGCTGAGATCATGCCACTGCACTCCAGCCTGGGCAACAGACCGAGACTGTCTCCAAAAAAGTTGTAGTTGGTGCTTTAAGGGTGTCCCATTTTCAGTTGAGTTCAGCTCAGCAAACATTAACTAAGTGCCCCACGTATCATGCCCTATACCTGTACTGACAGAACAAAGCTCAGTGAAATACTGTCCCTAATGCTTAAAAAGTTTCTAGTCTTCCTGTGTTTCATCCCCCACCGAGCAGGTAGGTTCTGAATTCAGTTAAGCTCCAAGCCACCCAGAAGGCTAAAGGGGCTTCTGATCCAAAGAGGTAAGGAACTGCCACGGGAAACAGGCTCTAAAGAAACACAAGAATCTGTAGAAAATACAGAAGGACCGGCAAACAGCAAAGACCAGCAGCTCAATGGAAAAAGAGTTTTCTCAACACGACACTGCCAGCTGGCCCATAACCACCACCCTTCAAGCTGGAAGGAAGAATGAGCCAGGCCTCTTACTCCTTTCCTCTTCCTCGTCATTCCCACACATAGAGCGGGGAAGAGAGGAAGAGGGAGTCACAGAGCAGCCTCCATACTTCCTAGCCTCAGCTCTTGACCCACCACCCCTACCCCGCTTCACTGATATAGCTCTAGGCAGGTAAGAACTCTACTGAGGGGGCCCCCAAGGTCTGAGGCAGCAACAACAGTTGCTGCTGCTGGGAAATTGACCAGGGGGTATAGGGAACCCGGCCATATCCACAGCCAGCACATACGAGGAAAGAAACGGTGGCACTCACTACTGAGGGATTCTGAATAGAAAGTCTGCGGACTCTGATCCTGAAAGTACCACGTGTGATGAGGCTTTGGAGCTCAGCTACTTATCTAACAAAGTAATATATACTTGCCGTCGCTGTTTATTTCCAATAACTTAGCTTTCTTCTCTTCATGGGTGTGACATTCCTCATCAGAATCAGAGTCAATCACTACCACGGAGCTGAGTGATGAAACAGGAGAAAAACAAGAGAGAAGTATGAACGCAACAGTCTTCTTTTTCATGGCATTTCTCACCTTTTCTGATCTTGACCACTTGTCAATTTTTTGTTTCCCACAGTAACTCTGTTCCCCTCCTTTGGAACTACTCAATCCTTCCATTCTACCTGATTTTCTATCTTTTTCTCTTTTTCCATCTTCCTACATCTTTCCATCTGTCTCACATCCTTCTAAAACGAGGAGTCTGTCACATACTGAGAGTGAAATGGGCTCTGTCAGATTTTATGTATTCAGATAGTTTTGGCACAGTGGTAAAATTGATCAGGGAGTTGTCATCTTTCTTTATCAAGTTTGAGATCCAGTTGTCTGAGAAGGGTAGAGGGCCACAGATGGAGAGAGGCAGCCTCAGAGTAGGGAGTTTCTCTTCAGTGCTACTCTCTGCAACCCCAAACCAGCACCACCCTCTTGAACTGACGGACTGCTCTGGTAGGTGTCAAACTCAGCAGTGCACCTGCACCACCCAGGGTGCCAGTGGTAAGCACCCCCTGGGGTCCTCATCCTCGGCTAATCCTGGTATTTGGCTCAGAAGTTCCAGCAGGATGAAATTGGCCACCTTCCTGTCCCCAAACAGTGTATAATAAGTATAATATACTTTCATAATGAAAGAAAAATACTTAATACACTGTTACAGGACATGTCTGCACCTGCTACAGACACACATGTTCATCTGCTTCCACCATGTTTACCACTTTGACACTGCCAAGTTGATGTGCCTTTGCTATCCTATTGACTACTCCATCCTTAAAACTCTTTTCTTGATTTCTGGGACAAAGTCGTCTTTTGGTTCTCGTCTCACCTTTCCATTCACTCCTCCTCACTCATCTTCCTCGACTCAATCCCAGGACTTATCCCCAGCCCTCTCATGCCAATACAATCAATTATTAATTACACCAGCCCAATTCATTATATTGAGCCCAACTTCTCTTCTGACTTCTAGCTCCACAGTTCCAACTTCCTACCTGGATATCCTGTGGGCAGGGCTGATATTTAGTCAGTATGCAGAGGTACGGCCTTACCGATTTGTTTATTGATGGTGTCTGTCCTGACCAGCAGGCAACCATCCTGACTAATTCCTGCCTGTGTTCTGTTGGTTGTTAGAAAATTTTGATTATCAGCCCTGCCTACAGGCTCCTTGATTCTAGCATGCCCAAAACCAAACTCATCACCTTCCTCCCAAATCTACTCTTCCTATATCCCATATATAGATGGCACCTGGGACTGGACCAAGACCTGTGGGCACTCCTTGCAGGTCCCTTAAAACTGATTTTCTTTAAACATTTGTTCACCATCTATCTAGCAGAGGCTGGAAGAAACTATTTTTTCTATTTAAAACTCAGATACATTTTAATTATCAAATAAGGACTTCATTATGTATAATATTATACACTGGAATACTTCTTAGGAGCCATGATAGAACATTTAAAATATAAATAACAGCAATGGAAATACTCTGCATCTTGATAGTGGTGATGGTTACACTACCATATATGCTTGTCAAAATCCATCAAACTGTACACCTAAAAAGGGTGAATTTTACCATATATAAATCATACCTCAATAAACCAGACTTTAGAAATACAATTAACAAAACTGATCATCAACGATTAATAGCTTTATACATTATTTGGCTCTAGAATTTCAGCTGATTGCAACTGCTGACTTTATTTATTTATTTATTTATTGAGAGAGTCTCACTCCCACCCAGGCTGGGGTGCAGTGACGCAATCTTGGCTCACTGCAACCTCCGCCTCCCAGGTTCCAGTGATTCTCGTGCCTCAGCCTCCTAAGTAGCTG
This sequence comes from Homo sapiens, assembly GCF_000001405.40. Taxonomy (NCBI): domain Eukaryota; kingdom Metazoa; phylum Chordata; class Mammalia; order Primates; family Hominidae; genus Homo; species Homo sapiens. Next base: position 71,596,099 of record NC_000023.11, on the reverse strand, counting down.
GAATTAGAGGCACATGCTACCACACCCTGCTAATTTTTGTATTTTTATTAAAGATGGGGTTTCCCCATGTTGGCCAGGCTGGTCTTGAACTCCTGACCTCAAGTGATCCGCCCACCTTGGTCTCTCAAAGTGCTGGGATTACAGGCATGAGCCACTGTGCCCGGCCTGCAACTGCAGATTTTAAATGACATTTCACACATTGGTGTCAGGAGTTGGTGGCTTACACGTTATGAAAATACTCAATAGAGATAAATCGGAGATAGCCAGAACAAAAACTTTCCCACTTCACAGCACTATCTAGCTTGATGGGGGGAACAAGAATGACCAATTTGCATTTGTACAGTAATTCAAGGAGTCAATGTGGAAAACAGTTATGTAGCACCATACTTCATATTTACTCCAGCAATTTTTTTCAGCACCCCCTACAGTTTGGCACCTGGGAAACACCCCTCCATCAAGCTCTGGCTAGAACAGAGGATTCATTAATAGGAACAGTAGCAGGTGAGGCTGAAAGAGAGGTTATGGCCAGATCACAGAAGGCGTTAAATATTGGGGTAAACAGCTTGATTTTTCTATTACGAGCTATTTGAATTGAGGATTGATATGATCAAAGCAGTGCCTCAGGAGATCCAACTACAAGTGGTACACCGACTGGATCAGAAGTAAGAGATCAAGGTGAGGAAGCCACTTAAAAAGAAGAAACAAGCTGGGCACGGTGGCTCACACCTGTAATCCCAGAACTTTGGGAGGCCAAAGCAGGTGGATCGCTTCAGGTCAGGAGTTCAAGACAAGCCTGAAAAACATGGTGAAACCCCATCTCTACTAAAAACACAAAAATTAGCCGGGCATGGTGGCGTGTGCCAGTAATCTCAGCTACTTGAGAGGCTGAGGAGAAGAATCACCAGAACTCAGGAGGCGGAGGCTGCAGTGAGCCGAGATTGCACCACTGCACTCGAACCTGGTCGAGCAAGACTCAGTCTCAAAACAAAACAAAACTAAACTAATCTAAAAACAAAAATAAAAAGGAGCAAACACCAAAAAGGGCTTAGACTAGTAGAGCCTGGATGTTAAGGCATAGTTCACAGAGATACCTCAAAGAAGAAACTGACCAGTTAGATAATGGGTCAGGCATAAGGAATCTAATGTTTTCAACCTGGTTGTGATGTCAAACAGCCATCATGATCCTGCTGAGAACCACAGAGTGTCCACAGAGGAAATGTGAAGTTTACTCTTAAATTTCCTTAGACAGAGCATGGGGTTTTTCCCCCCTTAATTTAAAAAAAAAAAAAAAAGTAAAGTTTCATTAATTCTCCTACTCACCTCGCCTGTCTCTTCGGAGCTCTTCTGGCCACAGCTAAATCAGAGAAAGAGGGCATTAGAAAACATCTGAAGCATGAAAAAATCTGGTTGCCTATGTCTTTAACTCCCTAAAACCAAAGTCTATAAATTAGAGCTGCTTAAAATTTACATCTCCCATGAAGGATAGAAAGGAAATAAAAGTAAGGAAACCCAGAGCCAAAAAAAAAGGAGGAAAGTAAGTTGGAAAAGAAGCAGAGAACCTCCTCCACTCCTGACAGTAGGGAAATTTCATTTCACCGACCTAAAGAGAGCCCTAGAGGTGACGAACTTAGAACCAACTTAGGCCAGACATCCCAAATCACAGTTGAGTCATCTCTACAAAGACACTTCAAAATGTTCCTGCTTTGAGTGGACTCTACTTACAAGACCCACTGGTGTCACCACTCCTTGACTGGACATTAAGGATGCAACTGCAAAAATAAAAGAGATACTTTATAAAAGGAGGGCTATCGACGCCATAAGCAACCAATTATCAAAAATCCCAAATAAGTGAAGAAAACAACCAATCAGAATTCCTGAAATGCAAAAAGGTTTTAAGGGCTTTAAGCCCTTAGGAAATTAGGATCACAACAGCACAAGTGAACAAAAATTGGAAGCAATGAGCTGCTCAGTCCTTACTGCTGAATCAAAAACACGGGAAGAATGTTAGCTGAGTATCATTAGCTATCAGTGAAAAGCCTGTTTTCTGCCAAGTAATTTATTTCTATTTAAAGGTATGAAAGAGACGCCAGGCATGGAGGCTCACGCCTGTAATCCCACCAACTCGGGAGGCTGAGCAGGGAGGATTGCTTGAGCCCAGGAATTCAAGGTTGCAGTGAGCTATGATGGTGCCACTGCACTGCAGTGTGGGCGACACAGCAAGACCCTGTCTCTAAAAAAAAGTAAAATAAAAAATAAAGACATGAAAGTGAGTCTTGAGAAAAGAGCCTCGGGGGAAAGGACTTGAGGATGAAGAGATTGCAGTCAAAAATTAAAGGGCAAAAGGGCAAGGAGGTCCCCGTTAAGGGTGTACTTCTTGGAGACAGCCTACTGTTTGGGATTGATATCTAGGTAAATGGACAACTACTGAACTCCGTTTCATGCAGAGCCAATGAATGGATGGTTTCAAAGCTGCCACTGCTCCCTGCAGTGAGCCACGATGCTGGGGCCTCTTGCTTCTCTGTCTCATCTGCCAGGGGTCCCAGCACTCTCTCTCTGCTGCTCTGTGGCAGGCTACTTTGCCTCTTGCTATCACTTACGAGAGTTATGCAGCACCACCTGAGGTGAAGCCAAGCACTTCCTGCTCGGAACCCTTCAGCTCGCCAGACAGCAGCCGGCTGGACATCCACTGTCAGCCAGATCCAAACTCCAGCCCAGGGGAGTCACACCGCAGTGAGCACCACTTCACCGCCACTGCCACTCCTCCAATGTGGCGCCTGGCTACATCATAGGTCATCTTGTTATTAGTTATTGTGACACATAGTCCACAGAGGATATCAAAATGCTAAAGGAGGGGGACATAATAGCTATAAGGAAGTCCAGGCTCTACATACTAAAAGTTAGACTTAGGCCAGGTGCAGTGGTTCACGCCTGTAATCCTAGCACTTTGGGAGGCCAAGGCAGGTGGATCACTTGAGGTCAGGAGTTCAAGACCAGCCTGACCAACATGGTGAAACCCCATCTCTACTAAAAATACAAAAATTAGCCAGGCATGGTAGCGTGTGCCTATAATCCCAGCTACTCTGGAGGCTGAGGCAGAAGAATCACTTGAACCCCGGAGGTGGAGATTGCAGTGAGGTGAGATCGTGCCACTGCATTCCAACAGAGCAAGACTCAGTCTCAAAAAAAATAAAAATACAAATAAAAACTAAAGTAAACTAAAAATAAAACTAAAAGGGAGTAAACACTGATAAGGGCTTAGACTAGTAGAGCCTGGATGTTAAGGCATAGTTCACAGAGATACCTCAAAGAAGAAACTGACCAGTTAGATAATGGGTCAGGCATAAGGAATCTAATGTTTTCAACCTGGTTGTGATGTCAAACAGCCATCATGATCCTGCTGAGAACCACAGAGTGTCCACAGAGGAAATGTGAAGTTTACTCTTAAATTTCCTTAGACAGAGCATGGGGTTTTTCCCCCCTTAATTTAAAAAAAAAAAAAAAGTAAAGTTTCATTAATTCTCCTACTCACCTCGCCTGTCTCTTCGGAGCTCTTCTGGCCACAGCTAAATCAGAGAAAGAGGGCATTAGAAAACATCTGAAGCATGAAAAAATCTGGTTGCCTATGTCTTTAACTCCCTAAAACCAAAGTCTATAAATTAGAGCTGCTTAAAATTTACATCTCCCATGAAGGATAGAAAGGAAATAAAAGTAAGGAAACCCAGAGCCAAAAAAAAAGGAGGAAAGTAAGTTGGAAAAGAAGCAGAGAACCTCCTCCACTCCTGACAGTAGGGAAATTTCATTTCACCGACCTAAAGAGAGCCCTAGAGGTGACGAACTTAGAACCAACTTAGGCCAGACATCCCAAATCACAGTTGAGTCATCTCTACAAAGACACTTCAAAATGTTCCTGCTTTGAGTGGACTCTACTTACAAGACCCACTGGTGTCATCACTGCTTGACTGAACATTAAGGATGTAACTGCAAAAATAAAAGAGATACTTTATAAAAGGAGGGCTATCGACGCCATAAGCAACCAATTATCAAAAATCCCAAATAAGTGAAGAAAACAACCAATCAGAATTCCTGAAATGCAAAAAAGGTTTTAAGGGCTTTAAGCCCTTAGGAAATTAGGATCACAACAGCACAAGTGAACAAAAATTGGAAGCAATGAGCTGCTCAGTCCTTACTGCTGAATCAAAAACACGGGAAGAATGTTAGATGAGTTATCGCTAGCTATCAGTGAAAAGCCTGTTTTCTGCCAAGTAATTTATTTCCATTTAAAGGTATGAAAGCAACACCAGGCATGGAGGCTCACGCCTGTAATCCCACCAACTTGGGAGGCTGAGCGGGGAGGATCGCTTGAGCCCAGGAATTCAAGGTTGCAGTGAGCTATGATGGTGCCACTGCACTGCAGTGTGGGCGACACAGCAAGACCCTGTCTCTAAAAAAAAGTAAAATAAAAAATAAAGACATGAAAGTGAGTCTTGAGAAAAGAGCCTCGGGGGAAAGGACTTGAGGATGAAGAGATTGCAGTCAAAAATTAAAGGGCAAAAGGGCAAGGAGGTCCCCGTTAAGGGTGTACTTCTTGGAGACAGCCTACTGTTTGGGATTGATATCTAGGTAAATGGACAACTACTGAACTCCGTTTCATGCAGAGCCAATGAATGGATGGTTTCAAAGCTGCCACTGCTCCCTGCAGTGAGCCACGATGCTGGGGCCTCTTGCTTCTCTGTCTCATCTGCCAGGGGTCCCAGCACTCTCTCTCTGCTGCTCTGTGGCAGGCTACTTTGCCTCTTGCTATCACTTACCAGAGAGTTATGCAGCACCACCTGAGGTGAAGCCAAGGTTCCTGCTCGGAACCCTTCAGCTCACCAGACAGCAGCCGGCTGGACATCCACTGTCAGCCAGATCCAAACTCCAGCCCAGGGGAGTCACACCGCAGTGAGCACCACTTCACCGCCACTGCCACTCCTCCAATGTGGCGCCTGGCTACATCATAGGTCATCTTGTTATTAGTTATTGTGACACGTAGTCCACAGAGGATATCAAAATGCTAAAGGAGGGGGACATAATAGCTATAAGGAAGTCCAGGCTCTACATATTAAAAGTTAGACTTCAGCTGGGCACGGTGGCTCACGCTTGTAATCCCAGCACTTTGGGAGGCCGAGGCAGTTGCATTGCTTGAGGTCAGGAGCTCAAGATCAGCCTGACCAACATGGTGAAACCCCATCTCTACTGAAAATACAAAAATTAGCCAGGCCTGTTGGCGGGCGCCTGTAATCCCAGCTACTCGGGAGGCTGAGGCAGGAGCATCACTTGAACCCAGGAGGCAGAGGTTGCAGTGAGCCAAGATCCACGCCACTACACTCCAGCCTGGGCCACAGAGCGAGACCCCATCAAAAAAAAAAAAAATTAGACTTAGCCACTTCTTTACGGCTTTTCATTTGGCCTAGAGGCTGATACTGTGCTGCCTGTATACTTTTCCAATCTTTCAAAATACATGATGGCTCAACTCCTTGATTAAACTTCCTATGCATTTCTCAACCACTGTACATTGGACTTAGTAGTAGACTTCAAGTTTTTTTCTTTAATCAGGAAAGAAACCTTTTGCTGGCTGTACGGTTTCCCATGTATGGGTCAATATGTGATGTTAGTTGTCAGTAAACAGCACTATATATTATATAAACTAACAGCTGATTCAGACTTCATCCATCTTTTTACATACTTTTGTGTTACAAACACACCTACTTTTTTGAGAGGTCAGGCAAAAGGAACAAAGGATCAACATGAGGCAAAAAGTTACATGACAGAGAGCCCCACCCAAATCCCTAATGGCAAAATATCAAATTCCAGGTGGGATAGTAACCAACAGGTGAGGAAGTCCAAGGAAAGCACTAAGGAAGAAATACATGGTCAAAAAGAAGGCAGATTTTGTTTGGTATCTTTTCCAAGTAATATTCACCACCAGGGGAACAAGTCCCTAGAATGTATTTCAAGGCTCATGTTACTATTATTAGAAAATATACGCAGGTGGCTGAATGCAGTGGCTCACGCTTGTAATCAGCACTTTGGGAGGCTAAGGCGGGAGGATTACTTGAGCCCAGGAGTTCAAGACCAGCCTGGGCAACATGGTGAAACCGTCTCTACAAAAAAAAAAAAAATCAAACAACGAGGCTGGAGGGTTGCTTCAGCCCGAGAGGTCGGGGCTGCAGTGAGCCATGATAGTGCCACTGCAGTTCCCACCTGGGTGACAGGAGTGAGACCCTGTCTTAAAAAAAAAGAAAATATATGCAGGCTAGCTGACATGTTAAGAATAGGGGAAAAGGAAAAAAGGAGGCTGGGTGCAGTGGCTCATGCCTGTAATCCCAGCACTTTGGGAGGCCGAGGTGGGTGATCACCTGAGGTCAGGAGTCTGAGACCAGCTGGGCCAACATAGCAAAATCCCGTCTCTACTAAAAAATACAAAACTTAGCTGGGTGTGGTAGCACATGCCTATAGTCCAATTTCTTCAGAGGCTGAGGCAGGAGAATCACTTGAAACCTGGAGGCAGAGGTTGCAGTGAGCCAAGATTGCACCACCGCACTCCAGCCTGGGTGACAGAGCAAGACTCTGTCTCAAAAAAAAAAAAAAAAAAAAAAAAAAAAAAAAAGGAAATATATGCAGGCCAGGTACGCTGTAGTCCCAGCTATGCAGGGGGTAGGGGAGGACTGCATGAGCCCAGGAGGTGGAGGCCTCAGTGCACCATGATCACACCTGTGAATAGCCACTGTACTCTGGCCTGGGAAATACAGCAAGAAACCCCCCACCACACCTCGTTAAAAAAAAAGAATATATGCATTGAAGGAAGAAGAACCAGAATTCTATCATGAAAGGACTAAGAAATAACATTGGAAGGCTTTAAAGATACATTTAAAAAAAAAAACAAACCTCAAAAACTATAGAAGAGCTGGGAGCAGTGGCTCATGCCTATAATCCCAACACTTTGGGAGGTCGAGGCCGGAGGATCACTTGGGAGCAGGAGTTCAAGACTAGTGTGGGCACCATAGCGAGACTCTTTGTCTTTACAAAAAATATTTTTAAATTAGCTGGATGTGGGATCCTCCCAGCTACTCAAGAGTATCCCTTGAGCCCAAGAGTTCGAGGCTGCAATGAGCTATGATGGCATCACTGCACTCCCACCTGGCTGACAAAGAAAAAAAAAAAAAAACTTAAAAAAAAGTTATAAAAGATCCAAAAAAGATCTATTTTATTTTATTTTATTTTATTTATTTATGAGACAGAGTCTCGCTCTGTCACCCAGGTTGCAGTGCAGTGGCGCGATCTTGGTTCACTGCAACCTCCACCTCCTGGGTTTAAGTGATTCTCCTGCCTCAGCCTGTGGAGTAGCTGGGATTACAGGCGTGTGTCACCACGCCCAGCTCATTTTTGTATTTTTAGTAGAGATGGGGTTTCACCATGTTGGCCAGGCTGGTCTTGAACTCCTGACCTCAGGTGATCTGCCAGCCTTGGCCTCCCAAAGTACTGGGATTACAGACATGAGCCACCACGCCTGGCCAGATCTCTCCTTTAAAACTTTAAAAGACTATAAATCATAAAGATTATGTATGCTTTTATATGACTACAGAAAAATCTCTGGAAGAAATACTGCCAAATTATTCAAAATTATTACCTCAGAAGAATGGGAGGATGCAGGCATGTGAAGGCAGACTTTCACTTTTTAATTTATATGCTTCTGTACTGTTCATTTTCACCACAGACCTATATTCCCTTAGTAATTTTTACAACTCAATAAATATATTATAACATGATTAGGATATCTGTGGTTCATTCATTCACTAATTAGACATTTATCGAGCATCTACTATATACTTGGTACTGGGGCTACAAAAAAGAAAAAAAGAATGACTTCTAGGGATCTCACAGTCTAGTGGCAAAGACAAAAAAACAAATAGACAATATTTATGAGCCTTACTCTAGAACAACAGGAATCAGAAACTGCATTTTTGGCCGGATGCAGTGGCTCACACCTGTAATCCCAGCAATTTAGGAAGCCAAGGTGGGTGGATCCCTTGAACCCAGGAGCTCTAGACCAGCCTGGCCAACATGGCGAAACCCCATCTCTACTAAAAATACAAAAATTTTAAGAGCCAGGCATGGTGGCGCACACCTGTAACCCCAGCTACTGGGGAGGCTGAGGAACAAGAATCACTTGAACCCAGGAGACAGAGGTTGCAGTGAGTTTGCAGTGAGCTGAGATTGTGCCACTGCACTCCAGCCTGGGCGACAGAGCAAGACTGTTTAAAAAAAAAAAAAGAAATCCAAGAAACTACATTTTTAACAAGCACCCCCAGGCAATTCTGATCCAGGAAGCTGGCAGACCACACTTTCAGGAACACCAGTTAAATGTGACAGCCTTCTTTTCCTTGAAATCAGGAATTGAAAATATCAATAGAATGCTAATTAAGTAACTTTGGCATTGTCAAGAAATTTAAAACATAGCCAATCCACTAGGTGACCCATTTGCTTTTCTGATTATTTTAAATTCAGCCTAACAGGATAATTTTTAAAATATAATTTTAAATATATTTTAAATATCATATCATCAAGGCTATCTTGTAATAGTATTGACAAAACAAAGAATCTTGCTTGGGCTAAAAAAGACTAGTCAGTGGGCATCAGAGAGTACCAATTAGGCTTATCAATGAAAACCAGACCCCCACCTCTTGCATTATGCATTTCGGTACAACTTCTGCCTTTGAAGTGCCAATCCCTCCTTCCCCACCCCCTTCACTGTGTTAATGACCTTGTCTCATAAGACACTAGGATAATAGAAGCAATCAGCTAGGAACTCACTCATCCTCCCACCAAGAAATCTCCAGAACTAACTGCAACCATACTAGACTCTCCGCCTTCTCTATCACTAACAAGGGAACACAGTGTCCCTACCACTATCAAAGACCAATCCCTCCCTTGTACTTTGGACCTGTCTCCCCTAGCCTTCCCAAGGATTGTATTCCGGTAGTTCCAGCACTCTGTGCTGCATCATTCTCCCCTTTCTCCTGAATCATTCATGCTACTAGCCCTAGACTCCATGTCCCCAACTTTACATTAATAGCCTTGAGCTCTTCACTGAACTCAAACTGTCTACTTGACACCTTGGATATTTATTAAGTATTTAAAAGGTAACATGGGCCAGGCGCAGTGGCTCACACCTGTAATCCCAGCATTTTGGGAGGCTGAGGCAGGCGGATCACCTGAGGTCAGGAATTTAAGATCAGCCTGGCCAACATGGTGAAACCCCGTCTCTACTAAAAATACAAAAATTAGCCAGGTGTGGTGGCAGGTGCCTGTAATCCCAGCTACTTGGGAGGCTGAGGCTGGAAAATCGCTTGAACCCAGGAGACAGAGGTTGCAGTGAGCTGAGATCGCACCACTGCACTCAAGCCTGGGCAACAAGAGCGAAACTCTGTCTCAAAAAAAAAAAAGTAACATGGCCACATGGCCAACAACACAGAACTCTATTTTCTCCCTCAATCCTGTTCCTATCCCAGCCCTACCCATCTCAGTCAATGGCACCACCATCTACCCAGTAATGCCAAATAATTGAGGAGTCATCCTTGATTTCTTTCTTTCCCTCACCTCCCATATCCAACCCATCTGCAAGACCTGTTGGCTCCACTTCTCTAATATATTTCATCTAAGACACATTATTATATGTACCTCCTCCATGAAAGAAAAAAAACACTACCAAACTACAACCTGCCATCAAATGTATGATACATGCCAATTTCAGAAATGCAAAAATGTGAAAAGACATCTCTGAATTTATGAACTACAATATATTACATATTCATCCAAATCTCTCCAACTCCACTAGTAGCACCCTACTCTAAGCCACCATCACTTCTAGACTTTCATAATACCAAGTTCTTGGGCCTCAGTTGAAAAAAAAAAAAAAAACATTTATTTCATAGGGCTATTGTGGAAAGTAAACAAGATGCTATCTGCCCTCCTCTGTACTCCTATGGCATCATGCACATCTGCCCCTTCGCAGCGTTTATCACACTCTACTTTAACTACCTGTTTACGTGTTTCTAACCCCCACCCTAGACAGTAAGCTATGCAAGGACTTGGAAGTGTATTTGTTTCACGTTGTTCCATACAAAGTCAGGATTCAATAAGTATTTTTTAAATGAATGAATGTATGAATGAATCTCAAAATCTCAAAGTGATTCCAAAGACCCCTTCTATTATTTTCCACCCCCTAAAAAAACCTCAAGTTGTGAAAGAATTCTGCCTACTAGATCTCACTAAGTAATAATTTTCTGTGTGTAAAAATGTAATTACACATATATGCCCATCTATGTGAAGGTTCGAGGTAAAGAGTCAGCCCAAAGTAAAAAACAAGCTAACAGTCTTATCTTCGTTAGTGAAAATACAATGCTCAGATCAAGGGAAGTAGCAGTTCCAATTTGGAGCTAAGATTGGTTAGAGACTGGCAGGTTGGTGTCTGGCCTCAAGAGCTATCTCCAACCAGAAGCCTAAGATCTGCTTTTTGGACCTGTAGCTTCAGAAACTCAGGTTTATCAATTCTTCATTAAATGCTAAAGGCATGACTCCTGTCAACCAAATTCACAAGGGGCTAATAATAACACATAACCCATTTACCTCTCAGGACAACTGAGACTAACGATCCACCCTGGGCACTCCCTATTTGAGGGCAAGTGACTGAGGGTCATGGAGCTGCAATTTGACCTTTTGCTTTGTTTTTTTTTTTCTTTTTTTGAGACAGGGCTTTGCTCCCGTCGCCCAGGTGGAAGTGCAATGGCGCGATCTCAACTCACTGCAACCTCCACCTGCTGGGCTCAAGCAATTCTCCCGCCTTAACCCCCCAAGTAGCTGAGACTACAGGTGTGTGCCATTGTGCCTGGCTAATTTTTGTATTTTTTTTTGTAGAGACAGGGTTTCACCATGTTGGCCAGGCTGGTCTCAAACTCCTGGACTCAAGCCATCCGCCCACCTCAGCCTCCCAAAGTGCCGGGATTACAGGTGTGAGCCACTGGGCTCGGCCACCTTTTGCATTTTTGATCACACACATGATTCAGGAGACTGAATCAGTAATAAAAAACCTCCCAACAAAGAAAAGCCCAGGATCATATTGATTCACTGGTGAATTCTACCAAAAATTTAACGAAGAATTAACACTAATCATTTTTTTTCTTTTTTTATTTTGATATGGAGTCTCACTCTGTCACCCAGGCTGGAGTGCAGTGGTGCGATCTCGGCTCACTGCAAGCTCTGCCTCCCAGGTTCACGCCATTCTCCCGCCTCAGCCTCCCGAGTAGCTGGGACTACAGGTGCCTGCCACCACGCCCAGCTAAATTTGTTTTTGTATTTTTACTAGAGATGGAGTTTCACTGTGTTAGCCAGGATGGTCTCGATCTCCTGACCTCGTGATCCGCCCGCCTCGGCCTCCCAAAGTGCTGGGATTACAGGCGTGAGCCACCGCTCCTGACTATTAATTTAATTTTTAAATTAAATGCTATGAGGCCGGGTGCGGCAGTCACGCCTGTAATCCCAGCACTTTGGGAGGCTAAAGCAGGCAAATCGCTTGAGCCCAGGAGTTCGAGACTAGCCTGGGCAACTTGGCGGCGAAACCACATCTCTACAATAAAATACAAAAATTAGCTGGGCATGGTGGTGCATCTGTAGTCCCAGCTACTCTGAAGGCTGAGGTGGGAGGATCACTTGAGACCAGAAGGCAGAGGTTGCAGTGAGTCATGATCATGCCACTGCACTCCAGCCTGGGTGACAGAGTAATACCGTCTCAAACAAACAACAAAAAAAATTAAATACTACAAAAAGCAACTTTGGGCATTTAATTGGCTTCATAAACTGGATTTTCCTATGCTTGGTTGCCAAAAATCAAATTACTCAATCAACAGTATGTCCAGCTGCACACAGTGGCTCACACCTGTAATCCCAGCACTTTGGGAGGCCGAGGCGGGTGGATCACTTGAGGCCAGGAGTTTGAGACCAGCCTGGCCAACGTGGTGAAACCCCATCTCTACTAAAAATACAAAAAAAAAATTAGCCGGGCGTGGTGGCACATGCCTATAATCCCAGCATTTTGGGAGGCCAAGGCGGATGGATCACTTGAGGCCAGGAGTTCAAGACCAGCCTGGCCAACATGGTGAAATCCCATCTCTACTAAAAATACAAAAAAAAAAAAAAGTTAGGCGGGTGTGGTGGCATGCGCCTGTAATCCCAGCTACTCAGGAGGCTCAGGCACGAAAATTGCTTGAACCCAGGAGGCAGAGGCTGCAGTGAGCCAAGATTGCGCCACTGCACTCCAGCCTTGACAATAGAGCAAGGCTCTGTCTCAAAAAAAAAAAAAAAAAAAAAAAGAATATAATAGTATGTCCAATTTTATAGCTCTTGGTACATCTGCTTAATCATTTCCAAAGGGTTGTGTCAGTTTATGATGTCAGCAGCATTACTATGATTAAATATTTAAAATTTGCTAATAGGTAAATGATTTTTAAATTAGCATTCCTTTTTATTACTTATTAAGACGTATATTTTCCAATGTTGGCGTCATTCTTTTGCTGATCCCCTCCACACCCCCCGCTTTTTTAAACAAAAAATAGAGATGAGGTCTTGCTATGTTGCCCAGGCTGGTCTCAAACTCGTAAGTTCCAGCATTCCTCCCGCCTCAACCTCCCAAAGTGCTAGGATTACAGGCGTGAGCCACCCCACCCCCTACCCACATTTTTAATGACTATGGCAAAATAATGTTTACCAGGTCATTTTTTTTCTAACTGATAAAGAACTCTGAAAACAGCAGTGAGTGACACTCTGTCCTTGCTCTTCCCGGAGACAATGTATCTTATTTATCCTTCTAGAAAGTTAAGCGTAAGCACACATCAGAACAAGTACACACACCATTTTCTTTTTTTATTTTTATTTTTACAAATAATATTATGCTATATGCATTGTTCTGCAGCTTGCATTTTTCACTTTATATTTCTTAGTAGTCTTTTCATTATCAGTACACATAGCTCTCACCACATTTTTGCAATGAACCCTAATTTATTCAAGTAGACTCTTAGGACATTTCAGCTCTTTTCAAATTTGTGCTATTACAAACAGTGCTGCAATGAATGTTCTTGTACATATTTCTCTATGTACTGGTAATTAAATCATATATCCTTCTTCCACAAAAGTGAACAAAGACCAAAATACCCTGTAAATGTCTATATATGATTACATGAACATGGAGAAAAGTATGGAAGGCTAGCTACATAAATATTTAGCATGGGTTACAGGGAGAAAGGCCATGGGAGAAGGGGAAAAGAAAGTCAAGAAAAAATAAGACTGAATTACAATTACTGAATTACATGTATGATATAATCACATTTATGCACTCATGTATATGGGAGTACAAGTATAAAGAAATTAAATGAGTTTAAAAGAAAAAGTCTCAGTAGTGGAACTGCTACTTCAAAGGACATAGGCATTTAAAATGTGATACTGCCAGACTGCCCTCCAAAAAGGTTGTACCAAATATATACTCCCACAAAGAATGTAGGAGATTTTCTGTTTTCCTATCAATTGGCAACACTGGGTATCATCAAACTTTTTGCAAATATATAAAAAATGGTATCTCATTTTAAAATTTATCATTTCTTTACTTTTCCAAGTGGGAGAAAAAAAAAATAAATGAATAAGATTTATCATTCCTTTAATGAGAAGTAATATAATTAAAACTTATCACTTATTTAATGAGAAGCAATATAATTAAAAGCTGATTTTTTTTTTTTTTTTTTGGAGAGAGGGTCTCGGGTTGCAGAGGCTGGAGTGCAGTGGCGCAATCTCGGCTCACTGCTGCCTCGACTTCCCGGGCTCAGGTGATTCTCCCACCTGAACCTCCCGAGTAGCTGGGACTATAGGTGCAGCCGCCGTGCCCAGCTAATTTTTTTATTTTTTGTAGAGGCGGAATTTCATCATCTTGCTCAGGCTGGTCTCAGGACTCAAGCGATCCGCCCACCTCTGCCTCCCAAAGTGTGCCCGGCCAAAGCTGAAAATTTTAATGTCTGAGGTCCGTTTGTATTTTTTTTTTTCCCAGAGAGCTACCTTCTAATATTCTTTGTCATGTTCCATGCGTTTGTTCACCTTTTTCTAAATTACTGATTTATAAAAAGCTTTTTGTTAAGGAAAATAGCCCTTTATATTTGTAACACAAATATTTTTCCAGTTTATTTACCATATTTATGTTTTGTTTGATATCAAACTTAGACCTTTCTACTCCAAAAACTATTGGAAACAAAATCCATCTATTGTTTTCTAACATTTTAATGGTTTCATTTTTTATTTTAAAATATTTGATCCATGTGTAATCTATTTTGGCATAAGCAATAAGGCAAAAACCCAAGTCTCATTTTTTTCCAAATGGTTAGCCAGTTATCCTCAAATGGTTTGTTGACTAATCCATATTTTTCCCCATTGATTTGAAATGCTGAAATGTCGTTTTTCTTGTTTAGTAAATTTTCTTATGTACTTAGGTCTATTTCCAGACTTTCTGTTGGTTTGTACCTTCCCCCATATCATACCCTTGCATGCATATCTGTGAGGGAGGAAAATAGGGTAGTGTTCCAGAAGAGAAAAAACTTAGAGACAGGCAGCTATCTTAAAAATAGCTCCTGATCACATCACTGCACTCCAACCCGGGCGACAGAGCAGACCCTGTCTCTCACACGCACAAAAAAAATACCTCATGTTGGAAGTTCTCTGAACCTTTATTGGTTCAGGGCGCATCTCCATAAAAAAATTTAAAACAAAAACACCTTGTGTTATCATGGAGAAGAAAAATACTTGTGTACCTCTAGAGGCAGCACTATCGATACTGGCGTGGAACAACAGGTTTTAATTGCATCAGAATGAAGAACTTTCTAGAAACCACATATATTCAACGATGCACTGTTGCCTCAAATGTCGTCATTTCCTGGCCACTAACAAAGAAATTATATAGCGGATTCAAGAATTTCATAGGAGGCTGGACTCCTAGTTTGTAAAATCCTTCTTTACAATTCTCATTTTATAACAAACCAAGTTATACGCTCTACAGATACTAAAGGAAATAAACATACTTCTCGAGAAAGCTGTTTTGCCAATACGGTAACACTAAACTAAAAGAAAACAGAACTTTCTAAATCTCACCAATCCTCGTCCTCCTCCGGCTCTTGCAAGCGGGGCAGCTCTTTTTTGCACCCATCCATGTCTGTAGTGAAAGACAAAGATACACTTTCTTAAGAAAGCCAGAACTCGGCCGGGCGCAGTGGCTCACGCCTATAATCCCAGCACTTTGGGAGGCCGAGGCGGGCAGATCACAATGTCATGAGATCGAGACCATCCTGGCTAACACGGTGAAACCCTATCTCTATTAAAAATACAAAAAATTAGCCAGGCGTGGTGGCGGGCGCCTGTAGTCCCAGCTACTCGAGAGGCTGAGGCAGGAAAATGGCGTGAACCCGGGAGGCAGAGCTTGCAGTGAGCCGAGATTGTGCCACTGCACTCCAGCCTGGGCCACAGAGCTAGACTCCATCTCAAAAAAGAAAAAGAAAAAGAAAATAAAATAAAAAGAAAAAAAAAAGAAAGCCAGAACTCAAAAGCAGAGACATCTCTACATTTACATTCTGCATTTATCTTTGGGTATCTTCCCCACCTTAAAGCCGAAACTTTGCTCTGCAAAATGAAAAGGATTTAAATTTGTTTTGTTGCAAACTTTTCCCACTCAGGCCTCTACCACCCCAATCTCTTCCCACCCTGCACCCGCCCCCACTTCCCACTCCCTCCACTCCCACCTCAACTTGCCAGTCTTCCACGTATCAGGGCTCGACCGCCCCCACATCCCACTGGCCCTCCACCTCCCTACAACCTTCAGTCCCCCTACTCCTGCCCCAAGGAAGTCTCCCACCTACCGGGTGTCAACCTCTCCCCCTTCCCCTACCTCTTTACTCCCCACTCTGTCAATCTTACCCAGAATAGGCTACCACCGCCCCCTCATCACCTTCTTCCTTCTGTCCAACCTCCACTGCCCCCTTACCTCCCGCCACTCTGGCTTCTCACTGGTCTTATATGAATCCGGCCACCCCCTCCACGCTTCCTATTCCTGCCTCCAGCCTCTAGCCAATCTTCGACCAAACAGGCCTTGACCCCTCCCCAACTCCTTCCTCCTATCAGGTCTGGACCCTACCCCCACCATTCTCACCTCAGTCTTCCACCAATCAGGCCTCAACCCCACCACCCTTCCCCCACACTCGCACCTCCAACCACCTCCAGCCACCTTCAACTGCTCCCAACCGGTTTTCCAAGCAGGCTTCCACTCCCCCACACTTCTATCCAACTTCTGCCCTACCCCACTCCTGTCTCCCACCACCACTCAGTCCTCAGCCAAAGAGACCTCAACCCCCACACACACACCCCTACCCACAACCACTAGCTCCCACCTCCCCCCAATGCTGCAACGGGCACCCCCACTTCTCCCCACAGCCACTGGCACCCCCACCTCCAATGCCACCACCAGCATCCTCACTTCTCCCCACGCCCACCAGCACCACCACGTGCTCCTAGGCCACTTCCACCACCACCAAGTGTTCCTACGCCGCCACCAGAACCCCCCACTTCCCTCAACGCCCCCATTGGCACCCCCACCTTCAATGCGGCCACCGGCGCCTCCACTTCTCCCCACACCGCCAGCGCTACTATGTGCTCCTATGCCACCAACGCCACCAAGTACTCCTAGGCCGCAACTGGCACCCCCACCTCCCCCCACGCTGCCACTGGCATCCCTACTTCTCCCCACCCGCCACTAGGGACACCACCTGTTCCTACACCACCACTGGGGCCCCCACCTCCCCCCAGTGCCGCAACCAGCGCCCTCACTTCTCCCCGCGCCGCCACCGGCGCCACGTATTCCTACATAGCCACTGGCGCCACCACACGCTCCTACGCCACCACCAGCGCTCCCACTTCCCCCAAGGCCGCCAATGGTGCCCCTACTTCTCCCCACACCGTCACTGGTGCTACCACATGCTCCTACACCACCACCAGCACCCCCACTTCCCCGACACTGCCACAGGCACCCCCACTTCCCCCAACGCCGCCACTGGTGCCCCTACTTCTCTCCACCCGCCACTGGCACCAACACCTCCTTCTACGCCACCACCAGGCCCCCCACTATCTGCAATGACGCCACCAGCGCCCCTTCTCCCCACGCCGCCACTGGCACTACCAGCTGCTCCTACGCCGCCACCGGCGCCCCCACCCCTCCCAATGCCGCCACTGGCGCCACCATATGTTTCCTACACCACCATGGGCGCCCCCACCTCCCCCAATGCTACCACTGGCGCCTCCACTTCTCCCCTCGCTGCCACTTCCTCTACTCCCACCTCAGGCCTACACGGGCAACCAGAGTCCAAGGTATACAGTGGTCCTGATTTTAATTAAGTCACTCAATTAGGATTAACCTCTGGACCACTTCAGCACCCATCTCAGTCCGACCAGCCGGTCACCTACCTGGTGTTGCAGCCTCTGGCGTGGCCGGCAGCAGCTCACCTCCAACTGCCCGTGGAGTGTGTGCAAAGATCCGGAGCAACTGCGATGAACAACGCCAGGCGCAGGCCCCTTTATAGTGCCCGGACCTAGGGGGCGGTAGCAGTAATTCACGTGTGCTCGCCCGCGCTCCCCTGTACCCACCTATCACAGTGGTCACAAGACAAATTTGAACTTCGCGCCTGTGAACTTGGCGCCTAGCTGTAACGCTTCCGGGATCAGGTCTGTCGCTTTCCACTCCCACGGATGTTGCTTATTTGTCCCAAAACCGCCATTTCAATACTAGAGCGTGGGCACCCGAGGCCAATTCTGCGATTAAAAGTCCCTAACAACTTTCTGATAAAGAGAAACCATGTGAAATCGTTCATAACAAACTTTTATCCTGCGAGAACTTGGATAAGCGAGCCTTGTTCCTTACTTGAATTGTCCAGACCTCTAAGTCCGTTATTGCAACCACTGGGAAAGGGCGCGGGGGGAGGGGCGGGGGCACGAGAACTGGAGCGAAGGCGCGGGAGCAGGGGCGTGGACGGGAACACCGAGGGGAGGGCGGGGCGCGGGGGGACGCGGGAGCGCAGGGGGGCGGGGGTTGCAGGGAAGGCCATCTAGACCCCTAGATAAGAGCAAGGCAGCAACTCAACAGCGCCTGGCAACGGCGAACTATGATGTTTACTTCCAGAACCCTCCAAACCCTGGAGATAAAAAAAGGTTACTTGAGGCTTTTTGGCACTCACTCCATACACACCAAGAAAAACAAACGGGGAAAACAGCGCTTTCTAGATTGTGCCAGTTTCTCCAGCGAGCATCTATATATTTCGTAATGTATGCCTTTGGGTAACAGAACACACATAAAATGTCCCTGCGTTTGATACTATTTTGTGCTAAGCATTATTCCAAGTGTCTTACGACTTAATTCATACAACACTTTAAAAAGTAGGCAACTGTTAGCACTCTCATTTTAGAGATCACACAGCTAGAAAGTGGCAGAGCTGGCCGGGCACAGTGGCTCACGCCTGTAACCCCAGCACTTTGGGAGGCTGAGGCGGGTGGATCACGAAGTCAGGAGCTTGAGACCAGCCTGGTCAACATGGTGAAACCCCGTCTCTACTAAAGATAAAAAAAAAAAAATAGCCGCGTGTGGTGGCCCGCGCCTGTAATCCCAGCTACTCGGGAGGCTGAGGCAGGAGAATCGCTGGAACCTGGGAGGCGGAGGTTGCAGTGAGCCGAGATCGTGCCATTGCACTCCAGCATGGGGACAGGGCGAGACTCCATCTCAAAAAAAAAAAAAAAAGTGGCAGAGCTGAGATTCAAACTCCAACTCTAGTTCCAAAACCTGCTCTTAAGCACCAGATTGCCTACCTAAATACAGATACTTTCTCAGTTGATAAAAAAATTGGATAAAGGGGGCTGATTACTCTCTCTCTCTACAATGAAGTTGCAAATTAACCTCTACAAGCCTCTTTATAAGAATGGGGATTACATAACTGTGCCTCAGAGGCTTGGGCAAAGAACCAGGATGTTAGCTATAATTGAGAGGCATATGCTTCAAGTAAAAGAATGGGATAGGTTTGGAATCAAATCTTAAAATGGGCAGTTCAGAAATTACACACATTTACTCAAGGTGTGCAAGCAACTCCTTTAGATTGAAGGCAGGAGGAGCTGAAGTAGACTGGAAATAATGTAGATTTTTCAAGAGAAGCGAATGGGAGTAAAAACTTTTGAGTAGGCTTTCTTCCCATAATAATCTTTTAGGAAACAAACACCAATCCACATGAGGGCTTTAAGAAGTTGGGAATTAAATCATGCAAAATTTTACTGAAAAAAATCTTCCCTCTCATATCTGAGAAAACTGGCAAACAGCATTTGCCATGATATCAATTCATGATATCAATCATGAATTGATATCTTCCTCCCTGATGCTTGTGGCAGAGTTCGACCACTATACAGAGCAGGAAGGAAAATAATTTTGCCCCCAAGAGCCAAGAAAAGAATGGTCCACATGAAAACCGAGACTACAAGGGTAAATGAAAGCAGAGAGGTCACAAGCAAAAGAGGAGCAAGCATGAATGGGTGTGTTGGGGATCACAGGCTTTGTCTTTTTTTTTTTTTGAGATGACATCTCACTCTGTTGTCCAGGCTGGAATGCAATGGCACGATCTCAGCTCACTGCAACCTCTGCCTCCCGGGTTCAAGCGATTCTCCTGTCTCAGCCTCGCATGTAGTTGGGATTACAAGCGTGTGCCACCACTCCCGGCTAGTTTTTTTGTATTTTTAGTAGAGACAGGGTTTCACCATGTTAGCCAGGCTGGTCTTGAACTCCTGACCTCAAGTGATCCACCTGCCTCCGCCTCCCAAAGTGCTGGGGTTACAGGCGTGAGCCACCACACAAGGCCACTTTGCCTTCTTAATGGATCATAAACTAACCCCACCCTCTACCAGACCTGGCTGAGAAAACAATTCCTAATATCATAGCTACAGTAGGGAAATTTGGTCCTTTCATGCTGTTTGGAGGTGTTTAAATATAGGTTTCATCATTGGATGACACTATTCTTCAGTCCAACACTCAATATAACAGGATACAAAATACATCAGCCGTATTAAAGGGAAATCATTCATTTATTAAGGATCGCAAGACAACATCTTAATTTCTGTAGTACGATTTAAATGTTTTACTTCTTTGATAAAGCAGAGTACAATAGAAAAAAAACAATTAGTTTCCAGTAATATCTATATCTCTAATCAGAATTAAGTCTTCCAAGACATATTACCTGGAAATAAAAGCCTGTTACAATAAGCAAAGCTTCAACCAGAGCGGCTACTTTTCGTGCCAGGAAAAAGTTCATCCCTATAGGAGGAATGATGTGCTATGTAAAATGGCTGTAAGGTCACAGCCTTGAGGGCATTGGAAGTATATTATCCTATTCCACATTAAGTATTTCAGCGAATTTCAAACATCAGTTTATCTGCAACCATGCTGGCAACCTTTAACTGATATTTCAATCAACCGGTAAAAAATAAATTAAGAAATCCCTTCACGGATATTCCGTGATTTACACTGTTAAAAGGTACACTGTTCATTAACATGTAATTCTGGTTCAGAATTACCTTTGAGACTCCTTGCTCAAAATTTGGTTAACAGTAAGAATCTTCCAGAAATTCAAGTTCTTATTAATCAATAATTTGTCAGCTAGGATACATTCAGGCATCAGCTGCAACTACAGAATAGGTGCACAGCCTCAGCGCTTTGGAAAGACATAATCTAGAACACTACTAGCAGACAAAAAATTACCTGCAACTGGATAGCGTAAGTGCAGTATAGCGAGACAAAACATATATTCATATGTTGGCTTGTTTAAGCCTCAAACCCTCGACCCTTTGTTGAGATCCCATAATTTTATTCCTATGATTTTAATAACTCAAGTTCCAGGAGGACTATAAGTCTAATTTGTACTCCAAACCAAACAGCAGTGCAGTTCGCTACTACTGAGGCTGAATCTGTACAGACTTCAAGACCAAGTCCAGAAGACAGTTATTATCTAAAAAATAATTACTTGAATACATAGATGATCCTTCAGAGATTTTACCTATAACCTATTTCTTGATGAAGGTTATTTAATGCACTGGAGATAACTGTGACTTACTGATCAAATACTTGAATACTTATACTTACCTGGGATTTCATTTCTGCTGAAAGAAATAGGAAGAACAGGACTCACTTAAAAAAAAAAAAAAAAAACTTTAGAAAGGAAGGTAAAAATCTTACACACACTATCACTTTTGGAAGCAGCATAGAAGGGGCAGTCAAGGGTAAAACACTGGTGAAACAGGTCAAAATTAGGAAAAAAAAAAAAACTATATTATTATCAATGACAGTACCACAACTGTGCCCTTGATAATTAGTAATCACTCCTAAAAATCTTCATTTGGCACCAGATGGTGTGTTTAAAACACCCTAGGATGTTTTGAATCAGGCTTGATTTTGTTAGTTGAGTTACAGGAGAATTTTAAGGGTGAGGGTATGGGGGTCAGGGAAGAAAAGGAAATGGGAAATGGACCAGAAAAAATCTTGAGTCATCATCTAAATCAACAAAGCACTGATAGCTCCAAATATTAGGTCAGACACTAAAACGACTGATATAGGCTCAAGTGGTTTATAAAACCTATAAAAAGACTACACCAGCAAAGTCCCTGTCAATCTGTCAGAGTTCAGAAACTAAAACAGGGAGTAACATTTTAGCTTAAAACCTTATCTCAAGAGAATCATATACACTTCACATGAATAAAAATACCTGAAACCAAACATTTTTAAAAGCTCCAGTACCCAAAATATAAAGAAAAAAAAATCCAGAAGACTGAATCAATCCATGGAATCACAAAGCGGCCGGACAATCTATATCTCCCCTCCACACTAACCATCCCATGGAAGACCAAGGGAGATCAGACCTTCCAGACCTATGCACCATCTGGTCGCCGCAAAATTCTACGGAGATTCCTTGTGGAAAAGCAGTTTCCCATCTTTTGTGTCTCTCCCTACCATGCAGGAAGCAAGTCTGGCTGTGCTATTCTATTACCATTATATATCACCCATCTGCAACAAGGTACTGTACAGACAAGTAAGAAGTATGTTATCTAGTTCCCTTTCCCCCAGAAGGTTGAGGCTCAGGTATAGGGGTAATTCTCCTGTGCAGTCTTTATTTATGCTGACTCAGTGACTTCAACAGGCTTAATCATGTGGTCAGGTTTGTTGCCAGCTGCATAATGCTCCCACATCTGTAGATAGAGCCGCTCTAGTTCCATTGTGTATTGTTTGGTGTTGAACAGAGGGCTAGATATTCTTTGCTTCCAGACTTTGCCACGAACTTTCTTCAGGCTGGGTAATAAAAAACAAGAACCCAGTTTACAAATCAGAGCAGAAACTCAGAAACACACCCTATAAATACCTAGTCGCATTTGTGGCAAAAAATGCATGACCAAACTCTACGCTATCTCATTTCTTGATTGGCTTCGTGCTAAAAAGGGAAGGGTCACATCTTGCATAATGCTAACACTGAAATGAGCTCAACTCCATATACTCTGAAAAAACTTAGTTCTTTCCTAAACAAGTATATCCAAGGGATACCACGCGTTCTCCATTTCGTCTTGTTTCTACCTTTAAAATAACAAGAATTGACAACGGCACATGACTATTCCTATGTACTGTTGCTTACCTTTTTGGTAAGCAATTTAGCAAGTATGTATTAACCTTAAATGTTCATAACCCTCTGGCCTAACAGTAACACTTTAAAATCTATTAAAAAGAAATAATCAGATGCAAAAACATACAGGACCATGCAAAGATATTCATTGAAGCATCATTTACAAAAGTTAAAGCATAAACATAAGATGAAGTATTCGATTTATGGTCATTTTGATGAAACAGAAAACCACTCAAGGGGAAAAGAAATACAATAAGTCTACTCTCGTAATTTTCCACTTGTACCTGAACTGAGTTCAGATTTTTAAAAATTGCTAATATCACCAAGAGTATGGTTCTGTTCAGAAAAATAAAAAAGAAGTAATTGATTCTTCAGGAAACACAGGGGAAAAGATTTCTACTTCCCTTTTGAATATATTTTTCATGAGATTATTCTTAGATGAAGGGATAAATACTTTAGAACCAGAAGCCAGAACATTTCTGTGCATTTTTAAAAGCAATAATTTTTATTTATTTTCTTTTAATTTTTGAAATAGAGTCTCACTCTGTTGCCCAGGCTGGAGTGCAATGGAACGATGATGGCTCACTGCAGACTGAACCTCCTTAGCTCAAGCAATCCTCCTGCCCCAGCCTCCCGGGAAGCTGAGACTACAGGCACGCATCACCACACTCAGCTATTTTTGTATTTTTTGTAGAGATGGGGTCTCGCCATGTTGTCCAGGCTGGTCTCGAACTCCTGGGCTCAAGCAATCCTCCTCCCTCAGCCTCTTAAAGCGCCGGGATTATAGGCATGCGCCACCACGCCCAACTTTGTTTTAATGTTTGTTGTGACAGAAGCAGTAAAATGGTTGTGCATATCTGTTGGTCTCAATACAACCATGTCCATATTAATGCTACCCTCCAAAGAGAAAGACCTGTGCACTCTATTTTTTTAAAATTCTATGCCAATAGGAAAATAAACTGTAGTGCATTCATACAGTGAAATACTACTCAGCAAAAGAAATAAACTTGATGAAAGAAGCCTTTAGAGTGCATATTGACATAGTTCCATTTGGATAAAATTCTAGAAAAGCAAAACTAATTTATGGAAGGGAAAAAAACCCTCCAGAACAGTGGTTGTCTCTGGGGGTTGGTGAAAAAGACTGACTGATAAGGAGCATGAAGAAACTCTCTGGAGTGATAATGTTTTTTGTCTTCATAGGAATTTGGGTTACAAAGGTATTTCTCGGTTGGGCACTGTGGCTCACACCTGTAATCCCAGCACTTTGGGAGGCCGAGGCAGGTGGATCACAAGGTCAGGAGATCAAGACCATCCTGGCTAACACGGTGAAACCCCATCTCTACTAAAAATATGAAAAATTAGCCGGGTGTGGTGGTACGTGCCTGTAGTCCCAGCTACTCAAGAGGCTGAGGCAGGAGAATCGCTTGAACCCAGGAGGCAGAGGCTGCAGTGAGCCAAGATCACACCACTGCACTCCAACTTGGGCGACAGAGCAAGACTCCGTTTCAAAACGAAAAAAAAAAGGGTTATTTCTCAAAACTCACTGAATATTTGTGTATTTCACTGTATATAACTTCCGCCTCAAAAGAAAAAAATGGCCAGGCGCAGTGGCTCACGCCTGTAATCCCAACACTTCAGGAGGCCAAGGCAGGTGGATCACTTGAGGTCAGGAGTTTGAGACCAGCCTGGGCAACCTGCCAAAACCCTGCCTCTACTAAAAATACAAAAATTAGCTAGGTGTGGTGGCTCATGCTTGTATTTCCAGCTATTCAGGAGTTTGAGGGGAAGACTGCTTGAGCCCGGGAGGCGGAAGTTGCAGTGAGCGGAGATCGTATCACTGTACTCCAGCCTGGGAAACAGAGGGAGACCCTACCTCAAAAAAATATATGTGTACTGAACTCCAGTTAATGACAGCCAATCTTAAGTATTTAAGGAGAAGTGTACTGATGTCTGCAATTTATTTCAAAATGTGTCCAATAAGATGGATTGGCAGATGAATAAAGGGAATAAATGGATGAATAGATATGTAATAAAGCAAGAATAGTAAAATGCTAATGGTAGATTCTAAGCAGTAGGTATAGATGTGTTTATTATAAAATTAAAAATTTTGAGAACAAAAATGTTGAGGAAAAGCATTGTATGAACCAAACTAAGTACCAAAGAGTCTAATAAAAATTTTAAAATGCACCACAGGCTGGGTGCAGTGTCTCACGCGCCTGTAATCCCGCCACTTTGGGAGGCCGAGGTGGGTGGACTGCTTGGGCCCAGGAGTTACCAGCCTGGGCAATATTGGTGAGACCCTGTCTCCACAAAATATTAAATTAAAAAAAAAAAAAAGCCAGGCATGGTGGCATGTGCCTGTAGTCCCAGCTACTGGAAGGCTAAGGTGGGAGGATCACTCGATCCCAGGAGGCAGAGGTTGCAGTGAGCCGTGATCATGCCACTGCACTCCAGCCTGAGTTAACAGAGTGAGACCCTGTCTGAAAATAAAACGCACTACATTTTTTACTATAGTTATCTCTGGGCTAATGGACATGAATCTTATTTTTTTTTTAATGCCTGGGTTCAAATTTCTCACTTTTCTTAGACGTATGTGATGTTCTATGGAGGAAATTCTGAAAATAATAAGTAGCTAACATCTGCTGAATGTTTACCAGATACCAACAACTATTCTAAGTACTTTACATGGAATGCCTTTTTTAATCCTCACATCATCTCTGCAAAGTAGGCACTAGCATTATGCTCCATTTTGCAGAAGAAGAAACCAAGGCACAACACAGAGATTTATTTGCCCAAAGTCTCAAAACTCATAAGTAGGAGAGCTTGGGTTCACTCAGGTAGTCTGACTCAAAAAGTATGTTTCTTTAATTATTATGTAATATGCTACTTCTCAGAAAAACACAAAGAAAAAACATCACCCATTATACCGAAAGAAAAACCTCATTTAAGAAATACCCGTCAGGCACGGTGGCTTATGCCTGTAATCCCAGCACTTTGGGAGGCCAAGGTGGGTGGATCACGAGGTCAGGAGTTCGAGACCAGCCTGGCCAGCATAGTGAAATCCAGCCTCCACTAAAAATACAAAAATTAGCTGGATGTGGTGGTGGATGCCTGTAATCCCAGCTACTCAGGAGGCTGAGGCAGGAGAATCGCTTGAACCCGGGAGGCAGAGGTTGCAGTGAGCCGAGATCGTGCCATTGCACTTCAGCCCGGGCAACAGTGCGAGGCTGTCTCCAAAAAAAAAAAAAAAAAAAAAAAAAACGCCAGGCACAGTGGCTCACTCCTGTAATCGCAGCACTTTGGGAGGCCAAGGTGGGTGGATCACGAGGTCAGGAGTTCAAGACCAGCCTG
Source organism: Homo sapiens (assembly GCF_000001405.40). Lineage (NCBI taxonomy): Eukaryota > Metazoa > Chordata > Mammalia > Primates > Hominidae > Homo > Homo sapiens. Next base: position 71,569,943 of record NC_000023.11, on the reverse strand, counting down.
GCCAACATGGTGAAACCCCGTCTCTACTAAAAATACAAAAATTAGCCGGGCGTGGTGGCGTGCACCTGTAGTCCCAGCTACTCGGGAGGCTGAAGCAGGAGAATTGCTTGAACCCGGGAGGTGGAGGTTGCAGTGAGCCGAGATCGCGCCACTGCACTCCAGCCTGGGCGACAGAGCGAGACTCCGTCCAGAAAAAAAAAAGGAAAAGAAAAAAGAAATATCCAGCCTGGGCAACATATTGAAACTTAATCTCTACAAAAAAATTTAAAAATTAGCCAGGCATGGGACATGGTGGCATGTACCTATAGTCCTATGGTCCCTGCTACTCAGGTGGCTGAGGTGGGAGGATCACCTGAGCCCAGGACGTGGAGGCTGCAGTGAGCCAAGATCACCCCACTGCATTCCAACCTAGGCAACAGAGTAAAATCCTATCTCAAAAAAAATAAAAGAATGAAAGAAATACTAGTTTATTGTATGGATAAATCCTCCTCATCTAAGCATCACCCCTCTAATTCCTACTCATTTTCAGGCATTTAAGTTATGCTTTGTTTATTTCTTACACCGACCGTAGTGAAGAAGTGACAGTATTAGGGTCAAAGATCTAACTTTTTCTTTTGAGACAGAGTCTCGCTCTGTTGCCCAGGCTGGAGTGCAGTGACGCAATCTCAGCTCACTGCAAGCTCCGTCTCCTGGGCTCATGCCATTCTCCTGCCTCAGCCTCCCAAGTAGCTGGGACTACAGACGCCCGCCACCATGCCTGGCTAATTTTTTGTATTTTTAGTAGAGGGGGGTTTCACCGTGTTAGCCAGGATGGTCTCCATCTCCTGACCTCGTGATCCGCCCACCTCGCCCTCCCAAAGTGCTGGGATTACAGGCGTGAGCCACCGCACCTGGCCCAAAGATCTAACTTTTAAGGCTCTAAAAACTCTGAGGAAGGGCTGTACCAATTTATTCACCAATGCATAAAAAGGCTAGTCCTCAATGCTACCTCACTGATACAAAAAATCTTTTTATTGTATAGGCAAATAATGGATATACCTCAGGTTCTTTTTTTGGTTTTTTTTGTTTGTTTGGTTTTTTTTTTGTTTGTTTGTTTTTGTTTTTGTTTTTGTTTTTGAGATAGAGTCTCACTATGTCACCCAGGCTGGAGTGCAATGGTGCGATCTCGGCTCACTGCAACCTCTGCCTCCCGGGTTCAAGCGATTCTCCTGCCTCAGCCTCCTGAGTAGCTGGGACTACAGGCACATGCCACCACACCCAACTAATTTTTGTATTTTTAGTAGAAACAGGGTTTCACCATGTTGGCCAGGCTGGTCTCGAACTCCTGATCTCAAGTGATCCGCCCGCCTAAGCCTCCCAAAGTGCTGAGATTACAGGCATAAGCCACCACACCCAGCCTCAATTCCATTTTAATTGGCATTTCTACTACAGAGCCTGAAACACTTTCTTGTTAACCTTTTGTATTTCCACTTCAGTGAGGTGTCTGGTCATTTCCATTTTTACTTTCCTATTAGGGGATTATAAAATTTAAATGTTCTGCAGTCTTTACATTGCCAGGTAATTAATACTTTGTTATCTGAGACAAAAGATTTTTTCCCCTCGTTTGCTTTTTAATTTTCTTGAATATTTTTTATTCAGCCATTTACTTTTTACATAGTAAAACCTATTGATCACTTCATTTCTAAGAGTTTAGAAGTACTTCTCCCATCCAGAGGGCATACAACTAGTTCACCTATTTTATATTACACTTATTTTATGGTTTCATTTTATAACAGCTATATTCTCTCTACTTTACCAAATAATTTGTTCAAGGAAAAGTTTACTTACTATTCTAGATCAGTTCCCAGCTTCACAGCTATGTCTTCATATTCTTGTCTGTTTTTAGCAATAAGCTCAAGACAACCTAAGCAAGTGAGCTGGGATGCTGCAACTCGAGAAGCAAGAGTCTCTCCTGTAATACAAAAGATAACAACTGCACATCTGAGAACGTAAAACAGCACAGAGTTAATGTTATTTATGTTAAGCCTCCACACAACGCAGATGAAGAGAATGAAGTGAGAACAAGTCTCACTTTCTATCACCTTTCCTTTAATGTTGCTCCTAGTACATATAATTTCACCTGGAAGTTTCTCCCCCAAACGGAGATTTTCAAAGGAACAAGGAAGATTCCAGTGATTTATCAGCAACTTACCTGGCATAGTCACCATGGGGGTCCCTGCCCAGAGGACATCCATCCCTGTGGTGTGCCCATTACAGAGTGGAGTGTCCAAGCAGACATCAGCCAGCTGGCCTCTCCTGACGTGTTCCTCTTTAGGAGCAACAGGTGAAAAAATGATACGGTTCTGGGGCAGGCCCATGTTTTGTGCATACTGTTGAATATTAGGTTCTCCTACTGCTGGAAAACGCAACAGCCAGAGTACACTATTGGGAACACGCTTCAGAATCTAAAATAGGGAAAATAAGAATAATTATTAATAGCAGATCTGCCTTTTTCAACAAAGACTCCCAGAGGTCTCTAATAATTCTACCACACTCTATTCTTTCCATCCAGATAGAAGCCTGCTGTGGACTTAAGTCTTTCCTTCACAGAGATGAATGAGATCAATTGAATTATCCCTCTTCTGCTTAGCTGTCCTCAAAGTGAGTTCAAAGAAAGACAGGCAAAATCTGAGGCAGCTACCTCCTGCGGGAATTGACACAGGCAGTGGGTTTTGCTGAGAGAGGAATTTTGCATTCCAAATTTCAAATCCCCCACTATGATACAACCAAGAAAGTTACCTCACACTTGCCTAACTTTCTTTGCCTAATATAAATCGGTCTTTTCTGTAAAGGGCCAGATAGCAAATATTTTTGGTTCTGTGGCCACATGGACTGTCATAGCTGCTCAGTTCTTCTGCTGTAGCTTGAAAGCAGCCACAGACAATGTGTAAACAAGTAGGCATAGCTATGTGTCCATTAAGTTTTATTTACAAAAACAAGCAGTGGGCTGGATTTGACCCACAGGTCATAGTTTGCCAACTCCTGATTTAGATTTACATCTACTCTATGTACCATGTAAGTTCAAAATCCCTTTCTCTGAAAGCTATGAGAACAGATGAATTTCCAAATTCAGAATATTTCAGATTTTAAAAAAGTAGTACTGTGTGTGTATGTATCACATTAACACCCTCAGCAGCAACTTCCTATAAACATATTAGTACCTCTGCATTGAGATGCAGGAACAGTCATACTAAATGAAATAAATAAAAGACTACAAATACCCTGACATAGTTTGACTGTGTCCCCCACCCAAATCTCTCTTCTTGAACTGCAGTTCCCATAAGCCCCATGTGTCATGGGAGGGACCCAGTGGTAGGTAATTGAATCATGGACAGTTATTTCCAATGCTGCTGTTCTTGTGATAGAGAGTGAGTTCTCACAAGATCGGATGGCTTTATAAGGGGCTTTCCCCGCTTTGGCTCAGCCCTTCTTCCTGCCATCACGCGAAGAAGGACATGTTTGCTCCCTTTTCCGCCGTAACTCTAAGTTTCCTGAGGCCTCCATAGCCACGCGGAACTGTGAGTCAATTAAACCTCTTTCCTTTATAAATTACCCAGTCTCGGGCAGTCCTTTATAGCAGCATGAAAACGGACTAATATATACCCTAATGTTAGTTCAGGTAGTTTTGCTGCCAAACAAATTTGCCACACACTTATGAAAAAGCTTTTGATTTTCAGAGTTTTTGTGAACATCAGGAAGTAAGGATTAAGGACAGTAGACCTGTACTCATCTGCTTCCTCTTCTCTTCTATCCTCCCCTCTCCTCTAAACATAAAACAAAACAGATATCGGGGAAAAAATTAACCAAGGAATTATCTCCAGATTACCTAAAGGTAAAACATGCCATTTTATTTTAGTTCTATGGATTAAGAGCCAGTTATAGCTATCCGATATCCCACTTATGCAAACTTGTCTGATGAACTGAGAGATAATCATATGTACAGATCGACTCCTTCTTGGTTATAACTCTACAATACTACAAGAATGTTAAAAATGGGTGGATGTACATGACAGCATATGCTATCAGTTTAGACCAGGAGTTGGCGAACTACACAGCCTGTGAGCCAAATCTGGCATACTGCCAGTTCGTATAAATAAAATTTTATTGGAACACAGCCACACTCATCATTTACAAAATGCCTATGGTTATTTTCGTGCTACAACGGCAAAGCTGAGTAGACGTGAAACAGCATGGACCACAAAACTGAAAATATTTACCATCTGGCCCTTTAAGAAAAAGTTTGCTGACCCTTTAGACAGAAGAATGCTTTGAATATGTAAATTTAAAAGGTTCACAATGTCATATTTAGACACTGGAAGGAGAAACCAAAAATGCCTGAAAAATCTACATCTCTTGAAGATTATAAATGAGCACAAGGCCAGGTGCGGTGGCTCACACATGTCATCCTAGCATTTTGGGAGGCCAAGGCGGGCAGATCTCTTGAGGCCAGGAGTTGGAGGCCAGCCTAGCCAACATGGTGAAACCCCGTCTACTAAAAATACAAAAAAAAATTACCCAGACATGGTGGCACATGCCTGTAATCCCAGCTACTTGGAAGGCTGAGGCACAAGAATAACTCGAACCTGGGATGCAAAGGTTGCCATGAGCCAAGATCACACCACTACACTGCAGCCCGAACAACAGAGTGAGATTCTGTTTTTTAAAAAAAGGGCATAACCCAGTTGAGTCACATGTAAATAAATAAAATAAATTTTTTAAAAAGTATTTTTAAAAAAAATTTTTTTGAGATGGAGGTTTGCTCTTGTTGCCCAGTCTGGAGTGCAATGGCACGATCTTGGCTCACTGCAACCTCCACCTCCCGGGTTCAAGTGATTCTCCTGTCTCAGCCTCCCGAGTAGCTGGGATTACAGGTGCCTACCACCATGTCCGGCTAATTTTTTGGTATTTTTAATAGAGACGGGGTTTTGCAATGTTGGTCAGGCTGGTCTCAAGCTCCTGACCTCAGGTGATCCACCCGCATCAGCCTCCCAAAGTGCTGGGATTACAGGCGTGAGCCACTGCACCCAGCCAAAAAAAAATTTTAAAAAGAAATGAGCAGAACAGCTCCTAAATGGGAGTGGAAGGACCATCTTCAGCAAGAAGCTCTAGATACAAAATCTTTATTAGTCTCTAACATACTTGCATACTCACGTTTGCCCACATCTGCAAAGTAGAAGGGTCAATTTTATACAACTGATTAAAGTTACAGTATACGATGGCATCTTCTGGTAACCCGTACTGAGAACGGGTGGTTACAATAATGGTACGGGGAACCTCCTCTCCAGTTGCAGCCTTATTGTTGATCTAGAACAAGAAAAAAATGATGGTTATATTTAAAGGCAAAAGGAGTCCAATATTTCAATCCATAAGATCCAAAATGGTATAACCATTAAAAGTCACTGAACCATGAGAAAATATTCATGATATATGAAGTTTAAGAAAAGGCAAACCGTTGCAGCATTATCTTAAGTTGGGGGAGACTGCACTATGAAACTTCTTGCTCTAACCAAAAAAGGTCTCAAAATCCTATTAACGTTCCAACAGCTTTTGATCACTCTTTTCTTCATGAATGAAATGTCCTTTTCTAAATCACATCTACTCTTCAAGGCTAAATTACTCCTCCAAATGGTCTCTTCTCCCAAGAGTGTCTCTCTTCACATTGATCCTCACCGTTTCTGAGCTTCTACATACATAATTAGTTTCATCTTGTAATTCTCACACATTTGAGTACTGCCTTACATTGTTATATAACTATTCCAGGTGTGCAAGGACATCTATGACCTCTAGAGGTCAGAGATCTTTGCCTTACACTCTCTTGATAGAGCTACTTATTTAAGCATGCAATATATTATTTATTGAGTACATACTACATTACTGTGATTAAGACATGGGCTCAGTAATTCAATTCAGTAGAGGATACAAACACAGGGAATTATCATCTGTTGTGCTGTATGTAATGATATATTCCAAACATTACAGAGGTATAAAAGACAGGTACCAATGAAGTAGGGATGGAGACGTTAGCGGTAAGTACGGAAATGGATTCCTGGAAGAGCTGTCTGAACTGAACGTTTGAGTAGGATTTAGCTAGGGAAAGGATGGGTTTACAGAAGCAAGAAACTGTATGGAATCTACACATAGTTCATCATGTAAGAGAGTAAAGCCACAGGCAGGGAATAACAAGATATTAACACAGCAGTTTCTCAGTAAGTAATAATCTGCTGGCTGAATCCAGGAGACTTTTAAAATCAGACACACCTATATAAGATGCACGTTTCCACTAAACTCATTTCCTCATCCATAAAAATGGTGATAATGATACTTGCCTCCTAGAGTTATCATGAGGTTAAGGGAAATAAATGCATACTTGGCGGGACATATAATGGTGTATTATTATCTTCTCACCTGAGTAGTTGCCAGTCCATTGCTAATACTGAATCCATTAATTGTTATTTGAATCTGTCCTCGGTTAATCATTTCAATAACTGCTTCTGCAATAGTATTCATAGGAATAACAGGCATATTAAGAGCTGTGTTACTGCTATCTGCATTGTCTCCTCCATCAGGACACTTCATCTGAAAAAAAAATGCATCATTAGGGAAAAGATCGTGAATGCAGTTAACTTTATTTCAATGACAATACTGACTAGGTTCTGACCTTGACAATTTTCACATCTGGTAGACTATCAAGAAATGCTTTGAGGTCGATGCCATTCAGAACTATCCGATTGTCATAAATGTGCCCATTGGACTTAAAATCGATGACTGCTTTTTTCTAATGGAAAAAATAGTTTCAGACATGTCTTTTAGGATTTACATAGACAATAGCAAGGAAATAAAAAGCTACAGTTCTTTGAAATTCGTCCATAGCACTGTTTCATACCTACCTTCAGGTGAGGGAACATATTAGCATGATCACCAATAAAAAAAGTGTGGGGCATATAAGCCAATTTCTCGGAATACTGCTCAGCAACTTCAGCTGGCGAAGTTTCCTGATCAGTGATAATATAATCCATGAAAAGCGCACCACTCGTCCCAGGGTATCCCAGCCACATTGCCTTAAAAAAATCAGATCAAAAACTGATTAAGAACTTTTATCAGTACACTTACCTCTAAATTCATCAAGTCACATACATTAAATATGTACAACTTTTTGTATGTCAACTGTACCTCAATAAAGTGGTTTTTAAAAAAAGAACCTAAAGGTGCCAAAATTAAATAAGTAAATAAACAAGGAGGTCTAACTCTTTTTTAGAGACAGGATCTCACTCTGTTCCCTAGGCTGGAATACAGTGGTGCAATCGTAGATCACTACAGCCTCAAACTCCTGGGCTCAAGCAATCCTTCTGCCTCAGCCTCCAGAGTAGCCAGGATTACAGGCACTTGCCACACGCACAGCAAGGCTGACTTCTTTAGCCGAAAGCAATGAAGCAGTTCTATAAGAGAGACTCTTACTCTGTCACCTGGGCTGGAGTGCAGTGGCATAGTGATAGTTCACTGCAGCCTCAAACTCCTAAGCTTAAGCAATCCTTCCACCTTAGCCTCCCAAATAGCTGGGATCACAGAGGCACACCACCACTCTGGCTAATTTTTTAATTTTTTGTAGAGATAGGGTGTTTTGCTTTGTTGCCCAGGCAGGACTCAAACTCCTGGTTTCAAGAGATCCTCCTGCCTAAGCATCCCAAAGTGCTGGGATTACAGGCGTGAGCCACCATACCCGGCCTGTATTTCAGACTAACTTTCAAAATGCTAAAATGTTCTTCAAATTTGCAAGACAGAGTAACTGTTCATAGCCAACCATGAATTGCATGTCTCTATATACATGTACCTATAAGCACTGTGCTCTACACTCTTTTTGTCCTGTGCATTTCAACAACTTAAAAAAATTAAAAGTATGTCTGCCCTACAGTTTCAAATATCAGTTAACCAGAGGGAGGAAAAGCAGCACCTCACTGTATTCTTAGCCAAATACATGTTATAAGTGATGACTGTTAATTTGTTTACCTGAATAGGAGCTGGCCTGAGAGCAAAAAGCTCATTTCGAGCGCCCTTAGTATAGCCATTCATATTTACAAGGATATGAATTCCATCCTGATGGATGCGATCAGCTGCTTTTCCATTGCATGGAATCTACAGAATACAAAATAAGAACTCACTATGTATAATCTCAGATCAATTAGTTTTAATGACATTTAGTTTTAATGGCATTTAGTTTTAATGGCATTTAACATAATTCAGATTCCCAGATGGAAAAGAGGTAAGAACACAAATTAACTACATTAATTCGGGCACAAATATGGTTGACTGTCATTAAAATGGGCCCAAAGCATTAAAGAAACAGAACACAAAGGAAGGAGAGTTCACTTCTGGATTGAATGTATGAATAACAACATATCACAGAGAAATTGGTATTTGAAATTTGTAATCTTTTTTTTTTTTTTGGTAGGGATGGGGTCTCACTATGTTGCCCATGATGGTCTCAAGCAATCCTTCCACCTCAGCCTCCCAAAGGATTATACACGTGAGCCACAGCACCCAGCCTAGAATTGGTATTTGAAAATAGGTCTTCAAAGACGAATAGGAGTTTGAAGGAGTTTAACAGAATACAATCTCAGTAGAGAACAGTATGAATGAAGAACTAGAGTAAAGTGTGAGGGAGTTTAGAAAATGGTGAGTAGGCCGGGCATGGTGGCTCACATCTGTAATCCCAGCCCTTTGGGAGGCCGAGGCAGGTGGATCACCTGAGGTCAGGAGTTCGAGACCAGCCTGGCCAATGTGGTGAGACCCCGTCTCTACTAAAAATACAAAAATTAGCCGGGTGTGGTGGCAGGCGCCTGTAATCCCAGCTACTCGGGAGGCTGAGGCAAGAGAATCGCTTGAACCTGGGAGGCAAAGATTGCAGTGAGCCGAGATCGTGCCACTGCATTCCACCCTGGGCGACAAGAGCAAAACTCCATCTCAAAAAAAAAAAGGGTGAGTAATTCACTTCTATTTAGTATAGGGTATACAAGATGTTGAATGGTGAGTTAAAGTATTGACAAAGTTGTGGCAAACAGAGAAAGGTTACAAAAGCTATGCTGAAGAGTTTAGACTGCAATCAATCAGCAGTGAGTCCCTAAAGGTCTCAGAGGTAGAAAGAGGTATGCTTCTTGGTCACAAAGAGTCCAACTGTGTATCAAAAATGGCCAGGTATACTTTTGAAGCAACAGCTATACTGCAAAATTTGTTAGTACATACTATTTATTAAATGAGAAGTCTCAAAACCTTTCTGCTAGGACTTCAGTGATTCATATATATATACACATACACATGTATATTTATACATATATGCATACATATCATACCTGCATGTGTATGTACATACATACATGTGTGTACACACACATATAAAGAGTATATTATCTCTATTAGTCAAAGTGGCTAATAGAGTCTACAAAGAAAACACTGTAGCCTACATACTCAGCAAATTAATTCCCCCATAGGTTTCAATCTTAATTTATCATAAAACTTACTCTCCTAGAGGATACAACAATAGAACAAGTACAGAAATAAAGATAACCAAAGGCAAAGGCCCATGGAAACTGATGAACCATAGTTCATCTATTTTTTCTTTTTTTTTTTTTTTTTTTGAGACAGAGTCTTGCTCTTGCCAGGCTGGAGTGCAGTGGTGCGATCTCAGCTTACTGCAACCTCCGCCTCCCGGGTTCAAGCGATTCCCCTGCCTCAGCCTCCCAAGTAGCGGGGATTACAGGAATGCACCACCACACCCAGCTAATTTTTTGTATTTTAGTAGAGACGGGGTTTCACCATGTTAGTCAAGATGGTCTCATCTCCTGACCTCATGATCTGCCCGCCTCGACCTCCCAAAGTGCTGGGATTACAGGCATGAGTCACCACACCCGGCCCTATTTTCTTTAAAAGACCTATTTATTCTTCTCCCAAGTCACCATTTTGTCAATATTTATTAAGTATCTTCTGTCACAAGTGCTGGCTCAATCTCCAGAAAAGTTGTATGTCCAAGCACAAGCATAACACATTTCAGTTTCATTTGCAACCTCGGAAAAAGCCATGCTGATTAACACAAATGATCAAGGAAATAAGATCAACACAATTGCCTATATGTGGTACTACAGCATTTAATACTTATCATCAAAAATAAACTATATGCTAATAGTTTTATTTAAACTTGCTCAAAATAAAAAGTTAAAGTATGAGAGTTTCATCTACCTGAGAAAGATCAATGAAATGATTGGCTTCTGCCATCACCTTCACTCGGAAGTTTGTGCCATCGTCTGGGCTCAGGGCATAACAGAACACCTGAAAGGCAGCACATGGCATATTTAATAACATTGGCTCAAATCTTTCTGGCTCAAATCTTTCCAAAAGACACTAGGTTTCCATGCCTCATGGTGACAAGCCAACATTGTGGGTTTTTTCTTTTTTAAACAAATAGTGATTCTAGAGAAACACTAGTCTTACCTCAAATTTATCAGGATTGTGCATGCCTGGAATAGACTGCATAAGGTGAGAAGTAGGATGATTCCCAAAGTCGGAACTCACATATCCTACACGCAGCCGACCATCACTGAGCTTCAAGTCTTTTGGATGTTCATATGGTGGTTTATGAAGAACATTAATCTATCAACAGAATCCAATGCTTGTTAGTAAAATCTACATAAATTTTCATCTAGGAAAACTGACGAAAAACACACCAAACCTATACCTCACACCTGTTGAAAAAGGTCTGCCCAGAGCATTTAGTTAATATTGCCAGAGAGATGCAACCTCAGCACTTTATGTAATATGCTTCATACTTTGACCTGCTCCTGAGATCTATAAAGCATGAGCAAATCCCAGCGCTCTGGGAAGCCAAGGAGGTGGATCGCTTGAGGTCAGGAGTTCGAGACCAGCCTGGCCAACACAGTGAAATCCAATCTCTACTAAAAAAAAAAAAAAAAAAAAAATTAGCTGGGCGTGGTGGCACATGCTTGTAGTCCCAGCTACCTGGGAGGCTGAGGTGGGAGAATCGCCCAAACCTGGGAGGTGGAGGTTGCAGTAAGCCAAGGTTGTGCCACTGCACTCCAGCCTGGGCAACAGAGCAAGACCCTGTCTCAAAAAAAAAAAAAAAAAAAAAAAAAAGTACGAGCAAATCTAACACTTGTAGGTATGAAGCAGTATGGACAGAGCATGGTTTCCTCCCGCATTTTAGAAAATTCTATAGGGAAACATTTTCTAAAAACAAAATTATGGCTGGGGGCAGTGGCTCATGCCTGTAATCCCAGCACTTTGGGAGGCTGAGGCAGGTGGATCACCTGAGGTCAGGATTTCGAGACCAGCCTAGCATGGCAAAGCCCTATCTCTACTAAAAATACAAAAATTAGCCAGGCGTGGTGGCACACGCCTGTAATCCTAGCTCCTCGGGAAGCTAAGGCACGAGCATCACTTTAACCTGGGAGACAGAGGTTGCAATGAGCTGAGATGGCACCACTGCACTGCAGTCTGGATGACAGAGACACTATGTCTCAAAAAAAAAAAAAAAGTACACCTAGCACTCCAATCTATTATCCAACCTTTGATCCAATCCTTGATCAAGTACTGCTCTAATTCTCAAAGGTGAATACAAAATACCAAGCACTCCATTAAACATGATGGCTGGCCAGGCGCGGTGGCTCACACCCGTAATCCCAGCACTTTGGCCGGGCGAGGTGGGCAGATCACTTGAGCCCAGAGGTTCAAGACCAGCTTGGGCAACATAGCAAAACCCCATCTCTACAAAAAACACAAAATTAGGTGTGGTGGCATGCGCCTGTAGTCCCAGCTACTCAGGAGGCTGAGGTGGGAGGATCACCTAAGCTCGGGGAGGTCAAGGCTGCAGTAAGCCATGATCACACCGCTGCACTCCAGCCTGGGCGACAGAGCAAGACCCCGTCTCAAAAAAAAAAGAAAAAAAAGATAAAAGAAAAAAAAATTATGGCTTTCAACTTAAAGAAAAGTACCATCAGTCTATCATTAGTGTTTAAGTGAAGGAGTTAAGGATTCCGTCTTATGAAGTGCAGGGGGTTATACTCAGGACACAATGGAAGGGGTTCTGAAGTGGCCCACAAAAGTTTTATTTCTCGACTTGGGTGGTGTTCACTTTATAATCGTTCATTAAGCCACAGATTTGATTTTTACAGTTTTCTGTATTTGTGTTTTAGTTTACAACAAAAAGATTAAAACAAAAGAATCACACCTTATCTAAGCACAGGTTGCCGTGCCTCTCAGCAATAGCCTTCCTGAAGCCATGAGAAAGAGGATATAGCATACTATGATGAGGATGCACAGAAGGCAACCTATTCTTCTCTAACTGGTCAGCCACAATACTGACCAACTTCTTCATTCGCTCATCATAGTCTGTCCAATCACAGACAATCTAGAGAAAGCAAAAACAAGTTATTATCCAGAAAGTCCTATCCCAGGATTTAATATTTGATATGTCTTTGGCCTAAAGTAATGTCAGATAGCCTATTAAAAATACTATTTCCAGTCAGGCTTGGATTCTTATGGCATACAACAATTAAAAAGCTATTACAACACTGAGAGCCAATTACTGGCCTGTTATTCTTTACCTGCAGGCAATGAGCCAAGTTACAATAAGCATCAGGAAAATCAGGCTTAAGTTTCAGAGCCGTGCGGTAAGAAGCTATGGCTTCTGGAATATTCCCTGAATCCTGGAAAATAAATAAAGCAGGATGGTAAAAAATTTCCAAAAGTTAAATTTTAGGTGTTAAACTGCACATATTATAATAAACAGTAGTACCTTATGAATGGAAGCCAGATTGCTATGTGCATCTGCAAATGCAGGATTAATTTGGATGGCACGCGTATAACACTGCAAGGCTCCCTGAACATCCTGCATCTCCTTTAGAGTGTTTCCCATATTAGAGTAGGCATCAGCAAAGGTAGGACTGATTCTAAAAGAGAAGCCAAAGGTTTTATTTCTCCAATACAAAAATCTTTAACCCACTGTAATGCTAACTTATTCCGTTGTTATTTAAAGCCATTTTAGCATCTGCAATGTGCCGAATGTCAAACATTTTAAAATTAAAAATAATTTTAAAAATAAGGCTGTTAGTGTCTCTTACCGAATAGCCTCCTTATAATGCATCAGAGCTTCCTGCAGTTTTCCCTGCTGCTGCAGTACACTTGCTAAATTTGAATGGGCAGCAGCAAACTCTGGGAAGACCTATAAAGAGTCAAGATCAGAACTGAGGTTAAAAAAATTGCTAAAGCAGCAGTAATAATTCACCACAACCTTAAGAACTTTGCTCAAGTACATTTAAACCCCTAAATTTGTCTCTACTTTTTCCAAGTCTATTCATTCTCAAATTCTACCTCTTCCTCTATTTTATACCTCTTCTTGTTTCAAACATAATGAGGTACACCTCTTCTCCTCTTAGTTTATCCTGACCACTCCAACACCACTGAAATCTCTCTCTGCTAAACTCCTACCACATCTACTAACCACTACCATACAGCCATCAGGCACTAAGATTATATACTTATAAGTAACTTCTCTTGAACTGTGGGTTAATGTTTAATTTTTTTGTACAGATCTTATCCACAGAATAATGAACTCTGAATGCAGGGATTTTCTGGAATGTCACATAGGGCCTCACATCATACCTTAGGTACTCAATTGTTACTTCAATGAATAATCCTCTTGTAAATGATTCAACCACTATTTTTACAAAAGAGGTGGATGATGGTAAACTTAACTGCTTTCCCTCTACTATCATGCTAAATGCCCAGCTACACCACCCTCACATACTTCTAATGCTTTACGATACAAGCGAACTGCCTCTTCAATGTTTCCCTGTTCTCGTTTGATATTGGCTAGGTTATTCAGAGAGTCTGCATGGGTGGGACACAGACGGAGAGCTGTATTATAACAATCTTCTGCTTCAGCAACCTAGAAAACAAAACAAAGTCTTCAAAAACTGTACAGAATCATAAAGCCTCCACTGATACTGTTCTAATAATTGTTTAATTAAGCCTAATGGCTGGTAATGCTACAGAAAATTGATATTTTTTGGTATTCTTACCCTCAACCAAAACTCTAAAGTAAACCAATATACCATCTCAATACTTGTACAAAAGACTTTCCTTTTTTGCTGTTTTTTGGTTTTTGTGATTTTTTTGAGACAGAGTCTCGTGCTCTGTTGCCCAGGCTGGAGTGCTGTGGCACAATCATGGCCCACTGCAGCCTCAACCTCCCAGGACTCAATCGATCCTCCCACCTCGGCCTCCCAAGGAGCTGGGACTACAGGTGTGTGCCACCATGCCCGGCTAATTTTTGTATTTCTTGTAGAGACAGGGTTTCGTCATGTTGCCTAGGCTGGTCTCGAAACCCTAAGCTCAAGCAATCCTCTGATCTCGGCCTCCCGAAGTGCTGGCATTACAAGTGTGAGCCACCACACCTGGCCAGAAAAGACTCTTAATCCTACCAGATAACAAATAGAATGAGTAAAAATCCTTACACTGCCCTTCTCTTTGAGAGCATTGGCTAGGTTGCAGTAAGCATCAGGGAAATGTGGTTGTAGTTCGATAGCCCGCCTGTAGGTGTCTATTGCCAGATCTATCAGGCCTTGCTCATAGTATACACAAGCCAGGTTGCCGTGCACCACTGCGTGATTTGGACTCAAACTTAGGGCACGAAGATAAGCTGCCACAGCTCTGTAAATAAACACACACACACACACACACACACACACACACACACACACACACAAAATGTAACTCATGCTTAATGGATGGTTTGTTACAACTCATTCAAGCTGTACTATATCAAAATATATCAAGTAATTGTAATTAATTACATAATTCATGCTGTATTATATTTTAACCTCAAACCAAAATCACACCTTTATAAAATGTGTCTTTACACTGGGAAGTTTTCTACTCCCACATAAAAAATAGGCTTTCCTTTGACAACAACAAAAAATTTAAAAGTCTGGATTTACTTTGCTTTCTAAAATCAGGTCAAAGGAATAATTTAGTCTAAGAAAGAATCATTTCAACCATTTTAACAATAAAAAAATTTCAACTAAACTCCCAATGAGAAGGATAACGGCTTTGAGGAAAGCCAACAACAAAAAGTCAGGCAACGAACAACATCTATAAATAAAAGGCAACACAGGACATGGGCAGAGAACAACGTGCTAGAAAAGGCAAATATGCTTCAATGGACTATTGTCATCATTTCGGTCCAAACTGTCAAGTGTCAATACAACAAAGATTCAAGAAAATTTATTAAACAGAACATTCTCTCACCTGTCAAAAATGCGTGCCTCTTTCAAGACATTTCCTAAATTGATATAAGCATCCAGAAAGTTTGGGTCAAGGGTGACAGCCTAAAAATTTCAAGACAGTTAGTTACTCAGAGCAAGTTAGGATTTCACCAGATCAACTTCCCAATTACAATTTTTTTACTCCAAGGTCCTTGCAGACTTTCAATTACATTTCATTTTAATAAACCAATTATTTATTTAGTGTCTTCTCATTATTTTTACAAACCTCAACATTATCAAAATAACTTCTCATGCCTCATGTTCTCATGAGCAAAATGGGTCCTGAAGAGAAAAATTAAATATTGGGCCTGCTCCAATTTCATTAAACTGAACACTTCTAATGATTGGCCCTATTTTATTCACAATTAACCAGTCTAACTCTTCTGAAAAATAGTGGCAAAAGAGGCAGCAAACTCTTACTGAAAAGGTAAATATATACCTCAGTTGTATGCATACAAACTACATGCTCAGCAAGACCTTATTAAGACATGCAATTAGAGCTGTATACACAGTAAGATACAATACTTCAAGGAAATACTAACCATTACACGGTGTCATCCAAATAGCTGTCATGTTGTCTAGAGCAGTGATTCTCAACCTTGGCAATATATTAAGAATTTACCTCCTAGAAAAGGTACCGAGGCTCTATCACAGGCCAGTTAAATCAGACCCTCTGAAGATAGGGTCAGGATATTCAGATCTTTTATAAGCTCCTCATGTATAACCAAGGAAGAGAAACACTGATCAAGAAAGATACTCCTACAGCATGGTAAATGCAAACTTCAATCAAAACACCGGCCAGGTGCAGTGGCTCACACATGTAATCCCAGTACTTTGGGAGGCCGAGGTCGGACCACTTGAGGTCAGGAGTTCAAGACCAGCCTGGCCAACATGGTGAAACCCCATCTCTACTAAAAATACAAAAATTACCTGGGCATGGTGATGTGCAACTGTAGTCCCAGCTACTCGAGAGGCTGAGGCATGAGAATGGCTTGAACCCGAGAGGCAGAGGTTACAGTGAGCCAAGATTGCGCCACTGCACTCCAGCCTGGGCAACAGAGCAAGACTGTGTCTCCAAAAACAAAAAACAAAAACAAAAAAAAACACACACACCGAAAAGGTATTTGATTAAGACACTGAGTAATTGTATGTTTATTAAAGACTGATAAAGAACACTTCATCTGCTGGGCGCGGTGGCTCATGCCTGTAATCCCAGCACTTTGGGAGGCCAAGGCGGGCAGATCACTTGAGGCCCGGAGTTCAAGACCACCCTGGCCAACATGGCGAAACCCCGTCTCTACTAAAAAATACAAAAAATTAGCCGGGCATGGTGGCTCACGCCTGTAATCCCAGCTACTCAGGAGGCCGAGGCAGGAGAATTGCTTGAACCTGGGAGGCGGAAGCTGCAGTGAGCTGAGATCGTGCCACTGCACTCCAGCCTGGGCGACAGAGCGAGACTCTGTCTCAAAAAAAAATAAAGAAAGAACACTTCATCTTCACTTAGATGACAACTCTGTAGTAAACACGGCATGATGCATTTAATTTAGATTGTCTATAGTGATAGATGTCCACCCCAAGAACTTTTAAACTTTATAATAGAAATGTTTAAACATATACAAAAGCAGAGGAACATTACGTCCAAGTCTCCATTATCCATTTTCAACAATTCATATATCATGTTTGATCTTATTTAATCTATACTCCAACTTACTCCCCCTCTTCGCAGATCATTTTGAAGCAAAGCCCAGACATATTCCATTCAAAAATACTTCAATATGTATCTCAGGGACAACACAAGAATGCTTTTTCCTCCCAACCTAACCACAATACCATTATCATACCTAACAGAAAAAAAAAAAAAAAAGACAGCAATTCCTTCATATTAAATATCAGCTGGGCGTGGTGGCTCATGCCTGTAATCCTAGCACTTTGAGAGGCCGAGGCAGGCAGACTGCCTGAGCTCAGGAGTTCAAGACCTGGGAACATGGCAAAGCCCTGTCTCCACTAAAAATACAAAAAGCTAGCCGGGCATGATGGCGCACGCCTGTAGTCCCACCTACTCCGGAGGCTGAGGCAAGTGAATCCCTTGAGCCTGGGAGGTGAAGGTTGCAGTGAGCCAAGATCACACCACTGCACTTCAGCCTGGGCGATCAAGTGAGACCCTGTCTCAAAAAAAAAAAAAAAAAAATCCATTCAGTGCTCCAATTTCTCATTAACTGAGTCAGGATCCAAATAAGACAGATATAATTTGTCAATGTGCCTCTCTGAGTTTCTTTTAATCCTTTAAAAGTTTGTGTGTTTATTTATTTATTTTTGGAGACGGAGTGTCACTCATTATTTATTTTTGGAGACGGAGTGTCACTCACTCTGTCGCCCAGGCTGGAGTGCAGTGGCACGATCTTGGCTCACCGCAACCTCCTCCTCCTCCCGGGTTCAGGCAATTCTCCTGCCTCAGCCTCCTAAGTAGCTGGGATTACAGGCACACGCCACCGCACCGCACCCAGCTGTTTTTTTTTTCTTTTGTATTTTGAGTAGAGATGGGGTTGCACCATGTTGGCCAGGCTGGTCTCGAACTCCTGACCTCAAGTGATCCACTCGCCTCAGCCTCCCAAAGTGCTGAGATTACAGGGGTGAGCTACCGCACCCGGCCTAAAAGTTTAATTTAAATCTCCATTTTTATTACAATTTGTTGAAGTAAGAAGGTCAGCTTCCCAAAGTTTGAATTTTGCTGACTGCATCCCTATGGTGTCCTTTAACATGTTTCCTGTCCCGTGTATATCTCCTGTAAATTGGTAGGTAGAACCAGAAGCTTAATTAGGTTTGTGTTCTTTTCTCTTTGTGCAAGACTACTTCACTGGTGAAATTGTTTACCACAAGGTACTTAATACCTGATTGTATCTCGTTTTTGTCACTGATAAATGCTTTAACTTTTTTTTTATTTTTTGAGATGGAGTCTTGCTCTGTCGCCCAGGCTGGAATGCAATGGTGCAATCTCAGCTCACTGCAACCTCCACCTCCCAGGTTCAAGAGATTCTCCTGCCTCCGCCTCCTGAGTAGCTGGGATTACAGGCTCCTGCTACCATGCCTGGCTAATTTTTGTATTTTTAGTAGAGATGGGGTTTTGCCATGTTGGCCAGGCTGGTCTCGAACTCCTGACCTCAGGTGATCCACCTGCCATGGCCTCCCGAAGTGCTGGGATTACAGGCGTGAGCCACCAAGCCCGGCCTAATAAATGCTTTCACTATTAATGGTGATATTCTATCATTCCTTCTTCACTTATTAGCTAGAATGCTTTTATAAAGAAAAGCTTCCCCCATCAACTATTGGGTTACTCTATGGTCTAGTTCATACAGGAGAGGGAAGACATATGCTTTATTCTTTTAATTTTTAAATTTAAAGTTGATATATAATTGTGTATATTTATGGCATACAATGTGATGGTTTGATCCACGTATACATTTTAGAAAGAGTCAACCAAGCTAATTAACATAGCCATCACCTCACTAACTTATTTTTTTGTGGTTGAGGACATTAAAAACCTATTCTTTTTGCAATTTTGAAATATACATTATTAACAACTGTGGTCACCATGCAGTACTACAGATCACTAAAACTTATTCCTCCAGTCTAACTGAAACTTTGATCAATATCTCCCTTTTCCCCATCCCTCCTCCACCCCCCCAAGCCTCACCACCCTTCTACTCTCTGTTTCTATGAAATCAACTTTTTTAGATTCCACAAATAGGTGACATAATACAGTATCTACTTTCTGTGCCTGGTTTATTTCACTTAGCATAAAGCACAGATAACAAAAGCAAAAATATGCAATGAGATTGCATCAAACTAAAAAGCTTCTGCACAGTAAAGGAAACAATTACACAGAGTGAATAGGCAACCCCGGATTAGGAGAAAGCATTTGCAAACTATACAACTGATAAAGGGTTAAGAAGCTCAACTCAGTAGCAAATACGCCCATTAAAATACGGGCAAAGGATCTAAACAGACATTTCTCAAAAGAAGAGGTACAGGCCAGACACAGTGGCTCATGTCTGTAATCCTATCACTTGGGGAGACCAAGGTGGGAGGATCACTTGAGCCCAGGAGTTCGAGGTTGCAGTGAGCTATTATGGCGCCACTGCACTCCAGCCTGGGCAACAGAGCAGGACCTCATCTCAAAAAAACAAAACAAAACAAAACAAAAAAAACAAATGGCAAGCAGATATATAAAAAATATGCTCAACATCACTAATCATCAAGGAAATGCAAAATAAAACCATGAGTTAGCATCTCACACTTGTTAGTATAGCTATCATCAAAAGGACGAATAATAACAAGTGTTAGTGAGGATGTAAAGAAAGGGAAGCCTTGTAACTGATGGGGGAAGTATAAATTGGCACAGCCATTTTGGGAACTAGTATAGAGGTTCCTCAAAAACTTTATTCTTCTCTTTTTAACCAGTTTTCCAAATTAATTGTTCCTTGTAAGTCTTCCAAAGATGACCAATGAATTTTTTAGCATAATTATAAGCTCATAGATTTAAACATACTTGATAAGTTTTAGTATATTTCAGTTATTATTCCTATTGATGCTCAAGTCTGCATCTTTAGCCAGTGGGAGCCTCCTCAAGTTGCTTCCTGAGTCCTTTTGATGCAAAGTAATATGTCAAAGCTTCCTTGCTTTCTGGTATGACAAGACATTCCAAAAATTTTTTTTAAATTCCTGCCCCAGACCTGGAATCTGCCTTTTCACCAAGAAGCCCTGCTTCTTTAAAGCCCATTTATAAAAATCATTTTTAATTACTAAAGTACATTTTTTTTGAGACAGGGTCTCACACCATCACCCAGGCTGGAGTGCAGTTGCATGATCACAGCTCACTGCAGACTCAAACTCCCATCTCAGCCTCCCCAGTAGCTGTGTGTGTGTCACCACGCATAGCTACTTTTTGTATTTTTTGTAGAGACAGGGTCTTACTATGTTGCCCAGGCTGGTCTCAAACTACTAGGCTCAAGCAATCCTCCCACCTCAGCCTCGCAAAGTGCTGGATTACAGGTGTGAGCCACAGCACGCAGCCTAAAGTACATTTTCAACACAAAATTGGAAACTGCCATACCATGTACTATCCAGCAAATGCTGCAATAAAGATGTTTCTCAACTTAGGATGGGGTTATGTCCCGATACACCCATCATAAGTTGAAAATATCTTAAGTCAAAATGCATCTGTAACACTTAGTGAACATCCTAGCTTAGCCTAATTTTTTTTTTTTTTTTTTTTTTTTTTTTGAGACAGGGCCTCACTTTGTCACCCAGGCTGGAGTGCAGTGGTGCAATCTTGGTTCACTGCAACCTCCAGCTCCCAGGCCCAAGCAATCCTCCCACCTCAGCCCTACAAATGGCTGGGACTACAGGAGCACACTGCCACACCCAGCTCATTTTTGTAGAGACAGGGTCTCGTTATGTTGTCCAGGCTGGTTTTCAACTCCTAAGCTCAAGCAATCTGCCCGCCTCGGCCTCCCAAAGCACTGGGATCACAGATGTGAGCTATCACACCTGGCCCGGCTAGTCTCATTTTAAACATGCTCAGAACACATTAGCCTACGTTTAGGTAAAATTACCTAATACAAAGCCCTTTTTTAAAACTTTAATATGAGTTTTATTTTAATTCCAACATTTATTTTAGGTTTGGGGTACACATGCAGGTTTGTTAAATGGGTAAATTGTGTCACAGCAATTTGGTATACAAATGATTTTGTCACTCAGGTAGTGAACATAGTACCTGGTAAGTAGTTTTTGTACCCTCACACTCCTCCCACCCTCCACCCTCAAGTAAGCCCCACTGTCTATTGTTCCCCTTTGTGTCCATGTGTACCCAATGCTTAGCTCCCACTTGTGAGAACATGCAATATTTGGTTTTCTGTTCCTGCATTAATTCACTTAAGATAATAAACTCCAGCTGCATCCATGTTGCTGCAAAGGACATGATTTCATTTTTGATGGCTACATGGTATTCCATGGCATATATGTACATTTTCTTTAGCCCACCGTTGATGGGCATCTAGGTTGATTCCATGTCTTTGCTATTGTGAAGTGATGAACATACGCATGCATGTGTCTTTATGGTACCTTTTTATTTTTTAATCTTAGAGACAGGGTCTCACTCTGTCACTCAGGCTAAGTACAGTGGCATGGTCACAGCTCACTGCAGCCTCAAACTCCTGGGCTCAAGTGATCCTCCTGCCTCAGCCTCCTTCTTATTTTATAATAGTGTGTTGGGCATCTCATGTAATTTACTGAATCTTGTACTGAAAGGGAAAACCAGAATGGCTGCATGGGTACTCGAAGTATGATTTCTATTGAATATGTATGTCTTTTGCACCATTGTCAAGTTGAAAAAATATTTAAGTCAAATCATTGTTCTCTGTAAGTCACATACTGCCTATACCGCCAGAGAAACAAAGATATAATGTCACTGGCTAAGACCTATTATTTAGTTCTAGTAAAAACACTACATGCGTAAGCACTTCAAAAATACCAATTATTAATTTAATGACTAACCTTTTCAAAGTGATGAATTGCAAGCCAAATTTCCCCTTGTGCATTGAAAACACAGCCAAGATTACTCCAAGCTACTGCAAAGTTCGGTTGCGTCTCAATTGCTTTCAAATAACATGCCTTAGGAGGGGTTAATGAAAGAAGATGGGAGGGAAAGGAGGTAAAGGGAAAGGGGAAAATTTGTAAAGGGAAAAAAAAAAGATTGGGGGGAGGGGGGGAAGAAGGTGATATCATTATTCCTTCTCTGACCAGCCAAAAGTGACCCTGCAGCATAGGCTCGCTTGCGCCAAAACTAATGCGCTGCCACAGCTGGCTGCTCCTGCGCCTGCGCCACCAGAACCCAAGTGCAAACCACCATGTTCAGTTCTGCCAACCAAAGACCAACCCTTACACTGGGACTTAACTGGGAAGTCAGTTGCTATAAGGCTCTATGCTGGAGTTCTCTTATCCAAACAACTACGGGCCCTTGTCATGTTTTCAAGTGCTACCTAGAGGGCGCAACTTGAGGCCGAGTTTTCCTACCCCCACTGTTTCCCAAAGTGTGTTCTATGAGGTGTTAAGAGGTATGGCTGAAAAAAAAAGGAGTTCATGATCAAATAAATTCGGAAAATAGGTTTCTTTACTGGACTTCCCTAAGCCTTTAATAGTGTAACAGGGTTCCCTGAACTTAGTTGACCATGGAACTCTTCTTTCATTGGGCATTTTATTAGAATACTATGAAACACATTTTGGGAAATGCTGCTCTTCAACAATGTTCCTCACTAACATCAAAACTATGCTACTGAGGAGAAAAATGTCTTTCTGCCAAGTAGGATATCATAAAGCCAGGCTTTAAGTTACATTCTCACAATGCCCCGTCTCCCAAGGAGGACTGAAGCTGAAACCTCACATGACAGGATTGCACCTAGGTTGAGGTCCCTGTAATGCGAGCGCAAACATCGCTTGCGCAACCTAACAGCATCGCACTGCGCAATCGCTGCGAACTGCTGCGCTACATAGAACACCCCTAGACGCAGCAAACGGCCAACCAGATCCATTAATCTACTAGACAGGCCCATGGAGAATATTTGTTTAATGAGATTAGTTGGACTCGAGGTATGTTAAAACCCAATTTTATCCAAAAAGGCTACAGAATAGGACTGAGGGAGCCAGTCAATCAGATTACTCATCTAGTCAACCGTTCACAGGGGTTCATTCGCACGCAATGCGCATTAACGCTGCGCAGCCTTTGCGCTACTGCAGGGTCACAGCGCATCATCAGAAGAGCAGAATGCTGCAATCCAAACAAAGAAGAAAAAAGGAAAAAAAATGAACAACAAGAAGAGTTAGAAGCTTTTACTAAGTAAATTATCTCTAATAATTTTTAATATCAATTAACTTTTACTTATCTTTGACAGAATTGTGGCTATAGTATAAAACATTCTCTTACATAACTTGCTTGTAAATAAAATTATTTTAAGCTGTTTCTGAAGCCACAAGACAGAAGATTCAGGCATGGAGGCAAATTGTTTTGCTGTGGCAGTTACAAACCCGTTACCATATTTCTCATCATGTGACTTTTCGGTGCGTTCCTTGCTGGAAGAGGAGGAGGAGGTTGTGTGTCTGCCCTAGATCCAGGCCTCGAGCTCCCTTCAGCGAGGCACCTTACGCATGGAATAGGAGGTTTCACCCACCTGAAACCTTCTAAATACAATATCAATGGTGAAAAACCAAAAACAAGAGAGAAAATAAAAACAAGATCATTAGTAAAAGTTCAACAAAGCAATTGAAATTCTTTGGATGTCTATTACATATGGGAATGAGGACAGTCTCAAGTCTGTAATATGGGAAACATGCAGAAGGGAGAGGGTTAATCAGGGCTATTGCATACAGCAGGGATTTTTGCTGGAAGAAAGGCTCTTCATTTTCTACAAAGACAACTTAATTTTGCTTCCATCTACTAGGAATATGCTGGCTTGAATTTTCAAATGCACTGATTACAAAAGAAATACATTGCATTTCACTCAAGAGTATTTTCTTGTTTACTAAGTTCTCACAAAAAAACAGAATAACATTTTTCAAACTAGGTGTCTCCAGAGCTCTGAAATAAAGAAGTCAGCAACCTAAGGCAGGCGCAATGTCTCAGCCTAAACCGATCTCTAAAGCTGCAGTGAAGTGCAATTCATGTTAGCTGTCCGCTTGGTGGGGTGACAATTAATAGGAGCTTATCAAATATTTGTTCTATAAATTACCAATTAGATTTATCAGCTAAGATTGAAATCAATTACAATTCATTAGCTGGCAACCTACATAAGGTTAATCCAAAATGTCAGCAGAATTTATGAGCTGTGCACTTAAAACTAGTGCCTTTTAAAACATTAGATGGTGCTGAAAAGCCTTCTCCCTCCCTGGATGAAGCAGTCAAACAGACAGCTACTCTGCGCATACACTCCACGCATTAGCATGCGCGTGGGGCTCAGAGCAACAGGTGGGAGTTTCAGAAGCATTCTGGTTTCTCCCCACTCCTCACCCCTGCAGCGCGGTTGCGTAAGGTGGCTTGTAACAAGACAACTGCATTTATAAATTTAATTTTAAATTATACCAAAAGCTTTAATTAACCCAACCTGGTGTTCAAATTCATTATTTGGAAACACAGAATGCTAAAAGCCACCTTTCCACTTTGGCAAGTTTTCTTTCGATCAGTCCATTTCCCAAACAAACCAGCTTTGTCCTTCTGACCTTTTTTTTAAGGGGTTGGGGTGGGGAGGAATAAAAGAAGGAAATGAGGAAGAAAAGAAGGTAGACAACTAGGATTGGAAAAGAGGAAAAAGGAACTTGGGAAGGGAGTGGGGACAAGGGACAGGATGTTCCAATTATTAATTTGTAATCATTTTAACAGCCTTTCTTCCACTGTAAAAAGGGTGAGGAAGATGAAGGGAGGAAGGTTAAATAAGAATTTTAAATGCCAGTATTACAGGGTAACATTTGGATGAAATTCTTCTCCACTTACAAGCCACAAAGGACTTAGAAGAGCAGCATTTTCAATGGCACCTGCATCATATAGGAGTCTTGAGCCAAATCACAGGCGCTCTGCTTGTCACCAGCAGGCAAGCCTCAGATTTGAAGGAATGTTATTTATTCCCACATAAGATCATGACGGAGCCCAGTGTTATAAAGATGGTCTAGCTCAGCAGAAAGGCTCCAAAATGTTCAGGTTCTTGCTTTACCCCCAGATTTAGAACAGATATGCCAAAGCCTGGCCCTGCTCTATTCTGAGGCGATTCGTGCCGTCAGTTTTCCTCAGTTTCAAAGGACTGTTTTGTGAAGATAGCTCAATGAAGAGTTGAAGACTTGGCAAAAAGTACAAGTTTTCATAATACTGATGTTTAAATGTGTTCTATCAAACACCTACCTTGGCTTCTTCCAAGCGACCCAGGGCTTTGAGCAGGTTCCCCAGGTCACTGCGAACACAGTACAAATCCTAGAAACCCAGAGACGCTGTCATTAATTATACTCTGCTTTGTCAATTAAAAATATCTTGAAATCACTTTTAAGCATCTAGCTCCCTGCCATTTTATTCTATCAACTAAAGATACTGCCTGACAAACTTCAGTGCAGGACCACAACCCCTCATCCACAATTCCAAATCCCAAAAAGTTCCAAAAACTCATTTGAGGGTTAAACCTGACTTGAGGTGACATGAAACTATTTATAGAATTTAATTATCTCACTTAGTATGAATACTGTCTTTTGCTGCAGAAATATAAATGTGTTTTACTAAAAGGTGCTGCTCCAGACTTTTCTGGGTGTTTTATATATGGTATTATCTTTCTAATATCCTAAAAATTCTGAATGTTGAAATGCATTTGGCCCCATTAGCTTCACATAAAATACTATGGGACCTTACTAGAGCTTCTTTCTCTCCTCCCCAAATGTCAGTCACATTAAAAATATATATATCAGGCCGGGCGTGGTGGCTCATGCCTGTAATCCCCACACTTTGGGAGGGCGAGGTGGGAGGATCACCTGAGGTCAGGAGTTCGAGATCAACCTGGCCAACATGGCGAAACCCCATCTCTACTAAAAATATGAAATTAGCTGGGCATGGTGGCGTGTGCCTGTAATCCCAGCTATTTGGGAGGCTTAAGCAGGAGAATCGGTTGAACCCAGGAGGCAGTGACTGCAGTTAGCCGAGATCGTGCCACTGCACTCCAGCCTGGGCGACAGAGACTCTTGTCTCAAAAAAAAAAGGAAATATATATATATATATATATATATATACACACACACACACACACACACACACACACACATCTCAAATATTTGTCCAACTATGTTATTCAAGGTTATGATGAATCACTTCTGTATCAAGGACCGAAAATTTTCCAGAGTGGAAAAAAACATATTTAGCAAATGACTACCTATGAGCAAACCTACCCTTAGGCTGTCAGGCATATTTAGAAACTCTGACTTCATTTCACTATCGGGCAGAAGAATTATCCAACCAAAGCCTCAATCCTGGCACCTGCCACTAGATTACTCATTAGTATTAAGTGCCATTAGAGTTGAGTGGGTGAATAATGAAAAGCAGTTGACTCTGCTTTTTATTAGCAGCTCAATTGTGCTGCTAGTCATCTGACTCATCAGTCCATTCATCTGGATGAGACACTCATCACAACAGTGAGCTTAAATTTTTATTTGCCCTATTTTGCCATTGTCAGTCACATCTACCAGTCAACAGGCAGAAACAATGACAACAGGAAGTATGCTTATTATTCCAAACTGTTCCATGGGTGAAAGAGACTTAAGTCCTAGAAAGTGAAATTTTGTCAACTGTGCCGAAAAATCATCATATATATGATTTGCTCTGGAACTATATTATGGTTTCCAAAATCACTTAATTCTACTGATAAACAGCTTTTGTGGTTGTATAGTATCATCCATCAGGTGAACCAAAAAGTCTGCCAACAAAGTACAGGCTGCCACACAACAATCTTACGGTCAGCCATACTGGGTCAGTTCCATCATCTCCCTGACTCAATACTGTCCTTCAAGCAATGACTGATGTTCTAGAGAGTAAGGTTGTCTCCCATCACTTCAAGCACAAAAGGCTAATACTAATCCTCAAAACATCAAAGGTACCATTAATCTTATTTGACTTCTCCTCTAATTAGCCTGAGCACTTTTTAACACTATACTCTCAGAAGTAATGAATTATATAATCTTGCTATCTACTTTGTATGGTTATGTTTTTTTCTAAACTGAAAGGGTTACCCCTGTTTTGGCAGACCATGACTGCATAATCCAATCCATGCATACAAGCTCCTTCTACTACTTGATAATTGTGGTTATACATGTTTGGACTTTTACCAATTCCTATGCCTTTTCTAAGTCATAATAATCAGAAGTCTTGCAATAATTCTCCAACAATGACTGTAATGGCCATACATAGTAGCCAGCTGTTGCGTAATTTTATTACCCTCTAGTTTCTATGAACTCTTGGATGGATGCCACTTAAGTCCTGACAGCATATCTATATTTTGTTATCATCTAGATCCATTACAGTATACTATATCAAGTTAACACAATGCTCATAGTTAAAAAT
The DNA here is from genome assembly GCF_000001405.40 of Homo sapiens. Classification (NCBI taxonomy): domain Eukaryota; kingdom Metazoa; phylum Chordata; class Mammalia; order Primates; family Hominidae; genus Homo; species Homo sapiens. The sequence continues at coordinate 71,542,442 of NC_000023.11, read as the reverse complement.
ACATTATCTTCAAGATTACTATAAGATAATCAATAAGGCAGTTTTAGGAAAAGCTAAAACATCATATTAAATGTAACGGTGAAATCCAATTCTCCTGTTTGGGGATCCAAACCTATGTGCATGAACAGCTAATTTCTAGAAAACGCACGGGCACCACCATTCTCCCAAAAGTTCAAAACCCAAGACATCACTTCTGCTTCATCTGTCAAATCAAAATGTTTTTGACAATTATATTTCTCAAAACTAGCCCATTTTATCCATCCCAGGTTAATACATTTCAGGCAAACTGTTACTCAATTCAATAACATGCCTGGAACTATAGGGAAAAGATATAGAATCCTTATCATCAAGGGGCTTACAATCTATGTGAAAAGACAAGGCACACACTAAATGCCCACTCAGTAGTAAAGAATTTTAAGAGAACTAGATGATGAGCTCATAAGAGAAGTTTAAGCTGGGCCTTGAAGGATGAGTAGGGTTTTAATAGACAAAGGAGGAGGGCACTGTATACAAGGGAAAATCGTGAGAATAAAAGGAGATAGAAATGAGCAAGATTTTCCTGTAGAACTATTTCTCCTAAGATTGCATCAGTTTCCTGCCTTTCCTCCTAGAGCCTCCCACCCCCACCAGCCACAACATCTAGACACGTACATACATATGAAGTAAAATCAGGTCGATAAAAACCTACAGTAATTCTCAATTGCCTCTCAAATTAAATTCAAACTCCTCAGCCTCTCTATTCTTTATAAATCTTCCAATTGACTCTCCTCTACTACATTCACTTCTTGTTACTACTTGACTCACCACTTCAGCCAAGGAAGTCTACTTGCTATTTACCTTCCTACAGAATGCTTAGGTCATAAGCACCCACTCGAGGAAATCTTCTGATTAATACTCTCCAACAATTATCATCCAAGGAACTTACACCATTTTTTCCTTTACGGGTCAGGTCCTGTCTTATATTATAACCCGCAACTTCCCCCACAACACATCTCCCCATTTCCTAACAAAGCATTGTATGCACAATAAGCACTCACATATTTAAATGTGACATTTGCACAGCAACCTTAACAAAAAGCAGAACAGAGAAGAATCGAAATATACAACAGAAAGCAGAACAGAGAAGAATCGAAATATATGGTTTTCTACAGTGCAGCTGTATAAGAGAGGCTCAGCAGTAACAAGTAACAAATAACATGACAGGAACACACATGATGGCCAGGATGCCAGCAGCTCTCCATTCTGTGCATCCACAATCAAAGCACAAGCAACAATTCAACAACCTATAGATTCAGAAACAGACCTGTTTAAAACAACTCAGGGTTATAGCCGTTACAGAAAGGACAATTTTATACATAATTTGCAAAAGGAATTGCCAGGTATAGGCAACTCTAGTGAGTCACCATGTCAAAGAACATGTGCTGTCACTGCAAGGTGCTATCTGCAATAACACCTTCAAATACAACAGACTGCCAGGCACAGTGGTTCACGCCTGTAATCCCAGCACTTTGGGAGGCTGAAGCAGGCGGATCTGTTGAGGCCAGGAGTTCAAGACAAGCCTGGCCAACATGGTGAAAGCCTGTTTTTGTAAAAATACAAAAAATTAGCCAGGCATGGTGGTGGGCACCTGTGATCCCAGCTACTTCGGAGGCTGAGGCAGAAGAATCGTTTGAACCCAGGAGGCAGAGGTTGCAGTGAGCCGAGATCGCGCCACTGCACTCCAGCCTGGGTGACAAGGGCAAAACTCCGTCTCCAAAAAAAAAAAAAAAATGACAGACTAAAATCTTACCAAAATTATGAAAACACCCAACATTATAATTATAGAAGATAATTCAGAATGAAAAAAATGAGATAGCTGTCTCAAAGATAATTTCTATAATCAAGTCACAGAGAACAACTTCTAAATTGACATATCTATTAACTTAAAAAGATAAACACTGTTGAAAACAGTTACCAAGGTTACCAAAGATACCACCTTAACATTCTACTCTTTCACTGCTGCAAAACCAAAATAACCTGAGTTTCTTTAACCATTTTTCATAGAATGCCAACTACATCTATGATTCAGGTACACAATGTACTAATGATGCATTTAAGCACTGTCAACAAGAACATAAGGAACAGACGCAAGGTTCTACCAGTACTGAACTGACAACGGGCATTTGACAGTAAGTTTAAATCTAGTTAAGACTTTAGATATCCTGAAATAAATTAAAATATGATCACTATGGCATGTTTAGTTGAAATCAAGGGAACTTGCACAATCCCATTTTCATTCTTATTGGTAAAAACAGTAATAAATAAGTAAAGCAGCACCTTCCACTAGAAGAAACATAGAACCAGATGACAACACATGGCCATTCAATGCATTCAAGAGGTAATCCCATGATTTATTTTAGTACTATCTCACTTCCTTGGTAGGGTACAACAATAAGCTTCCTGCTAACAGCAGGTTAGATATTAAATAGCAAGGTTCCATCTCTCACTTTAGTTTTCCTTCTCAGCATAGTCCTACTGCTTGGGTACACTATCAGTAGCAATGACTGCTCTGCTACACACATAGGCAACTGGAAACCTGAGCCAAGGGCATTAGAGTTAAAGATGGCAAGAACCACAGCTGTGTAAGAGGGTACACTATCAATAAGAGTAGAATCAACCTGATTAATAAAGGTAAAGAACTTACTGTGACAACTGGGTACAGAGGTGAGCCCTGAGCCCTGGGAAAAATGGGGTCCAAGGCCCAGTGGCAGTACATACCAGGCTCCCTAAAACTTTATGTGGGTAACTAGCTAGATTAGTATTGCAATAAAACTTACAAAAAGTCACTCAAATGTACATATATATACACTGAGTGTCTCAGAAAAGATAGACAAGAAATTAGTTTCATTTGCTACCTCCAAGAGTGCTAACTGGAGGTATTCACTGTATCCATTCAAAAACCAATAAATTTAGAAGCTGGGTGTGGTGGCACACACCTATAGTCCCAGCTACTCTGGAGGCTGAGGCAGGAGGACTGCTTGAGCCCAGGAGTATGAGTACAGCCTGGGCAACATAGCAAGACTCCATCTCTTAAAAAAAAATGTTTTTTAAAGCAATGGATTTTCTAAAAAGGACACGTTTAAACTCTCAAAATTAACTACAAAAATTGTTAATAGATATCATCATGAGAAGTGACTTCGGATCTTTGAACAAACTACTAAATTTAGTTTCAGTTTCCTAACCAAAAAATAAGGGACAGCAAAATATGATCAATGGTTTTTTAACTGTGCTCAAGGGCTGCTTTGATGGGTGAGTGCCCTCTGGGCACATCATCCCACTTTTATTTCTTTTCACTTCAACATTTGCTTTGAGGATATTCAGACTCAGGTTTTAATATCTATTAATACTTCATTACTAGCTTTGTCCCCATGAAAGCCACATAACCCTGAGTCCATGGTTTTTTTTTAATTGATAAAAATCAGAAATAATATCATCTATTTTGAAGAATTATTGTGAGGATTAACTAAGACCAATCATTTAAAGCTGTCAGTAGAGTGTCTGACCACACAGACTTTCAGTAAACGGTAGCTAAAATAAACTATTAGCCATTTCCAGGTTGGTTACAAAACTGAATGTTGACAATGTAACTTGGGAACTTTTTCTAGATTTCTATAACCCCACTATCATTTACCTCTTAAGTTTACATCTACTTTCTCTAACTACATCATAAGTTCTGAGGGAAAGTCTTATGTTTTTGTATCTTTCGGAGATCCTAAACACAGTATGAATTTAAGGTCTGCCAGCTGAGCCTTACTTGTTCCCAGAACACATCTGCAACTTAGACAAAAAAAATTTTTAAACTAATCAAAAGCCCAGTATAAGTAGTATCATCTAAATTCTATGACTTCTAATTACATTGAAAGAGAAGAGAATAGGATATTGAGGAAGAAATTTTGTAGCCTAATTTTCACATCATTCCATATAGTGGCATCTTGTTTCAAACTATTTTATATTACAGATTTTACAGATTAAGACCCATTATCCACCATTCCTTGAAAATCAATTAACTTGCAAACACTTATCAGAATTTATCCAAAGTTAATCACAACAGAAAAAAGTCATGTGCTCTGTACTTTATACGTGTTATTTTAAAATTGATGTAGTTTCTTGCAATAAGAATTTTTATGCTTTTTAATATAACTTGCTAAATAAAACAAATATTTTAGCATAACGCAGACCAGCTAAAAGCAATTTCACCATTTTAAGTACATACGCATTTCTAAACTTTTGACTTTATTCCATGTGAAAACCTACTTTAGTGTCTGAAATATCACACTATGTTTCTTTCTGGGTTTCTAGGAAGGGAAAGTAACCATTAAAATTTTACTCACAGGATTGTACTGAAGAGCAGAGACGTAAGCTTGTACTGCCCCTTCCATGTCACCCGCTGCTACCAAGGCGGCTGCCAGGTTAATATAACCATCGATGAAATCAGGTTTGAGACGCAATGCATGTCGATAATGCTCAATTGCCTCCTGCAACTGCCCTCTTTCCTTGTACACATTCCCCAAATTCGAATAAGCTTCTGCCAGAAGGGGGTTCTGTTTAATTGCCAGAGTGCTAAAGTGAGCAGATCTGGAAAAGGCGACAAGTGTTAATGCATGGGTATGCACGTTACAGAAAAGAAGGTATGGCCCATATGCAACTCAAACAGTTTGAGATCTGTGCTATTGCTCATTATATAATACCTTATCTTTTAACTAGTGCATAGCAAGAAAAATTTGGGAAATCAAAGATTTTCAAAAGTGGAGGTATTCTAGATTTCAAAATGAAAAGCTTTTTCTTATTAAATAAAATTATTGGCTGGGCGCAGTGGCTCACGCCTGTAATCCCAGCACTTTGGGAGGCTGAGGCGGGAGGATCACCTGAGGTCAGGTGTTCGAGACCAGCCTGGCCAATATGGTGAAACCCCGTCTCCACTAAAAATACAAAAATTTAGCCACGCATGATGGCAGGCGCCTGTAATCTCAACTACTCAGGAGGCTGAGGCAGGAGAATCGCTTGAACCCGGGAGGCGGAGGTTGCAGTGAGCTGAGATTGCGCCACTGCACTCCAGCCTGGGTGACAAGAGCAAAACTCCACCTCAAAAAAAAGAAAAAAATTCTAACTAGAGTCTTGTTACAAAACTACCACATTGGCCGGGCGCGGTGGCTGATGTCTGTAATCCCAGCACTTTGGGAAGCCAATGCGAGCAGATCACCTGAGGTCGGGAGTTTGAGACCAGCCTGACCAACATGGAGAAACCCCGTTTCTACTAAAAATACAAAAATTAGCTGGGCGTGGTGGCACATGCCTGTAATCCCAGCTACTCAGGAGGCTGAGGCAGAAGAATCGCTTGAACCCAGGAGGCAGAGTTGCAGTGAGCCGAGATGGCGCCGCTGCACTCCAGCCTAGGCAACAAGAGCGAAACTCCGTCTCAAAAAAAAAAAAAAAAAAAAAAACCCACCACATTGGAAATCATGATCATTAAGATAAAAAATGGAAAGCTATGTGCACGAGTCTCATTTTCCATTTAAGATTTAATGATGCACATCTTTAAGTGTCTAAATATGCCAGAATAACAATTATTAAAAGGACAGGAACACAAATTCTTCCCTTTTGATTAATTCAACTGATTAACTAAAAGCAACACACCATAACAACTTAATGAAACTCCAGGTATGCATCTCCTGCCACAGCATACATAACCATCATTTCTGAGCATTTCAGTCCCTCAAACTGACAGGTCTCATGAAAGGGAGACTGGATGCTCAGATATACATTGATAATAATTTATTACCTGAACAGAGTCTAGAAAGCAGCAGACCCAGATAGAAAAATCTAGAAAAGGTCCCTAGTCATACTGATAATATAACCACCACCACAAAAGGAAGGAGAAAAACTGGCAGCTGGGCATGTCACAAGTGGGCAAGAGAGCAGATGTGCGTTGGCGGCTCAGTTGAAACCCGGTACTGGAAAAATTTCAAGTTCAAATATTTAAGTATCATTTTTCAAGCTCAGCACCCAGAGGCAGCAATCACGAGCAGGTACCCCAACATCTCCTACCTGTCCAGCCTTCGACACTGGAAGTGTATAGATGAAAGTAATAAAAGCACACCAGTATTGTCTGGCTCTTGTCTCCAGAGCTGCATGCAGTGTCTCTCAGCTGCCTCAAAATCTCCTGCCTGATATTCTCGATGTGCCAACTCAGCTAACCCTTGGAAGGAAAGCATACGTTTCGTTGGTTCTGGAGAATCATCAAAACATTTGAGGGAAGGAGGGGGGAAAACAAAAAGTTAGAAATGTAAACCAAAAAAATGTAAAAATATGGTATATTTAACTTAAAAATGGAAATGCTTGAAACTATGTAAAGCACTAGAGTGTTCTGCACGTTATGTATATCTTCAAGTTAACATCAAGTGCAGAATTGGCATTTTTAGAATTCACCCATTAATACTTTCTTTCCCAAACTAGAAAGGAATATTTACTTCCATATGAGATTACATTTTATGACCAAAAATACTTTGTACTTTTAAATTATAAATCATAGGTAGCATCTAAGGATTCACTGAACATTATTCCTTATACCTTAGTTAACATACAGAAACAAAATATTAAACGTGTGATTTGCAAGGTCACAAAGACTTAATAATATCAGAATAACATATTGGGAAACGTAATATTTTGTGCCATATTTCAGGTTGGATTTGTTGAGGTGGAGTACTGGTAACAATCTATCAATCTTAACCTCAGTGAGGACACCAGATGTGTTAATTCTTTAAATTATATCAATTTTTGTATATTTCAGAATTTAATTCTTTAAAAGGACAAGTAGAAACGAGCCTAAGGGAAAAACCAAAAAGTCAAAGTGCTATTTTTAAAACAGCTGATAAACAAGATGTTTGTCATTTGACAACAGCCAAAATAGTTAAAGGGGTCATCAAACATTTTAAATAAAGACCCAAGATTACACTGCTCCTCTACCATCCCAAACTCAAAAGGAGACTAAATTGGCTAAATCCCACCCACGTTGGTTTAGCACTAACATTTTCCAAACAGCTCTGGTATTGACTAAAGGATTAAGACATTGCAAACAAGCCTATATAAGCCAGGCAGTTACCTGCAACTGCAATGGTCAAAACGTTGGGAGGGAGGGAGGATGGACGCTAAAATATATTTGATAAAGCGCAACATAATGAATAAATAAAAGCACTTCGCTGCAAGTGACTTAATCCAGATACATAAAGATCTTTAAAGGATATAGCTAAAGCCCAGAGAGGGAAAAAAAAAAAAAAAAAACTGCTTGTCACAACTGTAAATACTTAAACTGGGAATTCGACCGTAGCACTTCACTAGCTGGTTGAAATGGGAAACCATGGACAAATTATTTAATTCTACCAAGGTTAAGGTGACTAGTTCAAATTTGAGCCCAGCTCCCCAATCATCAGAGCTGATGAGCGTTCCGGATACTGAGGAAAGCAAAGTAAATTTCCTGACAGAATGCACAGCTGACCACCAACACAAAGAGCATTGAGACTTGCATCCACATCTGGGAGAGGTTATATCTTTAATAGAAACTAAAATTACATTTTAGCTAAGTCTCTAGAACTTCCTAGCTCCTTGTTTTCACACATTACTTTGTCACTTTTCAATGCCGCTTATCTGCTATTTTAACACTTGAAACGACAGCTTTCTCAAATAAATAACACATTAAAAAGGGCAAGCTAGTACAGAATCCAGTACAGAATCTTAAACCTTTGAAAATCACGGTGGAGACGTGGGGAGAGGAGCACGGACTAATTATTAATCCCACTCCCTACAATTACGGATAAGACACTATTGACGATTCACCTACTACTTACAGCACAACTTCCAGGAACAGTAGCTAAAACCCTCCACACATCTCAACTGAGAAACAACCAAAAAATAACCTCGCGGGAAACCTCAGAAGCGCAGCCCAATTCCCCACCCCCTTCCGCCCAAATCGCCTCAATATGGAAAGGCAGCTGAAGGACACTCCTACAATTTGGTTGTTTTCGTATTTTCAGTACCAAATGCTCGCGACTGAAGTGTCTAAAAGGGCAACCGCCTTGTACTTGTGCAGCTACACTCCAGTTGCTTTACAAACTCTTCAAGCAGGGATGGAAACTTAAAAGAATATTACACCCTGTGAATAAAGAGATACTGGGCTGAAGAATGGGGATGGCAGACCCAGAGGCGGCGGCGGAGGAATACATCGAGAAAGTAACACAAAGCGAGAATTGGGCGGGCAGGGTGGTCAACGCCAAAGCAGCAGCATCGGGGTGGTTTCTCCCCCAAGGATAGGAAGTGAACAGGGCTGGCAACCTCGCGAAGGGAAGGGTGTGGTTCCCCGCGGACAGGGTGGGAAATCCAGGCTGAGGGCAGCGGTGGAATTGGGCGATGGCAAAGGAAACCCCTGGAAATTTCCAATCTAAACCGGGACCGCTCAACCGAAAGAACACCAGAAAGGCACTGCCTAGCAGGGTGCTGCTCAATGTCCCCTCTTCTCGAGGTGACTTGTGGCACCATCGACGAGCTTTTGATCGTCCTCGGGTGATGCAAAGTGAGGATATGATTACATCGGAACGGCACCCCCGCCCTAGATTGGCAGAGAAGGACCAAATCTGGCTAAGGGGAAAAGACTGGGGGGGGAGATGAAGGAGGAGATGGAGGGGAAAAAGGAGAGGCGATGAGCTGGAATTAGGGGAGAAAACCGCTGCAAAGGAGTGAAAGGGCAGGGATTCCAATGCAGTCCATTCCACGACATTCTAAGCGCGCACGTGTGATAAAAGCGCCTGGAGAGAGTGGAATGCTAGAACATTTACGAAATAAAAACAAAGCAAGAAAGGCAGCAAAAAGCAAGCAAGGGAGGAGGAGGAAATGTTCGGGAAGCGGACAACAGCGGAAAACCCGATGTGATCAGATGCCAGTAGACCACGAAAAGCTTAGCAATGTCACTGATGTAATGGGGATGGTTCGAGGGAAGGGAGGGAAGGAGTGATACAAGGTAGAGGACGGCGCGAGACCCCAAGGGGGCATCTGCCAAGGTAGAACGGGACACCGGTACCTGTGCTGTCGGCCACGTTGCCCACGGAAGACGCCATCTGGAGCTTCTCGAGGGAGAGCAAAAAAGAGGTAATTGGTCCTGCTGCCGCCACTACCAGCAAGAACGTATTTGGAGGTAGTAGTACAAGGGCAGCAGCCGTAGCAATGCTCTGGAGGGCTTGAGCGGCGGCAGCAGTTACAGGCTTCAAACCCTGGGAACTCTAATTGACCATCTACCTAGTACGGTCTTGAAATGGCGGCGACGGCTCCTCGGCCGAAACAACATGGGCCGGAACTACTTTCTGTTACAATCAAGTGCCCGCGCGGAGGTAGCCGGTAACCAGCGCCGCCAACAAAATGACTTCAAGCTGCAAAGTCGAGATTCCATGTAGTCCTCCGCGCAGCGCCCATTGCGACAAACACCACGGTGGAGACCGCGCATGCGAGCAGCCCTGTCAACCCGACTCGTGGTTAGGGCACTCTCTGGGGCGGAAGCGGCCAAGTTTCTTAAGAGTGTAGCGGAAGGGTAAAAACAAACACACACGGGACGGATACGTTTTTGCCACCGCGATTAAGAAGAGTGTTTGTTACTTAGCAGGTGGTGTCGTTTTAAACATAAATGCCAAAGGCGTCTAAAAAAGTTTATCAACTGTATTCGTACAAAAACGGATGGTTACGACTCTCACGGATCAATTCTGAGCCAGTCAATTCAGAAGATTGCCTCTCAAAGACAGCTGCTCAAAACGAGGAGCGAGAGGGTTCCGATTTGAGCCCGTCTTCATTGTGACTCGGCCATCGATTTCAGCACTTCGATGAAAAAGACTGAAGCTTTCACAGGGCCAGTTGAATGCAGACACCTTCAATGTTGGCCGTATAGCCTGAAATTTCAAAATCGTTTTGGTATTCAGAATACTCCTGCCCACGGTGATAGGGCAAATGTTTAATAACTCAGGGACATGCTGGGCGTTTGCACTCCGAAGGCAGCCATAAAAATGTTAAAGGTGATTCACGTTCGTCAAAATCCATGACTCTCCTCGAGTTGTGACTTCATTTCCACCAGCTAGCTCTGCACATTGTCACAGTCGGCGATTCCACTGAGCTCAAAGCAGATCAACAATGATAAATGAATTCACTTGCCATCTGCCTAAACCACACGTCTAGATTGAGTCATGAATTGCCTCTACTTCCTTGAACAAATCGGTTCTTACGATCTTCCTGCAGTTTCAAGTCTACTGTTCAGACATTTTGTCACATTGGTATTTATACTTCACCTCTTGTTCTAGAAACGACTTAAGGTAGCTTGCCACATCAGCAAGAAAGTATTACAAGCCACTGGAGGCTACAAGTTGGATCTCTGAGAGCCTTTTTATTTCAAAAAGTCCTTGATCTAAGAAAGCAGGTCAATGAATTTCTTCAAAAAGTTTTTGCTACCTAGCCCCTTCACTACATTTTTTAAAACTAAGTCCTCAAATTCTGCTTAAATTTCTTCAAAACAGTCAACAAACAATTAATTATGGAAATGGCACAGAGAAAATTCATAATGCTAATTTCTTCCATCCCATAATCAAGAGTCACATCATGCAGTGAAAAAGACAAAAATCACTACACAAACTCTCCTGAAAATTGAGCACCAACCTCTTGTAATTTGATTTAACTGGTAAAACCTCCCCCCCGCACACACACACCTACTACAAGTTCCCTATCTGTAATGAGTAAACTCAGCTTTTCAACTTTTAGAAGAGACTTCTCAGATTCCACTGGCAGATGTTTAGGCCTTGCTGATGAGCGGGTGCTAGCTAATTAACAAAAACTCTTTTTGTTGTTAAATGCAGGTCATGTTCCTAATTCTTCAGCCAATAAGTAACATTTACTAGAGTCTCTATGTGCAAGGCACTGTGGGGGGCACAAAAATGAACAGAAATCCTCGCCCTCAAGGAATCTGAAGCCTAGTTAGGTAGACACAAAAAGCTACTAGAGAGCAATACAGAAGACTATTTAGATGATAAAATATATTACTCTCTATGAATATCTAGGGAGGAAACAGGTAAGGTTGGAGGGGGTGAGAAAGAAGCCTTGATCTAGACATTGAAGGAAGTGCTTTTGTATGTTTTTTATTGTTGTTCACATTGATTTCTGGGTTTTTTTTATGTGCAATTTTAAATTTAGAACCAATTATAATTAAATCAGCTGGGTCTTCAACCCCAATCCCAAACTTTGTCACCCAGTAACACCACTGATGTTGCATTACTTTTTTTGCTGCTGTGTAACAAAGTATCACAAATACAGCTGCTCAGAACAACACACATTTCACAGCAGTAGCACCAGCGCTGGATGAGACCCGGGCTGGTGGCTGCTGTTGCACTGCTGCTGAAAAAAAATGGCTCCAAAGGTTAAATGAAGCCAAAGAAATACATAGATGTGAGAGGAGAAGCCAGCTGGACTTCCTGGGTTGGGTGGGGACTTAAAGAACTTTTCTGTCTTACAAGAGGATTGTAAAATGCACCAATCAGCACTCTGTAGCTAGGATTGTAAAACGCACCAATCAGCGCTCTGTGGCTAGCTAGAGGTTTGTAAAATGCGCCAATCAGTGCTCTGTAAAAACACACCAATCAGTGCTCTGTGGCTAGCTAGAGGTTTGTAAAATGGACCAATCAGCAGTCTGTAAAATGGACCAATCAGCGCTCTGTAAAATGGACCAATTAGCACCTTGTAAAATGGACCAATCAGCACTCTGTAAAATGGACCAATCAGCAGGACATGGGTGGGGACAAATAAGGGAATAAAAGCTGGCCACATTCCGCACCCACCCACCCACCCACCCACCAGGCCAGTAGTAGCAACCCACTCGGGTCTCTTTCCACACCGTGGAAGCTGTGTTCTTTCCGTCTTCACAATGAATCTTGCTGCTGCTCACTCTTTGAGTCCGTGCCACCTTTAAGAGCTGTAACACTCACCGTGAAGGTCCGTGGCTTCATTCTTGAAGTCAGCGAGACCAGGAACCCACCAAAAGGAACCAACTCCAGAACCACCTCCGGAGGGAGATGCAGCCGCACAGGCTCTCCAGGGGTGCGGGACTAATATTCCAGAGAGAAATTGGTCCCCTGGATGAAGTAACCAGTCACAAAGACTAATTAAAATTGATCTTAAAACCTTCCAGAAATCTTGTAACCTGAATAAAAGTAAAGAAGAAACTGATTTCATGGTAGTACAACAACCATCACTAACTAGTGAATGTGGAAAAGATGATTTCTTATTTGGTAGCTGCACTGGTAAAGATATGGCCACCTGTGATATCAACAGTGAAAGATGAAAAAGGTAAAAAAGGAAAAAACAATGAAAGCCTAATGAGTACATTGAAAAAGGCAGCTTTCTGCAAAACAAAAGCAGAACAGCAAGGGGAGCACACCCTATGGGAGTTCTGCCAGATGAGGATACTTTTTCTCTCAGCACCAACAGTCTTTAAAGATGTGAGAGCTCAAAGACCAATAAGGTCCACTTCCCTCCACAATCCTCACTGTAGTCCTCTCCTTGGCTTACAAACTAAGGAGACACGTATCAAAACGGAGATGAGACGAAGAGACTCAAAGCCTTGGTTCATTCTTCCAATCCAAGTCTGGCACGGATTTTCACTATCTTCAGCCTGAAGCTGCATACAAAGAACAAAGTAAAGAGTTCAAAATTTCAGAATGGAGACTTGCATCTTCACTTCAAGGAACATGTGCCTGTACTTATTGGACTTATGCCTCAAGACTATATTCAGTATTCTATGCCTTTAGATGAGAGGCTTTATCCTTTGCAAGGGTGTCATGCTATTGTCTGGACAGTTCTCCCATGGAAGTGAGTGGTGAAGCCAGCTGGACTTCTGGGTTGGGTGGGGACTTGGAGAACTTTTGTGTCTTACAAGAAGATTGTAAAACGCACCAATCAGCACTCTGTGTTTAGCTAAAGGATTGTAAATGCACCAATCAGCACTCTGTAAAAATGCACCAGCCAGGTGCAGTGGCTCACACCTGTAATCCCAGCACTTTGGGAGGCTGAAGCAGGCAGATCATGAGGTCAGGAGATGGAGACCATCCTGGCTAACATGGTGAAACCCCGTCTCTACTAAAAATACAAAAAATTAGTCAGGCGTGGTGGCGGGCACCTGTAGTCCCAGCTACTTGGGAGGCTGAGGCATGAGAATGGCATGAACCCAGGAGGCGGAGGTTGCAGTGAGCTGAGATTGCACCACTGCACTCCAGCCTGGGCGACAGAGCGAGACTCTGTCTCAAAAAAAAAAACAAAAACAAAACGCACCAATCAGCGCTCTGTTTCTAGCTAAAGGATTGTAAATGCACCAATCAGCACTCTGTAAAATGCACCAATTAGCGCTCTGTGTCTAGCTAAAGAATTGTAAAAACACCAAAGAGCACTCTGTAAAATGGACCAATCAGCACTCTGTAAAATGGACCAATCAGCAGGATGTGGGCGGGGACAAATAAAGGAATAAATGCTGGCCGCCCCCAGCCCCACTGGCAACCTGCTTGGGTACCCTTTCACGCTATGGAAGCTTTGTTCTTTTGCTCTTCACAATAAATCTTGCTGCCGCTCACTCTTTGGGTCTGTGCTACCTTTAAAGAGCTGTAACACTCACCGCGAAGGTCCACGGCTTCATTCTTGAAGTCAGCAAGACCAAGAACCCACTGGAAGGAACCAACTCCGGACACAGATGTTTCTGGGAATTCTATCCCCAAAGCTGAGAATCGGGTAGAGCAGGACCTGGTCGTTGCTCCAGAGATCTTTGTGGATCCATCTCTGAATGGCTTGTTCATTGGTACCTGTAAGGAGTTACAATGCAGAGCCCAAGAGCAAGCCATGAAGACATTCCTGAAGACACTTTCATCATTACTACCTCCAATACAGAATCTAAAGGAACTTCTGTGGACTCACAGGTGCAGTTGTCTATGTGTGTGTCTGAAAGTACCCACTGTCATTTGAATTCTAATCCTGACTGTCCTCCTGGGGTTGCAAGAGTTGATGATTCTGTCCAAAGTAGTGACACTATGGTTGTGACAAGCCTTACAGAGGAGCTGAAAAAACCTGCAAAATAATAATGGTGCTGGGGGCAATCATACACTGACAGGCAGAAGAAAAGTGAGCAAATGTGCTAGATGGTTTTTTTCTTGTCCCAGATAGCCATAATGACTGTTATCTTTCAAGCTCAAGCTTTTGCTCCCATGGTAAAACACTTCACACTAGAATTGAACACTCGAATGGTAGGTTTTGCTTTTATGAGCAACCAGATGTGAAAGGACAATTAGTTGATCTAATTGAACATTCAACCAGGGACTCTGGAAAATAGAGTTTTTTCTTATTGAAGGTCTCGGTTACCTGGATCTGCAATTTACCCTGTAAGACTGACCAATCCAATACTACAATTCATACAGTTTTGTTCTTTGCAGCACCCATGACATTTGTTTTATGTCAGCATACCAGAATAGACTTATTTCAAAAACTGCCTTTGCCAAACAAAATGAAGGCTTATTTACAGGAGAAGCATTGCTAAAGGATTATGAAAACCCTGCATCTTGCACTTTGGAATCAAGAAAAAGAGACTGAAATACAGTTTTACAAACTTTCGTTGCTATCAATTTTGATGCCATAACTGTTTCAGTTTTATGTGTAAAAGAGTAATCAATTTGTTGAGAGGTGGGGAAGTGTTGGCAAGGTGTCTTGAGTTTATTTTGGTCCTTTAAAAAGTAAAGTCTTGAGTTCTTAGAAGTGTGAATTATCTTTATCAATTTCCAAAATAATTACAATAGGAATTCTCAGATTCTCCTTAATCTGCCGCAACTCCTCCTCCACTGCTACTCCCACTCCTTTGCTGCTGTCCACTATGATTTTTATGTATTGAAAGCACATTTCATATGTATTCAATCCCAAGTAAAGTAAAGTTGAATGAAATTTTTCTTTTCTTTTTTTTTTTTTTTTTTGAGACGGAGTTTGGCTCCTGTTGCCCAGGTTGGAGTGCAGTGGCACGATCTCACCTTGCTGCAACCTCCGCCTCTCAGGTTCAAGCAATTCTCCTGCCTCAGACTCCCGAGTAGCTGGGATTACAGGCACGTGCCACCACACCCAGCTAATTTTTGTATTTTTAGTAGAGACGGGGTTTCGCTATGTTGGCCAAGCTGGTCTCAAAGTCCTAACCTCAGGTGATCTGCCTGCCTCAGCCTCCCAAAGTGCTGGGATTACAGGTGTGAGCCACCTCACCCTGCCTGAATGAAATTTTTCAAATGAAAATTGTTGTCTTTATTTTTGAGACAGGGTCTCACCCTGTCACCCAGGCTGGAGTGCAGTAGCATGATCACAGGGCATGGTGGTGTGTGGTAGGAGGATCGCAGTGGGAGGATCCTGGACTCAAGTGATCCTCCCACCACGAGCCACCACACCCAGCTAATTTTTTTTTTTTTTTTTTTAAGAGACTGGGTTTCACTATGTTGCCCAGGCTGGTCTTGAACTCCTGGCCTTACGTGATCCTCCTGCCTTGGCCTCTCAAAATGCTGGAGATTACAGGCATGATGGATGCCTGTAATTACTGGCCTAAAAATTGTTGTCTCTTCAAATGGCCCATTTTCAAAAGCTAGTGTTGAAGAGACATACGTATGTGATAAAACACAGAATTTACATATACCTTGTACATTAGATTACATATTTTTAATCTTACACTTTAGAAAGATTTAGAATTATGCATTGATATAATCTTAGACAATAGAACACAGATCTGCAACATATCTTTTAGAACATCGTTTTCCAAATTATTTTAAGGTTGCACTAATTTTTTGGTTGTGAAAAGTTGAATTTTTCTGTTGCCTTCATTTTCATCTGTGGTTTGTCCTCTTTTTAAGTGGCCTTGCACATAAAAATCTTAAATTTATCCCACCAATATAGACATTGTTGCTTTTTCTGTTATTAAACTCTGCTATAAATTGTCATAACATATAAAGACAACTAGAACTATTATTTTTTAAAGTATTAGATGATCTTAGATTTCTATGATAGTATTTTTTGTGTTATCTATATTTTCCTTTGGTAAATGTTTTATCTTGATCTTGTTAGATTAGTAAACATTATCTTGGTTAGAACTTGATTGTACAATTGGTTTTTGTAAGTGATTGTATTATCTTGCAACATTAAAATTTTTATAAAGTTTGAATTGATTTGAATAAAAAGAAAACATTGTTTAAAAAAGAAAAAGCATTGAAGATGGATTTATATTTTTCTTTAATGTAGTCACTATTAAATATGCTACATTTGACCCCTGCCCTCCCTACTTTGCACAAAAAAAGACTCTGCCAGATTTATGGGAGTCTTGTTGCATACCATATATACTGCCATTTAAAAAATAGTTATTTTGTGGGGAAGCACAGTGGCTCACACCTGTAATCCTAGCACTTTGGGAGGCCAAAGTGGGAGGATCGCTTGAGCCTAGGAGTTTGACATCAGCCTGGACAACATGGTGAAACCCCATCTCTACAAAAAAAAAAAAAAATACAAAAAAATTAGCTGGGTGTGGTGGTGCTTGCCTGTGGGCCCAGCTACTCAGGAGGCTGAAATGGGAGAATCACCTGAGCCCAGGGAGGTGGAGGTTGCAGTGAGCCAAGATCACACGACTGCATTCCAGCCTGGGCGACCAAGCAAGACCCTGTCTCAAAAAAAAAAAATAGTTTTTTGTTTGTTTATTTTTATTTTACCTAAGTCTCAAGTAATTTGGAACCATTAATCTTTTTATTCTCTGAATCAGTAGTAATTGGAGGTGGTTATCCCCAATAGTTTTCAGTTATTGTGAAATGCAGCATGTGTATTCATTGCACAATGCTGTAATGTAGTGTTTTTGTATTGCCTTGTTTAGAAGATGTTTCCAGTTACACAGCTTTAAAGGAAAATGTTTTCATCTCACAAAAAACATGTAATTCAAGGTGTTTCTTCCTTTGTCTTTTACAGTTTTCCTATCTCTACCCTCATTTAAACACAGAGGCAGGGCCAGGGGTGGTGGCTCACGCCTGTAATCCCAGCACTTTGGGAGGCCGAGGCAGGCGGGTCACCTGAGGTCAGGGTTTCCAGATCAGCCTGGCCAACATGGTGAAACCCCCTCTTTACTAAAAATATAAAAATTAGCCGGGTGTGGTGGCGGGTGCCTGTAATCCCAGCTACTCTGGAGGCTGAGGCAGGAGAATTGCTTGAACCTGGGAGGTGGAGGTTGCAGTGAGCCAAGATCACACCACTGCACTCCAGCCTGGGCCACAAGAGTGAAACTCTGTCTCAAAAATAAATAAATAAATAAATAAACACAGAGGTAAAGGTCTTAAGTCAAACTTAATGGCTTTGTCATTCAAACATATCTGTATCCCCACTTATTAATTTTCCTTTTTTTTTTTTTTTGAGACAGAGTCTCACTCTGTCACCTAGGCTAGAGTGCAGTGGTGCGATCTCAGCTCACTGCAAACTCTGCCTCCCGGGTTCAAGTGATTCACCTGCCTCAGCCTCCGGAGTAGTTGGGATTACAGGCAACCGCCACTGCACCTGGCTGATTTTTGTATTTTTAGTAGAGATGGGGTTTCACCATGTTGGCCAGGCTGGTCTTGAATTCCTGACCTCGTGATCCGCCCTCCTTGGCCTCCCAAAGTGCTGGGATTACAGGCGTGAGCCACCACACCCAGCCATTTTTTTTTTTTTTAGAAACAGGATCTTGCTCTGCCACCCTCCCACCTCAGCCTCCCAAGTAGCTGGGACTACATGTGTGCACCACCACACCCAGCTTTTTCTCTGTTTTTTGAGATCAGACTGAGATATTATCAGAAAAGACACAAAGCCATAATATCATGGTATTATGCTATTTTGACTTAAAGGGGAAAAGGTACTTAATTTTGCATAAACATTGGTTGTACCTTGTTAATGAAGATTCATTTTCTGATATATTTTCACCTAATATGACACAATATGGAGTGTGTTGTAATATGTGTTCACTATAACACTATAAGAACTATTACAGACTGGGTGAGGTGGCTCACATCTGTCATCCCAGCACTTTGGGAGGCCAAGATGGGCAGATTGCCTGAGCTCAAGAGTTCAAGACCAGCCTGGGCAACATGGCAAAACCCTGTCTCTACAAAAAAAAATTAAAAATACAAAAATCAGCTGGGTGTGGTGGCATGCTCTGGTAGTCCCAGCTACTCGGGAGGCTGAGGTGGGAGGATCACTTGAGCCTGGGAGGTCGAGGCTACACTGAGCCGTGTTTGTGCCACTGCACTCCGGCCTGGGTGACAGAGCAAGAATCTCTAAAAAAAAAAAAAAAAAAAAAAAGAACTATTACAGTTGTGAACTTGTTCTCAAATTGATGCAGACATTTAAACTACTTTTTTGGCAAAACTGTTTATATGTAAACAATTTAAAATGTATCTAGGGTGAGTTAAAAGTTCCTGTGCATCTATATTAGGATGGCAGGTATTGTCAGAGAGCCACTGTATGTTAATAGTAAATGTTGAAATGGCTTCTTCATGTTTCGAGAAGCACTTACTTGTACTATTTGTGAAATCATGGTGCACAGAGATCTTTGAATTGTCCTGAATCCCATTGTATCATGTGAACATAACTTGTCCCCTGAGTTTTCCTTATGATACTATGTGTTTAAGATCTGGCTGTTTAGTGTCAACATTACTCAAATTTTCATCTAAATGTTTTTAAAGTTGTATTTTATGTTGTTTTGGAGAACAAATGTAAATACTGTTCTCTGTCATAAAGTAAATATTTGATGTGCTTTGTATAGCCATAATATATTTAAAGAAATATACCCTGTCATAATACAATTTGAAATTGTTAAATTCTGATAGCATATTGATGAAAATAAAAGTGTTTGCCAAGAAATTAACTGAATTTACAAACAGAAAGAAAGGAGTATTGCAATATTTTCTGCTTTTGTATGGCAAGATAGTCATTTGACATAGGTAGCACAACATTATGTGAAAGATTAACTTTATATGATACTAAAACAGTCTGGTTAAAAATGGAAAGGAAAAGGAGAAATAAAACTTCATTCTGTAGTTTGGTCTAAATACATTTTGATCATAGTTTTGGATGGTAGCTGAGATGACATATGGACACAACCTATAACGGATTTTTTTTTTTTTTTTTTTTTTTTTTTTGAGAGGGAGTCTTGCTCTGTCTCCAGGCTGGAGCGCAGTGGTACGATCTCGGCTCACTGGAACCTCTGCCTCCCGGGCTCAAGCGATTCTCCTGCCTCAGCCTCCTGAGTGGTGGGGACTACAGGCGCACATCACCATGCGCAGCTAATTTTTGTATTTTTTGTAGAGACAGTGTTTCGCTATGTTGCCCAGGCTGGTCTTGAACTCCTGAGCTCAGGTGATCTCCTTGCCTCGGCCTCCCAAAGTGCTGGGATTACAGGCGTGAGCCACTGCATCCAGTCTTATACCTGATTTTTAAATATGTGCTTCTAAAAATCTAAGCTCAAAGGAAAAAAAAGGAAAGAAAGAAAAAAGAAAAGAAAGAAAACAGGCAGGAAAGCTCTATCCATTTGCCATGATAAATAGATCAGAGGTTTTTTTAAATCAAAAGTTTTATCACAAAATATGATGAAGACCAGAGTTATTGTCAAGCCTTACTAGGACACTATTATGCATTTCTACAAATAAGAACGCTATTGAAAGAACACTAAAGTTCTCATTCCCTCTTTCTCAGAAAAAAAAAAGGAAGAAGAAGAAAAGAGAAAAAACCTATTTTCTTTCTACTTGGTGCAATATTCTGAAATTTTAGAAGGTCAAAATATTTATCACAGGAAATTATGATAGAACTAAAATAGTTTTCAAGGAGACCAACTGCACAGGGCAGCTATCTTGCTCTTGAAGAAAATCAAGTGTCATCTAGGAAGTAAATTATAAAGTACACATTATAGTTTCTGAGTCAGTATTATTAAAACAGGATAAAAGTTACTAAAATCTTTTTTTTTTTTTGTTTTGAGACTGAGTCTCACTCTGTCGCCCAGGCTGGAGTGCAGTGGCACAATCTCAGCTCACTGCAGCCTCTGCCTCTCAGGTTCAGGCAATTCTCCTGCCTCCCCAGCCTCCCGAGTAGCTGGGATTACAGGTGCCCACCCCCACACCCAGGTAATTTTTGTATTTTTAGTAGAGACGGGGGTTTCACCATGTTGGCCAGGCTGGTCTTGAACTCCTGACCTAGTGATCAGCCTGCCTCGGCCTCCCAAAGTGCTGGGATTACAGGCGTGAGCCACTGCATCCAGTCTTATACCTGATTTTTAAATATGTGCTTCTAAAAATCTAAGCTCAAAGGAAAAAAAAGGAAAGAAAGAAAAAAGAAAAGAAAGAAAACAGGCAGGAAAGCTCTATCCATTTGCCATGATAAATAGATCAGAGGTTTTTTTAAATCAAAAGTTTTATCACAAAATATGATGAAGACCAGAGTTATTGTCAAGCCTTACTAGGACACTATTATGCATTTCTACAAATAAGAACGCTATTGAAAGAACACTAAAGTTCTCATTCCCTCTTTCTCAGAAAAAAAAAAGGAAGAAGAAGAAAAGAGAAAAAACCTATTTTCTTTCTACTTGGTGCAATATTCTGAAATTTTAGAAGGTCAAAATATTTATCACAGGAAATTATGATAGAACTAAAATAGTTTTCAAGGAGACCAACTGCACAGGGCAGCTATCTTGCTCTTGAAGAAAATCAAGTGTCATCTAGGAAGTAAATTATAAAGTACACATTATAGTTTCTGAGTCAGTATTATTAAAACAGGATAAAAGTTACTAAAATCTTTTTTTTTTTTTGTTTTGAGACTGAGTCTCACTCTGTCGCCCAGGCTGGAGTGCAGTGGCACAATCTCAGCTCACTGCAGCCTCTGCCTCTCAGGTTCAGGCAATTCTCCTGCCTCCCCAGCCTCCCGAGTAGCTGGGATTACAGGTGCCCACCCCCACACCCAGGTAATTTTTGTATTTTTAGTAGAGACGGGGGTTTCACCATGTTGGCCAGGCTGGTCTTGAACTCCTGACCTAGTGATCAGCCTGCCTCGGCCTCCCAAAGTGCTGGGATTACAGGCGTGAGCCACTGCATCCAGTCTTATACCTGATTTTTAAATATGTGCTTCTAAAAATCTAAGCTCAAAGGAAAAAAAAGGAAAGAAAGAAAAAAGAAAAGAAAGAAAACAGGCAGGAAAGCTCTATCCATTTGCCATGATAAATAGATCAGAGGTTTTTTTAAATCAAAAGTTTTATCACAAAATATGATGAAGACCAGAGTTATTGTCAAGCCTTACTAGGACACTATTATGCATTTCTACAAATAAGAACGCTATTGAAAGAACACTAAAGTTCTCATTCCCTCTTTCTCAGAAAAAAAAAAGGAAGAAGAAGAAAAGAGAAAAAACCTATTTTCTTTCTACTTGGTGCAATATTCTGAAATTTTAGAAGGTCAAAATATTTATCACAGGAAATTATGATAGAACTAAAATAGTTTTCAAGGAGACCAACTGCACAGGGCAGCTATCTTGCTCTTGAAGAAAATCAAGTGTCATCTAGGAAGTAAATTATAAAGTACACATTATAGTTTCTGAGTCAGTATTATTAAAACAGGATAAAAGTTACTAAAATCTTTTTTTTTTTTTGTTTTGAGACTGAGTCTCACTCTGTCGCCCAGGCTGGAGTGCAGTGGCACAATCTCAGCTCACTGCAGCCTCTGCCTCTCAGGTTCAGGCAATTCTCCTGCCTCCCCAGCCTCCCGAGTAGCTGGGATTACAGGTGCCCACCCCCACACCCAGGTAATTTTTGTATTTTTAGTAGAGACGGGGGTTTCACCATGTTGGCCAGGCTGGTCTTGAACTCCTGACCTAGTGATCAGCCTGCCTCGGCCTCCCAAAGTGCTGGTATTACAGGCGTGAGCCACCGTGCCCGGCCAGTTACTAAAATCTTAAATGGGTTATGAGCAATCTCTCTGTTAATGCTACATCTCAATATTTTCTTTAAAATGCCTTCAGTTACAAAAAATTAGCCGGGCATGGTGGCGGGCACCTGTAGTTCCAGCTACTCGGGAGGCTGAGGCAGGATAATGGCGTGAACCCAGGAAGCAGAGCTTGCAGTGAGCCGAGATCACACCACTGCACTCCAGCCTGGGCAACAGAGCGAGACTCCATCTCAATAAATAAATAAATAAATAAATAAATAAATAAAATAAAATGCCTTCAGGCCAGGGGCGGTGGCTCACACCTGTAATCCCAACACTTTGGGAGGCCGAGGTGGGCGGATCACTTAAGGTCAGGAGTGCAAGACCAGCCTGACCAACATGGCGAAACCCCATCTCCACTAAAAATACAACAACAAAAAAATTAGCCAGGCATGGTGGTGGGCACCTGTAATCCCAGCTACTCTGGAGGCTGAGGCAGGAAAATCGCTTGAGCGCAGGAGGTAGAGGCTGTAGTGAGCCTAGATCGAGCCACTGCACTCCGGCCTGGGTGACAGAGCTAGACTCTGGCTCAAAAACAAACAAACAAACAAACAATAAATAAAACAAGGAACAATTGCCAGTTCCATAAATAAATTTCTAAAATAAAGTATTGGTACACTAGCAATCACAAATTTAGTTTTTTATAATACTCTTTAACCTTTTTATAAACATCCTTTTTATTTGTTTTTATTTTTTTTATTTTTATTTTTTTGAGATGGAGTCTCGCTCTGTCTCCCAGGCTGGAGTGCAGTGGCGCGATCTCGGCTCACTGCAAGCTCTGCCTCCCGGGTTCATGCCATTCTCCTGCCTCAGCCTCCCGAGTAGCTGGGACTACAGGCGCCCGCCACCACGCCTGGCTGATTTTTTGTATTTTTAGTAGAGACGGGGTTTCACCATGTTAGCCAGGATAAACATCCTTTTTATTAATCAATTATAACATGGCAAAATATGTAGTCACTGTTTCTGAAGAGAGTGTTCCAAACTCTACATTTAGGAGTAATGAAAAATTATTATTACTTTTTTTTTTTTTTTGAGACGGAGTCTCGCTCTGTCGCCCAGGCTAGAGTGCAGTGGCTTGATCACCGGCTCACTGTAACCTCCGCCTCCCGGATTCACGCCATTCTCCTTCCTCAGCCTCCCGAGCAGCTGGGACCACAGGCACCCGCCACCACGCCTGGCTGATTTTTTGTATTTTTAGTAGAGACGGGATTTCACCGTGCTAGCCAGGATGGTCTCGATCTCCTGACCTCGTGATCCGTCTGCCTCGGCCTCCCAAAGTGCTGGGATTACAGGCATGAGCCACCGCGCCCGGCCAGGGTAATGAAAAATTCTTATAGAATTTTATAATAAGTAGCTGGGTTCAGTGGCTCAGTGGCTCACATCTGTAATCCCAGCATTTTGGGAGGCTGAGGCGGGCAGATCACGAGGTCAGGAGTTCGAGACCAGCCTGACCAACATGGTGAAATCCCATCTCTACTAAAAATACAAAAAATTATCCGGGCATGGTGGCACGCGCCTGTAGTTCCACCTACTCGGGAGGCTGAGGCAGGAGAATTGTTTGAACCCGGGAGGCGAAGGTTGCAATGAGCCGAGATTGCGCCACTGCACTCCAGCCCAGGTGACAGAGCCAGACTCCGTCTCAAAAAAAAAAAAAAAAAAAAAGAAAGAAAAGAAAAGAATTTTGTAATAAGTATACATTGGATTAAAGAAATTTTATAGTCATGTTGAAGTGTTATGAAATTAACACTTGCAATCAGACTTCTGTAATTAACACCTTTTCTCTGTTTCAAATCAGGTGTGTACCATTTGTATTTAGAATCCCACAGAATTATCCCAATTCCATTGATTTCAACATGTTTTGGTTTGTAAACAAAGTGATTTCTTGGCCTGGCATGGTGGCTCACGCCTGTAATCCCAACACTTTGGGAGGCTGAGGTGGGCAGATTGCCTGAGCCTCAGGAGTTGGAAACCACCCTGGGCAACATGGTGAAACCCCGTCTCTACTAAAATACAAAAAAAATTAGCTGGGCATGGTGGCACTCGCCTGTAATCCCAGCTACTTGGGAGGCTGAGGCGGGAGAGGCTTGAGCCCAGAAGGCAGAGGCTGCAGTGAGCCAAGTTCATGCCACCGCACTCCAGCCTGGGCAATAGAGCAAGACTCCGTCTCAAAAACAAACAAAGTGATTTCTTATACACTTCTGGGAATTAATTGTATAAGAATTTATGTATCTGTTTCTAGATATAGTCTATATATATACATTTTTTAAGTGGAGATGGGAGTTTCACCATGTTGCCCAGGTTGGTCTGGAACTCTGGGCTCAAGCAATCTGCCTGCCTCAGCCTCCCAAGGTGCTGGGACTACTGTGCCCAGTCTTAATTTTTTAATTTTTATTTAAGGGTACAGTAGTGTGCACTTGTGGTACCAGGTACTTGGGAGCGTCAGGAAGGAGGATTGCTTGAGCCCAGGAGTTTGGAGCTGTAATGCGATATGATTACACCTGTGAACAGCCACTGCACTCCAGCCTGGGCAATGTAGCAATACTTTATCTCTAAATAAAAATTCATTTAAAAAACAATAAACCCCCCTACACATACACACACATTTATTTTCTTACACTTTCCATGGATCAAGAATCCAGGCACAGGTTAACTGGGTCCTCTGCTCAGGGTCAAGGTGTTGGCCAGGCTTCAAACTCATATGAGGCTAAAGGTCTTCTTCCAGACTCATGTAGTTGTGGCAGAATTTAGTTCCTTGTGGCTGTAGGACTGAAGTTCCCATATTCTTGCTGGCAGTTGGGGTGGTGGGTGCTCTCAACTGTTAGAAGCCACACATATTCCTTGTCTTGTTTTGTTTTTTAATTTTTAATTTTAATTTTTGTGGGTACCATAGTAGGTGTATATATTATGGGGTACATGAAATATTTTGATACAGGCATACAATGCATAATAATCACATCAGGGTGAATGGGGTATTTGTCACCTCAAGCATTTATCCTTTGTGTTACAAACAATCCGATTATATTCTTTTAGCTATTTTTAAATGTACAATAAATTATTGACTATAGTCGCCCTATTGTACTATAAAATACTAGAACTTATTCATTCTATCCAACTATATTTTTCTATCCATTAACCATCCCACCTTTCCTCCCCCCTCCACTACCCTTCCCAGCCTCTGGTAACCACCTTCTACTCCCCACATTCTGGTGATGTGGCCTCCTCCCTCTTCGAAGTCAGCAATGGAGAATCTCCCTTGTGTCAAATTCCTGTCACGCTTTGAATCTCACAAGAAATAGCCCAGTTCCCTCCCGCCCTTTTAAAATTGTGGTTAAAAAACACCCAACAGCCTGTAAATCCCAGCACTTTGGGAGGCCGAGGCGGGCAGATTGCTTGAGCCCAGTAGTTTGAGACCAGCCTGGTCAACATAGTGAAACCACGTCTCTGCTAAAAATAAAAATTAAAAAAAAAGAAATTAAGAAAAAATGAGCTGGGAGTGGTGGCAGGAGCCTGTAGTCTCAGCTACTGGGGAGGCTGAGGCAAGAGAATCACTTGAGCCCAGGAGGTGGAGGTTGCAGTGAGCCAAGATCGCGCCACTGCACTCCAGCCTGGGCGACAGAGAGAGACTGCATCTCAAAACAACAACAACAACAACAGCAACAAAAAATCCCACAACATAAAATTTACCACCGTAACTTTTTTTTTTTTTTTTTTTTAAGACGGGGTCTCACTCTGTCCCCCAGGCTAGAATGCAGTGGCGTGATGACAGCTCACTGTAGCCTTGAACTCTTGGGCTCAAGTGATCCTCCTACCTCAATCTCCCAAAGTATTGGCATTACAGGCGTGAGCCGCTGCACGTGGCCCATCTTAACCCTTTTTAAGTGTGCAGTTCAGTAGTGTTAAGTAGATTCACATTGTTGTGCAATGGATCTCCAGAACTTTTTCATCTTACAAAACTGAATCTCTATCCATTCAAAAACAGCTCAGGCTGGGCACGGTGGCTAATGCCTCTAATCCCAGGACTTTCGGAGGCCGAGGCTGGCAGATTGCTTGAGCCCAGGAGTTTGAGACCAGTCTGGGCAACATGAAGAAATCCCAACTCTACAAAAAAAAAAAAAAAAGCAAAAAATCAGCTGAGCATTGTGGCCCGAACCTATAGTTCCAGCTACTCGGGAGGCTAAGGTGGGAGGATCACCTGAGCCTCAGAATTCGAGGCTGCAGTGAGCTGAGATTGCACCGTTGCACTTCCGCCTGGATGACGGAGTGAGACTCTGTCTCAAAAATAATAATAATAATTAATAAAAATAAATTTTAAAAAAACTCCCTCCCTCCCCCAACCCCTGTTGACAACCCTTCTACTTTCCGTTTCTATGGATTTCACTACTTTAGATACATCCTATAGGTGGAATTATACAGTATTTGTCTTTTTGTGACTGAAGAGCCCAGTCCTTTTTAAGAGTTCACTTGATTAGGTCAGGCTTACCCAAGATAATCTTTATTTCTTAAAATCAGCTGACTTAATTACATCTGCACAATCCCTTCACAGCAGTTTCTAGATTCATGTTTGACTAAGTAACAGGGAGAAAGTATGTATACACCGGGATGAGGGAATATTGGGGATCATCTTAGAATTTTGCCTACTACAAACAGCAATGAGTAACCCTGAAAAAGTGGGGAGAGTGCTAAGTGGGGGATGGGGGAGAGGGTCTGTCGGTTTCATATACTGAGTGTAACTTTCATATATAGTATTAGCCCTTTCAATTTGTCACATACGAACCTCTAGGCAACAGAGCACTGAAAAAGAAATAACCTGATTCCATAATGTTCAAGGTATGAAATTCTTGCCTCAGATTAACTGAAGGATTTGGTAGAGAGAAACAAAAGCAAGTAAAGAAAAGTAAATTAGCTGAGACCAAAAAGCTTTGGATAATTTCATCCCCTGCCCTATGGAGTGGGCATAGCAGAGATATTAGTGATAAGGACCCCATCCTCAAAGGTCTGAAGGCTGCCTCTGGGGTGAAGAGCTGGGACATTAAAGAGCATAAACTGAACGGAAAAACCTACCAGGCCTCACATTGCATGCTGAAAATAGGTGAAAGGGTGTAGAGCTGCAAGAACACATGTGGGATATCAAAATAGCTCTGGAATTCATCCTCCAACTCCACTGCCAGTGCCACGCCCCTCATCCTGGCTTGGGCAATTGCAACAGCCCTGTAACTGGTCTCTGGGGCTCTATTCCTACCTGAATCTAATTTTCCACACTTGACCTTAGAAAATCTAAAATACAAACCAGAATTAAGTCAATACTCAGCTTAAAACCCCTCAGTGGCTCTGCATCATTTGGTTTAGTGCACAAGGCCCTCCATATGTCAGCTCTGCCTACTAATCCAGTCTCATCTGCTGCCACATTCCTGTACTCACACTTAGCGTCACTGATACTGGTTTTAGTTCCCTAAAAAGATCAGGCTGTTTCACACTTCCAACCATGCCTTTTCCCAGTCTCCTCCCTCTAGCTAGAATGGCCATCCCCTCCATCCCAGTCTGCCTAGCAAATTCTTACATATCCTTCACTCTCCTCTTTTTAAGTAAAGATACTGGCATGTGGCCCATCATCTCCCTCCCGACTCTTAATTCCTGACTCTTTTACGAGGGGATCTCATTGTCTATGAAGATGACACAATCAGCAACTTCTCATTTCCTTGACTCTCTCAATTACCTTCTCTGTTGCACTTCAGCCACACACAAAGCACCAGATCTTGAAGTTTATTGTGGTCTGGAACTGCTCACCTCTAACATCTATAACCCCAGTGTTTCATATGAACCACAGCGCCCTCTCCTTTCTGCTCCCTCAGGCCCCCGCCTACATGTGAGGGTTTTTTTTTTTTTTTTTTTTTGGTTTAGTTTTTTAACCTCTTATGGACTCCTCTAGTCCTTTAAGCCCTCTTTTTTCTCCCAGTCTGTCAGTCCCTCCTGGCCTCTTTTCCTTCCCCTCTCAATGGTTTTTGTTTTGTTTGTTTGTTTGTTTGTTTGCTTTTCTGAGACAGGGATCTCACTCTACCACCCAGGCTAGAGTGCAAAGGCACAATCCTAGCTCACTGCAGCCTTGAACTCCTGGGCTCAAGCAATCCTCCCACTTCAGCTTCCCGGGTAGCTAGAACTACAGGTATGTCCGGAATTCGTTCCTTCTGGTGGGTTCTTGGTCTCGCTGACTTCAAGAATGAAGCCGTGGACCTTCACGGTGAGTGTTACAGCTCTTAAAGGTGGTGCGGACCTAAAGAGTGAGCAGCAGCAAGATGTATTGTGAAGAGCAAAAGATCAAAGCTTCTACAGTATGGAAGGGGACCTGAGCGGGTTGCTGCTGCTGGCTGGGTGTGGCCAGCTTTTATTCCCTTATTTGTCCCCACCCACATCCTGCTGATTGGTCCATTTTACAGAGTGCTGGTTGGTGCATTTACAATCCTTTAGCTAGACACAGAGCGCTGATTGGTGCATTTTTACAGAGTGCTGATTGGTGCATTTACAATCCTTTAGCTAGATAGAAGAGTTCTCCAAGTCCCCACTCAACCCAGGAAGTCCAGCTGGCTTCACCTCTCACAGGCATGCACCACCTCACCTGGCTAATTTAAAAAAAAGAAGTTTTTATAGATGGGGTCTCACTATGTTGCCCAGGCTGGTCTCGAACTCCTGGCTTCAAGTCATCCTCCTGCTTTGGCCTCCCAAAGTGCTGGAATTATAGGCATGAGCCACCATGCCTGGCCTCAACCTTTCTTAACCCCATGCTTGACTCTCTGAACTACTCTGTCACCAGCACCCTCAATTCCCTTTCATCCCTGTCTACCACACCAGCCCCACAGACCTCTAACGTTGGGTGGGTACAGCTAACCACTCTTCTCCCCTTCTTCATCTGGATGTTTCTACCCTACAAAACAATACAAATCAGTGCCACTAGAAATACAGGGTCTTCAGCCTCAGTGGAACGACTACAAGCAACACTGCATTTACATCCATCCCTATCTCCATTCCATCTTCCTGTTCAAGGTCCACCCATCCCCCTGTGTCCCAAATGCCATCTTTTTCCATCTCTTTCAGCAGACTGCTCCATGAATTATCCATTCTCTGATTTCAACCTGTGGTGTCTGCTCCTCAGCCTTAAACACGTTAGGGCCTCACTCATCAAGAAAAAAATTACAAAACTCTCCCTTAATCCTGAATCTTAATCAGGTGCCAATTCCTTTCCTTCTCAGCTTTAAGCTTCTCCAAATAGCAATAGTCTGATTTGCAGTCTCTACTTCCTGAAATCCATTCATACCCCTACCTACTGTACTGGAAAATGGTTCCACTGAAATTGCTTTTAGCAAAGTGACCTCCAAACTGCCAAAGTCAATAGCTACTTTTCACTCTTAATGTTGCTGGACCTCTCTAAGCATTTGACACTGCTGATCATTCCTTCCTCGTTGAAAGCTCTTATTCATTGACTTCCATCACCTTGAATTAATTCAGTTTCCTAGTTATTCTGTATGTACTATGTACTTTTTTTTTTGAGACTGAGTCATGCTCTGTTGTCCAGGCTGGAGTGCAGTGGCACAATCTCGGCTCACTGCAACCTCCACCTCCCAGGTTCAAGCAATTCTCCTGCCTCAGCCTCCTAAGTAGCTGGGACTACAGTCATGAGCCACCATGCCCGGCAAATTTTTGTATTTTTAGTACAGACGGGGTTTCACCATGTTGGCCAGATTGGTCTCGGACTCCTGACCTCAAGTGATCCACCTGCCTCGGCCTCCCAAAATGCTGGTGGGATTACAGGCATGAGCCACCGCGCCTGGCCTATTCCATATGTACTTCTGACCATTCCTATTTGGTCTCCTTTTTGATCTCCTCTTCCTCTTTCCATCACTTAGATGTTAATGTCCCCCAGTGTTTTGTCAAGAACTGTGAAGGGTCTGAGATACTCACACAACGAAGTACTTTGTATGTGTGAATACTAAAGAAATGTGAGGCATCTGGATCAGAAGAGTTTTTTGTTTTGTTTTGTTTTTTGTTTTTGAGACAGAGTCTCGCACTGTCGCTCAGGCTGGAGTGCAGTGGCATGATCTCAGCTCACTGCAAGCTCCGCCTCCCAGGTGCACGCCATTCTCTTGCCTCGGCCTCCTGAGTAGCTCAGACTACAGGCGCCAGCCACCACGTTCGGCTAATTTTTTGTATTTTTTAGTAGAGACAGGGTTTCACCATGTTAGCCAGGATGGTCTCGATCTCCTGACCTTGTGATCCGCCTGCCTCAGCCTCCCAAAGTGCTGGGATTACAGGTGTAAGCCACAGTGCCCAGCCCCCTTTTTTTTTTTTTTTGAGACAAGGTCTCATTCTGTCACCCAGGATGGAGTGTGGTGGCACATCTCAGCTCACTGCAACCTCTGCCTCCCAGGATCAAGTGTTTCTCCCACCTCAGCCTCCTGAGTAGCTGAGACTACAGGCGTGTGCCACCATGCCTGGCTAATTTTTTGAATTTTAGTAGAGACAGCATCTCACCATGTTGCCCAGGCTGGTCTTGAACTCCTGAGCTCAAGCAATCCACCCGCCTCAACCTCCCAAAGTGCCGGGATCACAGGCATGAGCCACTGCGCCCAGCCAAAAGTTCTTTATTAATACTCACGAACAGAGCAACAGCCAAAGTCACATTGTCATGTAGGTTCCCTACACCTAGACCTACAGGTGATACGATGAGAACTGTTGGAAACTTTCTGGGTGAATTACAAGTTTCACCCCATAAAGGAATGAATAACAGTGGATTTTCTCCATTTATACATAGAAGAGAGACAGCTGTCTTGCTCCCTTCCAAAAAACCTTTCACTCCTTGAAGATGGGATTGAAATGATCCTGGTTCTTACCTTAACCTTTTATAATGTAAACACATCTTTCCAAGGGCCAGATTTGTGTCTCCAGCTTTTACAGCCTAGTGATGTCTCCAAGGTCTGGGTTTCATCCCTTTAGAAGCACAAATACCTAGGAACATAGTGATCCAGTGGTCCTGGCCCCTAGGGACCTAGCCCTGGCTATAAGCATTTGGATCTCTTGGGGAGAAAAGTTTTTTCTTTTTAGAGCAGGGCAATTAGCTAGACAAATGGCTACTACAGATATCATCCTCATGGTATGTGAAAAGTGAAATGTGTCTAGGGGAAGCAAAAACAAACATTCTCTATATTGTGTATATTCCTGTAGCCCAAGTGGCTAGGGCTTTTTTTTTTATTTTTTTTATTTTTGAGACAGAGTTTCACTCTTGTTGCCCAGGCTAGAGTGCAATGGCGCGATCTTGGCTCACTGCAACCTCTGCCTCCCAGGTTCAAGCAATTCTCCCGCCTCAGCCTCCCAAGTAGCTGGGATTACAGGCATGCGCCACCACGCCCGGCTAATTTTGCATTTTTAGTAGAGACGGGGTTTCTCCATGTTGGTCAGGCTGGTCTTCAACTCCTGACCTCAGGTGATCCACCAGCCTCAGCCTCCCAAAGTGCTGGGATTACAGGAGTGAGCCATCGTGCCCGCCAAGTAGGGCCTTTTATAGGGGCACCAAGAATCCAGGCAAGCTTTCTTTCCCACACCCAGGATTCTGTTTTCTTTCTTCTTCTCATCTCAATCTACATGCTCTCCCTGGACCATCCTACCCATTTTTGTTGTTTTAACTGCTACCTGAATGCTAAGGACTTTAAATATCCCACCACCTGCTAGACATCTATATCTGAATGTTCTACAGACACCTGAAATACCACATGTTAAAAATGGAACTTCTCACTCCTGCCCCCAAACTCTTCTATTCTCTACATTGCTTGATAGCGGCACCATCTGCATCACACTGTGGCTGCCCTCAGAATTTGAAAAGCTTTTCTATATATGGAAGAATGTCCATGTTATGAGCCCCAGCTCTGCAGTGTAAGTCAGAGATATTTGCCAGTCTCCCTTGTGACCTTGTGAGGAAACCTGCTCTATGTGGATATGTGGAGTGTGGAGCTTCTCTTCCTTTTTTTTTTTCTACTAGGGAATTTCCAGTGTTTTCAAGGTTGACTTCTCACAGCAGTGGGGGCATCTATATCATCCCGCCACTTCTGCAATGGTTTGAGGCATTGTTCCTGAAAGCTTAGCCTCTAACCTGATTCTCCAGCTCTCCCAACAATTGTGGGAGCTCCCCAATATCCTTTATTTCTTTTTAAGAGACAGGATCTTGCTCTGTCAACCAGGCTGGAGTACAATGGCATGATCATGGTTCACTGTAGCCTCAAATTTCTGGGCTGAAGTGATCCTCCTGCCTCAGCCTCCTGAGTAGCTGAGACTACAGGTGTGTGCCACCACACTCAGCTAATTTTTAAAATTATCATTATTATTATTATTATTTTGAGACAGAGTCTCACTCTGTCACCCAGGCTAGAGTGCAGTGGTGCAATCTTGGCTCATTGCAACCTCTGCCTCCCAGGTTCAAGAGATTCTCGTGCCTCATTCAGCTGCCTCCTGAGTAGCTGGGATTACAGGTATGCACCACCACACCCAGCTAATTTTTGTATTTTTAGTAGAGACGGGGTTTCACTGTGTTGGCCAGGCTGGTCTCAAACTCCTGGCCTCAAGTTGTCCACATGCCTCAGCCTCCCAAAGTACTGGGATTAAGGCATGAGCCACCACACCCAGCCTATTATTTTTGTTTTTTAGAGACAGGGTCTCACTAAGTTGCCCAGGAATGATCTCGAACTCTTGGGCTGAAATGATCTTCCAGCCTTGGTCTCCCAAAGTGCTGAGATTACAGGTGTGAGCCACCATGCCCAGCCCCTAATATCCTTCAAAAATAATAATAATAATACCCTTTATGCTGAGTCAGGCTTTGTTGCTATCAACTAACATCTCTGACAAATACACACTCCATCACACAAAACAGGAAACTGGAGTTATCTTTAACACTCTCTCACCACCAATATCCAATCAATCCTCAAGTCCTACTAATTTTACCATCTAAGCATTTCTTGATTCTGACCTTTCCTTTTTATCACAATTACCACTTCCCTGCCTGGCTAAGACCCTGATAATTTTTCATTTGGATTATTTTAACAGCCTTCTTATTAGTCTCCCTGCCTCCAGTCTTGTTCCTCTTCTAATCTTAGACTTCACACTGTTAATAGAAGAATTTACCTAAAACATAAGCCTGTTGTTCACTTGTTTGAAACCCATGACTTGCCACTTCCTAGTTTGAATTTTTTGTTTTACAAGATGGAACCACTTGACCGGGCACAGTGGCTCATGCCTGTAATCCCAGCACTTTGGGAGGCCGAGGCGGGCAGATCACTTGAGTCCAGGAGTTTGAGACCAGCCTGGGTGACATGGCGAGACCCCACCTCTACAAAAAAAAAAAAAATTTAATTGGCTGTGGTGGCACGCTCCCATAGTCCCAGCTACTCAGGAGGCTGAGGTGGGAGGACTGCTTGAGCCCAGGAGGTGGAAGTTGGAGTTAGCCAAGATCATGCCACTGCACTCCAGGCTCGGCAACAGAGTGAGACCCCATCTCAAAAAAAAAAAAATTCAAGATAAGATGGAACCACTTGTAATTACTTCCTATGCATATGCGCGCACACACACACACACACACACACACTCACTCTGTCTCTCCATATATATCTTCTATCTCTTAGCTCTACACCTTTATTTGTGTTCTGCCTAAAATGACCTTCCTTCCCGTCTTCACTTGGCTACTTTCTTTTTTTTTTTTCTTTTTTTTTTTTTTTTCAGAGACAGGGTCTTGCTCTGTCACCCCGTCTGGAGTGCAGCGGTGTGATCATGGCTTATTGCAGCCTCAACCTCCTGGGCTCAAGCAATCCTCCTGCCTCAACTTCCTGAGTAGCTGGGACTACAGGCACATGCCACCATGCCAAGCTAATTTTGTTATTATCATTATTGTTATTATTTGTAGAGACAGGGTCTTGTTATGTTGCCGAGGCTGGTCTTGAACTCCTTGGCTCAAGCGATCCTCCCACCTCAGCCTCCCAAATTGCTGGGATTACAGGCATGAGCCACCGCACCTTGGCCACTTGGCCACTTTCTAATAATTCTTTAAAACACCCGCAGGCTGTGATGGGTGCTGCTCCTCCTTACTTCCATAATACCTTGTATATACATCTATCATCGCATATACCACAAAGCACTATAATTGCCTATTTATGTGTTTGTCTCTCCCAACTATATAGTGAGCTGTCTGAGGGGGAAGATAAGATCTAAATTCATATATATATATATATATATATATATAGAGAGAGAGAGAGAGAGAGAATATTCATATATGTATAGATATAAGTATCTATATCTACTATATCTATCTATTTATGTATTATTTTATTTAATTTTTTTGAGACACAGTCTCACTCTGTCACCCAGGCTGGAGTGCAGTGGTGCCATCTCGGCTCACTGCAATCTCTACCCCAGATTCACGTGATTCTCATGCCTCAGGTGTGAGCCACCATGCCCGGCCTATATCTATTTATATCACCTCAATGCCTACTGACTAGCATTTAGTATTCATACAATAAATGTTTGCTAAGTGATTCATAAATTGATTAACAACTCAATTCAAACATCACTTCTGGCCAAGTACAGTGGCTCACACCTGTAATCCCAGCACTTTGGGAGGCTGAGGTGGGAGGATCACTTAAGCCCAGTAGTTCAACACCAGCCTGGACAACACAGGCAGAACCCCTCCCCTGAAACTCTACAAAAAAATTCAAAAATTAGCTGGGCTTGGTGGCACACACTTGTAGTGTCAGCTTCCTCTATGCATTTGATGCATTCCTCTTTTTAAAAAATTGGTGTGGCCAAGCGTGGTGGCTCACACCTATAATCCCAGCAATCTGGGGTCCAAAGGTGAGAGGATTGCTTGAGGCCAGGAGTTCAAGACCAGCTTGGGCAACATAGTGACATCTCATCTCTACAAAAAATTAAAAATTAGCTGGGTATGGTGGGGTACACCTGTAGTCCCAGCTACTTGGGAGGCTGAGGTGGAAGGGTCTCTTGAGACCAGAAAGCTGAGGCTGCAGTGAGCCCTGATCATGTCACTGCCCTCCAGCTTGAGTGACAGAACTAGACCTGTCTAAAAAAAAATTGATGTAAAATTCACATAAAACATAAGATTAACCATTTGAAAGTGTATAATTCAGTGGCATTTAGTATATTCATGAAGTTGTATAATAATCACCTCTATATAGTTTCATAACAGCTTCGTCACCCCATATGTAAACCCTGTACCCATCAAGCAGTCATTCCCCAGTCCTCCCTCCCACAAGGCTCTAGAAACCACTAATCTGCAGTTCTGTCTACAGATTTATCTATTCTGGATATTTAACGCAAATGGAATCATACAATGTGTGACCTTTGTGTCTGTCTTTTTTCTACATAGCACGTTTTTGAGGTTCATCTATGTTGTAGCATGTATCAGAATATGGTGAAATACTATTCAGTTCTATAGGATATGCCATTCATCCATTGATGGACATTTGGGTTTTTTCACCTTTTAGCCATTGTGAATAGTGCTGCTATGGACATCTGTGTACAAATTTTGATTTGAATACTTGTTTTCAATTCTTTTCGGTAGAAACATAGGAGTAGAATTGCTGGAATATATAGCATTTTTTTTTTTTTTTTGAGACAGGGTCTCGCTCTGTTGCCCAGGCTGGAGTGCAGTGGCGTGATCTCGGCTCTTGGCTTACTGCAAGCTCCGCCTCCCGGGTTCACGCCATTCTTCTGCCTCAGCCTCCCGAGTAGATGGGACTACAGGCGCGTGCCACCATGCCCGGCTACTTTTTTTAAAAAAATATATATTTATAGTAGAGACGGGGTTTCACTGTGTTAGCCAGGATGATCTTGATCTCCTGACCTCATGATCCGCCCATGTCGGCCTCCCAAAGTGCTGGGATTACAGGCGTGAGCCACCGCGACTGGCCAATTTTTTTTTTTTTTTTTTAGATGAGGTCTCACTCTGTCGCCCAGGCTGGAGTGCAGTGGCGCTAACATTGTAGCCTCAAACTCCTGGGCTCAAGCAACCCTCTCACCTCAGCTTCTCAAGTAGCTGGGACTACAGGCATGCACCATCATGCCCGGCTGATTTTTTATTTATTTATTTATTTTTATTTATTTATTTATTTTGAGACGGAGTTTCGCTCTTGTTGTCCAGGCTGGAATACAATGGCGTGGTCTCGGCTCACTGCAACCTCCACCTCCCGGGTTCAAGGGATTCTTCTGACTCAGCCTCCCGAGTAGCTGGGATTACAGGCACACACCACCATGCTTGGCTAATTTTTTAAAAATTATTATTATTATTATTACTGAGGCAGAGTCTTGCTCTGTCGCCTGGGCTGGAGTGCAGTGGTGTGATCTCGGCTCACCGCAACCTCCGCCTCCTGGGTTCAAACAATTCTCCTGCCTCAGCCTCCCGAGTAGCTGGGATTACAGGCATGCGCCACCATGCCTGGCTAATACTGTATTTTTAGTAGAGATGGGGTTTCTCCATCTTGGTCAGGCTGGTCTCGAACCCCTGACCTCAGGTGATCCACCTGCCTCGGCCTCCCAAAGTGCTGGGATTACAGGCATGAGCCACCTTGCCCAGCCAGATTCCTTTAGTTTTTACCTACTGTCCTTTTTCTATTCCAGGATCCCATCCAGGACACCACATAACATTTAGTTGTCATTTCTCCTCAGCTGTGACAGCTTTTCAGACTTTTCTTGTTGTTGATGACCTTGATAGTTCTGAGGAGCACTGGCCAGGAATTTTGAAGAATATCCCTCAATTGAGATTTTTCTGATGTTTTTCTCATGATTAAACTGGAGTATGCATTTGGGAGAGGAAGACCACAGAGGTAAGGTACCGTTTTCATCACATCATAGGATACATACTATCAACATGACTTTCCACTGTTGATGTTGATCTTCATCATCTGGCTGAGGTAGTGTTTGTGAGGTTTCTCCACTGCTTTTACTCTTCTCACCCCTTTCCACACCGTACTTTTTGGAAGGAAGTCACTGTTTGCAGCCCAGCCCATGCTTAAGGAATAGAGAGTAATGCTCCTCCTCCTTGAGGGCAAAATATCTACATAAATTACTTGGAATCCTTCTGCATTAAAGATTTGTCTATTCTCCCCCATTTATTTATCTATTTATTTAATCACTTATTTATATCAATATGGACTCATATATTATATATACATATATATTTTTTTGATATGGGGTCTCGCTCTGTTGCCCAGGCTGGTGTGCAGTGGCATGATCACAGCTCACTGCAACCTCAGCCCCCCAGGATCAAGCAGTCCTCCCATCTCAGCCTCCCAAGTAGTTGGGACCACAGGCACAAGCCACCATGCCCAACTAATTTTTTGTATTTTTGGTAGAGATGGGGTTTCATTATGTTGCCCAGGCTGGTCTCAAACTCCTGAGCTCAAGCGATCCACCTGTCTCGGCCTCCCAGAATGCTGGGATTACAGGCATGAGCCACCGTGCCCAGCCTCATAGATATTTTAGACTTTGCCCACCTTCATTTTTATGCTCAATCATTTTTACTTTTTTTCTTTTTTCTTTTCTTTTTTTTTTTTTTTTTTTTTTTTTTTTTTTTGAGACAGGGTCTCATTCTGTCACCCAGGCTGGAGTGCAGTGGCTCAATCACAGCTCACTGCAACCTTGAATTCCTGGGCTGAAGCCTCCCACCTCAGCCTCCCGAGTATTAGTAGTTGGGACTGCAGGCATGAGCCAATGTGCCTGGCCTACTCTCTTTTTTATGCAGTTAACAGCATTTTGACATCAGCCAACTAATTAAGCAACAATAGGGTGGTTCCACTTGACTACCATGGCACATGGCTCCTGACATTGGGGAACTCTTCCTGGGCCCCTGCAGAATGTTTTCTTTTCTATCAGAGGCAATGACAGTTCTCTGTAATTATTCACTGAAATTGGTTTTCCCCTTGAGGGCCAGATAAAAAGGTCTGAGGAGTGCCTCCCTATGCTTGTCTTATCAATGAAATGAGTTCCCAGACTGGATGGAGGAAATACCTTGAAGGATGTATCAGTCAGGGTTCAATCAGAGAAACAGAACAAGTAGAAGATATATATGAAGAGATTCATTGCAAGAAATGGGCTAACACCGTTGTAGGGGGTGAAATCTGTAGGGTGAAATCCGAGTCTGAAATCCGTAGGGTGGGCCATCAAGAAGGGCAGGCTGGAACACTCAGGCACATGCTAAAGCTGCTGTTCACAGGGAGAATTTCTTCTCCATCTGGGAAACTTCAGCTCTGGTCTTAAGGCCTTTCAACAGATTGAATCAGACTCACCCAGATTATCAAGGATAATCTCCCTTATTTAAAGTCAAATGGCTGTGGACTTCAATCACGTCTACAAAATACCTGTACAGCAACACCTAGATTCATTTGATTGAATAACTGGGAACTGTAGCCTAGTGGAGTTGAAATGAAGAGGAGGAGGAGAAGAAAAAGAAAAGGAAAAAAAAGTGTCCTTTTAATGGGTGAAATTATATGAAGTCTGGTGGTAGTGGAGGAGGAGGAGGGAAGAGAAGGAAACAGAGGAAAAGAAGGAAGATGCCAGAAAGTCAGCAGAGGATTATGATGACAAGTAAAAGATTGTGAAAAAAAAAAGTTGAACCAGCCACATTACACCACATATACAAAGCATTCTCCGTGAAGGATTTATACAAATCCACTAGACAAGATGTTTTATCACATACTCCAGAAAACAAGAGGGAGGATTCTGCAAGTGAAACAGTTGCCCTTGATAGCAACAGCAGAGACTCTGAGGAAGGGGATGGCTCACAGCCACAGTGTTCAAGAGATCACTGGATAGAGCTTCCTCATGGCCAATCAAAAGTGATAGTGCCATATTCATTGATCTAGAAATTCTACCTCAAGGAATGTATTCTATATTTATTCATTCTACATATAGCCTATGAATTTATTCTATATATTCTATAAGTAAATGTGTGTGTATATATATATATATACACATATATATATATATACACACACATATATATATATATATATATATACACATATATATATATATATATTTTTTTTTTGAGACAGTCTCACTCTGTCACCCCAGCTGGAGTGTAGTGTCGGGATCTTGGCTCGCTGCAACTACTGCTTCCCAGATTCAAGCAATTCTCCTGCCTCAACCTCCTGAGTAGCTGGGATTACAGGCACACACCACCACACCCGGCTAATTTTTGTATTTTTAGTAGAAACAGCGTTTCGCCATGTTGGCCAGGCTGGTCTCAAACTTCTGACCTCAGGTGATCCACCTGCCTCAGCCTCCAAAAGTGCTGGGATTACAGGTGTGTCACAGCGCCTGGCCTGGTTTTTTGTTTGTTTGTTTTTTGTTTTTGTTTTTCTTTTTTTTTTCTTTTTTGAGACGGAGTCTCACTCCGTTGCTAGGCTGGAGTGCAGTGGTGCGATCTTGGCTCACTGCAACCTCTGCCTTCTGGGTTCAAGCGATTCTCCTGCCTCAGCCTCCCAGGTAGCTGGAACTACAGGCATGTGCCACCATGTCTGGCTAATTTTTGTACTTCTTGTAGAGACAGGGTTTTGCCATATTGGCCAGGCTGGTCTTGAACTCCTGGCCGCAGGAGATCTGCCTGCCTCAGCCTCCCAAAGTGCTGGGATTACAGGCATAAGCCACCACACCAGGACTATAAGTATATATTTTAAATGATACATATACAAAAATATTTACTGAAACAGTCTGCAACAGCAAAAAATTAAAAGTAATGTAAAAGTCCACCAGTATGACATTGATTCAATAAGCGGTGGTACAACTAGCAGTATCATACTGAGAGGTGAAGCCAGCTGGACTTCCTGGGTCAAGTGTGGACTTGGAGAACTTTTCTGTCCAGCTAAAGGACTGTAAATGCACCAATCAGCACTCTGTAAAGTGCACCAATCAGCACTCTGTGTCTAGCTAAAGGATTGTAAATGCACCAGTCAGCACTCTGTGTCTCGCTAAAGGATTGTAAATGCACCAATCAGCACTCTGTAAAAACGCACCAATCAGCGCTCTGTGTCTAGCTAAAGGATTGTAAATGCGCCAATCAGCACTCTGTAAAAATGCACCAATCAGCACTGTGTGTCTAGCTAAAGGACTGTAAATGCACCAATCAGCACTCTGTAAAATGGACCAATCAGCAGGACGTGGGCAGGGACAAATAAGGGGATAAAAGCTGGCCACCCCAGCCAGTAGCAGCAACCTGCTCAGGTCCCCTTCCACACTGTGGAAGCTTTGTTCTTTCACTCTTCACAATAAATCTTGCTGCTGCTTACTCTTTGGGTCCGTGCTACCTTTAAGAGCTGTAACACCGCAAAGGTCCATGGCTTCATTCTTGAAGTCAGCGAGACCAAGAACCCACCAGAAGGAACCAACTCCGGACACATCCTGGCGACCCAGATGGGACTATTGTCAAGCAGTGAGTACCACTGGACCCCTTTCACTTGCTATTCTGTCCTATTTTTCCTTAGAATTCAGGGGCTAACTACCAGGCACCTGTTGGCCAGTTAAAAGCGAATAGTGCAGCTGCTGGACTAAAGACATGGGTGTCAGGCTTTCTGGGAAAGGGCTCTGTAACAACCCCCAACTCTTCAGAGTTGTGAGAGTCAGTTTTACTGGAACCAGCTTCCGCTTTTCCTGTACTTGCAGGCTGAGCCGAGGGTCGACAGAGAGGAAAGCCATTCAGCTCCAGGGTCCCGACAAAAAGTTGGTTGACCCTGTAGCCATGAGCGGAACTCTCAAAGTCATGTCGCCCAAGCAAGACTCGCCCATCTATCCTATCTATCCTGACTCTTGCCTCCTGGGTCCTAAGGCCTATCAGACAAACTTCCTCCTGCCTCTCTTCTCCGAGGCTCGTCCTGCTTTTAAAAACCACTCCCTGTCTCTGGTGCTTTTCTAGTTTCTCCTATAAGAATGATTTCTAGTATAAACTTCAGGACTCTGTTCCCTTCTTTAGGCACCCGGGCTCAGCAATCAGAAAGACATATTTTTTGCCTAAAGCCCTGTCAGTGGGGGGACACTATCTGGAATTTTAGGGTCCCTCCTCAGACTAGCAGGCCTAACAAAAGCTATTCCTGAAGCTAGGATATGGGGAGCCTCAGAAATGATATCCTTCCTATTCATATGATGAGAAGTGAGGACAAAAGGCATCACTCTTCCAACCCTGGAGATCCCTTCCCTCCCTCAGGGTATGGCCCTCCACTTCATTTTTGGGGCATAACATCTTTTTTTTTTTTTTTTTTGAGAGAAGTCTCGTTCTTGTCCCCCAGGCTTGAGTGCAATGGCTCGATCTCGGCTCACTGCAACCTGTGCCTCCTGGGTTCAAACGATTCTCCTGCCTCTGCCTCCCAAGTAGCTGGGATTAAGGCGCCTGCCACCACATCTGGCAATTTTTTGTATTTTTTAGTAGAGACAGGGTTTCACCATGTTGGCCAGGCTGATCTCGAACTCCTGACCTCAGGTGATCCACCCACCTCAGCCTCCCAAAGTGCTGGGATTAGAGGCATGAGCCACCGCGCCCAGCCTTTTGGGGCATAACATCTTTATAGGACAGGGGTAAGGTCCCAATACTAACAGGAGGATGCTTAGGACTCTAATAGGTTTTTGAGAATGCGTCGGTAAGGTCCACTAAATCCGACCTTCGTCGGTCCTCTTTGTGGTCTAAGAGGAAAACTAAGGTTTCTGCTGCTGCGTTGGTGAGCACAACTATTCCAATCAGCAGGGTCCAGGGGCCGTTGCGGGTTCTTGGGCCAGCGGGGGGTGGGGGCGGGGTGGGGGTGGGGAGCAAACAAACCAAAACCATGGGTGGTTTTTTCTTTCAGATAGGAAACACTCAGGCATCAAC
Organism: Homo sapiens; assembly: GCF_000001405.40. Taxonomy (NCBI): domain Eukaryota; kingdom Metazoa; phylum Chordata; class Mammalia; order Primates; family Hominidae; genus Homo; species Homo sapiens. Next base: position 71,500,460 of record NC_000023.11, on the reverse strand, counting down.
AGGCTCACCCTTGAAATGCATCCTAAGCCATTGAGACCAATTTGACCCACAAACCCTGAAAAAGAAGTGGCTTATTTTTTTCTGCACTACGGCCTGGCCCCAATATTCTCTCTCTGATGGGGAAAAATGGCCACCTGAGGGAAGTATAAATTACAATACTATCCTGCAGCTTGACCTTTTCTGTAAGAGGGAAGGCAAATGGAGTGAAATACCTTATGTCCAAGCTTTCTTTTCATCGAAGGAGAATTCACAACTATGCAAAGCTTGCAATTTACATCCCACAGGAGGACCTCTCAGCTTACCTCCATATCCTAGCCTTCCTACAGCTCCCCTTCCTATTAATGATAAGCCTCCTCTAATCTCCCCCACCCAGAAGGAAACAAGAAAAGAGATCTCCAAGGGACCACAAAAACCCCCGGGCTATCGGTTATGTCCCCTTCAAGCTGTAGGAGGAGGGGAATTTTGCCCAACCCGGGTACATATCCCCTTCTCCCTCTCTGATTTAAAGCAGATCAAGGCAGACCTGGGGAAGTTTTCAGATGATCCTGATAGGTATATAGATGTCCTACAGGGTCTAGGGCAAACCTTCGATCTCACTTGGAGAGATGTCATGCTATTGTTAGATCAAACCCTGGCCTTTAATGAAAAGAATGTGGCTTTAGCTGCAGCCCGAGAGCTTGGAGATACCTGGTATCTTAGTCAAGTGAATGATAGAATGACAGCCGAAGAAAGGGACAAATTCCCTACCAGTCAGCAAGCCGTCCCCAGTATGGATCCCCACTGGGACCTAGACTCAGATCATGGGGACTGGAGTCATAAACATATGCTGACCTGCGTTCTAGAAGGACTAAAGAGAATTAGGAAAAAGCCCATGAATTATTCAATGATTTCCACCATAACTCAGGGAAAGGAAGAAAATCCTTCTGCCTTCCTTGAGTGGCTATGGGAGGCCTTAAGAAAATATACTCCCCTGTCACCTGACTCCCTCGAGGGTCAATTGATCCTAAAAGATAAGTTTATTACCCAATCAGCTGCAGATATCAGGAGAAAGCTCCAAAAGTGAGCCCTGGGCCCTGAACAAAATCTGGAGGCATTATTAAACCTGGCAACCTTGGTGTTCTATAATAGGGACCAAGAGGAACAGGCCGAAAAGGAAAAGCAAGATCGGAGAAAGGCCACAGCCTTAGTCATGGCCCTCAGACAAACAAACCTGGGTGGTTCAGAGGACAGAAAATGGAGCAGGCCAATCACCCGGTAGGGCTTGTTATCAGTGTGGTGTACAAGGACACTTTAAAAAAGATTGTCCAACGAGAAACAAGCTGCCCCCTCGCCCATGTCCACTATGCCTAGCCAATCACTGGAAGGTGCAAAGTTTCTCTGGGCCAGAAGCCCCCAACCAGATGATCCAGCAAAAGGACTGAGGGTGCCTGGGGCAAACGCCAGCTCATGTCATCACCCTCACTGAGCCCCGGGTATGTTTAACTATTGAGGGCCAGGAAATTGACTTCCTCCTGGACACTGGCGTGGCTTTCTCAGTATTAATCTCCTGTCCCAGACAGCTGTCCTCAAGGTCCATTACCATCCGAGGTATCCTGGGACAGCCTGTAACCAGGTATTTCTCCCACCTCCTCAGTTGTAATTGGGAGACTTTGCTCTTTTCACACTCCTTTCTCATTATGCCTGAAAGTCCCACACCCTTATTAGGGAGGGACATATTAGCCAAAGCTGGAGGTATTATCTACATGAATATGGGGAACAAGTTATCCATTTGTTGTCCCCTGCTTGAGGAGAGAATCAACCCTGAAGTCTGGGCATCGGAAGGACAATTCGGAAGGGCAAAAAATGCCCACCCAGTCCAAATCAGGCTAAAAGACCCCACCACTTTTCCTTATCAAAGGCAATATCCCTTAAGGCCTGTATCTCATAAAGGATTACAGGATATTGTTAGACATTTAAAAGCTTAAGGCTTAGTAAGAAAATGCAGCAGTCCCTGCAACACCCCAATTCTAGGAGTACAAAAGCTGAATGGTCAGTAGAGACTAGTGCAAGATCTTAGATTCATCAATGAGGCAGTAATTCCTCTATATCCAGTTGTACCCAACCCCTATACCCTGCTCTCTCAAATACCAGAGGAAGCAGAATGGTTCATGGTTCTGGACCTCAAGGATGCCTTCTTCTGTATTCCCCTGCATTCTGACTTCCAGTTTCTCTTTGCCTTTGAGGATCCCACAGACCACACATCCCAACTTATGTGACGGTCTTGCCCCAAGGGTTTAGGGATAGACCTTATCTGTTTGGTCAGGCACTGGCGCAAGGTCTAGGCCACTTCTCAAGTCCAGGCACTCTGGTCCTTCAGTATGTGGATGATTTACTTTTGGCTACCAGTTCGGAAGCGTCATGCCAGCAGGCTACTCTAGATCTCTTGAACTTTCTAGCTAATCAAGGGTACAAGGTCTCTAAATCGAAGGCCCAGCTCTGCCTACAACAAGTCAAATATCTAGGCCTAATCTTAGCCAGAGGAACCAGGGCCATCAGCAAGGAATGAATACAGCCTATACTGGCTTATCCTCACCCTAGGACATTAAAACAGTTGTGGGGTTCCTTGGAATCACTGGCTTTTGCTGACTATGGATCCCTGGATACAGCGAGATGGCCAGACCACTCTATACTCTAATCAAGGAGACCCAGAAGGCAAATACTCATCTAGTAGAATGGGAACCAGAGGCAGAAACAGCCTTCAAAACCTTAAAGCAGGCCCTAGTAGAAGCTCCATCCTTAAGCCTTCCCACAGGACAAAACTTCTCTTTATACGTCACAGAGAGAGCAGGAATAGCTCTTGGAGTCCTTACTCAAACTCGTGGGACAACCCCACAACCAGTGGCATACGTAAGTAAGGAAATTGATATAGTAGCAAAAGGCTGGCCTCACTGTTTATGGGTAGTAGCGGTGGTGGCCATCTTAGTGTCAGAGGCTATCAAAATAATACAAGGAAAGGATCTCACCATCTGGATTACTCATGATGTAAATGGCATACTAGGTGCCAAAGGAAGTTTATGGCTGTCAGACAACCACCTGCTCAGATACCAGGTGCTACTTCTTGAGGGACCGGTGCTTCAAATACTCACATGTGTGGCCCTAAACCCTGCCACTTTTCTCCCAGAGGATGGAGAACTAATCGAGCATGACTGCCAATAAATTATAGTCCAGACTTATGCCACCCGAGAGGATCTCTTAGAAGTCCCCTTAGCTAATCCTGACCTTAACCTATATACCGATGGAAGTTCATTTGTGGAGAATGGGATATGAAAGGCAGGTTATGCCATAGTTAGTGATGTTAACAGTACTTGAAAGTAAGCCTCTTCCCCCAGGGACCAGCACCCAGTTAGCAGAACTAGTGGCACTTACCCGAGCCTTAGAACTGGGAAAGGGAAAAAGAATAAATGTGTATACAGATAGCAAGTATGCTTATCTAATCCTACATTCCCATGCTGCAATATGGAAAGAAAGGGAGTTCCTAACCTCTGAAGGAACCCCCATTAAATATCACAAGGAAATCATGGAGTTATTGCACACAGTGCAAAAACCCAAGGAGGTGGCAGTCTTACACTGCTGAAGCGAAAGTCAAAGGGTTGGGGGGGAGAGACAGAAAGAGAGAGACAGAGAAAGAAAGAGAGACAGCAAGTCAAAGAGAAAGAGAGAAAGAGACAGAAAGTCAGAGAGAAAGAGAGCGAGAAAGAAAGAGAGAGAGGAAGAGACAGAGAGACAAAGAGCAAGTCAGAGAGAGGAAGAGAGAGAGAGACAGAAAGTCAAAGAGAGAAGGAAAGAGAGGAAGAGACCGACAAAGAAGGAGTCAAAGAGAGAGGCAGGCAGAGGAAGAGACAGACAAAGAGGCAGTCAAAGAGAGAGAGAGGAAGAGACAGAGACAAAGAAAGAGTCAAAGAGAGAGAAAGAGACAGAAAGTCAAAGAGAAAGAAAGAGAGAAAGAGAGAGAAGTAGTAAAGAAAAAACGGTGTACCCTATTCCTTTAAAAGCCAGGGTAAATTTAAAACCTATAATTGATCATTGAAGGTCTTCTCCATGACCCTACAACACTCCAATACCACCTTACTGTCAGTGTAAACAAGAGTGTAGCCCGAAAGCACTGAGGCCACTGACAACCCGTAGCCTTCCTATCAAAAATCCTTAACCCAGCAGGTTTCCTAACAGGGAATCTTAATTAATTACCACACAAAGGTCCGACCAGATCTAGGAGGAACTCCCTTCAGGACAGGACAATAGATGGTTCCTCCTGGGTGTTTAAGGGAAAAAGACACAATGGGTATTCAGTGAGAGATAAAGAAACTCTTGTAGAAGCAGAATTAGGAAAATTGCCCAGTAATTGGTCTGCTCAAACATGTGAGCTGTTTGCACTCAGCCAAACCTTAAAGTACTTACAGAATCAGGAAGGAGCCATCTATACCAATTCTAAGTTAATATGGACTGAACGAGGTTTTATTAATAGCAAAGAAAAATTAAAATCCCAAACTTACAAGGTTTTCAACAAAAGTAAAGTTTGCTGAAAGTTAACAGTGTAACATGTATTATCCTAACTTCTAATCTTATGGAAATCAGACCCTATCAGTGCCCCTCAAAGCTCAAGTCCATCAGCACAGGGCCATACAACCAATACTCCTACTTATAGGGTTAGAAATGGCCACTGCTACAGGAACTGGAATAGCTGTACTTCATTATCTACTTCATTATCCTACTACCACACACTCTCAAAGGATTTCTCAGACAGCTTACAAGAAATAACAGAATCTATCCTTACCCTACAATCCCAAATAGACTCTTTGGCAGCAGTGACTCTCCAAAACTGTCGAGGCCTAGACCTCCTCACTGCTGAGAAAGGAGGACTCTGCACCTTCTTAGGGGAAGAGTGTTGTTTTTACACTAACCAGTCAGGGATAGTATGAGATGCTGCCTGGCGTTTACGGGAAAAGGCTTTTGAAATCAGACAATGCCTTTCAAACTCTTATACCAACCTCTGGAATTGGGCGACATGGCTTCTCCCCTTTCTAGGTCCCATGACAGCCATCTTGCTATTACTCTCCTTAGGGGCCTGTATTTTTAACCTCCTTGTCAAATTTGTTTCCTCTAGGATCGAGGCCATCAAGCTACAGATGGTCTTACAAATGGAATCCCAAATGAGTTCAACTAACAACTTCTACCGAGGACCCCTGGACCAACCTGCTGGCCCTTTGGCCTAAAGAGTTCACTAAAGAGGACACTACAACTGCAGGGCCCCTTCTTTGCCTCTATCCAGCAGGAAGTAGTTAGAGCGGTCATTGCCCAATTCCCAACAGCAGTTGGGGTGTCCTGTTTAGAGTGGGGATTGAGAGGTGAAGCCAGCTGGACTCCCTGGGTCGAGTGGGGACTTGGAGAACTTTTCTGTCTAGCTAGAGGATTGTAAATGCACCAATCAGTGCTCTGTGTGTAGCTAAAGGATTGTAAATGCACCAATCAGCACTGTGTAAAATGGACCAATCAGCACTCTGTAAAATGGACCAATCAGCAGGACGTGGGCAGGGCCAAATAAGGGAATAAAAGCTGGCCACCCCAGCCAGCGGCAGTAACCCGCTCAGGTCCCCTTCCATGCAGTGGAAGCTTTGTTCTTTCACTCTTCACAATAAATCTTGCTGCTGCTCACTGTTTGGGCCCATGCCACCTTTAAGAGCTGTAACACTCACCGTGAAAGTCCGCGGCTTCATTCTTGAAGTTGGTGAGACCAAGAACCCACCGGCAGGAACCAACTCTGGACACAATACTATGCAGTCACAAAAACAATGAGTAGCTCTATATAGTAGACTCACTTGGAAAGATATACTTCCAGGATATACCCTTTCAGGGATGTCCAATCTTTTGGCTTCCCTGGGCCACACTGGAAGAAGAATTGTCTTGGGCCACACATAAAATACACTGACAGTAGCTGATGAGCTAGCTATATTTTTTTAAATTGCCAAAAAAACTATTTATTTATTTATTTATTTATTTATTTTGAGACAGAGTCTCACTCTGTTGCCCAGGCTGGAGTGCAGTGGCACAATCTCGGCTCACTGCAACCTCTGCCTCCCAGGTTCAAGCGATTCTTCTGCCTCAGCCTTCCAAGTAGCTAGGACTACAGGTGTGTGCCACCACGCCCGGCTAATTTTTTGTATTTTAGTAGAGATGGGGTTTCACCATGTTTGCCAGGCTGGTCTCGATCTCCTAACCTCAGGTGATCTGCCTGCCTTGGCCTCCCAAAGTGCTGGGATTGCAGGCATGAGCCACGACGCTGGGCCCAAAAATCTCATAATGTTTTAAGAAAGTTTACAAATTTGTGTTGAGACGCATTCAAAGCAGTCCTGTACCGCCTGAGGCCCACGGTCTGCGGATTGGACAAGCTTGCCTCAAGTGGAAGAAGCAAGGTGCAAAACGGTGGGCATATAATGCTAAAATTTGTTTGTTTTGAGACAGGGTCTTGCTTTGTCACCCAGGCTGGAGTGCAGTGGCACAATTGTAGCTTACTGAGGCCTCAAATTCCTGGGCTCTCAAATAGCTGGGACTACAGGGGAGAATCACCAAGCCTAACTAATGTTTAAAATTTTTTGCAGAGATGGGGGTGGAGGTGGAGGTCTCCCTGTGTTGCCCAGGCTGGTCTCCAGCTCCTAGTTTCCAGAGATCCTCCCACCTCTGCCTCCTAAAGTGTTAGGATTACAGGCATGAGCCACTGCTCCCGGTGGAGGTGCTGTTTTTCTTAACTATGAATCTGGAGTATGTCACAGAATTTACCAAACTTTCTGACCTCTAGTGCCTTACACAGGGTTGAAAAGCACTTCCACAAGTAACCAGCAAAGCGCTTCTACAGAACAACGCCTGGGCAAAAGCTGAAAACCTTGCGACATTTCTACTTCTTCCAACTGAAAGCAGAGATTCTGGAAGAGCAGGAAAGATACAACAGCAGTGAATGCAGAGCTATTTGACAGTGTCTGAGAAAACAATCTGGCCTTTTGGGCCATGACTTAAGACATTGTAACAAGGTTTTAGCTACAGAGAGCACATTTCATAAGGGCTAGAGCGTGTTTGCTTGGAGACATGCCAATCAGATCACGTGAGTTTTAAGCAGAAAACAAAGTAAGAGTTAGCTCACGCCTGTAATCCTAGCACTTTGGAAGTCCGAGGCGGGCGGATCACGAGGTCAGGAGTTCGAGACCAGCCTGGCCAATATAGTGAAACCCTGTCTCTACTAAAAATACAAAAAATTAGCCGGGCATGGCGCGCCTATTGTCCCAGCTATTTGGGAGGCTGAGGCAGGAGAATCGCTTGAACCCGGGAGGCGGAGGTTGTGGTGAGCCAAGATCGCGCCACTGCACTCCAGCCTAGGCTACAGAGTGAGACTCTGTCAAAAAAAAAAAAAAAGTTAAAATGAAAGTAAAAATACTTGCAGTGGAGCACAGTGAGAAGGGCATTGCGCTTCCAGCCGCGGAGCAATGCCGGAGGCCGGGCCGAGGCTAGGGCTGGGGGCTGGGGGCCTGGGCTGCAGCTTGGGCGGCCCGCCCCGCCCCGGCGTCCCGCGACACCGGCTCGCAGACCGTCACATGCCACACCTCTGCAGACCGGAGGGTGCGGCCGCACATGGCTGGGGAGGCGTGAGTTAGCCGGGCTTGCGGCACGGAGACTTTCCTGGAGGAGACCCTGAAGGACCTGGACAAGTGCTATGAGAAGGTCCGCCGCGACACGGACTGCGCGCAGAAGCCGCGGGTGCCACCCTGCGCCCAGCGGGCCCTGATCCGCAGCTAGGAGCCGGGCGATCAGAAGATCCAGATCAAGAGCCAGAGGGTGGAGCTGGTGGAGAGCCTCACGCGGCAGGTAGACAGCCACGTGGAGCCGTTCCACCCGCAGCAGGAGCAGGGCGACGCAGCGCGACGGCGGCAAGGTCGGCCCGGACAGGCCCAGGGGCGAGGCGGACGCGCAGGCGGAGAAGTCCAACAGCAAAGCGTTCTCGGCGGCAGCGCAACAACTAGAACCGTGAGAACGCGTCCAGCAACCGCGACCACGACGACGTCACCTCGGGCACGCCCAAGGAGAAGAAAGCCCAGACCTCTAAGAAGAAGCAGAGCTCCATGGCCAAGGCGTAGCGGCAGGCGTCCCCCGCAGACCTCCCCATCGACCCCAGCGAGCCCTCCTACTGGGAGATGATCCGCTGCGACAACGAATGCCCCATCGAGTGGTTCCGCTTCTCGTGTGTGAGTCTCAACCATAAACCAAAGCGCAAGTGGTACTGTTCCAGATGCCGGGGAAAGAACGATGGGCAAAGCCCTTGAGAAGTCCAGAAAAAAAACAGGGCTTATAACAGGTAGTTTGGGGACATGCGTCTAATAGTGAGGAGAACAAAATAAGCCAGTGTGTTGATTACATTGCCACCTTTGCTGAGGTGCAGGAAGTGTAAAATGTATATTTTTAAAGAATGTTGTTAGAGGCCGGGCGCGGTGGCTCACGCCTGTAATCCCAGCACTTTGGGAGGCCGAGGCGGTCGGATCACGAGGTCAGGAGATCGAGACCATCCTGGCTAACACGGTGAAACCCCGTCTCTACTAAAAATTCAAAAAAAAAATTAGCTGGGCGTGGTGGCGGGCGCCTGTAGTCCCAGCTATTCGGGAGGCTGAGGCAGGAGAATGGCATGAACCTGGGAGGTGGAGCTTGCAGTGAGCCAAGGTCGCGCCACTGCACTCCAGCCTGGGCGACAGAGCGAGACTCCATCTCAAAAAAAAAAAAAAAAAAAGAATGTTAGAAAAGGAGCCATTCCTTTTATAGGGATGGGAGTGATTCTCTTTGCCTTTTGTTTTCGTTGGCAGACATGTGTAACAACAAAATGGTCTGTTATCAACATTTTAGAAACTACAAATATAGGTTTGAATTAAACAGTTTAAAAAGAATGCCGTTAAAGAAATAATGACAATACAGGAGGTGCTGCCACCTTCACAAGATTGGAAAAGAGGTCAGAACTAATGTCAGAGCCCCAGATGCTTCCCTTTCCTCCACACACACCTGAACCTGTTTTTCCCACTGTTTGCTTTTCTTGGAGCCCTTTCCACTATAACCACTGGAACCCCTGCTCAGTGAGAAACAAACTCCCGTACATCCTGGCTTTCTTCACTGAACTTTCCCTTCTACCTCCTGCCTTAACTGGATTGGGCTCTCTCCCGAGGCTCCCGCTTCCCCACAGCCTGCTCCAGGCTTCTTCTGTCGCATTCTGCCTATGAAAAAGATGGGCTGGCTGATCGGAGTGCAGTGGTGTTTACAACTAATTGATCACAACCAGCTACAGATTTCTTTGTTCCTTCTCCACTCTCACTGCTTCACTTGACTAATCTAAAAAAAAAAAAAAAAAAAAAAAAACAACAACAACAACAACAACAACAAAAAAACCCAGCTTGGTGGCTCACGCCTATAATCCCAGTCCTTTGGGAGGCCGAGGCAGGCAGATCACTTGAGTTCAGGGGATCGAGACCAGCCTGGCGAACATGGCGAAACCCCATCTCTACTAAAAATACAAAAATGGTGGCACATGCCTGTATTCCCAGCTACTCGGCAGGCTGAGGCAGGAGAATCACTTGAACCCGGGAGGCAGAGGTTGCAGTGAACTGAGATCGTGCCACTGCATTCCAGCCTGGTGAAAGAGTGAGACTCTGTCTCAAAAAAAAAAAAAAAGAGAAAATGAAGTTCGTTGTAGATGCATGGATTTGTTTCTGGGTTCTCTATTCTGTTCCATTGGTCTATGTGTCTGTTTTTAATGCCAGTACTATGTAGTTTTGGTTACCATAGCTTTGTAGTATAATTTGTCAATTTCTTGACTTTCTCAACTGCCTTTAAGAAAATATTCAATTCCTTGGGAGGCTGAAGCGGGAGAATGGCATGAACCCGGGAGGCGGAGCTTGCAGTGAGCCGAGATCGCGCCACTGCACTCCAGCCTGGGCGACAGAGAGAGACTCCGTCTCAAAAAAAAAAAAATCCAATTCCTTAGTATAACAGACAGGATCCTTCAAATATAGTCACCTGTCTATTTCATTTCCTGACATGATTTCTGTCTTTGTTTTGTGCTGCTATAACGGAATACCTGAAATTGGGTAATTTTTAAAGAACAGGAATTTGTATTCTTACAGTTCTGAAGGCTGGGAAGTCCAAGATCAAGGAGCCAGCATGTTAGTTTGTTGGTGAGGGCTGCCTCCTCTGAAGGAAAATAATTCTGTGTCCTCACAAGACAGAGGTGGCAGGGCAAGCAAACTGAATGCTCTGTGAAGCCTCTTTTTTTCCCATCCAGAAACTTTTATGGGCAAATTTTTATTTATTTATTTATTTTTGGAACAAGTAGGAGGGGAAAGTGGAGGGGGTGGAGGAGGAGGGAAAAGAGTTTTTAAAAAGCCTCTTTTCTCCTTTCTGAAGGCCTTAATCCTGTTCATGAGGGAGAGGCCTTCATGGCCTAATCACCTCTTAAAAGACCCATCTCTTGATATTATCATAAAGGCAACAACTGAATTTTAGAAGGGACGCATTCAAACCATAGCAGCTTCTTACGTACTTTATATTCCAGCTATAAGAAATATTTTGTAATTCTCTGATGCTACTGCTAATTTATTCCTCCAGGCCCTTTGCCATCCTCATCCCTCTGTCTGTAATACCAGCTCTGTTCCCACTTAGTTTGCCTGTTGAGCATCCCCATGAATGACTCACTTAACAATTTAGGCTTACATTTTTTTTTTTTTTTTGAAACGGAGTTTCATTCTTGTTGCCCAGTCTGGAGTGCAATGGTGTGATCTCAGCTCACCGCAACCTCCTCCTCCTTGGTTCAAGCGACTCTCCTGCCTCACCCTCCCAAGTAGCTGGGATTACAGGCATGTGCCACCATGCCCAGCTAATTTTGTATTTTCAGTAGAGACGGGGTTTCTCCATGTTGGTCAGGCTGGTCTCGAACTCTCAGTCTCGGGTGATCCGCCTGCCTCGGTCTCCCAAAGTGCCAGGATTACAGGCATGAGCCACCGCGCCCAGCCTAGCCTTACATTTCTTATTCTGCCTTCACTCCAGGAACTTTATTTTCTATTCCATTTCAGCCCCCTCTCTCAGGGCCACACTCTCACTGACCAGAAAAACCTGACCTCTGACATCTTAAACCCCAGTATCACAAAGAGGCAGAGGGACTTCTACATTTGGCCAAGATTGAGTAATTCACCCTACTGCCTAAAACAATAGCAACAAAAGGGACAGACTATATAAAACAATGGTTTCCAGACACTGGACATCAGGCGGCATATGATAGTGACAAAAGAAAGGAGAGAAACAAACTAGATGAATTTTTTGTGTGTGTTTTTTTTTTTTTTTCAGACAGAGTCTTGCTCTGTTGCTCAGGCTGGAGTGCAGTGGTGCGATCTCGGCTCACTGCAACCTCCATCTCCCAGGTTCAAGCGATTCTCCTGCCTCAGCCTCCTGAGTAGCTAGGATCACAGGCGTGCACAACCATGCCTGGCTAATTTTTGTATTTTTAGTAGAGATAGGGTTTCACCATGTTGGCCAGGCTGGTCTCGAACTCCTGACCTCAGGTGATCCACCTGCCTCGGCCTCCCAAAGTGCTGGGATTACAGGTGTGAGCCACCGTGTCCAGCACAAGATGAGTCGTATGAGTGCCCTAGCATACTGCCTGGAGAAAGTTTCTAGGCCACAGTGCAGAGAGGAGGAACATAGGCAGAGCCTAGCAGTCTCTCTGAGCTAAGAAGAAAGACTTGGAAGACTAGGAGGCCAAGGTAGCTAAAGTTCACTGGACAGAAAACTGGAGAAAAGATAGCTGCACAGAGAGAAAGCTCTGGAGATCTGCAGAGGATGTCTCTTAAGTCTTCAGCTGGGGATTGGTCAGTGCATGCCCACAAAGAAACTACCTACCAGCACTTTGGGAGGCTGAGGTGGGTGGATCATGAGGTCAGGAGTTCGAGACCAGCCTGGCCAATATGGTGAAACCCCATCTCTACTAAAAAATACAAAAATGATCTGGGTGTGGTGGCGCACAACTGTAGTCCCAGCTACTCGGGAGGCCAAGGCAGGAGAATCGCTTGAACCCGGGAGGTGGAGGTTGCAGTGAGCCGAGATCATGCCACTGCACTCCACCCTGGGCAAAAGACTGAGACTCCGTCTCAAAAAAAAAAAAAAAAAAAAAAGAAACCACCTAAAGCTAAGGGAAGAACCACCTGAAGGGATTAGAGAGAAAAATACTCAAAGATCACACAGGGACCAGAATAGTTTGTGTTCCCACCAGCCTGATTGTGGGTGGGAAAACTTCATAAAACACTGGGTAGAATACTTCCCCAGTAGAGCAACAAATCTAGTCCTAGATTAAAAGGCTACTTTTTGATCCTGGCTTAAAAATCAACTAAACAAACAAGAGCTTAAAAGCAAGCATTTAAAAAGGTCAAACTGTTTCCAAATAACTTAACTTCCCAGAACAAAGCTTACACATATTTACAGTAGTACAGAAATACCCAGCACCTAACAAGGTAAAATTTTTAATGTCTGGCCTCCAATAGAAAATTAACAGGCAAGCAAAGAAGCAGGAAAATGTAATCCACCATGAGGAGAAAAATCAATAGGAACTGACCAGAGATGACATAGGTGATAAAGTTAATAGACAAGGATAATAAATGGTTATTATAACCACATTCCAGATGGTGGAGGAAAAATTGAGCATGTTAAGTAGAGATACAGGAGATATTTAAAAAGATAAACTTCTAGAGATAAAAAAGGCAATGTCTAAGTTTTTAAAAAATATTTTAGATGAGGCCAGGTGCGGTGGCTCACGCCTGTAATTCCAGCACTTTGGGAGGCCAAGGCAGTTGGATCACCAGAGGTCAGGAGTTTCAGACCAGCCTGGCCAAGATGGTGAAACTGGTCTCTACTAAAAATACAAAAATTAGCTGGGTGTGGTGGTGGGCACCTGTAATCCCAGCTACTCGGGAGGCCAAGGCAGGAGAATCGTTTGAACCCAGTAGGCAGAGCTTGCAGTGAGCCAAGGTCGCGCCACTGCACTCCAGCCTAGGTGACAAGAGCGAAACTCCGTCTCAAAAAAAAAAAAAAAAAAAAAAATACATACATTAGATGGGACTAACAGCAAATTAGGTACTACAGAAAAAAAGATTAGTGAACTTGAAGGCATAATAATAGAAACTATTGGAATGAAGCATAGAGAAAAAAAGACGGAAAGAAAGAACAGATCATCAATGAGCTGGGGGGCAATCCCAAGCAGCCTTCTATACATGTGATGGGAGTCCCTGAAGGAAGAGGGGTGGATAAAAAAAAAAAAGGCTGAAATTTTTCCAAATGTGATGAATACCATAAACACAGGTCCAAGAATCACAACATACTCCAAGTACAGTAATTATGAAGAAAATTATACCACCAAGAAGAGCAAACTAAACCCAAGAAGAAAATAATAAAGATTAGAGAGGAGATAAACAAAAATAGAAAGTAGACTAATAATACAGAGATTCCAAGATCAACAAAATTGACAGAACTTTAACTAGATTGACTAAGAAAAAAAGGCTCAAATTACTAAAATCAGAAATGAAAGAGGAAACATTACTACCAACGTTACAGAAATAAGAAGGATTATAAGAGACTATAATTATTGGATAACCTAGATAAAATGACCAAATTCCTAGAAACACAAACTACCAAAACCGAGTCAAGAAAAATAGGAAATCTGACTAGACTTACAGCAAGTAAAGAGACTGAACCAGTAATCAAAAATTTCCAGCCAAGCTTGATGGCTCACGCCGGTAATCCCAGCACTTTGGAAGGCTAAGGCAGGAGGGTCTCTTGAGAGACCTGCCTGGGAAACATGGTGAGACCCCTGTCTCTACAGAAAAAAAAAAAAAAAAAGATAGCCAGGCGTGGTGGTGTGCACCTGTAGTCCCAGCTACTGGGACTGGGGTGGGAGGATTGCTTGAGCCCAGGAGTTGGTGCTGCAGTGAGCTATGACCAGGCCACTGCACCCCAGCGTGGGTGACAGAGCAAGATCCTGTGTCTAAAACAAATTAAAAAAAATAATTTTAGGCAGAGCACAGTGGCTCATGCCTATAATCCCAGCACTTTGGGAGGCCGAGGCAGAAGGGATCTTTTGAGCCCAGGAGTTCCAGGCCAGCCTGGGCAACATAGAAACATAGATTTCGCGCCTCTACAGAAAATCAAAAAATTAGCGGGATGCCTGTAGTTTCAGCCACTCAGCAGGCTGAGGTGGGAGAATCACCTGAGCCCGAAAGGTCAAAGCTGCAGCGAGCCATGATCACGCCACCCAGCTACACGAGAGGCTGAGGCACGAGAATCGCTTGAACCCAGGAGGTGGAGGGTGCAGTGAGCAGAGATTACACGACTGCACTCCAGCCTGGGTGACAACGCAAGATTCTGTCTCAAAAATAAATAAATAAATAAATAATAAATAAATAAAAAGAAAAAACGTAGGGGGAAATATTAATGACCTTGGATTTGGCAATGAGTTCTTGGATATGACTCAAAAGTACAGGTAACAAAAGAAAACTAAGTCAATTGAACTTCATCAAAATTAAAAATTTTGTGCATTAAACAACAATAGCAACAGAGTAAAAAGGCAACCTATAGGATTGAAGAAATATTTGCAAATCATATATCTGATAAGGCATTAATATCCAGAATATATAAATAATTCCTACAACTCGACAACAACAACAAACAACCAAATCTAAAAATGAACAAAGGATTTGAACAGACACTTCTCCAAAGAGAATATACAAATGACCAATAAGCACATGAAAAGATGCTCAACATCACTAGTCATGAGAAAAATGCAAATCTAAACCACAATGAGATGCCACTTCACACTCATTAGGAAGGCTATTATAAAACATACGCCTGCACGTGCACACATAGAAAGCAGCAAGTGTTGGTGGGATTGTGAGGAAATCAGAGCCCTTATACATTGCTGGTGGGAGTGGAAAATAATGCAGTCACTGTGGAAGACAGCTTGGCAGCTCCTCAAAAAGTCAAACATAGAATTACAATATGACTCCGTAATTCCACGCCTAGGTATATATTCAAATGAATTGAAAACAGGGACCAATAATGTACTATAGCTATGCAAGATGTTACCATTTGGGGAAGCTCGGTGAAAAGTATTGGGATCTCCATACTACTTATTTACATTTGTCTGTGAATTTACAGTTATTTCAAAATCAAAAGTTAAACCAAAACCATGCATTGACCTCACTGTTTCCATGGATCAGGAATCCAGGCACTGCTTAGATAGTCTTACAGTTCAGGGTTTCTCACAAGGTTGCAGTCAAAGTGTTGGCCAGGACTGAATTCATGTCAAGGTTCAACTGGAGCAAGATCTACTTCCACATTCACTTTGTGGTTGTTAGCAGGGTATAAAGTACCTTGTGGACTGTTGGACTGAGGGTCTCAGTTCCTTGACATGTTGGCTTCTCCACAGGGGAGCTCACAACAACACAGCAGCTGGTTTCATCAGGGTATTGAAGTTCATCACCTTGAAGCAAGCAAAAGAAAGCAAGAGCATACCAGCAAGACAGAAGTCATGGTCTTTTGTAACCTAGTCTTGCAAGTAATAGCTCCATCACCTTTACTGTATTCCATTTGTTATATCATCGGGCCCAGCCCACACACAAGAGGAGGGACTTATACAAAAGCATAAATACCAGGAGTTGGGGATCACTGGGGACTAGCAGTCTACCTCAGTAGCCAAATAAAACACTTAAAGGATGAATAATAAGTTAATTTTGGCCAGGCGCGGTGGCTCACACCTGTAATCCCAGCACTTTGGAAAGCCAAGGCAGGCGGATCACCTGAGGTCAGGAGTTCGAGACCAGCCTGGCCAATATGGTGAAACCTGTCTCTACTGAAAATACAAAAATTATCTGGGTGTGGTGGCAGGCACTTGTAATCTCAGTTACTTGGGAGGCTGAGGCAGGAGAATCACTTGAACCCGGGAGTCGGAGGCTGCAGTGAGCTGAGATCACACCACTGCACTCCAGCTTGGGTGACAGAGCAAGACCCCGTCTCAAAAAAAAAAAAAAGTAATTTGACCCACCAGATACAATTAAATGCATAGTAATTAATATTATAGTGGTCCAGAAAGAAAAAGATTAAGTGGAACTCAATAGAGTCCAGGAGACTCAAACATTGTTAAAGCAAAAAATTGGAAAATTAAATGTCTATCCATAGGATGTTTTAAAAGAATGAGGGCTGGATGTGCTGGCTCACGCCTATAATCCCAGCACTTTGGGAGGCTGAGGCCAAAGGATCACTTGATGCCAGGAGATTGAGACTGGCCTCAGCAACATAGTGAGACCTCATTTCTACAAAAAATAAAAGAAAAAAGAAAAAGAAAAGAATGAGGCAAACTGGGGAAACCTGAATAAAGATTGGTGAATCATATCAATGTCAATATCCTGGTTGTGATATTTGCAAAATGTTGCCATTGGGAGAAACTAGGCAAAGTGTACAAGGAATCTCTATTATTTCTTATAAATATCTCAATAAAATTTTCAATTAAAAAATGGGTTCCAAGTCACTGCAGAAGAAAAAAAATAATGAGGGATGTGTGTGTATATATATATATATATATATATAGAGAGAGAGAGAGAGAGAGAGAGAGAGAGAGAGAGAGAGATGTTCACAATATATTATGTGTAAAAAGCAAGTTGGAAAATACAGTAGTCCCCTTTATCCGAGGTTTCCCTTATCCACCTCTAAGTGTCCAAGTGAAAGGAAGAGCCACACAGCTCTTTATTTATGTATTTATTTATTTGTTTGTTTGTTTGTTTGAGACAGAGTCTCACTCTGTTACCCAGGCTGGAGTGCAGTGGCACAATCACGGCTCACTGCAGCCTCAACCTCCTGCTCTCAGGGGATCCTCCCACCTCCGCCTCCTGAGTAGCTGGGACCACCACGCCCAGTTAATTTTTTTCAAAGGGAAAAAAAAAAAAAGATGTTATGGAAATAGCAAGAGAACTGGAATTAGAAGTGAATCCTGAAGATGTGGCTGAATTGCTATAATCTCATAGTAAAATTTGAATGGATGAGTAGTTGCTTCTTATGGATGAGCAAAGAAAAGTGGTTTCTTGGCCAGGCGTGGTGGCTCACACCTGTAGTCCCAGCACTTTGGGAGGCTGAGGCAGGAAGATCACTTGAGCCCAGGAGTTCAAGATCACCCTGGGCAACACAGTGAGACCCCATCTCTACAAAAAAAAAAAAAAAAAGAAAAGAAAAAAAAAAAAGCCAGTCATGGTGGCACATGTTTATAGTCCCAGCTGCTAGAGAGGCTGAGTTGGGAGAATCACTTGAGCCCAGGTGGCATGAGCCATGATCATGACACTGCACTCCAGCCTGGGTGACAGAGCGAGACCCTGTCTCAAAAGAGGAAAAAAAAGTGCTTCTTGAGGTGAAATCTACTCCTGGTGAAGATGCTATGAGCAATATGGAAATGACAACAAGCGTTTAAAATATTACATAAACCTAGTTGATAACACACTGGCAGAGCTGGCGAGGATTGACTCCCATTTTGAAAGAAGTTCTACTGTGGGTAAAATGCTGTCAAACAGCATCACATGCTACAGAGAAATCCTTTGTGAAAGGAAGAGTGAATTGATGCAGCAAATTTCACTTCTGTCTTCTTTTTAAATATTGCCACAGCCACCCCAACCTTCAGCAACCACCACCCTGATCAGTCATCAGCCATCAATATCAAGCCAAGACCCTCCACCAGCAAAAATATTACCACTCACTGAAGGCTCAGATGATCATTAGCATTTTTTTAGCGATAAAGTATTTTTAGACGTGCTATTGCACATTTAATAGACTACAATATAGTGTAAACATAACTTATATGCACTGGGAAACAAAAAAATCCCTGTGACTCACTTTATTGTGATATGTACTTTATTGCAGTGGTCTGGAACTGAACCCACAATATCTCTGAGGTATGCTTGTGTTGTTAATTGTCCACTCAAGAGCCACCCCCTCCACTTCTTATTTGCCAAAATAACCCATATATGTGCAGGGAAGAAATATGCCCAACCCCAATATGAATCATGCTTTGTCTAAACCTGTTTCCATTTGTGAGATTCACAATTGTACAACCTTAAAGCTGCAAGTTGCCATATTGTCCAGTATTGGCCATGAGATAAAGGGAAGTGTGTTGATAGTGGGAGAAAGCTTGTGCTTTCATGATATAAGGGACAGCCATAGTGCCACTACTTTCTCCAGTTTCCTTCCCCAAACATGAATGTGATTACTAGAACTAAAGCAGCCATCCTGTGATCATAAGGCAACAAGCACGAAGGCCGAAAGCCAACCTGCTAAGGAGGGTTAAGCAGACAGATGGAGATTGAATTCTTGATGCCATTGCTAAGCCTTTGAACCAAAGCCAACAACTACCTATCTCTGGACTTCTTATATGAGAAAAACAAATACCTACTTATTTAAGTCAAGTTTTTTGTTACTTATAACCACACAAATGGCATCATGTCATTTTCCTACTTAAAACCCATCAATAGGCCGGGCGCAGTGGCTCATGCCTGTAATCCCAGCACTTTGGGAGGCCGAGGCAGGCGGATCATGGGGTCAGGAGATCGAGACCATCCTGGCTAACACGGTGAGACCCCGCCTCTACTAAAAATACAAAAAATTAGCCGGGCATGGTGGCATGCACCTGTATTCCCAGCTACTCAGGAGGCTGAGGCAGGAGAATCACTTGAACCTGGGAGGCGGAGGTTGCAGTGAGCCGAGATCGTGCCACTGCACTCCAGCCTGGGCAACAGAGCGAGACTCTGTCTCAAAAAACAAAAACGAAAACAAAAAACATCAATTTCAGGGTAGAGCCCATTCCTCACGGAATGACATATAGTTTCCATCAAGATTTGACTCTGGTCTCCTTTCCAGCTGCATCTTCTACCATTATCTCAGATATTCCAAATCAAAGATCCATTATGAAATATATTCTTAAGCATCCATACCTATAGATATGTGGTTTTCTGTGGAATGCCTTCATGATTTGTACAATTAAATAACTCTTTTTATCTGTCAAATATCAGTCCAATGGTTACTTTTTGTGTGTGTATGTGTGTGTGTGAGAGATGGAGTTTCACTCTTGTTGCCCAGGCTGGAGTGCAATGGCACGATCTCGGCTCACTGCAACCTCCCCCTCCCGGGTTCAAGTGATTCTCCTGCCTCAGCCTCCCGAGTAGCTGGGATCACAGGCATGCACCACCACGTCTGGCTACTTTTTGTATTTTTAGTAGAGATGGGGTTTCGCCATGTTGGCCAGGCTGGTCTTGAACTCCTGACCTCAGGTGATCCGCCCGCCTCGGCCTCCCAAAATGCTGGGATTACAGGCGTGAGCCACCGCGCCCAGCCCATCCTGTCCCTTCTCTAAACACTTTTCACCATCTCCATTACTATCAACCTCAACCAAGCCACCATCATCTCCTGCCTAGATTACTACAATAGCCTCCTAAGTACCCCTTGCATGTGTTTTCTCTTTGCCTGGAATGATCTTCCCCCAGATAGCCACATAATTTATTCCTTCACTTCATTAATTTCTCTGTTCAGATGTCACCTTCTCTGAAAGGCCTTTCCTGATCACCTTATCTAAAATAGCAACTCTCTCCTCCTTAACACATACACATTCTCTTTATACCATTATATTACTTTAGTGTTCTTTATAGTACTTATCACCACCTCACAGATATTTATTGCCTCTCTCCACCTCCATGAAAGGACTTTTGTTCAATGCTGTATTTCCAGCACTTAGATTAATCTTGGTACGTAGTATTCACTTAATAAATATTTATTGAATGAATATATGAATTATTTCTGGCTTTTAGAAGAATGGGTAACTACATAATTGAATAAATATATCTCTGTACCCCAAGGCCCAGCATACTACCGGGTACATAGTGGGAATTCAATAAATGTTTGTTGAATGAATCAAGGCTGTAAACATGCTCATAAGTCTTTCTCTTTTTTTAAGAGACAGGATCCATGGTGGGGTGCAGTGGTGCGATCATAGCCCACTGCAACCTCAAACTCCTGGGCTCAAGGGATCCTCTTGCCTCAGCCTCCCGAGTAGCTGGGACTACAGGTATATGCCACCATGTCTGGCTAGTTTTGTTTTTGGTTTTGTTTTTTGAGACAGTCTCAGTCTGTTGCCCAGGCTGGAGTGCAGTGATACAGTCATGGTTCACTGCAGCCTCAAACTCCTGGGCTCAAGTGATCCTCCCACATCAGCCTCCCAAGTAGCTAGGACTGCAGGTGCACACCACCATGCCCAGATAATTTTTTGATTTTTCACAGAGACATGGTCTCGCTATGTTGCCCAGGCTGGTCTAAAATTCCTGGGCTCAAGAGATCCTCCCACCTGGGCCTCCCAAAGTGCTGGGATTACAGGCATGAGCCACCACAGCCGGCCTCATAGGTCTTTTAAAAATTTTCTGGTTATCCCATTTCTCCCTTTAGCTATTACTATCATTCTCCTTCCCCTGATAGCCTAGCTGCTTTCTCACCTTCCAGTCACTTTTTTTTCAGCTTAAAAACTTTTATGAAATATATCACAAATACAAAAGTATATCTGACATTTATGGTAGATAAAAATCTCATATATAATTTAAAGAATAAGAAAATGAACATCTAAGTGCCCACCAATCAGCTTACAAACCAGAACATTACCAGAGCCTCTGAAGCTCTCTGGATACCCTTCTGAATTGCATTCCTTTCCTTCCCTGCAAGATATAACTGCTATTAGGAATTGTACTTTTTTTTCTTTTTGTTTATTTATTTTTTGAGACAGAGTCTCACTCCATCACCCAGACTGGAGTGGAGTGGCGTGATCTCAGTTCACTGCAACCTCCACCTCCCGGGTTCAAGAGATTCTCCTGTCTCAGCCTCCCAAGTAGCTAGGACTGCAGGCATGCGCCACCACGCCCGGCTAATTTTTGTATTTTTAGTAGCAATTGGGCTTTGCCATATTGCCCAGGCTGATCTTGAACTCCTGGCCTCAAGTGATCCTCCTGCCTTGGCCTTCCAAAGTGCTGGGATTACAGGCATGAGCCATCATGTCTGGCCAGTAATTATACTTTTCTTTATGGCTTTCTCACCCGTGTTTTTGAACCTTATATACATAGAATCATATCATATGAATTTTTCTGAACTTTCCTTCCACATTATGTTCGTGGGACTCATCTATGTTGATATTTGTATCTGTAGGTATTTTTACCAATGTATAGTTTTCCCTTTTATAATAATACCATAATTTACTAAACCATTCTCTTATTGAAGAACATTTGAGCTATTTTCAACTTTTTGCTATAAAGATCAGTGCAGCTATTAACACTCTTGAATTCTTGTACATGTCTTCTGGTACGGTGGTGCAAGAATTTTTCTAGCATATATACCTAGGGGTAGAATTGCTGATTAAGTCAGCTAGGTGCAGTGGCTCACGCCTGTAATCCCAGCACTTTGGGAGGCCAAGGCGGGCGGATCACCTGAGGTCAGGAGTTCAAGACCAGCCTGGCCAACATTTTCACGTTTATTGGCTATTCCTGTTTTCTCTTCTGTGAAATGCTGCTTTATGTTTTTTGGTCAGTTTTCATTGGATGGCTTGTCTTTTTCTTACCGATATATTGTCTTACATATTTTTTTTCAGAATTTAAAAAGAATTTTTGCTAAAGATAGACCTCCCTATGTTACCCAGTCTGGTCTCAAACTCGTGGACTCAAGCAATCCTCCCATCTCTGCCTGTCAAAGTTCTGGGATGCTGAGATTACAGGTGTGAGCCATCGCACTTGGCCAGGATTCTCTTGTTTTTGTTTGTTTGTTTGTTTGTTTGTTTGAGACAAGGTCTTGCTCTATCACCTAGGCTGGAGGAGTGCAGTGGTATGATCATAGCTCACTGCAGCCTCGAACTCCTGGGCTCAAGTGATCCTCCTACCTCGGCCCCCAAAGCATTGAGATTACAGGCATGAGCCACCGCAGTTGGCCAGGATAGTTATTCTTTTTTTGAGAAGGGGGTTCACTCTTGTTGCCCAGGCTGGAGTGCAGTGGCGTGATCTTGGCTCACTGCAACCTCCACCTCCCGAATTCAAGCAATTCTCCTGCCTCAGCCTCCCAAGTAGCTGGGATTACAGGCACCCACCACCACGCCCAGCTAATTTTTTTGTATTTTTTGTAGAGATAGGGTTTCACCATGTTGGCTGGGCTAGTCTCGAACTCCTGACCTCAGGTGATCTGCCGGCCTCAGCCACCATGCCTGGCCCAGGATAGTTATTCTTTATCAGTTATATGAATTGGAAACATCTTCTGCCAGCCCATCACCTTTTAAAATGATGTCTTATGATGAACAAAAGTTTATTTATTTATTTAGAAACAGAGTCTTGCTCTATCACCCAGGCTGGAGGGCAATGGTGTGATCTCGGCTCACTGCAGCCTTTGCCTCCTGCGCTCAAGTGAGTCTCCTGCCTTAGCCTCCCGAGAAGCTGGGATTACATGTATGTGCTACCATGCCCAGCTAATTTTTGTATTTTTAGTAGAGATGGGGTTTCACCATGTTGGTCAGGCTGGTCTCGAACTCCTGACCTCGAGTGATCCACCTGCCTCGGCCTCCCAAAGTGCTGGAATTACAGGCGTATGCCACCGTGCCCGGCTTCAAAAGTTTATATTTTTTAACACAGTTAAATGCATCCAAATTTTATTTTATGATTTGCCCTTTATGTTATTGTCTAAGAAATCCTTTTGTATACCAAGGCTATAGAAATATTCTTAGTGGGCACAGTGACTCACACCTATGATCCCAGCACTTAGCACTTTGGAAGGCTGAGGTAGGAGCATCGATTGAGGCCAGGAGTTTGGGACTGGCCTAGGCAACATAGTGAGACCCTGTCTCCATAAAAAGTACAAAAATTAGCCAGGCAGGTGTCATGTGCCTGTAGACCCAGCTATTCAGGAGGCTGAGATGGGAGGATCAATTGGGCCCAGAAGGTTGAGGCTGCAGTGAGCTGTGATTGCACTATTGCAATGCAGCCTGGGTGACAGAGTGAGACTCTGTCTCAAAAAAAAAAATTAAAATTAAAAAAATTTTTTAAATTATCTTTTATTTCTCCTAAAAGATCTAAAATTTTGGCCAGGCACAGTGGATCATGCCTGTAATCCCAGCACTTTGGGAGGCTGAGGCAGGTAGATCACTTGAGGTCAGGAGTTCAAGACCAGCCTAGCCAACATGGTGAAATCCCATCTGTACTAAAAATACAAAAATTAGCTAGGCATGGTGGCAGGCACCGGTAATCCCAGCTACTCGGGAGGCTGAGACAGGAGAATCACTTGAACCTGGGAGGTGGAGGTTGTAGGGAGCCAAGATTACACTACTGCACTCCAGCTTGGGCAACAGAGCAAGACTCAGTCTCAAAAAAAAAAAAAGTCTAAAATTTTTGCCTTGCACATCTAAGTCTTTTATCCATCTAGATTGATTTTTGCGTGATGTACGAGGTAGGGATCCCATTTCATTTTTTTCCTATATAGATAACCAACTGATCTAGCACTGTTTATTGAATAATCTGCAATGCTACCTTGATATTTACCAAGTTTCCATATGTGTTCAGGTCCGCTTCTAAGTTCTCTACTCTATTCCATTGCTACATTTGCCTATTCCTGTGCCAATCCCAAACTCTTAACTGTTGCTTTAAAATGTCTTTTTTTTTTTTTGAGGGAGAGAGAAAGAGAGAGAGGGTCTCACTCTGTTGCCCAGGCTGGAGTGCAGTGGCATAATCATGGCTCACTACAACCTCAAACTCCTGGGCTCAAGCAATCCTCCAACCTCAGCCTCTCAAGTAGCTGGGACCACAGGCGTGTACCACCATGCCTGGCTAAATTTTTTTGTATGTGTTTTTTGTAGAGATGGGGTTTCATCATGTTGCCCAGGCTGATCTTGAACCCCTGGACTCAAGCAATCCTCCCACCTCCCCTTCCCAAACTGCTAAAATTACAGGCATGAGCCACCACACCCAGCCTAAAATAAGCCTTGATATCCGAAAGGGCAAGTTCCAGTTCCCTCACCCTGTTTGTCTCCTTAGTTATTTTTGGTCAGTTCCTCTTCCATATAAAGTGTCGAATCATTTTGTCAAATTCTATGAAAAACCTTATTGGAATTTTGATGAAACTGCCTTGGAATTCATAGATCAATTTAAGATATCTTTTCATCTGTGTTAGTCCGTTTGTGTCACTATAAAGAAATATGTGAGGCTAGATAATTTATAAAGAAAAGAGGTTTAATTGGCTCACGGTTCTCTGTAGGCTGTACAGGAAGCGTGGTGCTGGCATCTGCTTCTGAGCAGGTCTCAGGAAGCTTACAATCATGGCAGAAGCTGAAGGGGAGCCAGCATGTTACATGGTGAAAGCGGGAGCAAGACAGAGAAGGGGGAGGTGCCACATTCTTTCAAACAACCAGATCTCAGTGAACTAATAGAGAACTCACTCATCACCAAGGGGATGATGCTAAGCCATTCATGAGGGATCTGCCCCCATGACCCAAACACCTCGCACCATGCCTCACTTCCAACATTGGGGATCACCTTTCAACGTGAGACTTGTAGAGGACAAACATCAAACCATATCAACATGTTTACTATATTGAGTCTTGCTATTCATGAATCTAGACTGTCTCTCCACTTATTTAAGTCTTTAATATCTTTCAGTAAAATTTCATTATTTTCTTCATAAAAGTCTTGAAAATCTTTTATTTAGATTTATCCTTTTTCTTTTTCTTTTTTTTTTTTTTTTGAAACGGAGTCTCGCTCTGTCACCCAGGCTGGAGTGCAGTGGCACGATCTCGGCTCACTGTAACCTCTACCTCCCGGGCTCAAGTGATTCTCCTGCCTCAGCCTCCTGAGTAACTGGGACTACAGGCTCCCGCCACCATGCCTGGCTAATTTTTTGTATTTTTAGTAGAGACGGAGTTTCACCATATTGGCCAGGCTGGTCTCAAACTCCTGATCTCGTGATCCGCCCGCCTCAGCCTCCCAAAGTGCTGGGATTACAGGCGTGAGCCACTGCGCCTGACGCCTCTAGCTTCTTCTACCTTTGCCCTCCCATTGAACATTGGGTCTTTTCCCAAGTTCTCCCCTTGGGCCTGATCTCATCTCCGTAACTTTACATTCTGTCCATTAGCTAATGACATAACAACCCAGCCTTTCTCCTGAGCTCCACTATTTCCAGCTACTTACTGAACATCTCCACTTGGATGTCTCCCAGACATCTCATTCACCAAATTTGACACTTAATTCATTACCATCTTCAACCCAAAACCTATTCCTTAAGTTCTTCCACAATCATGTCCCACCCCCATCCCTGATTTCCTAAGACAAAAACCTGGAAGAATTCCACTCTCCCCTTTGCCTATTACACTCCCAGAAACTCTAGCAATATTTCAGTTCCTCAAATACACCAACCTCTTTTTTGCCTCAGAGCCTTTGATCTTACTATTCCTTCTACCTAGAATGATCTTCCCCTTGCTCAATGCACGGATGGCTCTTTCTCATCTTCAAGTCTCAGCTAAAATGCCACCTCATTATTAGACACCTTCTCTGTCTACCTATCTAAAGTAGGATGGCCTCTACTCCAACCCAGCCACAATTACTTCAATGCATCACCTTCTTTTACTTCTCACAGTTTGTGTTTACTTGTTTATTGTCTGTTCTTTTCCACTGGAATGCAAGCTCCGTGAGAATAGGATTTATATCCATGTTTTCCATGCTATACTGCCAGAGCCTAGAACAGTGTCAGGTGCATGGTGGGTACACTATATTTATTGACTGGATGAATGAATCCTATATGCCTCCTTATTCCTTGTCTGCCAATAATAGTCAGTCACCAAATGCAGTTGAGTCTACCTCCTAAACATCTCCCAAATCTAGCCCATATTCTCCAACCCAGTCATTGCTTTAATTGAAGCACTCATCACCTCTCACCTTATAGTCTTATAACAGGTGCTTTTTCCCCAAGCCTGGCTCCTTCCCTAATACATTCACTACATTAAATATATACATACTCTGAAACCAGGGCTAATCTCTCTGCGACCAAACTAAATCTAATCACATCCTTCACCTGCGTAAAATTCTGCATTGTCAATCACGATCAAGTCCAAACTCCTTACCATGGCCCATAAATCCTTTGAGGACTCTTGCTTGCTTGCTTGCTCTCTCTCTCTCTCTTTCTTTCTTTTTTCAGAGTTTTGCTCTTGTCACCCAGACTGGAGTGCAGTGGTGCAATCTTGGCTCACTACAACCTCTGCTTCCCGGTTTCAAGCGATTCTCATACCTCAGCCTCCTGAGTAGCTGGGATTACAGGCGCCCGACACCACGCCCAGCTAATTTTTGTACTTTTAATAGAGACGTAGTTTCACCATGTTGCCTACACTGGTCTCGAACTCTTGACTTCAGGTGATCACCCTCCTTGGCCTCCCAAACTAGTGGGATTATAGGCATGAGCCACCGCGCCCAGCCAGAGGACCTGTTTCATAATCTGCCCTGCCTTCTTCACCTTTCCCCAACCCTCACCTTCCTTCCCTATATACCCAATGCTCCAATTATACTGGGCTACTCGTAGCTGTCCAAACATTTCATGGTAATTCATGTCTCTGGTTTTGTTGTTGTTGTTGTTATTGTTGTTTTTAAGAGTCGGGGGTATCATGCTCTGTTGCCCAGGCTGGAATGTAGTGGCTCCATGTAGTGGCTCACGGCTCACTGTAGCCTTCTCGAACTCCTAGGGTAAAGTGATTCTCCCACTTCAGCCTCCCAAGTAGCTAGGACTAGAGGTGCACACCACCATGCCCGACTAATTAAAAAATTTAAAAAAAAAATTTTTTTTAAGAGATGTATTCTCACTATGGCAACGTCTCAAACTCACGGCCTTAAGTGATCATCCCGCCTCAGCCTCTAAATCCCCGGTATTACAGGCAAGAGTCACTGCACCTGGCCATGGCTCTGGCTTTTGGATATGGTACTATCTGTCTGGAATATCCTCACCCCACCTCACCTGCCAACCCCCTGTTATCCATTCAGATTCAGCTTAAAGGTCTTTTGTACTGTAAAGCTTTTCCTCACACTCACCCAACCTGCCTATACCCTGCAAAGTTGATTTCCTTTTCCTCCCAAATTTCCCCCTTCCTCTCATGTACTTCTGCTGCATCAGCCACACCCTACTCTCAGGTTTGTGCTTATTGTGTCTATCTGACTACCTGTGACACTTGAGGGCAAATGCTGTATCTCATTCTTCATATTCTCAGTTGTCACATGTACTAAGTGCTGGAATGTTTATTGAACAAGTGAAAATGAGCAACAAAAAAAACCCTTTCTAAATAATATCTAAAGTTGTCAAAGTTGTAGTGAAGTTCGTATGTTTACATAGGACTTCTGGCAAGATAAACAAATACAAACTTTTGAAAAGCAATATGACACTACATATCAAAACTCATAAATATCTTTGTAACAGATAAAAGTGGTCACCTCTGGAGAAAGTGAGCAGAAGAGAAAAGGGAAGGGGTAGGGAAGGGAACTTGCTATTCATTCTGAGCTGTTCTGATTTTTAACTGTGTTTTACATAGATAACTATTTTATTTTATTTTATTTATTTTTTTGAGATGCAGTCTCACTGTCGCCCAGGCTGGAGTGCAATGGCGAGATCTCAGCTCACTGCAACCTCTGCCTCCCAAGTTCAAGCGATTCTTCTACCTCAGCCTCCCCAAGTAGCTGGGATTACAGGTGTGCGCCACCACGCCCGGCTGGTTTTTGTATTTTTAGTAGAGACAGGGTTTCACCATGTTGGCCAGGCTGGTCTCAAACTCCTGACCTCAAGAGATTCGCCCACCTCGGCCTCCCCTGTGCTGGGATTACAGGCGTGAGCCACCACACCTGGCCAATAACAATTTCAAAGAACTGTTTTTGACCTTTGGCTTAATAATTCTATACTCAAGAACTGATGCAAGAGAAGCAATGAGACAGAAGTAAAAGCTATATGGATGAAATGTTCATTGTATTATCG
The DNA here is from genome assembly GCF_000001405.40 of Homo sapiens. Taxonomy (NCBI): domain Eukaryota; kingdom Metazoa; phylum Chordata; class Mammalia; order Primates; family Hominidae; genus Homo; species Homo sapiens. The sequence continues at coordinate 71,472,326 of NC_000023.11, read as the reverse complement.
AAAATTCTGAAATCTTAGAACAAACTAATAATAGGGAAATGGCTAAGTAAATAAGGATAAATTAATTCAATAAACTATTAAGCCAAGGTGGGCAGATTGCTTGAGCCCAGGAGTTCGAGACTAGCCTGTGCAAAACCTTTTATCTATTAAAAAAATACAAAAAGTTAGCCAGGCGTGGTGGCACATGCCTGTAGTCCCAGCTACTTGGGAGGCTGAGGTTGAGGCAGGAGAATAGGGTCTGGAGGTAGGGAACCTAAGGCCGTTTCACGCTGACTTCCTAGAACTAAATTGAAAGGAAAACTCTAAGTTTCCATGTCTAAGTAACAAAAGGACCAGAGGCTATGCCCTTTGCAAACCCCCTCCTTTTCTGCCTGGCAGTTGGGAAATTGAAAGTACCTCAACTAATCAGAGGTTTGCATAGGAGTGTAACTTTGTAATGTCACTTCAGCCTCAGATTGGTTGCTGTCCACAACCAATCAGACTGATTGTGGGCCACCACTTCATTTACATGGGGTGAACACCAAGTAGCCAATGGGAAACGTCTAGGGGGTATTTGGACCTGAGAAGATTCTGTGTTGGGGCCCTTGAGCGGCTGCTCAGGCCCGCTTCCCACCCTGTGGAGTGTACTTTCGTTTTCAATAAATCTCTGCTGTGCTGTTGCTTCATTCTTTCCTTGCTTTGTTTGTGCCTTTTGTCCAATTCTTTGTTCCAAATGCCAAGAACCTGGACACCCTCCACCAGTAACAAGGTGGGAGGATCACCTGAGCCCAGGAAGTCAAGGTTTTGGTGAGCCATGATTGCACCACTGCACTCCAGCCTGGGCGACAGAGGGAGACCCTGTCACCAAAAAAAAAAAAAAAAAAAAGTGACCATTTCATAAACTATGTAGAAACATGGAAGACAATTTATGACATAATGTTTAGAAAGCATAATATATATCTGGGTTCCATTCATGTGTGTGTGTGTGTGTGTGTGTGTGTATATATATATATATTTTTTTTTTTTTTTAGACGGAGTCTCGCTCTGTCACCAGGCTGGTGGAGTGCAGTGGTGTGATCTCGGTTCACTGCAACCCCTGCCTCCTGGGTTCAAGTGATTCTCCTGCCTCAGCCTCCCGAGTAGCTGGGACTACAGGCATGTGTCACCATGCCCAGCTAATTTTTTTGTATTTTTAGTAGAGACGGGGTTTCACCATGTTGGCCAGGATGCTCTCAATCTCTTGACATCGTGATTCTCCCGCCTCGGCCTCCCAAAGTGCTAGGATTATAGGTGTGAGCCACAGCACCTGGCCATGTATATATATTTTTGAGACATGGTCTTTCTCTGTTGTCCAGGCCGGACTGCAGTAGCAATGATCACCACTCACTGTAGCTTCGAGCTCCTGGGCTTAAGCAATCCTCCCACCTCAGCCTCCCCAGGAATTGGAACCACAGGTTCATGCCACCTGTTTTTATTTATTCTATTTTATTTATTTTATTTTATTTTATTTTGTGTTATTTTTAGACACTGGTTCTCCCTTTGTTGCCAGGCTGATCTCTAACTCCTGGCCTCAAGTGATCCTCTCACCTCAGCCTCCCAAAGTGCTGGGATTACAGGCATGAGCCACCACACCTGGCCTATACATTCTTTTTTTAAAATATGAATGGAAGGGCTTGGGCACAGTGGCTCAAGCGTGTAATCCAAGCACTTTGGGGGGCTGAGGTGGGCGGATCACTTGAGGTCAGGAGTTCAAGACCAGCCTGGCCAACATGGAGAAACCCCGTCTCTACTAAAAATACAAAAATTGGGCCGGGCTTGGTGGCTCACACCTGTAATCCCAGCACTTTGGGAGGCCAAGGCAGGCAGATCATGAGGTCAGGAGATCGAGACCATCCTGGCTAACACAGACATATATATATATGCGCATAATACATGTGTATACATATATATATACACACAGAAAATATTGTGGTAAAAGAAATGTCACCTATAATCTCATTACTGAAACAATTTTCATTTTTGAATATCACCTCTCCATCTTTGTTCCCTCAATTGTGTAATATTACCTGATAGCAGTCATGGTGCACAAAACATGTTTTTTAAACTTTTATAAATTATTATTTTACAATATTATTACTCTTTATAGGAAATTAGACAATATAAACAAAAAGAAGTGATATAAACCTGTAATCCCACAGTCTAGAGAGAACCTCTGTTAACCTGTTTGTCTATAGCTAGCTTCCAGGTTTGTTCTTACACAGCTGTGTGTATATAATGTATATAATTTTTCAAAACTAGAACATAGTTGCACGTAACACTTTATATAATGCTTTATTTTAAAACTTTAGGCCAGGCACGGTGGCTCACGCCTGTAATCCCAGCATTTTGGGAGGCCAAGGAGGGCGGATCACCTGAGGTTGGGAGTTCAAGACCAGCCTGACCAACATGGAGAAATCCCATCTCTACTAGAAATACAAAATTAGCCGGGCATGGTGGCACATGCCTTTAGTCCCAGGTACTCAGGAAGCTGAGGCAGGAGAATCGCTTGAACTGGGGAGGTAGAGGTTGCGGTGAGCCAAGATCACTCCATTGCACTCCAGCCTGGACAACAAGAGCGAAACTCCGTCTCAAAATAAAATAAAATAAAATAAAAAATAAAACTGTATTATTAATGTATTTGTTCCGGAGACACTTGAGGTGGGAGGATCACTTGAGCCTCAACACCTCAGGCTCAAATGATCCTCCCACCCGAGCCTCCCGAGTAGGTGGGACTACAGGTGTGCACCACCATGCCTGGCTACTAATTTTTTCATTATTTGTAGAGAGGAGGTCTCCCTATGTTGCTAGGCTGGTCTTGAACTCCTGGACTCAATCAAGCCTCCCTCCTCGGCCGCTCAAAGTGTTGGGATTACAGGTATGAGTCACTGTGCCCAGCCACCATTATTATTTTCCAGACCTTTTCTACACTTAACAAAAAAAGTGGTCATACTTAATTTTGTATATTGTCTCACTTATTATGTTATGAGCTTTTCCCCATTTCCCATGTTCATCTTGTGGCCATACCCTTTTTCTTTGTCACCCAAGCTGGAGTACAGTGGTGTGACCATAGCTCACTGCAGCCTTAAACTCCTGGGCTCAAGGGATCCTCCTGAGTAGCTGGGACTACAAGCACATGCCACCACACCCAGCTAATTGTTTTTTTATTTTAGTAGAGACAAGGTCTTGCTATGTTGCTCAGGCTGACCTCAAACTCCTGGGCTCAAGCCATCCTCCCGCCTTGGCCTTCCAAATTGCTGGGATTACAGGCGTGAGCCACCGCACCCAGCCTCCATTTTGTTTTGCTTTGTTTTGTTTTGTTTTGACATAGGGTCTCCCTCTGTTGCCCAGGCTGGAGTGCAGTGGCACACTCATGGCTCACCGTAGCCTTGACCTCAGTCCCAAGCGTTCCTCCTGCCTCAGCCTCCCAAGTAGCTGGGACCATAGGCTTGCACCACTATGCTTGCTCCCTTTTTTTTTTCGTAGAGACAGGGTTTTACCATGCTGCCCAGACTGGTCTTGAACTCCTGGGCTCAAATGACCTGCCCACCTTGGCCTCCCAAAATGCTGGGATTAAAGGTGTGAGCCAGCAGACCCAGGCTGTTTCAATTTTTTTTTTTTTTTTTTGAGAGGGAGTCTCACTTTGTCGCCCAGGCTGGAGTGCAGTGGCGTGATCTCGGCTCACTGCAACCTTCGCCTCCCGGTTCAAGCGATTCTCCTGCCTCAGCCTCCTGAGTAGCTGGGATTACAGGCGCCTGCCACCACGCCCAGCTAATTTTTGTATTTTTAGTAGAGACGGGGTTTCACCATGTTGGCCAGGCTGGTCTCAAACTCCTGACCTTGTGATCCGCCCACGCCAGCCTCCCAAAGTGCTGGGATTACAGGCGTGAGCCACAGCACCCGGCCTCTGTTTCCAATTTTTAATATTAAAAATATAATGCTTTGATGGGCATATTTTACATGGATCTTCATGTTCATCTCTGATTATTTCCTTAGGATAATTTTCTAGAAATGACATTACTAGATGCAAGGGTATGAAAATTCTTTTTTCTCTTTTTTTTGACAGGGTCTCTGTTGCCCAGGCTGGAGTGCAGTGGCACTATCATGGCTCACTGCAGCCTCGATCTCCTGGGCTCAAGCGATCCTCCCACCTCAGCCTCCTAAGTAGCTGGGACTACAGGTGTGTGCCACCATGCCCGGCTAATTTTTATATTTTTAGTAAAGATGGGTTTTCACCATGTTGCCCAGGCTGGTCTTGAACTCCCAGGCTCAAGCGATTCACCCACCTTGACCTCTCAAAAGTGCTGGAATTACAGGTGCGAGCCACTGTGCCCAGCCTGAAAACTTAATGCTCTTGATGCACGGTGTCAAATAGCTTTCAGCAAAGTTGTACTGAGTTACACTCCCAAGCAGTGTTTCAGGGCCTGGTTTACCACATTCTCATCATAATATTTTCTTTAAAGGTATACTGTGTTTAAAAACATGTTTTGAAAACAGGTAGTCCCATGTTCAAATCCTGGCTCTACCACTTAGTGATGTTACGAATGTCACTTAATCCTTCTAATCTTCAGATTTTGTCATCTGTAAAAATAGGCATACTACCACCTACCCTCAAGGTTATTGTGAGGATTAAGGGAGACTACAAACTAGATTGAAACATGTGAAATTGCCAATATTTATTCTTTTTGACCTACAAAAATGTTTTTCATATGGTTAAACCTAATACATAAAGCATGTTATGTGATCTGGAATATTATGTGATCAATAAATTGTAGATATAGAAATTATTATCATGGAAGTGGGATGATAAAAGTGAATGGCATCCTTACTGAAACCTCCCAAACTTAGAAGAAATAAGCACAGATAAACTCAAGAAAAACTGGCCTCTTTAGAAAAGGATTGGAAGCCAGGAGTGGTAGCATGCACCTGTAGTCCCTACTACTTGGGAAGCTGAGGTGGGAAGATTGCTTGAGCCCAGAAGTTCTGGGTTATTATGCTTGAAGGCAGCATGCTCGTTGAGTCATCACCACTCCCTAATCTCAAGTACCCAGGGACACAAACACTGTGGAAGGCCGCAGGGTCCTCTGCCTAGGAAAACCAGAGACCTTTGTTCACGTGTTTATCTGCCCACCTTCTCTCCACTATTATCCTATGACCCTGCCACATCCCCCTCTCCGAGAAACACCCAAGAATCATCAATAAATTAAAAAAAAAAAAAAAAAAAAGAATGCCCTCCCATCCCACCCCTATGAATATCTGGTAAATTCCTTTCCACTCTTCATGGTTTTTTTTAAGGGTCTCCTCTGTGAAGCATTCTTGTTCCTACTTCGTAAAGAGTCAAGAACTTTTTCCTCTCACCACGGATTCTTGTAAATATTTATTGCAATGATCACTTTTTATTAAACTTGTTTATTTACATATCTACCTCTCATTCTAGACCTTAAGTTCCTTGCAATCAGGAACTATATCTTACTTCTCTATCAGCATCTGGCAGGCTGCTTATAAAAACAAGTGGCTTGGCCAGGCACAGTGGCTCATGCCTGTAATCCCAGCACTTTGGGAAGACAAGGTAGGTGGATCGCTTGAGGTCAAGAGTTCTAGACCAGCCTGGCCAACATGGTAAAGCCCCGTCTTGGCTGGGCGCGGTGGCTCACGCCTGTAATCCCAGCACTTTGAGAGGCCAAGGCGGGCGGATCCTCTGAGGTCAGGAGTTTGAAACCAGCCTGGCCAACATGGCGAAACTCCGTCTCTACTAAAAATACAAAAATTAGCTGGGCATGATGGCAGGCGCCTGTAATCCCAGCTACTGAGGAGGCTGAGGCACAAGAATCGCTTGAACCCGGGAGGCGGATGTTGCAGTGAGCTGAGATCGTACCACTGCACTCCAGCCTACAAAAATCAGCCCGGTGTGGTGATGCGTGCCTGTAATCCCAGTTACTCAGGAGGCTGAAGCAGGAAAATCGCTTGAACCCGGGAGGTGGAGGTTGCAGTGAGCCGAGATCACACCACTGCACTCTAGCCTGGGCAACAGAGGGAGACTCCATCTAAAAAAACAAAACAAAAATAGGTGGCATGATAAATGTTAAAATGAACCAATGAATACCATGTACTCACCCAATCCCCCCAACCAAAATTCTGGAAGCCACCTTCCATTCCTCCTTCTCTACCCACAAATGCCAAGTCCTACTCCCTAAAGATCTCTCAAATCCATCCCCCTCCTCCCCATCCCAATGCCATAGCACCAGTTTGGGCTCCATTCTCTCTTACTTGAACTAGATCCATCCAAACCATTCTCCACACTACTGCTGGAATTTTTTAAAATTTTTATTACAAAAATAATACATACTGTAAAAAAATTCAAACAATATAGAAATAAAAGCACAATATCCCACCCAGCATACATAACAAACACAGAAGCCCCCTCCCCTCCAATCCCATTCCTGGGGGGTTATCATTGTGAACAGTTAGCATATATCCTTTCAGACTTTTACCTTTGCATACACAAGTATATATATAAACACATATAAACACACATGGTTCTTTTACAAAAATGCGATCACATATGTTACATGATTCTTCAATTTCTTTCTTCATTCATTCATTACACAGATTTCTAAAACACAAACCTGATTATATCACTCCTCTAAGAGCTTATTTCCCATAATATAAAAATCATACACATTAACATCAAACACAAAGCTTGTGATGATATACTTCCTGCCCATCTTTCAGTCTCATCTCAGCCCTTCCAGCATTAAAGGACTGGAATATAAACCACATTAAATCCTTCCTGGAACAAGGCAGGTACAAACAAACAAACAAACAAACTAGGAACACACTCTGCCATTTCTAGACTGTGGCCTTTCCCATTCATGTTACACTTTGCCTGGACTTTTCCATCTGGCAAGCTTCTACTAATTCTAAAACAATCAGCTTAAAAATTACCTCTAGGAAGACTTTCCTGACTTTTCAGACATGATTACTCCTCTATTTCCCCTATACTTTATAACTAGCTTCTTAATTGCACTTATCTCACAGTACTATGATGATTTATTAACATGTTTTGAATTCCACTTTCCCTCCCCCAACTTGATGGTGAGCTCTTTGGGTAAAAGGGATTTGTCTTATTTACCTTTGCATCCCAAGGATCTGATAGAGTGCTTATCATGAAAAGCAGATGCTCAGTAACATATCTGTTGAGGATTTTATGATTCTAGGAACATTTACTGAGTACCTACTATGCACAGAACCATATCCTAAGCATGAAAAGAAACAGAAGACACAGTCTTTGCCCTAAGAAACTTACCATTTTCCTACCATTTCCCCTGGGGAGGGTGGGGGGGACAGAAAACATTTAGGTGGCAACATTATCATTTCTGACATATAGGCTGTTTCAAAATTTACGGTAATTTGCCTCCAATCCATTTAGGAACTAGGCATTGCATAATTAAATAATAAAATAATGGGCGGTTTGTCTCACAGGTTTAAGTGTAGCACAGAGTCCACTAGAACCCAATTCTCTGTCCCAGCAGGAGGGCTCTCATCTGCTCCAGCCTGTAAATTAGAAAAGTGAGATGATACCATGCTTGGAAATTTTTTTTTTTTTGAGACTGAATCTCACTCTTTCGCCCAGGCTGGAGTGCAGTGGCGTGACCTCCACTCACTGCAACCTCTGCCTCCCGGGTTCAAGTAATTCTCCTGCCTCAGCCTCCCGAGTAGCTAGGATTAACAGGCATACGCCACCACACCTGGCTAATTTTTGTATTTTTAGTAGAGATGCGGTTTCGCCATGTTGGCCAAGCTGGTCTCGAACTTCTGACCTCAGGTGATCTGCCCGCCTCGGCCTCCCAGAGTGCTGAGATTACAGGTGTGAGCCACCACGCCTGGCCGGAAATTTCCTAATACATCAAGAGGACATAAAGTTACTAGTTCTTTCATAATTTCCCCTCCTTCCCCAGGGAAAAATTATACCAAAAGCAATAAATGGAGTTAAATAAAGGAGGACACGGAAAAATGAGCTTGCTCTTTTCCGTAGTGGTAGGGGAAAGGGGGTTGCTTTGTTTTAAATCAAAGGGTGACATTGCCCCAGGAAGATTAGGAGAGGTGATTTATTATCATTTACTTACTACTTTTAAAAAGGCTAAGGTGTTAGTTAATTTCATGATTTCAGGATCAGATACTGTACAAATATGAACAAATTGGGGAAAGGTGAACCACCTAGGCTGGAGAACAGGGAAGGCTGACCAAGGAGGCCCAAAGGAAGCCTCATTCATCAGAGTCCAAGTCACTGTCCCCAGCAATGGAGTGGAAATCCTCACTGTCCTCCTCGTCCTCTGACAGGTGGACCTGGCTTAGTACGCTCGGCCCAGAGCGCTGCTCTTCCTCCTCCTCATCTTCTTCCTCCTCTGATACCTCATACCCACCGATGCTGCTGAAGCTTGTGTCTTGGGTGTTCGACTTGGGATCAGGCTCCTCATAGCTCCCATAACTGAGAAGAGAAACATGTCATCTCTCAAGCTCGGACACCATCCTCTACCTGACCATTCCCATTCTCAGTGCCACCAAAGGATCAGCCCATCTCACCTCCCCTGGACACTAAAGTGACTGGTTCTGGACTATTCTACATGTCCCTGAGAGAAAAATGACCCTGTTCAAAAACATCAACTTGCCAACGTCATATACACAAGAACCTGAATGGAAGAAACTCCCTTACACCTGAACAACACACTGCCATCTTACATGACCATAAATGCTCTGACAGCCTCATGGTTTCATCTACCACTTACAGTATCCAATTAGTCAATAGTCCTGAAGATTCTCTCTTCAATATATCTTGTCTCTATCCCCTCCTTTCCATCCCTACTCTGCCTACCTTGGCTTAGTCCTTTGTTATCTCTGGCCTGCACTACTGAAATAAGTCGTCATGCCGCCAGTCTTGCTCTCCTCCAATTACTTCTTCACACTTCTGCCAGAGTGCTCTTTATTTTTTTGTTTGTTTGTTTATTCTTAATTTTACTTGAAAAAAAAATCACACAAGTAATGCACGTTCACTGGTTAAAAAAATTAGAATATACACCAGAAAAAAATTTAAAAAAATCAATAACTCCATCATCCAGAGATAATCTTTTGGTATATTACCTTCCAAAATTTTTTGTGAACTTTAGATGCTTAAACATTTTTTTTAATTTACAAAATTGGGATACTCTACATACTCTCCAGGAAATCTGCCCTCTTCACTAATGATTATAATGAACATCTTTCCATGTCAATAAACATAACGTCTATAGCATAATTTTAATAGCTACATGGTATTCCACACATGGCTGTAACATGACTTAACAGTCTCTCACTAGGACATTTAAGCTGTCTCCAATTATTCCACTATTAGAAACAATGCTGTCATAAAACATCCTTACACAAACATCTTGATGGTGTGTTAATTATTCCCATAAAATAATTTCCTAGATGTGGATTTTTTGGGCCAAAGGGGATGCACGTTTTTAAATGTTTTTATTTATGATGATAAATAAATAAGCCTCTCTCCAAACCACCCCATTTCTATCAATCGACATTACCACCAGTAGTTTGAGAATGTCTTTTTCCTCATAGCCTTTCCAAACACTAGGCATTATCATTCACTTTAATCACCAATATGATAGGTAAAAAAATTGCACTTCGTGGTTTTACTGCGTTTATTAGGGGAGTTACTATTATTGTTGTTATTATTTTTATTATCATTTTGAGACTGAGTCTTGCTCTGTCACCAGGCTGGAGTACAGTGGCACGATCTCGGCTCACTGCAACCTCTGCCTCCTGGGTTCAAGCGATTCTCCTGCCTCAGCCTCCTGAGTAGCTGGGACTACAGGTGTGACCAGGCCCAGCTAATTTTTGTATTTTTAGTAGAGACAGGGTTTCACCATGTTGGCCAGGATGGTCTAGATCTCTTGACCTTGTGATCTGCCTGCCTCGGCCTCCCAAAGTGCTGGGATTTTAGGCATGAGCCACCGCGCCCGGCTGGAAGTTATTTTTTCATATGATATATTGGCCATTTACATTTCTTTTGTAAATTAGTTCATGCCTTTGCCCATTTTTCTTTTGGGGCACAGGACAATCTTTCTAAAATGTAAATCTGGTCATACTATTCTCATTCAATGACCGCCCAGAACTTTCAGGCCCTTCATGATTTGGTATTTACCTACCTCTTTAAGTCATTTCTATCACATGAATTATAGATCTTACATGGATCAATCAAAAAATCTCCAGTCACACTGAGCTACGTGTGTTCTCTGAAAGCGTTTCATGCCTGTGAAGTGTTTCATGCCTGTGTCTTCATATAGGCTCTTCCTAGTCTCTGGAATGCCCATTGCTTTCTTATTCGTTTAGCTAATTCCTATTCATATTAGGCTCAATTTCCTTCTCTAGCCAGCTCTCCTCCCTCCCCACCTCTACCCAAGTCCTAGAAAAACCCTGCGGTTGCCTAGCATAGCACTTTTCATATTACACTATGATTGCCTGTTTTACCTGTTTTAGGTTTCCTACTAGACTGATCTCCTTGAAGGAAGGGACCATATCTTAGTTGTTTTTGTACTTATGATAAATATTTGCTGAAGTAAAAAATTAATTTGTTTACAATGTTATTGCATATTATCTGCTTGCTGGTTAGATGTATCATAGATACATTAAATTTAACTTGTCCAAAGCCAAATCCAAATCCATTTTTTCCTCCTTTCCTGCCCCATCTAATATGTATTCTTCCTCTTTCCTCTACCAGACATCTCCATTCATTATTCATCTAACCTCCTTACCTCTTTATGTCCCTTTATTTTCCCCACTCCTGACAAGTCCCTGTTGATATCCTCATCATGTGTCCCACATTGTCCTAAGTTATACAAATTTGATGTTACTTCCTTTTCCTTAAACTGATGACTCCTATTACCCGCAGGTTAAGGTCCAAAGGTCTTAGCATGCCTTTTAAAGTCCTTCACAATATAATCCCCCTTGCTACACTTCTGGAGCCTCAACTCCCCAACAACTTCCATTTGCTCTGGAACATACTTTGTGTTCTACTTCTGTGTCTTTGAACACATTGTTCCACCTATAAAGTTCTCCCCACCCCCTGCCATAGTACCTACTTAGTAAACTCCTATTAATCTTTTAAGGCCCAATTCAAATGTTCCCTTGTCTGTGAAACTTTCCCTGATAACTCCAAGCAGACTGAGACACTCCCTTCTCAGTGGTGCTTTGGCACTTTGTCTTACTTACGCTATAGCACTTATCACATTGTATTTGTAATGATTTGTTTGTGTCAGTCTTTTCCACTAGGCTGTGGGCTCCTCAAGGGCAGGATATGTTTTGCTCCTCTGTGTATCCCCAGAGCCTAGCACAGTGCCTGGCCCTAGTAGGTGCCCAGGAAATGTTTGATGGATGAAAAGTAATCTGATGTTGGGCCCCTCAACATCATAGCTGGGCACTGATGCCACAGCCCTGTAGCATGTTGCTGTCGATTACCTGATGTTGCTATCCTCCAAACCATGGGAAGCCTCCCCACCGTCTCCCTCATAGGACATCATGCTTTCTTCATTTTCCATGTCCATCCTTGTGTTCTCCTGAAGCATGCGGGGTTGTTTGGGTCTTATTCCACCAGATCCCACATCAGAGTCACTTCCACTTTCACTCAGCTGGATAGCTGTAAAAAGAGACAGATTCTGGGTCATCAAGAGTTAAGCTTGACAGATTTAACTTGATCTTTGGCTTGATCTTCCCAAACTAGTAACTCTCACACATCTACACAGGTATCTTGCCTATACGCCTCTCCTCAAATGCCTCTTATAACTGCCTAGGGTCAACAGCAGCAAGGTTTGTAGTTTAGAATCTGAATCCAAATAACAATTTCCTTTTCCATCTCATGCCAACCTATCTGTATTTTTTCTACCATCTACTCCCATACTTTTCCTCGGCCATTGCCATTAATCCACAAAATATCCCCAAACAGGATTTTTCTTAATTTTCCTTCCCTGTTGCCACATATAACACTTGATCATTCTGTTCTCATCTTTTTTTCTTTTTCTTTGGAGACAGAGTCTCACTATGTTGCCTAAGCTGTAGTGCAATGGTATGATCATGGCTCACTACAGCCTTGAAGTCCTGGGCTCAAGCGATCCTCCTGCCTCAGCCTCCTAACTAGAACTACAAGCACTCGCCACCACACCCAGCTAATTTTTATTTATTTACTTTTTGTAGAGACAGGGTCTCGCTATGTTGCCTAGGCTGGTCTCAAACTCCTGGTCTCAAGTGTTCCTCCTACCTTGGCTTCCCAAAGTGCTGGGATTACAGGCATGAGCCACTGTGCCCAGCCTTTAACAAGTATCCAGATCAAAGCTGTTACTTAGGCACTGTCTTTTCCACTGTTGTCTTTTGTACCTCCTGCTAATGAATATGATCATCCTACGCCTGAGTGCTCAGTACTCTCAGGTCTATTAATAGGAATTCAATAAAAGAGGCAGCTTCCAATAAAAGCATATGTGGCCAAGAGCGCCTATCCAGTCCAGTTCTGAGGGTGCTGTAGTGAGTTATAAAGGAATAGAAGCAATGGTTGAGGCCTACCAGAGAAAGGATTGTCTCCTTCTTCATCACTCCCAGCATCTTCCTCATCATCTTCTCCTTCAGACATAAGCAAATCCTCATACAGGACACTGGCTTGAGGCTGTTGTACAGTTCCTTCCTCTTCATCTGCAAGATCACCATCTCCATCTTCACCTTCCTGAATGAGACCAGTTGGGGGTCAAAGTCCTATCAACTGACCACATAAGAGACCAGAAGCCACCACCAGGCACACCCCCCCTCCCCGCCCCGCCCATCCCTCCACTTGCTGCCTCACAAGAAGTTAAGTAATTATTTTTGGTGGATAGACTGTTTAGTTGGTCCCAAGGATTAAAGTCAGATTGGGGCTCACTAAGGAGACCCCCTGATATCATCTTAGGATTTGGCCTGGCCTGTACTGATGGGGCTCCTATCATATAAGGGCATAACGTAACCATAAGCTTTCTATAAGCATACTCACTGGGGCTGGAGTCTTAGGTTTCCCATCCTCCTCCTCATCATCATACCCTTCAATATCTACATCAGAGTCTTCCTCGCCCAGCCTACCTCGGCCCTGGCGCATCTGAGTAAGGAACACAAATAGCACATCATTGAGGGACGTGCCTGTAGGAGGAGTTAACCAAGGGCTCTCACCCAGGGTGGATGCTCCTCCCTGATATCCCAGCCAATCCCACTGCTAGTGGGGGCTGTTTAGACAGCTCAAGGCATGCGCATTTTCCCCCATTCTTTGGAAATCACAGCCGGAGTAAAAAACCCAAAGAACAGGAAAGGCTCTTAGTCTACTCTTACTGTATTATTACAAAGAGACTCTTCCTTTCTAACCCAAACTTTCCTTATAGCTTGTGTTGAACTCTTTGGGATAGAAAAACCCTCCTGGGTTTTACACTTTCCAGTGGAACCCTGACTGAGAATAGCTGTAGAAAAGCTGTAGATATTTCTGATACCTCTAGAAAAGGCCAATTTTTAAAATTTAATTTTATAAATAATTTTAATTTAAATTATAATACACATAAAGTAGGCCAATTATTTTGAACTGTCTGAGTGCAGTTGGTCGCTCTAGTCACCCGTCAGGCTACTCTGATGCTTCACACCCTTTTTTCATACTTGTGTCTTCCCTGAAGTTCTGCTGTGCCTGACTCTACCCATGGGGACAGAGAGAATATAACACCAGTCACACGACCTGCTGCCATCCCAACTTGAAATCCCATTTCTAAGCTTTCATTCCCAGGGCCAAAGGGCCCAGTCATTCTTGACATATGTCACATATCACCATCACCATCACCATTCCCCTAGCCCCACTTGCAGGCACAATAACAATCTTATAAAGAGAAAAAGAACATCCTACCTGTGTTACCTGCTTTTCTGGAGTGGCACTGGGAATATCCAAGACAGACATATTGCTCTCATCTTGAAATACAGAGGCATCTCGAGACATACTGAGGGATGTGTTGGTATCATACAAATCAGGAGGCTGTGGCACAAAACATACAACTTAGCTTCTATCTAGGAAAGGGAAAATAAATACAGATAACTCCCCTTTAAGGCATTTACTGGAGAAAAAGATCATGCAGAGCAATTCAGTTAAAGAGAAACATAGTTTGACACAGCTTTACAGACAAGTTTTTGGGACTCTTATAAATGTTGCCTATTCTAGTAGACAGGTGCCTGATGCACGTAATCAGAAGCCTGAAGCAGAAATGCACCAAAGCTATGGGACAATTTTATGTCCTAACAGCCTTTCTGGTCAATAACCTAGTTTTTTTCTAAGCCTTGTCTTTCGGTTTTTAGGCCCAAGGCTTCATATCAGTGCTATTTTGATTGCTTGATTTGGAGACAGAGGAAATGAGATAAAGGAATTTCAATTCCAACAAGAGCATAGAATGCTTTGATAGTTTATGAGCCCATCAGAGGATGCTACGAAGCAAAATGGCATGGTGAAAAATCATAGGCCTTGGAGTAAAATGTCCTGGGTTTGAGTCCTGGCCCCAACACTTGCTAGTGAGTAACAAATTACTTAACATCTCTAAGCCTTGATTAACTCAACTATAAAACATGGATGATAATGTCTACCTCACAGGGTTGTTGTGAGAATTAAGAGATGTGTAAGTTCCTTACCCATGCCTGGTACTCAATATATTATAGATCCCTTCCCTGTTTTCTGCCCTGGAAAGAACAGGGATTCAGCAAATGGACTATTCTGTGACAGGAGGGCAAGAAGGACTAGATAAAGTGCTCACAAAATAATGTAAAGTGAAAAGAGTTAAGACACAAAACCATATTGATCAATTTCATTTTAAAAGTGTGTCTATAAACACAAATACATACGCTACAGATATGAAAGAAATAAAAATATTCACACTGGCTGATGTTGCTTCTGAGTGGTGGAAGTGATTACAAGAGGTAACTTATTTCTTGTTTTTATTTTCCAGTTTTCTCTAACAAACATGTTACTTTTATCAACAGATAGAACAGATATGTGTTACATTGTGTTTTTTAAAAAAGGAAACAAAACTGATTCAGAAGAGGGTTTTGGAGAAACAGAGGCAAAACAAAATTCAAAGCATTACAGAGCAGGTAAATCAATGTGGAACAGAAGAAAGGAAAAATAAGGGGATGAAATTTCTGCAAAACCCTACGGCACAGTGCAGAAAACTGCAAAGTCAACAGTTTTAGATAAGGTGTTAAGCTGAACAGATGATGCAATCCAAGTTAGGTGGAAACAGTTGAGTGAAAATACATTATTGGGCCGGGCGCGGTGGCTCACGCCTGTAATCCCAGCACTTTGGGAGGCCGAGGTGGGCCTGAGGTCGGGAGTACGAGACCAGCCTGACCAACATGGAGAAACCCTGTCTCTACTAAAAATACAAAATTAGCCAGGCGTAATGGCCCATGCCTGTAAAACCAGCTACTCGGGAGGCTGAGGCAGGAGAATCACTTGAACCCGGGAGGCGAAGGTTGCAGTGAGCCGAGATTGCGCCATTGCACTCCAGCCTGGGTGACAAGAGCAAAACTCGGTCTCAAAAAAAAAAAAAAAAAAAAAAAAAAAAAAAAAAAAAAAAAAAGAAAATACATTATTGACCACCACCATTTAGAAGTTGAAAGGTATGATTACTATCATGCTTCTTACAACCAACATTGTATTAAGGCAGGTTACACTTTTGCAAACACACTCTAATAACATTTGAGTTTGACAGTAGTAATGTAAGTAAAGTAAGGACAGTCACTCATGTACACCTTCCTCAGGTTAAGAGATAATGAGTTGGTTACTATCTTAAACTGTTTGTGAGTGAAGGGAATGATGAAAAGGTGAACTGGAATAATGAAGCAGTACTATCTAATCCTACTCTTCATAGGAAACCCTCTAACTGCACCAAATGACAGCTAATGCTCAAGAGAGAAATAGCTAACAGGTTGTCCTTAGCCATTTGAGGTAGTCTGGGAGACGTAGTGAAGAAAGGAAGGTGACTTTGGGGTCTAAGGCTTTGACTCACCAAAGGACTAGGCTTAGGCTGTCCTAGAAATGAGCAAACCATGTGCCATTCAATGGCTAGACTCTCCTGGGGAATGATGGCTAATACCCAGGCTTTAACTTACCAGAAAGTACCTTGTGGAAGCTGTGGGCCTATTAGCAAATAGGGCCTTCCTGGGCAACATCACTCACCCAAGCCCCCTTGACCCAATCTGCCCACACACTCCAAGAGCCTTTCCTTGTTCTGGACCTTGAAGAAGTATCTGAGGGTTCTTTTATACCTGGCCCCTCAGTAACCTAGGTTGTGAGATGAAAGAGAGAGTAAAAGATAGATAGGGATAGTGCATGAACGAGATATAGAGACAGCAATAATCCAACAGAGGTCACATAGGTTGCATTATCAGTTCAGAGGGAAACCTGGATAGAATGAAAAAAAATTTTCCTGTGGGAATTGGCAGAGTTCTGCATTAAAATATTTGATTAAATTTGAAAGGGTCTCAGAGAACAGATAAAGATGTGTCAGGCAAATTAAATTAATTCATTTAATGTTTACAACAATCTTGAAAAGATTTCAGAGAAAAGGAAACTAAGTGAGAGAGGTTAACTTTCCAAGATTACAAAGCTAGACAGCAGGAGAACTAAGACTCAAACCCAGGCCTGCTTTATGTCAATTCTTATGTACTTTCCACCCTACCATAGTGCCTCCAATACAGAAACCAAGCACCAGTGATATTCTGTTAAGTCCTATTCTTCAAATATGCCAACCCTCTAAGAGTACAGTATGGAGGAAATATACTCTTAGTGTATTTCAAGGGTTCAGTTAGACCAGGAAGACTAAAAATTTCTTATTTATCCTGCTCTCTCATTCTTTTGACATGAACATTTAAGAACATTATTAATACTACCTTTCTTCATTTACTAGGAGTCAATCCAGGAAAATGGGTGACTTCTGAGCTACACTGAGATATCTCTGAGGGAATGAGTAATCAAGTGTCTGTAAGGCACAGGAACAATATGGCCCATGTCTGTAACTGAGAAGTCTACACTCTAGGGATGTTCTAGAGTCCCAAAATTCATGGACAAGAAAATTCCCGAGACCCAGAGGATGGCTGGGTCAGGGATCTGATATTCCCAAACACTGCCTAAACAACTAAGGCCCCACCCCATTCATTCATCCCACAGCTGCCTTTTCTGGATTCAAGGCCACCAAGACCCATGGCCCTCACTCACCTTAGCCTTTGAGAAGACAAGAAAGCACACGAAAGGCATATGAAGAGGAAGGACAGAGAAGAATGGTATCTCAGTAAACGGATTTGTTAACATGCTCCCAATTTCCCAAACCAATAAGAAAACTATATGAGGAAGTACTTAGTCCTCAGACTCACCTGAGGCGTGTAGGGCCCTGGGGTCATTGGGTCCAGGCTTTCTAATTCTGCTTCCTCCAAAGCTGCTTCTTTAGCAGTACAAATATCCTTCTCAAGTTGAGTCAAATGTTCATCATACTGAGAAACAAAGAAAATAAATTCATTCAACATGTATTTTAAGTACTGGGGATACAAAAGTAAACAAAAGACAAAAATATCTATCTTCATGGAGCTTATATTCTAGTGGCAGGACACAGATAATAATCAAAATAAATTAAGCAGGGAAGGAAACAGGGGATGCGGAGTTGGGGGGTAGGGAATACTACATTTTAAAATAGGATAATCAGGGAAAGCTCCTCATTCAAGGGAACAGGATTTCAAAAAGCTAGATCCCAAGGAGACCTCTTTTATTTTTTGAGACAGGGTTTTGCTGTTGCCCAGGCTGGAATGCAGAGATATGGTCATGACTCACTGCAGCCTTGACCTCCCAGGCTCAAATGATTCTCCTACCTCAGACGAGTAGCTGGGACCACACGTCCCAGCTGTGTACCACCAGACCCCACTAATTTTTAAATCTTTTTTTGTAAAGATGGGGTCTCCTTATGTTGCCCAGGCTTAGGACCTCCATCTTTACCACCTACCTCAGTCAATGTCTGGTAACAGACGTTCACAATCTCCTGGGCAGTCTTAGTATACTGACTCTCAGGTCCTATAAATAAAATAAGAAAGTGCCATTATCTTTGCAGACTTGTTCCAGAATTTTACATTCTGTCATCAGCAGTGTGTCCCATTATCCTAGACCTAGAAAAACCATGCCTCAGCTTTAACTTGGACTCTTGTTCTACTTTCAGAGGCAGAAAATTCCAAACATATGCAATACAACACTAACATAATGGACTCCCATGTACTCACTAGCCAGATTCAATGATTAACACACAGTCAATCTTGTTTCATTTACTTCAATTTTCAGACTCTTCTCAAATTGTTTTGAAGCAAATTCCAGCATCATAACAATTTTCCTCTAAAAATTGTTCAGTATGTGTTGCTAGGTTTCACCATGTTGGCCAGGCTACTCTTGAACTCCTGGCCTTAAGTGATCCGCCCCCCTCAGCCTCCCCAAGTGCTGGGATTACAGACATGAGCCACTGTGCCCATCCTAAGGATGCTTTTAACAAACAATTATGTCTGATAATATAATGGTGGATACATGTCATTATACATTTTTCAAAACCCATACAATGTATACCACCACCAAGAATGAACCATGGACTTGGGGTGATAATGATATGTCATTGTAGGTTCACCAACTAACACAATTAATATAACACTCTGGTGCAGGCTGTTGTTTTTATTTTGAGACAGAGTTTCGCTCCGTCACCCAGGCTGGAATGCAGTGACATGATCATGGCTCACTGCAGCCCTGAACTCCTGGGTGCAGGCATGCACCACCATGCCCATTTTTCTTTGTTTGTAGAGATTGGGGGTGGGGGGGGGGTCTCACTATGTTGCACAGGCTGGTCTTGAACTCCTGGCCTAAAGAGATCCTCTTACCTTGGCTTCCCAAAGTGCTGGGATTACAGGCGTGAGCCACAACGCCCAGCCTGGTGCAAGATGTTGATAACTGGGGAGGCTGTATGTATGTGAGGGCAGGGAGTATATGGGAACTCTCTGTAACTTCTGCTCAATTTTGCCATGAACTAAAGCTGCTCTAAAAACAAACCAACTGGTCTGGAGTAAGACAGAATTCCTCCTCTCCCTCTCCCTCTCCCTCTCCCTCCTCTCCCTCTCTCTCTCCCGTCTCCCCACGGTCTCCCTCTCCCTCTCTTTCCACGGTCTCCCTCTGATGCCGAGCCGAAGCTGGACTGTGCTGCTGCCATCTCGGCTCACTGCAACCTGCCTGCCTGATTCTCCTGCCTCAGCCTGCCGAGTGCCTGCGATTGCAGGCGCGCGCCACCACGCCTGACTGGTTTTCGTATTTTTTTGGTGGAGACCGGGTTTCGCTGTGTTGGCCGGGCTGGTCTCCAGCTCCTAACCGCGAGTGATCCGCCAGCCTCGGCCTCACGAGGTGCCGGGATTGCAGACGGAGCCTCGTTAACTCAGTGCTCAATGGTGCCCAGGCTGGAGTGCAGTGGCGTGATCTCGGCTCGCTACAACCTCCACCTCCCAGCTGCCTGCCTTGGCCCCCCAAAGTGCCAAGATTGCAGCCTCTGCCCGGCCGCCACCTCGTCTGGGAAGTGAGGAGCATCTCTGCCTGGCCGCCCATCGTCTGGGATCTGAGGAGCCCCTCTGCCTGGCTGCCCAGACTGGAAAGTGAGGAGCGTCTCTACCCGGCCGCCATCCCACCTAGGAAGTGAGGAGCGCTTCTTCCCGGCCGCCATCCCATCTAGGAAGTGAGGAGCGTCTCTGCCCAGCCGCCCATCGTCTGAGATGTGGAGAGCGCCTCTGCCCCGCCACCCCGTCTGGGATGTGAGGAGCACCTCTGCCCGGCCGCGACCCAGTCTGGGAGGTGAGGAGCGTCTCTGCCCGGCTGCCCCGTCTGAGAAGTGAGGAGACCCTCCGCCCGGCAACCGCCCCGTCTGAGAAGTGAGGAGCCCCTCCGCCCGGCAGCCGCCCCGTCTGAGAAGTGAGGAGCCCCTCCGCCCGGCAGCCGCCCCGTCTGGGAAGTGAGGAGCATCTCCGCCTGGCAGCCACCCCGTCCAGGAGGGAGGTGGGGGGGTCAGCCCCCCGCCCGGCCAGCCGCCCCGTCTGGGAGGGAGGTGGGGGGGGGGGTCAGCCCCCCGCCCGGCCAGCCGCCCCGTCCGGGAGGTGAGGGGTGCCTCTGCCCGGCCGCCCCTACTGGGAAGTGAGGAGCCCCTCTGCCCGGCCACCACCCCGTCTGGGAGGTGTACCCAACAGCTCATTGAGAACGGGCCATGATGACAATGGCAGTTTTGTGGAATAGAAAAAGGGGAAAGGTGGGGAAAAGATTGAGAAATCGGATGGTTGCTGTGTCTGTGTAGTAAGAAGTAGACATGGGAGACTTTTCATTTTGTTCTGTACTAAGAAAAATTCTTCTGCCTTGGGATCCTGTTGATCTATGACCTTACCCCCAACCCTGTGCTCTCTGAAACATGTGCTGTGTCCACTCAGGGTTAAATGGATTAAGGGCGGTGCAAGATGTGCTTTGTTAAACAGACGCTTGAAGGCAGCATGCTCCTTAAGAGTCATCACCACTCCCTAATCTCAAGTACCCAGGGACACAAACACTGCGGAAGGCCGCAGGGTCCTCTGCCTAGGAAAACCAGAGACCTTTGTTCACTTCTCTGCTGACCTTCCCTCCACCATTGTCCTATGACCCTGCCAAATCCCCCTCTACGAGAAACACCCAAGAATGATCAATAAAAAAAAAAAAAGGAAAAAAAAATAAAAAATAAAAACAAACCAACTATATCACATCTAAAATAATGAACAATAATTATTTAATATTATCAAATAGCCGGCCAAGAGTCAAATTTCCCAAATTACTTTATAAACACTCTTTTACATTTATTTCTTTGAATCATAACCCAAGAAAGGTCCATACATTGTATCTGGCTGATGTGTCTCCTTAAGACATTTTTACCTATAAGATGATTCTTAACTATATGGGTCCCCATATGGCCTTAGTTACAAGTTGCAAACTGGTGGCTTGTAGTTTGTTTGGCTCACATAAAAAATTAGTTCAGTTTGTAAAAATGGATTGAGCTATATACCCATAATACATAAAACACTTTTCTGTATCTAAGTTATATTTCAATAGAAGGCTTTTTTGAAAAAAACTTAGTTGATAACATTTAACAGATGGGAGATTTCACATAAAAACCTAAATTGTCTGGCTTCTTTTAGAAAATTTAAAGATGTGGCCAAGACAGAGTCAGCTTTCCCACAAGGCACCAATGGGCTGGGGCTTAGTAGCAGCTGTTCCTCTTAGATAAAGTATGTGTTCTCCAGGTTATCAAAGTCCCTCCCAAGTCTGCTTATCTTCTGCCTAGACACTGAAGGCATTTGAGTTTTCAATCCCTGCCTTAAATACTTAAAATGTTCTTTTAATATACTGATCATTCACTTATTTATTCATAAGACATTTTCTTAATACTTTTTGTGTGCCAGGCATTGGAGATGATAGAAATGAGTGAGATATAGGTCATATCCTCAAGAAGTTTATAGTCTAGTACAGTGAAATAGACTGTAAACAAATAGGGCAATACAATGCAATGGAAAAATAGTGGCACAAAGAAGGAAGTGGCTGATTCTGGGAGGTAAGAGGGGAAGAGGAATTAAGAAAGCCTTCACAAGAGGTGATCCCTAAATTGAACCTACTGTTTTATCAGGATATAAAGGATAAAAAATATACCACAGGCCAGGCGCAGTGGCTCAAGCCTGTAATCTCAGTACTTTGGGAGGCCGAGGTGGGGAGATCATTTGAGGCCAGAAGTTTGAGACCAGCCTGGCCAGCATGGCAAAACCCCGTCTCTACTAATAATATAAAAATTAGCTGGGCATGGTGGTGCATACCTGTAATCCCAGCTACTCGGGTGGCTGAGGCATGAGAATCACTTGAACCCGGGAGGCAGAGGTTGCAGTGAGGCAAGATCATGCCACTGCACTCCAGCCTGGGTGACAGAGCAAGACTCTGTCTCAAAAAAAAAAAAAAGTCTCTTCCAGGTAAAACGTCTTACAAGTATAGGTCATTTATTCTTTAAAATATGTAAAATAAAGTTGTATCCTCACAGAAACTGCCTGTGCCAAACACAAACAAAAAAGAAAAGTCAATTGTCAAGATATTTAGAGCCGGGTGTGGTGGCTCACGCCTGTAATCCCAGCACTTTGGGAGGCTGGGCAGGATGATCACTTGAGCTCAGTAGTTCAAGACCAGCCTGGGCAATATGGCGAAACTCTGTCTATACAAATAACGTAAAAATTAGCTGGGCGTTGTGGTGTGCACCTGTAGTCCCAGCTACTCAGGAGACTGAGGCGAGGGGATCGGTTGAGCCCAGGAGGTTGAGGCTGCAGTGAGCCATGATCACGCCACTGCACTCCAGCCTCAGTGACACAGCAAGACTTCATCTCAAAAAAACAAAAAAAGAAAACAGAAATGTTGCTGGAGAAAATAGGCTGCATACAGGTTACAGGCCTCCTTCACCAAGCCTGTACAACGGTAGTTCCTTACAGTATAGGCTCTTCTACCTATAGGGACCTGCCTCATGGCTAAAACCCCAGCCTATAAATTAGGAATTCAGCCTTTATTCTACTTTAGTTTCGAAACTTAAACATGAACCAACCTCTCAATATCTCAATTCCCTCACTTTATAATACAAGGAAAAATTAGTTTTATACATTCGTGAAGTTTCTCTCTTACTTTAATCCATTTTGAAAATGGGACCTCTTCCTTACCCATTTTCTTTGCAACACATCACTCTAAGAAATATCCACTAATGGCTGGGTGCAGTGGCTCATGCCTGTAATCCCAGCATTTTGGGAGGCTGAGGCAGGCAATCACCTGAGGTCAGGAGTTTGAGACCAGCCTGACCAACATGGAGAAACCCCGTCTCTACTAAAAATACAAAATTAGGCCGGGCACGGTGGCTCACGCCTGTAATTCCAGCACTTTGGGAGGCCCAGGTGGACGGATCACCTGATTGGGAGTTCGAGACCAGCCTGACCAACATGGAGAAACCCCGTCTCTGCTAAAAGTACAAAATTAGCCAGGCGTGGTGGCACATGCCTGTAATCCCAGCTACTCGGGAGGCTGAGGCAGGAGAATTGCTTGAACCCGGGAGGCAGAGGTTGCGGTGAGCCGAGATCGCGCCATTGAACTCCAGCCTGGGCAACAAGAGCTCTCAAAACAAAACAAAAAAATAAATAAAAATACAAATTAGCCAGGCGTGGTGGCACATGCCTGTAGTCCCAGCTACTCGGGAGGCTGAGGCAGGAGAATCACTTGAACCCAGGAGGCAGAGGTTGTGGTGAGCCGAGATCACACCATTGTACTCTAGCCTGGGCAACAAGAGCGAAACTCCGTCTCAAAAAAAAAAAAAAAGAAAAAGAAAAAGAAAAAGAAAACAAAAGAAATATCCACTAATACCTCTAGAATATTTAAAAAAAAAACCCACACTTACTTGCATAGCTGATACACTTATGTGTTTGATATTAGCTGTTTGTGTCAGTTTTAGACAGTCCATGTTCTCAATAGTTACAAGAGCTTCAGCTATTAGACTCTATTACACTATTATAAGCAAAGGAGCATTTAAGTCTTTCTAATGAAATATGCTGGTGGAACTGGCAAACCACTGTTAAATTGTGGATAAAAATATCCACTGTGATGTTTTCTTATCCCTACCTATACCAGGAGTTCTTATGAGAGACAGAGCTATGAATCCCTTAGAACTATAAACAAAATTCTGTATGTAATATACATTTTTGAGAGCAGAACAGCCTTAGTTTTTCATCGGATTTTCACAGAGATCCATAACCATCTCCAAAAATCTAAAAATATCGTTCTACATTCTGGAGCAATCAGGAGCTTACTAAAAGTAGGATGATCAGCTATAGGTTTTGTAGCTTAGGAAGAAATGAGGAATCCAAGTAAAGAGACAAAGACAATAGAGCCTCTACAGGAATAGTAAAGTTGCTGAAGCTACTGTAGGGGGGCTGGGAAGAAGATTAAACAGAATTGAACTCCAATTCCCAGTCCCTAAAGGGTTACTACACAGAAAACCAGAATTCAGTTATAAAGAATTTCTAGAATGACACCAAAATGAATGAAAGATAATCTGTGACTTGTCACTATAAGAATAAGCTACCCACTCACGAAAAGGAATGTTTTTTCTGAGTATATTTTGCTTTTTCTCTTCTTGTTAAATCATGGCTGAAGCAACTCTACATGTCACGTTGGAGAAACGTTATTTATTTATACTTTGCCTCATACCAAATAAGGAGCGGTAGGGTCTACAGAATCACATACAATTCGAATTCAAATGTCCTTAAATAGAGATAATGCCAATGACAGCTTTGGAAAGTTGATATTCCACCAAGAAAATTCCTTTTCTGGTTTATAAGTTAATTTCCTTCTGTATGGTGATGTGAGAAGAAACGCAAGTCACAAGCTTCATGGTTCCAGTAAGGGGGGAAAGCAAGCATTATTGCTATTTTTTTTTTTTTTTTGACACAGTGTCTCGCTCTGTCACCCAGGCTGGAGTACAGTGGCGCGATCTCTGCTCATTGCAACCCCCGTCTCCCAGGTTCAAGTACTTCTCCTGCCTCAGCCTCCCCAAGTAGCTGGAATTACAGGTGTGCACCACCACACCCATCTAATTTTTTAGCAGAGACAGAGTTTCACGATGTTGGCCAGGCTGGTCTCGAACTCCTGACCTCCAGTGATCTACCTGCCTCGGCCTCCCAAAGTGCTGGGATTACAGGCGTGAGCCACCACGCCCAACCTATTGCTGCTAACTTTCTGAAAAGATTCAGAGAAAAACACCAGTCAAGTTGGCAAGCACCCCTGGGCACCAAGGAGAAGAGGGGATTTGTGATCACTCCTAGGCTCATGTTTCCCTTGAGAACTCTTCCACAAATACTAAAAATAATTCCTCCCTAAGAAAATGAGTACTCTGTCAAAACAGCATAAATTATTATCTTGACAGTGGATGGTGTGAGGATATGCATTTGTTCCAATGTGAACCATTAAAATTAAAAAATAAAAGCTCAGTAGAAGTAGAAAGTTTAAAAAAAAAGATCAGTGCCAGATATAAAAAGAAAAATCTGCATACTAAATTCCTAAAGAAATTAGAATTACTAAATGCAACTACACATAGTCCAGATCCCAAAGAGATGAGCTCTGACTTTGCAATTCTTAGATATTTATCTTCAAACTAGATCCAAAACAAGTGAAAATTAAAGAGAAGTGAATCTAATCTTTCACAATATAGCTAGGCTCCTTACCTTATGTAGAATGAGGATCAAATGTAAATTAGGATGTTTAGTTTCCAAGATTAAGAGGTTCAGTCTCTTAAACCAGAGTAACATAATCTCACTCAGAATCTAAACTAGAAATTCAAGAAGGCAGAAACCATCCAGAGGGAACTGGGGTAATAAATCTCACTGGTCAAGGGCCTATTTGATGAAAAGCCCAAAGACCCTGAAAATGTTTTTATTTTTTCTCAAAAATGAAACACCATTCCATTTAGCAACTTAAAAATATATAAATGAACAGATAGCTTTGGCTAAAAATATATCCTCATTATCTCTACAACTAGAAAAATAAACACTTCAAAACACCTTTTCCTATATAGTAAAATTTATAATACTTCACACCAAATCTAATACTGGCTACTAATGGGATGGTAGGAAGGGAAGAACAAGATTTTTCCTTTTCACTTTATACAATTCTATGCTGTTTCATTTCTTCAATGAACATGTATGTAATTTTTATAAAATTTTAAGTTATATACTCTAATTTTACAGGAATAATTTTTAAAGCATTGATTATTCCCAGCGTTAAAGAGGTTGTAGGGAAACAGATATTTTCCTTCACTGTTATTTTGACTACAAACAGGTATAGCCTTTTGGAACACAATTTCAAAATATCAAGATTTCCTACAGAAATTTTGCACAAGCACACATCAATAAAATATAAAATAGTGAACAACTAGGCCGGGCACAGTGGCTCACACCTGTAATCCCAGCACTTTGGGAGCCTGAGGCAGGTGGGTCACCTGAGGTCAGGAGTTCGGGACCAGCCTGGGAAACATGGGGAAACCCCATCTCTACTAAAAATACAAAAATTGGCCAGGCATGGTGACGCACACCTGTAATCCCAGTTACTTGGGAGGCTGAGGCACAAGAATTGCTTCAATCCGGGAGGCAGAGGTTACAGTGAGCCGAGATCATGCCACTACACTCCAACCTGGGTGACACAGACTTGGTCTCCAAAAAAAAAAAAAAAATAGTGAACAACTGTCTGCAAGCCAGCATTATGGAAATACTTTAAATGCCTATCAATAGGAGAATGGTTAAATAAATTATGATACATACATCCATGCTAAGAAATAAGTTTAAAAGAATGTAGAAATCTATATGTACTAACATGAAAAGAGAATCAGTAAATATGTCAATTCTCTCCAAATTGATCTATGGGTTTTAACACAAGAACCCAAATCCCAGTAAGATGTTTTTGTACATATAGACAAGCCCCTTCTAAATTTAGTGGAATGGTAAAAGAACTAGAAAATAAAACAGTTTTGAAAAAGAGTGAGAGGAATCACTCTACCTGATAGTAAGACTTCTAGAAATAAGCCAACACACTCAACTGATTTTTGATAAAGGTGTACATACAGGGCAATTCAATGGAGGAAGGACAGTTTTTTCAATAAATGACGAAAAACTGGACATCCATAGGCAAAAAAAGTACTTCAACCTATACTTCAAACTGTGCACAAAAAGTAATTAACAACGGATCATGGACTTAAGTGTAAAAGGCTACAACTGTAAAATTTTAGGAAAAAACATAAGAGAAAACCTTTGTGATCTGAACTGGGAAAGACTTTTTTTTTTTTTTTTTTTTGAGATGAGTCTCACTCTGTCGTCCAGGTTGGAGTGCAGTGGCGTGATCTCAACTCACTGCAACCTCCACCTCCCAGGTTCAACCAATTCTCGTGCCTCAGCCTCCTGAGTAGCTAGGATTACAAATGTGCACCACCACACCCACCTAATTTTTTTTTTGTATTTTTAGTAGAGACGGGTTTCACCATGTTGACCAGGCTGGTCTCAAACTCCTGACCTGAAGCAACCCACCCGTCTCGTTCTGCCAACTTCTTAAAGAGATACAAACACTGGGCTGGGCGCAGTGGCTCATGCCTGTAATCCCAGCACATTGGGAGGCTGAGGCGGGCAGATCACGAGGTCAGGAGATTGAGACCATCCTGGCTATGGTGATCCCATCTCTACTAAAAATAGAAAAAATTAGCCGGGTGTGGTGGCGGGCAACTGTAGTCCCAGCTACTCAGGAGGCTGAGGCAGGAGAATGGCATGAACTCGGGAGGCGGAGCTGGCAGTGAGCTGTTCCAGCCTGGGCGACAGAGCGGAGACTCCTTGTCTCAAAAAAAGAAAAAAAAAGAGAGAGAGATACAAACACTGGCCACACCTGGGGACTCAAACACCTGTAATCCCAGGACTTCGCCTTGACCTCCTGGGTCAGCCTTGACCAAAGCCTTGACCTCCCGGGCTCAAGCAATCCTCCCATCTCAGCCTCCCAAGTAGCTGGGACTACGGGCATGCACACCCAAACACAAATTTTAGAAATTTTTTGTAGAGATGGGATCTCACTATATTGCGTAGGCTGGTCTCAAACTGCTGGGTTCAAGCAGTCTTCCCACCTTGGCCTCTGAAAGCACTGGGATTACAGGTGTGAGCCACTGTGCCTAGCCTGAAAGATACTATTAAGGGACTGAAAAAGTAAGGCACAGACTGGGGAGAAAATCTCTGCAAATCATATATGTAATAAAGGTCTTATACCTAGAATACATAAACAACCCTCAAAACCCATTAAGAAAACAGGCCGAGCGAGGTGGCTCACGACTGTAGTCCTAACACTTTGGGAGGCTGAGGAAGGCAGATCACTTGAGGTCAGAAGTTCGAGACCAGTCTGGCCAACATGGCAAAACCCCGTCTCTACTAAAAACACAAAAATTAGCCAGGCGTAATAGCAGGCACCTGTAATCCCGGCTACTTGGGAGGCTGAGGCAGGAAAATCACTCAAACCCGGGAGGCGAAGGTTACAGTGAGCCGAGATTGCGCCACTGTACTCCAGCCTGGGCGACAGAGCAAGACTCCGTCTCAAAAAGAAAACACAGGCTGGGCGTGGTGGGTCATGGCCTGTAATCTCAACACTTTGGGAGGCTGAGGCAGGCAGATCACTGGAATTCAGGCATTCGAAACCAGCCTGGCCAACATGGTGAAACCCCGTCTCTACTAAAAATACAAAAAAATTAGCCGGGCATTGGGGCGGACGCCTATAATCCCAGATTCTCAGGAGGCCGCAGCAGGAGAATCACTTGAACCTGGGAGGCAGAGACTGCAGTGAGCTGAGATCGCGCTCAGCCTGGGTGACAGTGTGAGACTCTGTCTCAAAAACAAAACAAAACAAAACAAACAAAAAAACACACAATTAAAACTAGGCCAAAGACAGGGCACTCAGGCCAGAGAAAGAAATAAAGGATATTCAATTAGGAAAAGAGGAAGTCAAATTGTTCCTGTTTGCAGATGACATGATTGTATATCTAGAAAACCCCATCATCTCAGCCCAAAATCTCCTTAAGCTGATAAGCAACTTCAGCAAAGTCTCAGGATATAAAAATCAATGTGCAAAAATCACAAGCATTCCTATACACCAATAACAGACCAACAGAGAGCCAAATCATGAGTGAACTCCCATTCACAATTACTACAAAGATAATAAAATACCTAGGAATCCAACTTACAAGCGATGTGAAGGACCTCTTCAAGGAGAACTACAAACCACTGCTCAACGAAATAAAAGAGGACACAAACAAATGGAAGAAGATTCCATGCTCATGGATAGGAAGAATCAATATCGTGAAAATGGCCATAGTGCCCAAGGTAATTTACAGATTCAATGCCATCCCCATCAAGCTACTAATGACTTTCTTCACAGAATTGGAAAAAACTACTTCGAAGTTCATATGGAACCAAAAAAGAGCCCACATTGCCAAGACAATCCTAAGCCAAGAGAACAAAGCTGGAGGCATCATGCCACCTGACCTCAAACTATAATACAAGGCTACAGTAACCAAAACAGCATGGTACTGGTACCAAAACAGATACAGACCAATGGAACAGAACAGAGGCCTCAGAAATAATACCACACATCTACAACCATTTGACCTTTGACAAACCTAACAAAAACAAGAAATGGGGAAAGGATTCCCTAATTTAATAAATGGTGCTGGGAAAACTGTCTAGCCGTATGTAGAAAGCTGAAACTGGATCCCTTCCTTACACCTTATACAAAAATTAATTCAAGATGGATTAAAGACTTAAATGTTAGACCTAAAACCATAAAAACCCTAGAAGAAAACCTAGGCATTACCATTCAGGACATAGGCATGGGCAAGGACTTCATGACTAAAACACCAAAACCAATGGCAACAAAAGCCAAAATTGACAAATGAGATCTAATTAAACTTAAGAGCTTCTGCACAGCAAAAGAAACTACCATCAGAGTGAACAGGCAACCTACAGAATGGGAGAAAATTTTTGCAATCTACCCATCTGACAAAGAGCTAATATCCAGAATCTACAAAAAACTTACATTTACAAGAAAAAATCAAACAACCCCATCAAAAAGTGGGCAAATGATATGAACAGACACTTTCAAAAGAAGAAATTCATGCAGCCAACAGACACATGAAAAAATGCTCATCATCACTGGCCATCAGAGAAATGCAAATCAAAACCACAATGAGATACTATCTCATACCAGTTAGAATGGCAATCGTTAAGAAGTCAGGAAACAACAGGTGCTGGAAAGGATGTGGAGAAATAGGAACACTTTTACACTGTTGGTGGGAATGTAAACCAGTTCAATCATTGTGGAAGACAGTGTGGTGATTCCTCAAGGATCTAGAACTAGAAATACCATTTGACCTAGCCATCCCATTACTGGGTATATACTCAAAGGATTATAAATCATGCTGCTATAAAGACACATGCACACATGTTTATTGCGGCACTATTCACAATAGCAAAGACTTGGAACCAACCCAAATGTCCATCGATGATAGACTGGATTAAGAAAATGTGGCACATATACACCATGGAATACTATGCAGCCATAAAAAAGGATGAGTTCATGTCCTTTGTAGGGACATGGATGAAGCTGGAAACCATCATTCTGAGCAAACTATCACAAGGACAGAAAACCAAACACTGCATGTTCTCACTCATAGGTGGGAATTGATCAATGAGAACACCTGGACACAAGGTGGGGAACATCACATACTGGGGCCTGTTGTGGGGTGGGGGGCTGGGGGAGGGATAGCATTAGGAGAAATATCTAATGTAAATGACAAGTTAATGGATGCAGCACACCAACATGGCACATGTATATATATTTAACAAACCTGCACGTTGTGCACATGTACCCTAGAAAAAAAAAAGATACAAAATTATAGCTAGATAGGAGAAATCAGTTCTAGTGTTCTATAGCGCCGTAGAATGACTATAGTTAATAATAATACAATATATAGTTTCAAATAGCTAGAAGGATGTTGCACATTCTCAACACAAAAAAATGATAAACATTTGAGATGGTGGACGTGCTAATTACCCTGATCTGATAACTATAAATTATATGTATGGAAATATAATTATGTGCCCTCAAGAATATGTACAATTGCTATCAATTTAAAAAATTTAAAAACTGTATCATTGAATCCTTAAGACACTAAAGTTAATTTATATAAGAAATTAAAAAAATTTCTTATGCTGTTTTTCAAAAATCATAGCTTTTATGACTTCATATAAATATATCTAAAATAACTATGATATGTTTTTGTAGTCTAATAAAATTTGCACTGAATTCCAAACAATAAAAATAAAAAATAAAAAAAAAACTGGGCCAAAGAAATGAACAGTCACTTCACCAAAGAAAATATACAGATGGGGCTTGGCACCATGGCTTTGGGAGGCTGAGGTGGGAGGATCACTTGAAGCCAGGAGTTCGAGACCAACCTGGCCAACATCATGAAACCCTGTCTCTATTAAAAATACAAAAATTAGCCGGGCATGATGTTGCGTGCCTGTAATCCCTGCTACTCAGGAGGCTGAGGCACAAGAATTGCTTGAACCCAGGAAGGGGAGGTTGCAGTGAGCAAAGATAACAAGAAGAAGAAGAAAGAAGGAAGAAGGGAGAAAGAAGGAGAAAGAAGAAGGGAGGAGGAGAAGACACAGATGGCACATGAAAAGATGCCCAACATCATTAGCCATTAGAAAAACACAATGTATTTGAGGAAATAATTTTAAGACCGAGAGCAAGAAAATGTTTTTAATTTAAAAAAAGAAAAATGCCAAGTAAAATCACAATAGAAGAACAGCTAAAATTTTAAAAAGTGGTAACAGTGAATGCTGCAGAGAAACTGGATCACATACATTGCTGGTGGGAATGTAAAATGGTACAGACACTCCAAAAGTGTGGCACAATCTTTTTGTAGTTCATAAGCTTATGATGACGTAAGTGTGACGACATTGGGTTTTCACGTTCATGTGTGAGATGTGCCTCCCTCAAGCCTTATTACAATGCCAGTACATTTTTTTTCCACATCTGATGTGGAAAAAAAAAAAATGAAATAGTGCCGTGTCTTGTAAAACTAAACATATACCATTCTATTCTTGGGCATTTATCCCAAAGAAATGAAAAATTAAACTCATCCAAAACCCTGTCTATGATTGCTCACAGCAGCTTTACTCACAATGGCAAAATAGTGAAAATCTGAATGTCCTTCAATGAGTAAATGTTTGAACAAACGCTGGTACAACCACACAATGGAACACTCAACAATTTAAAAAATGAACTACTGATACAACAATTTAGATGGACCTCAAGGGAATTATGCTTTGCGAAAAAAGTCAATCTCAAATGGTTACATATTATACTATTCCATTTATATAACATGCTCAAATGTCAAAACTATAGAGATGGAGAACGGATAAGTGGAACAGGAACAGTGGTGGGTGTGGTGGTGGGCATGTGTGTGTGGGGGGTGCAGATACAAAGAACAGGGAGTTCCTTTATGGTAACAGTTCTAAGTCTTGATTGTGGTGGTGGTTACAGGAACATATATATGGCACGAAATTGCACACACTTATGCACAAATGAATAGATTTTTAAAATGGTGAAAACTAAGTTTTGTAATTTATTTAAAAGTAATGTACCAATATAAATTTCCTGGTTTTGATACTGAAGTACAGCTATGTAAGATATTGCCATTGAAGGAAGCTGAGTGAGAAGCCCACAGGACTCTGTACCATTTCTTGCAACTTCCTGAATCTATAATTATCTCAAAATAAAAAGGATCAGAATACATTCATGAGCAAAAAAGAGCAAATTACAGAATAAAACAAAAACTTGAAAACCTACATGTAATTTTCTTTTTGACTGCTCTTGCGGAACAGGGCTACCCTA
Source organism: Homo sapiens (assembly GCF_000001405.40). Classification (NCBI taxonomy): domain Eukaryota; kingdom Metazoa; phylum Chordata; class Mammalia; order Primates; family Hominidae; genus Homo; species Homo sapiens. Next base: position 71,439,661 of record NC_000023.11, on the reverse strand, counting down.
TAGGCAGTGTGCTGAGAGCAGCGTAATAAGTAAACACGTTTTGTCTAAGCATAGAAAAAAGTACCTAAGACTATAGACCAAGCTGTTATCTCTGGGGAAATGAAAATATGGGAGACAGGAGTGGGAGGGCAGGCAGAGGCTTTAACTTTTAATTTTATGTATTTCTAGATTATTTGATCTTTTTATAAGAGATTTTGCTTTTTTGTTTTTTAAAAGGTCTACCTGACAGAAATGTAGATGATAGGTTAGAAGGAGATAAATGTAAAGGCTGGGACATTCACCAGGCGACTAGGCAAAATGTAATGTGAACTTTAGTGACATACTGGATGTTGGAACTTATTCAAAGTGAAGAATTAAAAAAAAAGAGTTTCCTAGACGTAGCTACTGGGTAATGTTAATGCCCCATTAAACCCAGATTGGAAATTGTAAATGAGTGATTCAAGTAAAGAAGGAGAGAGGGAGAAAGTTGGAATAAGGAAGGATAGGAGGAAACAATAATACATTCAGCTTGAGGTATGTTTTAAGTTCCATTGAGACATCCAAGAGGAAATGTTTGGCAAGTGGCTTTGTCTACAATAGAGTCATCAGGAAAAGAGGTGGCAACTGAAGTTACAGGAGTGGGCAGAACATTCAGCAAAGGAGATTAAAAAGGAATAGTTTAAGAGGTGGGAGGAAAATAAGGGCTTTTTTATTTTTGGAGTCTTGCTCTGTCACCCAGGCTGAAGTGCCGTGTCATGATCTTGGCTCACTGCAACCTCTGCCTCCCAGGTTCAAGTGATTCTCCTGCCTCAGCCTCCCAAGAACGCTGAGTGCATTCTCATACCACGTGCCACCACGCCTGGCTAATTTTTTTGTATTTTTAGTGAAGACGGGGTTTCACCATGTTGGCCAGGCTGCTCTCGAACTCCTGACCTCAGGTGATCCACCCATCTCGGCCTCCCCCGGCCAGAGCTAAAAATTGTCATGGAAGCCAATCACAATACTGTTGTGAGGAAAGAATGGTCAATGATGTCAAATACTAGGGTGAGGTCAAGATAAGGACAGAAAAGTGCCCACTATATCTGATAATTATGTGATCCTGTTTACTTGGTAGACTGGACAGGGTGGAAGCCAGCTTAAAGCTAAGCGAGGCATTACTGGAAGACAAAGAAAATAGTGAGAGACGTTACATATTCATAAAAGAAGTCTGGCTGTCATAAAAAAGAATGAAACTCTGATACATGCTACAACATGGATGAACCTTGAAAACATGGTAAGTAAAACAAACCAGACACAAAAGGAAGAATATTGTATATAATGTATGATTTACTTATATGACATACCTAGAATAGGCAATTTCATAGAGATAGAAACTAGAATAGAGGTTACCAGGAGCTGGGAAGAAGGGGAGTTACCATGTAAGGGGTATAGAGTTTCTGTTTGGAATAATAAGAAAGTTCTGGAAATACACAGTGGTAATGGTTGCACTACACTGTGATTGAACTTAATGCCACTGATTTGTACACTTAAAAATAGTTAAAATGACGGCTGGGCATGATGGCTCATACCTGTAATCCCAGCACTTTGGAAGGCTGAGGGGAGGTGGATCACCTGAGGTCAGGAGTTTGAGACCAACCTGGCCAACTTGGTGAAACCCCGTCTCTACTAAAAATACAAAAATTACCCGGGCGTGGTGGTGCACGCCTGTAATCCCAGCTACTCTGGAGGCTGAGGCAGGAGAAACGTTTGAATCCAGGAAGCGGAGGTTGCAGTAAGCCAAGATCGCGCCACTGCACTCCAGCCTAGGAAACAGAATGAGACTCCGTCTCAAAAAAAAAAAAAAAAAAAGTTAAAATGACAAATTTTTATATTATGTATATTTTCCATAATAAAAAAGTCTGTATGGAAAGAGAAAGAGACAAGATGGCAGCAAGAGACCCAAGCAGGATCGGGGGAAGTTTTTCTTCTCTTCAATGACATGAAGGACTTAACTTTCATATGGAAATATTTCTCTTTTTCTTTTTTTTTTTTTTGGAGACAGAGTCTCATTCTGTCGCCCAGGCTGGGGTACAGTGGCACGATCTCAGCTCCAGGTGCATGTCACCAGCACCAGTCCCGGCTAATTTTTGTATTTTTAGTAGAGATGGGGTTTCACCATGTTGGCCAGGCTGGTCTTGAACTCCTGGCCTCAAGTGATCCACCCGCCTCAGCCTCCCAAAGTGCTGGGATTACTGTTGTGAGCCACCAAGCCTGGTCAGAAATACTTATACCTTGGGTCCCAATCACTGATGGAAAAAAAAGACCCTTATTATTCATGAGTGGCCAAACTTACAGAGTAGTACCCTCATAACAAAGACTTAGAAACTAGTATTATGGAAATACTTTAAGCATTATATTTAACCTATGAACAATACTGAATCATCTATTCATATTCTTCAAATTGAAACCTTTAGACTTAATAACCAGTTAGGAAAAAAAGAGTACAAGCACAATGGCAGCAAAGCTTTTAAATTTTATATTGAATATCGACAATGAAAAATAAATAAACAAAATAAAAACTTTTAAATTACCTAGGAATAAACTCGACAATGAGAAATTCAAAAGCAACAAAAACTATCAAATTAAATAAATTAAACAAAACATGCCTAGAAACTGTATGAAGAAAACTAGAAGCCATTATTGGGGGACATAAAAGAAAATGTGAATAAATGAAGAAACATAAGCTCCCAGGAGGAAAAATGGAGAATTATAAAGATATACAGTTTCTCCAAATTAATCTATAAATTAAATAAGGTCTCAATCATGTTTATTTATTCGAGGACAAGGTAGAATCTAACAAAAATGACCTTAGAGTTTATTTAGGATAATTAGGCAAGCACAGTCAAGGAATTTAAAATTTTAAAGCCTTTGTGATAAAACAATTATCTGGTGATAATAGCACCAGACTAGACAAATAGATCAATGAAGCAGAATAGAAAGCTCTCAAATAGGTTCAAGAATATATAAGAATTTAGTATATTATAAAGGTAGCATTTTGGCCAGGTGCATTGGCTTATGCCTGTAATCCCAGCACTTAAGGAGGCTGAGGCAGGTGGACCATTTGAGCCCAGGAGTCCGAGACCAGCCTGGGCAACATGGTGAAACCCCATCTCTACAAAAAAACACAAAAATTAGGCCAGGCGCGGTGGCTCATGCCTGTAAACACTTTGGGAGGCCGAGGCAGGCGGATCACGAGGTCAGGAGATAGAGACCATCCTGGCTAACATGGTGAAACCCCGTCTCTACTAAAAATATAAAAAATTAGCCGGGCGTTGTGGCGGTCACCTGTAGTCCCAGCTACTTGGGAGGCTGAGGCAGGAGAATGGCATGAAACTGGGAGGTGGAGCTTGCAGTGAGCCGAGATCGCGCCACTGCACTCCAGCCTGGGTGACAGAGCAAGACTCTGTCTCAAAAAAAAAAAAAAAAAAATTAGCCGGGCTTGGAGATGTGTGCCTGTAGTCCCAGCTTCTTGGGAGGCTGAGGTGGGAGGACAGCTTGAGCCCAGGAGGTGGAGGCTGCAATGACCCATGATCACACTACTGTACTCCAGCCTGGGCAACAGAGCAAGACCTTGTTTCAAAAAAAAAAAAAAAAAAAAAAAAAAAGGAGGTAGCATTTCAATTAGTAGGAAAGGTTAGACTGTTCCATAAATGGGACTTGGGCACTTTGGCTAGTCATTTGGGAAAGAAAGTTAAATATTTACCTTCTACTTCAGATTTTATTCTAAAAAGTAGATAAACATTTAGATATTTAAAATATTGTATGTATTAGAAGAAAATATGGTTTGCTATCTTGGGGGTAGGGAAGATCTTTTGAACAGTTATAATACCAAAAATAAGAATCATATAGGAAAAGACTGATAAATACAAATGTATGCATATGAAGTTTCCGTATGTCAGAAATACCATAAAACTAAACATTAAAAGACTTTCTGGGCATGATAGAATAAATGCTATTGGATTAGTCCTCCTACTATAACCAGAAAACTAGAAAAAAACAAATGAAACAACTGTTTTCAGACACTGAGCAACTAGTAGTATAAGATTGTATGATCCTTGTAAGAAGGAAAGGGAAATGAAGTGAGCCCTACAATTGTCCCTGGCTTTCTGCTGAAGGCAAGCCAATTATAGCAGTCTTCCTGAGCTCTGGAGACATACTGGAGTCTGAGGAGGTTAAGACAGCTGGAAATTGCAAGGCACAACTGGAGAAGAGGGTGCTCCATAGAAAAATAACAAGATCTGCAAGGGTTCCCTTTAGTCTTTGGCTGAATAACTACTAAGCTGCACAGGCATAGGATGAGACTCCAGAATGTCAGGCAAAGGTCCTATAACCTGAACAACTATCAGAGCCCACAAAAGGTTGGGAGATACTCAAAAGTTGGGGACAAGGGGAGATTTCTGTTTTTCTTTGTAAATTTATATCTAGATTGTGGGGTCCAACTGAGCATTCTAAAACTTCGGGCTCTCAGGTTTCATGACACATGTTCTACCTATGTCCATCCCAAAGATGGCTTCTTACTGGAGTTGATTTTGGTTTTAAGAGCACTAGAGGAGAAACTTGCTATGAAATCTTTGGGAAAGAGGAATCTCATCATGACTAGCTCAGCATCACCTATTGGTTCAGACTATGTAGCTCATTTCAAATGAGATCAGGCACATTTAGGGTGATATAGCCACAGATTGTGTAGCTCATTTCAAATTTAACTAAACATTAAGTAGTAAGGCCTCTGCCAATTTTGTTAAGTCTGGCAAAAAGTTTGGGTTGTATTTTTCAGAAGGGACTTATCTGTATGACTCTCTCCTTTAACTGTTGCGGTCCTTTTGGGACTGGTGCAAATAACTCCAACCACTTAAAGTTGTGGGCTTTCCTGATTATTAATGTTCTTTTCAAATGCTATTTAAACATGAACAGAGGTTCTGAGACTGATCTAGTACTTACGTGGCAGCTGGAAGGTACAATGGCATAACTCTATAATTAGCGTACAGTCCACTGTCATCACTTAAGGACAAGACTAATTCCTCTGATACATGCCGTTTATGTCCAGATGTGTTTTATATGGAGTGTTACTTATCTTCTGGTTTTTGCCTAATGACCCTAATCTTAGTGCTAAGTATTCTGGCTATATACAATATAGTTCACGGGCTAAATATGTGACTAATAAAGGGTAAGTCAAAGAAGTCAGTGTAAAATGTTATAGAAATATGCTCATATGCAGTATATTATGTGTGAAGGATCTGAATATGCAGAGTCAAAATAATGTTAACTAGAGATATCATTCTACTAATTTAGATTAACTTTAATACTAACAAAATTTTACAAAATAAAAATTTTAAAGTAGAGAATAAAGTCCACATGGACTTTGTTACTATTTTTATTTTTTGTTTTTTGAGACAGGCTCAGCAACAGGCACACACTGCCATGCCCAGCTAATTTAAAAAATTTTTTTAGAGACAGGGTCTCTTGCCGGGGCTGATCTTGAACTTCTGGCCTCAAGAGATCCTCCTGCCTTGGCCTCCCAAAGCATTAGGATTACAGGAGTGAGCCGCTGCACCCAGCCTGGACTTTGTTACTATTAATTAAAAACAGAGGCAGGATCATATTATATGGCTGAACCAACAACGTTTTAAACAGAAATATTATTTCGTGTATATCGCCTGATAGTAGGAAATATTTCATGTGCCTTTCACTCCTCAATGTCTTTATGGTGTCTTTCTAGATGTCACCATTTCATATCACATGGCACCACTAACCCTTATAACCCTATTCAGAAGTTTCCTATTCTCTCATCCACTGGTTAAGGAGGGGGGAAAGTCAGCCTTCTAGGCTGTCCACTGCTACTACCCAGACATTATTTACTTCTTCTTGGGGAGAAAAAAAAAAATCTCTCCTACTCTAAGGCCTGTTTTTTACTATGCCAGAGGTTGAAGACTTGGAGCCAGATTTGGCCTGCAGATAGATGTTTTTATTTGGCCAAAGGAGTAAAAAAATATTTAAACTCTTTGCAAATACGTAAAAATTTGAGAAATCACATAAAAAGTCCAGATTTTCAGCTTCTCTTGAAAAATTCAGTTATCTAGCAACACTGGATACTCATTTCCTTAGGACAACAATCAGAAGAAGGACATGCTGCTTTAGATGGAATATGCACTTTTCTAGTTTAGCACAATCCCACCTAGCCCACCTTAGTCATTTACATTACTTGCCTGGCCCCTGCAGGACACTTGAGTTTGAAATCTGTGTTCTTCACCTTTAGTCACCATTATTAACTGATTCTCATTCACAAAGACTTATGCACCTGGCACAATCATTCTCTCGGCTCCAAATCTTTCCCATCATAGTGAGTTACCTTATTGTTCACATGTACAACCTATCCAAATCCCTGCAAATCTTTGTGCCAATAGTTTGCACCTTTGCTCCAGCCAAACACATCCATGGCTATACCCAGAATGCTATCTACTGAAAACTGCTTCACCTCTGGAACTTTCAACTCCAAATATTCTACTTTCTTATCACAGCCTTGTATCTGTCCAGTTTTTTCATTCTCTTTCTTTTACTTCAAGAAAACTGCCAGGCCCATTAATTTCTATCTCTCAACATATTAAGCCTCTCCTGGCATTACTTTAATGTATAATCAGCCCCATGTTTTAAAAACTAGGTAATGCAGAAGGATATACCAAACTAAGCTATGGGATCATTGTTGTATAACTTCCTGAATCAGCAATTTTACTTGAAGATTGGAGAGGGGATATAAAGTAATTTGGTAAGAAATTTGAAGCAAGTTAAAGTACAGATAAGCCTAACGGAAAATTTGCACACATTTTTAAGATAAAACACAAATTGCCAAAGAAATTTCAAACTTTTGTGGAGCTGCTCTGAGATATTCCCCCAAACTGGAGACTATATAGTCACAATCCTCTGCAATAAAGCGTCACTAAAGAGTGACAAGGTTTGAGATGCCCGAACTTCAATAATTTTTTTTTTTGCTAATACCCTCAATTCCCAATCTTTCCAGCACATCCACAAAACAAAATCTCAATCCTGAATCAATTTTATCACCTGCCTTCTCAGTTTCCTAACTTGATTTGATGAGCACTGACAAAAATTACAGAACTGTGCCAACTGATACTGCCAAAAAAAAAAAAAAGTCTCCATCTTCAGCTGGACCTTCAAAAGTTGCTCAACAGCGTTCTTCTGAAATGTCCCTAATCAGCTCCTTTTCCAATTTCCCACAAAAATAATTCGCTTATTGATATTTTTCTTCAAATTCCTTCTCCCACTTTAATCTCAGCAAAAAAATATGCTGTTTCCTACTTTACAGAGAAATAAGATGTTAAAACTTTCTCAATGTCTATCTTCCCACCTCCATAGGCATTTCATATCCTTAATTTTCTTCTCTTTGACCTATACGAAGTTCTCCTCTGCCCAACTGCCTTCATCCCCTCAACATATTGTCTACTTCCTTCCTCCCTTCACAATCAACTCTCAATCTCTACTTTCTTACTTCCCATTCATTCACAACCCCTACAGTCTGGCTTTTTATCCTACCACTTCAATAACCATCCTCTAATAACTTCTAATAACCATCCTCTTTGGTCTTCTCTCTAACACCTGACCTGTTGGTAATTTTCCCTCTTTGAAGTCCTCTTCTCTTGGTTTGCAGTATATTATTCTCTCCTAGTTTTTCTTCTTTCATTCTGGCCACTCCTTCATATTTTTTTTTTTTTTTTTTGAGACGGAGTCTCACTCTGTCACCAGACTGGAGTACAGCAGTGCAATCTCGGCTCACTGCAACCTCCACCTCCCGGATTCAAGTGATTCTCCTGCCTCAGCCTCCGGAGTAGCTGGGACTACCGGTGCATGCCACCATGCCCAGCTAATTTTTTGTATTTTTAATAGAGGCAGCGTTTCACTATGTTGGCCAGGATGGTCTCGATCTCTTGACCTCATGATCCACCAGCCTCGGCCTCCCAAAGTGCTGGGATTACAGGCGTGAGCCACCATCCCAGGCCTCACCTGTTATCTTAAATATTGGAATTTGTCAGGTCTATTCTTATCCCACATCCTCTAAACAGTGACTCTTATGTTTTTTGGGGTCACACACTTTGACAATCTGATAAAATCTATGGTCTTTCTACTCAGTAAAATATACAATCATATTTTACATACAACATCAGAGGGTTCAAGGAATGTACCCTACTCCCTATTTGAGCTCATCTACTTATATTTTTATATGCTGATAATCTGAAAAGTAACCATATTTATAGTATAAATTCTCTTCTGAGGCCAGGTGCAAAAGCTCACGCCTATAATCCCAGCACTTTGAGAAGCCGAGGGAGGTGGAGCATTTGAGGTCAGGAGTTTGAGACCAGCCTGGCCAACACGGTGAAACCCCGTCTCTGCTAAAAATACAAAAATTAGCTGGGTGTGGTGACATGTGCCTGTAATCCCAGCTACTTGGGAGGCTGAGGCAGGCAAATCACTTGAACCTGGGCGGCGAAGGTTGCCATGGGCTGAGATAGGCAAATCACTTGAACCTGGGCGGCGAAGGTTGCCATGGGCTGAGATCGCACCACTGCACTCCAGCCTGGGCGACAGAGCAAGATTCTGTCTCAAAAAAAAAAAAAAAAAAAAAAAAAAAAATTCTTCTGAGCTTTGGACCTGTACACAGCTAACTACCTATTAAAAGTCTTCACTTAGATGTCCCACCCCAATACAACATAGCAAGTTGAACTCTGCTATCTTTTCTCCAAACCACTCTTCCTGTATTTCCCATATTAGTCAATGGCACCACCTGTTGCCCAAGTCAGAATTTTGGAGGTCATTTGATTTATTCATCCTTCCAAAAACGGAAATTTCTCTTAATTTCAAAAGTACTATGTGCTCACTAAAAAATTCAAATACCTAAGTACAAACAAGTCTAAAGTAAAAACTATTCTCCATTTCTCCCTTTGGTAATTCAATTCCATGGCAACAACTGAGCTAAATAGTGACTGACTCCTAGATGGGATACATGCTCACCAGTTCATTGGCCCCCACAACATAGCCCATTTCACTCATTTATATTACCTGTCCTTAGAATCCAAATTTGTGACCCTCTTTTTTAAATACTGTTGAGTAATATGGTTCTCAATAATGCAATTTGAGTATCTTTTCATATGAGCATATACAGATACACCTAATTTGTTAGCTAAGTCTACCATTTTGATAGCTTAGCAGTATTTCATCATATAGATGTGCCTTTTTTTTTTTTTTTTTTTTGTGAGACGGAGTCTCGCTCTGTTGCCCAGGCTGGAGTGCAGTAGCACGATCTCGGCTCACAGCAAGCTCGGCCTCCCGGGTTCCTCCCGCCATTGTCCTGCCTCAGCCTCCCGAGTAGCTGGGACTACAGGTGCTCGCCACCACGCCCGGCTAATTTTTTATATTTTTAGTAGAGACGGGGTTTCACCTGTGTTAGCCAGGATGATCTCAATCTCCTGACCTCGTGATCCGCCCACCTCAGCCTCCCAAAGTGCTGGGATTACAGGCGTGAGCCACCGTGCCCGGCCTAGATGTGCCATTTTTTAAACAATTTCCTATTGTTGGATATTTAGAATACTCCATGTTTTTGCAATTACAAGCAATGCTGCAAAGAACATTTGTACATGTACCTTTATAAACTTGTGTGGAGTAGTCCCTAGAAGTGAAGTTTCTTAGCCAATGGAAATGAACATTTATAGTCCTCTAAAACGTTTGTACTAATTTATGTTTCCACCAAGAGCATGAGTGCTTGATACCACCTTAAAATCTCTATCCTTTACCCGTGCCCCCAACTTCTAACCATTTATGAAATATCAATTCTACCTCCTAAGTATCTCTACACCCCATCTTCATTTTTTTACTCTTATTGATACTGACCTTAGTTCAGGCCGTCAGTATTTTTAACTGGGAATGCTGTCAATAGTTTCTTTACCGGTCTCTGTCTTATTCTCCTCCTCCAATCCATTCTTCAGATGGGTTTCAGAATGATACATTCAGGTACTAGTACCTGATATGTCCCTTTCTCCTTCTAAAGGTTTGGTGTTAACATACTAGGCGTTTCATGATTTGGCCCCTCTACCTTTAAAATCTCGTATCTCACTACCAAACGTAATTCCACCATGCATCCTAGTCATATTTAACTACCAGCACACTTCCCTATCCAAGGCACCTTCATCTACTTTTGCATTTGTGCTATCTGCCAGGAACTTCTCCCCCACCATTTTCCACTTGACTATTTCCTTGGCACAGTAGGTGCTCAATAAGTAGTTATTATCATCATCATTCTTCAAAACTCAGTTCAAAAGTCACTTCTTCTTAGGAGAGTTCCCTGCTTCCTTCTGCTTTTTTTTTTGAGACAGAGTCTTGCTCTGTCGCCCAGGCTGGAGTGCAGTGATGCGATCTCAGCTCACTGCAAGCTCCGCCTCCCAGGTTCACACCATTCTCCTGCCTCAGCCTCCCGAGTAGCTGGGACTACAGGCGCCCGCCACCACGCCCGGCTAATTTTTTGTATTTTTAGTAGAGACGGGGTTTCACTGTGTCAGCCAGAATGGTTTCGATCTCCTGACCTTGTGATCCGCCCACCTCAGCCTCCCAAAGTGCTGGGATTACAGGCGTGAGCCACCGCGCCCGGCCTCCCTGCTTCCTATATGAGGAAAAACCACGGAAAACATATAAAAGATGAAAACAAAGACAATCCTAACCCCATGTCACAGAAATAACCACTATTATCACTCTGGTGTGTTTCCTTCCAGCCTTTTTTGTACGTATATACATCTTTTTTAAAAAAGCATGACTGAGATAAAATAAACATCTTTGTGCTCTGCTTTTCTCACTTAACATTGTGAGCATTTTTTGGTCATTAAGTTTTCCAAAAAAGAGCTTATTAGGTAAATCTGTACCTAATAATTAATTATACAGATGGCACTATAACATCATCCCCTTTATGTCAACTATTCAGGTTAAATAAATCCTTGCTAATATAAGTAACAATATCATGAATACCTTTAACTACATCTCTGATTAGGATTATAATCTTACCACATGGTAAGTACTTACATGCACTATTTTATTTAATCCTCAAAACAACCCTCTTGAAGGGGGGTACTATTATTCTTATTTTACAGATAGGAGAAGCAGAGACTAAGTTATTTGCTCAAAGTCACATTGCTATTAAGTGGTGGGGCCAATGTTCAAATCCAAGTCTACTTGACAATAAAGTCTGTTCACTCAACAATTTATTTTAGTCTCTCAATGTTGCCAAATAGCTTTCCAGAAATCTCACACAATTTTATACTGCCAACAGCAATACGTGAGAGCACCTGTCTCACTACCATTATGTCTACTAAAAAATTGAGTTGGCCAAGCGCAGTGGCTCACAAGGTCAGAAGTTCGAGACCAGCCTGGCCAAGATGGTGAAACCCCATCTCTACTAAAAATACAAAAATTAGCCAGGCACGGTGGCGGGAGCCTGTAATCTCAGCTACTTGGGAGGCTGAGGCAGGAGAATTGCTTGAACCCGGGAGGCGGAGGGTGCAGTGAGCCAAGATCGCGCCACTGCACTCTAGCCTGGGCGACAGAGCAAGACTCCATCTCAGAAAAAAAAAAAAAAAAAAAATTGAGCTAATCTAATAGGTTTAAAAAAAAAAGTATCTCTTTCTTTCAATTGCTTTTTTTTTTTTCTTCCTTCTTAGACTAAGTCTCACTCTATCACCCAGGCTGGAGTGCAGTGGCACTATCTCGGCTCACCGCAACCTCTACCTCCCAGGTTCAAGCAATTCTCATGCCTCAGCCTCCTGAGTAGCTGGGATTACAGGCACCCGCCTCCACGCCCAGCTAATTTTTGTATTTTTAGGAAAGATGGGATTTCACCATCTTGGCCAGGCTGATCTCAAACTGCCGACCTAAGGTGATCTATCTGCCTCAGCCTCCCAAAGTGCTGGGATTACAGGCATGAGCCACCATGCCTGGCCCAATTGCATTTCTTGGATTACTAGTGCAACAGAATATTTATTCATGTTTGTTAGCTATTTAATTTTTCTCTTTTGTGATTTGTCCATCTGCCCTCTGCTTACTTTTTTATTAGTATCTTCTGGGTTTTTCTTACTGTTTTACATAAGCTCCTTGTTAAGTCTGCCCTATGTCCTAAGTCAGCCATCACCAGGTCAAGTACCTTTCTGTAACACTCTTGCTTATCACTTGCTATACATAGTCTTTTTTAGACATCTGTGAGCTTACCAACACTTCTACTGCCAGAATTCTGGGTGATTAGGTGTTTTCATAAAACAATAATGGATAATTGACCCAACAAGGGACATTTCCACTCTCCACTTTCCAATGTGTAATAAGCACAGCAAACTGAGAAAGTACATTCTTTCAACCCAAACCAGAATGAACAAAAATGAAAATCTCATCTCCTTAATGATATATGCATGTTCTAGTTACGTATAGTTCCCTGAACTTGCCCTGCTCTTTCATTCTTCCATGATATTGAACATTGTGTTCTCTGCCCAGAATGCTTATTTCTTCATCAGTCTTTCTGACTGTCCAATCCTTCACCTTTTCTCTCCAGTTCTCTGCCCCTTCTGACAAACTTAACAGCCGTACTACTTACTGCTAAAAATTACAGGAGAAAAGTCTTATAATCATGTGGATTCTTAATTGAGAACCTCAGTACGCCAGATAATTCTCTCAAACGTCCTTAGCTCCCTCTTCTATTTGTTTAAGGAATTATAAGAAATTGTTTCCCTGCTTCATTCCTTCAATGTTTTCCCATTTAGGATCAAGTACAAACTCAAGTATAGCACACAAAATCCTCTATGATTTGACTCTTGCCTGCCTCTCAAAACAGTTATTTACCAGTATGTACACTTGAACTGCAACCCCAACACTGTCTCTTTGTTTTTTTTTTTTTGAGATGGAGTTTCACTCTTGTTGCCCAGGCTGGAGTGCAATGGCGGCATCTCGGCTCCCTGCAACCTCCACCTCCAGGGTACAAGCGATTCTCCTGCCTCAGCCTCCCGACTAGCTGGGATCACAGGCATGCACCACCATGCCCAGCTAATTTTGTACTTTTAGTAGAGACGGGGTTTCTCCATGTTGGTCAGCCTGGTCTCAAACTCCCGATTTCAGGTGATCCGCCGGCCTCGGCCTCCCAAAGCGCTGGGATTACAGGCGTGAGCCACCACACCCAGCCTGTTTCCTAAACCTATCATGCAATTTCAGGCCTCTGTGCCTTTACATATCGCTGTTCTCTCTACCCTAGAACATTTTCTCCTCCACATTCTTTGCCAAGTAAACACCATTGATCTTTCAGAACTCAGCTTAAGAAAACTCTCTTCTGGATGGGTGTGGTGGCTCATGCCTGTAATCCTAACACTTTGGGAGGCCAAGATGGGAGGATGGCTTGAGCCCTGGAGTTCCAGACCAGACTGGGCAACACAGCAAGACCCCCATCTCTATTTACAAAAAAGAAAAAGAAGAAAGAAAACCCTCTTCCAGAAAGCTTCCTCTAACCCCACTTTTTTTTTTTTTCTGAGATGGGGTCTCACTATGTTGCCCAGGCTGGTCTTGCACTCCTGAGCTCAAATGATCCGCCCGCCTTGGCCTCCCAAGGTACTAGGATCACAGGTGTGAGCTACCGCACCCAGCCCCACTCTAATTTAGATATACTGTCCTGTGACACTCTGTGCATGCTTATAGTAATAAAATTTAAGTACTATAATTTTTCTTTTCTGTTTCTCCAACTAAACTAACTTGGAGCAGAGACCATATCTAATTTGATATTAGTAACATCTATCAGTGCCAGCGCATGTAAGTACTCAATGTTTAAAAATTGAGTCATTAAAAACTGAACTATATTAGCTCGTTTATGAAGCCTTCCCTAACTCTCAGGTTATTCCTTGCTCTCGTCTGATGCAATCTGCACATACTTCTATTATAGCTCTTGTCAAGCTGCACTTTACTTATTTATTTTATTTATTTATAGAGACAGGGTCTTGCTGTTGCCCAGGATGTAGTGCAGGGGCGTGATCATAGCTCACTGCAGTCTTGAAATCCTGAGTTCAAGTGATCCTCTTGCCTTAGCCTCCCAAATATCTTAAGACTTCAGGCACTCACCACCACACCTAGCTAAGCTTTTGTTTATAAGTTTTTTATACAGACAAGGAAGGTCTTGCTATGTGTGCCCAGGCTGGTCTCAAACTCCTGGCCTCAAGCAATCCTCCCACCTCAGCCTACCAAAGTGTTGAGATTACAGGTATGAGCCACCATGCCTGGTTCCAAGCTGCATTTTAATTGTCTCTTTCTGCCAACTGGATTGTGAATTACTTGAGGACAGTGACTGTCTTTCTTATCAGTAGATTAAGCAGCTAGCACAGGGCCTGGCATATGTTATTCAATCAACTCATGTACTGAGCAAAACTCCATGCACCAAGGAAGCTCACCATGGTCTATAGCTACCCATTTCCCTAAGCTCCATGTAAGGGCCTGGGACATAGGTGAGTTTTCACATTCCAGGAAAAAGCAGTGATAGCTCAGAGCCCAAATGGATAAAAATCCATTTGATTTTTATGCTCACCTCATTTTTCTGTGCTTTCCAAGATTCCAAAAGTAAGCGTATACTACTTTTTCATCATTAACGGCTAATAGCAATCTTTATAGAACATACACACTAAAATATATGCTTGCTTTAAAAAAAAAGACTGGCTGGGAGCAGTGGCTCACGCCTGTAATCCCAGCACTTTGGGAGGCTGAGGCAGGTGGATCACCTGAGGTCAGGAATTCGAGACCAGCCTGGCCAACATAGTGAAACCCCGTTTCTACTAAAAATACAAAAATTAGCTGGGCATGGTGGCAGGCACCTGCAATCCCAGCTACTCAGGAGGCTGAGGCAAGAAAATTGCTTGAACCTGGGAGAGGTGGAGGTTGCAGTGAGCCGAGATCGTGCCATTGCACTCCTGCCTGGGCAACAAGAGTGAAACTCCATCTCAAAATAAATAAATAAATAGAAAGACTAGGTCACTCAATTGATTCTGCTATCACTGCTCAAGGTTGCTTTACGCACATAAATTTTAATAATACTGGTTAGGCGTGTTGGCTCACACCTGTAATCCCAGCATTTTGGGAAGCCGAGGTGGGAGGATTGCTTGAGCTCAGCCTGGGCAAAATAGTAAAACCCTGTCTCTACCAAAAAAAAAAAAAAAAAAAAAAAAAAGAGCCTGGCACGGTGGCGTGTGCCTGGTTCAGTGAACTATGATCACACCACAGCATCCAGCCTGGGTAAGAGAGCAAGATCCTGTCTCAAAAAAAAATTTTTTAATAATGCTAAGTAATGTTAGATGGATAGAAGATGGACGGATTCATGGAAAGAAAATAATGAGAAATACCCACCATTATACTTAACACTGTTGGCCAGAATAAGGTTTACATCATCCAGAAAGCTCTCCCGACTCTGATACTTGTGCTTGGAGATGTTCTGTGATGAAAAGAATCAGGCACTCAGATACACACACACACAGTCACTTGATTACAAAAAGGCATTTAGATCAAATCACTCACTCACCTTACGTATGGTCTCTAAATCCATTGGATTGACAATCACTTTGTAATAATCTGGAACAAATTTCTTATTAACTGGGTGATGAAATGGCCAAGACTAGTAAATAGAAAGCATAAGAAATTAAATGGAAACCACTCTTCATACGAGAATTTCACCACCTTTGTTGGGTTACAAATATTCCTAAAAAAAGCTATGGACTCTTTTCCTAGAAAAACACATAATCATACAAAACTTCTGTTTATAATGTAAGGGGTTCATAGATTCCTTTAAGGATTTCTATGCCATGATAGGATAAAAACACTTGCTGTATAGTCATAATTAAAATTCCTTATTCCCTAGTCCCAACGAGAAGTTTTATAGCATTACACATATAGAACACATTCCTATAGTACAAAAGGAAACTCTGTTGAGAATTCCTGGGGAGGATCACTGTAACAATATAAAAATGAAATAAAAGACAACCAATGGTGTCTAATTATCAAAGCATCATTTGCTTAGAAGCACCTCTAAATCAAAAGCCTCACATTCGCTAGCATCCTCTCTCTACAGGGCTATTCAGGAGCATTCATATACTGAATGTCAACAACAGGAAGCAAAAACCTCCCTACATCCAAAGATTCCTGGCCTCTTTGATTTCAATGATAATGTACTCTTAAAAAAAAAAGATAATGTACCCATATAGCAAAAAGGTCAATATTTAAAATCACATACCAGTCACAACTGACATACACCACCACTCAGACTCTCCAAAATACACACACGTGTACACCCTAAACATTTTTCCTTTCCCCTGCACGATCCTCACAGTATTTGGCACAGAGACAGCTTACATCTGGAACTGCCATCATTTTCTGGGTGACAATGTTGTCCAGAATGAAAGAAAACGCCACTTGGTCATCATCATCCAGCAAGGGGTTGATAGCTTTCTCTAAGCGAGCTAATTTGTCTTCTTTCTGAAATTAAACAAAGCAAAGCCAAGACAGAGGTTTCCCTAAGGTGTGATCACCATAGAAAAGTTAAGGACAATTTGCCGGGCGTGGTGGCTCACGCCTGTAATCCCAGCACTTTGGGAGGCTGAGGCGGGCGGATCACAAGGTCAAGAGATCAAGACCATCCTGGCTAACACGGTGAAACCCCGTCTCTACTAAAAATACAAAAAAAAACTAGCTGGGCGTGGTGGCGGGCGCCTATAGTCCCAGCTACTCAGGAGGCTGAGGCAGGAGAATGGCGTGAATCTGGGAGGTGGAGCTTGCAGTAAGCCGAGATTGCACCACTGCACTCCAGCCTGGGTGGACAGAGCGAAGCTCTATCTCAAAAAAAATAAATAAATAAAAAATAAATTAAGGATAATTTAAGTTCAGCTAGCTATCTATTACCCTTGCCCCAGAAAGTGTAACTTTGAATTGCCTATGGAATGACAAAAAGTCAAGATAAATGATATTCCAGGCTGGGCACAGTGGCTCACACCTGTAATCCCAGCAATCTGGGAGGCCGAGCAGGTGGATCATATGAGGCCAGGAACTCGAGACCAGCCTGGCCAACATGGCAAAACCCCATCTCTACTAAGAATACAAAAAAAAAAAAAAATTAGCTGGGCGTGGTGGCACACGCCTGTGGTCCCAGCTACTCGGGAGGCCAAGAATCACTTAAACCCAGGAGGCGGAGGTTGCAGTGAGCCAAGGTCATCCCACTGCACTCCAGCCCAGGTGACAGAGCCAGACCCTGTCTCAAAAAAAAAAAAAAAAAATTCCAGTAAAAGGGTCAAAAAGGATGTGTCAACAACTTCTTTAGGTACTCTACATTCTATTCTTCTGGTTCACCAAAATTTATACTTCCCTGAGTGTCAACATCATAGCTCCCCACACACACAAAAAAACATCTTTAGCAATTTAGGCTTTAAGATCATGCTCTCTGTTTTTGCTGTAAAACTACTGCTGGAAACACTAAACATTATTACTGATTAGTGACTTTTGCGTAATGGGACCTAACCCAATAAATTCATTTTAGACTCTAGTAGGAAAAAGTTTGTATTCCTATTGCTCCAAATCCTCATCAACATTTAGTATTGTCAGTCTTTTTAATTTTAGCCTTTGCAGTGGGTATGTAGTGACATCGTGGTTTAAATTTGCATCTCCTCAATAATCAATCAAGTTGAGAATCTTTCCGTGTTTACTGGCTAGTTGTCCTCTTTTGTGAAATGTCTACTTCATACTTACACTTTTGTAGGTTTATAAAGTACCATTAATTGTTTTCAGTAAGAAGAGGGAATATAGATAGATTATCATTTAAAAATTAAAACTTCTAGCACTTGCTGCTTGGTTGGTTAAAAATATGAAGAAAAAATGAAAATTCTTCCTAAAACATTGACTGGTCTCTTAGCTACAGCTGACTTCCTGGAAACTCACTTTCCTTTGCCCTTTCTAATGAGTTATGTAGGTGCTGGATCTTAATTCTAACTTTGTTAATAGTCAAGATGTCCAGAGCAAATACTTTTCTTCTACGGGCCCAGTTTTTCCATCTACAAAAGGGACTGGCCTATGAGTTCTATAAGTCCCTTCCAGCCTTCACATATACTAAAGATCTGCTACTCCCGCATATATTTTTCCTTCTGTTAAATTCCCTACTTCCTAAACCCTGATATCCCACCCCCACCTTCAAATTCCACTGCCTTTCTCTCATTCTAACTGTCTTACCTCTTTGAGTTTTTCATCACAGAGATCCAGCATGGATTGAGAGATCTGAGTCAATGAGTGTTTTGGCCCTGTAGAGGAACAGAAAGAGATGAAACCACTAATAACGGGAGGCAAAAGCTGCCAACACTTCTTTATCCTTTTAATGCACTTACTTAAGAACCTAAAATGTGTCAGGCACCAGGCTAACTGATGGGTTAGACAGATACACCAGACTTATGTCCATTTTCCAGCACCTAAAACATAGCAGTTACACAATATGAATGAATAAACTAACTTTAACTCTTTCCTTGTGTGTATCTACACACAGTAGTACTACTGCTGCTTTTAATACCTCAAACATAATACTATGGAAGGGGAGCAATAATTTCTTTAAGAATGCCTAAAGAGTGAGCAGGCGGCAGCGGGCGGCTGGGGCTGCAGGCGGTCAGGCCTCCGGGTCAGGGCGGTGGCGCCATCTTGTGCCTGGGGCCGGTGGGGAGGCCGGGGAGGGGGCCCCGGGGGGCGTAGGGGACTACGGGAACGGCCTGGAGTCTGAGGAACTGTAGCCTGAGGAGCTGCCGCTGGACCCCGAGCCGGAGCCCAAGCCTGAAGAGGAGCCGCCCTGGCCTTGCGCCCCCCACCCCCACGGGAGCTCCAGGCCTGGTTCGGGAGCCCCTGGCAGCCAAGAGGAGGAGGAGGAGCCATGACTGGTCGAGGGTGACCCGGAAGACAGCGCCATTGAGGATCCGGAGCTGGAAGCTATCAAAGCTCGAGTTAGGGAGATGGAGGAAGAAGCTGAGAAGCTAAAGGAGCTACAGAACGAGGTAGAGAAGCAGATGAGTATGAGTCCACCTCCAGGAAATGCTGGCCCAGTGATCATGTCATTGAGGAGAAGATGGAGGCCGATGCCCGTTCCATCTATGTTGGCAATGTTGACTATGGTGCAACAGCAGAAGAGCTGGAAGCTCACTTTCATGGCTGTGGTTCAGTCAACCGTGTTACCATACTCTGTGACAAATTTAGTGGCCATTCCAAAGGGTTTGCATATATAGAGTTCTCAGACAAAGAGTCAGTGAGGACTTCCCTGGCCTTAGATGACTCCCTATTTAGAGGAAGGCAAATCAAGGTGATCCCAAAATGAACCAACAGACCAGGAATCAGCACAACAGATCGGGGTTTTCCAGGAGCCCGCTACCATGCCCGGACCACCAACTACAGCAGTTCCCTCTCTCGATTCCACAGTGGTTTTAACAGCAGGCCCCGGGGTCACGTCTACAGAGGCCAGGCTAGAGCGACATCATGGTACTCCCCTTACTAAAAAAAGTATGAGGAGGAAAGAGAAGAAAAAAAGAGGACAGAAGGGGAAAAAAAAAAAGAATTAAAAAAAATACAAACAAAAAACAGAAGATGACCTTGATGGGAAAAAAGTATTTTTTTAAAAAGATATACTGTGGAAGGGGGGGAGAATCCCATAACTAACTGCTGAGGAGGGACCTGCTTTAGGGAGCAGGGGAAGGCCCAGGGAGTGGGGCAGGAGGCTGCTTATTCACTCTGGGGATTCGCCATGGACACGTCTCAACTAGCAAGCTGCTCCCCATGTTTCCCTGCCCCATTTCACCCCCCTGGGGGCTGCTCAAGGGTAGGTGGGTGTGGGTGGTAGGAGGTTTTTTTATTTTTTAGCCAGGGCTCTGGAAGGACACCAAACTGTTCTGCTTGTCACCTTCCCTCCGTCTTCTAACCTTTCACAGTCCTCTCCTGCCAGCTCCTGTCCAGTCAGGTCTACCACCCACCCCACCCCTCTTCTCCGGCTCCCTGCCCCTCCAGATTGCCTGGTGATCTATTTTGTTTCCTTTTGTGTTTCTTTTTCTGTTTTGAGTGTCTTTCTTTGCAGGTTTCTGTAGCCGGAAGATCTCCGTTCCGCCCCTAGCAGCTCCAGTGTAAATTCCCCTTCTCCCTGGGGAAATGCACTACCTTGATTTTGGGGGTTTAGGGGTGTTTTTGTTTTTGTTTTTTTTTCCTTTGCCTTTTTTCCCTTTTATTTGGTGGGAATTGGAGGAAGTGGGAACAGGGAGGTGGGAGGTGGATTTTGTTTACTTTTTTAGCTCATTTCCAGGGGTGGGAATTTTTTTTTAATACGTGCGATGAATAAAGTTGTTTTTGAAAATACAATAAAAAGAAAAAGAATGCCTAAATAGACCGATGGGTGACTTGTAATTTTCCCACACTTAACATATAAAATTTGTGATTGCAACTTTTGTTTGTAGAATTTACGGTTTGTGGTGTTCTAATAACATCGGGTTAATACAAGCCTATGTTAAAAAAGAATCTCTGGGCTGGGCGTGGTGGCTCACGCCTGTAATCCTAGCACTTTGGGAGGCCGAGGCAGGCGGATCACCTGAGGTTGGGAGCTCAAGACCAGCCTGACCAACATGGAGAAACCCCGTCTCTACTAAAAATACAAAATTAGCTGGGTATGGTGGCGCATGCCTGTAATCCCAGCTACTCAGGAAGCTGAGGCAGGAGAATCACTTGAACCCGGGAGGTGGAGGTTGCGTGAGCCAAGACTGTGCCATTGCACCCCAGCCTGGGCAACAAGAGTGAAACTCCATCTCAAAAAAAAAAAAAAAAAAAAAAAATCTCCATACTGATCCCTATCAGAAGCTTCAGAAAATCCTTGAACTATCTGACCTATCTCCTACACTCCCTGCTTATGAATGCCCTAATTTAAGCTCATCATAAAGCAGCTAAAATATTTTCATCTAGCAAGTAATTCCAATTACTTCTTTTACATATCCTTTGCTAGATTGTATTCCTCTGTCTATCCTTTTGTGTTAGTGCTCCCCAGAGCCAAAACGTCAGTTCTATTCTCACTTATTATTTAATTCAGCATTCACTTGTTTATTCATTTAACAAATGTTTAATGACTGTGTACAATGTGTTCAATGATGGGAATATAAGGAAAAATAAGACAGACTTCCTGCCTATGAGACTTATTGGCTTAGGCCAGACACAGTGGCTCACGCCTGTAAACTCAACACTTTGTGAGACTGAGGCAGGAGGATTGCTTCAGCCTAGGAGTTTGAGACCAGCCTGGGCAACATAGTAAGACCTCACCTCTACAAAAAAAAATTCAAAAATTAGCTGGATGTGATGGCATGCACCTGTAGTCCCAGCTACTCGGCAGGCTGACACAGGAGGATTGCTTCGGCCCAGGAGGTCAAGGCTGCAGTGAGCCAAGATTGTGCCACTGCACTCCAGCCTAGGTGACAGTGAGACCCCATCTCAAAAAATAGAACAAAAAAATAAAGATAGTTGCTGGTCTAGTCAAAGAAATGACTTGAAAATAAATTATTGCAAGACAGAGTATAAATGCTTTAAGTATTTATGGATGAAATAATACAAAAGCTGAAAATATATACTAGATTGACCATATGCTAACAAAGTGTTGAACTGACTGAATAGCACTGAAGTTTACTTCCTCTTTTATTTCTGTATGTGTCTAACAATTTCCATAATTTTTTTTAAAAATAGAGTATTAGTATAAATAGAGGAATATATTGGTTGCCATGAATTATGGAGGAGCTGCATATGAGATACAGATGCTCCTTGACTTATGATAGGGTTACATCCCAATAAACACATAATGAGTGGAAAACATCATAAATGCATTTACTGCTGACAGCACAACACAGTATGCTATAAGTTGTTTTACAACAACTGTATCTGCTTACTGGGGCCGGGGGTGGTTGCTCACGCCTGTAATCCCAGCACTTTGGGATGCTGAGGTGGACAGATCGCTTGAGCCCAGGAGTTCGAGACCAGCCTGGGCAATGTGACGAAACCCTGTCTCTACAAGAAAAAAAAAATACAAAAACTAGCTGGGTGTGCTGAAGCACACCTGTGGTCCCAGCTACTCGGGAGGCTGAGGTGGGAGAATCATCGAGCCCAGGGATACTGAGACTGCATTACGCTGTGATTATGCCACTGTACTCCAGCCTGGGCAACAGAGTGAGACTCTGTCTCAAAAACAAAAAACAAGAAATTTCTTATAATTATGGAGGCTGAACAGTCCATGGTTGAGGGGCCACAATTAGTAAGAGCCTTTTTGCTAGTGGAAACTCTGCAGAGTCCCGAGGTGGCTCAGAGAATCCCATGGTGAGGGGGCTGAGCATGCTTGCTCAGGTCCCTTTTCCTCTTCTTATGAAGCCACTAGTTCCACTCCCATATTAACCCATTAATCTATTAATCCATGAATGGATTAATTCATTCATGAGGACAGGGTCCTCAAGATCCAGTCACTTCTTGAAAACTCCACCTCTCAATACTGCCACATTTGGGCATTAAGTTTCAATATGAAATTTTTTTTTTTTTTTTTTTTGAGACAGGGTCTGGCTCTGTCACTCAGGTTGGAGTGTTGGCCAGGCTGGTCTTGAACTCCTGACTTCAAGTGATCTGCCCTCCTCAGCTTCCCAAACTGCTGGGATTACAGGCGTGAGCCACCGTGCCCGGCCTGTCCCTAAGAGTTTTACTCTGGTTCAGCAACTGCCTAAGTTGCACTGTTGTTCTGGAAGCAGTCACTTTGAGCAGAGGTGTTGGACACTGGATGATACCTAGAGGAAGCTGGGAAAATGAGTTGCACAGACAGTAATTGTTGTAGGAATTCAGAGGGGAAATACATTTATCCAGATCAGGAAAGTCAAAGAAGGCTATTCTCGAGGAAGGTGGTGATGACTGTGCCCCTTTTCTATCGACCTTGTGTGTTTGATCCTTATGCCTATTCCTAGATGGAAAAAGAACCGGCTGATGGTCAGTGAATACCCTGGGGTGGTTTCCTACCAGAGTTAAATTATGCTCTGGACTTATTTTAGCTGTGGAACCTGTGCTAAAGAAGACTTCTAGGTGGGAGGCCTCGCCACTCAGAATTGGCTCTGTGTGGGCAGAGAGCAACCCCTAGTGGGCTTGTGGAAAGCATACTCTGAAAGCCACGTTTCTTCTTCTTTTTTTTTCTTTTTGAGACAGGGTCTCCATCTGTCATCCAGGCTGGAGTCCAATGGTGTGATCATAGCTCACTGCAGCCTCGATCTCCCAGGCTCAAGCAATCCTCCCACCTCAGCATCCCAAGTAGCTGGGACTACAGGTACGTGCCACCACGCCTGGCTAATTTTTTTTTATTTTTAGTGAGACAAAGTCTCACTATATTGCCCAGGCTGGCCTCAAACTTCTGAGCTCAAGGAATCCTCCCACCTCAGCCTCCCAAAATGCTGGGATTACAGGCATGAGCCACACACCCGGCTCACTTTTCTTTATTCTGACCAAAATGAGGTGTTGTGTTTGTTTTTGCCTATGATATGGGCCTAATGTAGACCTTAGCTAATGAGACAACAGAATGGGGGATGTCTCTATTTCCCCAAATCCTCAAGGTGAGAAATAAATTGATTCTCAATTTTTTTTCTGTAACCAAATATATATGATTATTTAATGCCCTTTCCTCTGTGCTCTGACACTTAAAGAAGTCACTGCTATAAGAATTAGGTCTGAAATTAGGGCAGTAGTTAAGAACCTACAGAAAGTAGAGTACTTCGGGACCTAAATTGAGGGCAAGGCATTGATGGGGTATTAATATGGGGGTATAAATATAGGAACTCATAATAAACAAGCTTCTTGGAGATCATCTCTGCCATATCATTTACTGTGAAATACTGATTCATGAAGAAATGGATGAGTATGGTGGCATTAAGACCTGTAGTTTTACTCACATAAGGTTGAAGGGGATGAGACTCCTGGTTTATCTAGCATTGTAACCATATTACAGAATTTTTGCCTTCTCCAGTAGTAGAATAGTAGAATTATTAAGAAGACATAGTAGCTTCTAACACTTAATGAGTACTGGCTATGTGAGAGAGACTAATAAGTACTACGCATGCCTTCTTTCATTTAACCCTCAGGTTAAAAATTTTCTCTGGCTGGGTGCGGTGGCTCATGCCTGTGATCCCAGCACTTTGAGAGGCAGAGGCGGGTGGATCACTTGAGGCTAGGAGTTCAAGACCAGCCTGGTCAACATGGTGAAACCCTGTCTCTACTAAAAATGCAAAAATTAGCTGGGCGTGGTGGCACATGCCTATAATTCCAGCTACTCGGGAGGCTGAGGCACAAAAATCGTTTGAACCCAGGAGGCAGAGGCTGCAGTAAGCTGAGATGCACCCCTGCACTCTAGCCCGGGTGACAGAGCAAGACTCTGCCAAAAAAAAAAAAAAAAAAAAAAAAAAAAAGACAAAACTTTCCCAAGTTCACAAAGATTAGAGGGAGAACTGGGTTTTGCCTCCTGACTTCAGAGCCCAGACTCTTAACCATTTCTTTTTTCTTTCTTTCTTTTTTTTTGAGACAAGAGTCTTGCTCTGTCACCCAGGCTGGAATGCAATGGTGTGACCTTGGCTCAATGCAACCTCTGCCTCCTGGGCTCAAGCAATTCTCCTGCCTCAGCCTCCTGAGTAGCTGGAATTACAGGTATGTGCCACCGCGTATGGCTAATTTTTGTATTTTTAGTAGAGATGGGGTTTTGCCATGTTGGCCAGGCCGGCCTCGAACTCCTGACCTCAGGTGATCTGCCCGCCTCCGCCTCCTAAAGTGCTGGGAATACAGGCGTGAGCCACCGCGCCTAGCCCTCTTAACCATTTCTCTAGCTGAGTGTGACTTGTCTGCCTTTCTCTCCAGTATTGTGATGTCTCTGTTTTTCAGGAATGGAGGTTCCTCTGCTGGCTCTATAGCCAGAGACCCAAAGTGACAGCCATGTTTCTTGATTCAACCCTGGAAACCTTCTATGATAATTTTTAAAAATTACTAACCATTTATTAAGCACCTACAATATTTTAGTACCTTTGATACAGTAGATCCAGACCTTATGATAACGGTGTAACACAAATACCTATGTGGATGAATGGTTTTTAATCTTTTTGAGCTCACCCAAAGATTAAAAAGCCTTCTGTGAGATACTGGTGACAGCTCTGGACCTTCTTTCCAGAAAAATTCACTTATGCACATATACATAGTATTGTACACAACTTCAGAAGAGGCTTCTAGGACCTACCGAAGCCCATCCTCTAGTAGTCCACAGACTCCAGGGTAAGAACTCTTGACTTATACAACCCTTTGTAGCTGACTCTTGTATGGCATTAAGGGTATAGAGAGTGTGGGGGGCATCTTATCTTCCTCATCTTCTCCTCAGAGAGAAATGTTTAGAATAGCTCCCTACATTAACCAAGCATCTCTGAATATTCTTTCTGTCTCTCTTGTACATAGGACTACAAGGGAAGAATGCAGACAATCAAATGTGTGGTTGTAGGAGATGAGGCTATAGGTAAAACCTGCCTCCTCATCAGTTATACAACAAATGTCTTTCCTGAGGAGTATATCCCCCCACTGTCTTTGACAATTATAGCGTCCAGACATCCGTGGATGGGCAAATCGTTAGCCTGAACACGTGGGACACTGCTGGCCAAGAGGAGTATGATGACTGCGAACACTCTCCTAACCCCAGACCAGTATCTTTGTTATTTGTTTTTCCATTGGCAACTTAGAATTTCCAATTTATGGGACTTGGTTATCTATGAGTATGGGGAAGTGAAGATGGAATAAATTATGACTATGATTTCTAGGATGTACAACTAGATAGACAATCAGACAATAAGTTGCCAGTTGGGCAATGAAAAATGGACATGTCTGGCAGACAACTAGAAGCACAGGTATGGAGCCCTGAAGAGAGGTATGGGGCTGGAGATAGTGATGTTAACAGATATATTATGGCTGAAGTAATGAGAATGAAAAGGCAAGGAAATGATTCGAGAAAGTATTTCTGGAAAAGGGAGAAGACAGTATCAAGGAGGAAAAAGTGGTCAATAGTGGCAAATGCACAAAAGTTCAAGAATGGTATTTCTAACCATATGCAAAAATTTTCAGCATAATTAGTCAATAGGGAAATGCAAATCAAAATTACAATGAAATACCACTTTACACCCACTAGGATGGTTAGAAGGAAAAAGATAGACAATAACAAGTGTTGATAAGGATATGAAGAAACTGGAACCCTTATACACTGCTGGTGGGATTACAAAATGGTGCAGCTGCTCTGGCAAACAGTTTGGCAGTTCCTCAAAAAGTTAATTAAACATAAGAGTTACCATGTGGACTCAGCAATTCGGCTCCTAGGTACAGACTGAGTATCCCTTATCTGAAATGCTTGGGACCGCAAGTGTTTCAGATTTCAGGTTTTTTAAGAATCTGAAATATTTTGGAATATCTGCAAATATGTGAACATCCCTAATCCGAAAATTAGAAATCCAAATGCTCCAATGAGGATTTCCTTAGAGCATCAAGCAGGCATTCAAAAAGTTTAAGATTTGAGCATGTCAAGTTTTTGGATTTGGGATGCTCGATCTTTATATACCCAAGAGAAATAAAAACAAGTGTCCCTTAACTGTCTTACTTGCCTGACAAATAAAAAAAATTAAAATTAAAAAAAGCAAATGCGTGGTTCATGCCTGTAATCGCGGAACTTTGGGAAGCCCAAGCGGGTGGATCACAAGGCCAGGAGATCAAGACCAACCTGGCTAACACAGTGAAACCGTCTCTACTTAAAATACAAAAAATTAGCCAGGCGTGGGTGGCACGCGCCTATAGCCCTAGCTACTTGGCAGGCTGAGGCAGGAGAATCGCCTGAACCCAGGAGGTGGAGGTTGCAGTGAGCGGAGATCGTGCCACTGCACTCCGGCCTGGGCAACAGAGCAAGACTCTGTCTCCAAAACAAAAAAAACCCCAAATGTCCACACACAAGTCTGTACAAAAATGTTCACAAAATGTTCACAGATGCATTATTTGCATTAGCCAAAATTATAAACAATCTAAAGGTCCATCAATTGACAGACAAAATGTGGGGCATCCATACAATGGAGTATTACATGATTAAAAAAAAATGAGGTTGGGCACAATGGCTCATGCCTGTAATCCCAGCACTTTGGGAGGCCAAGTCAGGAAGATCGCTTGAGCCCAGGAGTTTGAGGCCAGCCTGGGCAACATAGTGAGACTCTTGTCTCTACAAAATAAAAAATAAAAATTAGCCAGGCATGGTGGCATGCGCCTGTGGTTCCAGCTACTTGAGATGCTAAGACGGGAGGATTCCTTGAGCCCGAGAGGGTGAGGCTGCAGTGAGCTATGACTGTACCACTGTACTCTAGCCTGGAAAACACAGTGAGACCCTGTCTCAAAAAAAAAAAAAAAAAAAACCAGGAATGAAGTACTGATACATGTTACAATATGGATGACATGTTAAAACTGACCACTTTAGCCAGCCGGGCGTGGTGGCTCATGCCTGATTTAATCCCAGCACTTTGGGAGGCCGAGGCGGGCAGATCACCTGAGGTTGGGAGTTCAAGACCAGCCCAACAACATGGAGAAACCCCGTCTCTACTAAAAATACAAAATTAGCCGGGAGTGGTGGCGCATGCCTATAATCCCAGGTACTTGGGAGGGTGAGGCAGGAGAATCGCTTGAACCCAGGAGGTGGAGGTTGCGGTGAGCTGAGATCACGCTATCGCATTCCAGCCTGGGCAACAAAAGCGAAACACCATCTCAAACAAACAAACAAACAAAAAACCTGACCACTTTAAATGGTTAAACTGCATGGTACGTGAATTATATTTCAATAAAGGTGTTTAAATAAAAGGTTACTTCTGAAAGGTGGCCAGTGGATCCAGCAATTAGGATGTAGCTGGTACTTCAGCAGAAGACAAGTGCAGGGTTGTGAGGCATAAACAGTAAGTGAAAAAGTGGAGAACAGTATATGGAGCATGGTGGTTAAGAGTACAGGCTCTGACGTTAGATATAACTGGATTAACATCTCTACTTTATCTTTTTTTTTCTTTTTTTTGAGACAGAGTCTCGCTCTCTCGCACAGGCTGGAGTGCCATGGTGCGATCTTGGTTCACTTCAACCTCCACCTCCCAGATTCAAGTGATTCTCATGCCTAAGCCTAGTGGTGGCTCATGCCTGTAATCCCGCCACTTTGAAAAGCCAAGGTCAGTGAATCGCTTGAGGCCAGGAGTTCAAGACCAGCCTGGCCAACATGGTGAAACCCTGTCTCTACTAAAAATACAAAAATTAGCCAGGCGTGGTGGGGCGCAGCTGTAGTTCCAGCTACTTAGGAGGCTGAGGCAGGAGAATCGCTTGAATCCCAGAAAAGGAGGAAGTTGCAGTGAGCCAAGATTGTACCACCACACTCCTCCAGCCTGGGTGACAGAGTGAGACTGCTTCAAAAGAGAAAATCAGCCGGGTGTAGTGGCTCACGCCTGTAATCCCAGCACTTTGGGAGGCTGAGGAGGGCAGATCACCTGAAGTCAGGAGTCCGAGACCAGCCTGGCCAACATGGCAAAACCTCATCTCTACTAAAAATAAAAAAATTAGCCCGGTGTGGTGGTGCATGCCTATAATCCCAGTTACTCAGGAGGGTGAGGCAGGAGAATCGCTTGAACACAGGAGACAGAGATTGCAGTGAACCAAGATCGCAGCACTGCATTCCAGCCTGGGCGACACAGCAAGACTCCATCTCCAAAAAAAGAAAATCACAAATGTAGATTAGAAATGCCCCTAAAAGGCCGGGTGCAGTGTCTCATGCCTGTAATCCCAGCACTTTGGGAGGCCGAGGCGAGTGGATCACGAGGTCAGGAGATCTAGACCATCCTGGCTAACACGGTGAAACCCTGTCTCTACTAAAAATACAAAAAATTAGCCAGGCGTGGTGGCTGGCGCCTGTAGTCCCAGCTACTCGGGAGGCTGAAGCAGCAGAATAGCATGAACCTGAGAGGCGGAGCTTGCAGTGAGCCAAGACAGCGCCACTGCACTCCAGCCTGGGTCAAAGAGCAAGACTCCGTCTCAAAAAAAAAAAAAAAAAAAAAGAAAAAAGAAATGCCCCTAAAGGTAAAGTCATCTTCCTCTTTTATTTTTTTTTTTAGTACATGTGCAGGATGTGCAGATTTGTTACATAGGTAAACGTGTGCCATGGTGGTTTGCTGCACACATCAACCCATCACCTCATCATAAAAAAAATAAATTTTTTTAAGCTATTTAAACACTACGGGCCTGTATGTTCATCTGGAAAATGAGGGTTATAACAGTATCCATTTTAAAGATTTCTTATGGTGAAATAAAGAAAAGAATGCGGCCGGGCGCGGTGGTTCATGCCTGTAATCCTAGCATTTTGGGAGGCCAAGGTGGGTGGATCACAAGGTCAGGAGTTCAAGACCAGCCTGGCCAACATGGAGAAATCCCGTCTCTACTGAAAATACAAAAATTAGCCAGGTGTGGTGGTGGGCGCCTGTGATCCCAGCTACTCGGGAGGCTGAGGCAGGAAAATCACTGGAACCTGGGAGGAGGAGGTTGCAGTGAGACAAGATGGCGCCACTGCACTCCAGCCTGGGCGACAGAGCAAGATTCCATCTCAAAAAAAAAAATAAAAAGAGGTAATATGAGTTGGTCTGGAAATATAGGGAAGAAAGGCATCCCAGAAAGAGAGCAAAGACTGAGAGAGCAAAGACTGCAAAGTCATGAAGAAATGATAAGGGATATTTTGTGAAATATAATGCTGAGTGTGGCAGGGGTCGATAGTGGGTATGGGAGCCAGTTATTGGAGATGGAAAGTAGATAAATGGGTTGGGCCTGCTTGTGAAAGGTTTTAAAATTCACGTAGTACTACTATCCCATGTTTACAGATGAGAAAACTGAGGAGGGTATGAGAAGTTAAATAACTTGTCTATGGTAACTCAATTAGTAAGTGCCAGAGCCATGATTTACACTCTATCTGTACTCCGAATCCCTACATTTATATCTGTGAATCTGTGCTCAAGGATGCAAATGGAAACCAGAAAACCTTATCCTTTACATGCAGAAGCTATACTGTTTCCTCTTTTTAAGACACAGCAACAGGCCAGGCGCAATGGCTCATGCCTGTAATCCTAGCACTTTGGGAGGCCGAGGTGGGCAAGATCGGTTGAGCTCAAGAGTTTGAGACCAGCCTGGGCAACATGGCAAAACCCCATCTCTACCAAAAAAGTACAAAAATTAACAGGGTGTGATGGAAAGCACCTGTAGTCCCAGCTACTCAGGAGGCTACTGGGCAACAGGAATGAAATCCTGTCTCACAAGGGAAAAAAAAAAAAGACAAACAGATTTCTTCCTCTTTGTCTTCTCAGCTTTTGAGCAAAGTGAACATGTAACAGCACCTCTAACAAATTTGTAGACCAAATCGAAGATTCAGACACAGCAAATATGGTCACAAGCGCATACTCTACACAGGTTCCATCCACACTGAACGTCTCTCTCTCTTTTTTTTTTTTTTTTGAGACGGAGTCTTGCTGTGTTGCCCAGACTGGAGTGCAGTGGCACGATCTCGGCTCACTACAAGCTCCGCCTCCTGGGTTCACGCCATTCTCCTGCCTCAGCCTCCCGAGTGGCTGGGACTACAGGCGCCCGCCACTACGCCCAGATAACTTTTTGTATTTTTAGTAGAGATGGGGGTTTCACCATGGTCTCAATCTCCTGACTTTGTGATCCGCCTGCCTTGGCCTCCCAAAGTGCTGGGATTACAGGCGTGAGCCACCGCGCCCAGCCGAATGTCTCTCTTTTGTACTAACCTAGGACCACGTCTTCCACTACTTTCCATGGAACTGTTTCATTGCAACGAATAGACTCCAAATTCTCCAAAGGATATAAGAATTAAACAGTGGGAATAAAAAGAAGTGACATTAGGCCGGGCGCAGTGGCTCACACCTGTAATCCTGGGAGGCTGAGGCGGGTGGATGACGAAGTCAGGAGTTAGAGACAAGCCTGACCAACATGGTGAAACCCAGTCTCTACTAAAAATACAAAAA
This sequence comes from Homo sapiens, assembly GCF_000001405.40. Lineage (NCBI taxonomy): Eukaryota > Metazoa > Chordata > Mammalia > Primates > Hominidae > Homo > Homo sapiens. Next base: position 71,408,483 of record NC_000023.11, on the reverse strand, counting down.
TTAGCCAGGCATGGTGGCGCATGCCTGTAATCCCAGCTACTCGGGAGGCTGAGGCAGGAGAATCGCTTGAACCGAGAGGCGGAGGTTGCAGTGAGCCAAGATTGCGCCACTGCACTCCAGCCTGGATGACAGAGACTCCAACCCCCTCCTTAAAAAAAAAGAAGTGATATTTATTAAATGACTGAAAATGTACATTACCTGATTTTCATACCCACAAATGAATGCACAAATACACTGTAGTCCTCTCAGTCCAATCTAGTCTGAATTTAGGGCCAGTAAGGAATAAGGATCTGAACAGTGACCTTTGCAATCACGGAACATTTGATTCTTACCATTGTAGGTTGCACTATTTTTCACAATTAGCTCCAGATGCTCTCTGAACTCTTCCCGAGATGGGTAGAGGCGTTTACGCACGTTTTCGCGGAGTGTTTGTAGGTCCATTGGCCGAGTGATGATTTTGTAGTAGTCCTTTACAACCTTTGCATTGACTGGAGTGTGGAAAGGGTATGTCTGCAAACAAGGGCCAGAACCATACATCAGCAAATAACAGTTGCCAGAGCCAATTCCTGAAGACTTTCACATCTTACCTATCTACCTGGCTATCAACACTGAAAGGAATCTTTCTAGATGGAGCACGTCTGTTTCCTCTACTAAACTGCTTAAAAAAACAAACAAACAAAAAAAACTAACTCCCTAAAAATTAGGCATTCCAGTTACCTAAATCTACAGATTACTGCCCTCTATTGGAAATCACAGACAGAACAAAAGGCCTTGACATCCCTACTATAGATATCCAATGCAATGAACTCACATTTGGAAGATCTCTCATGTCATTGATGATAGACTCCAAGATGGACGACAGCGTCACCATAGGGTCTGTGCGGCGCCGGTGGATGGACTTATGAGGTCTCTAAGGAGAAATGTGAAATCAGAATGCTTCCTCAGACCAAAAAAAATCCACATTCTGTCCAGGCACAGTAGCTCACACCTGTAATCCCAGCACTTTGGGAGGCTGAGGTGGGTGGACCACTTGAGGCCAAGAGTTCAACACCAGCCTGGGCAACATGGTGAAGCCCCGTCTCTACTAAAAATACAAAAATTAGCTGGGTGTGGTGGCATGTGCCTGTAATCTGAACTACTCAGGAGGCTGAGGTAGGAGGATCACTTGAACCTGGGAGGCAAAGGGTGCAGTGAGCCAAGATCACACCATTGCACTCCAGCCTGGGTAACAGAGCGAGACTCTGTCTCAAAAAAAAAAAAAAAAAAAAATCTGCCGAGCACGGTGGCTCACTGTAATCCCAGCACTTTGGGAGGCCAAAGCGAGTGGATTACCTGAGGTCAGGAGTTCAAGACCAGCCTGGTCAATAAGGCAAAACCCCATCTCTACTAAAAATACAAAAATTAGCTGGGTGTGGTGGTGTGCACCTGTAATCCCAGCTACTTGGGAGGCTGGGGCAGGAGAATTGCTTGAACCTGGGAGGTGGAGGTTGCAGTGAGCCGAGACTGTGCCACTGCACTTCAGCCTGGGCGACAGAGTGAGATTCCGTCTCAAAAAAAAAAAAAAAAATCCACTTTCTCTAACTAGACAAACATATTTTAGAAATCTTATAATGAACAGTACAAATAATTCTCAGGGCAAGGCAACTGGAGAATCTAAGGCTGTCAGAGCTGTGGCATACAGGGCTGGGGAATCAATGATAACCTACCTAATCAGAAGGAAGCAATGCACATACTCACATTCAAATAGTCACAGTGAACAGTGGTTCCAACTCGCCGTTTCTTCTTTGGAGGAAGCTGCTGTTTAGGAAACTTGAGAACCAGAGATTTTCTGCGAACCTCATCCGCACTAAAATCAAAACACTTTAGTTAGATACAGCCCCTATTTCTAGTTCCCAGGGGGAAAAAAAGCAACTATAATTAAAAAAAAGTCCAAGGTACCTAAGCACGAGCCTAGCGAGGAAAAAGCCAAACCAAAGGCCAAACATCCACCTTCTAAGGTTCAGATCAGGCAAGCCCTCATAGGCTCTCCAAGTTAATAAATAACTAGGCAAGTCACAATTTTACCTCAGTTTCCTATTGGGAAGATAAGGAAACCAGACTAAAGAATTTTAAGAATCCTTCTAGTTCCAACATTCTCTTTTTTTTTTTTTTTTTTTTGAGATGTAGTTCGCTCGTTACCCAGGCTGGAGTGCAATGGCGCAATGTCAGCTCACTGCAACCTCCACCTCCCAGGTTCAAGTGATTCTCCTGCCTCAGCCTCCCAAGTAGCTGGGATTACAGAAGCCCACCACCACGCACAGCTAATTTTCGTATTTTTAGTAGAGACAGGGTCTCACCATGTTGGTCAGGCGGGTCTCGAACTCCTGACCTCAAGTGATCCACCCACCTTGGCATCCCAAAGTGCTGGGATTACAGGTGTGAGCCATCGAACCCAGCCCCAACATTCTATCTTAAATGTTAAAAGGCTAGGTTCAGAATGGAAACAAGAAATTAAAAACTGGTTTGAAAACAGAAAACAAACTAGTTTGGGCTTCCCTCAATCATTAAAGCTCATTCACCTTCTTCTTTTCCACTATAAGGGACCATGGTATCACATTTTTTCTTCTTCATTTTTTAAATTTAAAAACTGTTTTTTCAGTAATAGAGACAGGGTCTCACTATATTGCCTAAGCTGGTCTCAAACTCCTGAGCTCAAGTGATCCTCCCACCTCAGCCTCCCAAAGTGCTGGGATTATAGGCATGAGCCACCACGTCCGGCCCATCTTCCTCTTCTAATGTGTTTCAAAAAACAATGACTATTACGGATATTAGTAATTAAATCAACAAGGATGGAGGCTGGGTGTAGTGGCTCACGCCTGTAATTTCAGCACTTTGGAAGGCCCAGGCAGGCGGATTGCCTGAGCTCAGAAGTTCGAGACCAGCCTGACCAACATGGTGAAACCCCATCTCTACTAAAAATACAAAAATTAGCCTGGCGTGGCAGCACGTGCCTGTAGTACCAGCTACTTGGGAGGCTAAGGCAGGAGAATCACGTGAACCCAGGAGGCAGAGGTTGCAGTCAACTGAGATTGCACCACTGCACTCCAGCCTGGGCATATAAAATAAATCAACAAGGATGGGAAAAGGAACCCAAAACTGAAAACAAACACATAAATGACTGTAACTGTATCAAATTGATTTCTTAAATTACACACAAAAAAAGAAGTGATTCAAATATGTTTGGAAGGCCGGGCATGGTGGCTCACGCCTGTAATCCCAGCACTTTGGGAGGCCGAGGCAGGTGGATCACCTGAGGTCAGGGGTTCGAGACCAGCCTGGGTAACCTGGTGAAGCCCCGTCTCTATTAAAAATACAAAAAACTTAGCTGGGCATGGTGGCGGGCACCTGTAATCCCAGCTACTCGGGAGGCTGAGGCAAGAGAATCTCTTGAACCTGGGAGGCGGAGGTTGCAGTGAGCTGGGATTGCGCCACTGCACTCCAGCCTGGGTGACAGAGCGAGACTCTGTCTCAAAAAAAAAAAAAAAAAAAAAAAGTTTGGAATAACCTAACTATACCTCAGTGGCATGTAGTCCAAGAAAAATAAACTACAAAAACCATCTTGAACCTACTTTATGGGTTTGTTGGTGGTAGTGGTATTATTATAGTAATTCTGAAACTATTTTGTACATATCATAGGACAGAGCAAATTTCTCAATAAATATATTGATTTCTAAGTAAATACATACAGAAATTAAGTTATTTCTTGAGAATGGATACAAATATGAAATAAGGGAAGATGAGAAAAAAAGATCTATAAACTAAATTGGAGGTATCAGTATAAAGTTGTAATTTAAAATATATGTATACCAGCTGAGCGTGGTAGCTCATGTCTATAATCTCAGCACTTTGGGAGGTGGAGGCGGGCAGATCACCTGAGGTCGGGAGTTCGAGACCAGCCTGACCAACATGGAGAAACCCTGTCTCTACTAAAAATACAAAATTAGCAGGGCAAGGTGGCACGTGCCTGTAGTCCCAGTTACTCGGGAGGCTGAGGCAGGAGAACTGCTTGAACTGGGGAGGTGGAGGTTACAGTGTGCCACACTCCAGCCTGGGTGACAGAGCAAGACTCCGTCTCAAAAAGAAAAAGGAACCTGGGCTTTTGGAGAAATGGCCGACTCTAGGTATATAGGATAGGAAAATTTGAAAGAGAGCTTTTAACATCTTGTGCCAGAAGGCTGGGCGCGGTGGCTCACGCCTGTAATCCCAGCACTTTGGGAGGCCCAGGCAGGTGGATCACGAGGTCAGAAGTTCAAGACCAGCCTGGCCAACATGGTGAAAACCCATCTCTACTAAAAACACAAAAATTAGCCAGGTGTGGTGGCACAGGTCTGTAATCCCAGCTACTCGGGAGGCTGAGGCAGGAGAATCCCTTGAACCCGGGAGGCAAAGGTTTCAGTGAGCCGAGATTGCGCCACCGCACTCCAGCCTGGGCAAAGGAGGAAGACTCTGTCTCGAGAAAAAACACAAAAACATCTTGTGCCAGAAAGCAAGGAAGTTCTCAAATATTTATAGGGTCATTAAAAAAAAAAAAAAGAAAAAAAAAACACAGGATCTGGCTTGAGGGAGTCAAATTTGGGACACTATGTGAGCATCAAAATTAATTATGTTAAGGAATTATAAAACATTAAATTTCCAAAGGAAAGAATTTCAGAATCCATAGTAATACTTGGAAAGGGAGAGTAGAAAGCTCTTTTTTATAGAAAAATGTTAGCTAATGTTGAAGAAATGCTAGAATTAGAAAAATTACCATTTTGGAACCCCCACTGAAATAACTGAATAAAGCAATGGTCATCAACCGATGCTAAAACTATTAAAAGATTGTCAGGGAACAGGATATTCATCAACATGTTAATTATAAAGAAAAAACATATTTTATTATAGGATCTGAGGATCACCACTTTAACAAGATGATCAAAACAGTGGGAAAACCTGACATTATGTGCTTGCTGATATAGTACAGTAAGCATATCACCTAAATATGACATTAAATGTCTTGCCAACAACATTTAATTGGAATCTGATCAATGAGAGAACAGACAATTCCAGAATATGGAATATTTTGAGGCAATTGGCCTGGAATCTTCAAAAAATTCAATGTCATGAAAAACATAAATGGGGCTGGGTGCAGTGGCTGATGCCTGTAGTCACAGCACTTTGGGAAGCTGAGGCAGGAGGACTGCTTGAGCCCAGGAGATTGAGACCAGCCTGGGCAACATGGCAAAATCCTGTCTCTACAAAAAATACAAAAATTAGCCAGGTGTGGTACTGCACACCTGTAGTCCCAACTACTCCGGATGCTGAGGTGAGAGGATAACTTAAACCTGGGAGGCGCAGGTTGCAGTGAGCTGAGATCATGCCCCTGCACTCCAGCCTGGGTAATAGAACCAGACCCTATCTCAAAAAAAAAAGAAAGAAAAGAAAAGGAAAACATAAAAGGTAGGGAAAATCATTCTAGATTAAGAGAGATTCAAAATATATTTAATGTTTGAACTGGGATTGAATCCAGAACTGGGGACGGAAGCAATAAAAGACACTGAGACAACTAGGGAAGACTAAATGAGACCTGAATATTATATATTATTACATTAATGTTAACTTTCTTAGGAGTGAAATATGATGCCTGCAACTTAGTTCCAAATGATTTAGGAAAAAAAAGTTTTAGGTATATAAAGATGAAGCAAATGTGACAAAACGTTAACAATTAGTGAATTTAGAGGAATTATATATTATATTCTTTCAACTTTTCTGTAGGTTTTGCCATTTTCAAACTAAAAAGTTAGGGGAAAGAACTTTACAACTTCTCCATTTTATTATCTATTAAACTCTCTGAGGGCAAGACACAAGTATAAGCACAGTTTCTATGTCTCATCCATCTTTTGGGATGGTCCTTTATTAGAACACTACGAGGCCGGGAGTGATGGCTCACGCCTGTAATCCCAACGCTTGGGGAGGCCGAGGTGGGAGAATCACTTGAGGACAAGAGTTTGAGACCAGCATGGCGAAACCCTGTCTCTACTAAAAATACAAAAATTAGGCCGGGCATGGTAATCCCAGCACGCCTGTAATCCCAGCACTCTGGGAGGCCTAGGCAGGCGGATCACTTGAGGTCAGGAGTTTTGAGTCCAGCCTGGCCAACATAACGAAACCCCATCTCTACAAAAATACAAAAATTAGCCGGGCGTGGTGGCGTGCGCCTGTAATCCCAGCTACTCGGGAGGCTGAGGCGTGAGAATCGCTTGAACCCAGGAGGCAGAGGTGGCAGTGAGCCACTGCACTCCAGCCTGGAAAACAGAGCAACACTTTGTCTCAAAAAAAACACAACAAGATTAGGGACCTTGCAAATATTATAAGTGTCTAGAAGTAGAACAAGAAGAGATAACTGACATCTACTATATGTCAGGCACTGTACTGTATGCTTTGTAGTCTGTCTCATTTTATCTTCTTAACTATCCTGGTAAAGGTGGTTTTATTTTGTAACTAAGGAAACAGACTCAGAAGTTAGGCAGCATGCTCCAAAACAAGTGGTACAACCTAATCAGCGCTATAATTTTCATTACTGGCAACAATAACTGAGGAAACGCCATCAAAATTCCTGTTCCTTCAGTTCCACTTCAGAGAACACATCACATCTACCCCTGCCAGCCACCAATATAACCAACCTCAAATAAATCTGTCCCATAGCACTTCCTGCCTGGTATCTCTTACCTCTCAATTAGCTGTTTCCCCAAGACAATTTTGGTCCCTTCAACCTTGATAAGTTCTTCATTATCATTATGAATGACTGTCTTTTCCAACTCCTCCTCCTGTTCTTCTGTCATGGCAACAGGGTTGGAAGGTGGCGCATTTGTTTGATAATAGAGGGGGCAGAATTTGTTAGTCCTCATGTGTCCAATGGCACCACATGCCCCACATTTCAGCTGCAAAAGGAAAAGTATCAAACACGTCAGAGGTAAGTAGGCTGAAACACATATCAGAGATAAGCAGGTAAGAAATAAAGTCATCCCTCAGTATATGCAGGGGATTGGTTCCAGGACCCCCAAGTATACCAAAATCCACACATAGTGAAGCCCATATATACAAAAAGCCAGCCCTCCATATACACAGGCTCCACGTACCACGATCCACGCATAAGTGGAACCATGCAGTTCAAACCTATGTTGTTCAAAGCTCAACTGTACATACAAGATGGGAAAAACAAAGTCAGCTTCAGAACTTTTGCTCTAATAGAATTGTTATGCACTGATCAACCAGAAGCCACTAGACAAATCTGCATGTATGGAAATGACACATAGAAAAAAAATGAAATCCAGAGACTAAACATTGCTTTAAAAATCAGGTAAGAAGAATAAAGAGAAGATTTCCACTCCCAATTTAAGTTGTAAACTATGAAAATATTAAATATGCAGGAGACAAGCTGTTGGAAGCCCATCTACATTCAGCAGCATCATCAGCCTGCTGGGTGTATTCCCATTCTCTAGTCAAAACAAGAAAAAGGTTCGATGACACCAAGTCTCCATCTCAGTTTTGCAAATGAGTAGCTCTGGTATCCTAGACCTCAGTTTCATCTGTAAAATGGGGCCAATACTGTATCACACTTATCTAATGCCACATACAAAAAGGAACATTAAAACACTTAATGACCTCAGTATGCATTAAGAACAGTTTCATTTGTTGAATATTTTATAGTTTATAAAGTGCTTCCCCTGAATTATATCATTTAATACAACAACACTGTGGACATATCATTTGATATTAGAGAAAACAAGTTTGGAGAGGTTAAGGTCACAGACCTATTAAATGGCAGAAACAGAACCTGAATTCAGATCTTCCGTTTCCAAGCTCATGGCTCTTTCCACTGTACCACAACTGCCTCATCTTAGGATGCTTATTACAATCACAGTAGTATCTGTGATCCTAAGTTATGGAAAACAACTTGTATGTTTTACTTTTGTTGCTTCTTTTAATATGTACAATATTTTAAAGGTACATATTTAAAAATATATACACACAGACAACAGACATGAAAGTACATGTTAAAAAACCTACCAAACTTGGGCCAAAAGCAGTGGCTCATGCGTGTAATCCCAGAACTTTGGGAGGCCAAGGTGGGAGGATCACTTGAAGCCAGGAGTTTGAGATTAGCCTGGCCAACATAGTAAAACCCTGTCTTTACTAAAAATACAAAAAATTAGCCAGGCATGGTGGTGCACGCCTGTAATCCCAGCTACTCGGGAGGCTGAGGCACGAAAATCTCTTCAACCTGGAAGCCGGAGGTTGCAGTAAGTGGAGATCACACCATTGCACTCCAGCCTGAGCGATTAAGCAAGACTCTGTCTCTAAAAAAACCAAACAAACAAAAAAAAACCTACCAAACCTATCTCAACTCCTAGAAAATATTTCAGATAAAGAATAAGGCCAGGCATGGTGGCTCATGCCTGTAATCCCAGCACTTTGGGAGGCCGAGGTGGGCAGATCACCTGAGGTCAGGAGTTCAAGTCCAGCCTGGCCAACATGGTGAAACCCCATCTCTACTAAAAATACAAAAATTAGCTGGGCGTGGTGGCGGGCGCCTGTAATCCCAGCTACTCGGGAGGCTGAGGCAGGATTGCCGCTTGAAACGGGAAGGTGGAGGTTGCAGGGAGCTGAGATGGCGCCACTGCACTCCAGCCTGAGCAACAAGAGCGAAACTCTGTCTCAAAAAAAAAATTAGCTGGGCATGGTAGCACATGCCTGGTAGCACAGCTACTTGGGAGGCTGAGGCGCAAGAATCGCTGGAACCCAGGAGGTGGAGGTTGCAATGAGCTGAGATTGCGCCATTGCACTCCAGCCTGGGTAACAGAGTGAGACACTGTCTCAAAAAAAAAAAAAAAAAAAAAAGAATAAATAACAAGCCAGGCGTGGTGGCTTATGCCTGTAATCCCAGCACTTTGGGAGGTGGAGGCTGGTAGATCACCAGGTCAGGAGTTCGAGACCAGCCTGGCCAAAATGGTGAAACCTCGTCTCTACTAAAAATACAAAAAATTAGCCAGGCATGGTGGCAGACATCTGTAATCCCAGCTATTCGAGAGGCTCTGGCAGGAAAATCGCTTGAACCCAGGAGGCGGAGGCTGCAATGAGCTGAGATCGCGCCATTGCACTCCAGCCTGGGCAACAGAGTGAGACTCTGTTTCAAAAAAAAAAAAAAAAAAAAAGAGAATAAATGACAAGCCGGGCATGGTGGCTCACGCCTGCAATCCCAGCACTTTGGGAAGCCAAGGTGGGAGGATCACTTGAGCTCAGGAGTTTGAGACTAGCCTGGGCAACATGGCAAAACCCGGTCTCTACAAAAAATACAAAAATTATCTGGGTGTGGTGGCACGTGCCTGTAGTCCCAGCTACTTGGGAAGCAGAGGTAGGAGGATGGCTTGAGCCCAGGAGGCAGAGGCTGCAGTGAGCCGAGATCATGCCAGTGCACTCCAGCCTGGGCAACAGAGCCAGACCCTGTCTAAAAAAAAGAGAGAGAGAACAATAGCACCAGATTTGGTGTGGAATTGTCAATACCACTCACATTAGTATTGAGAACACCCCCAAGTAGTCACATCAATTCAAACCAGCTTTCCACAATATACTTCCCTCATTCCCAGTAAAGGAGGATATCAAAAGCTAAAGGAAAAGGTATACATTCTTCCTTTGCTCCGTTAGCTGTAATCACACCACATTATACTTACTTTTAGGTCAGGACGCTCCTTCATTTTCTTGGGCTTCTTCTCAGGAGGACCCTTAAGCTTCTCCTTTTCCTGGTTCCTCTTAAGCCGCCTCAGTTGCTCTTGAATCCTCCGCCGTTCTTTTCGCATCTCTTCCCGATGTTGTTCATCAAAAAGGGCAAATTTTCGACTGAACAGTGTGAGCAGCAGAGGAAGAAAAATCACAGGACCATAAGCAAACCTTAACCAAGAAGACTATCGTGATAGCTAACATCTCAGGACTAAAGTAATCCATCCAGGCTAAGATAAAAGGGGCTACATGCCATTCCCATCTCCCTCCCTAGTCAGCCCTCCATTTGCAGAGGTAACTCTCTTAGAATAAGTCCTGAGTAATCTCTAAGGTTTTTTTTTTTTTTTCTTTCTTGAGACGGAGTCTCCCTCTGTCGCCCAGGCTGGAGTGCAGTGGCGAGATCTTGGCTCACTGCAGCCTCTGCCTCCCAGGTTCAAGCGATTCTCCTGCCTCAGCCTCCTGAGTAGCTGGGATTACAGGTGCATGCCACCACACCCAGCTAATTTTTGTACTTTCAGTAGAGACAGGGTTTCACCATGTTGGTCAGGCTGGTCTCGAACTCCTGACCTCGTGATCCGCCCGCCTCAGCCTCCCCAAGTGCTGGGATTACAGGCGTGAGCCACCGCGCCCGGCCAGTAATCTCTAAGATTTTTGCAAACCAACCAATCAAAATGCAAAGGACCAAAATGGAACAAAACATGCCTTCATCTCGTGGCAAATACCGAATAGAATTTTCCCTGTAATTTGGCTCTATTCAAACCCAATCTAAAGGCAAGATAGTTCTCAATTACAGCAGAGTTCTAGAAATAACTGTGAAGAATCCTGTCACTAAAATTCAAGCACCCACCCCAATCACCATTCCCCACCATTATTACTATTCTCCCTATCACACTCGAAAGTGGTGAATCAGGCCAGGTGCCGTGGTTCATGCCTGTAATCCCAGCACTTTGGGAGGCTGAGGCACGCAGATTGCTAGAGCCCAGGAGTTCAACACCAGCCTGGTCAACATGGCAAAACCCCATCTCTACCAAAAATACAAAAATTAGCTGGGCATGGTGGTGCATGTCTGTAATCCCAGCTACTCTGGAAGTTGAGGCATGAGAATCACTTGAACCTGAGAGATGGAGGTTGCAATGAGCCAAGATCACGCCGCTGCACTCCACCTGGGCCGCAGAGCAAGACTCTGTCCTCAAAGAAAAAAAAGGAAGTGGTAAATCAAACTCACATGAATTCCTCATCTTTTGTAGTCCGTATGCGCACATAGGCATCAATGACAGCTGGTTTTCGGACTGTCTCACAGCGAACATACTCTTTCCCCTCTTCATCTCGAAACGTGCGATAAATCTTGAGACAGCGTCCAGTGGCAGAAGAGTTAAGGCTAGTCACGGAAGCTGTGTCATCATCTCTGTGATTGTTTCCGGATGCTGCTGAGCCTGCTGCTGCAAGGTAGGTAGAAAAGATTTCCAAACGTTCCCCTTATCTCCCAAATGATCATTTTCTTGGGATTGAGTGGAGCTATCAAAGTTCAACATGCCACAAAACTATGGTTCTACAAAAAGCATCAAAGTCATCATCAGCCCCAAGAATATGCTGATTTGTCCTTTCCTGACTTCATTTTAGGCACTGCCAATTTCCCCACTTTTTTTTTTTTTTTTTTTTTTTTGAGACAGGATCTCTCTCGCTCTGTTGCCCAGGCTGGAGTACAGTGGTGCAATCTCGGCTCACTGCAACCTCCACCTCCCAGGCTCAATCCATCCTCCCAGCTCAGCCTTCTGAGTAGCTGGGACTACAGGCGTGTACCACCACACCCAGCTAAATTTTTGTAGAGACGGGGTCTTGTCACATTGCCTAGGCTGGTCTCTAACTCCTGGGCTCAAGAGATAGGCCAGCCTTGGCCTCCCAACATGCTGGGATTACAGGCCTAAGCCACACGCCTGGCCAATTTCCCAACTTTTGTAAGTACAAAAAGTTCTGAAAAAACCTCAAAGAACTACATGTTTGCTATAGGAGATAGAGAAGCAGATTCCTCTGAACAACAGTGCAAGAGAAAAGACCATGTAGGAAGTGGGTGATGATCACATTACAGATAAAAGCACACAAGGCCGAGTACAGTGGCTCATGCCTATAATCCCAGCATTTGGGGAGGCTAAGGTGGGAGGATCACTTGAGCCCAGGAGTTTGAGACCAGCCTGGTCAACAGAGAAGACACTGTCTCTACAAATTTAACTAGCCAGGTGTGGTGGTACACACCTGTGGTCCCAGCTACTCAGGAGGCTGAGGTGGGAGGATCCCTTGAGCCCAGGAGGTTGAGGCTGCAGTAAACAAGCCATGGTTGCACCACTGCCCTCCAGCCTGGGCAACAGAATGAGGTCCTGTTTCAAAAAAAAAAAAAAAAAGTACCCAAGCACGCAACTCGGGGGGGAAAATGGCACTACAAAAAACAAGTTCCGAGTCTTAAAGCCTAACATAAGCTTCTCAAACATTAATATGAATAGGAATCACCTGAGGATCTTGTTCAAATGTAGGTTATTTTTTTTTTTTTTGAGACGGAGTTTCACTCTGTCGCCCAGGGTAAAGTTCAATGGCGTACTCTCAGCTCACTGCAACCTCTGCTTCCCGGGTTCAAGCGATTCTCCTGCCTCAGCCTCACAAGTAGCTGGGATTACAGGCACCCACCATCATGCCCGGCTAATTTTTGTACAAATGGGGTTTCACCATGTTGGCCAAGATGGTTTTAAACTCCTGACCTCAGGTGATCCGCCTGCCTCAGCCTCCCAAAGTGCTGGGATTACAGGTGTGAGCCACCACACCCGGCTGCAAATGTAGGTTCTAATTTAGTAGATGTGGAGTGAGGCCTGAGATTCCACATTTCTAATTCCCAAATGATACAGATACTGTGTTCCAGGACTATACTAGAAAACATAGATGACCACATTGGTGGAAGGGCTATATCACATTTTTACAAAGGACCCAAAACAATGAAATTACACAAAACTTTTACAGAAAAGAGGAAACAAAGGGAAGACTACTGTGACTGAGAAGCCATATAAATCTTCATCATCAGCCTTTATCCTCTCTCGCAGTATCAACAACCAAGTTTTCAACTGCCTCTTTAACATGTATACTTCAAGGGTGTCAAAGGGACCTCAAACTCCACATATTACACATTCCCTTCCTAACTTCTTTTGAGACAGGGTCTCACCCTGTCACCCAGGCTGGAATGCAGTGGCGCAATCTCAGCTCACTGCAACCTCTGCCTCCCAGGCTCAAGCGATCCTCCCACCTCAGCCTCCCGAGTAGCTGGAATTATAGGTGCCTGCCACCACATCTAATTTTTGTATTTTCTGTAGAAACAGGGTTTCACCATGTTGCCCAGGCTGGTCTCAAACTCCGGGGCTCATATGATCCTCTCACTTCGACCTCCCAAAGTGCTAGCATTACAGGCATGAGCCAGCATGTCAGACCTTGAAATTCACTACTTTAATCAATGGTACCAACATCTTTCTAGTAATCCCAGAGTGAAATCTTAAGGTTGCCTTGATTTTCATCCTTAATGCCCTCCATATCCCAACCCAATTCAGGTCTTTATTATTCCCACCCTCAATTTCTACAATTTTAAAACTCTTTTTATGGTCTAAGACTCCTTCTGAGGGTCTTCTGAAAGCCATGAATGTTCTCAGAAAATGCACATTTAAGGCCAGGCGCAGTGGCTCACGCCTGTAATGCCAACACTTTGGGAGGCTGAGGCAGGCGGATCACTTTGAGCTCAGGAGTTCGACACCATCCTGGGCAACATTTTCTATAAAATACAAAAATTAGCCAGACATGGTGGCACGCACCTATAGTCCCAGCTACTCAGGAGGCTGAGGCAGGAGGAATACAAAATACAAAAATTAGCCAGGCATGGTGGCATGCACCTATAGTCCCAGCTACTCAGGAGGCTGAGGCAGGAGGATCGTTTGAGCCTGGGAGGCGGGGGCTGCAGTAAGCTAAGATCACACCAGTGCACTCCAGCCTGGGTGACAGAATGAAACCCTGTCTCCAAAATAAAAAAATAATAAAATGCACATTTACATATTTTACATGTAATTTCAGAAGTTTCAAAGATAACTCCCTAAATTCATTTACAAATTCTGTATTAAAAACTCTTACCCTCTAGGATAAATGCACAAAAAGCTCATTTGAAGTACAGCACTAATAGCCCAGGCTTGGCCAGGCACCTGATACAGAGGCAGTTAGTGGAGTGGCATCATCTCTGCAATTGGTCCTCCACAGACAATCCTAGAGTCCAGTTTGTAAAAAGCTTTCTACTTCATTCACAGACTTTTCTACATGCATCCCTTACATCTTCTGCCTCCAGATCTCCCTCAATTACAGTCTGCAGTTACGTAGGCTCCTTTTTTAACCCTTCTCTTTTTTATCTGTCTGTGAAGCCAAGATCCTCACCCAGTAGCATTCGCTGTAGTTCCTTCCGCTCCTGTTCCTCCCGTTCACGTGAAAGCTGAGAGCTGGTTTTCTTGTTCTGCAACATGTTCTCAATGTTCTTTCCCATTTCTTCAAAGTCACTATCTTCAGCTGAGCTGCTGTCTGTGTCAGTTGATAAGACTTCAGTTGATGACAGAACCCTAAAAAGAGAAAAAGCAATGTGCAGAAAGAACTAAAGAAATATGGTTGCAGGCAAAAGTAAAAAATTGGGAAATCAACCTTAAAAAGGCATACTCAAAATCCACTAAGACATGGGGCCCTTAACAGAAAAGCTTTACAAAGTTTTCCTAGACATTTGGTCAACAAGATAAGTTTGAAAAATTGTAGTAACTCTTTCAGAATTCCTGGAGACAACTTGATAAATAAATCAGCACACTGGTCATTTTTAATAGTGTATTAACATCCTCTCACAACTAAACCTTTAGAAAAAAGCCCTACCTGTCACCTGCTACCATTGTGCTATTTGTTAGGCCCAAGTAGGCCATAAAAGTTGTCATGGAACCTAGAACACAAGACTAGCGTTTCCTTCTGTTCAAAAATTTTGCCAAGTTGGGTTGAAGGGAATAGGTAATCTGGTGGTGGGATTACAAACATATACTACCCTGACATGTCAGATATCTGACTACCTAGGTAGTCAAACTTTTAGGTGACCTCCTCTTTATTATGAAATAGTGCCTGGAACTCCTCCCCCTTTCCAGCTTGGATTTTCTGCAGCACTAAAACGACCCACTTGTTCTGTAGGTCAAAGATGCGCTGACATTCCTCTTTGTAACGCTCTTGATGCTCAGCCACAGAAAACCTTGATCCACGGGCAAATTTACTCATGGGCCCCTCTCCAGAACGAGCCTGTTCTGTTGACATTGTGCGCACCACATCAATCACTTCCCAGCGGGACAACTTTTTAATCTACGAGACAAATAGCCACACACAAATATAAATATACACACACACACACACACACACACACACACACACACACACAAATCATTCAGGGATTTCAAAGGACAAGCCAATGTACACAGTTAGACCAAAAAAGAAAAATCACCCCAAAGCAGATTACATAGAAAGATAACTCCTAAAACAATATCTAAGACTTAGCTTACTATACCCTACAATAAAGTTCCCCAGATAGTTCTTTACATCTGCCTCCTAGCAATTCCAACTCTATACAAAGCCCCTAGTATACTCTAAATTTTCCACTTCCACACTCACCTCTTCCTCAGGCACACCAAATTTACGTAGAAGTTGCTTGGCATTTTTCAGGGAAAGGCGACGAAGGTCTGCATCTGTTCCTGTCACTGTCTTCTTCACTGGCTGCGGTTCTTTATCATCCTACCTCAAACAAAAAAAAGTGAGACTCCTAAAAACCTGAATTCCTTTTAAGTAGGCATCTAAGTCATTCTGCTACCTTAACTACATTCCAAGTCCTCCACTCACCCATTTCTTTCTCCCTTGACTTTTTCATTCTAGAAATAAACACAATCTCACCTTCTGCTGTGTTGGTTTGTTTGGAATCTTCACATAGGAGAATCCTTCACCACACCCCGTGGGATCTGCCACCCCAGTCACCTCTAGCAGACACTTGCCCTTCATGGCAGCAATGAAGGCCCTTGTGGTGTTCCAAGGGGCAGTGCGAACCTGAGATAAAGAAAAAGATTCTCAGGGCAGTGGGAAACATTTGTTCTATGTCTAGCCAATATCTACAAGAGTAGAATAATTACAAACTATTTTCATGTTCTTTTTTTCTAATTTTTAATTTCTGTGGGTTCATGCTCTCTTAAACTGTCCACAAAAATCAACAGTTAAATATAGCTACCTAGTACTCAGTTCTCTTCTATCCTATGGTACAATACTTACAACATGATATTAAATAGAGGTCAAGAGCTCAGGCAGGATAAGGAGAAAAATAAAGAACAGTGGTATCCCTTCAGCCCCTTATCCCTTGGGCTTCAATAAACATTCTTAAGGACAGTGTTTCCCTCACCCTCATGATGCTCAAAATTAGACTAATGACTACATTTGATTGTCCAATTGCTCAAACAGCTGTTTTAGAATGAAACCTATTTTCTCGAAATACTTGACATGCTTGCTTTCAAAGCATTGGCCCCTTTTCCAGTGACACTAAACCAAAGTCCATTCTATTTCTGCCACTGGTTTGGTCAAAAAGGTCTGTCCTCTCCTGGGACCCTGAATAGTGTTTACCAACCCCTGCAAGATTCTTAAAGAATTAAGCCAAGGGGTGAATGTGCCTGCCCACACAGACCAGTCAGGAGTACATGAGGCCAGGTGTGGTGACTCACACCTGTAATCCCAACACTCTGGGAGGCTGAGGCGGGCAGATCTCTTGAGGCCAGGAGTTCAAGACCAGCCTGGCCAACATGGTGAAACCCCATCTCTACTAAAAGTACAAAAATTAGCCAGGCGTGGTGGCGCACACCTATAGTCCCAGCTACTCAGAAGGCTGAGGCACGAGAATGGCTTGAACCCAGCAGGCAGAGGTTGCAGTCAGCAGACTGCACCACTGCACTCCAGCCTGGGAGACAGAGTGAGACTCTGTCTCAAAAAAAAAAAAAAAAAGAGTATATATGATTAGCAAGAAAATGGCCATTCTCTAAGGTTCAATCTGGAAAGCCATTCAACAGAATTCTTTTTTTATTTTTAATTTAAAAAAAATTGTTTTTCTTTTTTAGAGACAGGGTCTCACTATGTTGGCCAGGTTGGTCTTGAACCCTTGGCCTCAAGTAACCCTCCCACCTTGGCCTCCCCAAATGCTATGATTACAGGCCTGAGCCACTGCGCCTGGCCTCAAAAGAATTCTTAATTTCTGAAATTCTTAGATATCCACTCATTTTTCATTCCAACCTCAAGAGAGTAGTACAACGATTCTTTACTCACTCTGTGTGGCCTCATTTTCTGCTTCATTTTATAATCACTTAATTCATTTAACAAATATTTATTGAATACCAACTACACACTACTCCTCCATACTACTTTTTCATGAACCTCAAGTTAGTGAGGGAAAAACAGCCAACCAAGTTCAGTACTATGTGATCAGTGCCACGGGAAGAAAGTAGAGGCCAGGCACAGTGGTTCATGCCTATCATCCCAACACTTTAGAAGGCCAAGGCAGGACGATCGTTTGAGCCTAGGAGTTCAAAATCAGCCTGGGCAACACAGTAAGATCCCATTTCTTTCTTTCTTTTTTTTTTTTGAGATGGAGATTCGTTCTTTTAGTCCAGGCTGGACTACAATGGCGTGGTCTCAGCTCCCGGCAACCTCCACCTCCCAGGTTCAAGTGATTCTCCTGCCTCAGCCTCCCAAGTAGCTGGGATTACAGGCGCACGCCACCACGCCCGGCTCATTTTGTATTTTTAGTAGAGTCAGGGTTTCACCATGTTGGCCAGGCTGGTCTCGAACTCCTGACCTCAGGTGATCTGCCCGCCTCGGCCTCCCAAAGTGTTGGGACTACAGGCATGAGCCACCGCGCCCGGCCGTGAGACATTTCTACAAAAAATTTAAACTATTAGCTGGGTGTGGTGGTGTGTGCTTGTTGTCCCAGCTACTCGGGAGGCTGAGATAGAAGGACTGCTTGAGCCCAGGAGTTCAAGGCTACAGTGAGCTGTGATCTCACCACGGTACAGCCTGGGTAACAGAGCAAGACCCTATCTTGGGAAAGAAAAAAGTAAAGGGGTACTATATGTACATAATGAAAGGAGAATTATCATCCAATCGAAATCCAGGGTGGAATGAGGGGAAAAGTCCAGGAAAGCTTCCCAGAGAAAATAACTTGTAGATGAGAGTCAAATGGCAGAGGAGTGGAGAAAAAATATCTCAGTAGAAGACATAACTGAAAAATTCTGAAAGGGAAGAGAAATTTAGGAAACTGAATGAACTTCGGTATGGTTGGAGCTTAGAATATAAGACAGGCAGTGACAGGAGATGAAAGGAGGTCAGATTAATATGCAAGGCCCAAATCATGTGAAGTCTTATAAATCAGGTCAAAGTCTTTTTTCTAGAAGAAATGAAAATCCTGCCAGGTGCAGTGACTCATGCCTGTAATCCCAGCCCTTTGGGAGGCCAAGGCACGAGGATCACTTGAGGTCAGGAGCTCAAGACCAGTCTGGCCAACATGGTGAAACACCATCTCTACTAAAAATACAAAAAATTAGCTGGGCATGGTGGCGTGCAACTGTAATTTCAGCTACTCGGGAGGCTGAGGCAGGAGAATCGCGAGAATTGCAGGAACCCCGGTAGGTGAAGGTTGCAGTGAGTCGAGGTCATGCCACCACTGCACTCCAGCCTGGGTGACAGAGCAAGATTCTGTCAAAAAACAAAACAAACAAAAAAAAACAAACCCATATCATATAAAATATAATATTTGATATATCGCATCATTTTTTCTGGCATGAATAAAGCAAGAACATCTAACAGTATACTTTAAATGTGTACAGTTTATTTTATGTTATCTCAATAAAGCTGTCTCTTTTAAAAGGATAAATGAGATGTATTAATGACTAATACAAACTAGTATAAAGCCTTACTTCATCATCAATCTTCATCTGGAAATCTTCCTCATTTTCTTCTTCTGGAGCAAAAAAGGATTTCTCACCATAGCCAGCATCCTGGAAGAGGACAGATCCATGCATAAATCAGTCAGTTAAAAAACACAAAGCACAAGTTTTTTTTTTACTGAATACAAGTACAGAATACCAAAGTCTATTTTGCATAGATGGATTCCATAAAGTCTTCACTATATCTAACACCACGGCACATCCTTAAGCTATAAGATACATTACAACATGCCAAGGAGCTTACTAGCTGATATACAGATAGTTACAGCCCATAAGCAAGCTGAACAGAGATGCTCAATAACTGAGTCTCATTAACTCAGTGGGACAGAGCTGTGCTGTCACACCTCAGCTGGACCTTTTCTCTTTTGGCCTTATAAGAATTCTGTGCTTCTCTAAACCACACATTCAGCACCATCATCATCTCTGCCTACCTGAGAGGCTGACAAGTACTTTCCCTGCTTATATGCTTATCTTGCAAAGAAGAGATTAAAGTCACCCAGTCACCATTTTCAAAGCAAAACAATATGCCCAAAGTTCCTCATTATGCCTTCCCACTGATACTTAGCTACACTATAGTTTTTCTCCAGAACTGATGTACGTAGAAGTACTTTATACAAATTGAACTTTTTAGTAATTGGTAATAATCTAGTAAACCATCCTCCCTAAGCCAGTCAGAGAAAGAATCTTCTCTCTCATCTCTCTGGGGGGAAGAAAAAAAAAAACAAAAAACCACAGGCATAAGTGGTGTCTAAGAGGAAGGTGTTCACCTTCAGTCGTTGCTCTGCAGCTATCATGCTATAATAAGCACAGCACTGCTCTGGTGACACCATAGCTCTGATCTCTTCTTCCGTTGGTAAACGAAAATCAGACTTAAGCACCCACCAGTTTGAGTCCATCCCTGGAAAAGACATATACATAGAGAATGAGACCATTCTGAATTCCAAAGGCCCTGATATTTATTGACAGCAACAGGGACAGCAAACCAAAACTGTAACAGGCCTAGCCACAGTTGGCATGACTGGCCAAGAAAACCCCAGCTGCTAAGTTTCCTACAACTCATAGAAGATATCCAACAATCACATTAAACTTCCTGGCAGCCAAATTCAAAAAAGCAACCAGAGTGTTAGAAGATCTGCTACCTCCTTTCAACAGCCATCAATTTCTATTTTATTAACTATATGCTTATCCTTTAACTCAAAGCCATCAAAATTCTTTTCTTGGAAAAAGGCAGACAAATAACTAGTCACAACAGACGACCTGTGCGTTTGAAGTCAGCGCAGAGCTTTAGCCTCTTCCGGATGCTGCTTTCTGAATGGGAAGGAAAGGCTTTTTTTATATCTTCCATTCGTATCCTCCGTGGCCGATCTTTACTTTTCCAGAAAAGGCGGTAAATAAAAACCTGCCCAACAAACCAAGTGTATTTTATTTGGCAAAGAAAAGGATAAAAGTCCTCACTAGGGCCTCTTCCTTTGCTAAGCTCTAATGTATTTTCATCTTTCCCGATGTGCTCCCAAACCCACACAGCCTACTTTTTCTGAGACGGAGTCTCGCTCTGTCACCCAGAGTAGAGTGCAGTGCCTTGATCTCAGCTCACTGCAACCTCTGCCTCCCGGGCTCCAGTGATTTTCCTGCCTCAGCCTCCAGAGTAGCTGGGACCATAGGCGTGCGCCACCATGCCTGGCTAAATTTTTTTTTTTTTTTTGAGACTGAGTTTCACTCTTGTTGCCCAGGCTGGAGTGCAGTGGTGCGATCTCGGCTCACTGCAACCTCCGCCTCCTAGGTTCAAGCGATTCTCCTGCCTCAGCCTCCTGAGTAGCTGGGATTACAGGCATGTGCCACCACGCCTGGCTAATTTTGTATTTTTAGTAGAGACGGGGTTTCTCCATGTTGGTCAGGCTGGTCTCAAACTCCCAACCTCAGGTGATCCGCCCACCTCGGCCTTCCAAAGTGCTGGGATCACAGGCGTGAGCCACCACGCCCAGCTAATTTTTGTATTTTTAGTAGAGACAGGGTTTCACCATGATGGTCAGGCTGGTCTCGAACTCCTGACCTCAAGTGATCCATTCACCGCGGCCTCCCAAAGTGCTGGGATTACAGCCATGAGCCGCCATGCCCGGCCCCAACATACCCTTTCTGTATACAACCCAATCCCCTCCCTATCCTCCCATTCTTACCTGTAGAAAGTCTCGAATATGCGTATTGGCCCTTTTGGAGTTAGGCCCAGGAACTTCAAACAAGGGACACTGCTGGCCAACCACAAAAATATCCACTAATTCCCGAATATAGTAACCCTGTCTTGTCCGAATGATCAAGAAATCAGTTTCTGGCATCTTATGAAGATAAATTGGAGCACGAAAAAGGTTGTTCTCAAATGCCTAACAAAAGTAAAAACACAAAAATTATATACAGAGTAGCCCTAGGAAATTCAGTCAACTGCTGAGAAAGAAATACCAAGCTTATTGCTCTCCATCTTAATTACGCCATCTAAGGTCTATCCAGTAATACAAATAAATTAAAATATAGATTATCAAATGTGACTAAACAATTTTTCATCCACTATCTTTCAGAGTCAGTAGGGGAGAAAATACAGGATGTGAATTCAGATGATGCTAGCTCTGCCATTACCTCTATGATTTAACATGTCTATTTAAGCTATTTAACATGTCTAAGTTTAGTTTTCCTCATCTACAAAACAGAGATACTTAAAAATGCCTATACCTCACAGGACTGCTATGAAGATTACATATGAAAATCACTTCATAATGTACCAAGTACTATACTACTACCCTAGACCCCAGTGTAGCCCAACACACAACGTGTGAGAGCAACATTTGTTGAATAAATTATTAAACTAATTAAAAAACAAAACAACGCCGGGCACAGTGACTCATGCCTGTAATCTCAGCACTTTGGGAAGCCGAGGCAGGTAGATCACTTTACCTCAGGAGTTCAAGACCAGCCTCGGCAACATGACAAAACCCCATCTCTACAGAAAATACAATAATTAGCTGGATGTGGTGGCGTGCGCCTATTGTCCCATCTACTTGGGAGGCTGAGGTAGGAGGATGGCTTGAGCCCAGGAGGCAGAAGTTGCAGTGAGCCAAGATCGTGCCACTGCACTCCAGCCTGGGTCACAGAGCCAGACCCTATCTCCAAACAAATAAATCATAAAACAACCAATGAGGTAGAAAGAGTGCTAGACAGAATAGGCTGGGAAAAAACAAAAGGAAAACACAAGACAGTAGGACAGAGGACAGCTGAACAGAAACATTTGAGCCAGTTTAAGTAGAGGCAAGATAGGGATAAACTGTCACAAGAAGCCTGAGTCTAAGGAAAGCCTTCCCCGAAAATCAGAAGAGTAGACAGAAAGAGGGAAGACCATCACTGAGTGTGGAAAGAAAATTCTACATGTGAAATATAGGCAGAAAAAGAATTACAGAAGAATACAGAAAAAGATCTTTTTTTTTTTTTTTTGAGATGGAGTTTCGCTCTTGTTGCCCAGGCTGGAGTGCAATGGCGCGATCTCGGCTCACTGCAACCTCCACCTCCCGGGTTCAAGTGATTCTCCTGCCTCGGCCTCCCGAGTAGCTGGGATTACAGGCATGTGCCACCATGCCCGGCTAATTTTGTATTTTGAGTAGAGGCAGAGTTTCTCCATGTTGGTCAGACTGGTCTCGAACTCCTGACCTCAGGTGATTCGCCCACCTCGGCCTCCCAAAGTGCTGGGATTAACAGGCGTGAGCCACCACGCTCGGCCAGAAAAAGATCTTTAAGAGACTACAAAAGTAGCCACAAAAGAAGAGGCTGAATTGGTAGAAAACCTCAACAGAAAGTTCCAGGGAAAGGAGAAGAACAATACAAAGATGATACTAAACATCCGGTTAGCAATAGACTATGAATGTAAAGGATAAAGAAAAAAACTGAGCTTTGCAGATGCTTTAGGAGAATAAACAACAACAACAGTAGAATAAACTAGGTATAAGAGTAGGACAAATGGTTAAGATTGCCAAGAGAAATGAAATGGAGAAAAAAAACAAGATGGGAGAGTGCTAGAGATTTTCCACATCATTTGTGGACCATCATACTTCCCCCCTTGAATATATAAAAGCTGTTATAAGAGAGCCTCTTTACACCCATTAGAACAAAGGAGGGAAAAAAAAAGCATTTCACTATGGCTGGGGACTGTAGATGGCACAGTTCAGGTGTGGTTCAATATTCACAATAACCACAGCTAATGTGATCAAAATGTTATCAATTTTATACACAAAAATTAAATATTCATAAATTATAGTAAATTTATAGTAAATTCATCCTAGGTTGACTTCCTTATGCTTCCCAGATGTTACTGAGCTTACCAGTGTGTATTTTTAAAAACCTATTTTACATTTAGCCTGAGAATAACACAATTCACAGCCAGTTTTAAGAAAAAGATTTCTTTAAAACATTTTTGGATTATACTTATTTTCTTTGTACTTAAAATTAAAGCATCTCAATCAACTAGAATTATAATAGTTCTTTCTGAGCTGACTGGTTCCTCATTTATCAATTTCCTTAGTTAACAGTAAAAACAGGAAAGAATTCCTCACTTGCAGCAATTGGCCAGGATGGAGAGAACCCAGGAAAGGAGATGTATGGCAGTAAACAGTTTCCCCATATTTACAATCTGGTGCTCCAGGATCTTTTCCAGGTTTCTATAAGGAACACAGAAGACCCAGTTATTTAGAATATATCAATAATCCTACACAATATGACCATAGCACTTTACTAATACAGGTTGAGTATCCCTCATCCAAAATGCTTGTGACCAGAAGTGTTTCGGATTTTGGAATAGTTGCATTATACTTACCAGTTGGGCATCCCAAATCTGGAAATCCAAAATGCTCCAATGAGCATTTGAGTATCATCATAGTGCTCAAAAAGTTTAGGATTGGCCGGGCATGGTGGCTCATACCTGTATCTCAGCACTTTGGAAGGCCAAGACGGGCAGATCACGAGGTTAAGAGATCGAGACCATCCTGGCCAACATGATGAAACCCTGTCTCTACTAAAAATACAAAAATTAGCTGGGTGTGGTGGCACACGCCTGTAGTCCAGCTACTCAGGAGGCTGAGGCAGAAGAATTGCCCAAACCCAGGAGGTGGAGGTTGCAGTGAGTGGAGATCATGCCACTGCACTCCAGCCTGGCAAAAGAGCAAGATTCAGTCTCAAAAAAAAAAAAAAAGTTTTGGATTTTGATTTCGAATTTTGAGATTTGAGATGCTCAACATGTTATAACTACAAAAAAAGGTACCACTCCTTTCTCCCAAGAAATTTATGGTATATGTTCACAGATTACCAGTAGATCTCTAACTACAGCTACGTTAATAATAAAAAATTTGTATGTAAGTTTGCAGTTTGTCTCACTACAGCTATGTTAATAACAAAAAGTTTGTACATAAAAGTTTATGGAAGCATAAGCAGAATTATGTATGGGAAAAAAATTTTCTGAGCAGAGACTCACCCGTTTATAATAGTTCTTTATCTTGGTTGCCATGCCAACCTGCATCATTAAGGGTCCATTTTCCTCACTATATTCTGCAAGAATAAGATCACCATCTTTGCCTGTGAGGTCCTGAGGTGTGCGCATAAAAAACATCTCTCCACCACCTGAAGCTTGCCTCTCTTGTTCTCTCATCTGTCCAGAACAAAGAAAATACCATCTAGCTCCTGACAGGACACTACTACACACAATGACGTTGTTCAATCTGAGACAAACACACCAAAAACATTTTACCTATTTTCCAATTTCATAATCAAAATTTTCAAACATACTGTAAAGTTCAAAGAATAGTACAGTCGGCCCTCCATATCCATGTATGGGTTCTGCATCCGTGATTTCAACCAACCATAGATAGAAAATATTCAGAAAATACAAGTGCATCTGTGCTGAACAGGTACAGACTTTTCTTGTCATTATTCCCTAACCAATAACAGTGTTAACAACTATTCACATAGCATTTACATTGGAGTAGGTATTATAAGTAATCTAGAGGTGATTTAAACTATAGGAGAGGATGTGCATAGGTTATGTGCAAATATTATGCTATTTTATCAGAAACTGGAACATCTAAAGATTTTGGTATCCAGAGAAGGTCCTAGAACCAATCTCCCAGAGATAACGAAGGACGACTGTACTATGAACACTTATTATCCCACGTCGCTGTTTATATTTCGCCATTTTTTTAAACTTTTATCTTTCTATAGACTTTGCTGGACAGTTTTTGAAAGATGCAGTCATTCTGACACCTCACCTTTAAATATTTTCACATGCATCACCTAACAATAAAGACATTCTCCTAAATAACCAAAATAACATTCTATCACATCTGAGAAAATAACCAATTCCCTAATACAATCTAATACCTGGTACATTCCCTTAATTTATACCCCAATATCCTTTATAGCTGTTTTCTAACCAGAATTCAATTATACCTTGGCCTTTTTTTTGATGTGCTTTAGCAAAGGTTGGACTGAGTGGGGACCTGGCTGAGAAAGTGCACCAAATGAGTACTTTTTCAGAGGTGGGCGATGGAACTGCCGGAGTTTGATGGGCCCCATGTGGGTGGGAAAGAAGGGCTGCCGTAATTCCACAGCAGGAATTGAATGCTAAAACAGGAAATAGAAGGGTTAAAATTAGCTAATTCCATCCTAAGCAAGATTTTCCCATATCCTCCGTCAGAACAAAGCCATGGGGTTCTCCTCTATCACAGAAAAGACACTATTTGTACCTGGATAATATTCCCTCCAAAGGTGCCTCGAAGACCCTGTTGCTTGGGATAATAATACTCATCATTGGAGAGATTCCATGGATCTTTCACTTCTGGCTGAGACATGTTCTAATGATAGATAATCAAACAAATCTCGGTCAGACTATCCTTCTCTATTACCTTTCTTTGTTCTTCTAAACACCAAGCCCCTTTTTTCTTCACACACCTGCTGTGGTTCCTCCTTGATGACTCCTGTTTTCCCTAAGAGAATTCGACTCTTCTTCAGAGATGATTCCTTCTTACTCTCCTTGGAGGGGGAGTTAGAGGTGGCCTCTTCCTTCTCATCAGGAATTTCTGAGAATAAAACAAAAATCACTTGAGTTGCTCTCCCTGAAGATTCACCTTTCCTACAGACAAGTATCCAGTTTTCTTCTTTAAGGTGACGGATGTTCCAGTGAAGGTCTTAACTAGACCTTTCATCCCACCCCCCCCCAGGTAACTTCTAGTCCACGATTTACTAACTGAACTACACCTGTATCTTTTCATCCCATCCCAAATCACTTCTAGTACATGATTCACTAAGTGAACTACACGCTTGACATCTCAAAGGTACTACTTTCCGACAGTCCTACATGAGTTTTCCCTAGGGAATACACAAATAATAAAAACTAACTGCCACAATTTTGCTCTCTCAAACTGCTACCTAGAAGTTTCGAGTCCATGATTCACTAACGGAACAAACTATGCTCTTGACATCTCAAAGTTGCAACTTTCCAACATTCCTACGTGAGTGTTCCCTAAGCATATACACAAATAATATAAACTAACAGCCAAAACTTCGCTCTCTCAAGCCGCTACCTACAGGTTTCTAGTCCTAATCATCTCCAACCCTTCTGATTTCCTCCTGCCCGTTGACATTAACAGCAAGTTTTCAAAGGAGAAGAAACACTGGCCTCTGCCAGTAATATACCCAAAATGAGGTTCTCATCATTGGGATCAAGTGTCAAAACAGGAGGTTCCAACAGCCGGGGCATGGCCTGAGCATCCCAAATGATATTGTCCTCCCAGCGTCCATATACCAGATCCTCATTGTCAATGGGAAAAATGGAGTACCAAGGTTTGTCATCATCAAGAGTGGCTGCAAAACCTAGTCAAAGTGCAAGGAGGAAATAGTAACAGAGAAAACATTTATGCCCCTTTCAATCAAGATTCTGGCAAAGATAAAAAGAGTTACTCATGTTAGTAGAGCGAGTTAGTGGAGTTATTCATGTGTCCACTGAAAAGGAACCTACACAGTGTATTTCTCACTTTAAAATAATGTTGCAGGCTCAGCACGGTGGCTCACACCTGTAATCACAGCATTTTGGGAGGCCGAGGCAGGTGGATCACTTCAGGTCAGGAGTTCAAGACCAACCTGACCAACATTGAGAAGCCCCATCTTTACAAAAAATACAAAAATTAGCTGGGTGTGGTGGCACATGCCTGTAATCCCAGCTACTCAGGAGGCTGAGGCAGGAGAATCACCTGAGCCCAGGAGGCAGAGATTGCAGTGAGCTGAGATCGTGCCATTGCACTCCAACCTGGGCAACAAGAGTGAAATTCTGTCTCAAAAAATAAATAAATAAAAATAATGTTGCAGTCAAAAATGTCCACTGCAATACTGTTTATAATAGTTGAAATTTAAATAGCCTAAATGTTTAAGAAGGAATTGGTTAAATTATGACAATAAATGATATGGTAAAGTATGCTAACAATAAATGGTAATAAATTGTATTAACAAATGCAACATGTTATCGGTAAATTATGAAACATTCGTAATAGTAATATATAACCCATAAAGTGGGCAGAATGGAAGGGAAAAAACCTATTTCTTAGGTTTTAAAAATCAGACATTTTTGTATCCGGGTGTGGTGGCTCACGCCTGTAATCCCAGCATTTTGGGAGACCAAGGCAGGCAGATCACTTGAGGTCAGGAGTTCAAGACCAGCCTGGCCAACCTGGTGAAACCCCGTCTCTACTAAAAATACAAAAATTAGCTGGGCACAGCGGTGCACGCCTATAATCCCAGCTACTCGGGAGGCTGAAGCACAAGAATCACTTCAACCTGGGAGGCAGATGTTGCAGTGAGCCAAGATCGCGCCAACACATTCCACCCTGGGCGACAGAGACTCTTGTCTCAAAAAAGAAAAAATTTTGTTTTTCCTCCAAAATATAAAAGTAATCCAGCTTTCTATGTTTATATAGTCTGCTTTTTTTCATTTACACTAATAGGATATCATATATGTTGTTTCATATCTTCTTTATTTCCATTTAAAATGAGTTTCTCAAGCCAGACGTGGTGGCATGCCCCTGAAGTCTTGGCTACTCGGGAGGCTGAGGCAGGAGGATCACCTGAGCCCAGGAGTCCAGCCTGACCAACAATAGCAAGACTCTACCTCTACAAAAAATAATAATTTAATTAAAATAAAATGAACGAGTTTCCCATGTCATTAAACATTTTTATAAAGAACTCTAAATGACACAAAAATATTTATGTGGCTGGGTGGGGTGGCTCTTGCTTGTAATCTCAGCACTTTGGGAGACCGAGGCAGGAAGATCACTTGAGTCTAGGAGTTTGAAACCAGTCTGGGCAACAAAGTGAGGCCCTGTCTCAACAATGAAAAATAAAAAATGAAAGAGAGAAAAATATTTAGTAAGTGAAAAGCACAGTATGCAAAACTGTACATACGGAAATGAGCTCAACTACATACACACACAGAACACTGAAAATACACCAAAACTTAACAGTTGATAATCTCCAGATAGATTACCAGTGACTTTAACACTATACTGTATTTTCAAAGTTTTTTACATTAATCATGGCATACCTTAAAAAAAAAAACCTATTTAAGGAGAAAAATAGGAAACTAGAATTCTAAATACAAAGGGACTTGGGAACAAAAATATACTATAAAGTACTGTTATAGTTCAGAAAGATCTTTAACTTCAGGCCAGGCGTGGTGGCTCATGCCTGTAATCCCAGCACTTTGGGAGGCTGAGGCAGGTAGATCACCTAAGGTCGGGAGTTCGAGACCAGCCTGACCAACATGGAGAAACCCCATCGCTACTAAAAATACAAAATTAGATGGGCATGGTGGCGCATGCCTGTAATCCCAGCTACCCGGGAGGCTGAGGCAGGAGAATCGCCTGAGCCCAGGAGGGAGAGATTGCAGTGAGCTGAGATTGCGCCACTACACTCCGGCCCAGGCAACAGAGCAAGCAAGACTCCGTCTCAAAAAAAAAAAAAAAAAAAAGATCTTTATCACATGTTTTTAAGAAACCTGAGTCTGGCCTAGCTTCTTAACAGGGCAAAAAATTACATGGACTATCTTCCTCCAGGTTGAGCATAAAAATAAAATAAAAATTACAGGGACTAGAATTAGGCCTCAGATCCTAAAAATTTCACTATCTCTTGGCAGCTCAGAACATCACAGCCAGCCGGGCGTGGTGGCTCACACCTGTAATCCCAGCACTTTGGGAGGCTGAGGCGGGTGATCACCTGAGGTCGGGAGTTCGAGACCTGCCTGACCAACATGGAGAAACCCCATCTCTACTAAAAATACAAAAATTAGTCAGACATCGTGGTGCACGCCTGTAATCCTAGCCACTCCAGAGGCTGAGGCAGAAGAACCGCTTGAACTGGGGAGGCGGAGGTTGCAGTGAGCCGAGACTGCACCATTGCACTCCATCCTGGGCAACAAGAGCGAAACTCTGTCTCACCGAAAAAAAAAAAAAAAAAAAAAAATCACAGCTGAGCCCACTTATGGTGACTAAGATTAAGGGCAGTATCTGCTAGACACAGCTGGCACAGAAGCACACCTTGCTGAACATTGTAAGCCATCGCATTCCTAGTCATGCTAGAAGGAAGCCAGCCTGCCAGGCTTGCACGCTGAGGTTTTGTCCCTTTGTGTTTGACATCCTCCCCATCCCAGATGATATCATCCTCCCAATGCAGCTGTGTCACCATCAGGAAGTTTTCATCAGCCAGAAGATCAGTGCCATTGTTTTCCTCAAGTTTCCTAAATTCCTGTGTAAGTAGGGAAGAAAAAACACATCCTTGATTGGTCACTGGTCAAGGTTTCCACTCCAAATTCCACATTAAAGATACATCAGACACATTGTAAGTGGTCCTTTACTTGAAACAACCACCTGATAACGGAGGAATATTTGCCTCTTCCCACTCCTAGTCTGGCACAGCATTCATTTCACAAACAGAATCCTTAGAATAGGACCTAGCTACCAGGGTGATACACCATACCAAATAAAAGGCTGAGACACCTCAATCTCCCACCAAAGAAACCCTACCACCCAGTATCTCCCCAATTAAAGAGTAAAGTTAGTAAAAGTAATAGGACCTGAGTACATTGATTCCTTTCTTACATACCAGTGTTGCTCACCTCTATCATTCTAGATTTTATCACAGGTTCATGTTCTGTCTTTCTCAGTTTGAAGCCATAGTCAAACCCACTGCCATCTTCAGGGACACCCAGCATATCATACCACAGTCGGGCAGGCCCATAACGCCACTCAGCCACTCTTGGTTTGGTATCTGTCACTTTATCTATATCTCCAGTTGATTGGGAAAATTTGGACTCCACAGGAGCCATCATCGTGATCTGTAACAGAAGAAAGAAGTAGAGCAGGGAGAATTTCCTGATCCCAGATGTCCTAAGGCTATAGAGAGTTAACAGTCAGGAGGGGAACTTAGAGAAACTGAGGATGATTTACCTGGAGTTAGAATGTAAACAATGGAGATGTATCATAGCACATTCCACCTATCAATCAAACCTTCTTATTCAGCAGCATATCACCATCTACCCCTCTCATCCCCGCCTACCCCACCAAACATTTTTCTTTTACAATAGGGAAGGGGCAGCCACTGAGATTGAACCCATGATTACTCATTGAAAATTAGCACAGATTCTATCTGCTATGGTATTATTTACAATTTAGACATAAATTAGGGAGAACTCATTGAATTCATTTGTTCCTCTCATAGGCCTTAATCTCAGGTCTCTATTTTGCCTACTTCATCATCAGAGAGACACTGCTCTGGAGGTGGTGGTGGAGCGTAGTCGTAGTTCCACAAAGACTTCTGGCTGACTTCTGATTCTACTGAGCACTCCACCTCCTGGATCTGCTCTTCCTGTATCAGCTCACGGTGCTTCTTCTTCCTCTTTCT
The DNA here is from genome assembly GCF_000001405.40 of Homo sapiens. Lineage (NCBI taxonomy): Eukaryota > Metazoa > Chordata > Mammalia > Primates > Hominidae > Homo > Homo sapiens. The sequence goes on along the minus strand of NC_000023.11, from coordinate 71,377,668 downwards.
CCGAGCACTCCGCCAAACAGATGGGACATTCTTCCCTGGTCCAAAAAGACGTAGAAAACGTAACACCTAGAACACAGAATACATTACTATGACACAGACTCAAAGTCAGATGGGAAAACAGCAGCATCTGGGCCTGAAAACTCCCTTGAGAGATCTCTTCAAATGTGGGGGAGAAACAAAGGAGTGTCGCATTCAGACTTGTAACGTCTAAGAAAGTAAAGAAGCGTTCCTTAATAATTTGGGCTAGTTCTTTTAAGATAACAGAGAAATTTCCAATGAGAACAGCATAAATCACATTTACTATCAATACATACAACTTTAAAAAAAAGACCTAATACAGTGTGAAGAGCTCTTATGTAGCCAATAATATGTCACTGAGTAAGGAAACCCCATTCCATACTCAGCATCTTAACAACAAAACTCATTATTTGGAAGAGGTCAGTGGTTTGCAATCTGAGCATTCTCCACAGAATGTACCTTTCCAGGTCGAAATTCTGGAAAAAGTTCTGTGACACTTGGCAACAGCTTGGTGGCATCATGCTGCATAATCCCAGCCAATGGAAGGGTCAGCTTTCCATCTTCAGATTCTGCCTGTGTTGCTTCCTGAGGTCCCATCTCAGATTCTGAGTCAGAGGAACTACTGAAGTCCACTTTCTCTGAGGCCAAAGAGGAAGGGGCAATGATGGAGGGCAAGATGATGCCTTCTCCATTTTCAGACACTGCAACAAGGAAGAGAAACCCCTTTGGCATGTAACTGTGAACATATTTCCTCGAATTCCGCAAACACCCACTTTAGGCTATACACATGGCTCAATGCCAGGAGATATAGGCCCAAGCACCCAAATCATAATACTAGTATGCAACCCAGAAAACTCATTCTAACTCGTTATCTCCCATCGTCCCCCAACTCACCACGTACCTGGTACCCTAGGGTTGTGATGAGAAAACAAACACTATTACTACATTTACTACTTTCCGATTTTTTGTTGTTTTTTTTTTTTTGAGACAGAGTCTTGCTCTGTCGCACAGGCTGGAGTGCAGTGGTGAGATCTTAGCTCACTGAAACCTCTCTCTCTCGGGTTCAAGTGATTCTCCTGCCTCAACCTCCTGAGTAGCTGGGATTACAGTCATGCGCCACGACAGCTGGCTAAATTTTTGCATTTTTAGTAGAGACGGGGTTTCACCATCTTGGCCAGTCTGGTCTTGAACTCCTGACCTCAAATCATCTGCCTCCACCTCCCAAAGTGCTCGGATTACAGGTGTGAGCCACCACACCTGGCCCTACTTTCTGATAAGTAACCAATATTGTAACCAATGTTGTGACCAATAGCAAAACTATGTAATACTTTATACCACTCAGGTAGTCCTAGTTCAGAGACTCATGAGCTGGAGAATTTTTTTAAGCCCACGGGACAACATTAAGGTTCTTTGGCATAAATAAGATCTATAAAACAAAGTTAACAGCTGACATTTAGCAGACTGTTAAAAGAAATGGCTTAAAACTCCAACAGGAAGAATTTAGGTTAATACAAGCCTCAAAATACAGGAGGTCAAAAACACTGCTCTTCCCCAGTTTTCAAGCCTAGGACAGTTACTGTTATAGGAATAGGTAAGATAAACACTGAAGACTCTACTAGCCTTTGAAATCTCTGAATATCTGGTAGTTGACACTATCTGATTTATCAACATTCCAGGGCACCTTCCTAATTTAACCACTTCATTTAAAATAAAGCCATCTAAACAAGTAGTTTCCAAATACCAGTATACAGATCAGTTGTATCATAAATTACTTAAGAAACTCTTTAAGATTCCCGGGTTCGGCAGGGAGCAGTGGCTCACGCCTGTAATCCCAGCACTTTGGAAGACCAAGGCGAGCGGATCACTTGAGGTCAGGAGTTCCAGCCCCTACTCTGGAGGCTGAGGCATGAGAATCACTTGAACCCGGGAGGCGGAGGTTGCAGTGAGCCAAGATCGTGCTACTGCACTCCAACCTGCACAACACAGCAAGACTCTTTCTCAAAAAAATTTTAATTAATTTAATTAAATTCCTGGACTCTACCCAAGATCTTCTGAATCAGGCTCAAGGGGTGAAAGTCAGGTATTTGTTTTTTTTTTTTAAAGATTCTAAGTGATTCTGATGGGTAGCCAGATTTGAGAACCACTGACTAAACTACTATTTCTTGAGCACATGTTAAAATACTGTTGCCAAATGTTTTAAAAGTAAAACTTCCCTTTAATACTAAAATTTGCGATTGTATGAATTATTTCTAGAAGTTTTGTCCCTTCATATAAGCTTAAGTTTGTCCCTTATGTGTGTGCCACAAGCCTGGACTTAGGAATGAAAACTTGCTCCTCAGACAAAAGTAGACAATCTCTACTTACCACCAGTAATAGAATCCTGGTCCTTATCCTTCTTCATTGGTCCCGGGGGTGGAGGTGGAGGAGGCATCAACTTGCAATCAATGTCTTCACAATCAGCATCATAGTCATCTTCATCATAATCTAATAAAACCAAGAAGGTGATCTCCTCAATATCCAAAATATTATACAACCGCCTTAAGCTTCCTTGCCACTCAATTTTTTTTTTTTTTTTGAGACAGAGTCTTGCTCTGTCGCCCAGGCTGGAGTGCAGCGGTGCAATCTCAGCTGACTGCAACCTCCACCTCCCGAGTTCTCCTGCCTCAGCCTCCTGAGTAGCTGGGATTACAGGAATGTGCCACCACGCCCAGCTAATTTTTGTATTTTTAGTAGAGACGGGGTTTCTCCATGTCGGTCGGGCTGGTCTCGAACTCCTGACCTTGTGATCCACCTGCCTCAGCCTCCCAAAGTACTGGGATTACAGGGCCACTCAATAATTTAAAGCACCACATGAAACACTATGCATATCCCTTAAGAACACACAAGTGAAAAAAGCAAGGTGAGGGCCAGGCATGATGGCTCACGCCTGTAATCCCAGCACTTTGGGAGGCCAAGATGGGCAGATCACTTGAGCCCAGAATTTCAAGACCAGCCTAAACAACATGGAGAAACCCCATCTCTACAAAAAATACAAAAATTAGCTAGGCGTGGTGGCACACGCCTGTAGTACCAGCTACTCAGGAGGCTGAGGTCGGGAGACAGTTTGAGCCCAGGAGGTCAAGGCTTTGATGAGCAGTAATCGTGTGACAGAGCAAGACCATGCCTCAAAATATTTTACATATCTATCTGAAACATAGCTTTAGCCTTCAGAAAGAGATGACATCACGGTGCAAGTCAATTGCTATAACATATATAATATCTCACACAAGATATGATGGCTGGGCATGGTGGCTCACGCCAGCACTCTGGGAGGCTGAGGCGGGCAGATCACCTGAGGTCAGGAGTTCAGAGACCAGCCTGGCCAACATGACAAAACCCCATCTCTGTCAAAAATACAAAAACTAGCCAGGAGTGGTGGCATGTGCCTGTAATCCCAGCTACTTGGGAGGCTGAGGCACAAGAAGCACTTGAACCGGGAGGTGAAGGTTGCAGTAAGCCGAGATTGCGCCACTGCACTCCAGCCTGGGCGACACAGTGAAACTGTCTCAAAAAAAAAAAAGAAAGAAAGAAAAGAAAAAATCATACAACATATGAAAGCGTTTCCAAGAGCTGCTTGAAACATTTGCTCCTTTCCTGACCATATCTTTTTTAGAATTTTCATACTGGGCCAGGCACAGTGGCTCGCACCTGTAATCCCAGCACTTTGGGAATCTTCTCCCTCTGTCAGTTTCCCTTAAGACTGGTCTTTCATCTCTCAAATGAGAGATGACACACTTTTTCTATCTGTCATCTGCAGTTTATTACTCTTTTCACTGCCCCTTAACCATTGGCATCACTCAAGAATTCGTCCTAAAGACTCTGCTTTTATTCCCCTATACGTTCCCTATTCCCTCTCTCAAGAATCACCTTCACCTAGATTAAACCCAAATCTACATATGCGGCCCTAATTTACCTCCTCTACAACTCCACGACTCTTCTGCTTCCTAAGGAAACTTTCTACTCAGATATTTAACAGCTGTACCTTATAAAACACTGAAATATCCTTTATCTCTTTTAAATTCCCTATCAACATCACATCCATATGCATTTTCCCAGCTTATGGCTTTAGTCCACTGTCTCCTTCATCAATCTCATAACCCCCAATATACATTTATCCAATTGATCATTACAAATAGTAAGTATAGGGCCAGTGAGGTGGCTCACACCTGTAATCCCAGCACTTTGGGAGGCTGAGGCGAGCGGATTGCCTGAGCTCAGGAGTTCAAGACCAGCCTAGGCAACATGGTGCAACTCAGTCTCCACTAAAATTCAAAAAATTAGCTGGGAGAGGTGGCACGGGCCTGTAGTCCCAGCTACTCAGGAGGCTGAGGCAGGAGAAATGCTTGAACCGGGGAGGCAGAGGTTACAGTGAACCGAGATTGCGCCACTGCACTCCAGCCTGGGCAACACAGTAAGATTCTGTCTCAAAAAAAAAAAAAAAAAAGTGGCCAGGCACAGAGGCTCACGCCTGTAATCCCAGCACTTTGGGAGGCTGAGGTGGGTGGATCACGAGGTCAGGAGATCGAGACCACCCTGGCTAACACTGTGAAACCCCGTCTCTACTAAAAATACAAAAAATTAGCCTGGCCTGGTGGTGGGTGCCTGTAGTCCCAGCTACTCCGGAGACTGAGGCCGGATAATGGCGTAAACCTGGGAGGCGGAGCTTGCAGTGAGCTGAGATCGCGCCACTGCACTCCAGCCTGGGTGACAGAGCGAGACTCTGTCTCAAACAAACAAACAAAAAAGTAAGTATAGCAACTTCCTACTACTAAACTTCCATTATGTGCCAGGCATTTCTAGCTGTTTTATGTATAATCCTCCCAATAACACTTCAAAACAGGAATTATCCTGAGATACGGAAGAGACTGAATTTTAAGTGACAAAATCAGAATGCAAGCCTGGTTTAACAACAAAGCCTACACTCTTTCCAACACAATTCCTCACTCACCAAGCCCTGTATTTTTTTTTTTTTGAGACAGGGGTCTTGCTCTGTTGCCCAGGCTAGAGCACAGAAGCTCAATCATAGCTCACTGCAACCTCCAACTCCTGGGCTCAAGTTATCTTCCCGCCACAGCCTCCTGAGTAGCTGGGACTATAGGCAACCAAGTCCTACGATACTTTATCAGTATCTTCTAAGTTTGACCCTAGCTATCTTTTTTTTTTTTTTTTTTTTTTTTTTGAGGCAGAGTTTCACTCTTGTCACCCAGGCTGGAGTGCCGTGGCATGATCTCAGCTCACTGCAACCTCTGCCTCCCGGGTTCAAGCGATTCTCCTGCCTCAGCTTCCCGAGTAGCTGGGACTACAGATGTGTGCCAACACACCCAGCTAATTTCTGCATTTTTAGTACAGACAGCATTTCACCATGTTGGTCAGGCTGGACTCGAACTCCTGACCTCAAGTTATCCGTCCACCTCAGCCTCCCAAAGTGCTGGGATTACAGGCGTGAGCCACCACGCCCAGCCTGACCCTAGGTATCATTTTCTACAACTGTCACCCTACTTCGGACCTTAATAACTTTACATCTCTAGCCTGCAAGAACAGCCTGCAAGTTGGTGTGACATTCACTCTTTTACTAATCAAAACCCCAGAGCGACAAGTATCACTCTTCTAAAGCCTCAGAAAGGGAAGCCTCTAAGACTGTAAACTAGCAAAGCAGAAAAAAAGGAAAGCCAACTAATATTTACAGAGCATTTACCATAATATTATACTATGTGCTTTTACATCATGTGATAATGAACTTCAATTCTCACAAAAGTGTGAATATTATCACCTTTACTACAGACAAGAAAACTGGGGGATTATTACAAATGAGAAATCCAAGCCTCAGAGATTCAGCAACCTGCTCAGGGTCACACTAAATATGGAGTTGGAATTTGAATCTATGACACTCTAAGCCTAGGACACTGACTCCAAAATCCTTTTCTTTTCATTATACCATCCTGCCTCTCACTCAACAGTCTATGTTGGTTTGCAATTCCTTATGTCATCAAATCCCAAGTAATGCATACATAAAGGTACTGTGAAATTGCTCTATCCTTGGTTCTTGCTATTTGGCAGCATGTTTTCTACTCCTTTCAAGAAAACCTACTGGCTAATTCCCCCTCCACACACACTACTTGCTTATTTCTAAATATCTCCAAACCTTTAGACAAGCCGTGTTTCCAAACCAAAATCCCCTGCTGCTCCTTCTCCACCAAACCTTGCCTCACTTTCAAAATTTTACTCAAAATTCACCTCCATGAAAGCTTTATTAGCAATCTACACCCACTTCCAATTATTCCAAAGAAGCACCCTTGTAAACCAAGCCATGCAAAGGAGCCAATGCCAAGGAAGGAAAAAACTAAGGGTATAGGTGAAGGCACCCCTAGAGGACAAGAGAACTTAGAAATGAGCATCCCAGAGTACTGAGATTCTGTCAAATGTAGCATCCTCCTTTTATAGGAAGTTAGCTCATAAAACTCACCTAGGGAAACTCCCAGCCTTTTCCTTACCATCCCTAGTCAAGACAACAAACACAAACCTGGAAATTATAACTTCTACTGAAAATAACTGCCACCATGTCCCCCCAGTCAGGGTGCCCAAAAATGACAGCTATTGACTTACCTATTCTTGCAGCCCATCAAAACTAAATGTAACACTCTATATACAGAAACATGATCTCATAGGTGGTTTGTCTTACTATGAATAATTGTTCTGCATTTGTTCACATCATCTTCCCCAAAAGATAACAATATCCTTAAAGGCAGGGCTTATATCTTCTATTTTTCGTGGGTTACTTTTTGTATATGCAACACAGTTAATTCTTTTCATATAAGTAGCACTCAAATCCATAAGCTGTCCCGAAAAAACTAAGTTCAAGTATTTACCAAGGTTTTATCTACATTTATCAGAAGCCTGAAATCTAGTTCGAAGAGGTGGACGATGAATAAATAACGAGCAACTTCACATAAAAGTTTCAAGCAGGCCAGGCGGGGTGGCTCACACCTGTAATCCCAACACTTTGGGAGGCAAAGGTGGGCGGATTACCTGAGGTCAGGAGTTCGAGACCAGCCTGGCCAAGATGGCGAAACCTCATCTCTACTAAAAATACAAAAAAAATTAGCCGGGAGTGGTGGCACATGCCTGTAGTCCCAGCTACTGGGGAGGCTGAGGTGGAAGAATCACTTGAACCCGGTAGGTGGAAGTTGCAGTGAGCTGAGATCACACCACTGCACTCCAGCCCTGGTGACAGAGAGAGACTCTGTCAGGTGGGGTGGGGTGGGGGAGTCTCAAGCAGTGAGAGGTAGAACAGGGCAGTGCCAAAAATGAACTATGGACCAATACCTCTAGATTCCAGACCACTAAATTGAACTTCTCAAGATCAGAAAATGGACTTCATTATCTTTTGAGACAGCATTTAGCTCTTGCCGCCCAGGCTGGAATGCAGCAGCATCATTTCGGCTCACTGCAACCTGCCCCTCCTGGGTTCCAGCCATTCTCACGCCTCAGCCTCCTGAGTAGCTGCGACTACAGGCACACGACATCATGTCCAGCTAATTTTTTTATTTTTAGTAGAGACGGGGTTTCTCCATGTTGCCTAGGCTGGTCTCGAACTCCTGGCCTCACGTGATCTGCCCACCTGGGCCCCCCAAAGTGCTGGGTTTACAGGCCTGAGCCACCACACCCAGCGGACTTCATTATCTTTGAAACACACTGCCTAGGCCAGGCACGGTGGCTCATGCCTGTAATCCCAGCACTTTGGGAGGCCGAGGCGGGTGGATCACGAGGTCAGGATATCGAGACCATCCTGGCTAACACAGTGAAACCCCATCTCTACTAAAAATACAAAAAAAAAAAAAATTAGCCAGGCGTGGTGGTGGGCGCCTGTAGTCCCAGCTACTCGGGAGGCTGAGGCAAGAGAATGGCATGAACCTGGGAGGCAGAGCTTGCAGTGAGCCAAGATTGCACCACTGCACTCCAGCCTGGGCAATAGAGCGAGACTCCGTCTCAAAAAAAAAAAAAAAAAAGAAACACACTGCCTATCAGTTTAGAGTACATAACAAGTGCTCAAACAATGTCTAACGAACTGAGCTAAATTAGTCAGTCTACTACTAGCTAATTGTATTACTTTTGATAAAATCCCACATTTTATTATAAAGTTCTCTAAAGTTCAAGTTTTCCTTTTCTACTAGAGATTACGAATAAATAATTCCTAAGACTCCTTCCACTCACTGACTCTACCTTCTAAGTCTGATGTTTTGATTCTACAATGTAGCACCCTATACCAGAGAGGAAAAAAACATATTTGCAAGCAGGTATCAAGTTCATTGTTTTAGGCAGGGTGCGGTGGCTCACACCTGTAATCCTAACACTTATGGAGACCGAGGGGAGCAGGGTCACTTGAGGTAAGGAGTTCGAAACCAATCTGGCCAACATGGTGAAACCCCTTCTCTACTAAAAATACAAAAAAATTGGCCAGATGTGGCCGGGCGTGGTGGCTCACGCCTGTAATCCCAGCACTTTGGGAAGCCGAGGCAGGCGGATCACGAGGTCAGGAGATCGAGACCATCCTGGCTAACACGGTGAAACCCTGTCTCTACTAAAAATACAAAAAAATAGCCGGGCTTGGTGGCGGGCCCCTGTAGTCCCAGCTACTTGGGAGGCTCAGGCAGGAGAATTGCTTCAAACCGGGAGGTGGAGATTGCAGTGAGCCGAGATCGTGTCACCGCACTCCAACCTGGGCAAGAAAGTGAGACACTCCGTCTCGGAAAAAAAAAAAAAAACAGTTGTTTTATATTGGGTTTTTTTTTTTTTTTTTGAGACGGAGTGTCTCACTCTTGCTGCCCAGGCTGGAGTGCAGTGGCACGATCTCGGCTCACTGCAACCTCCACCTGCCGGTTTGAAGCAATTCTCCTGCCTCAGCCTCCCGAGTACCTGGGATTACAGTCATGCGCCACCACGCCTGGCTAATTTTTTATTTTTAGTAAACGGGATTTCTCCATATTGGTCAGGCTGTCTCAAGCTCCCGACCTCAGGTAATCTGGTGAGCCACCACGTCCTGCCTTAGTTCATTGCTTATGTATGACGTTGTATCCTTCTTGAACTATCCATTCCTTAAGGGCAAAAACTGAATTTGTTTCATAGTTTCCAACTTTGAAGTGTATCTCACAAACCCTGTAGGTATTCAAATACCAGGTGACAAGAAAGCTACTTGTCATTAACTAAGAATTCATGACTGAACAGTGTGAGGAATAACCACATGAATACGGTTAAGACTGGCCAGAACACAAAAAAAGATAGCAGCTACTTGGAACTGACCTGACAAAGGGAGTGGAGGAGCCAAAGCAAAGGCATAGAGAGCAGAAACAATGGCAGACAGCGGGTATAGAAACCAGAGCCCAAACTGGACTATACAGCAGGATAATGCACTGGAATGTTCAAGCCAATACACCAAAGAATCACCTGAGTGGCAAAGGGGCTGCAAGCTCCCCATCGTCTGCTGGTATCTTCGGCTTTCATCTTCTGCCACCTCATTGATGTCTGAATAGTCCACAGCATCTTCTGTACTCCTAACCCACCCTATGAAAAAAGCAGGGAGAATCGCAACAACAGTAAGCGACCCTCACTCCCTCAGATAATTCCCATTTAAAAGTACATGTACAGGCTGGATGCGGTGGCTCACGCCTGTAATCCCAGCACTTTGGAAGGCCAAGCCAGACGGATCACCTCAGGCCAGGAGTTCAAGACCAGTCTGACCAATATGATGAAACCCTGTCTCTACTAAAAATACAAAAATTAGCCGGGCGTGGTGGTGCGTGCCTGTAGTCCCAGCTACTCAGGAGGCTGAGACAGGAGAAATGCTTGAACCCGGGTGGCGGAGGCTGCAGTCAGCCCAGATCGCCCCACTGCACTCCAACCTCGGAGACAGAGCGAAACTCCGTCTTACACACACAAAAAAGTACATACATAGTAGGTGGCTAGCCTCCTCCCCCGCCTACTCCCCACAACCCAGACTTCACCTTCATCATTTACCAAGGCACCGTCAGTCCCGGTCAATTCTTCATTTGCCGTGAGTTCAGTGATCAGGCTGCCCAGCCCCAAAGCCCCCAAGCCTGCCAAGTGCTTCTTACATTCCTGAAAAAGGGACAGCACGAGTCGAAGATAACAACTAAACCTACGACTCCCACACCACAGGACTTATTTCCCTGGTCCACGACAAAGTCACAAATCCACATGAAAAATGACTGTGCAGTGTGCCAAAACAAGCAACACGTTCGAGAACTGTAATATACATCTACCAAACTCCGCATCGATCAGATCTTTATTAAAGCACCACAGCCAACTGCATCGCCCACACTTTAAAGTATACTACAAGAGAAGACGAATCAAATAACTACTGCCAAGACTGAATGAATGGAACGGTCGTTCTCGGAACGAGGGCCGAGGCAGGGGGATCAGTGGGATTGGAGGCGTCGAGGCGGGGCTCGTTCGGTCCCTGTTTCGCATGCGCCTGCGGCACAGGAGGGGCCACAGCGGCCGACAGCTTCACTCCTCAAGAAAACGGGCCTAAGTGAAGGCAGGGTAGTTTCACTAGGGCGCAGGACACTATTTCACGAAAGTCAGTGAAGACGCTGGGAGAGCCACCTAAAAGGCGCACTGTGACCAGGAGGCCCGCTCGGGTGCTAGGAACACCCCATTGTCCTAAGCCTGAGGCCGGAACCAAACGAGCGGGAGGCAGGTCCTGTCCAGTCCTCTGGCTCTATAGAGCCATCTCAGGGCAGCGATGTCAGAGGGGCAGGCAGTGTCAAGAATCTCCAAGCAGGTTACGGGTGGGAAGCCATCTCAGTAGGCGAAACCAGCATGTGTCCTACTGTCTGGTCGGCAGAGCGCTAGCTCCAAAGCCACTATTCCCTGCGCCCCTGGCCCCGGGCTCGCCTCGCGCTCTCTTCTGCCCACTCTCCCCCAGAACGATCACTCCCACGCCACGTTGCTCCCGCACCCATGAGGACGGGATCCTCCTCCCCGGCGTTAGCTGCGCCCTGTTCTCGCTGCCTGAGCACCCTCTCCTTTCCTCCCCGCACCTCCTTCCTCTGCTTAGCCCCACCCCCCGAGCCCTACCCCCACGCCCACCCCCTCACATCATCCAAGACGCTTTCCCCCTCCAGCTGCCCGGCTCCATTGATGTTGCCGAAAAGGAAACCCGCTAAAGAAAATGGGCCGCCTCCAGCGGAATCTTCGTCGCTGTCCGTGTCTGACATGATGGCGGCAGCAGTGATGGTAGCTGCTGTCCGCAGCAGCAAATCGCAGCCGGGTCCCATAGACCGGAAATAAAACAACAGTCGCCCAGAAGTGACTTACTGAGCTCCCTTACCCTACCAGCCTCTACCGGAAGCTCAAAACAGAGGGGAAAGGGAGGGGGAAGTGGGGAGAGGGGAGGGGGAAGGGGGGGAAAACCCGGAAAGACCGGCTATCCTAAGAGAAAGAAGTAACTACTTTACTAACGGCTTTTGATTCGACGCTACGGGATCAGGAGGATGGATATGTGGAAAGCGGTTGGTCAAAGAAAATATTCAGTCCCGCCCGCTCCCACTGCTCCGCGCGCGAGCTTTCTCACGGCACCGAATTAGAGCAGTGGCTCTTCCTCCAATCAGAAGGAGCTGCTCGAGTCACGTGGCTTACGCGCAGGCAACCTCGGGTTCCTGTACCACAATACCCGGAAGTAAGGGTAAGAGCCGGTCTTTGTGCTGCGTGCAATTTCACCGGTCCGTCCCAAGGAGAGACTTGACGTAAATTATACAGGCATTCCCGAGCTATGCAGGTTACTTGTTTTGAGTTGACATTTTTCCCTAGAAATTGATTTTTTGACCGGACGCGGTGGCTTACGCCTGTAATTCCAGCACTTTGAGAGGCCGAGGTGGGAGGATCGCTTGAGCCCACGAGTATGAGGCCAGCCTGGACAAGAAAGCGAGACTCCATCCATACACAAAATCAAAAAAATTAGCCAGATGTGGTGGCCAGTGCCTGTAGTCCCAGCTGTTGGGGGGTCTGAGGTGGGAGCCAGGAGTTGGAGTCTGCAGTGACCTGTGATCGGGCCACTGCACTCCAGCCCGCCTCAAAAAAAATACTTGTTCCCCCAACGTTTTATTTCGGAAAATGTGAAAGTTTAGTAAAATGAACAGCTGACCCCTCACCTAGACTCACAATGGTTAACATTTTGCTAGGATTTTTGTTTTTCTAAACCATTTATGGGCATCTTGTTCTTCACTCCTAAAAATAAGCATCTTAACTATGGAACCAAAGTACCTTTATCACAACTTTAGGAAGTAAGTCAATATTATTTAAGGAAGAGTCCGCACTTAAATTTCCCCAGTTGTCCTAGTTGGAACATTTTACGGGGTTTCGTCATGTTGCACAGGCTGGTCTCAGACTCCTGGGCTCAAGCAATCTGCCCGTTTCAGCCTCCCAAAGTGCTGGGATTGCAGCCATGAGCCAACACCCCGGCTTTCACCTTGCTTTTTTCACATATTATGATAATATAGACTGAAATAATTTCTTTACCACATCATAGCACTCTTCCTCATTCTCCCTTTTTTCCAATACTAGGATCCATTCACGTTTCATGCATTGTATTTGGTCATCTTCCTTTAGTCCAGAATCACCTGCCTTCTTGTTTGTTTTTCATGACACTAAATATTTGGAAGAATCCAGGCAAGTTGTCTTGAAAACATTCCATGATCCGAATTTCTCTTGTTTCCTTTTTTTTTTTGAGACGTAGTCTCGCTCTGTTGCCCAGGGTGGAGTGCAGTGGTGCTATCTCGGCTCATTGCAAGCTCCACCTCCTGGGTTCACACCATTCTCCTGCTTCAGCCTCCCAAGTATCTGGGACTACAGGCGCCCGCCACCAAGCCCGGCTAATTTTTGTATTTTTGGTGGAGACGGGGTTTCACTGTGTTAGCCAGGATGGTCTTGATTTCCTGACCTCGTGATCCGCCCACCTCGGCCTCCCAAAATGCTGGGATTACAGGCGTGAGCCACCACACGCCCGGCCTTTTTTTTTTTTTCTTTTTTTGAGACGGAGTCTCTTGCTCTGTCTCCCAGGATAAAGTGCTGTGGTGCGATCTCGGCGCCACCACCCCTGGCTAATTTTTGTATGATTAGTAGAGCCGGGGTTTCACCATATTGGCCACACTGATCTCAAACTCCTGACCTCGTGATCCGCCCGCCTCAAGTGCTGGAAATTACAGGAGTGAGCCTCCGCGCCCGGCCCAGGTTAAATATTTTATCAGCCATCAGAAGGTACACTGTCAAATACAGTGTTGTCCTAGTATTGGTGATGCTAAATTTCATCACCTTGATAAAGTAGTCACCACCAGATTGCTCCATCACAAAGGTACAACCCTGTGTAATTACTAAGTAATCCACAGGTACTTAGAGATTGTGTGAATATTCTTTTTTTTTTTTCAGTCTTTTGGTACTGAGCCCATCCTTCTGCAGAATAAATTGTGAATATTCTTTTCCCCATTGACCTTGCACCCAATGTGGTTTTAGCATTCATTGATGTCCCTTGCCTAAATCAGTTATATTGGGAGAATGCGAAAGGATGATCTTTCTTTCTTTTTCTTATTTTTTTTTTGAGAAAGTCTCACTCTGTTGCCCAGGGTGGAGTGCACTGCCGACCTCCTTCTCCCGGGTTCAAGCGATTCTCCAGTCTCAGCCTCTTGAGTAGCTGGGACTATAGGAGCATACCACCACACCCGAATTTTTGTATTTTTAGTAGACACGGGGTTTCACCGTGTTAACCAGGCTGGTCTCAAACTCCTGACCTCAGGTGATCCACCCGCCTTGGCCTCCCAAAGTGCTGGGATTACAGGCGTGAGCCACCGCGCCCAGCTTGGAATGCTTTTTAATGTAGTTTATGATAGTTACGTAGCAGCGCGCACAGTGGCTCACGGCTGTAATCCCAGCACTTTGGGAGGCCGAGGCGGACAGATCACCTGAGGTCAGGAGTTTGAGACCAAGCTGGCCAACATGGTGAAACCGTATCTTTACTAAAAATACAAAAAAATTAGCCAACACGGTGGCGCACATCTGTAGCCCCAGCTACTTGGGAGGCTGAGGCTGGAGAATCGCTTGAACCCGGGAGGTGGAGGTTGCAGTGAGCCGAGATCGCGCTACTGTACTCCAGCCTGGGCAACAGAGCGAGACTCTGTCTCAAAAAAAAAAAAAAAAAAGTTATTTAGTACGATATTGTCTCTTGGATGCTTGTGCTTGAGGAAAAGCAGACTGAATAAAGGTAGAGGCTTGTAGGATGTGGAAGGAGACTTCAGGTCCTATAAATATAAAAGATAACTTTTTTTTTTTTGTAGAGACAGGGTCTCACTATTGTAGCCCAGGGTGGTCTTGAACTCCTGAGCCCAAGCAATCCTCCCGCCTTGGCCTCCCAAAGTGTTGGGATTACAGGTATGAGCCACCACACCTAACCTAAAGATACAATTCTTTTTTTTTTATCTCCCAGCCTGCTCCCAGCCGAAAGATACCATTCTTGATTCAAAACATGGTTTCATATATTCACATTGTTCGGTCCAAACAGTAAAATAAAAAGTTTTTAAAAAATAAAAATAGGCTGGGCACGGTGGCTCACTCCTGTAATCCCAGCACTTTGGGAGGTCCAGGCGGGCAGATCACCTGAAGTCAGGAGTTTGAGACCAGCCTAGCCAACATGGTGAAACCTCGTCTCTACTGAAAATACAAAAATTAGCCGGATGCGGTGGTGGGCGCCTGTAATCCCAGCGACTCGGGAGGCTGAGGCAAGAGAATCGCTTGAACCCAAGAGATGGAGGTTGGCAGTGAACTGAGATCGCACCACCACACTCCAGCCTGGGCAACAGAGCGAGACTCTGCCTCAAAAAAAGTTATTTAGTACAACATATTGTCTCTTGGATGCTTGTGCTTGAGAAAAAGCAGATTCAATGAGAGGTAGAGGCTTGTAGGATGTGGAAGGAGACTTCAGGTCCTATAAATATAAAAGATAACATAATATTCTTTTTTTTTTTTGGTAGAGACAGGGTCTCATTATGTAGCCCAGGGTGGGCTCCTGAGCTCAAGCAGTCCTCCCGCCTTGGCCTCCCAAAGTGTTGGGATTACAGGCATGAGCCACCACACCTAACCTAAAGATACCATTCTTGATTCAAAACATGGTTTTATATATTCACACTGTTCTGTCCAGAAAGTAAAATAAAAATTTTTTAAAAAATAAAAATAGGCTGGGCACGATGGCTCACTTCTGTAATCCCAGCACTTTGGGAGGCCCAGGTGGGCAGATCACCTGAAGTCAGGAGTTGGGACCAGCCTGGCCAACATGGTGAAACCCCATCTCTACTAAAAATAGAAAAATTAGCTGGATGCGGTGGCGGGCGCCTGTAATCCCAGCGACTCGGGAGGCTAAGGCAAGAGAATCGCGGTTGGCAGTGAACCGAGATCACGCCACTGCACTCCAGCCTGGGCAACAAAGCAAGACTCTATCTCAAAAAGAAATGTTTTTAAAAATAGGCCGGGCACAGTGGCTCACGCCTTTAATCCCAGCACTTTGGGAGGCCAAGGCAGGTGGATCACTGGAGGTCAGGAGTTCAAGACCAGCCTGACCAACATGGTGAAACCCCATCTCTACTAAAAATGCAAAAAAATTAGCTGGGCGTGGTGGCACATGCCTGTAATTCCAGTTACTTGGAAGGCTAGGGAAGGAGAATAGCTTGAACCCGGGAGGCAGAGGTTGCAGTGAGTGGAGATCATGCCACCGCACTTCAGCCTGGGCAACAGAGTGAGACTCCATCTCAAAAAAATTTTTAAAAAATGGTTTTACATAAATTTACCTTGTGACCCAACAATTTCACTCATAGTTTTCTACCCACGAGAATTAAAACATATGTCCACACGAAACTTTGTACATGTTCACAGCAGTGTTAATAATAGCCAAACAGTAGAAACAACCCAAATGTCCATCAACTGATGAATAGATAAGCAAAGTATAGGATATCCACATAATGGAATATTATTCAGCAATAAAAAGAATTGTAACCAGGCAGAGTGGCCAGCACTTGTAATTCCAGCTACTTTGGAAGCTGAGGCAGGAGGATTGCTTGATCTCAGGAGTTCAAGATTCAGTGTGGTATGACTGTGCCTGTGAAAAGCCACTGGACTTCAGCCTGGGCAACACAGCTAGACCCCATCTCTAAAAAAAAAAAAAGAAAGAAATGAAGTACTAATGCATGCTACAAAATGAATGTGCATTGAAAACATCCAAAATGAAGTAAGTAAGTTACAAAAGACCATATGTCATATTATTTCATTTATATGAAATACCCAGAGAAGACATCTGTAAAAGAAAGTAGACTAGTTTGTCTAGGGCTAGAGGTGGGAACAGGGATTTACTGAATGAGGCATCTTTTTGGGGTGATAGAAATGTTCTAAAACTGGATCTTGGGGATGGCTGCACAACTAAGTAAATGTATTAAAAATTATTAAATTGTACACTTGAAATGGGTGGATTTTATGTTATGTAAATTATACCTCAATAAAGCTGGGTTTGAATACAAATACATGGTTCTTTCCTTACAAGTGCACCAGCGCTACACAATTACCAGCCAGAATTAGTCAATTTTTATAACAAACAGAAGGATATTTTGCTAAGATGACTGGAAGAGGCAAAGCACGTTAAATGATGTCTTATCTTTACAACTGCAGCCCCTAGTATGGTAATGCTTGTAACATAGTAGGAGCTTAATAATTATTTGCTGAGGCCGGGCGCAATGGTTCATGCCTGTAATCCCAGCACTTTGGGAGGCCTAGGCAGGCGGATCACCTGAGCTCAGGAGTTCGAGACCCAGCTGGGCAACATGGTGAAACCCCGTCTCTACTAAAATACAAAAATTAGCCGGGCATGGTGGCACATACCTTAGTCCCAGCTACTCCTGAGGCTGAGGCACGAGAATCGCTTGAGCCCAGGAGGCGGAAGTTGCAGTGAGCCGAGATCACACCACTGCACTCCAGCTTGGGCTACAGAGTGAGACTCCGTCTCAAAAAAAAAAAAAAAAAATGTCTAAACAGGATCTAGTTGCAGGCACTAAAAAGGATAACACATCAGTTTGAAAAGAGCCCCTATCAGAGCAATATGAATTCTGCTAAAATTGAAGCAAGAACATCAAATTTATGTTCAAGTTTGGATGAAAGAATGGTGAAATCATTGGTGCTTCATGAAAAGTTTATGGGGACAATGCCATAAAGAAATCAGCAGTTGGCTGGGTGAGGTGGCTCACGCCTGTAATCCCATCACTTTAGGAGGCCAAAGCGGGTGAATTTCTTGAGGCCAGGAGTTCGAGATCAGCCTGGCCAACATGGTGAAACCCCGCTTCTACTAAAAATACAAAAATTATCCGGGCGTGGTGGCGCAGGCCTGTAATCCCAGCTTCTTGGGTGGCTGAGGCAAGAGAATCGCTTGAACCCAGGAGGCAGAGGTTGCAGTGAGTCAAGATTGCGCCACTGCACTCCACCCTGGGTGACAGAGCGAGACTCTGTCTCGAAAAAAACAACAACAAAAAGAAAGCGGTTTACAAATAGATAACTCATTGTAAGAAGAGACAAGACAATATTGAAGATGAAGCTGACAGCCGCAGACCATCTATTTTTTTCTTTTCTTTTTTGAGACAGGGTCTGGCTCTTTTTGTTTTTGTTTTTGAGATGGAGTCTTGCTCTGTTGCCTAGGCTGGAGTGCAGTGGCACAATCTCGGCTCACTGCAACCTCTGCCTCCTGGGTTCAAGCAATTCTCCTGCTTCAGCCTCCTGAGTAGCTGTGACTAGGCACACACCACCATGCCCGGCTAATTTTTTAAATTTTTCTTTTTTTTTAGTAGAGACAGGGTTTTGCCATGTTGGCCAGGCTGGTCTTGAACTCCTGGCTTCAAGTGATCCGCCCACCTCAGCCTCCCAAAGTGCTGGGATTACAGGTGCGGGCTACCACGCCCAGCCCTGAGACAGGGTCTGACTCCTGTCCCCCAGGCCGGAGTGCAGTGGTCCAATCTCAGCTCACTGCAACCTCTGCCTCTGGGGCTCAAGCCATCCTCCCACCTCAGCCTCCCAATTACTGGGATTACAGGCACACACCACAATGCCCAGCTAATTTTTGTATTTTTTGTAGAAACAGGGTTTCACCATATTGCCCAGGCTGGTCTCTAACTCTTGAGCTCCAGCCCACCTCGGCCTCCCAAAGTGCTGGGATTACAGGCATGAGCCATCATACCCGGCCTTTCCTCAGTTCATTATGTAAAAAAACTGCGTTTAACGTGGTTAAATTCTCAGGACCCTCAGTTCTTTCAGGATGGACTAAATTGCTGGTATCATTGCTTATGAAAGCGTGTTGGCCGGGCACGGTGGCTCATGCCTGTAATCCCAGCACTTTGGGAGATCCAGACAGGCAGATCACCTGAGGTCAGGAGTTCGAGACCAGCCTGGACAACATGGTGAGACCCCGTCTCTACTAAAAACACAAAAATTAGCCGGGTGTGGTGGCGCATACCTGTAATCCCAGCTACTTGGGAGGCTGAGACAGGAGAATCACTTGAACCCGGGAGGCAGAGGTTGCAGTGAGCTGAGATTGCACCACTGCACTCCAACCTGGGTGACAGAATGAGACTGTCTTAAATATTAATACATAAATAATAAAAATTAGCTTTCCTAATAACTCAGGACCTACCTGTCTAGGAATAAACCATCCTAGCCATGAGAGATCAGACAAAACCTGGAACCAGAGACTAATTTTCTTCTAAAGTGCTTTCTCCAAAAAAAATTTAAAAATAAAAAGGAGGGGCCAGGTGTGGTGGCTCACACCTGTAATCCCAGCACTTTAGGAGGCCAAGGCAGGCGGATCACGAGGTCAGGAGATTGAGACCATCCTGGCTAACACGGTGAAACCCCATCTTTACTAAAACTACAAAAAATTAGCTGTGCGTGGTGGCGGGCGCCTATAGTCCCAGCTACTCGGGAGGCTGAGGCAGGAGAATAGCGTGAACCTGGGAGGAGGAGCTTGCAGTGAGCAGAGATCACGCCACTGCACTCCAGCCTGGGCAACAGAGCGAGACTCCGTCTCAAAAAATAATAATAATAATAATAATTAAATAAATAAAAAGGAGGGAAATGTGAAAGGAAAATATCTTGGGTCCCCCAAATCACTAAGCTAAAGGGAAAAGTCAAACTGGGAGCTGCTTAGAGCAAATCTGCCTCCCATTCTATTCAAAGTTATCCCTCTGCTCACTGAGATAAATGCATATCTGATTGCCTTCTTTGGAGAGGCTAATCAGAAACTCAAAAGAATACAACCATTTGTCTCTTATTTACCTATGACCTGAAAGCACCCTCTCTGCTTGGAGTTGTCCCACCTTTCCAGACCGAACCAATGTTCATCTGACATATGTTAACTGATGTCTCATGTCTCCCTAAAATGTATAAAATGAAACTGCTCTGACCACCTTGGGCACATGTCATCGGGACTTCCAGAGGCTGTGTCATGGGCTCACATCCTCAATCTTGGCAAAATAAAACTTTCTAAATTAACTGAGATTTGTCTCAAATTGTCAGGGTTCACATGCCCAACCTGGACTCTCCACAGCCATTAGACAACCAATGGTGTCAACAGTGAAGAGCTATCCAAAGTTAAGGGTGCAGTGATGAAAGAAAAGCAAAAAAAAAAAAAAAAAAAAAAAAAAAAAACCACTTTAGCCCATGCACTTTAGCCCATGGTGAGAGAAAAGGGAAACCAGAAGAAAAGGAAAGAGAATAGGGAGCTTATGTAACCTTTTATCTTCTATCAATACTTGATATCTGCTTGACTTTCAGGTTCCAGATTCTCCAAGAGTAGGCTTGACAGATGTATCAAATAAAAACACAAGATGGCCCATTAAATTTGAATTTCAGATAAACAATAATGTTTTAGTGTATGTTCCAAATACTGCATGGTATATACACTAAAAAATTTCTGTTGAAAAAAATACAGTTTGGGGATTTAAAAAAATTCTAGAAAATTATCTGTTTATTTGAGGTTCAAATTTAACAGGGCATCGTGTATTTTATCTGTCACCCCTATCCAGGAGGCTATGCTGACCAAACCTTGTCAAAGAGCAACAGGGAGGCTACCACAGAACAAAGCACAGACACCTTACCCACTGCAGGGGGTGGGGACCAGGCAATCCTTTAGCTTCATTTCCCAAACTCTCAAAAACCCAATGCTATTTGGCAGGGAGCATGTGTGCACAGTGGAGTTATCAACCACTGTGCGCTAGGTGAAGAAGTAAGTTTTCCTTCCAGATCAAATGAAAAAGGTCAAAAATACAAGCAGGGAAGAGAAGCAGGCCCACTAGGACATGGAATCTGACTTTTTTTTTTTTGAGATGGAGTCTCGCTCTGTCGCCCAGGCTGGAGTGCAGTGGCCTGATCTCTGCTTACTGCAAGCTCCGCCTCCCGGGTTCACGCCATTCTCCTGCCTCTGCCTCCCGAGTAGCTGGGACTACAGGCGCCCGCCACCATGCCCGGCTAATTTTTTGTATTTTTAGTAGAGACGGGGTTTCACCGTGTTAGCCAGGATGGTCTCAATCTCTTGACCTCGTGATCCACCCGCCTCGGCCTCCCAAAGTGCTGGGATTACAGGCGTGAGCCACCGCGCCCAGTCGAAATCTGACTCTTATTGCCCTGGAGCAAGCTTAGCAACTCCAGCAAAACTTGAACTGCTTTATAACCACAAGGGGAACGACCTCAGTGGCTAGAGATATAGATCTGGGCCAGACTCGGTGGCTCACACCTGTAATCCCAGCACTTTGGGAAGCACAGGCGGGTGGATCACCAGGGGTCAGGAGTTCGAGACCAGCCTGGCCAACATGGTGAAACGCTGTCTCTACTGAAAATACAAAAATTAGCTGAGTGTGGTGGCGGGCGCCTGTAACCCTGGCTACTTGGGAGGCTGAGGCAGGAAAATCGCTTGAGCCCAGGAGGTGGAGGTTGCAGTGAGCTGAGATAGCACCACTGCACTCCAGTCTGGGTGACAAAGTGAGACTCCGTCTCAAAAAAGAAAAAAAAAGATATGGATCAAACATGCTAAAACTCTCTTGGAGCAACTAAAAGACCTCAAAAGACACACAGAGCTGAATAAACACACAGGGAGATGTTCCAAGCAGGGAAGGACAGGAAGCAAGCAAGGCAGCCTGTGTAGACTCAGAACAGCTAAACCCAGACACAAGGGCAGAAGAGAAGTCTCAGAAAAAGTACAGAACTCCAACAATGACTGGCAGGACAGTATTTTATTTGTTAGTTTTATTTAGGGGGTTAACTTATTTTTTTCTCCTTTTTCTTTTAATGTTTAATAGAGATGGGGGTCTCCCTATGTTGCCCAGGCTGCTCTGAAACTCCTGGCCTCAAGCGATCCTCCTGCCTCAGCCTCGTGAGTAGCTGGGATTACAGGAGTGAGCCACTGCACCCTGTTGTGGGTTAACCTTGAGTGGTCTATCCTTAAAGCTGAAAGTGACAGAGGGGCCACACGGAAGACTTAGACACAAGCTTTTTTTCAGAGGGATTGGTAATTCCACATCACAAGGCCCATAGTGTTATCAGGATGTGATAGCAGATCTCACTGTCAGATCCCACCTCCAATGCACTACTATCATGACTAAGTGCCAGACCCATCTCCCGAAGCAGAGGAACAAATAACAAGATCATGCTGATAAACATTTGTCTCAAAGGCATGAAGAGGAAAGCATCAAAAAGAACAAGACTACATTATGCTTTTTGGTTTTACAGCCTCTTCCTTGGAAATTCCTAGTTCCCATTAACCCATTCTTTGAAATGGTATCAGCCAGGTGCAGTGGCTCACGCCTGTAATCCCAGCACTTTGGGAGGCTGAGGCGGGTGGATCACAAGGTCATGAGTTCAAGACCAGCCTAGCCAAGGTGGTGAAACCCTGTTTCTACTAAAAATACAAAAAGTAGCCCGGCGCAGTGGTGGGTGCCTGTAATCCCAGCTACTTAGGAGTCTGAGGCAGAGAATTGCTTGAACCCGGGAGGCGGAGGTTGCAGTGAGCCGAGATCACGCCACTGCACTCCAGCCTGGGCGACAGAGCGAGACTCCATCTCAAAAAAAAAAAAAAGAAATATTGTCACCAAACATATTAATAGGTGTTGCATGGGACCAACAAAAAAATTCAGTGGTGAAATAAGTTTGAGAAATGTTACATACATCATATTAAGTTATAAAATCTTGCCATTAAAGAACCTGTTCAGTTTTATTTATTTATTTGTTTATTTTTGAGATAGAGCCTCTCTTTGTCACCCAGGCTGGAGTACAGTGGTACAAACCCAGCTCACAGCAGCCTCAACCTCCCGGGATCAAGTGATCCTCCCACCTCAGCCCCTCCAGTAGCTGGGACTACAGGCGCACACCACCACACCTGGCTAATATTCACATATTTTGTAGAGACAGTTTCGCCATGTTGCCCAGGTTGGTCTAAAACTCCTGAGCTCAAGCCATCCACACGCTTTGGCATCTCGAAGTGCTGGGATTATAGGCATGAGCAACCGCGCTCAGCACTATTTTAAATTGCTGGTTCTTGAGCTTATTTGATGACAGAACCGTTTTTTCCTTTTTTTTTTTTTTTAATCCCCAGTAGGAAGAACAGAGTTCTGTTCTTCTCACAGAACTCTTATAAGGAACATCTATTACCAACTCACAGAACTTTAAAAAATGCTCCTAAACCATTTTTGTGAACATGTCTCATCTCAAGAATGGGAGAAACATGTCAACACTGGGAACACCCAGGAATTACACATAATATGGTTTTATTTATTTATTTATTTATTTATTTATTTTTTTGACACAGAGTGTCACTCTGTTGCCCAGGCTGGAGTGCAGTGGCGCTATCTCAGCTCACTGCAAGCTCCGCCTCCCAGGCTCACGCCATTCTCCTGCCTCAGCCTCTGGAGTAGCTGGGACTACAGGCACCCGCCACCACGCCCAGCTAATTTTTTTTGTATTTTCAGTAGAGACGGGGTTTCACCGTATTAGGATGGTCTCGATCTCCTGACCTCGTGATCTGCCTGCCTTGGCCTCCCAAAGTGCTGGGATTACCTGCGTGAGCCACTGCACCTGGCCCATAATATGGTTTTCAAAAATTAGTCGGCCAGGCACGGTAGCTCACACCTGTAATCCCAGTACTTTGGGAGGCCAAGATGGGAGGATCACTTGAGCTCAGGAGTTCAAGACCAGCCTGGGCAACATGGTGAAACACCATCTCTACAAAAATACAAAAATTAACCAGACATGGTGACACGCACTCATGGTCCCAGCTACTTGGGGGGCTGAGGCAAGAGGATCCCTTGAGCCTGGGAGGTCAAGATGGCAGTGAGCCATGTTCATGCCACTGCCACTGCAGTCCAGCCTCCATGGATGACAAAGCGAGACTCTGTCTCAATAACCGAAAAAAAAAATTCATATATGAGAAAGTTTAAAGCAATGAGATTTAAAAACTGGATAACCGGCCGGGCATGGTGGCTCACACCTATAATCCCAGCACTTTGGGAGGCAGAGGCAGGCGGATCACCTGAGGTCAGGAATTTGAGACCAGCCTGGCCAACATGGTGAGACTCCGTCTCTACTAAAAATACAAAAATTAGCCAGGTGTGGTAGTGCGTGCCTATGGTCCCAGATACTCAGGAGGCTGAGGCAGGAGGCAGGAGAATTGCTTGAAACTTAGGAGGCGGAGGTTGCAGTCAGCCAAGATCGTGCCACTGCACTCCAGCCTGGGTGACAGAGTGAGATTCTCTCTCAAAAAAATAGTAAAAATAAGCTGGGCACGGTGGCTTACACCTGTAATCCCAGCACTTTGGGAGGCTGAGGTGGGTGGATCACCTGAGGTCAGGAGTTCAAGACCAGCCTGGCCAACATGGTGAAACCCTGTCTCTACTAAAAATACAAAAGAATTAGCCGGGCATGGTGGCGGGCGCCTGTAATCCCAGCTACTCAGGAGACTGAGGCAGGAAAATCGCTTGAACCTGGGAGGTGGAGGTTGCAGTGAGCCGAGATGGCGTCATTGCACTCCAGCCTGGGTGACAAGAAAGAAACTCCATCTCAAAAAAATAATAATAACAATAATAATAATAATAAATAAAACCGGATAAACTTGTCCTTCCATGAGGCACTTGCTCAGTGGTAAATATAGCAAGGAAAGCTCCAATTAGATTTAAAAGCAGACAAGCAAAAGTCTACAATGAACAGTCCTAAGCTGCTCTGCTTAGTCATTGCCTGGCCAGGAGAGAAAAGAACAGCACTGAGTGGCACCTCCTCTTACCACTTTGACAAGGGAGACACACACACACACACACACACACACACACACACACACACACACACACACACACACACACCTTCCTCCAAAAGGTCAGACCAAACTTCAAAGCAGCCATGTACAAACAAGTCTGTCTTTGTTCCTCCAAGAGCTGAATATCCTGCAGTCTAGGGTTTCTGCAATAGCCCATGCTGGCACTCTTTAACTGCTGACAAAGGAATATCACCCTTATACTTCTTAGTTGCAGTCCCCAAGTAGCACCTAGAAGCTATAAGAGGATGTACTTCTTGGTGTTCTTTGTAGCAGGGTAAAGCACAGCCCGGACAGCTTCTAAAAATACCTCATGCACCCCATCCTGCATCAGGGCCGAATATTCCAGATACTTCACAGCCCCCAACTGCTTAGCCAGGGAAGTGCCTTGCTGGGGAGTCGTGGGTACTAGGCTCTGCTCCTTCAGCTTCTTCACTGTCTCAAGGTTACTCCACAGGTCCCTCTTGGTGCCTACCAGCAGAACAGGCACATTGGGGCAATGATGGGAGACCTCTGGGTGCCACTTATGCCTCACATTGGCATAAGAGGATGGGTTCCCAGTGGAAAAACAAATAACAAAGATACTGGTCTGGGGTTAGGAGAGTGTTCGCAGTCATCATACTCCTCTTGGCCAGCAGTGTCCCACGTGTTCAGGCTAATGATTTGCCCATCCACGGATGTCTGGACGCTATAGTTGTCAAAGACAGTGGGGGGATATACTCCTCAGGAAAGACATTTGTTGTATAACTGATGAGGAGGCAGGTTTTACCTATAGCCTCATCTCCTACAACCACACATTTGATTGTCTGCATTCTTCCCTTGTAGTCCTATGTACAAGAGAGACAGAAAGAATATTCAGAGATGCTTGGTTAATGTAGGGAGCTATTCTAAACATTTCTCTCTGAGGAGAAGATGAGGAAGATAAGATGCCCCCCACACTCTCTATACCCTTAATGCCATACAAGAGTCAGCTACAAAGGGTTGTATAAGTCAAGAGTTCTTACCCTGGAGTCTGTGGACTACTAGAGGATGGGCTTCGGTAGGTCCTAGAAGCCTCTTCTGAAGTTGTGTACAATACTATGTATATGTGCATAAGTGAATTTTTCTGGAAAGAAGGTCCAGAGCTGTCACCAGTATCTCACAGAAGGCTTTTTAATCTTTGGGTGAGCTCAAAAAGATTAAAAACCATTCATCCACATAGGTATTTGTGTTACACCGTTATCATAAGGTCTGGATCTACTGTATCAAAGGTACTAAAATATTGTAGGTGCTCAATAAATGGTTAGTAATTTTTAAAAATTATCATAGAAGGTTTCCAGGGTTGAATCAAGAAACATGGCTGTCACTTTGGGTCTCTGGCTATAGAGCCAGCAGAGGAACCTCCATTCCTGAAAAACAGAGACATCACAATACTGGAGAGAAAGGCAGACAAGTCACACTCAGCTAGAGAAATGGTTAAGAGGGCTAGGCGCGGTGGCTCACGCCTGTATTCCCAGCACTTTAGGAGGCGGAGGCGGGCAGATCACCTGAGGTCAGGAGTTCGAGGCCGGCCTGGCCAACATGGCAAAACCCCATCTCTACTAAAAATACAAAAATTAGCCATACGCGGTGGCACATACCTGTAATTCCAGCTACTCAGGAGGCTGAGGCAGGAGAATTGCTTGAGCCCAGGAGGCAGAGGTTGCATTGAGCCAAGGTCACACCATTGCATTCCAGCCTGGGTGACAGAGCAAGACTCTTGTCTCAAAAAAAAAGAAAGAAAGAAAAAAGAAATGGTTAAGAGTCTGGGCTCTGAAGTCAGGAGGCAAAACCCAGTTCTCCCTCTAATCTTTGTGAACTTGGGAAAGTTTTGTCGTTTTTTTTTTTTTTTTTTTTTTTTTTTTGGCAGAGTCTTGCTCTGTCACCCGGGCTAGAGTGCAGGGGTGCATCTCAGCTTACTGCAGCCTCTGCCTCCTGGGTTCAAACGATTTTTGTGCCTCAGCCTCCCGAGTAGCTGGAATTATAGGCATGTGCCACCACGCCCAGCTAATTTTTGCATTTTTAGTAGAGACAGGGTTTCACCATGTTGACCAGGCTGGTCTTGAACTCCTAGCCTCAAGTGATCCACCCGCCTCTGCCTCTCAAAGTGCTGGGATCACAGGCATGAGCCACCGCACCCAGCCAGAGAAAATTTTTAACCTGAGGGTTAAATGAAAGAAGGCATGCGTAGTACTTATTAGTCTCTCTCACATAGCCAGTACTCATTAAGTGTTAGAAGCTACTATGTCTTCTTAATAATTCTACTATTCTACTACTGGAGAAGGCAAAAATTCTGTAATATGGTTACAATGCTAGATAAACCAGGAGTCTCATCCCCTTCAACCTTATGTGAGTAAAACTACAGGTCTTAATGCCACCATACTCATCCATTTCTTCATGAATCAGTATTTCACAGTAAATGATATGGCAGAGATGATCTCCAAGAAGCTTGTTTATTATGAGTTCCTATATTTATACCCCCATATTAATACCCCATCAATGCCTTGCCCTCAATTTAGGTCCCGAAGTACTCTACTTTCTGTAGGTTCTTAACTACTGCCCTAATTTCAGACCTAATTCTTATAGCAGTGACTTCTTTAAGTGTCAGAGCACAGAGGAAAGGGCATTAAATAATCATATATATTTGGTTACAGAAAAAAAATTGAGAATCAATTTATTTCTCACCTTGAGGATTTGGGGAAATAGAGACATCCCCCATTCTGTTGTCTCATTAGCTAAGGTCTACATTAGGCCCATATCATAGGCAAAAACAAACACAACACCTCATTTTGGTCAGAATAAAGAAAAGTGAGCCGGGTGTGTGGCTCATGCCTGTAATCCCAGCATTTTGGGAGGCTGAGGTGGGAGGATTCCTTGAGCTCAGAAGTTTGAGGCCAGCCTGGGCAATATAGTGAGACTTTGTCTCACTAAAAATAAAAAAAAATTAGCCAGGCGTGGTGGCACGTACCTGTAGTCCCAGCTACTTGGGATGCTGAGGTGGGAGGATTGCTTGAGCCTGGGAGATCGAGGCTGCAGTGAGCTATGATCACACCATTGGACTCCAGCCTGGATGACAGATGGAGACCCTGTCTCAAAAAGAAAAAGAAGAAACGTGGCTTTCAGAGTATGCTTTCCACAAGCCCACTAGGGGTTGCTCTCTGCCCACACAGAGCCAATTCTGAGTGGCGAGGCCTCCCACCTAGAAGTCTTCTTTAGCACAGGTTCCACAGCTAAAATAAGTCCAGAGCATAATTTAACTCTGGTAGGAAACCACCCCAGGGTATTCACTGACCATCAGCCGGTTCTTTTTCCATCTAGGAATAGGCATAAGGATCAAACACACAAGGTCGATAGAAGAGGGGCACAGTCATCACCACCTTCCTCGAGAATAGCCTTCTTTGACTTTCCTGATCTGGATAAATGTATTTCCCCTCTGAATTCCTACAACAATTACTGTCTGTGCAACTCATTTTCCCAGCTTCCTCTAGGTATCATCCAGTGTCCAACACCTCTGCTCAAAGTGACTGCTTCCAGAACAACAGTGCAACTTAGGCAGTTGCTGAACCAGAGTAAAACTCTTAGGGACAGGCCGGGCACGGTGGCTCACGCCTGTAATCCCAGCAGTTTGGGAAGCTGAGGAGGGCAGATCACTTGAAGTCAGGAGTTCAAGACCAGCCTGGCCAACACTCCAACCTGAGTGACAGAGCCAGACCCTGTCTGAAATAAATAAATAAATAAATAAATAAATAAATAAATAAATAAATCAAACAAATAAATCAGAGATCTTTAGGTATGCTTAAAGGATTGGAAACTGGGAGAGGCCTGGAGCTGTCGAGACAGCACCCCAGAAGGCCCCTGAGTGAGTCATTCACTCCTAACCCTGGTATTACAATGTCTTAAAAGTCTTCCAACCTCATCTACTAAAGCAGTGGTGTCCATATCTTTTGGCTTTCCTGCACATTGGAAGAAAAAGAATTGTCTTGGGCCAAACATAAAATACACTAACGATTCTGATGTGCTAAAAAAAACAAAAAATTGCAAAAAAAATATTGTTTTAAGAGAGTTTACAAATTTGTGTTGGGCCACGGGTTGGACAAGCTTGTCCTAAAGCATCCTTCTCCACAGGTACAGTCTGCCTGGCAGTCAACTGTCTCCTGGGCTAGACACACAATATGAAAGTCCTAACAACAGTCAAGACAAGAGTCCAGCTCAAAGTGGTACTGTTCCTAACACATTCTCCATGTGTCAACCGTCTTCCCACAAGTCTGAGTTTACATCCACTTGAATGGCTCTAACTTTCTGAAACCCAAATAATTCAATAGAAGACCCCATTTTTAATCTACTCTACTTTCTGCAACTTAGTTTATCTACTGAATCAGGGGAGACTGACTTATTTGGTTCAAGACAGGTTAAAAGAGACTCTAGGACACTCCGAGATGAAGCAAGCCACTTGAACCCTCCCCAGCCCTGAGCCAGAGGAGACTATCTTGCACTTGGAAATTTAAATGAAGGACAGGCAAGCCTAGTGATCCATCAACTTACACCACAAGCCCGTTTGACACTTCACACACATCCTTCTCCACCAAGGGTAGTTGATTCCGGGGCTTCACATGGACGTGTGAGGCTGGGACAGAGAGGTACCCTCCATCAGATTCACATACAGGAAAGCTGGCTCAGTCTCCCTGACGTACACACACCTCACCCCATCCTCAAATCCCTTCCATCCAGGGAGTGGCTCATAAGACAACCGTCTCTAAAACAAGCTCCTGGGGGATAGGGAGACTCGGAGAGAGAAGATCGCAGTTAGGGATTGGCTCGGGGGTTCTCAATCCGATCGTTCTCCAGAGCCATTCGAACGCCAGAGCCTCCCGGGCGTCTTGAGTTGGGCTGGGCAGGTTCTGCGAACTGCGACCAAGTCCCACTCCGCTGTCGGACACAGTCTCCACTCGATGCCTGAAACCTCCTGGGAAGTGAAGTTCTAGGGCCAGCCTCACTGTAAGTCACAGGCTTCTACACTACATCTTCAGGTAATCGAGGACTACTTAGATCGCGACCTCAGTACGAGTTACTCAGCCCAGGAACCCCCAAACCTCATCTTTCCCTTGGCAAAGTGAGACCACCCCGTGTTCCCCAGATCCCCAAGTCCTATTTTCTCCTTTGGACTAATATGAACTTAAAGAGACACGGACATGAGAAAGTATTTGAGAGAAAAAAAAAAAGTAAGTAAAGACAATGAGGTAAAAAAAAAAAATTTGGGTGGGCGCGATGGCTCACGCCTGTAATCTCAGCACTTTGGGAGGCCGAGGTGGCGATGGGGGGAGGGGGAGGGGATCAACTGAGGTCAGGAGTTCGAGACCAGCCTGACCAACATGATGAAACCCCATCTCTACTAAAAATACAAAAATTAGCCGGGTATAGTGGCATGCGCCTATAATCCCAGCTGCTCGGGAGGCTGAGGCAGGAGAATCGCTTGAACTCGGGAGGCCGAGGTTGCAGTGAGCCAAGATCATGCCATTGCACTCCAGCCTGGGTGACAAGAGCAAAACTCCATCTCAAAAAAAAAAAAAAAAAAAAAGGCCAGGTGCGGTGGCTCACGCCTGTAATCCCAACACTTTGGGAGACAGAGGTGCGATGACCTGAGGTCAGGAGTTCGAGACCAGCCTGACCAACATGGTGAAACCCCATCTGTACTAAAAATACAAAATTAGCCAGGCGTGGCGGTGCATGCCTGTAATCCCAGCTACTCAGGAGACTGAGGCACGCGAATCACTTGAACTTGCAATGAGCCAAAATCGCACCATTGCGCTCCAGCTTGGGCAACAAGAACGAAACTCTGTCTCAACAAACAAACCAAAAAATAATTTTTTTTAATAAAATAATTCTTAAAAAGATAAACAAAAACACAAACCGAGTGTGGTGGTGCCCGCCTGTAGTCCCAGCTACTCTGGAGGCTGAGTGGGAGAGGATCGCTTGAGCCCAGGAGTTCAAGTCCAGCCTAGGCAACATCGCGAGAGCCCAGTCTCCAAAACAAATATAATCTTAAAAAAAAAAAAAGACAATGAGGTAGTGCGAGAATTACAGTTCCTTTCTATCAGTGTACATTAGTTTGAATTTCCAAGAGTTTTATATAAATGGAATCGTACAGCTTTACTGAGATATAAATTCATACACCATTTAAAATTTACAATTCAGTGGTTTTTGGTATATTACATTTTTAATTTTTATTTATTGTTTTTATAATTTTAAAATAAATTTAAAATTTTTAATTAATTTTATTTCTTTATTCATTTATTTTTTGAGACAGAATCTCACTCTGTCCCTAGGCTGGAGTGCAGTGATATGACCACAGCTCACCCCAGCCTCCACCTCCTGGGCTCAGGTGATCCTCCCACCACAGCCTCTCCACTACAGGCGAGCACCACCATGCCCAGCTAATTTTTGTATTTTTTGTAGAGACAGGGTTTCACCATGTTGCCCAGGCTGGTCTCGAACTCTTGGGCTCAAGTGATCTGCCCACCTCAGCCTCCCAAAGTGTTAGAATTATGCATGCGGCCTGTGTCTTTGCTGTTTTGTTTTGTTATGTTTTGTTTTGTTTTGTTGAGACAGAGTCTCGCTCTGTTATCCAGGCTGGAGTGCAGTGGTGCAATCTCGGCTCACTGCAACCTCCACCTCCCGGGTTCAAGCGATTCTCCTGCCTCAGCCTCCTAAGTAGCTGAGACTACAGGCACGCGCCACCACACCTGGCTAATGTTTGTATTTTTAGTAGAGAGGGGGCTTCGCCATGTTGGCCAGGTTGGTCTCAAATTCCTGACCTCAGGTGATCTGCTCTTCTCGGCCTCCCAAAGTGCTAGGATTACAGGCGTGAGCCACCGTGCCCAGCCACCTGTCTAGTTTTACTTTTTGCAGAGACAGGTCTCTGTGTTGCCCAGGCTGGTCTTGAACTCCTGGGCTCAAGCAATACACCTGCCTTCAGCTCCCAAAGTGCTGAAATTATAGGTGTGAACCACTGCACCTGGCAAATCTTGCTTTTCTACCCAATCTGATCATCTCTACCCTGTAATTAGGGTGTTAAGAACATCTAAGTTTAATGATTGTTAATATAATTAGATTTGGGTCTATCATCTTGTTTTTATTCGTCCCATCTCTTTGTTCTCTTTTTCTGACTTCTTTTGGATTAGTCAATATTACTTTTATTCCATTATATCTCCTATATTGGGTTATTAGCTATTCCTCCTTGTTTTAGTGGTTGCTTACAGGTTTATAGAGACATTTTTAACCTATCTCCATCTACCTTCAAATATTATACTATTTCACAGAGAGTGTAACAGCCTTACATTAATAGGCCAGGTGCGGTTGCTCACGCCTGTAATCTCAGCACACTGGTAGGCTGAGGCAGGCAGATCATCTGAGGTCAGGAGTGCGAGACCAGCCTGGCCAACATGGCAAAACCCCATCTCTACTAAAAATACAAAAATTGGCCAGGTGTGGTGGTGCATGCCTGTAGTCCCAGCTACTCGGGAGGCTGGGGCAGGAGAATCGCTTGAACCTGGGAGGTGGAGATTACAGTGAGCCGAGATCATGCCACTGCACTCCAGCCTGGGCAATAGAGCGAGACTCCCTCAAAAAAAAAACAAACCTTACATTAATATATTTCCAGGTTGGGCACAGTGGCCCATGCCTAATAATTCCAGCACTTTGCAAGGCTGAAGTGGGCAGATTGCATGAGCTCAGGAGTTTGAGACTAGCCTGGGCAACACGATGAAACCCTGTTTCTACCAAAAATAGACTTTATTTTTTAGAGCAATTTTAAGTTCACAGTAAAATCAAGTGGAAAGTACAGAGAGTTCCCATATATTCCGTGCTGCACCCCACAACCTCCCCTACTATCAAACTCTAGCATCAGAATGGAAAAAGAGAACAAAGAACAGTGTGCTATTGTTGAGCTGACTGGGCATGGTGGCTCATGCCTGTAATCCCAGCACTTTTAGAAGCCGAGGTGGGTGGATCACTTGAGGTCAGGAGTTCAAGACTAGCCTGGCCAACATGGTGTAAACCCTGTCTCCATTAAAAATACAAAAATTAGCCGGGCATGGTGGCACGCACCTGTAATCCCAGCTACTCGGGAGGCTAAGGCACGAGAATCGCTTGAACCCAGGAGTTGGAGGTTGCAGTGAGCCAAGATCATGCCACTGCACTCCAGCCTGGGTGACAGAGTGAGACTCCATCGGAAAAATAAATAAATAAATAATTGTTGGCCGGGTGCGGTGACTCATGACTATAATCCCAGCACTTTGGGAGGCCGAGGCAGGCAGATCACCTGAGGTCGGGAGTTCGAGACCAGCCTGACCAACATGGAGAAACCCCGTCTCTAATAAAAATACAAAATTGGCTGAGCGTGGTGGCGCATGCCTGTAATCCCAGCTACTCGGGAGGCTAAGGCAGGAGAATCGCTTGAACCCAGAGGCAGAGGTTGCTGTTAGCCGAGATTGCGCCATTGCACTCCAGCCTGGGCAACAAGAGCGAAACTCAGTCTCAAAAATAAAATGAGGCTGGGCGCGGTGGCTCACACCTGTAATCCCAGCACTTTGGGAGGCCGAGGTGGGCGGATCACGAGGTCAGGAGATTGAGACCATCCTGGCTAACACGGTGAAACCCCGTCTCTACTAAAAATACAAAAAAATTAGCTGGGCGTGGCGGCAGGCACCTGTAGTCCCAGCTGCTGGGGAGGCTGAGGCAGCAGAATGGCGTGAACCCGGGAGGCGGAGCTTGCAGTGAGCTGAGATCGCGCCACTGAACTCCAGCCTGGGTGACATAGCAAGACTCTGTCTCAGAAAATAAAATAAAATTAAATTAAATTAAAATAAGTAAGTGAATAAATAATTGTTGAGCCTACACTGACACATTACTATCATTCAAAAGTCCGTAGTTTATTTTAAGGTTCACTCTTGGTATTATACATTCTATGGGTTTTGACAAATGTATAATGACATGTTTTCACTATTATGGTATCATACAGAATAGTTTCCCTGTCTTAAAAATCCTCTGTACTCCACGTATTCATCCCTCTTCCCCCCAACCCCTGGCAACCACAGATCTTTCTACCATCTCCATAGTTTTGCCCTTTCCAGAATGTCATATAGTTGAAATCATCCAGTATGTAGCCTTTTCAGATTGGCTTCTTTCAGTTAGTAATTGCATTTAAGCTTCCTTCATGTCTTTTCATAGCTTGATAGCCATTTCCCTTTTGAGAAGCCAGAAATTTTATTTATTTTTTTTCTTTTCTTTTTTCAAAAGAAGGTAGCCTTATAAGGAGAGCCAGAAATTTAAGGAAATCTTTGTCAGGTCATCGACTGACCTCAGAGATAACAGAACAGAAACTTTAGTGGCGACACACAACAAGGAATATACAATTTGCAAAAATTAGTTTGTGGAAGTCACAAACAGATAGCTCTGGCCTTCAACAAGCAAGATTCAGCAATCCCTGAGGAGGAGATTTAGATCTCCAGAGTTACTACAAAATAATACTTAAAATGTCCAGTTCTCAAATGAATTATAAAACATACAAATAAACAAGAAAGTAAGGCTGGGCGCGGTGGCTCACGCCTGTGATCCCAGCACTTTGGGAGGCCGAGGTGGGTGGATCACGAGGTCAGAAGTTTGAGACCAGCCTGACCAACATGGTGAAACCCCGTCTCTACTAAAAATACAAAAATTAGCCGGACATGGTGGCGCATGCCTGTAATCCCAGCTACTCAGGAGGCTGAGGCAGAAGAATTGCTTGAGCCTGGGAGGCAGAGGCTGCAGTGAGCCAAGATCGTGCCACTGCACTCCAGCCTGGGCTACAGAGCAAGACTCCGTCTCAAAGAAAAAAAAAAGAAAAAAGAAAGTATGGCCCAACCACAGGAAAAACAGAATTTGACAGAAACCATCCCAGAGGAGGCTCAGAAATTGGAATTACTAGTCAAAGATATTAATCACCTGTCTTTTTTTTTTTTTTTTTTTTGAGACAGAGTCTCACTCTGTCGCCCAGGCTGGAGTCGCAATCTCGGCTCACTGCAAGCTCCGCCTCCCAGGTTCATGCCATTCTCCTGCCTCAGCCTCCCGAGTACCTGGGACTACCGGTGCCCACCACCACGCCTGGCTAATTTTTTGTATTTTTAGTAGAGATGGGGTTTCACCGTGTTAGCCAGGATGGTCTCAATCTCCTGACCTCGTGATCCGCCCGCCTCGGCCTCCCAAAGTGCTGGGATTACAGGCGTGAGCCACCGCACCCGGCCTAATCACCTGTCTTAAATATGTTCAGTGAGCTAAAGGAAACCATGTACAAAAAATTAAAGTAAATCAGTGAAATAATGTATGAAAAAATGAGAATATTGATAAAGAGATAGAAATTAGAGCAGGCAGAAGAAAGGATCACAGACTTGAAGATGAGTCAATTGAAATTATCCATTCTAAAGATCGAGGCAAAAGAATGAAGAAAAATAAACAGAACCTGAGCGACCTATAGGACATCATCAGACATACCAACATATGCATTTTAGGAGTATCAAAAGGAGAAGAGAGAAAGAAAAAGACAGAAATACATATACAAGCTCCCTCTCCCTCTCCCTCTCCCTCCGCTCCCCCTCCCCCTCCCCCTCCCCCTCTCCCTCTCCCCACGGTCTCCCTCTCCCCACGGTCTCCCTCTCTTTCCATGGTCTCCCTCTGATGCCGAGCTGAAGCTGGACTGTACTGCTGCCATCTCGGCTCACTGCAATCTCCCTGCCTGATTCTCCTGCCTCAGCCTGCCGAGTGCCTGCGATTGCAGGCGCACGCCACCACGCCTGACTGGTTTTCGTATTTTTTTGGTGGAGACGGGGTTTCGCTGTGTTGGCCGGGCTTGTCTCCAGCTCCTAACCGCGAGTGATCCGCCAGCCTCGGCCTCCCGAGGTGCCGGGATTGCAGACGGAGTCTTGTTCACTCAGTGCTCAATGGTGCCCAGGCTGGAGTGCAGTGGCGTGATCTCGGCTCGCTACAACCTTTACCTCCCAGCCGCCTGCCTTGGCCTCCCAAAGTGCCGAGATTGCAGCCTCGGCCCGGCCGCCACCCCGTCTGGGAAGTGAGGAGCGTCTCTGCCTGGCCGCCCATCGTCTGGGATGTGAGGAGCCCCTCTGCCTGGCTGCCCAGTCTGGAAATTGAGGAGCGTCTCTGCCCGGCCGCCATCCCATCTAGGAAGTGAGGAGCGCCTCTTCCTGGCCGCCATCCCATCTAGGAAGTGAGGAGCGTCTCTGCCCGGCCGCCCATCGTCTGAGATGTGGGGAGCGCCTCTGCCCGGCCGCGACCCCATCTGGGAGGTGAGGAGCGTCTCTGCCTGGCCGCCCCATCTGAGAAGTGAGGAGACCCTCTGCCTGGCAACCGCCCCGTCTGAGAAGTGAGGAGCCCCTCCACCCGGCAGCCGCCCCGTCTGGGAAGTGAGGAGCGTCTCCGCCCGGCAGCCACCCCGTCCGGGAGGGAGGTGGGGGTCAGCCCCCGCCAGGCCAGCCGCCCCGTCCGGGAGGGAGGTGGGGGGGGTCAGCCCCCCAGCCGGCCAGCCGCCCCGTCCGGGAGGGAGGTGGGGGAGTCAGCCCCCCGCCCGGCCAGCCGCCCGGTCCGGGAGGTGAGGGGCGCCTCTGCCCGGCCTCCCCTACTGGAAGTGAGGAGCCCCTCTGCCCGGCCAGCCGCCCCGTCCGGGAGGGAGGTGGGGGGGTCAGCCCCCCACCCAGCCAGCCGCCCCGTCCGGGAAGGAGGTGGGGGGTGTCAGCCCCCCGCCCGGCCAGCCGCCCCGTCCAGGAGGTGAGGGGCGTCTCTGCCCGGCCGCCCCTACTGGGAAGTGAGGAGCCCCTCTGCCCGGCCAGCCACCCCGTGCGGGAGGGAGGTGGGGGGTCAGCCCCCCGCCCGGCCAGCCGCCCCGTCCGGGAGGTGAGGGGCGCCTCTGCCTGGCCGCCCCTGCTGGGAAGTGAGGAGCCCCTCTGCCCGGCCACCACCCCGTCTGGGAGGTGTGCCCAGCGGCTCATTGAGAACGGGCCATGATGACAGTGGCAGTTTTGTGGAACAGAAAGGGGGGAAAGGTGGGGAAAAGATTGAGAAATCGGATGGTTGCCGTGTCTGTGTAGAAAGAAGTAGACATGGGAGACTTTTCATTTTGTTCTGTACTAAGAAAAATTCTTCTGCCTTGGGATCCTGTTGATCTATGACCTTACCCCCAACCCTGTGCTCTCTGAAACATGTGCTGTGTCCACTCAGGGTTAAATGGATTAAGGGCGGTGCAAGATGTGCTTTGTTAAACAGATGCTTGAAGGCAGCATGCTCGTTAAGAGTCATCACCACTCCCTAATCTCAAGTACCCAGGGACACAAACACTGCGGAAGGCCTCAGGGTCCTCTGCCTAGGAAAACCAGAGACCTTTGTTCACTTGTTTATCTGCTGACCTTCCCTCCACTATTGTCCTATGACCCTGCCAAATCCCCCTCTGCGAGAAACACCCAAGAATGATCAATAAAAAAAAATAAAAATAAAAATAAAAATAAAAAAGAAATACATATACAAATATTTATTTGTATGTATAGAAATATACATATACAGGGCGGGCGTGGTGGCTCGTGCCTACAATCCCAGCACTTTGGGAGGCCAAGGCGGGTGGATCACGAGGTCAGGAGTTCAAGACCAGCCTGGCCAAGATGGTGAAACCCTGTCTCTACTAAAAATACAAAAAATTAGCTGGGCACGGTGGCAGGCGCCTGTAATCCCAGCTACTTGGGAGGCTGAGGCAGGAGAATCGCTTGAATTTGGAGGGCGGAGGTTGCAGTGAGCCGAGATCATGCCACTGCACTCCAGCCTGGGTGACAGAGTGAGACTCCATCTCAAAAAGAAAAAAAAAAAAGAAATATATATACATATATTTAATTATATCTAAAACTATATATACGTATATAGTTTCAAAAGAAGATAGGTATATGTATATAGGTATACAGTTTCAAAAGAAGGAAGGTGTATGTATATAGTTTTAGAGACAGGGTCTCACTCTGTCACCCAGGCTGGAGTGTGGTGGTGCAATCATAGCTCACTGCAGCCTCGAACTCCGTGGCTCAAAATGATCCTCCTGCCTCAGCCTCCTGAGTAGCTGGGACTACAGGCATATGCCACCATATCTAATTTTTTAATTTTTTTTTTTTTTTGAGATGGAGTTTTGCTCTTGTTACCCAGGCTGGAGTGCAATGGCACAATCTTGGCTCACTGCAACCTCCGCCTCCCAGGTTCAAGCAATTCTCCTACCTCAGCCTCCTGAGCAGCTGTGATTACAGGCACCTGCCACTACGCCCGGATAATTTTTGTGTGTGTGTGTATTTTTAGTAGAGACGGGGTTTTACCATGTTGGCCAGGCTGGTCGTGAACTCCTGACCTCAGGTGATCCACCTGCCTCAGCCTCCCAAAGTGCTGTGATTACAAGCATGAGCCACCATGCCCGGCCATAATTTTTAAATTTTTTGTAGGGATAGGGCCTTACTATGTTGGCCAGGCTGGTCTTGAATTCCTGACCTCAAGCAATCCTCCTGCATTGGCCTCCCAAAGTGTTGGGATTATAGGCATGAACCACCACACCTAGCCAGAAAAAATACTCGAAGAAATAATGGCCAAAAACTTCTCAAATCTGAGAAAAGACACGAATATACATGTTCAACAGTTAAACTCCAAGCAGGATAAACAAAGAGATCCACATCAAGACACATTACAGTCAAATTGTTGAAAGCCAAAGACAAAGGGATATTTTTTTTTTTTTTTTTAGAGACAGGTCTCACTATGATATTGCCCAGGCTGGTCTTAAACTGCTGGCCTCAATTGATTCTCCCACCTCAGCCTCCCAAAGTGCTGAGATTATTGAGTGTGAGCCACTAGACTGGAAATACCACTAAGAAAAAAACCTTAACATATAGAGAAGGAAAGAAGAAGGGAATCAAAATGGTACACCACCAAAAAAACAACTAAATTTTTAAAAGGCAGTAATGGAAGAACTGAGGAACGAAACCCATACAAGACATAAAGAAACAAATAGATGGCCGGGCACGGTGGCTCACACCTGTAATCCCAGCACTTTGGGAGGCTGAGGCGGGCGGATCACGAGGTCAGGAGATAGAGACCATCCTGACTAACATGGTGAAACCCCATCTCTACTAAAAATACAAAAAATTAGCCGGGCGTGGTGGCGGGTGCCTGTGGTCCCAGCTACTCGGGAGGCTGAGGCAGGAGAATGGCGTGAACCCAGGAGGTGGAGCTTGCAGTGAGCCGAGACCACACCACTGCACTCCAGCCTGGGTGACAGAGCGAGACTCCATCTCAAAAAAAAAAAAAGAAACAAATAGATAAATGGCAAAAGTAAATCCCTCTTTATCAGTATTCACATTATGTATACATGGATTAAACTCTCCTAGTAAAAGGCAGAAATTAGCAGGTTAGATTTTTAAAAAGATCCATCTATATACTGTCCATAAGAGTCTCATGTTAGATATAAGGACACAAAGAGATTGAAAGTAAAAAGATTGGGAAAGATACTGCATGCAAATAGTAATCAAAAGAGAGCTGTGGTGACTACATTATTGTCAGACAAAATAGGCTTTACACCAAAAAAGTTTAGACAAAGGACATTAAATATTGATAAAAGGTTTATACAGCAAGAAGATATAACAATTATAAACATGTATACACCTGTCTTAGTCCATTTTGAGTTGCTATAACAGAATACTCAAGACTGAGTAATTTATAAACAAAAAAGGTATTTAGCTCACAGTTTTGTAGGCTGGGAAGTTTAAGGGCATGGCCCTGGCTTCTGGCAAGGGGTTTCATGCTACATCATAACATGGCAGAGAAGGTCAAAGTGGAAACAGACACCTGTGAACAAACAAAAGTTGAGGGGCATCCTGATTTTATAACAATCCATTTTCATGGAAATTAATCCATTCCAGCAAGAACTAATCCAGTCTCACCAGAGCAGGAACTCACTCACTACCATAAGAATGATACTAAGCCATTCAAGAGGGATCTCCATCCCCCTCCATGAGCCAAACACTAGGCCCCACCTCCCAACATGGCCACACTGATGATCAAATTTCAACATGAGTGTTGGTGGGGACCAAATCATAGCAGCACCTAATAACAGAGTTCCAAAATATATAAGCCAAAAATTGACAGAAATGAAGGGGAAAAATACTTCTACAATAATAGTTGGAGACCTCAATACCCCACTTTCAATAATGGCCAATACAACCAGACAAAGGGTCAATGTAGAAATGGAAGATTTGAACAAAACTATAAACCAATTAGACCTAACAGACATATGCAGAACAATAGCAGAATACAAATTCTTCACAAGTGTACATGGAATATTTTGAGGAAAGACCATATGTTAGGCCACAAAACAAGCCTCAATAAATTGAAACAGATTGAAATAATCTTTTGTGATCTGATCACAATGAAATGAAACTAGAAAGCAACATAATTAAACTGGAAAATTCACAAGTATGTGGAAATTAAACAACACATTCTAAAACAATCAGTGGGTAATAGAAGAAATCACAAGTGAAATGAGAAAATACTTTGAGACAAATTAAAATGAAAACACAAAATACTAAAACTTACCGGATGCAGTGAAAGCAGTGGGAACAGGGAAATTTGTAGTTGTAAATACATACATTAAAAAAGAAATGTCTCAGCCAGGTGCAGTGGCTCATGCCTCTAATCCCAGCACTTTGGGAGGCCGAGATGGGCAGATCACTTGAGGTCAGGAGTTCAAGACCAGCCTGGCCAACAGGATGAAACGCTGTCTCTATTAAAAATACAAAAAATTAGCTGGGCGTGGTGGTGAGTGCCTGTAATCCTAGCTACTCGGGAGGCTGAGGTAGGAAGTAGGAGGCTTGAAGCAGGGGGGTAGAGGTTGCAATGAGCCGAGATTGTGGGACTGCACTCCAGCCTAGGCGACAGAGCGACACTCCATCTCAAAAAAAAAAAGTCTCCAATTAATAACCTAAATATATACCTTAAGGAATAAGAAAAAAAAGAGCAACCTTTGGGAAACAGAGGCAGGAGGACTGCTTGAGTCCAGGAGTTCAAGACCAGCTTCGGTAACAGAGTAAGACCCTGTCTGTTAAAAAAAGAAAGAAAAGAGAAAAGAAAAAGAAAAATAGAAAAGACCCAAATAATTAAAATCAGAAATGAAGATGGGAACATTATTACCAAACCGACTTTTCATAGCCTACATCTTAAGATTAAGGTGTTTAAAAACCCAGAGGGAGGGATTGAAACCGCCTTTGCAAAATTATAACTGAGACAATGAAAGAGATCTAACTTAACTGACTTCATCTTGCTTCTAACCTCCAAGCTGTCCTTGTTCATTCCTGGGCGCAGGCTGAACTAACTTTGGGAAAAACTTAGTTTATAGTTTATAGTTTAAACAAAGACGGTAACAGCCCTTTCCCAAAGCAGACCTCCTTTTTGCCTGGGGACTAGATTGCCTTTGTGAGACTAACATTAGCTACAAGATTAGAATTTACAGTTTAGGAGTCATGCAGCTGGAGGCTACAAGATTCTGACCCACCTAAACTGCTCCTAAAATCTGTGCTTGTCATGCCTGTAATCCCAGCACTTTGGGAGGCCGAGGTGGGCGGATCACGGAGTCAGGAGATGGAGACCATCCTGGCTAACACGGTGAAACCCTGTCTCTACTAAAAATGCAAAAAATTAGCTGAATGGCGTGAACCCGGGAGGCGGAGCTTGCAGTGAGCCAAGATGGCGCCACTGCACTCCAGCCTAGGTGACAGAGCAAGACTCTGTCTCAAAAAAAAAAAAAAAAAACCCTGCTCCCAGGATGCTCTGGGAGACTGATTTGAGTAATAATAAAACTCCGGTCTCCTCCACAGCTGGCTCTGCAAGAATTACTCTTTCTCTATTGCAATCCCCCTGTCTTGATAAATCGGCTCTGTCTAGGCAGCTGGCAAGGTAAACCTCTTGGGCAGTTACAATTGTAAAGAACTGTAAAGTAAGCCAGGTGTGGTGTCTCACGCCTGTAATCCCAACACTGTGGGAAGCCAACACGGGGCGGATTACTTGAGGTCAGGAGTTTGAGACCGCCTGGCCAACATGGTGAAATGCTGTCTCTACTAAAAATACAAAAATTAGCCAGGCATGGTGGTGTGTGCCAGTAATCCCAGCTACTCAGGAGGCTGGGGCAGGAGAATTGCTGTAACCCAGGAGGTAGAAGTTGCAGTGAGCTGAGATCACCCCACTGCACTCCAGCCTGGGCGACAGTGTGAGACCCTATCTCAAAAATAAATAATAATAACTGTAAAGTATTATAACAGAATACTATCAACAACTGTACACCAACAAATTGTATAACCTAGTTGAAATGTGTAAATTCCTAAAAACACATAATCTATCCAGACCAACCCATAAAGAACTAGAAATCCTGAAAAGCTCTATAATTAGTAAGGAGATTGAATCAGTAATAAAAAACCTCCCAACAAAGAAAAGCCCAGGATCATATTGATTCACTGGTGAATTCTACCAAAAATTTAATGAAGAATTAATACTAATCATTTTTTTTTTTTTGAGACGGAGTCTCGCTCTGTTGCCCAGGCTGGAGTGCAGTGGCACGATCTTGGCTCATTGCAAGCTCCGCCTCCCGGGTTCACACCATTCTCCTGCCTCAGCCTCCCAAGTAGCTGGGACTACAGGCACCCACCATCACGCCTGGCTAATTTTTTCTATTTTTTAGTAGAGACGGGGTTTCACCGTGTTAGCCAGGATGGTCCCCATCTCCTGACCTTGTGATCCACTTGCCTCGGCCTCCCAAAGTGCTGGGATCACAGGTGTGAGCCACTGCGCCTGGCCTTTTTTTTTCTTTTTATGGAGACAAGACTCTTGCTCTGTCTCCCAGGTTGGAGTGCAGTGGTGAGATCTCGGCTCACTGCAACCTCTACCTCCCGGGTTCAAGCAATTCTCCTGCTTCAGCCTCCCAAGTAGCTGGAATTACAGGCGCGCACCACCACACCCAGCTAATTTTTCTATTTTTAGTAGAGATGGGTTTCACCATGTCGGCCAGGCTGGTCTTGAACTCTTTACTGCGTGATCCACCCGCCTCGGCCTCCCAAAGTGCTGGGATTACAGGTGTGAGCCACTGTGCCTGGCCAAGAATTAACACTAATCTTTCTGATAGTCTTCTGAAAATTTGAAGAGGAAAGAACACTTCCTAGCTCATTCTATGAGGTCAGCATTACACTGATATCAAAGCCAGAGAAAGACACTATGTGAAAAGAAAACTACAGACCAATATCCTTTATGAATATTGATGCAAAAACCTTAACAAAATGCTAGCAAACCAAATTCAGCAGCATATTAAAAGGTAATAGACCATAACCAACTGGGATTTATTCCTAGAATGCAAGAATGGTTAAACATTGGAAAATCAATCAATGAATATAACTACATTAATAGAATGAAGGAAAAAACCACATGATCATCTCAGTTGATGTAGAAAAAGTATTTGACAAAATCCAACATCCTGTCATGATAAAAAGCAAACAGTAAACTAGGAATAGAAGAGAACTTCCTCAACATGATAAAAAGTACCTATATGAAAAACTCATACGTAACATCATACACAATGGTGAAAGATTGAAAGCTTTCTTCATAAGGTAAGATACTGCCTTCACCACTTCTTTTTTTCTTTTTTTGCGATGGAGTTTCGCTCTTGTTGCCAGGCTGGAGTGCCATGTTGCAATCTCGGCTCACTGCAACCTCCGCCTCCCAGGTTCAAGCAATTCTCCTGCCTCAGCCTCCTGAGTAGCTGGGATTACAGGCATGCACCACCATGTCCAGCTAATTTCGTATTTTTAATAGAGACGGGGTTTCTCCATGTTGGTCAGGCTGGTCTTGAACTCCTGACCTCAGGTGATCTGCCCGCCTCAGCCTCCCAAAGTGCTGGGATTACAGACGTGAACCACCGTGTCCGGCTACCTTCACCACTCCTATTAAATATAGTAGCAGAAGTTTTAGCCAGTAATTAAGCAAGAAAAAGAAATAAAAGTTAACTAGATTGGAAAGGGAGAAGTAAGATTGTCTCTTTTTACAGATGACATGATGGTATATATGTACAAAACCCTAAAGGTTACACAAAAAAAATGATTATAGCTAATAAGTGAATTGAGCAAAGCTGTAGTATACAAAATCAGCACACAAAAATTAATTGAATTTCCATACGCTAGCAATGAAAACTACAAAACATTGCTGAGTGAAATTAAAGAAGACATAAATAAATGGAAAGATATCCTGTCTTCATGGATTGGAAGACATTATATGATGAATTACTCCTCATATTGTTATGATAAAAATACTCTTCTGGTCTGGGCGCAGTGGCTTACGCCTGTAATCCCAGCACGTTGGGAGGCCGAGGCAGGCAGATCACCTGAGGTCAGGAATTCAAGAACAGCCTGGACAACATGGCGAAACCCCATCTTGACAAAAATACAAAAATTAGCCGGGCATGATGGTGAATGCCTGTAATCCCAGGTATTCAGGAGGCTGAGGCAGGAGAATCACTTAAACCCAGGAGGTGGAGGTTGCAGTGAGCCGAGATTGTGCCATTGCACTCCAACTTGGGCGATAGAGCAAGACTTAGTCTCAAAAAAAAAAAAAAACCCACTTCAAAATGATATACAGATTCAATGCAATCCATATCAAAATCCCAATGCAATTTTTGGCAGAAATAGAAAACGCACCCTCAAATTCATGTGGAATCGGCCAGGCACTGTGGCTCATGCCTGCAATCCCAGCACTTTGGGAGGCCTAGGCGGGCGGATCACGAGGTCAGGAGTTTGAGATCAGCCTGACCAACATGGCCGGACCAACATTACCCTGTCTGTAATAAAAATACAAAAAAAAAAAATTTAGCCAGGCGTGGTGACCCGTGCCTGTTATCCCAGCTACTTGGGAGGCTGTGGCAGGAGAATCGCTTGAACACGGGAGGCAGAGTTGCAGTGAGCTGAGATCACACCACTGCACTCCAGCATGGGC
Organism: Homo sapiens; assembly: GCF_000001405.40. Lineage (NCBI taxonomy): Eukaryota > Metazoa > Chordata > Mammalia > Primates > Hominidae > Homo > Homo sapiens. The sequence goes on along the minus strand of NC_000023.11, from coordinate 71,333,132 downwards.
AACAGAGTGAGACTCAGTCTCAAAAAAAAAAAAAAATCATGTAGAATCTGAAGGGACTTCAATTATCTAAAACAGTCTTTAAAAAGAAGAAAAAAAAGTTGGAGGACTTACACTTCCAGATTTGAAAACTTACTACAAAAGCTACAGTAATCAAAAGAGTGTGATACTGGCATAAAGACACACATATGGACCAATGGAATAGACTAGAGAGCCCAGAAATAAATCCTCACATATATGGTCAATTGATCTTTTTTAGTTTTTATATTTTAAATTATAAATTGACAAGTTATAGTTGTAAATATTTATGGGGTACAAAGTGATGCTATGACTCATGAATACAAGCAGAATAATTAAATCAGGCTAATGAACACATTCAGCACCTCAGATACTCACCATTTTTGTGGTAAGAACATTTGAAATTTACTCTCTTAGTGATTTTTGTTTTGTTTCATTTTGTTTTATTATGTTTTGTAGAGACGTAATCTCTCTATGTTGCCCAGGCTGGTCTCAAACCTCAAACTCCTGGCCTAAAGCGATCCTCCTCCCACTTCAGCCTTCCAAAGTGTTGAGATTACAGGTGTGAGCCAGCACACTTGGCTTCTCTTAGCAATTTTGAAATGTGCAATGCATTATTATTTACTATATTCACTACACTGTGCAATATATCTCAAATTTTTTTTTTTTTTTTTTGAGATAGAGTTTTGCTCTTGTTGCCCAGGCTGGAGTGCAGTGGCGTGATCTCAGCTCACTGCAACCTCCGCCTCCCGGGTTCAAGCGATTCTCCTGCCTCAGCCTCCTGAATAGCTGGGATTGCAGGCGCATGCCACCATGCCCGGCTAATTTTTGTATTTTTAGTAGAGACGGGGTTTCGCCATGTTGGCCAGGCTGGTCTGGAACTCCTAACCTCAGGTGATCCACCTGCCTCAGCCTCCCGAAGGGCTGGGATTACAGGCGTAAGTCACCGCACCCATCCTTATATCTCAAATTTACAAGAAAGGTATCCCTCCTAATTGAGGCTTTGTACCCTTTGACCATCATCTCCCCATTTCCTCCACCCCTCAGCCTCTGTTAAACACCATTCTATTTTCTGCTTCTTTGAGTTTAATTGTTTTAGATTCCACGTATGAGTAGAGAACAGTATTTGCAGCACTATTCACAATAGCCCTGTTATGGAATCACCCTAAGTGTCCATCAACAGATGACTGAATAAAGAAAATGTGGTATATATATGCAACTGAATACTATTCATCCATAAAAAACAAGGAAATTTTGTCATTTGTGATAACATAGATGGAACTGGAGAACATGAGGCCAAGTGAAATAAGCCAGGCATGGAAAGGCAAACACTACGTATTCTCAATTGATTTTGACAAGGGGGTACCAACAATATTCAATGGGGAAAAAGAGAGTCTCTTCAACAAATGGTGCAGAGAAAACTGTATATCGAGATGCTACAGAATGCAGTTGAACCCTTACTTTACCTTACACTTTTTTTTTTTTTTTTTTTTTGAGACAGAGTCTTGCTCTGTTGCCCAGACTGGAGTGCAGTGACACCATCTCGGCTCACTACAACCTCCGCCTCCTGGGTTCAGGCGATTCTCCTGCCTCAGCCATCCAAGTAGCTGGGATTACAGGTATGTGCCACCATGCCCGGCTAATTTTTGTTTTTTTGTTTGTTTGGTGACCAGCCTGGCCAACATGGAGTAACCCTGTCTCTACTAAAAATACAAAAATTAGCCGGGCGTGGTGGCGAGCACCTGTAGTCCCAGCTACTCAGGAGGCTGAGGCAGGCAAATCGCTTGAACCCAGGAGGCGGAGGTTGCAGTGAACCTAGATCACGCCACTGCACTCCAGCCTGGGCAACAGAATAAGACTCTGACTCAAAAAAAAAAAAAAAAGAAAGAAAGAAAAGAAATGACTCACAGCTCGACTTAAAAAATCAGGGCTTAGGCTGGGTGTAGTGGCTCACGCCTGTAATCCCAGCAGTTTGGGAGGCTGAGGTGGGTGGATCACAAGGTCAGGAGTTCAAGACTAGCCTGGCCAAGATGGTGAAACCTCATCTCTACTAAAAATACAAAAAATTAGCTGGGCATGGTGGCAGGCGCCTGTAATGTCAGCTACTCGGGAGGTTGTGGCAGAGAACTGCTTGAACCCAGGAGGTGGAGGTTGCAGTGAGCCGAGATCACGCCACTGCACTCCAGCCTGGGAGACAGAGAGAGGCTCTGTCTCAAAAAAAAAAAAAAAAATCAGGGCTTAGAACAGTGTATATATTATTCTATTATTTGTGTAAAAAATAGCATTCATATATGTGCTTATATTTGGATCAATTGATCTCTGGTAGGAGATATAAAAATGAACAGGAATTGCCTGTCAGCAAGGAAATTTGGGAACAGGGGAACAGAGATGGACAACTCTTCACATACCTTTTTCTACTATTTGAATTATTTACTTTGTTCTTATAGTATCTTAAAAATATGTTCTCAGCCAGGCGCTGTGGCTCATGCCTATAATCCCACCACTTTGGGAGGCCAAGGCAGTAGGACTGCTTGAGCCTAGGAGTTCGAGACCAGCCTAGGCAACATAGGGAGACTCCATCTCTACAAACAATAAGAATAAATTAGTTGAGTGTGGTGGTGTCTGCTGGTAGTCCCATCTACTTGGGAGGCTGAGGTGAGAGGATCACTTGAGTCCAGGAGGTCAAAGCTGCAGTGAGCCATGATTGCCCCGCTGCACTGGATGACAGAGCAAGACCCTGTTTCAAAAAAAAAAAAAAAACCAACCAAACAAAAAAATTCTCAATAGGCTAGAAACTGTAGAAATTCACAACTTGATAAAGAGTTATCTATGAGAAAACAATTTCAATCATCATACTCAATAGTGAAATATGGCCAGGCGCGGTTGCTCACGCCTGTAATCCCAGCACTTTGGGAGGCCGAGGCGGGCAGATCATGAGGTCAGGAGATCTAGACCATCCTGGCTAACATGGTGAAACCCCATCTCTACTAAAAATACAAAAAAAAATTAGCCAGGCATGGTGGCGGGTGCCTGTGGTCCCAGCTACTCGGGAGGCTGAGGCAGGAAAATGGCGTAAACCCGGGAGGCGGAGCTTGCAGTGAGCCAAGATTGCGCCACTGCACTCCAGCCTGGGCAACTGAGCGAGACTCCATCTCAAAACAAACAAACAAAAATAGTGAAATACTAGTGTCATCCTTCAAAGTCAGAACAAGACAAGAATATTCACCTGTCTTACAAATATTAGTAAGTATTGCTCTGCAGATTCTAGTGAAAACATTAAGACAAAAGAAGATAAAAGTTATAGCTGGGCACAGTGACTCACGCTTGTAATCCCAGCACTTTAGGAGGGTGCGGTGGGTGGATCACTTGAGCTCAGGATTTCGAGACCAGCCTGGGCAACATGGCAAAAACCCATTTCTTAAAAAAACAAAAAAAAATTAAAAAAAGAAGATAAACGTTAGAAATATTGTAAAGAGAGGCTGGGTGTGGTGGCTCACGCCTGTAATCCCAACACTTTGGGAGGCCAAAGCGGGTGGATCATGAGGTGAGGAGATGGAGACCATCCTGGCTAACACGGTGAAACCCCGTGTCTACTAAAAGAATACAAAAAAATTAGCTGGGTGCGGTGGTGGGCGCCTGTGGTCCCAGCTACTCGGGAGGCTGAGGCAGGAGAATGGCGTGAACCCGGGAGGCGGAGCTTGCAGTGAGCCAAGATTGCGCCACTGCACTCCATCCTGGGTGACAGAGCGAGACTCCATCTCAAAAAAAAAAAAAAAAAAGAAATATTGTAAAGAGAGTTATATGTCCCTGTTTATATATGATACATAAACACTCTAAGAGAATCAAGAGATCCTATTAGAATTAAACAGAAAAAAGTTTGATAAGTTTTAAATCAGTAACTTCCCTATTTATTTCTTTTCTCTTTTTATCCTTTTAAAATTTTTTACCTGCTCCCACATTATGGGAATAACTTCCCCTATTTAAAAACAACATTCAGTTAGAAAATATGAGAGGCCAGGCGTGGTAGCTTACATTTTAATGCCAGCAATTTGAGAGGCTGAGGTAGAAGGATCATTAGAGACCAGGAGTTCAAGACCAGCCTGGTCAAAATAGTGAGATCCCATCTCTTAAGAAAAAAAAAAAAAAGGCACGGCGCGGTGGCTCATGCCTGTAATCCCAGCACTTTGGGAGGCCGAGGGGGGCAGATCACAAGGTCAGGAGATCTAGATCATCCTGGCTAACACGGTGAAACCCCGTCTCTACTAAAAATACAAAAAAAATTAGCCAGGCATGGTGGCGGGCGCCTGTGGTCCCAGCTACTTGGGAGGCTGAGGCAGGAGAATGGCGTGAAACCAGGAGGCGGAGCTTGCAGTGAGCCAAGATTGCGCCACTGCACTCCAGCCTGAGCGACAGAGTGAGACTCTGTCTCAAAAAAAAAAAAATCCCATATGCCATTCCAGTGATGGAAAAAAAATGATAGGGGAATAAACCTAACAAGAAATATACAAAACATTTATATGAGTAAAATGACAAAATTTTACTGAAGGCTATAAGTATGAAGACTTTTTTTTTTTTTTTGAGATGGAGTTGTGCTCTTGTTGCCCAGGCTGGAGTGCAATGGCGCGACCTCAGCTCACTGCAACATCCTCCTCTAGGGTTCAAGGGATTCTCCTGCCTCAGCCTCCCGAGTAGCTGGGATTACAGGCGCCTGCCACCATGCCCGGCTAATTTTTTGCATTTTTAGTAGAGCCAGGGTTTCACCATTTTGGTCAGGCTGGTCTCGAACTCCTGACCTCAGGTGATCCACCCGCCTTGGCCTCCCAAAGTGCTGAGATTACAGGCGTGAGCCACCGCACCCGGCCTTATTATTATTTTTTTGAGACAGGGTCTCGCTATCACCCAAGCTGGAGTGCAGTGGCACCATCATAGCTCACCATATCCTTGAACTCCTGAGCTCAAGCAATCTTTCTGCTTCAGTCTCCTGGGAAGCCATGACTACAGGCATGTGCCACCATACCCGGCTAATTTTTTTTTTTTCTTTTTTTTTTGAGACGGAGTCTCGCTCTGTCGCCCAGGCTGGAGTGCAGTGGCGTGATCTCGGCTCACTACTGCTAATAGTGACTTTCTCTGAAGAATAAATTGGAGGGTTCAAGTCTTTTACTTTCCATTGTATTCACTTCTGCAAGTTTGTTGCTTTTTAGAGATGATGGAAGCTCATATCAGAATGTTGAATATTTAAGTGTCACAATGACACAGGTGATATTCAAACCTATCTTCAGTGCGGACTTTTCTCATGAACTCCTATGCTGCATTTACAATTAACTGCCTGCTAGCATGTCCACTGACATGTTTTGCCATTACTTCAAACTCATACCTAAAATAAAATTAATTATCAGAATAATATTCAAATAATATTAGTTCCAGTTCATGGTTTTCCTATTTTTGTTAAAAGCACTAGCTTTCCAGTTGTTACTTAAGCTTGAAGCCTTGGAGTCATCTTATACCCTTCCCTCCTCATCAGAAAAAAAAAAATTAAGTTCAGGGTTTTCTTCTTCTTTTTAATAATATTTTACATGTCTCTCTCCTATTTTTTGTTTGTTTGTTTGTTGGTGTTTGTTTGTTTTTTTTTTTCAGACAAAGTCTTGCTCTGTCACCCAAGCTGGAGTACAGTGGCACGATCTCGGCTCACTGCAACCTCCACCTGCTGAGTTCAAGTGATTCTCTTGCCTCAGCCTCCCGAGTAGCTGAAACTACAGGCACTCACCACCACGTCCAGCTAATTTTTTGTATTTTTAGTACAGATGGGGATTCCCCATGTTGGCCAGGCTGGTCTCAAACTCCTGAGCTCAGGCAATCCACCTGACTCGGCCTCCCGAAGTGCTGAGATTACAGGTGTGAGCCACTGCACCCAGCCTCTCTCCTATCTGTTCTTTGCCATTCCAGTTTAGGTCCTGCATTCAACAAATATTTATTAATCACACATGCTAGGCAATTTTAGTTGCTGGGAAGAGTGCACTAAGATAGACTTATATTCTAGTGAAAGAGAAACAATGTACATGTAAACAAGTAATTATGCAATACAATTGCTAACATATGTTTACCCTGTACCAGGCACTGGGCTAGGGGCTTTGGATGTGTTAACTCATTTAATACTCCTAATGACTCCATGATATAAGCACTGTTATCATCCCCATTTTACAATTGGGGAAACTGAAGCATAGAGCTCTTAAGTAGTTGAAGATCATATAGCTAGTAAGTAGAGAGACAAAATTTAAATCCAGGCATCCTGCTGCTATAGTTTGCCCTTTCAACAATCATGTTCTATTGCTTCTCATGTAAGGAAACTTCAGTCAATAAGGGCTATGGAAAAAATCAAACAGGGTAATGTGATAGTCACTGAGACAGTAGGTGCTAATTTAGAGAATCTTATAAGTAAAATATTTATTCAGAAACAGAATGCTTATTCCTCGGTACTGCAAGGAAAAATCAGCATTCAGACAAAAAGTTTTCGCAGCAAGGCAATTTTACTTTCTACAGAAAGGGTGCTCCTCACAGATGGAACAATGCAGAAATTTTACTTTCTGCAGAAAGTAAAATTGCCTTGCTGAGAAAACTTTTTGTCTGAATGCTAATTTTTCCTTGTGGTACCGAGGAACAAGCATTCTGTTTCTGAATAAACATTTTACTTATAACAAGAAGATGGTCAAAAAAGGCATTTCTGAGAGGTTTTATTTATTATTATTACATATTTTTTTGAGACGGAGTTTCACTCTTGTTGCCCAGGCTGGAGTGCAATGACACAGTCTTGGTTGACTGCAACCTCCACCTCTGTGGTTCAAGAGATTATCCTGCCTCAGCCTCCTGAGTAGCTGGGATTACAGGCATGCACCACCATGCCTGGCTCATTTTGTATTTTTAGTAGAGACGGGGTTTCTCCATGTTGGTCAGGCTGGTCTCGAAATTCCAACCTCAGGTGATCTGCCCACCTTGGCCTCCCAAAGTGCTGGGATTACAGGCGTGAGCCATCACGCCCAGCCCTATTTATTTACAGACAGGTTCTCACTCTGTTGCCCAGACTGTAGTGCAGTGGTGCCATCTTGGCTCCCTACAGCTTCCATGCCCTGGGCTCAAGTGATCCTCCTGCCTCAGCCCCCTGAGTAGCTGGGACTACAGGTGCACACTATCATACCTGGCTAATTTTTGTATTTTTTTGTAGAGACAAGTTTTTGCCATGTTCCTCAGGCTGGTCTCAAACTCCTGGACTCAAGGGATCCTCCTGCCTCAGCCTCATAAAGTGTTGAAATTACAGGTGTGTGCTACCACACCTGGCCTTTTTTTTTTTTTTAATTTTAAAAAATAATGGCCAGAGGCGGTGGCTCACGTCTGTAATCCCAGCACTTTGGGAGGCCGAGGTAGGTGGATCACCTGAAGTCAAGAGTTCAAGACCAGCCTGGCCAACATGGTGAAACCCCATCTCTACTAAAAATACAAAAAATTAGCTGGGCATGGTGGCGGGCGCCTGTAATCCCAGCTACTCAGGAGGTTGAGGCAGGAGAATCACTTGAACCCAGGAGGCAGAGGTTGCAGTGAGCCAAGATCAGGCCACTGCACTCCAGCCTGGACAACAAGAGCGAAACTCCATCTCAAAAAAAAAAAAATCATTTTAGGCTGGGCATGGTGGCTCATGCCTGTAATCCCAGCACTTTGGGAGGCCAAGGTGGGCAGATCACTTGAGGTCAGGAGTTCAACACCAGCCTGGCCAACATGGTGAAACCCCATCTCTACTAAAAATACAAAAATTAGCCAGGCATGGTGGCACATGCCTGTAGTCCCAGGTACTTGGGAGGCTGAGGCAGAATTGCTTGAACCCGGGAGGCGGAGGTTGCAGTGAGCTGAGATCGCACCACTGAACTCCAGCCTGGGCGACAGAGCGATAATCCATCTCAAAACAAAACAAAACAAAACAAAACAAAACAAAAAGTTGTTAATGCTCACTACCTATATCTATTTGTTGAGAATTAAAAATTGTTATATTCTATTATTTTTCTTTTTATTCATTGGAATAGTTGTGTAACAACATGTCCTCTCATCTACTATTTTGTTACCCAGTTCACCTAGGAAAGGCAGGATAAATGTTTGATTTTTTTTCCCCTTCATTGACCAGTTTTCAAGATAATTAATCAGTTCCCATCATGAGAGATGATGTTTGAGCTAAGACCTGAATGAAGAGCCAGCTATTCAAATATCTGGAGGAAGAGGCCAGGGGTGGTGGCTCGTGCCTGTAATCCTAGCACTTTGGGAGGTGGGCAGATCGCTTGAGCTCAGGAGTTTGAGACCAGCCTGGGCAATGTGGCGAAACTCTGTCTCTACAAAAAATACAAAAATTAGCTGGGCATGGTGGTGCATGCCTATAGTCTCAGCTGCTTGGAGAGCTGAGGCGGGAGGATCGCTTGAACCTGGCAGTTTGAGACTGCAGTGAGCTGTGATCACACCACAGCACTCCAGCCGGGGCAACACAGTGAGACCCTGTCTCAAAAAAAAAAAAAAAAAAAACAGGCGCAGTGGCTCACGCCTGTAATCGCCTGTAATTCTAGCACCTTGGGAGCCTGAGGTGGGTGGATCATTTGAGGTTAGGCGCTCGAGACCTGCCTGGACAATATGGTGAAACCCTGTCTCTACTAAAAATACAAAAATTAGCTGGGTGTGGTGGCAGGCACCTGTAATCCCAGCTACTTGGGAGGATGAGGCAGGAGAATCACTTGAACCAGGGAGGTGGAGGTTGCAGTGAGCTGGGATTGTACCACTGCACTCCAGCCTGGGGGACAGAGCAAAACTCCTTCTCAAAAAAAAAAGATCTGGAGTAAGAGAATTCCAGCTGGAAGGCCGGGCACGGTGGCTCATGCCTATAATCCCAGCACTTTGGGAGGCCGAGGCGGGCAGATCACCTGAGATCAAGATTTCGAGACCAGCCTGACCAACATGGAGAAACTCTGTTTCTACTAAAAATACAAAATTAGTCGGGCATGGTGGTGCTTGCCTGTAATCCCAGCTACTCAGGAGGCTGAGACAGGAGAGTAGCTTGAACCCAGGAGGTGGAGGTTGCAGTGAGCCAAGATCGCACCATTGCACTCTAGCCTGGGCAACAAGAGCAAAACTCCATCTCAAAAAAAAAAATAGAGAATTCCAGCTGGGCGCAGTGGCTCACGACTGTAATCCCAACACTGAGAGGCTGAGGTAGGCAAATTGCTTGAGCCCAGGAGTTCCAAGACCAGCTTGGCCAACATGGCGAAACCATGTCTCTACAAAAAAATTAGCTGGGCATGGTGGCGTGCATCTGTGGTCTCAGCTACTTGGGAGGCTGAGGTGGGAGGATCACCTGTGTCCGGGAGGTGGAGGCTACAGTGAGCTAAGATCACCACTGCACTCCAGCCAGGGTAACAGAGCGCGAACCTGTCAAAAAAACAAAAAAAGAGAGAGAGAGAGAATTCCAGGCAGGAGTATCAGATAGTGCAGACGAACTGAGGAAGGAGTGAGCTGTATACGTTCAGGGAATACAGAAGACCAGCATGGCCACATTACTTTCACTCCTACCTTTGGAACTATCTCTTAAATCCATTACCCCCTGTTCCATTTTTCCTACCATACCGTTAATCTGGAGTCTCATCTTTCTCCCTTGGACCACTGCAATTACCTTCAACTCATTTCAGTGCCTCCAAGCTTCTCTCTCACCCTACCCAGTTAACCCCTTGGTCACTGAAAGCTTTTAACTCTGTATAGTTTCTTTGGTGAGAATGCATTTATAATTTTACAACAGATGTCACTGGCAAAATAAGATTCATTTAATAGAGGGGAGTGTTTGCTGAAAAAGTATTGCTGGACATCAAAGAATATAGGCTTTGAATTTCATGACATGCAGTAAAAAAAAAAAAAAAGAATATGGGTTTTGTAGTCAGACCTGGATTTAAGTCCCTGCTCTGACACTTGCCAGCTGTGTGACCTAAGGAAAATCATATAACATCCCAGGGATTGTTTCCTCATCTATTAAAAAAAATAGTAATAGGCCAGGCGTGGTGGCTCACGCCTGTAATCCCAGCACTTTGGGAGACTGAGGTAGGTGGATCACCTGAGGTCAGGAGTTCAAGACCAGCCTGGCCAACATGGGGAAACCCCATCTCTACTAAAAAATACAAAAATTAGCCAGTCATGGTGGCACATGCCTGTAGTTCCAGCTATTCGGGAGGCTGAGGCAGGAGAATTGCTTGAGCCCGGGAGTAGAGACTGCAGTGAGCTGATGTCATGCTACCACAATCCTGCCTGGGAGACAGAGCGAGACTCCCAGGCTATCCCGAGATATCTTACATTGATATAAGCCTTTTCCAAATAACTTTTATTTATTTATTTATTTATTGAGACGGAGTCTCACTCTGTTGCCCAGGCTGGAGTGCAGTGGTGCAATGATCGTGGCTCACTGCAACCTCCACGTCCTGGGTTCAAGTGATTCTCCTGCCTCAGCCTCCCGAGTAGCTGGAACCACAGGTGCATGCCACCACGTCTGGCTAATTTTTGTATTTTTAGTAGAGACGAGGTTTTGCCATGTTGGCCAGGCTGTTTTTGAACTCCTGACCTCAGGTGATCTGCCTGCTTCAGCCTCCCAAAGTGCTGGGATTATAGGTGTGAACCACCACACTGGGCCCCAAATAACTTTTGCATCTCTGATCACCTGCTCTCTAACCTCACTGAGATGCCTAGGTAATCCACCTCTCAATTCATCCAGATGAAGTAATTATCTCCCAGTTGTAGTAGTTTTCTCTCCTACACTCCATGAACTGCCACTCCAATGTTACTGTCTCTGAGACCTCTGCCTCCATTATCCTCTTTCTTCCTTTCTGCTCCCAAAGTCCCAGAAACTGCTAGAGGGAGAACGAAGTAGACAAATATAAATTCATGCTGTCCAATTTCAACTTGGCCCTTGCAGCTGCTCAGCAACCCTTTTATTTGTCTCATACATTCCCTGGCACTCTCCCACAGAGGCTGTTCCAGACCTTCCTCTTTCTCTTCAAACTACAAATTCCAGTCTCCCTCCTTCTACTTCTAAAAACTTCATATTAGACAGTTTCATTACATTAACTATCCCTCCTGCAACAAATCAGTATCTTTCTCCCTCCCAGCTCAATCCTCTAGACATCCAGTTCCATTCCTGGGAAAGCAATAAATGTTATTTATCTCTTATTTATCTTTCCAGAGATATTTTATGACTCTATAAGCAAAAATATGGAAAAGAAGGAATTTGCACTGCCTGTTAAAGATAAGTAGGATTGGGCGGGTGTGGTGGCTCAAACCTGTAATTCCAGCACTTTGGGAAGCCAAGGTGGGAGGATCACTTGAGCTCAGGAGTTCAAGATAAGCCTGGACAACATGGCAAGACCACGTCTCTATAAAAATTAAAAATTAGGCCGGGCGTGGTGGCTCACATCTGTAATCCCAGCACTTTTGGAGGCCCAGGCAGGTGGATCGCGAGGTCAGGAGATTGAGACATCCTGGCTAACATGGTGAAACTCTGTCTCTACTAAAAATACAAAAAAATTAGTCGGGCGTGGTGGCGGGCGCCTGTAGTCCCAGCTACTGGGGAGGCTGAGGCAGGAGAATTGCTTGAACCCGGGAGGCAGAGCTTCCAGTGAGCTGAGATCGTGCCACTGCACTCCAGCCTGGGTGACAGAGCAAGATTCCGCCTCAAAAAAAAAAAAAAAAAAAATTAAAAATTAGCCAGGCCTGGTGGCACAAGCCTGTGGTCCCAGCTACTTGGGAGGCTGAGCTGAGAGGATCACTTGAGTCCAGGAGGTCGAGGTTGCAGTGAGCCATGATCCTACCATTACCCTCCAGCTTGGGCAACAGAGGAAGATCCTATCTCAAAAAAAAATTACAAAAATAAATTTTACAACAGATAAGTAGGATTTGGAGGCCAGGTGGAGTGGCTCTAGCCTGTAATCCCAGCACTTTGGGAGGCTAAGATGGGAGAATCGCTTGAGTCTAGGAGTTTGAGACCAGCGTGGACAACATAGTAAGACCTTGTCTCTACAAAAAATTTAAAAATTAGTTGGGCATGGTGGTGCATGCCTGTAGTACCAGGTACCCAAGAGGCTGAGATGGGAGGATCACTTGAGCCCAGGAGGTTGAGGCTGTGGTGAGCCATGGTCACGCCACTGCACTCCAGCCTGGATGACAGAGCAGACTCTCTGTCTCAAAAAAAAAAAAAAAAAAAAAAAAGCCGGGCACGGTGGCTCACGCCTGTAATTCCAACACTTTGGGAGGCCGAGGTGGGTGGATCACTTGAGGTCAGGAGTTCGAGACCAGCCTGGCCAACATGGTGAAACCCCATCTCTACTAAAAAGACAAAAAATTAGCTGGGCGTGGTGGCACACACCTGTAATCTCAGTTACTCGGGAGGCTGAGACAGAGAATCACTTGAATGCAGGAGGTGGAGGTTGCAGTGAGCTGAGATTGCGCCACTATACTCCAGCCTGGGCGACAGAGCTAGACTCTGTCTCCAAAAAAAAAAAAAAAAAAGAAGATAAGTAGGATTTGGATAGGTGAAGAGAAAGGAGATGATATTCCAACCAGGACAAACATCCTGGACAAAGGCACAGAGGTGGGAATTAATAAGATATATTTAGAAAACAGGGTATAGTTTAGAGTAATCCCCTGAGAAATAATCCCAGCTGCTTCCTCAACTGCTACTTCTCCTTTTCCAGTTCTGTCTTTAGCCCAATTGCTTCCCTGCCTGACATGTTCTACATACCAGCTGAGTAGAAATATGACACTACATGGCCCCTCACCCATCCTATCTTGCCTGGACCTTTGTTACTATTTATTAAGCTTTCACGCCAACCATGTGTTTCAGTCTTATTAAAGAGGTCCCAGCTCCTTCCTAAGTCACTTTCCAAGCCAGACATCTTCCATTTCCTTGGTCACCATTAAAAACAGGACAATGAGGCCAGAAGCAGTAGGTCATGCCTGTAATCTCATCACTTTGAGGGCTTGAGGTGGGGGATCACACGGTCAGGAGTTTGAGACCAGTCTGGCCAACATGGTGAAACCCAGTATCTACTAAAAATGCAAAAATTAGCCGGGCGTGGTAGTGGGCACCTGTAATCCCAGCTACTCGGGAGGCTGAGGCAGGAGAATCGTTTGAAAAGGGAAGGCGGAGGTTGTAGTGAGCTGAGATTTTTCTACCACACTCCAGCCTGGGCAACAAGAGCGAAACTCCATCTCAAAAAAAAAAAAAACAAAAAAACCTGGGACAATTAATATAAAAGACGCAATGTAGGCCAGGCACGGTGGCTTACGCCAATAATCCCAACACTTTGGGAGGCCGAGGCGGGCGGATCACTTGAGGTCAGGAGTTTGAGACAAGCCTGGCCAACATGGTGAAACCCCGTCTCTACTAAAAATACAAAAATTAGCCGGGTGTGGTGGCGGGCGCCTGCAGTCCCAGCTACTTGGGAGGCTGAGGCAGGAGAATCGCTTGAACCTGGGAGGCAGAGGTTGCAGTTAGCCGAGATTGTGCCACTCTACTCCAGGCTCTGTCTCAAAAAAAAAAAAAAAAAAAAAAGATGTTATTGATTTTTTTTTTTTTTTTTTGAGAGGGAGTCTTACTCTACGGCCCAGGCTGGAGTGCAGCTCACTGCAACCTCTGCCTTCCAGGTTCAAGTGATTCTCCTGCCTCAGCCTCCCGAGTAGCTGGGACTATAGGTGCCCGCCACCACGCCCGGCTAATTTTTGTATTTTTTTGTAGAGATGGGGTTTCACCATATTGGCCAGGCTGGTATGGAACTCCTGATGTTGTGATCCGCCCGCCTCAGCCTCCCAAAGTGCTGGGATTACAGGTGTGAGCCACCGCGTCCAGCCAAGATGTTATTGATTTTATATCAATATATACAACATACAGGTCAAGGAAACAAATTATGTGACAAAATTGCAATCAGCAAAACCCAGATTGTGTGAAACTCTACTGAAAAATAATCCAATTCCTTCAATGAAAACATTGCAAGGAAAAAATGAGATAAAGATAACCTTTAATTTTTAATTTTAATTTTTATTTTTTTTCAGAGGGAGATCTCACTCTGTCACCCAGGCTGGAGTGCAGTGGTATGATATCGGCTCACTGCAACCTCCCCCCATGCCCCCCCACCCTGGGTTCAAGCGATTCTCCTGCCTCAGGCTCCCAAGTAGCTGGAACTACAGGCGCCCACCACCACACCCAGCTAATTTTTGTGATTTTAGTGGAGACAGTGTTTCACCATGTTGGTTGGGCTGGTCTTGAACTCCTGACCTCAAGTGATCTGCCCGCCTGGGCCTCCCAAAGTGCTGGGATTACAGACCTGAGCCACTGCGCCCAGCCCCAGTATATGTCACTTTTAAATTAAGGGTTCCTGTGCTGGGCATGGTGGCTCACACCTGTAATCCCAGCACTTTGGGAGGCCAAGGTGGGCGGATCACTTGAGGTCATGAGTTTGAGACCAGCCTGACTAACATGGTGAATCCCCGTCTCTACTAAAAATACAAAAATTGGGCATGCTGGCTTATGCCAGTAATCCCAGCACTTTTGGAGGCCGAGGCAGGCAGATCATTTGAGGTCAGGAGTTCAAGACCAGCCTGGCCAACATGATGAAACCCCGTCTTTCTAAAAATACAAAAATTAGCTGGGCGTGGTGGCACCCGTCTATAATCCCAGCTACTCAGGAGGCTGAGGCAGGCGAATTGCTTGAACCCGGGAGGCGAAGGTTGCAGTGAGATGAGATTCTGCCACTGTACTCCAGACTGGGCGACAGAGCGATACTCAGTGTCAAAAAAAAAAAAATTAGCTGGATGTGGGGGTGTGCACCTGTAGTCCCAGCTACTTGGGAGGCTGAGGCACGAGAATCACTTGAACACGGGAGGTGGAGGTTGCAGTAAGCAGAGACCATGCTAGTGCACTCCAGCCTGGGTGACAGAGTGAGGCTCTGTATAAAAAAAAAAAAAAAGAAAAAAAATGCTGGGCGTGGTGGCTCACGTGAGGTCATGAGTTTGAGACCAGCCTGGCCAACATGGTGAAACCTCGTCTCTACTAAAAATACAAAAGTTAGCTGGGCATGCTGACGGGCGCCTGTAATCCCAGCTACTTGGGAGGCTGAGGCAGGAGAATCGCTTGACCCCAGGAGGCGGCAGTTGCAGTAAGCCGAGATTGTGCCACTGCACTCCAGTCTGGGAGACAAGAGCGAAACTCTGTCTAAATATATATATATATATACACACACACACTCACACACACACATATATATACATACACACACATATATATACACATACACATATATATACACATATAGAGAGAGAGAGAGAATGGGCGTGGTGGCTCATGCCTGTAATCCCAGCACTTTGAGAGGCCGAGGCGGGTGGATCACCTGAGGTCAGGAGTTCGAGACCAGCCTAGCCAACGTGGTGAAACTCCGTCTCTACTAAAAATACAAAAAGTAGCTGGGCGTGGTGGTGGGCACCTGTAATCCCAGCTACTTGGGAGGCTGAGGCAGGAGAATGGCTTGAACCCGGGAGGTGGAGGTTGCAGTGAGCTCCAGCCTGGGTGATACAGTGGGACTCCGTCTCAAAAAAAAAAAAAAATATATATATATATATATATATATATATAAAAATACTTGGTATTTGATGATATGAAGGTATCTTCTTGGTATCTGATATGAAGGAATTATTGTTTATGTGTGCTAATATGATTTTTTAAAAAATAATTCTTACTTTTTAGAGATATATACTGAAATACTTTCATTATACTAGTCTGTCTACTTTTATACATGTTATAAATTCTTTATTAAAAAGTTTTAAAACAATGTTATTGAATTCTCAAGCATCTGATGAAAGTGCACAGATTAGTCTGAAGGAGTGGAACAGGAGGAGTTGGAATTTAAGAAGAGGAAGGTCTGGAACAGCCTCTGTGGGAGAGTGCCAGGGAATGTATGAGACAAATAAAAGGGTTGCTGAGCAGCTGCAAGGGCCAAGTTGAAATTGGACAGCATGAATTTATATTTGTCTACTTCGTTCTCCCTCTAGCAGTTTCTGGGACTTTGGGAGCAGAAAGGAAGAAAGAGGATAATGGAGGCAGAGGTCTCAGAGACAGTAACATTGGAGTGGCAGTTCATGGAGTGTAGGAGAGAAAACTACTATAACTGGGAGATAATTACTTCATCTGGATGAATTGAGAGGTAGAGTACCTAGGCATCTCAGTGAGGTTAGAGAGCAGGTGATCAGAGATGTAAAAGTTATTTGGAAAAGCCTTACATCAATGTAAGATATCACTGATCAACCAAGAGCCTCCCTGTTCCCCAGTTAGTCTTGTCAAAGGGACTCTGCTAGGCTAGAGGGTCATCATATCAAGATCCTCTTCCAAGATCCCTTTTAGGTTTTTAGGTTGTAGATGTTTTCAAATGACTCTAGGACAGCTCTTCAGTAGCTGTATGATCCCAGGCAAGCTATTTTCTATTTTGTTCCCTAGTTTCCTCATCTATAAGAAGTTGTGATAATAATACCTACCTCACAGAGCAAGTGTGAGGATTAAATAAAATAATGTGGGTAGAAGTGCCTAGCACAGTGGCATTCTATACAAAATACTGTACTCCCTCATCAGGTGAATACAGTCTCCCTTAATCCTGAAGCTGATGCAATTGTGTGGTAAATATGCTATCACTTTATAGAGGTGTAAAACCTGTCACGAAAATCCTATTTTCTTAATGAAACATTATAAAATTGGATATTGGAGATGTGTCCGCACCCCTTCCATAAAAAAATCATCTAACTTTCCTAACATGCTGAGGTAAAAAACTTCCAGTGAAGAAAAAGAATAGTAGCAGCAGTAATAATAATAGCAAACACATGCTTACTGGATTTGAGCCTCAGTGGAATGATATGGCCTAGAGATTAAAATGTGAGTCATCTGCATGGGGGTGATATTTGAAGTCATGTACATAACTGAGGGTGTCTGGAAGAGTTATATGAGAAGAGTGCAATCCTAGGACTGAGTCCTAAGGAACTGAATCACTGAATGGCCAGGAAGAAAAGGAGGAGTGTAAAAATGAGTCCCAGGACTCGTGATGCCAAGGCCGCTGCGAGCAGCTATGAAGAGTCGGGGTTGAGCCCCAGCTGAGCCGAGGGCTCGCACTCTTCTGGTCTCCCAGGACCGTCACACCTGAAGAAATGAGTGGTGGATTGGCTCCAAGTAAGAGCACAGTGTATGTATCCAGCTTGCCCTTTTCCCTGACAATGACTTGTACCGGATATTTTCCAACTATGGCAAAGTTGTAAAGGTTACCATAATGAAAGATAAAGATATCAGGAAGAGTAAAGGGGTTGCATTTATTGTATTTTTGGATAAAGACTGAACAAAACTGTACCAGGGCAATAAACAACAAACAGTTATTTGGTAGAGTGATAAAAGCAAGCATTGGCTGGGTGCGGTGGCTCAGGCCTGTAATCCCAGCACTTTGGGAGGCCGAGGCGGACGGATCACTTGAGCCCAGGAGTTCAAGACCAGCCTGGCCAACATGATGAGACTCCATCTCTACTAAAAATACAAAAACTAGTTGGGTGTGGTGGCACGCCTGTAATCCCAGCTACTAGGGAGGTGAGACAGGAGAATCACTTGAACCTGGAAGGCAGAGGTTGCAGTGAGCGGAGATCATGCCACTGCACTCCAGCCTGGGCGACAGAGCAAGACTCCGTCTCAAAAAAAACAAAACAAAACAAAACAAAAAACAAAAAAAGAGGAAGCATTGCTATTGACAATGGAAGAGCAGCTGTGTTCATCTGAAGGCGAAACTACTTTGATAAATCCAAGTGTTATGAATGTGGGGAAAATGGACACTTAAGTTATGCCTGTCCGAAAAATATGCTTGGAGAACGTGAGCCTCCAAAGAAGAAAGAAAAAAAGAAAAAAAAAGAAAGCTCCTGAACCAGAAGAAATTGAGGAAGTAGTAGAAAGTGAAGATGAAGGGGAGAATCCTGCTCTTGACAGCCTCAGTCAGGCCATAGCATTCCAGCAAGCCAAAATTGAAGAACAAAAAAAATGGAAACCCAGTTCAGGAGGCCCCTCAACATCAGGTGAGTCAAGACCCCCAAGGATAAAGAACAGCACATATTTCCGTGATGAGGAAGAACTTAGTGATTAAAATCTTGCCCTAGCACAGTAATAAAAATCAAGATTTGTTAGTAACAATCTTGACGATCTAATTTTAATAAAAATAAGAATACTATCATGTTAATACTATTACTGTCATCCCAAGAAAAATGATATATTTTCTCTTTTTTTTTTTTTGAGATGGAGTCTCACTCTGTCCCCCAGGCTGGAGTACAGTGGTGTGACCCCGGCTCACTGCAGCCTCTGCCTCCTCCCAGGTTCCAGGGATTCTCCTGCCTCAGCCTCCCAGGTAGCTGGGACTACAGGCACATGCCACTACACCCGGCAAATTTTTGTATTTTTAGTAGAGACAGGCTTTCACCATGTTGACCAGGCTGGTCTTGGAACTCCTGACTTCAGGTGATCTGCCTGCCTCAGCCTCCCAAAGTGCTAGGATTACAGGCGTGAGCCATCGTGCCTGGCTGAAAAAAGATATTTTAAAATTTTATTTGAGGCCGGGAGCAGTGGCTCACGCCCATAATCCCAGCACTTTGGAAGGCCGAGGTGGGCAGATCACGAGGTCAGGAGTTCGAGACCAGCCTGGCCAACATAGTGAAACACCGTCTCTACTAAAAATACAAAAAATTGGCTGGGAGCGGTGGCTCATGCCTGTAATCCCAGCACTTTTGGAGGCCGAGGCAGGCAGATCACGAGGTCAGGAGATCGAGACCATCCTGGCCAACACGGTGAAACCATGTTTCTACTAAAAATAGAAAAAAATTAGCCGGGCATGGTGGCAGGCGCCTATAGTCCCAGCTACTCGGGAGGCTGAGGCAGGAGAATGGCGTGAACCCGGGAGGCGGAGCTTGCAGTGAGCTGAGATCACGCCACTGCACTCCAGCCTGGGCGACAGAGTGAGACTCCGCCTCAAAAAAAACAACAACAACAACAACAAAAACACAAACTTCCTGAAGACCGAAAAGTTGAATGATTTATTGTTATTTATGTTAATACACTTTTCATGAAAATTTTGTCTTTAAATATGGGTGTTTTGTCATATTTCTTGTAGCTTTATCCCAATCTGGATAAATTGTAAATACCTATAAAATAAATTGTAAATACCTAATAAAATATAAAGTAACATAGCTCTAAAAGGCTTAAAATCAAACACAGGTGTTATTTGTCTGCCCTACCCATAGCACCAAATTCCATTCCCTAGAAGAAACTACTCATATGTGCATGCATGTCGCTAAATAAAATACATATATTTCTGTCACTTAATAAAAGAATAAAGGGGATTATTCAATCTCTTATACTTCTCCTACCTTCCTCAATCTTCCCAATGTGGCTGTGTTAAAAATTTTGGGTCCCAGCACTTTGTGAGGCCGAGGTGGGTGGATCACCTGAGGTCAGGAGTTCGAGACCAGCCTGACCAACATGGTGAAACCTGGTATCTACTAAAAAATACAAAAATTAGCAGGGCATGGTGGCAGGCACCTGTAATCCCAGCTACTTGGGAGGCTGAGGCAAGAGAATCGCTTGAACCTGGGAGGCGGACATTGCAGTGAGCCGAGATCGCACCATTGCACTCCAGCCTGGGCGACAGAGCAAGACTCTGTCTCAAAGAAAAAAAAAAAATTATGGCCGGGAACGGTGGCTCACGCTGTAATCCCAGCACTTTGGGAAGCGAAGGCGGGTGGATCATGAGATAAGGAGATCGAGACCATCCTGGCTAACAGGGTGAAACCCCGTCTCTACTAAAAACACAAAAACAAAATTAGCCAGGTGTGGTGGCAGGCGCCTGTAGTCCCAGCTACTCGGGAGGCTGAGGTGGGAGAATGGCCTGAACCCGGAAGGTGGAGCTTGCAGTGAGCCAAGATCGCGCCACTTCACTCCAGCCTGGGGGACAGAGCAAGACTCCTTCTCAAAAAAATAAAAAAATAAAAATAAATAAATAAATAAATAATTGGGGGAAAATGCATATGTATTTTTTTTAATGACCATGTAAATACTTTTCACTTCTGAGCTGAGGAGTATGCTATGATTATATTTTTTCTAGAGTTAATAATTGTCTATTTTTTTCCATGTATCTTCTTTGTATTTATGACTAAATCTTCCCATTCTGTCTGCAGGTAGTTATATGGGAATGGGATTAGAGAATCTTTTTCTTTTTTTTTCTTTTTTTGAGACGGAGTCTCGCTCTGTCGCCGAGGCTGGAGTGCAGTGGCGCAATCTCGGCTCACTGCAAGCTCCGCCTCCCAGGCTCCCGCCATTCTCATGCCTCAGGCTCCCGAATAGCTGGGACTACAGGCACCCACCACCACACCCGGCTAATTTTTTGTATTTTTAGTAGAGACGGGGTTTCACCGTGTTAGCCAGGATGGTCTCAATCTCCTGACCTCGTGATCCGCCCGCCTCCGCCTCCCAAAGTGCTGGGATTACAGGCATGAGCCACCGCGCCCGGCCGAGAGTCTTTAATTTTCTACTTTGTATATTTCTATATTAACTTTGAAAGAACACCCATTTATTACCTTTTAACTAGTAAAAGCAATAAAAATAAGAAAAGTTAATACTATCATAGTAATACTATTGTTGTCATTCCAAGAAAAAAATATATTAAAAATATTTATTTGAAAAAATAAATAAATAAAAATAAAAATGAGATTGAAAGGAATGGCCAGAGAAGTAAGACAAAGAAGAGGCATGATGGGTCACAGAAGTCAATGTATCGAAGTATTTCAAGGAGTATTTCTTGTCATATTTTGCTTGACAGGTCAAGTGAGATGAGGACTAAAAGTATCCATTGGATTTAGTGATTTGATAGTCATTGGTGACCTTATCACCACAAACTGAGGAAGTCAGATTAGAGTGTGTTATATTAATAAGGGAGTAAGAAGAAGGAAATGGAAAAAGAATAGTTATGTCAAGAAGTTTGGCTACAACAGATAGAAGGGTGTTAGGTGGTAGCTAGAGAGGGATGTGAACTCAAGGGAAATTATTTTTGTAAGACTGGAGAAACTAGAGCATATTTAAATGTCAATAAAAACATGTCAATGAGGCCAGATGCAGTGGCTCACGCCTGTAATCCCAGCACTTTGGGCGGGTGGATCACCTGAGGTCAGGAGTTCAAGAACAGCCTGGCCAACGTGGTGAAACCTCGTCTCTACTAAAAATACAAAAATTAGCTGGGTATGGTGGCGGGCACCTGTAATCCCAGCTACTCGGGAGGCTGAGGCAGGAGAATCGCTTGAACCCAGGAGGTGGAGGTTGCAGTGAGCCAAGATCCTGCCATTGCACTCCAGCCTGGGCAACAAGAGAAAAACTCCGTCTCAAAAAAAAAAAAAAAAAAAAAAAACTCAATGAGCGGGAATTGTTGAATAAACAGGAGAGAGAAGGGATAATTAATAGTGGAAGGTTTCTGGGAAGGTGTGAGGGGATAGCATACAGTAGGAAGAAATGAGAAGTATAAAAGGAGGTAGGGAGAGGATTTGTTCTAATGTGAGCAAATATGTAGATTTGATGGTGGGAAATGGGGGATTAAATGAGATAATGCATGCAAAGCACTTAGCATAGTGCCTGGCACAGTTAGTTTGTATCAGAAATGGTAACTATGGCTATTGTTGTTTTTCATGTCATACACCTGCTTGAAAATTTCTCACCTTTTAGGCTTTGTCCATGTGAAATGAGCTAGTACCCTACTTTATTAATGCTATAAATTTCAATTTTTATTTTTTTGAGACAGAGTCTAGCTCTGTTGCCCAGGCTGGAGTGCAGTGGCATGATCTTGGCTCACTGCAACCTCCACTTCCCGGTTTCAGGTGATTCTCCTGCCTCAGCCTCCTGAGTAGCTGGGATTACAGGTGCCCACCATTATGCCCGGCTAAATTTTGTATTTTTACTAGAGGAGAGGTTTCACCACGTTGGCCAGGCTGGTCTCGAACTCCTGGCCTCAAGTGATCTGCCCACCTTGGCCTCCCAAAGTGCTGGGATTACAGGTGAGAGCCACCGCACTTGACTTTCAAATTTTCTATATTGAATTTATATACAACGAGGGTTACTTGAACTTTTGTTTTGTTTTGTTTTATTTTTATTTTTATTTTTGGAGACGGAGTCTCACTCTGTCGCCCAGGCTGGAGTGCAGTGGCATGATCTCGGCTCACTGCAAGCTCCGCCTCCCAGGTTCACGCCATTCTCCTGCCTCAGCCTCCCCGAGTAGCTGGGACTACAGGTACCCACCACCACGCCCAACTAATTTTTGTTTTTGTATTTTTAGTAGAGATGGGGTTTCACCGTGTTAGCCAGGATGGTCACGATTTCCTGACCTCGTGATCCACCTGCCTCAGCCTCCCAAAGTGCTGGGATTATAGGCGTGAGTCACCACACCTGGCCGAGGGTTACTTGAACTTTTGATTCCTCACCTCTGTTCTCTTCAGAACTTCTGGATATTTGCTGGTTCCCTGATTTTGATAAGAAGAAAAAAGTTGTACATTTAAGATTAATGGGCTGGGTGCAGTGGGTCACACATGTAACCCCAGCACTTTGGGAGGCCAAGGCAGGCGAATTACTTGAGGTCAGGAGTTCAAGACCAGTCTGGCCAACATGGTGAAACTTCATCTCTACTAAAAATACAAAAATTAGCCGGTCGTTGTTGCGTGTGTCTGTAACCCAGCACTTTGGGATGCTGAGGCGGGCAGATCGCTTGAGTCCAGGAGTTCAAGACCAGTCTGGCCAACATGGCAAAACCCCATCTCTACAAAAAATACAAAAATTAGGCAGTTGTGGTGGCGTGTGCCTGTGGTCCCAGCTACTCGGGAGGCTGAGGTGAGAGGATCACTTGAGTCTGGGAGATGAATGTTGCAGTGAGCCAAGATGGCACCACTGCACTCCAGACTGGATGATAGAGCAAGACACCATTTCAACAACAACAACAAAAAAAAAAAAAAAAAAAAAAAGAGAGAGAGAGATCACTCCTCACTCCTCCCTCCTCCTCTGATTAAGAATCTACATTTGAGGCTGGGTGCTGTGGCTCACACTTGTAATCCCAGCACTTTAGGGGGCCAAGGCGGGTGGATCACAAGGTCAGGAGTTCAAGAGCAGTCCGGCCAAGCTGGTGAAACCCCGTCTCTACTAAAAATACAAAAAATTACTCGGGTTTGGTGGCGGGTGCCTGTAATCCCAGCTACTCGGGAGACTGAGGTAGGAGAATCACTTGAACCCGGGAGGCAGAGGTTGCGGTGAGCTGAGATTGCACCATTGCACTCCAGCCTGGGCAACAAGAGTGAAACTCCGTCTCATAGATAGATAGATAGTTAGATAGATAGATAAATAGATAGATAGATAGATAGATAGATAGATAGATAGATAGATAGAATCTACATTTGGCCGGGTGCAATGGCTCACACCTGTAATCCCAACACTTTGGGAGGCTGAGCTGGGAGGATTGCTTGAGGCCAGAAGTTTGAGACCAGCCTGGGAAACAGCAAAATCCGGCCTCTACTAAAAATACAAAAAATTAGCCAGGCATGGTGGCGCACGCCTGTAGTCCCAGCTTCTCAGGAGGCTGAGGTGGGAGGATTGCTTGAGCCGGGGAGGTCACAGCTGCAGTGAGCCATGATCATGCTACTGCACTCCAGCCTGGGTGACAGAGTAAAACTCTGCTTCAAAAAAAAAAAAAAAAAAAAAGAATTGGCTGGGCATGGTGGCTCACACCTATAATCCCAACACTTTGGGAGACCGAGGTGGGCAGATCACTTGAGGCTAGGAGTTTGAGACTAGCCTGACCAACATGGCAAAACCCCGTCTCTACTAAAAATATAAAAATTAGCCGGGCATGGTGGTGCATGCCTGTAGTCCCAGCTAATCGTGAGGGTAAGGCAGAGAATCGCTTGAACCTGGGAGACAGAGGTTGCAGTGAGCCAAGACTGCGGCCGCTGTGTGCCTGGGAGACAGAGCGAGACCCTGTCTTTAAAAAAAAAACAAAAAAGAGAATCTACATTCTTTTTTTTTTTATTTAAAGGCCTATAATGCCCTTTTAACTCTCTTTTTAAATCATTTTCAAAATCCTTGACCTAGAATTTTAGGTTCCTGTTAATCTAGCCACACTCCATTTAACTTTTTCATCTTCTTTCTTCAACATAACCTCTGACATGTTACCACTGCTTACAAATAGAAAGAGGACTAAGCTTGGAGAGACTCTGAAGAGAAGCATTTACTTTTTACTCTACATACTTCTGCATTTAATTTTTTTACAGTGATAATGTACTACATTTGGAATTTAAAATGAAACACAATAAATAAATTAAAACAACTTTTGCCCTAGTATCACTCTCCCTAATCTTTCATACCCATCAAAATTAATTTCTCATTATTCAGATTTCCATTCAAATGTACAGGTGACACTTGAACAAGGGTTTTAACTGCATGGGTCCACTTATATGTGGATTTTCTTCTGCCTCTGCTACCCCTGAGATAGCAAGACCAACCCCTCATCTTCCTCCTCCTCCTCCTCAGCCTACTCAATATGAAGACAGTGATGAAGAACTTTATGATAATCCACTTCCGCTTAATGAATAATGCATATATTTTCCCTTCCTTATTTTATTTTATTTTATTTTTAGACAAGGTCTCACTCTG
The DNA here is from genome assembly GCF_000001405.40 of Homo sapiens. Classification (NCBI taxonomy): domain Eukaryota; kingdom Metazoa; phylum Chordata; class Mammalia; order Primates; family Hominidae; genus Homo; species Homo sapiens. The sequence goes on along the minus strand of NC_000023.11, from coordinate 71,308,327 downwards.
TTGCCTAGGCTGGAGTGCATTGCGACAATCATGGCTTACTGCAGCTTCGATCTCCTGGGCTCAGGTGATCCTCCCACCTTACCTTCCCAAGTAGCTGGGACTACAGGTGTGCGCTACTATGACTGGCTAATTTTTTTGTATGTTTTTGTAGAGAGGGGGTTTTGTCATGTTGTACAGGCTGGTCTTGAACTGGACACAAGTAATCTGCCCACCTCGGCCACCCAAAGTGCTAGGATTACACGCATGAGCCACCTCACCCAGCCCCTTATGATTTTCCTTTTTTTTTTTTTTTTTGAGACGCAGTCTTGTTCTGTCGCCCAGGCTGGAGTGCAGTGGCACAATCTCGGCTCACTGCAAGCTCCGCCTCCCGGGTTCACACCATTCTCCTGCCTCAGCCTCCCGAGTAGCTGGGACTACAGGCGCCTGCCACTACGCCCAGCTAATTTGTGTTTTTTTTGTATTTTTAGTAGAGACGGGGTTTCACCGTGTTAGCCAGGATGGTCTCGATCTCCTGACCTCGTGATCCGCCCGTCTTGGCCTCCCAAAGTGCTGGGATTACAGGCGTGAGCAACCATGCCCGGCCGATTTTCTTAATAACATTTTCTTTTCTCTAGCCTACTTTATTGTAAGAATGTAGTATATAATACATATAACATTCAACATATGTGTTAATTGACTCTATATGTTATCAGTAAGGCTTCTGGTCAACAGTAGGCTATTAGTAGTTAAGTTTTTGGGAAGTCAAAAGTTGACTATGGGTTGGGGGCAGTGGCTCACGCATGTAATCCCAACACTTTGGGAGACCAAGGTGGGCAGATCACGAGGTCAGGAGTTCAAGACCAACCTGGCCAACACAGTGAAACCCCGTCTCTACTAAAACTACAAAAATTAGCTGGGCGTGATGGCAGGCACCTGTAATCCCAGCTACTCAGAAGGCTGAGGCAGGAGAATCGCTTGAAACCGGGAGGCGGAGGTTGCAGTGAGCCGAGATTGCCCCACTGCACTCCAGCCTGGGCTACAGAGCTAGACTCTTGTCTCAAAAAAAAAAAAAAAAAAAAAAAAAAAGTCCACTATGTGGTAGCTGGGTGTGGTAGCTCACACCTGTAATCCCAGCACTTTGGCAGGCAGAAGTGGGAGGATCACTTGAGATCAGGAGTTTGAGACCAGCCTGGGAAACATAGTGGAATCCCGTCTCTACTAAAAATAAAAAAAATTAGCCAGGTGTGGTGGCGCATGCCTGTAATCCCAGCTACTTAGGAGGCTGAGGCATGAGAATCGCTGGAACTTAGGAGGTGGAGGTTTCAGTGAGCGAAGATCATGCCACTGCATTCCAGCCTGGGCAACAGAGTGAGACTCTGTCTCAATAAATAAATAAATAAATAAAAATTTTAAAAAAGAAGTCAAATGTGTGGGGAGTCAGTGCCCCAACCTTGCATTGTTCAAGGGTCAACTGGACTTCTTAACCTTCACATTTATGGTTAGTTAATTTTCAACTAGGGAACCAAGACAGTTCAATGGGAAAAAGAATAGTCTTTTCAACAAATGGTACTGAGACAACTGGACATCCACATGCAATAGCATAAGGTTGGACCCCTACTTCACATCACATACAAAAATTAATTGAAAATGAATCAATGACCTAAATGTAAGAGCTAAAAAACTATATCACTCTTTTTTTTTTGGAGATGGAGTTTTTGCTCTTGTTGCCCAGGCTGGAGTGCAGTGGCGCAATCTCGGCTCACTGCAATCTCCGCCTCCCAGGTTCAAGTGATTCTCCTGCCTCAGCCTCCTGAGTAGCTGGGATTACAGGCATGTGCCACAACACTCAACTAATTTTTTGTATTTTTAGTAGAGACGGGGTTTCATCATGTTGGCCAGGCTGGTCTCGAACTCCCTACCTCAGGTGATCCATGTGCCTCAGCCTCCTAAAGTGCAGGGATTACAGGCGTGAGCCACCGCGCCCAGCCCTGTATAACTCTTAGAAGAAAACATAGGGGCCGGGCGTGGTGGCTCACACCTGTAATCCCAACACTTTGGGAGGCCAAGACGGGCAGATCACGAGGTCAGGAGATCAAGACCATCCTGGTTAACACGCTGAAACCCGTCTCTACTAAAAATACAAAAAATTAGCCAGGCGAGGTGGCGGGCGCCTGTAGTCCCACCTACTCAAGAGACTGAGGCAGGAGAATGGCGTGAACCTCGGAGGTGGAGCTTGCAGTGAGCCAAGATTGCGCCACTGCACTCCAGCCTGCGCAACAGAGCAAGACTCCGTCTCAAAAAAAAAAGAAAAAAAAAAAAGAAGAAAAGGTAGGGACAAATGTTCATGACCTTGGATTAGGTAATGGTTTCTTAGATATGACATCAAAAGCATAAGCAACCAAAGAAAAAAATAAACTGTATTTCAAATTAGCTGGGCATGGTGGCAAGCGCCTGTAGTTTTAGCTACTCGGCAGGAGAATCGCTTGAACCCAGGAGGCAGAGGATGCAGTGAGCCGAGATCGCACCACTGCACTCCAGCCTGGGCGACAAAGCAAGACTCCGTCTAAAAAAAAAAAAAAAAAAAAAAAAAGGACTTCTTCCACCACGGAGTCTTCCCTTTTGCTACTGTCCACATTAACTTTTCCATTCTTTCAACTACAGCTCTTAAAAACTGTACTGCACAATTTGGCACTCAGTTAAACTACCTGATAATGTTTATTATTATTTCATGTAGATTGGTCTTGACTTGTCAGCCAGGTTGTTACTTTGTTGAGAGAAATGAGTAAGTCTTCTGTTTCTCAGATATTTCTAAACCACCTAACACATAACTGGGCACATAGGGAGTACTCAGTAAATACCTGGTGTTTATGAGGAATAGATTGAATGTGCATGTGCTTGTTTTCACAATGTGTGTTGAACACACAGTTGGGGGTAATAAATACAATCTTAGATAGTGAGGTGAGAGAATGACACTATGTGAAACTGAAGAATACAAGATTTATTTAAGGGAAAAAAACAGCATGGTTTGGACAATTTTGTTCTCCCCTCCTTCAGCCTCCTGCTGCTCAATGATGCCACATGGCCAACAATATCCTGGTATCTAAGATTCTAAGGGAATCATTGAGGTCCTATCTAGACATCAACTGTCTGGTGTCACTATTCCCCCATTGCTTCCTCCTCTTCCTCCTCCTCTGTCCAGCTCAGATCATCATCTGAATCGTCAGATTCTTCCTCATCCATCTCTAACACAACCCCTGCCCTAGCCTTCTTAGCTAGTGCATCAGGGTGCTCCAGCTGGGCCCAGGATCCTGGGTCAGCCTTGACCAGGGAGATTTCAACCCGAGATGGCATCAAGAAGACAGAGCTCTGCTCCACGTTTATGACCTGAGGAGGAGCAAAGGAAAACAGAAGAAAGAGAGAATGAGGAAATCAAAGGCATTGGGGTCAGGGTGGAGTGGTGACAAATGAGAGAGAGAAATTTTTAATAAGGTAAGAAAAAAGGTAAGGGAGGAATAAGACAATAAGGGAGAGAGAGGAAAGAAATGAGAGATGAAAAGGGAGAAGGAAGAGGGGAGGGAAAGAGGGAAATAGGAAGAGTAGGAGAGAGAGAGAAAATGAAAGCAAATGAAGAGAAAACCTCCATTTTCCTAGTACAACTCCTTCCCTCAAGACACCCTCTATTCCAGTCTAGCCGCTCTTTCACCCATCTGCCTCCCACTCTTGTGTCCCCTGGTCTTCACTTACCCCCCAGAGCTTCATCTGTGCTTGGAACACACGGTTACCATCAAAGACAATGTGGACATGAAGCTGAGAGAAAAGAATTACAGGGGTAGTAACAAACCCAGAAGGTCAGAATAGGTCATTACGACAGATAACCAGGTCAGAGGTATGATCCACAGGTTGGCCAGACAGCCCTGACCTAATAACTCTCCTTTCCTCTAAGGGTACTATGGAGCCTACAGGTTAACAGCAAATGGCAACTCTGCCTGTGAGATTGTAGTATCACCCAATTGACTATCCTCCCATCCAACATCAGATCATTGCTCACCTCAGTTTGACTGGCCTTCACCCAGTTAAACGCAGGAAGTGGAATCTGGCCATATACAGTCACCACTACTAAGGAATCTGTCTGGTGCCAATCATGGCGGCAAGATGCTGGGAGCTAAAGAGAAGATGTGAAATGCAGGTGGTAAGAATAAATTCTTAACTGAAGGGGAGTTCTCATGATGCACGTGGAGAAGAGACAGAGAGTCTCAAAAAGATTAACACAACCTCATATTGCAAAACCTCTGGGCTGTTGAGGGATAAGGAGCAGAATCTTATTTGGTCTATACTAAAGGGAGAAGACAGGGAGCTTGGCTATGTGGTACAGAGAGGGAGGAGAATTTACCTCTGAGATTGGGTTCTAATCAAGAGTTCAGGAAAGCTGGGGCTTACCTGCTTCCCCCAGTCATGTCTACCGACTCTGCACCCTGGTTGTGCCAAGAATGCCCCAAAATCCAGGGTCTGGATGCCACAACAGCTCCAAGACTTCATCCTGAAGTAGGAAGATAATTCAACTGAATTCTCTCACCCCCAATATTATCTTATGACCAAATATTAGGAGAAACCTGTCTCATAGCCTCATAGCCCACCCAGTCCCCTCCCTCACCCCTCATGGAATCGGGGTGCTCCTGGGTGGTAGGTACATGGAGTAGCATCACTCTCAGGGCCTTGGTAAACCTAAGAAGGATAAAGTAGAACCAGGTCATTCTAAGGTATATCCTACTCAGCCTATCTATACCCAGTCATCCCTCAGCCATATGCTTGAGCCCCTCAAAACTCTCACTCACAGCATCACATCCTGGGTTCTGGCAGCTGGAACCAGTCCGGATCAGACTGTCAAGTCCTGGGCAAGGGAAACAGAGTCAGGAACTTATCCATCCCCCCACTCAATTGCCACTTCCACTAAATTCCAGTCTATGAAGTTGATCCTACTAAAGACCCACCTACCTGCCCCAGGTTCCTGGTCTAATTCCTTCTGTTCCAATGCCATTTCCAGGGCTTGGGATATATTTAGCGGCAGCAGCTTCAGAGGCAACTCTGACCTAGGGGTTAAGGGTGGTGATTTAGTTCTGACCCATTAGCTATGATTGCTAGCTCCAACACTCCCACCGATGGTAATGGAATTAAAGAAGCCTGGTGAAAGTGAGGCAGAGTTGGAGAGGTTGGGTAGCAACCCCATTGCCAATTTTCATCTCTGTGGACATCCCAAATACCTGAACCCTAGAGAAATCCCCAGCACTTCTCTTACCCATCTACTCAGTTGCTCTAAACCTAACCACTTTTCTCTGCAGAACTGAGTCATATCCTCTTCCTCTTTATCTAATCGTGGACCTAATATGACTTCCTTCTGTTGCTCTTATTATTCCCACAAAATTTGGGAAGTCTCCTGGCTGCCAATAATACAATACATCCTTTTCTTGATATGAGATTTATCTTAAAGTTCTTTTCTAGAAAGAGAAGTCATTCTCAACAATCCCTTTTGTGTTATACACTAAGGATGTATTTGTGAGGGGCTATCTACTCTGTTGATTCAGGTATCTATCCCATCATCCCACACCACCTTAGAGGAAAGGGCGTTATTTCCAGACACAAATTTCCCCTAAGGCACAGGATATACACCATCCAAACCCTGACATCTGGCCCTCCTCACATCCCTGGTCCCTAGTTCCCAGTCCTCAATGACCCATTAATCACTCCTAGGAAGCTACATGAAAATAAGAAAAGTCCAGGGGCCTCCTCCTCTTTACTTGGGCCTCTCCCGGCGCAAGGTCTCTGCTGACTTTGGAATCACATTCAGAGGTTTTTGCTCCTGAAGTGAACTGCTTGTAGCAGGGCCTTCAGGTTGAGGGGCCTCAGGAAGCTTCTCAGCACAGTGTGGTCCCATAGTACAGCCCTAGTATAGATAAGGAGATAGGATTAGGGATAGAATCCTTCTATTGGGGGCAGAATCCAAGTACATAAATAATTTACCTTGATGTTTAAGAACTCAGAGAAATCTACAGTTCGCTTTCGGCAGCAGGACCAACCCTGATAACAAGAGACCCAGATCAGCTTAGCTTCCTGGGTATTATCTCTTCTGGGAAATGCTCTTGCTAACCCCCCTCACCTACTCCTCACCTTAAGTGCATCATGGAAGATTGGGACCCCAGGGTGATGGCAACAGGAATCTGTGGACATCAGTAGAAGTTATCAAGGAAGGGAAGATAACTATACCAAGTATCATTTTTCACCTCTTCCCCGGGTTTCTATTTATGGTTTCTTCCCATATAATGTGAAGAAAAAAAAAAAAGCCAGCAAAGGCTGTAAGATCACTCAGACCAATTAAACTAGGGCAGGTAGTTTCTTTCCCCGCTCCTCAAACACACTGCCCCCCAGCTGACCAGTCCCCAACACCCACACAGAGCCCCTGGCCAGGTCAGGATTCTTTACTCACCAGGAAGGTTGGTATTAGGGTCAAAGTGCTGCCCACAGCCTTTGTTACGACAGAGTAGAGACATGGAAGCGTTGGTTGAATGATTACTGAAAGGGTATTTCAAGGAGTCTGGCTGCCGAATGGGGAACACCTCTTAGTCTGGAGGCTTTTAGCTGCCTGGAAGGGCCAGCTGTTTCTATCTTTAGTTCAGGAGGCGTACACCTCCTAACATGGGCAAGGGAACTTCAATTCGTCTTTCCAGCCAATAGGAAAGAGCTCGGGGGCATTTTAGCTCTGAGGCTCAGGAAAAAAGGATCAGGCAGAGTAGGGCTTTGAACTTGGGTGAGGTCAGCTCACCACTACTGAGACAGTTTTAGATTCACCACAGCAATTCCAAGCCTTGGACACAGCAGCAGCTGCTAAGAAACAAATACCAATTTTGAGACCCCCCCCGCGCCCCCAGCTCGATGAGGATTAAGCCCATTTTCTTCCTCTTTCAGAGGGGCAGCTTTCCTCCATCATTACTTCCATGTAGTATCAATAGCGCTAATCCTTGCCAACCCCTCCAGCCATTTGATGCACCTCATCCCCACCTCCTCCCCATGTTTGTCTAGATCAATACTGTAATCCAAAGGTCATAAAGGATTACCTTTATAGAGTCTACTGCTCATCTCCTAAGATAACTCCCCTCCCTCCTTTCCCCTTCAAAAACACCACAGAAAATTAAAAGGCTTAAAATGTATTTTAATAGGTTGATGCTGCATTACTGCTCCATTTTTCAGAAAAACTCCAAATATATGAGACAAATCAAACACAGTACACCAATGAAAAAAAAAATGCACAGCATGACTACCTAAGATAGGCGAGTCTAAGAGCTACTGTCAGACCTTCAGTATACAGTAACCCTGTTCCCAAGATTGTACTAGGCCTATCAAGAAAAGCTGTGAACAGCAACATCATAGACACAAAAGGGTCATTCCTGGGTGTCCTCACCCAAGAAAAAGATGGAGGCAAGTTAACACAAGATTTTTTTTTAAAGATACACTAAAATGAAAATCTCTAAGAGAAAATGTCTTCTTTAGGACATGAAGGGGTAATATATGGGGTATAACAGAACCGTATGTACGCTGCCTGTGACCTTTGTGGACGTTTGCCTGAATTCTCACCTGGGAGTGAATGGAGCAATGGGGCTAAGGTCATTGGGGGATGTTTGGTTTTTGTGGTGTATGTGGCAGTTTCTCTGGGGCTGGGGGAGTGTAAGGATAAGAAGCAAGTGAGGTTGGGCACGGTGGCTCACCCCTGTAATCCCAGCATTTTGGGAGGCCGAGGTGGGTAGATCACGAGGTCAGGAGTTCAAGATCAACCTGGACAAGCTTGAACCCGGGAGGCAGAGATTGCAGTGAGCCGAGATCATGCCACTACACTCCAGCCTGGGCGACAGAGTAAGACTCCGTCTCGGGGGCGGGGCAAGCAAATGAAACAAGATGGACAAAAAAAAAAAAAACCGGAATGATCAAGATTAATGGGCTCTAACTGGATCCACTTTGCCATGGTTTCCCCAGGCCCTCAACAGTCACATTAGAGACTTCAGGAATGCACCACACAGAACTGATTAAACAATATACCACACAGAATTGACTTGTTTAATACCACCCCTCCCTTGCCCTCTGCCTCCAGCATACTCCCTAGAGTAGTACAGGCAGGGTAGATCTAACTATTGGAAGGAATCCCTAACACTTTTCCAGGGTAGAATTCTGGCTAGTCCAAAAAGGGTCCTTCTTTTAAGGGTTTTGAGAAACTAGACACTGCAACTTATTAGTATCGGCGACGTTTGTTTGGGGCAAATTCAGCTCCAGGAGCTGCACGGTTGAATGCAGGAGGAGTTCCACCAATTGCCCCAATTCCTTCCATTGTAGCAGCCTGACCAAAGCGTTCAGTTGTTGGTGGGGTCTTAAAGAGAAAAAGAGAGCAACACTGTAACAGAGCCATTGTTGGAAGCTTCCCACCCATCTGTAGTCCCTCCACTGGAGGCTATTTCCATTCAACTATTCAAGGCTCCTGATGGTAGGTAGGAGTGGGTGACTAAGTCTGTTTAGAACTCTAGTGGATAACCCCAAAAGTGGTGGCGCATGCCTGTAATCCCAGCTACTCAGGAGGCTGAGGCAGGAGAATCGCTTGAACCTGGGAGGCGGAGGTTGCAGGGAGCCAAGATTGCACCACTGCACTCCAGCCTGGGCGACAAGAGCAAAACTCTGTCTCAAAAAGAAAAAGAAAAAAAGAAAAACAAAAACAGAAACAACCAAACTATCCAGTTTTGGCATTTTAACACCATAACCAAAACAACCCCAGGATTGCATGAGCCATGAAGTATTTGGATTCACAACTATTTTATGTGATAATGCCTAGCCTTCATTGACTTCCCTCCAACAAACATAGTCAATCAGACTGGCCAGTCAGACGGTGGCATTTACTTAACTCCTAGATTAAGTATAGAGACTGAGTTTGCTCAAGATTCAAAAATAAAGACCTTGAGGTTACATTTAATGGATACCAGCAGTCCTAAAGATTGCTATCTGGGCCGGGCTTGGTGGCTCACGCCAGTAATCCCAGCACTTTGGGAAACCGAGGCGGGCAGATTATCTGAGGTCAGGAGTTCAAGAACAGCCTGACCAACGTGGTCAAACTCAGTCTCTAATAAAAATACAAAATTGGGAGGCCGAGGCTGGTGGATCACCTGAGGTCAGGAGTTCGAGACCAGCCTGGCCAACATGGTGTAACCCCATCTCTACTAAAAATACAAAAATTAGCCGGGCATGGTGGCAAGCACCTGTAGTCCCAGCTACTCGGGAGGCTGAGGCAGGAGACTCGCTTGAACCCGGGAGGTGGAGGTTGCAGTGAGCCAAGACCATGCCATTGCACTCTAGCCTGGGCAACAAGAGGGAAACTCTGTCTCCAAAAAAAAAAAGACTGCTATCTATAGCAAACTGAGGTAGGCCCCCAGGGGCTGTGAAAGCAATGCCTGTTCTCCTCCTACCACCATTTAGAATTACTGTTAAGGCACTGCAGTTTTATTACCAATCCCAAAGTTCCATCCGGCATCATAGTGGCAGGTCCTGGAGGAGCTGGGGTACCAGCTGGCACAGGAGCAGGGGGCATGGCACCTCTGTTGTTTATGCCCATAGCACCTAAGGCAGAGTAGTGTGATCAGCACAAGGGATAAAGATTGTTAGTCTCTTTCTATGCCAAAGGAAACAATTCAACAAGACCTCTGGGCTAAGTAAGACATATATGTCACCCCCTTAAAGTAGGCAGCAGAAGCTACATAGTTCACCCAAGACCAAACAAAAAAGGAAATCAGAGCCATTAACCTCCTAAGTCCTTACCTCCCATAGCCATCTGACCCATCCGAATCTCCTGCTCTCTCTGAAAAACAAAAAATACTCAAGACAGTCCAAGACAGCAGTGCATTCTACCACAATCCATCAAGGACCACACACTAAGGGAAGTAGATAGAGTGATAACACGTCCAAACAGCACTGAGAAAGCTGAGGAGCACAACCCTTGCTAGTTGTGCAACAAATTCAAGGTCACAGAGCTACTAGGACGTAAGCCAGAGCCTCCTATTAGCAACAGAGAGGTGAAAGGGGGAAGAGATTGCTTCTGAAGCTCCAACTTGTACAATTGCAAGGACAGCAGAGGACTAGCCAAGGTTGCATATCTCTTCCTATAGTCACTGAGTCTAAACAGAATACAGCAGACCCAGTTTTTCATCCTATATTGCTTGTGAGGCAAGATCTCCTCTTCAAACCTTACCTCTCCTTCTTATGAATTCTTTTTTCTAAAGGGTTATTTCACAACACGGGAAAATTGGTCATAACCGGTAACCTAGCAGACAATTCATGGTGAGTTTATCAGGACTGGTCTGGTACATCACGGGCACATGGGAGATATACCGCATCAGGGAAGGTTCCCTTGAATCCTTCCTGCTGTCGCCGCATCATTTCTTCTTGCTGCCGCCGCATCTCTTCTTCACGGCGCCTGCGCTCTTCCTCCTGCCTACAGAGAGTCACCAATGTATTTAAGACAGAGGCATTTCAGAACTTGAGCAGATTAACAGGAGACTCAACCAAGGAGACTGGCCTACTGAAAACTATCAGTTCACCAGGAAACTCACTGTTAAGTGTGCCCAGCCCTGAGGCAACCCCCAAAGAAACCTCATGAGACCAGCATTCAGCTGCTTTCTTTTTAGCAGGTAACTTCTAGGACCATGGGCAGCTAAAACATCTCCAATCCAAAGAAAGAACCTGAGAAGCAGCCAGGAAATATTTGCCAACACATTTATAAATACACGAGGTAGCATGGCAGTAGGAAAGAGGAGTGAGACATTACCTTTTAGAGTTGTTAGGGAAAAAGTGTTCGAGAAAAGTTACCTGAGCTCCAGTTGCTTTCGTTTTTGCACCTCTTGGTTGTGCAGCTCTTCCATCCTCCGAAGTTCTTCTTGGCGCCTCATCAAATCTAAAAAAACAACAGACTAAGAATATTCCTCATTGTCTTCATATAGATCTAATGACTTTCTTCAAATAAAGATCCAGAAAGCAAAGAGGATCTAATTCCTTTGGAACCACCTGTGGTGTCCAGATTCCAAAATGAAGTTATACCTATCATTTCCTTCTCCACAGAATCCAGTATCTCTGCCACATCTCCAAGCCTATTTATCTACCAAAATCAACGCAAACTAAGTATAAAAGCAGAGATGTAGGCCCTTCTGTTAATTGATACAAAGAAACCCATTTAAAAATGTCATTTTGTCCTTTCAGCTTTAAGACTTACAGGCCTAGACTCACCCTGTCTCATTAGCATGACCTGGTGCTCATGGCGTGCAGCTTCCATCTCCATCTCCAGCTTCTCACGAGCCTCCTTGATGTTGCGGTCCACTTGGTCCTGCTGCTGCTTCTCCATCTCAATGAGTGCCTTCCAGCGCATGGCATATTCATACTCAAAGGAGCCAGGCTGTGCAAATCTGGGTGGCTGCTCTCGTTCCCTATAGGCAAGGTTCCTAGGTTACTAACTTTGTCCAGAATTACCCCAGCTAAGAATTGCATTCCTTGTGAGGACCAAGATAATGGCTGCCAGTGAACATGTGCAGCAAAGACCTGCCTCTTTTACATATCCCTTTATAAGCTTTCTTAAGAAGGAAACACCTAATAGGGAAATCTATCAAGACTGCATACTTGTGAAATTGCTGGTTTTTTATAACCAGCTTCTCTGGAAGTCCCTCTTCATCATCTAACTGGTCCATGGGCTCCACAGTCACAGGACGAGGAAATCTGGAAGAAAGAACAAAGTTCAGTGTTAATCAAATCATACCCCACCAGGCTTCTTCTCTACACATGTCACTGGCACAATGAATTAGCTAGGGCTCAGGATTGGAGGCTTCTGAAGTTTTTATACCTAATGACATTATAAAAAATTTGGGGTTGGGCTGGGGGTGGTGGCTCACGCCTGTAATCCCAGCACTTTGGGAGGACGAGGCGGGTGAATCATGAGGTCAGGAGTTCAAGACAAGCCTGGCCAACATGGTGAAACCCTGACTCTACGGACGTCTGTAATCCCAGCTACTTGGGAGGCTGAGGCAGGAGAATCACTTGGACCCGGGAGACAGAGGTTGAAATGAGCCGAGATTGTGCCACTGCACCACTCTAGCCCGGGCTACAGAGTGAGACTGTCTCAAAAAAAAAAAAAAAAAGAAAAGAAAAAGAAAAAAGAAAATCTGGGGTTGACAGGACGAAATCAGGACTTAGATCTCTGAATACAGTCTCAAAAAGATATTCCAAGTAGGTAGGTGCAGTACTTAAGTACAGCCTAAACATCTACAGACACTCTGAGAAATGACTTGTGGTAAACACTAAGAGATACTGCAGGCACAAATCAACTTTTCAGAACTCTAAATCTTCAAAGTAAAGAGAGACTTAACACTGACTACATGACAACCTACCGAATGACTAAAAAGTTATTTTTCATAATCGTCATCCCACGTCTATTAATATAAGATTACAGAAAAATCATACGAGAAAGCTTAGTACCAAAAGTCTTTTTTTTTGGAAACGGAGTCTTCCTCTGTCGCCCAGGCTAGAGTGCAGTGGTGCAATGTCGGCTCACTGCAACCTCTGCCTCCCGGGTTCAAGTGATTCTCCTGCCTCAGCCTCCCGAGTAGCTGGGATCACAGGCGCCCACCACCGCGTCCAGCTACTTTTTGTATTTTTAGTAGAGACGGGGTTTCACCACCTTGGCCAGGCTGGTCTCAAACTCAGGACCTCGTGATTCACCCGCCTCAGCCTCCTGAAGTGTTGGTATTACAGGCATGAGCCACCATGCCCAGGCTAATACCAAAAGTCTTTTTTTTTGGAGACGGAGTCTTGTTCTCTTGCCCAGGCTGGAGTGCAGTGGCGCAATCTCGGCTCACTGCAAGCTCCACCTCCCAGGTTCACGCCATTCTCCTGCCTCAGCCTCCAGAGTAGCTGGGACAACAGGCGCCCGCCACCACACCCGGCTAATTTGTTGTATTTTTTAGTAGAGACGGGGTTTCACCGTGTTAGCCAGGATGGTCTCGATCTCCTGACCTGGTGATCTGTCCCGCCTGGGCCAAAAGTCTTTTTTTTTTTTTTTTTTTTGAGACAGAGTCTTGCTCTATCGCCAGGCTGGAGTGCAATGGCACAATCTCGGCTCACTGCAACCTCTGCCTTCCAGGTTCAAGTGATTCTCCTGCCTCAGCCTCCCAAGTTGCTGGGACTACATGTGCGCTAATTTTGGTATTTTTATTTTATTTATTTGTATTTTTAGTAGAGACGGGCTTTCAGCATGTTGGCCAGGATGGTCTTGATCTCCTCAACTCATGATCTGCCCGCCTCGGCCTCCCAAATTGCTGGGATTACAGGCGTGAGCCGCTGTTTTGCCCAGTCTTTTATTTATTTTTTTGAGGCAGTTTCACTCTGTTGCCCAGGCTGGAGTGCAGTGGCGTGATCTCAGCTCGCTGCAACCTCTGCCTCCTGGGTTCAAGCGATTCTCCTGCCTCAGCCTCCCAAGTAGCTGGGAATACAGGCACACGCCACCATGTTTGGCTAATTTTTTGTATTTTTAGTAGAGACAGGGTTTCACCATGTTGGTCAGGCTGGTCTCCAACTCCTGACCTCAGGTGATCCGCCTGCCCCGGCCTCCCAAAGTGCTGGGATTACAGGAGTCAGCCACCATGCCAGGCTGACCAAAAGTCTTTAAACATAGAAAAGTGGTTACTAGAGGCTAACTCTCCAGACCATGGAAGGAATTAGCAATCTAAGGTCTACGTCTGAAAATGACCCTCACTTACGTGGTTAGCAGGAAGGAGCCTTCACTGCATCTGTCCAGAGCTTTCCGAGCAGCTGGCTTCCCTGAGAACTCAACAATGCCTTTTCCTGAGGGCCTTCCTCGATCATCCACAATGACTACAGCCCTCTCTACCTGGCCAAACACAGAAAAGGCTTCTTCCAGCAGTTCGTTGGACACATACTGAGGAAGGTTTCGAACTGTAAGGGATGCACTATGGCAGGCAAAGCGCACACGCAGCTGCTTTCCACGGAGTGGCATATTGTCCAGCTCCACTTTGGCAATCTCCGCTAGGGTTCGGGTTTCCTAGGAAGCAGAGGAAAATCAGAATAACTCAGTTTGACAAAGAACACCTTAGCAGCCATCAACAGTCTAAAGCAGTATAGTTCAATATCTCCCCGGAAAAACTAAACAACCATACAAAGAAACAGAAGTGAAAGAACTTAACTGTGTGCTTCAGCTCTTTGGCCACCCTAGTTTGCTTCTGATGGCCTTGCAATAAATCACATGTAGTTCTAGAAGTCAATAACACTTAGGTGATCATCAATTTCATAGGTATTATTCTCCCAATGACAACAGATCATCCAGAAAACAAAGACCATTGGCCGGGTACGGTGGCTCACGCCTGTAATCCCAGAATTTTGGGAGGCCGAGGCGGGTGGATAACGAGGTCAGGAGATCGAGATCATCCTGGCCAACAGGGTGAAACCTGGTCTCTACTAAAATACAAAAAATTAGCCAGGCGCAGTGGCACGCACTGGTAGTTCCAGCTACTCCAGAGGCTGAGGCAGGAGAACTGCCTGAACCCGGGAGGCGGAGGTTGCAGTGAGCCAAGATCACGCCACCGCACTCCAGCATGGGCAACAAAGCAAAACTCCGTCTCAAAAAAACGAAAACAAAAACTCAAAGACCACCCTAAAACCACCTAGAATATTTTAGTTTTTTTTTTCGAGACGGAGTCTTGCTGTGTTGCCCAGACTGGAGTGCAGTGGAGCAATCTCAGCTCACTGCAACCTCTGCTTCCCAGGTTCAGGCGATTCTCCTGCCTCAGCCTCCTGAGCAGGTGGGATTACAGGCGCTTACCACCATGTCCAGCTAATTTTTGTAGTTTTAATAGAGACGGGGTTTAACCATGTTGGCCAGGCTGGTCTCAAACTCCTGACCTCAAGTGATCCGCCCACCTTGGCCTCCCAAAAAGTGCTGGGATTACAGGCATGAGCCACCATGCTCAGTCTAATTTTTGCTAGGTATGTACCAGAATCACGAATATCCTCCAAGAAGCCTCTTTGGAACCAGGAACCTTGACAGGATCCCTTTCATATTACTAAAGAGAAACCTGATACCCAGAGAAAAATGACTTGGCAGATTGGAATGAAAATCAGTTCTGACCACCCCATCCAGTGATCCTGCTGTCACATTATTCTCTTCCATTTATGGAGGTAGATAATGTCTAGAAATGTTTTCCTCTCATATACTTTCCCTAAATCGAACCAGATTTTAAAATAATGTCTACACTTACAAACGGTTAAGATAGTAAATTTTATGTTATGTATGTTTTACCATCATTAGTTTTTTTTTAAGAGACTGGGTCTCACTCTATCACCCAGGCTGAAGTGCAGTGCTATGAGCATAGCTCACTGTAACCTCAAACTCCTAGGCTCAATCAGCCCTATCAGCTTAGCCTAGTTGAGTAGTTAGACTACAGACGTATACCATGCCTGGTTAATTCAATTTAAAATAGTTTTTTAAAGATACAAATAAACCAGGCACCGTGGTGCGTTGCCTTTGTCCCAGCTACTCAGGAGGCTGAGGACAGAGAATTGCTTAAGCTCAGGAATTCAAGTCTAGCCAAGGCAACATGGTGAGATACCCATCTCTTGATCATGGGGGGACAAAATAGGGAAAGGGTACAGATAAAACAAAATTAACCACAACTTGATAATTACTGAAGCTATGCAATGCATATGTGCAGGTTCATTATTATTCTGTCTACTTCTATATGTTTGAAATTTCCTAATTAAAACAAAAAAGTTCCAGCCAGGTGCAGTGGCTCACATCTGTAACCCCAATACTTTGGGAGGCCAAGGTGGGTGGATCTCCTGAGGTCAGGAGCTCGAGACCAGCCTGGCCAAAACAGTGAAACCCCGTCTCTACCAAAAATACAAAAATTAGCCGGGTGTGGTGACAGACACCTGTAATCCCAGCTACTCAGGAGGCTGAGGCAGGAGAATCACTTGAACCCGGGAGGTGGAGGTTGCAGTGAGCCGAGACCATGCCACTGCACGCCAGCCTGGGCCACAAGAGTGATACTCCGTCTCAAAAAAAAAAAAAGTTCCAAAGGGCATACTTTAGCTCCAGTATCCTAGGCAAAAAACTTGTTATCCTTGAAACAAAACTTATGAGGAAAAATTAAAATGTGCCATTTTTGTGGTTCTGTTTCATCAAGCTTTCAAGGAACACATCATCTGAGAATTATTTCCACTGCCTATTTTTGCACATCTATTATTCTCCAGCTTCCCCACCTTTAGAGCACATGCCTCAAAAGCCAACAGTTGCTCACCAAGCGGATAAAGCCAAATCCTTTATCCTTATGAATGAAGACTTCGCCTGCCTTTCCATATTTCTCAAATAGTTTCCTCATTTCTTCCTCAGTGATGTCGGGAGGAAGATTTCCCACAAAAAGACGGCTTCGTTGGGTGAAGGTCTTCTCTCCTGGTTTTCTAAAATTCTTCAGGTCAATAGTCAAGCCTTCATCTGAGAGAAGACACACAGTCACTTAAAAGACTGGGGAAATAGAATTATAGTCGTATCCTCAAAGACCTATAACCACTGATAAATGAGGAAACATTAATTGTTGTAGAGAATGTAAACACCATTTCCCAAGGCAACCTAACCACTTATGAGTAAATTGTGCCTTAGAATGTGAAAGCAGTATGCAGAGGACATCTGAACAGCTCTACGACGGGCCAGAAGCCAAGCTGGACTAAGCAAGAGAAAGAAAAATATAGGCGTTACCGGCCAAAGAGAAAAATTAAGCAATTCAAGGAAGCAGCCCTATGTTACAAGGCATCAGATTTTAACATTCAAAACGTACCTTCAGATGAGAATAAACAAACAAAAAAAAAAACAAAAAACAAAGTAACTGTTCCATTTTCCTAATCTCTCACCAATTTTCATAACCTTAACAGTTCCCATTCTTTCAGGCTGGGGGCAACAGAATGAAATGAGTTAGGAAAGAGCAACTCTTTATAGTAATCTCTGGAAATAAACAAAGTTGGGATTGGTTCTAGTCTTAGAGGCACACAATTGGTACTCAAACAGGAACATATACTTAAAGACTTTTTACAATGAGCTGGTACAGGCTCAAGGCTAAAAGTACAGTATTCAGTACCAGACTTCTCCATTTAAGCCTTAAAGACTTTTCTATATTATTTTTAACTACCAGTCATCTGATGACTACCTCTAAGAACCAAGCTGAGGTAAAACATGCAGACATCTGTTTAACAGTAGAATGTGTCAACACAGCAGAGCAACCTGTACTCAACTGCTGTCATACATGTTTGCTCCTTGGTTCCGGAGAATCAGCCTTTTCCATCGTAAGTATTAAGAGGTAAAGAGAAAAAAGAACAAAGGTGTGCCATAAAGGCCTATTCCCTTATAAGCCCGAGAAACTAATCTAAAAACCAAGAAACCATTCCCAGAGGGAATCCATTTCTACTCCATCACCTAGCATATACACACTTTGGCTGCTGGCCTGTTGCCCATTTGCAGGTATTGGCGGTGGTGGCGGCTGCTGCTGTTGCTGCTGGTGGTGCTGCTGCTGGTGGTGATGTTGATGATGCTTTCTTGGAGTATGGTTTTGCTTCTCCAAGTTAAAAGTTTTATTACTCTGCATTTTTGCACCCTACAAAGAAAAAGTAGACTAATAAATAAATTCAGTACTAATAACACAATCAGCCACCTTCCTGATGACTTATATGTAATTCATCACCTTAAGTGCTCTGGCTTTTGTCAGAGGCAAACAATTTGTTACTTTGAACAACCATGACAAAGAAGAACAATTCAAAAATCTATCAGTGCTGCATATGGAAACTATGTTAAAAAAAATCTTGCGTTCTGGAGGTTACAAAATATAGTAAAAATCAAACAAAAAAGGAAAAAAATAAAGAAAAAATAAATAAAAAGGCTGGGTGCAGTGGCTCACGCCTGTAATCCCAACACTTTGGGAGGCGGAGGTGGGAGGACTGCTGGAGTCCAGGAGTTTGAGACCAGCCTGGGCAACATGGTGAAACCTCACCTCTACCAAAAAAATACAAAAATTAGCTGGGTGTGGTGGCGCACGCCTGTGGTTCTAGGTACTCGGGAGGCTGAGGTGGGAGGATCACTTGAGCCCAGGAGTTCAAGACCAGCCTAGACAACACCGTGAGACCCCCATCTCTACAACAACATTTAAAAATGACCCAGGCAGGTTGGGCGTGTGGCTCAAGACTGTAATCCTAGCACTTTGGGAGGCCAAGGTGGGTGGATCACCAGGTCAGGGGTTCGAGACAAGCCTGGCCAACATGGTGAAACCACATCTATACTAAAAATACAACTACCCAGGAATGGTAGCGGGCGCCTGTAATCCCAGCTACTTGGGAGGCTGAGACAGGGGAATGGCTTGAACCTGGGAGGTGGAGGTTGCAGTGAGCTGAGATCGTGCCACTGTACTCCAGCCTGGTGACAGAGTGAGACTCCGTCTCCAAAAAACAAAACAAAACAAAAAAACACTACCCAGGCATAGTGGTGCCGTAGTCCCAGCTACTCAGGAGGCTGGAGCTGGAGGTTCACTTGAGCCCACGAGTTAGAGGCTGTAATAAGCCATGACTGTGCCACTGCACTCCAGCCTGGGCAACCAAGAAAGACTCTATCTCAAAAAAATAAAAAATAAAAATAAAAATCTGGCCAGGCACAGTGGCTCACACCTGTAATCCCAGCACTTTGGGAGGCTGAGGCAGGCAGATCACGAGGTCAGGAGATCAAGACCATCCTGCCTAACATGGTGAAACCCCGTCTCTACTAAAAATACAAAAAATTAGCCGGGCGTGGTGGCAGGCGCCTGTAGTCCTGGCTATTCGGGAGGCTGAGGCAAGAGAATGGCGTGAACTCAGGAGGCGGAGCTGGCAGTGAGCCGAGATTGCGCCACTGCACTCTAGCCTGGGCAACAGAGCTAGACTCTGTCTCGAAAATAAAATAAAATAAAAAATTTTAAAAAATTTAAAAAATAATAAAATTAAAAACAACGAGGCATCAGCAGTTATACTGCACATAAAAACTAAATGAGTACTGGATGAGAACTGTTTGCACTAGAATCGCTTAAGGAACTTCCCAGTTCAATACTACACATTAATAGAAAACTACTTTTCCAAAAAATCTACTCTTAAAAACTCGCCCCATCACACATTTAAGCATATTTTAAAAACAAAATGATCGAAATAGATTCTGGTTATCACAAGGACAAAGACTAGTAAAGTCTTATCTTCTCTGGTACCTACCAATCCTAGCCCACAGTACATACCGTGGAAATAACAGTGGTACTAGTATGGGCTGTGAGGTTAGGCATCCTTAGGTTTGAATTGTGTTCCTCAATTGTGTACTACTTACTAGTAAATTACTCTGTACCTGTTTCTTCAGCTGTTCTAAAGGGGATGATAAAAATACCTGTCTCTCAAAGTGGCTATGAGAATAAACATGTGAAAATGCTGGCTCACTACTGGCATACAGTACACACTCTAAATATTTATTAATTACAGTGGAAAGACAAATGACTACTAAAGCAATAAAAGCAAACATAAAAAGATAGGCCAGGCGAGATGGCTCATGCCTGTAATCCCAGCACTTCAGGAGGCTGAGGCCAGTGGATTAGCTGAGGTCAGGAGTGCAAGAACAGCCTGACCAACATGGTGAAACCCCATCTCTACTAAAAATACAAAAATTAGCGGGGTGTGGTGGCACATGCCTGTAATCCCAGTTACTCAGGAGGCTGAGCCAGGAGAATCACTTGAACCTGGGAGGCGGAGGTTGCCGTGAGCCGAGATTGTGCCATTGCACAAGAGTGAAACTCCATCTCAAAAAAAAAAGAAAAGATAAATAGGCTGGGCACAGTGGCTCACATCTGTAATCCCAGCAATCTGGGAGGTCTAGGCAGGAGGACTGCTTGGGCCCAGTAGTTAGAGACCAGCCTGGGCAACATAGTGAGCCCCACCTCTACAAAAAATATGTATTAAAAAAATTAGACAGGCATGATAGCACACTCATGTAGTCCCAGCTACTTGAGAGGCTGAGGCTGCAGTGAGCTGTGATCACGCCATTGTATTCCAGCCTGGGCAGGGAGAATGAGACCCTGTCTCAAGAAAAAAAAAAAAAAAAAAAAAGATAAAAATAATAAAATGTTAAATTCTATCATTTAAAAATCAACATAAGATTAAAAAGAAAACAAGTGCTCTGTGCTCCCAAACGTTGAAATAAAAAAAAAAAAAAAAAAATGAAGCCAGCATGGTGGCTCAGGCCTGTAATCTCAGCACTTTGGGAGGCTGAGGCAGGAAGATGGCTTGACCCCAGGAGTTTGAGACCAGCCTGGGCAACATAGCAAGACTCGGTCTTTATTTAAAAAAAAAAAAAAAAAAAAGGGTAGGGGGGAGGGGAGGCCAGGTGCAGTGGCTCATGCCTGTAGTCCCAGCTACTTGGGAGGCTGAGGCTGGAGAATCACTTGAACCCACGAAGAGGAGGTTACAGTGAGGCAAATCATAACACTGCACTCCAGCCTAGGCAACAGAATGAGACCCTGTCTCAAAAAAAATAGAGAAAAAAATAGGCTGGGTGCAGTGGTTCATGCCTGTAATCCCAGCACTTTGGGGGACTAAGGCAGGCCAGATCACCTGAGGTCAGGAGTTCGAGACCAGCCTGGCCAACATGGTGAAACCCTGTCTCTACTAAAAATACAAAAAAATTAGCCGGGTGTGGTAGCTTGCACCTGTAGTCCCAGCTACTTGGGAGGCTGAGGCAGGAGAATTGCTTGAACCAAGGAGGACGAGATTGCAGTGAGCAGAGATGCTGCCATTGCACTCCAGCCTAGGCGGCAGAGTGAGACTTGGTCTCAAAAATAAATGAATAGGCCAGGCGTGGTGGCTCACACTGGTAATCCCAGCACTTTGGGAGGCCGAGGAGGGTGGATTGCTTGAGGTCAGGAGTTCAAGACCAGCCTGACCAACATGGTGAAAACCCGTCTCTACCGAAAACACAAAAATTAGCTGGGCATGGTGGTGGGCATCTGTAATCCCAGCTACTCAGGAGGCTGAGGCAGGAGCATCACTTGAACCTGAGAGGCGGAGGTTGCAGTAGGCCAAGACAGTGCCGCTGCACTCCAGCCTGGGCAACAAAGTGAGAGTCTGTCTCAAAAAATAATTATAAACACAGAAAATTATATTTCTCAGATGAAAGAAATGCGACAAAGGCTTGGTAACTATTGATTTTGATGATGAGTATACGGGAATACTTTCAAGTGTATAAAAACATTCCTAATCTGTTTAATGTCACATCCCACCAAAACTGAAAACATTAATGCAATTACCAAATTCTGTATCCAAAAGTTTAGTAAGAAAAAAAGTAACAAGAGCTATCAAGATGTTAATTCATAGTCTTTAATTTGGAAATTCTACTCCTGGAAATTTATCCTAATAATTTTAAAATTAAAAACTACACCCGTGAAAGTGTTCATTGTAATGGCCTTTATGGTAAGAAAACAATAAAAATGACTTAAATTTCCAAAATTAGGGGAATGGTTTTCATGAAAGTACGGTACATCTATACAACAGAATGTTCACAGCCTTAAAAATTATGAAGACCACATAAACACGAGTATGTCTGATATTCTAACGGGGAAAGGTTTTTTCTAATTTTAAAGATGTGAATATAGACAAGGGAACAGAAGGTAGGCAAAAATGAAAACAACTGCATTGCTTTTAGGTTACTGATAATTTTTCAATTCACGATTTCATTCAAAAAATATTCAGTGAATGCCTACCATTTGCTAGGCACTATTCTAGATGGTTACAGTGGATTAGTGAACAAAGCAGATTCTTGCCTACAGAACTTGCTTCTAGTGAGAGACAATATATATAAGTAAATTATATAGTACTTAAGAGGTAAGTGCTATGGGAAAATAAATAAAAATGGGGGAGGAAGGCAAAGTGGATAGGGAGAAGGAGGCAGATGGTAAACCTCACAACATCTGACATTTCAGCCAAGATTTAAATTTTCACATTTATATCATTTAATCAATTTTGTTTCTCATTAATGTTATAAGGTATCAGAAATTACAACTTAAAATTTTATTTAAAAATTTTTAAACAGAAATTACAATCAGATACTTATTACAAAATGTATTATAGAAAATTTAGAAAAACCAAAATAAATAAAAATACAAATATAAAAATCCATAGACCTGCCACTAAAAATAGTCACTGTTAACATGTTGGTATATCCTTCTAGTCATTAATTTATGTATTTGAAATGAGATATGATAAATACTATTTTGTAACCTGTTTTTTCCACTTTATGATGTATCATAAACAGCTTTCATGTCATTAAATCTTTTACGTTAACGGACACAGCATTCAGTTGTCAACCAAGTCCCTATTGTGTTGGACACCTGGGTCGTTTCTAATTTTTCACCATTATAATCAATGCTCATAGCTAAATCTTTGGACATATCCATGATTAAATATTCCTCCCACAATTTTCCATTCTTGCTTATTTAGACATACATTATCATTTCAGTAACTGATAATGCACCCTTGTATATTCAGAGTTTCCTCATTTCTGCTAATGTCAACATAATTGTAATTTTTAATGACTATATAAAGTTCACCAGGATGTACTACTTTACTAAACTACTCCCTACTATAAGACATTTAGGTGGTTGTTTTTGGCTTTTCCTATTATAACGCTGCAGTAAATGTCTTCTGGCTTTCAGCTTTATTTCCATTTAATTATTTCCATAGGATAAATTCTTAAAAATAGAATCTATCCTGTGACTCTTGCCACATAGTGCAACGTCGTTTTCTCAAAAAGTTGTAAGGATTTTAAACGCCATGAGCAGGTGTAGCAGTTTCATGGCAAATGAGATACCTTTAAAAAAAAACAACAAAAAAAGAAAATAGTGTTTTAAAAAATAAGATATAAAAGCAGGAAGTTAAAACATACAAAATCTAAAGTCCACCCTGGAAATAGTTGGGGATGGGGCAAGGTGGGCATCAGAATCAAATCTTTTCCTACTTGGGTTCCAGGTGTTAAACATCTCTCTTCCCCTGGCCCCGGAGAGGCCCAGGATGGAATGCACTAGTGAAGACTATCATAATAAAGCACCTATAACAGTGCCCACCAAGTAGCAAGTACCTTGAGAAGTATTTCTTCCTATCACCTACTTCTGATGACCACCAATATAATTTGGAAATATGTGCAGAACCCTCTTCAGAGTAATAAATTCACTGTCGCCTAAATACTGGGCCTCTGAAAAGAGAACACAGCACGAAGATCAGCAGCAAAGATTACTGTCTACTTGTGTCCCTGAGACTAATAATCCTGATGAAGAATTTTGAGAGAAAACACGTATTGCTGGTTGAGAAAGACTCTAACCACTGGGCATGCTACAGTTAAACAAATGTTTAGGTAGAGGACCAAACACTACATCACACATATCTGAAATCTAAATCTGGTATAAATTTACAAGACTGAGATGGCTGCCTGGATGGCCAGCCTGAAAGCTGTAAAATGAACTAAGGTCCTTCTCTAAGAGTTTCTTAGGACTTTTCATTTAATAACAAGGAAGGTGGACAAGGACACAGTATAAATATAACCAGGGCCCCCCCACTAGAGTTGCCAGATTTAGCAAATAAAATACACAACCCACAATTAAATTTGAAATTTAATTGAAAACTATGCAACATATACTTAAAAATAATTGGTTGTGTAGGTGAAATTCTAATTCAACTGGGTGCCCGGTGTTTTGTCTGGCAACCCTATCCCTTCCTTACACCTACCTCAACTTCGATTGCAGACAGCAAAGTGCCTCCCAGTTCCCTCTAACCTCGACTTCTCTGTTAAAAACACAAAGAAACGTGTCAGGTTATGGTAAGAGTTTCTCAAACTGGAAAATAAAATACTCGATGCGAAATCCATAAATTTAAGTTTCATTTTAAAAAGTGATGCTATATAAATGCGTCAAGGAGCTAGGCGGTTAGGACTTTAGAAAAAGGGCATACAGAAATCTGACTACGAAAGCGGCGGGCTCTGGATATGCAGAGGAACTTTCCAGCTAAGAGTTTTGACAAAGAAATATCGCTTGAGGGGCCCCACTTGCCCATTCTGAATTAATGGCCTCGCGGGGCCGAGAGGAGGAGCGCCCGACAAAGCGCCTCCTCCTCTAACCAACCACGACTTCAGCGATCTCTCATAATAGACCCCACACCGTCGGGCCCAGGGCGGCTCAGAGGCCGGCAACTTACTGACACGGGTAAGATTCGGAGATGAGTTGCACAAAGAAACAGGGCAGGAACGAAAATGGGGAAAGCCCGAAGCGAAGCGAGTTGAGAAAGGTGGCCCCCCGCGGGTGGGCTGAGAAGGCAGTGTGGCGGCAGAGACAAGGCCTCAAGGGGCCTCGGAAGCGCCATCCACCCTCCAAACCTAGCTTCGCCCTAGCCTCTTCCTTCGCTGATTGTTCCAAGAAATCCCACTACCCTCCCAAACAAGAACCAAGACGTCCCAAAACTCACCCTCTACCGACTGGTATCTCCTCGGAGTAACGGCGACGCTACACGGCCTCTCCCGTCCCGAGAAAAGAGCGCGCGACCGCCGGAAACGAGACGACGGAGCTCGGTGCCTGCCAAGGGGTACAAAATGGCGTTCTCGATTGGTTAGCTAAACTGCCAATCAAGGTTTAGCTCCCGAGGCGGAATCATTTTTCCGCCATTTCTTAGATTCTATTGGCTGCCGAATGCCAAAGGCTTGAGTTCGTGTGAACGACAGATGGGGACAAAGAGCGAGGCTTTGTACCTAATGCGCATGTGCAAGCGGCCTGGCGCGTGAGACGGGAAAGGAAAGGGGGAGGGGGAAAAGGAAAGGGAGAGGAGCTGGGGGTGGGGGTCGGAAGGAGAGACCTAAACGAACTGACTGAAAGACTGAAAGACCAAGTGGTGGGAGGGGGAAAGGAGAGGAGAAAAAGGGAGAGGAAAGTGGAAAGAGGGAGAGGAAGGGGAGAAAATGCGCGCGTAGGCGTGCTCGGAGCAGTCCTGCACTGCGCCTGTGCAAGAAGCAAGAGTAACAATGTCATTGTATTCAATGGAATAGATTTGGCCTTTTCCTACTGAAAAAAATGCCCCGCCATGTTTCTTTTTTCACACTTCCTTGTTAGGGCTTGCATCCTGACACCCCATACTTAATCATATTTCTAGATGCTTCTCCTGTTGCTGGGGCTACTCGGGAAACGCAACTGAAATAGTCAACTCTTTGGTCATGGTTACAGACGGGGTGGGGGAGGAGGGGGTGCATCATACCTTAGGCTCTGCGTGATTACACAGAATTGTAACCAGCACCCTCATTTCCATGGTAACCAGAAAACCTAGCAGTCCAAACATCACTATTGTTCCTATGATTTACTGAGAGATTCAACAGGTGTCATCATTGCCATGGATATATTGTAGGCCTCTAGATCAGACTGTATATTCCATAGGAGGCCTATCAGTAACTAACCTTCATTGTTTCAGTAATGCCTAACTCGCCCCGCCCCCGTGGTTAACCAAGGACTACAAGGATCAATTGATAAGTATGTGTTGTTAATTCCCATTAATTAATTCACACTCAGGGTTGCAGGGTATCCCAATGGGCACCACCTTATGTGGGGACACAATGATCTAGACTTGGGCTGTTCAATAGAACTGTGTGCAATGATGGAAAGGTCCTATGTCTGCTGTGTTCAATATGGCAGCTACTAACTATAAGTGGCCATTGAAATATGACTAATGCAACTGAGAACCTGAATTTTTAATTCCGGCTAGGTGCAGTGCTCATGCCTATAATCCCAGTACTTTGAGAGGCCGAGACGGGAGGATCGCTTAAGCCTAGGAGTTCGAGACCAGCCTGGGTAACATGGCGAAACTCCATCTCCGAAAAAAAGCAAAAATTAGCCTGTCGTGGTGGAGTGTCCCTGTAGTCCCACCTACTCAGGAGGTTAAGGTTAAGGTGGGAGGATAGCTTGAGCTCGGGAAGCAGAGGCTGCAATGAGTGGAGATCGCGCCACTGCACTCCAGCCTGCGTGACAGAGTGAGACCCCGTCTCAATTAAAAAGAAGAAGAAGAAAACTAATACTTACTCATAGAAAAAAAAAGAAAAATCAAACAATACCCAACAGTATAAAGAGAAAAGTCTTGGCCGGGTGTGGTGGCTCACGCCTGTAATCCTAGCACTTTGGGAGGCCGAGGCGGGAGGATCACGAGGTTAGGAGATCGAGACCATCCTAGCTAACATGGTGAAACCCCGTCTCTACTAAAAATACAAAAAAAAAATTAGCCGGCGTGGTGGCGGGTGCCTGTAGTCCCAGCTACTCGGGAGGCTGAGGCAGGAGAACGGTGTGAACCCAGGAGGCGGAGCTAGCAGTGAGCCAAGATTGCGCCACTGCACTCCAGCCTGGGCAATGAGTGAGACTCCGTCTCAAAAAAAAAGTCTCCCCCCCATTCATTCTCTAGAGATAGCAATTATGACCACTTTCTTGCGTTTCTATTTTCTATGTATGTACTGTTTATATTTATTTACTTAGAGACAGTCTTGCTCTGTCACCCAGGCTGGAGTGCAGTGGCACAAACACAGCTCACTGCAACCTCTGCCTTTCAGGTTCTAGCGATTCTCCCACCTCAGCTTCCTCAGTAGCTGGGACTACAGGAGTGCACAACTACGCCCACGGTGGGTTTGTATGTTTTGTAGAGACAGGGTTTCACCATATTGCCCAAACTGGTCTTAAACTCCTGGGTGTAAGGAATCCCGCCTCCACTTGGCAAAGTGCTGGGATTACAGGCATGAGCCAGGGCACCCAGTGGAGGACCACTTTTTTTTTGGCGGCGGGACGGAGTCTCGCTCTGTCGCCCAGACTGGAGTGCAGTGGTGTGATCTCGGCTCGCTGCAGCCTCTGCCTCCCAGGTTCAAGCGATTCTCCTGCCTCAGTTCCCGAGTAGCTGGGATTACAGGTGCCTGCCACCGTGCCTATGCCCAGCCAATTTTTTTTTTTTGAGACAGAGTCTTGCTCTGTCGCCCAGGCTGGAGTGCAGTGGCGCGATCTCAGCTCACTGCAAGCTCCGCCTCCCGGGTTCACGCCATTCTCCTGCCTCAGCCTCCCGAGTAGCTGGGTCTACAGGCACCTGCCACCACGCCCGGCTAACTTTTGTATTTTTAGTACAGACAGGGTTTCACCATGTTGGCCAGGCTGGTCGCAAGCTCCTACCTCAAGTGATCCGCCCACCTCGGCCTCCTAAAGTGCTAGGATTACAAGCGTGAGCCACTGTGCCTGGCCAGGACTACTTTTTAATATCAAACATTTTACAGATTGCCACATGATAGTTTTTAGTATCTGCTGAGTGAGAAAATCCATAATTACAAAAAACCACTATGGATTCAATAAAATTTTAATGAATTTATACGTTGTTAATCAAATAAGTGTAAAGATGTTCATGTAAACCAATAATTGCAATACCTTACACAAATAAAATAATAGTAGCATATTGGAGGTACAGTAGCAGTAAAGGGTAACATGGATCTGCTTGAGTAGATCAGGAATGGCTTCGCAGGAAAGAACACCCTTGAATTGGTTTATATATTTATTTATTTATTTTGACACAAGATCTGGCTGTCACCCAGGCTGGAGAGCAGTGGCATGAACACAATTCACTGCAGCCTTGACCTCCTGGGCTCAAGCAATCCTCCTACCTCAGCCTCCAAGTGGCTGGGACTACAGACACTCACGACCACACTCGGCTAATTTGTTTGTTTGTTTGTAGAAACGTGGTTTTGCCATGTTGCCCAGGCTGGTCTTAAACTCCTGAGCTCAAGCCATCCTCCTGCCTCAGCCTCCCAAAGTGCTGGGATTACAGGCATGAACCACCTTGCCTGATCTGAATTGGTTCTTGACCAAGAGGATGAAGTCAAAAAGGTCAATGTGCAAAGTGTCAGAGGCAGAATGATACATGTTTTGGGTAGTTTTTCATGGCTGAAGAGAAGTGGGGGTGCTGAGTGATAGGAAGTTAGGCTAGAGACATAGGCAAAGACCAAAAAATTAAGGCCCTGTGCTATGCTTAGAAGTTTGTACTTTAATCTGTCAGTGATGGGGAGCCATTGAAGGGTTTTAAAAAATAATTTATATTGCTTTTTCTGATTATAAAAGTAATATATGCTCTTTGAGGGAAAAATTGGAAAATGCACAGAAGAATAAAAATCATCATAATCCCACTGTCCAGAAATAATTTTTAATATTTTGGTATTTTTTTCTTCCAGGTATACACACACATAGATAGATAGATAGATAGATACATACATACATACATACATATATAGATACATAAATATATAGATGGAATGATAGATATATAGAGACAGAGACACAGAGACAGAGAAAATCATTTTTTCCATCTGTGATAGGATTGAATTTTAGAAAATCACTGTGTTCGTTTCCTGAGGCTGTTGTAACAAATTACCACAAATTTGGTGGCTTAAAACAAGAGAAATATATTTTCTCACAGTTCTGGAGGACAGAAGTCTGAAATCATTATCACTGAGATGAAATCAAGGTGTTGGTAGGGGCATATTCCTTCTAGAGGCTCTAGGGGAGAATCTGTTTCTTGTCTCTTCTGGCTTCTGGTGGCTGCCGGCATTCCTTGGCTTGTGGCCCTTTCACTCCAGTCTCTGCCTCCATCATCACATGGCCCTCTCCTCGTCTCTGTGTGTCAAATTTCTCTCTCTGTTATCAGGACATTTGTCATTGCATTTAGGGCCCACCTGGATAATCTCTCTATCTCAAGATCTTTAACTTAATCATATCTGCAAAGTCCTTCTTTTCTGCCATATAAATTAACACTGATAGGTTCCAGGGAAGAGGACATGGATATAACCCTGGGAACAGAGTGTAGAATAGATTGGAGGAGATATGCTAGGAGATAGGGACACCAATTAGGATACAATGATGATAATTCAGGTAAGAGACCAGGAAGTACTGAACTACGGCAGTGGTTTTAGGGGTAAAGAAAAGGAAACCAGATTCAGATATTTAGAAGGTAGGATCAAGGGAACTTAATAACCAGTTAAATGTAGGGGGTAAGGAATGGAAGAAGACTAGAATGATTCCCAGGTTTCTGATTTGGGTGCCTGGAAGTCTGGTTGTGCCACTAACCAGGATAGTAAATAGAGGCAGAAGAGCAAGATTTGGTGAAAGTCAATCAGTGCAGTTTTGGTCATGTTGAGTTTAAGTGTATGCAGAATGTCCGGGTGGAGATAACATGTAATTGGCTATAAGCCCATTGAAATGTAGGTCTAAATGTCAAAATAGAGGTCTGGATTGTCGACATAGACAATGTGTGAGTTGTCAACCTAACGTTGGTAGTGGAAGCTGAGGGCATAAGGGAATGAGAAAACTAAAGTTAAAAAAAAAAAAAAAAAAGACGGCCGGGCGCCGTGGCTCACGCCTGAAATCCCAGCACTTTGGGAGGCTGAGGCGGGCAGATCATGAGGTCAGGAGATTGAGACCATCCTGGCTAACATGGTGAAACCCCGTCTCTACTAAAAATACAAAAAAATTAGCCGGGCATGGTAGCAGGTGCCTGTAGTCCCAGCTACTCGGGAGGCTGAGGCAGGAGAATAGCGTGAACCTGGGAGGTGGAGCTTGCAGTGAGCCGAGATCCCGCCACTGCACTCCAGCCTGGGTGAGAGCGAGACTCCGTCTCAAAAAAAAAAAAAACAACCTAGGACAGAAGCCTGAAAAACATCTACAGTTAAGAGGCAGGTGATGGAGAGGAGCCAGCCAAAGCAACAGAGAAAGAAGGTCCGAGCAAGGCTTTGAGAGGCCATTTTTTTCTTTTCTTTAATTTTCCGCCGGAGTCAGAGTCTTGCTCTGTTGCCCAGGCTAGAGAGCAGTGGCGTAATCTCAGCTCACTGCAACCTCCACCTCCCTGCAACCTCCACCTCCCGGGTTCAAGCAATTCTCCTGCCTCAGCCTCCCAAGTAGCTGGGATTACAGGCATGCACCACCACGCCCAGCTAATTTTTGTATTTTTAGTAGAGACAAGGTTTCACGATGTTGGCCAGGCTGGTCTTGAACTCCTGACCTTGTGATCTGCCCCCTTGGCCTCCCAAAGTGCTGGGATTACAGGCGTGAGCCACCGCGCCTGGTCTTTTTTTTTTTTTTTTTTTTTTGAGACAGAGTCTCAAGAAACTGGCTCTGTCACCCAGGCTGGAGTGCAATGGCACGATCTTGGCTCACTGCAACCTCCACCTCCCGGGTTGAAGCCATTCTCTCATCTCAGCCTCCCAAGTAGCTGGGATTACAGGCGTCTGCCACCACACCTGACTAATTTTGTTTGTTTGTGTGTTTGTTTGTGTGTTTTGAGACAGAGTCTCACTCTGTCGCCCAGGCTGGAGTGCAGTGGCGTGATCTCAGCTCACTGCAACCTCCGCCTCCCGGGTTCAAGCGATTCTTCTGCCTCAGCCCCCATAGTAGCTGGGACTACAGGCGCATGCCACCACGCTTGGCTAATTTTTGTATTTTTAGTAGAGACGGGGTTTCACCATATTGGCCAGGCTGGTTTTGAACTCTTGACCTCGTGATCCACCCGCCTCAGCCTCCCAAAGTGCTGGGATTACAGGCATGAGCCACCACGCCTGGCCAAGGGGCCATTTTTTCTAAGTATCATTATCAATTACATACTATTTGAATACTTTCGAACATGATAATTGGGTTTTATCAATACTAAGGATTTCTGTCCTCAATAAATAATGAGTAACTAGATACATAAGAAATATCAATCAAGAAAAAGTGAATGGCCCAGTCTGCAACACTCTGCTTTAAGGACTATAAGTGAATGACACTTGTATTCAATATTGTACTTAGAGATTCTAGCCAGAGCAATTGGCAAGAAAAAGAAAAGGCATCCAGAATGTAAAGGAAGTCAAACTGTATCTATTTGCAGATGACATGATGTTGTATATAGAAAATCCTAGGGAATCTACTAAAAAAAAAAAAACCTATTAGAACAAAGAAATGAATTCAGCAAAGCTGCAGGATATACAAAAGTCAATATATGACAATCAAATATATTTCTGTACACTTGCAATGAACAATTTGAAAATGAAATTAAGGAAACACCACAGCCACGACATGTACTACAAAAAGAAAAAAAGAAAAAAAATAAGGAAACTGTTCCATTTATAATAGCATCAGAAAGAATAAAATGCTTAGAAATAAATGTAACAGCAGAAGTACAAAACTTATACTCTGAATACTACAAAATATCGTTTTGTTTTGTTTAGTTGTTGAGACGGTCTCACTGTGTTACCCAGGCTAGAGTGCAGTGGCTTGATCTCGGCTCACTGCAACCTCCGCCTCCCAGGTTCAAGCGATTCTCCTGCCTCAGCCTCCGAAGTAGCTAGAATTATAGGCGCACACCACCACGCCTGGCTAATTTTTTTTTTTTTTTTTGTATTTTTAGTAGAGACAGGGTTGCACCATGTTGGCCAGGTTTTGCCGAGGCGGGTGGATTACCTGATGTCAGGAGTTTGAGACCAGCTTGGCCAACATGGTGAAACCCCATCTCTACTAAAAATACAAAAAATTAGCTGGGCGTGGTGGCAGATGCCTGTAATCCCAGCTGCTCAGGAGCCTGAGGCCGGAGAATTACTTGAACCCGGGAAATGGAGCTTGCAGTGAGTTGAGATCGCGCCATTGCACTCCAGCCTGGGTAGCAAAACTCCGTCTCAAAAAAAAAAAAAAAAGGATCTAAGTAAAAGGGAGAACACCTGATGATTGTGGATCACAAGGCCTAATGTTGTTAAAATGACAATCTTCCCCAAGTTAACCAACAAATTCAATGCAATCCCTATCAGAATCCTAAGTTATTTGTAGAATTTGACAAGCTGATTCTAAAATTCATATGGAATTCCCAGGGACCTAGATTAGCCAAAACAACTTTGATAAAACAAGAGCAAAATTGGAGGACTCACACTTCTTTTTTTTTTTTCTCTTTCGCTCTCTCTCTCTCTTTTTTTTTTTTTAACAAGCTCTTGTCAGGCCGAGGACTCACATTTTCTAATTTTTTTTTTTTTTGAGATGGAGTCCTGAGTAGCTGGGATTACAGGCATGCACCACAACGCCCGGCTAATTTTTGTATTTTTAGTAGAGATGGGGTTTCACCATGTTGGCCAGGCTGGTCTCGAACTCTTGACCTCAAGTGATCCACCCACCTCTGCCTCCCAAAGTGCTGGGATTACAGGCGTGAGCCACTGCGCCTGGACTATAAAACTGTTAGAAGAAAACATAAAGATAAATCTTCATGACCTTGAATTTGGCAATGAATTCTTAAATATAACACCCAAAGCAAAGACATCAAAAGAAAAAATAGATAACTTGGACCACATCAAAATGAAAACTTTTGGGGGGGGTGTCCTAAAAAAATTAAAACTTTTATGCTTCAAATTACATTATTAAGAAAATGAAAATTTCAACACTGAATGGGAAAAAATATTTGTAAATCATACATCTGATAAGGGGCTTGTATCCAGGATATACAAAGAACTCTTACAACTCAATAATAAAAAGACAAATAAACTGGGCCTGGTGGCTCATGCCTGTAATCCCAGCACTTTGGGAGGCCAAGGCGGGCGGATCACCTGAGGTCAGGAGTTCGAGACTAGCCTGGCCAACATGGTGAAACCCCGTCTCTACTAAAAACACAAAAATTAGCCGGGCATGGTGGCGTGCACCTGTAGTCCCAGCTACTTGGGAGGCTGAGGCAGGAGAATCGCTCAAACCTGGGAGGTGGAGGTTGCGGTGAGCCAAGATTGCGCCATTGCACTCCAGCCTGGGTGACGAGTGAAACTCCATCTCAAAAAAAAAGACAACTAGCCCAATTCAAAAATGGACAAAATTTTAAATATACATTTCTCCAAGGAAGATATACAAAAGGTTCAAGGTACATGAAAAGATGCTCAACATTATTAGTCATCAGAGAAATGCAAATCAAACCTACAATGAGATACTACTTCACAACCACTAGGATGGCTAGAATCAAAGTCAGATAATAACAAGTGTGGATGAGGATGTGAAGAAATTGAAACCTTCCTAGTGGGAATGTAAAATGGTACAGCTATTTTGGAAGACAGTCTGGCGGTTCCTCAAACAATTAAATATAGCATGTGACCCAGCATTTCCACTCTCAGTTGTCTACCCAAGAAAACTGAAAATATATGTTCACACAAAAACTTGTACACAAATGTTTATAGCAGCATTATTAATAATAGCCAAAAGGTGGAAACAACCCAGATGTACAACTGATAAATGCATAAATAAAATATGGTCTATCCATACAATGCACTATAATTCAGCCACAAAAAGAATGAACTAATGGTACAGTCTACAATGTGGATGAACCTTGAAAATATGCTAAGTGAACAAAGGCAACCACAAAAGACCACATATTATATGATTCTATTTATATGAAATGTCCCAAATAAGCAAATCTATGGAGATAGAAAGTAGCATGGTGGTTGTTTAAGGCTGGGAGGAAAATAAATAAATACGTGAAATTTTAAAAATAAATAAAAATAAGTATCTGAGCCTACTGTGACTCGAAAGACTTCCCAATTGGCAAAACAAACAAACAAAAAACAAAAAAGAAAAGAAAAAGGCTGGGAGGATGGGAAATGGGGGTGATAGCTAAAGGGTACAGGGCTTCTTTCTGAGGTAATGAAAATGTAGCATTGACTGGTAATGGTTAAACATATCTGTGAATATACTAAAATCCACTGAATTGTACACGTTATTATTTTTTAATTTCTTTTTTTTTGAGATGGAGTCTCGCTGTCGCCCAGGCTGGAGTGCAATGGCATGATCTTGGCTCACTGCAACCTGTGGCTCCTGGGTTCAAGCAATTCTCCTGCCTCAGCCTCCTGAGTAGCTGGGATTACAGGTGCAGGCCACCACACCTGGCTAATTTTTGTATTTTTAGTAGAGATGGGGTTTCACGATGTTGGTCAGGCTGGTCTCGAACTCCTGACCTCGTGAGCCGCCTGCCTTGGCCTCCCAACGTGCTGGGATTACAGGTGTAAGCCACTGCACCTGGCCTATTTTTTAATTTCTTTTTTCTAAAATAAATATTATCCTCTTCTCAGGTGATTTTTTTTTCTTTTTTGAGATGGAGTCTCGCTCTGTCACCTGGCTGGAGTGCAGTGGTGCCATCTCGGCTCACGGCAACCTCTGCCTCCCGGGTTCAAGTGACTTTCCTACCTCAGCCCTCCGAGAAGCTGGGACTACAGGCGCGAGCCACCATGCCCAGCTAATTTTTTTTTTTTTTTTTTTTGTATTTTTGTAGACAGGGGTTTCACCATGTTAGCCAGGCTGGTCTTGAACT
Source organism: Homo sapiens (assembly GCF_000001405.40). Taxonomy (NCBI): domain Eukaryota; kingdom Metazoa; phylum Chordata; class Mammalia; order Primates; family Hominidae; genus Homo; species Homo sapiens. The sequence continues at coordinate 71,273,839 of NC_000023.11, read as the reverse complement.
CCTGACCTCATGATTTGCCCACCTCGGCCTCTCAAAGTGCTGAGATTACAGGCGTGAGCCACTGTGCCCAGCCCGGTTTTTTTTGAGGCAGAATCTTGCTCTGTCACCCAGGCTGGAGTGCAGTGGCACAATTGCTAACTGCAACCTCCGCCTACCAGGTTCAAGTGATTCTCTGCCCCAGCCTCCCAAGTAGCCGGGATTACAGGCATGCACGACCACACCTGGCTGATTTTTGTATTTTTTGTAGAGACGGGGTTACACCATGTTGGCCAGGCTGGTTTTGAACTCCTGGTTTCAAGCCACCCACCCACCTCGGCCTCCCGAAGTGATGGGATTACAGGCGTGAGCCACCGTGCCCGGCTTTTTTTTTTTTTTTTTTTTTTTTTGAGAAGGAGTCTCACTCTGTCACCCAGGCTGCCCAGGCTGGGGTGCAGTGGCGTGATCTCAGCTCACTGCAACCTCCGCCTCCTAGGTTCAAGAGATTCTCCTGCCTCAACCTCCAGAGTAGCTGGGAATACAGGCGTCTGCCACCACGCCCGGCTAATTTTCTGTATTTTTAGTAGAGATGGGGTTTCACCGTGTTAGCCAGGATGGTCTCAATCTATTGACCTCGTGATCTGCCCACTTCGGACTCCCAAAGTGCTGGGATTACAGGCGTGAGCCACCGCACCTGGCCTGAAAAGTTAATATGATCATGTTAGTACTATTACTGTCATCCCAAGAAAAATTATATATTTTCTCTCTCTCTTGTTTTTTTTTTTTTTTTTTTTTGAGATGGAGTCTTGCTCTGTCACTGAGGCTGGAGTCTTGCTCTGTCTCTGAGGCTGGAGTGCAGTGGTGCGACCCTGGCTCACTGCAGCCCCTGCCTCCCAGGTTCCAGTGATTCTCCTGCCTCAGCCTCCCAGGTAGCTGGGATTACAGGCACATGCCACTACGCCCGGCTAATTTTTGTATTTTAGTAGAGAGGGGGTTTCACCGTGTTGGCCAGGCTAGTCTCAAACTCTTGACTGTCACATGCGTCTGTGTGAAGAGAGTCCACAAACAGGCTTTGTGTGAGCAACAAGGCTGTTTATTTCACCTGGGTGTAGGCAAGCTGAGTCCAAAAGGCAGTCAGCAAAGGGTGGTGGGATTATCATTAGTTCTTATAGGTTTGGGATAGGCAGTGGAGTTAGGAGCAATTTTTTGCAGGCAGGGGGTGGATCTTACAAAGTACAAAGGGTGGGGAGAACATTACAAAGTACCTTCTTAAGGGTGGGGGAGCATATTACAAAGTACCTTCTCAAGGGTGGGGAGGGTGTATTGTACAAAGTACATTCACAAGGGTGGGGGAATATCACAAAGTACATTATCACAAGGGCGGGGAGGGTGTATTGTCACAAAGTCAATTGATCAGTTAGGGTGGGGCAGGAATGGTGGAATGTCATCAGTTAAGGCAGGAATTGGCTATTTTCACTTCTTTTGTGGATCTTCAGTTGCTTCAGGCCATATGGATGTATACGTGCAGGTCACAGGGGATATGATGGCTTAGTTGGGCTCAGAGGCCTGACATTCCTGTCTTCTTATATTAATAAGAAAAACACAACAAAATGGTGTTGAAGTGTTGGGGTGGCGAACGTTTTTTGGGGGTGGTATGGAGAGATAATGGGCAATGTTTCTCAGGGCTGCTTCGAATGGGATTAGGGGTGGCATGGGAACCTAGAGTGGGAGAGATTAAACTGAAGAAAGATTTTGGGGTAAGGGGTGATATTGTGGGATTGTTGGAAGGAGCATTTGTCATATAGAATGATTGGTGATGGCCTGGATGCAATTTTGTATGAACTGAGAAACTGAACGGAAGACACAAGGTCTGAATAAGAGAAGGCGAAAAACAGGTATTAAAGGACTAAGAATTGGGAGGACCCAGGACATCCAATTAGAGAGTGCCCAAGGGGGTTCAGTGTAATTATTTGCTTGGTTGGTGAGTTTTTGGGCTCTATCCTTGAGTTTTTTTATGTTGTCATACACCAGGCCAGATTGATTTAGGTAAAAACAACACTCTTCATTTAAAAATATACAGAGTCCCCTTTTTTTAGCAATGAGTAAGTCGAGGCCTCGGTGATTTTGGAGGAAAGAGAAAGGCAAAGCCAGCAATTGTTTGTTAAAGAAGGATTAGAAACGGCTAGGAGAGAGTGAGTGATATTGATAGTGTGGTAGAGATAGCTGGGGAGAGTAGAGGGTGGCATAAGAACAGGAATGAGAATAAGTGAGTATAAAAGTAGGCTGGGCGCGGTGGCTCATGCCTGTAATCCCAGCACTTTGGGAGGCTGAGGTGGGTGGATCACGAGGTCAGGAGATCAAGACCATCTTGGCTAACATGATGAAACCCCATCTCTACTAAAAAAATACAAAGAATTAGCCAGGCGTGGTGGCAGGCGCCTATAGTCCCAGCTACTCAGGAGGCTCAGGCAGGAGAATGGCATGAACCCGGGAGGCAGAGCTTGCAGTGAGCCGAGATCGCACCACTGCACTCCAGCCTGGGCAACAGAGCGAGACTCCATCTCAAAAAAAAAAAAAAAAGTGAGTATAAAAGTAAAGAATAGGACTTCATCAGGGTGGAAGTATTGGAGTGTGCCCTGTCAGCAAAGATCATCCATCCACTCCAAGAGGGAGTCAAGAGTGGAGGATTGGGGATAGTACCAGGAGATATCCGCTACGATGGTTTGGAGGAAAAGTGTAAACTGGCAGTGTAAACAAGGGCAGGGCATTTACGAGTAGTTTAGAATGGTGAATAGGAGTATGACTAGCCAGAAGATAGTAGGGATGACAAGTTTTTGTGGTGCAGTCCAATTAGTGGGGGGTGACTGCGTAAAGCCCTATTGTAAAGAGTAGGGTAAGGAAGAAGAGACCTAATAAAAATGAAAGGATGTATTAGGCTTATCAGGGTTATTACTGTTCTTCAGAAATGTGAGTTTAAGGGAAGTAGAGGAGAGTACTTGCAACTTCCAGGAGGAAGAGGAGAGATCAGGCTGTCCAACGGACACAGCTTTATTCTGGAACAGTGAACCCAAGGGGAGGGTCCTGCAGGTGGACGGCAGTTGGGGTACTATAGATGACTAAGTAGGGTCCAGTCCATCAAGGTTGTAGAGTTTAAGGGGTCAGATTCTTAACAAGAACTGATCGTCCAGCTAGGGTGTCTTCATATGGCTGGGAATCTGGAGTAGGCAAGAGAAGATTAGCAGCCTGGCGAATTTCCTGTCTAGTCTGCTGGAGGACTGGAAGATAATCAACTAGAGGGCTGGTGTCTAGAATGAGACTGGGGCCTAATAAAAAGGAGCATCCATACAGGAGCTCAAATGGGCTGCACCCTGCAGCATCCCGAGGACAGGCCTGAATTCTGAGAAGGGCAAGTAGTGAAAGTACTGTCCAGTCCTTTTTAAGTTGAAGGCTGAGTTTGGTGAGGTGTGTCTTTAGAAGACCATTAGTCTGTTCTACCTTTCCTGAAGATTGAGGATGGTAAGGGGTATGAAGGTTCCACTGAATACCAAGAGCCTGGCAAACTGCTTGGTTGATTTGACTAATAAAGGCCGGTCCGGGCTGCCCACCGTCTGGGATATGAGAAGCACCTCTGCCCAGCTGCCCGCCATCTGGGAAGTGAGGAGTGCCTCTGACCAGCCACCGCCCTGTCTAGGATGTGAGAAGCGCCTCTGCCCGGCTGCCCACCATCTGGGAAGGGCGGAGCACCTCTGCCTGGCTGCCCCACTGTCTGGGAAGTGAGGAGCACCTCTGCCCAGCTGCCGCCCAGCTGCCACCCATCTGGAAAGTGAGGAGCACCTCTGCCCGGCTGCCGCCCTGTCTAGCAAATGAGGAGCGCCTCTGCCCAGGCTCCCCACCCCCACCGTCTGGGATGTGAGGAGCGCCTCTGCCTGGCTACCACGCTGTCTGGCAAGTGAGGAGTGCCTCTCTCTGGTCGCCGCCCTGTCTGGGAAGAGAGGAGCACCTCTTCCTGGCCGCCAACCTTCTGGGAAGCTAGGAGCCCATCTGCCCGGCCACCCAACTGACTGGGAAGTGAGGAGCACCTCTGCCTGGCTGCCCACCATCTGGGAAGTGAGGAGTGCCTCTGCCTGGCCACTGTGCAACCCTCCAAGTGTGAAGTGACAGCCTTGTGTGTGTGATCTTTCTGCCTTCCCCATGTTTGCATTTTCGATATTAAAGTTTACTTTTCAATTAAAGGTTTTAAATTGGAGGAAAAAAGAAAAGGCCGGTCCGTTATTGGACTGTATAGAGGTGGGAAGGCCAAACCAAGGAATTATGTCTGACAGAAGGGAAGAAATGACTGTGGTGGCCTTCTCAGACCCTGTGGGAAAGGCCTCTACCCATCCAGTGAAAGTGTCTACCCAGACAAAGAGGTATTTTAGTTTCCTGACTCAGGGCATGTGAGTAAAGTCAATTTGCCAGTCCTGGGCAGGGGCAAATCCCTGAGCTTGATGTGTAGGAAAGGGAGGGGGCCTGAGATATCCCTGAGGAGTAGTAGAATAGCAGATGGAATACTGAGAAGTGATTTCCTTGAGAATAGATTTGCACGATGGAAAGGAAATGAGAGGTTCTAAGAGACAGGTTAGCGGCTTGTAACCTACATGGAGGAGGTTATGAAATGACGACAGAATAGAATGGGCCTGTGAGGCTGGAAGGAGGTATTTTCCTTGGTCCAAGAACCATTTGCCTTGAGTGGGGAGGGATTGATAGGTGGAAACTTCAGTGGGAGAGTAAGTAGGAGTGACTGATGAGAAAGAGAAAACCTGGCAGTGAGGGACAGAAGTAGGTATACTGGCTGCTTCTTTAGCTGTCTTATCAGCATAATTGTTGCCTTGAGCAATGGGGTCTGAGGCCCTTTGATGGCCTTTGCAGTGAATGACTCTAGCTTCCTTTGGAAGTAAAGTGGCCTTGAGAAGAGTTTTTATTAAAGAGGCATTAATGATGGAGGACCCCTGCATAGCAAGGAAACCTCTTTCAGCCCATATAACAGCATGGTGGTGCAGGATATGGAAGACATATTTAGAGTCAGTATAAATATTGACATGTAGTCCCTTTGCAAGAGTGAGGGCCTGAGTTAAGGCAATGAGTTTGGCTTGCTGAGAGGTAGTGGAGGGGGGCAGAGCAGTAGTCTCAGTGATAGATGTGGAAGACACTATAGCATAGCCTGCCTTTGATGGTGATTGGTGATTGGGCCTGGAAGAACTACCATCAATAAACCAAGTGTGATCAGGGTGAGGGACAGGAAAGAAGGAAATATGGGGAAATGCAGTGAATGCCAGGTGGATCAGAGAGATACAGTCATGGGGGTCAGGTGTGGTATCAGGAATAATGTGGGGGCCAGCCTAAAACAGTAAGGTCAAGTTGTTTGGACAGAAAGGCTACAGGGCATTGTCCTGGCTCTTGTGTAAGAATTCCAACTGCACAGCCCTGCACTTTGGCTGTGTCTAATGAAAAAAGGTTGGGATGAGTTAGGGAGAGCTAGTGTGGGAGCAGCTTCTCAGGCTGTTTTTAAGGAATGGAAAGAGGAGTGGGGAAAGGATTTAGGATCTACGGGGTCAGCTAGGTTTCCTTTTGTGAGTTTAGTCAGGATGGCAAAACCAGGTATCCAAAGGTGAAAGTATCCAATCCTGCCTAGGAAGGAAAGGAGTTGTTGTTCTGTAGAAGGGGTTGGGGTTTGAGAGATCAGCTGGACATGATTGGCAGGGAGAACACGGAAGTTTTCATGAAGAATTATGCCCAGGTAGGTAACAGATGGGGAAGAAATTTGAGCTTTGGAGGGGGATGTGCGATGTCCTTTTGAGAATAGATGTTGGAGGAGCAGGAGGGTGTTCTGTTGGGAAGATTTGTAGGAGGGGCTATAAAGTAGAAGGTCATCAAAATATTTAATAAGTTGAGAAGCAGATGGATGGAAAGAAAGTAAATTATGAGAAAGAGCTTGACTGAAGTAATGGGGACTGTCCATGAAGCCTTGCGGCAGTACACTCTAGGTAAGTTGCCGAGACTGATGGGTGTCAGGGTCAGTCCAAGTGAAAGCGAAGAGAGGCTGGGATGAAGGGTGCAAATTAATAGTAAATAAAGCAAGTTTGAGATCTAGAACAGAATAATGGGTTGTGGAGGAGTTGTGGAGGGAAGTACTGAGGATAGGAGAGTATATGGGTTTAGAACCACGGGGTGAATAGGCAAGACAATTTGGTTGATAAGATGCAGATCCTGAACTAACCTGTAAGACTTGTCTGGTTTTTGGACAGGTAAAATGGGGGAATTGTAAGGAGAGTTTATAGGCTTTAGAAGGCCATGCTGTAGCAGGCGAATGATAACAGGCTTTAATCCTTTTAAAGCATGCTGTGGGATGGGATATTGGCATTGAGTGGGGTAAGGGTGATTAGGTTTTAATGGAATGGTAAGGGGTGCATGATAGGTCACCAAGGAGGGAGTAGAGGTGTTCCATACTTGTGGATTAAGGTGAGGAGATACAAGGGGAGGATGCGAAGGAGGCTTTGAACTGGGGAAAAGGGCTGCAATGAAGTGTGGCTGTAGCCTGGGAATAGTCAGGGAAGCAGGTAATTTAGTTAAAATGCCTCGACCTAATAAGGGAACTGGGCAGGTGGGGATAACTAAAAAGAGTGCATAAAAGAATGTTGTCAGCTGGGCGCAGTGGCTCACGCCTGTAATCCCAGCACTTTGGGAGGCCAAGGCAGGTGGATCACGAGGTCAGGAGATCGAGACCATCCTGGCTAACACAGTGAAACCCCCGTCTCTACTAAAAATACAAAAAATTAGCCGGGCGCGGTGGCAGATGCCTGTAGTCCCAGCTACACGGGATGCTGAGGCAAGAGAATGGTGTGAACCCGGGAGGCAGAGCTTGCAGTGCGCTGAGATCACGCCACTGCACTCCAGCCTGGGCAACAGACCAAGACTCCATCTCAAAAAAAAAAAAAAATGTTGTCCAAGTTGGCACCAGAGTTGGGGAGTTTTAAGAGGTTTAGAAGCCTGGCTGTCACTACCCACAACAGTTATGGAGGCAAGGGAAACAGGCCCTTGAAAAGAAGGTAATGTGGAGTGGGTAGCCTCTGTATTGATTAAGAAGGGGACGAACTTACCCTCCACTGTAAGAGTTACCCAAAGCATCCGGGATGGTCCAGGAGGTTTTTGAGGCGATCGGACAGCGTCAGTCTTCAGCCGCTAAGCCGAGAAGATCTGGAAAGAAGTCAGTCAGACAGCCTTGGGCCAGAGTTCCAGGGACTCTAGGAGTGGCTGCCAGGCAAGTTGGACAGTCTGATTTCCAGTGGGGTCCTGCACAGATGGGACATGGCTTAGGAGAAATCCCAGTCTGCTGGCATTCCTTGGTCCAGTGGCCAGGTTTTCAGCACATGAAGCAAGATTCTGGGGGAGGAAGTCCTGGAGGAACTCCTGGCCGCTGCGTTTCAGGCATTTTGAAGTTCTTATGTACCGGAGATGTGGCTTGGGTTTTTCTCACAGTGGAGGCAAGTAATTGCAACTCTTTTCTATTATTGTACACCTTGAAGGCGAGGTTAATTAAGTCCCGTTGTGGGGTTTGAGGGCCAGAATCTAATTTTTGGAGCTTTTTCTAATGTTGGGGGAGCAGATTGGGTAATAAAATGTATATCAAGAATAATACGGCCTTCTGGCCCCTCTGGGTCTAGGGTGGTAAACTGTCTAAGGGTTGTTGCCAAACGGGCCATGGACTGGGCTGGGTTTTTATATTTAATGAAAAAGAGCCTAAACCCTAACTGATTTGGGAGAGGTCAGATAAAGAAAAAGAAGCATTAACCTTGACTATGCCTTCAGCTCCAGTCACCTCTCTAAGAGGAGATTTTTGGGCAGATGGGGGAGGGCTAGTAGCGGAACAAAACTGTAAGCTGGACTGGGTGTGAGGAGGGGAGGTGACAGAAGGGTTATAGGGTAGAGGAGTGGAGGCTGAGGGAGAATTGGGACCTGGCTCGGCCTGGCAAGGAGCAGCCTGGGGAGGAGGGGAGAGGTCAGACGGGTTTGTAGAAAAGGAGGATTCAAAGGACTCAGAGCTTGGGGTGGAGACTGAAGGAACAGACAGGAGAGAAAAAAGAAAGATTTGGGACGAGTCGCATTGGGAGCAGAGACTAGGGAGGGACTGATGTGCAAAAGAATGCCTGGACATCAGACACCTCAGACCATTTGCCCATATTACGACAAGCATTATCTAGATCTTGTGGGATGGAGAAATCGAAAGTGCTGTTTTCTGGCTATTTGGAACCGTTGCTGAGTTTGTATTGGGGTCAAGCAGTATTGCAGCATAAAATAAGGCATTTAGGTTTTAGGTCAGGTGTGAGTTGAAGAGGTTTTAAGTTTTTAAGAACACAGGCTAAGGGAGAAGAAGGAGGAATGGAGGGTGGAAGGTTGCCCATAGTGAAGGCAGCAAGCCGAGAGAAAAGAGAGGGTAGAGACACAGAGTGGGGGGGTGGTACTTGCCACCCAGGGGAGGTGGTGCTTGCCACCAAGGTGGAGGATCAAGGCAGGCATCCCTGCAGTGATCAGACACCTCTGAAATGTGGGTGAATAATCAGGCAGGCATCCCCGCAGTGATTAAACACCAAGGGAAGACTGTCTTCCCGAGTCCGTGACCGGCGCCGGAGTTTTGAGTTCATGGATAAAACGCATCTCCTGTCTCTACCAGAAAGGGAAAGGAACCGAAATTAAGGAAGGGAGAGATTGAAGGGTGGAGGGATAGCGAGAGAGGTTGGAGAAGAGAGTGAAAAGACCGCTTACCCGATTTGAATTTGGTGAGATGTTCCTTGGGTTAGTTGGTCTGAGGACCTGAGGTCATAGGTGGATCTCCTCACAGAGGGTGAGGACAGGGGACTGGTCTCCCGAAGGAGTCCTCCTGTCCCAGGTTTCGGCACCAAATGTCACGCACGTCCATGTGAAGAGAGTCCAGCAACACGCTTTGTGTGAGCAACAAGGCTGTTTATTTCACCTGGGTGCAGGTGGGCTGAGTCGGAAAAAGGAGTCAGCAAAGGGTGGTGGGATTATCATTAGTTCTTATAGGTTTGGGATAGGCAGTGGAGTTAGGAGCAATTTTTTGCAGGTAGGGGGTGGATCTTACAAAGTATATTCTCAAGGGTGGGGAGAATATTACAAAGTACCTTCTTAAGGGCAGGGGAGCATATTACAAAGTACCTTCTCAAGGGTGGGGAGGGTATATCGTACAAAGTACATTCACAAGGGTGGGGGAATATCACAAAGTACATTATCACAAGGGCGGGGAGGTAGTATTGTCACAAAGTCAATTGATTAGTTAGGGTGGGGCAGGAATGGTGGGATGTCATCAGTTAAGGCAGGAATTGGCTATTTTCACTTCTTTTGTGGATCTTCAGTTGCTTCAGGCCATATGGATGTATACGTGCAGGTCACAGGGGATATGATGGCTTAGCTTGGGCTCAGAGGCCTGACACTGACCTCAAGTGATCCGCCCACCTTGGCCTCCCAAAGTGCTGGGATTACACATGTGAGCCACCAAGCCCAGCATTTTTTTTGTTTTTTAAATAGAGATGAGGTCTCCCTATGTTGGCCAGGATGGTCTCGAACTCCTGGGCTCAAGTGATCCTCCTGCCTTGGCCAAAGTGCTGGGATTACAGGCATGAGCCACTGTGCTGGCAGAATTGTATACTTTAAATGGGCAAGTTGCATGGTATATGAATTCTATCTCAATAAAGCTTTTATTTTAAGTAAATAACCATAAGTATGAATTGAAGAAATAATATTAACCTAACTTGATTTCCCAAGGGACAGTGCCATAGCAGAAAATCCTGTAGGGACATTGGGACCCACAAAATCTCCAGGAAAATCAGTAGACTTTCTGGGAATAAGCTAGGAAATGTTGCCTCCAAAGTTGGGAGAGATGTTTGAAACAGTACAGAGTAAACGTTAATGAGTGGAGTATAGTTAGAAGCACACCATGAAGCCTGACTACCACCATTGAACTTACTGATGATAAGGAGAATGAAGTATCTTTTCATTACATTTCATCATTTTATTTATCCTTTTTTTTTTTTTTTGAGACAAGAGTCTTGCTCTGTTGCCCAGGCTGGAGTGCAGTGGCGTGATCTCAGCACACTGCAACCGCCGCCTCTTGGGTTCAACCAATTCTCCTGCCTCAGCTTCCCAAGTAGCTGGGACTACGGGCAAGCGCCACCATGCCCAACTAATTTTTGTATTTTTTTTTTTTTTTTTGGAGACAGAGTCTTGCTCTATTGCTCAGGCTGGAGTGCAGTGGTGCGATCTCGGCTCACTGCAAGCTCTGCCTCCTGGGTTCACGCCATTCTCCTGCCTCAGCCTTCTGAGTAGCTGGGACTACAGGTGCCCGCCACCACGCCCGGCTAATTTTTTTGTATTTTTAGTAGAGACGGGGTTTCACATGTTAGCCAGGATGGTCTCCATCTCCTGACCTCATGATCTGCCTGCCTCGGCCTCCCAAAGTGCTGGGATTACAGGCGTGAGCCACCACACCTGGACTAATTTTTGTAGTTTTAGTAGAGACGGGGTTTCACCACGATGCCCAGGCTGGTCTCGAACTCCTGAGCTCAGGCAATCCGCCCGCCTCAGCGGCCCAAAGAGCAAGGATTACAGGTGTGAGCCACCATGCCCAGCCCCCACTGGGTACTTTAGAATGCTACAAAACACTAACCATGAGAATAAGAATGGTTGGGCGCTGTGGCTCACGCCTGTAATCCCAGCACTTTGGGAGGCCCAGGCAGGCAGATCACCTGAGGTCAGAAGATCAAGACCAGCCTGACCAACATAGAGAGACCCCCATCTCTACTAAAAATACAAAATTAGCTGGGCATAGTGGCACATGGCTGTAATCCCAACTACTAGGGAGGCTGAGGCAGGAGAATTGCTTGAACCTGGGAGTAACAGGTTGCAGTGAGCCGACATCACGCCACTGCACTCCAGCCTGGGCAACAAGATTGAAACTCTGTCTCAAAAAAAAAAAATTAAAAAGGATAAGAGTAAGAATACAGATGGGCACGGTGGCTCATGCCTATAATCCCAGCACTTTGGGAGGCCAAGGTGGGCAGATAACCTGAGGTCAGGAGTTCAAGACCAGCCTGGCCAACATAGTGAAACACTGTCTCTACAAAAAATACAAAAATTACCCGGGCATAGTTGTGCACGCCTGTAATCCAGGCACTCGGGAGGCTGAGGCTGGAGAATTGCTTGAACCTGGGAGGCTGAGGTTGCAGTGAGCCGAGATGGTGCCACTGCACTCCAGCCTGGGTGACAGAGCAAGACTCCATCTCAAAAAAAAAAAAAAAAAAAAAAAAGAATCCATGGCCAGGAGCAGTGGCTCACACCTGTAATCCCAAATCCTTGGGAGGCCGAGGCAGGATATAGTGACTCTGTCTCTACAAAATAAAAAACAAAAATTAGCTTGGAATAGTAACATGTACCTGTCCTCCCAACTACTTAGAAGGCTGAGGTGAGAGGATGGCTTGAGCATGGGAGGTCAAGGCTGAAGTCAGACATGATCATGCCACTGCATTCCAGCCTGGGTGACAGAGTGAGACCCTGTCTCAAAAACAAACAGGGCCAGGTGCGGTGGCTCACTCCTGTAATCCCAGCACTCTGGGAAGCTGAGGCTGGTGGATCACTTGAGGTCAGGTGTTTGAAACCAGCCTGACCAACATGGTGAAACACCATCTCCACTAAAAATGCAAAAATTTGCTTGGCATGGTGGCGTGTGCCTGTAGTCCCAGCTACCTGGGAGGCTGAGGTAGGAGAATGGCTTGAACCCGGGAGGCGGAGGTTGCAGTGAGCTGAGATCGCGCCACTGCACTCCAGCCTGGGCGACAGAGGACGGAGTGAGACCCTGTCTCAAAACAAACAACAACAACAACAAAAACAAACAAAAAACAAGCAAACAAAAAACACAACAGAATCCATGTGGTTCCATAGTTGGTTCTACAGAGTGAACTTCACCCTAATCAAATGACCACTAAAGAGTCTGCAGTGTAATGCTTCTTCAGAGTTAACCATTCCCATTCAGATGTTTACTTGGGGTTCTACAGAGTCCCTGTTGATGTCCATGGAAATCCTTGAATTCAGAAAACATTATACCTCCATTTGTTTGATCAAATTATATGTGAGTTTGCCTGTTGTGAAAAAATAAAGTTTGGGCCTGGCACGGTGCCTCATGCCTGTAATCCTAGCACTTTGGGAGGCCGAGGTGGGCAGATCACGAGGTCAGGGGTTCGAGACCAGCCTGGCCAACATAGTGAAACCCTTCTCTACTAAAAATACAAAAAGAAATTAGCCAGGCATGGTCGTGTGCACCTATAATTCCAGCTACCAGGGAGGCTGAGGCACAAGAATCTAGTGAACCCGGGAGGCGGAGGTTGCAGTGAGCTGAGATTGCACCACTGCACTCCAGCCTGGGCAACAGTGCGAGACTCCACAAAAATAATAATAATAGTAATAAAGTTTGACATCCATCAGTAATTAGTTAAATAAAGCATGGCACATCCAAATAATGGAATAATACACAGCCATTACAATTATGTTGTAAAACATGTGGTACAAGATTATTCCAATTTCGTAAAAATGTGTATGCATTGAAAAAAAGGACTGGAATGATATACATCAAAAAGTACAGTGGTGGCTGGGCGAAGTGGCTCACACCTGTGATCCCAGCACTTTTGGAGGCCGAGGCTGAGGCAGGCAGATCACCTGAGGTCAGGAGTTCGAGACCAGCCTGGCCAACCTGGTGAAACCCTGTCTCTACTAAAAATATACAAATTAGCCAGGTGTGGTGGTACTCGCCTGTAATCCCAGCTACTCAGGAGGCTGAGGCAGGAGAGTCACTTGAACCCGGAAGTCAGGGATTGCAGTAAGCCAAGATCATGCCACTGCACTCCAGCCTGGGCAACAGAGTGAGACTCAGTCTCAAAAACAAAACAAACAAAAAAAAACTCCCTGTGGTAGAATATAAACAATTATTGCTTACTTTGTCAGACTTTCTGTGCTTTCCAAAATTTTTACAGTAAACATTTATTTATATTTTTGTAATCAGAAACAAAATAATGTACACTTAAAATGAAAGAGTCCTCATAAGCACAGGGACTGCAATTTTTTTTTTTTTTTTTTTGAGACAGAGTTTCACTCTTTTTGCCCAGGCTGGAGTGCAATGGCGCTATCTCGGCTCACTACAGCCTCCACCTCCTGGATTCAAGTGATTCTCCTGCCTCAGCCTCCTGAGTAGCTGGGATTACAGGTGCCCACCACTACACCTGGCTAATTTTTGGTATTTTTAGTAGAGACGGGGTTTCACCGTGTTGGCCAGGCTGATCTCAAACTCCTGGCCTCAGGTGATTTGCACCTCGGCTTCCCAAAGTGTTGGGATTACAGGCGTGAGCCACCGCGCCTGGCCAGGACTGCATTTTTACATGTTTTATAGTGCTTACAGCACTTTAAGAGTGATTTATAAATGGTAAATAACAAGTAGTAGAATTGAGTAGGCTGGGCATGGTGGCTCACGCCTGTAATCCCAGCACCTTGGGAGGCCGAGGTGGGTGGATCACGAGGTCAGGAGATCAAGACCATCCTGGCCAACATGGTGAAACTCTGTCTCTACTAAAAATACAAAAATTAGCTGCGTGTGGTGGCGTGTGCCTGTAATCCCAGCTACTCGGGAGGCTGAGGCATGAGAATCGCTTGAACCCAGGAGGTGGAGATTGCAGTGAGCCAAGATCGCACCACTGCACTCCAGCCTGGCCACAGAGCAAGACTCCGTCTTAAAAAAAATAAAAAATAAAATAAAAGAATTGAGTATAGTAGTATACTACCACTGAGTATAAAGTAGTATACAATAACTGTAACAAGGCTGAAGTATATGATAACTGTAACAAGGATGAAAATGAGAGATGAATTGCAGGCTATCCTCTTCCCCCGAAATATTAGCCCATTCTATGTTAGAGCCTTTCACATGTGGCAGATATATACTCAAACTTACCAACTGTGGCCACTCTTGGCCTAGTCAAAGACAAAATATATATTCATTTTAAGGATACAAAAGCTCCAGTTTGGGAAATCCTAGACCTTCCATGGAACCAGATGTATTTCTCTTATAATAACAGTAACGAGGCTGGGTGCAGTGGCTCACGTGTGTAATCCCAGCACTTTGGGAGGCCAAGGCAGGTGGATCATCCGAGGTCAGGAGTTCAAAACCAGCCTGGCCAACATGGTGAAATCCCATCTCTATTAAAAATACAAAAATTAGCTGGGCATGGTGGACCATGCCTGTAATCCCAGCTACTTGGGAGGCTGAGGCAGGCGAGTCGCTTGAACCTGGGTGGCAGAGGTTGCAGTGAGCCAAGATCACGCCATTGTACTCCAGACTGGGAGACAAAAGCGAAATTTCATCTCAATAATAATAAAATAAAATAATAACAATAACCAGTATCTATTGAGCACCTGTGGTCAGGCAGGTGTACATTTCACTTAATAGCATCTCTATGAGGTATTATCTCCATTTTACATTTGTGGACACTGAGGTTCAAAGTGGCTGTATAAATACTCAATGGTAGAATCAGGATTTGGATCCTCATCTTTCTGACTGTAAAAGCCAGCCTCTTTCTATGCACATCGACTCCTTAAAAAACAAAATGTTGGCAAGGCACGGTGGCTCACGCCTATAATCCCAGCACTTTGGGAGGCTGAGGCGGGCAGATCATGAGGTCAGGAGATCGAGACCATCCTGGCTAACACGGTGAAACCCCGTTTCTACTAAAAATACAAAAAATTAGCTGGGCATGGTGGCGGGTGCCTGTAGTCCCAGCTACAGGGAGGCTGAGGCAGGAGAATGGTGTGAACCTGGGAGGCGGAGCTTGCAGTGAGCCAAGATTGTGCCACTGCACTCTAGCCTGAGCAACAGAGCGAGACTCCGTCTCAAAAACAAAAACAAAAACAAAAAAATTAAGCCTGTCAGGAGAATCGCTTGAACCTGGGAGGTGGAGGTTGTAGTGAGCCAAGATCGCGCCACTGCACTCCAACCTGGGCAACAAGAGCGAGACTCCATCTCAAAAAAAAAAAAAAAGGAAATACAAAATGCAGAAAATTATTTTTATTTATATATATATATTTTTTGAGACAGGGTCTTGCTCTATCACCCAGGCTGGAGGGCAGTGGCACAATCCTGGCTCACTGCAACCTCCAGCCTTACCCTCCCGAGTAGCTGGGACCACATGCATGCACCACTGCCCTCAGATAATTTTTTGTATTTTTGGTAGAGACAGGGTTTCACCATGTTGCCCAGGCTTGTCTCGAACTCCTGAGCTGCCACCACGCCAGCTAATTTTTGTATTTTTTAGTAGAGACGGGTTTCACCACGTTGGTCAAGCTGGTCTTGAAGTCCTGACCTCAAATGATCCATCCGCCTCGGCCTCCCAAAGTGCGGCCTCCCACCGTGCCTGGCCAGCCCTTATTTTTAGGTGCTAACATTTTTTCATGATTATAAAAACAATATGTGCTCAGTAGAACAGTTTAGAAAATACAAGGCTGGGAGTGGTGGCTCACGCCTTTAGCAATCCCAGCACTTTGGGAGGCCGAGGTGGGTGGATCACTTGAGGTCAGGAGTTCGAGACCAACCATAGCCAACATGGTGGAACCCATCTGTACTAAAAAAAATACAAAAATTAGCTGGTGTGGTGGCACACGCCTGTAGTTCCAGCTACTCGGGAGGCTGAGGCATAAGGATCGCTTGAACCTGAGAAGCAGAGGTTGCAGTGAGCCGAGACCATGCCACTGCACTCCAGCCTGGGAGACAGAGTGAGACTCTGTCTCAAAAAAAAAAAAAAAAAGTTTAGTAAATACAAAATGCAGAAAATTATTTTTATTTATATATTTATTTATTTTTTTGAGACAGAGTCTTGCTCTATCGCCCAGGCTGGGGACAGTGGCACAATCTCGGCTTACTGCAACCTCCAGCCTTACCCTCTTGAGTAGCTGGGACCACAGGCGTGCACCACTACGCCTGGATAATTTTTTGTGCTTTTGGTAGAGATGGGGTTTCACCGTGTTGCCCAGTCTGGTCTCCAACTCCTGAGCTCAAGCAATCCACCCACCTCGACCTCCCAAAGTGCTGGGATCACAGGCGTGAGCCTCTGCGCTCGGCCTAAATTTTTTTAAATAAAAATTTTATTTACGGTCAGGCGCGGTGGCTCACGCCTGTGATCCCAGCACTTTGGGAGGCCGAGGCGGGTGGATCACGAGGTCAGGAGATTGAGACCATCCTGGCTAACACGGTGAAACCCCATCTCTACTAAAAATACAAAAAATTAGCCGGGCGTGGTGGCGGGCGCCTGTAGTCCCAGCTACTCGGGAGCCTGAGGCAGGAGAATGACGTGAACCCGGGAGGTGGAGCTTGCGGTGAGCTGAGATTGGGCCACTGCACTCCAGCCTGGGCGACAGAGCAAGACTCCGTCTCAAAAACAAAACAAAACAAAACAAAACATATATATATATATATTTGAGAGATGAAGTCTCGCTCTGTGGCCCAGGCTGGAGTGCAGTGGCTCAGTCTCAGCTTACCACAACCTCCGCCTCCCGGGTTCAAGCGATTCTCCTGACTCCCAAAGTGCTGGGATTACAGGAGTTACTGCACCAGGCCCACTTTATTTTTTAGAGCAGTTTTGGCATCACTGCAAAATTGAGCTGAAAGTATCAAGAGTCCTTTGTACCCCTCTCCACACACAGACACAGCCTCCCTATCAACATCCTGTCCAGAGTGGTAAATTTCTTGCAGTGATGAATATACAGTGACACATTATCAACCAAAGGCCATAGTTTACATAAGGGCTTCCTTTTGGTGTTGTACATTCTATGGGTTTTAATTTTTTTAAATAAAGATTTTATTTTTTAAGAGCAATTTTAGTTTCACAGCAAAACTGACAGGTAGGTCCGGAGAGTCCCATATACCTCCTTCCCCCATGCAGTCACGGCTCCCCTGACTACCAACATCCCTATCAGAGTGGTAAATTTGTTAAAATCGATGAACCTACATTAACACATCATTACTAACCAAAGCCTGCGGTTTACATTAGAGTTAGTTCACCCTTGGTGTTTACATTCTGTATCTTTGAACAAATGTATACTTACAAGTATCCACTATTACAGTATCATGAGAGTATTTTCGCTACCGTAAAAATCCTCTGTGCTGTCTGCCATTAGTTGTTTTTTGTTTTTGTTTTTTTAATGTGGGGTTTTGTTTTGTTTGGTTTGAGACAGAGCCCTCGTCTGTCGCCCCGGGCTGGAGTGCAGTGGCGCCATCTGAGCTCGCTGCAATTTCTGCCTCCCAGCTCAAGTGATCCTCACACCTCCGCCTCCTGAGTAGCTGGGACTACAGGTGCACACCAGCACACCTTGCTAATTTTTTGTATTTTTTGTAGAGAAGGGGTTTCACCATGTTGCTCAGGCTGGTTTGGAACTCCCGGGCTCAAAGGATCCAACCGTCTTGGCATCCCAAAGTGCCAGGATTACAGGCGTGAGTCACTGCGCCAGACTTAAAATGTGGTTGTTAATGACTACGTCTGTTGCATAACCAAAATCCCCTATTATTGGGCATTTAGATTGTTTCCTTATCTGTTTTAAAGAGGAGAAAACTAAGGCCCTTCACTTGACAAGTCACTTGTCCAAAGTCACCTGGCTAAAAAGTAGGCAGAACTGATATTAGAAATCTGGTCTGACTCCAGAACCCATTCTTAGGCCACCACACTGCGTCTAGAATTAATAACACACCACTTAACCCCGTTAGATCAGCTCCCCTCAACTTGAAAGATAGTGACCAGGCACCTCCACAAGCAGAGCAGCCAAGGATTCAAGTATATGTTGAGGAAGGCAGGCAATACAGAAAAAACTAGGTGGCTCAACTGAGATGGAACAAGCAGAAAATGCAAAGGGGAGGTCCAGGAATAGAAATAAACAGGAGGTAGGAGATGGGTACACAGAATGCTGGTTAAGACAAAGAGAAAGCTGGATTTGGGAAATCTAAAAGTAAGAAACTCTGGCTTTTATCTCTGTATGTAGGAGGGAGCAAAGATAACCTCAAGGCCATGTGGGGAGCTAGCAAGGATAAGGTTTCTGGGAAAAGGAATGAGAAAAGGGAGGGTAAACTCCCGAGGACTACAAGAGCAGGAGAGGCTTTGTGTGGCCAGGAGGAGAGGCCAGAAGTCAACGAGGCAGGCTAGAATAGGCACTGGATACCAAACCTTCCTGTTCCTAAGGAGACTTCCTTCCAGCCTGAGCCTCCTCTAGTAGTTCGGCTACTAAATGCTCTCAGCCCTTAGGGGCTGTGGTGGGAAGTGGGGAGCGGGGATTGTAAAGTGCTCTAACTATTAATATAATGCGGACTGAGAATGGATGCTGGCACAATTTTTTAAAGGCAGTAGGCTTAACGCTAGTGCCACCTACCCCTACTCCACTTCTCTAGCCTAACCTCAGCCACACCCACATGCTAAGGACCATCCAGGAGGGGGGAGCGTGTAGCGCGCCTGCGTGCTCGTGCGCACGAGAAGCAGAGAGGCAGAGAAGGAGACAAAAAGAGATAGGGGGAGAGAGAGAGAGAGAGCGAGAAGAGAGAGACAGACAAGGACAGAAAGGGGGCTGGAGGAGAAAGAGAGAGAGAGATACAGAGAGAGAGAGAGAGAGAGAGAGAGAGAGAGAGAGAGAGAGAGAGAGAGAGAGAGAGAGAGAGATCAGCCCTGGTGAGGGAGGAAAACTCCATAGATAATACAGGGAGCTCCTGCAGGAAGACTCAGGGAGAAGATCCCAGAACTTACCCTAAGACTGTTGAGAGAGTAGGGGGTAGCTTTGCAGGACCTGGTTTGGGGGTCATCAAGCAGTAACGGTTACTGCACAGGCGTTGCCACTGAGCCAGAGCCATTTAACCCGACCTGTGTGGCTGGGGATCAAGCTTCAGATACCCCATAACTCTGACTCTCAGACTGTTTTGGGGGCCCCGTGGCTGCAGACAAGGGAAGGAGGGGCACGTGAGGGCTGGGTCCCTGCCTCCCCCCGTCCTCCGCTGTCACTCACTACCCCAACAGTCGCCCAGGGGGCGGGACCCGGAGAGGTGGGGATGGGGGAGGGTAATCTTGGCAGGCGCCTGCTGCATGGCGTAGGTAGGGACTATTGAGGGGGGCGGACGCCGAGGGGGTGAACACGAGTGGGAAGCTAAGAGAGACACGGGGAGGGGGAGGGGACCGGGAACCATTTGAATGAGAGGAGGGGATCACGGGTAGAGTGGGCTCCAGGAGGTAGGGCGAGCAGGGTGTGACGGGGGCCAGACTCTTGAGCCAGGTAAGGGGAGCAGGTGCGTAGATCTGTGTTTTTTGTGGGTGAGCGCACTCGGCCCTTGGGTGGAAAGGGGACGCCGCCTTTCCCGGGGGGCCGGCTTCAAAGCTCCAGAGGCTATCTTTTCCTTCTCAACTAACGGGGCCCCGGGCGGGGGCTCAGGCGCCGTCTCTAGTGGCTGCATTCCACTCCGCAATTTCCAGGCGGCCACTGGACTGGGAGTCTCGCGCCGGGGGCCGGCGCTGTCTCGCGAGCCCCCTCCTCGAGCCAGCCAATGGGGTTGGTTGCTGGCACCGCCCGCCCGCCTGGTGCAGAGCGCTGGGCGCTGCGAGCGGCGCTGCCATTTAAAGGGGCCGCGACCCCTGTCCCGGCTGCTAGGGAGGGAGGTAGAGAAGGAGCGCGGGGCCGTCGCTGTCTGCAGTTCTAGGCTTGTAGCCTTTGCACTAACCCTGCCGCAGGTAGGGGTCGGGCCTGCTCAAGCCGAACCGAACCTGCAAGCGGGATCTTGCAGTAGCCGGGAGGCGGTGGTGGGGGGGTCTAAGGAGAGATCGTAGCTCCAAAATGTCTTCCTGTAAATGCCTGAGGTTGGGGGTGGGCAACAGGAGAAGGGAGGACTGGAGGAGCAATGGGAAAGGGGGACGGGGCTGAGGAAGTGGGCGACCTGAAAGGTAACTGGGGGGAAGGGGTTGCGAAGGGCAGTTTGTGGGGGCGGGGGAAGGGCCGAGGGAGGACCTAGCAACGCGGGGAGGGGGGGTGGGGCCAGACAGGGTGGGTAAAGACTGGGGAGCTGGGGGGCTCCTGCAGAGTGGGGAGGGAATAGAAACTGAGATCGCGGGGGCGGGAAAGGCTCCTGGTGGCGACGGCCTTAGGAGACTCTAAGGGGGCGTTCAGCCTGAGTTGCGGGGGGTAAAAGGTAAGGGGGGAAGGGAATGGGAGTTGCAGTCGAGTAGGGGGGTGGGCGGGTAGAACGACCGACTGCCTGGCCAGTGTGGGCACGGGGCCAGGGCGGGGAACGCCTCTCCCCACTGGGGGCGCTGTATTGGGGGGAGTGGTCATTAGGACTAAAGCCTTCGGAAATGCTTGTAGATTGTGGTGGTGGGGGCTGCTCATGAGAAATCCAAGTGGATGATGGGGTGTGTCTCAGAGCCTATATAAGAAGGAATTCAGGCTAAGACCACCTCTACTGCCCCCTCTTCTACTCCTAATCTGCAGTACATATCCAGCCATACTCATGGACCCCAGTGATTTCCCCAGTCCATTTGACCCATTGACCCTGCCAGAGAAGCCCCTGGCTGGAGACCTACCAGTAGACATGGAATTTGGAGAGGATCTACTGGAATCCCAGACTGCCCCAACTCGAGGATGGGCCCCCCCTGGCCCTTCTCCATCCTCGGGAGCCCTGGACCTGCTTGATACCCCTGCTGGCCTGGAAAAAGACCCTGGAGTCCTGGATGGAGCCACTGAGTTGCTGGGGCTGGGGGGGCTGCTCTATAAAGCCCCCTCTCCCCCGGAGGTGGACCACGGTCCTGAGGGAACCCTGGCATGGGATGCAGGAGATCAGACCCTAGAGCCTGGACCAGGGGGCCAGACCCCTGAGGTGGTACCACCTGATCCAGGGGCTGGGGCAAATTCCTGTTCACCTGAGGGGCTACTAGAGCCTTTGGCTCCAGATTCTCCAATAACACTGCAGTCCCCACATATTGAAGAGGAGGAGACCACCTCCATAGCTACTGCAAGAAGGGGCTCCCCTGGGCAGGAGGAGGAGCTTCCCCAAGGGCAGCCACAGAGCCCAAATGCCCCGCCTAGCCCTTCAGTGGGAGAGACTCTGGGGGATGGAATCAACAGTTCTCAGACCAAACCTGGGGGCTCTAGCCCCCCTGCACATCCTTCCTTGCCAGGTAGGTTGCCTAATTATCTGGAGAATCAGGGCTGGGAGAGGGTGGTGGTAAGGAGGGGTGGCTATGTGCTTTGGGAAGTAGTGGGGAGGAGGAGGGTGGAGAGATAAGTGTAGGGATGTGTGTGGGGAAGGACTTGGGGTTTACGAGGGAGGAGTGGGGTGGTGTGTAGAGGAAGATTAAGGAAAGTAGGGGTGGGCACAGGCTGTGGGGGAGGAATGGGGTAAGGTTTCAGGGAGCGTAGGTTGGGAGGAGTGAATTTGGTGGGAAGGGTTCCCTTTTTCCTACCCCAGTGGGCTTTTGGTGCCAGAGTCCTTCCTTCAGGATTTGGGGGAGTACACCAGGCTTCTTGGTTCTAAGACCTTTACAGCTTTTTGGTTCTAGATGGGAGTGGGATTTCTGGGTTTGATGAATGGTAACTAGGTTCTGGAGCCCCTAACAGCATAAGGATTTCAGCAGAGCGATAGAAATGCAGGGTCTAGGATTGCGTCTCTGATAGGGGAGGGACAACCTTGACTTGAGAGGCTCTAGTGTCTCCCCTCTTCTGCCTAGTGGTGTGCCTCTATCAGGCTGTGACGAGGGTCTTAGGGCTTATATAACCACCTGAATCCAGGGGAAGCTACCCATACACTGATGCTTCCTTTTCCTTTTGCTACCTTTGGGTGGTTGTGTGTGTTTTTCATTGGTAAAATATAAATTCTTAATGAAAGGTATATTACCTGTGTTTCCTTAACCCCCAAGGATTGGGACAGAAAGCTGGTGGGAAGGATAGATTTTTTTTTTTTCATGGAATAGCTGCACGTGCACCCCCCCACCCTTAGTACAGAGCCTGAGGTAACCCTGAGAGGGGCCCCAAGAAGCCACAGGCACTCGAGTTTTCCCTTTCAGTTTTGAGTAAGTTCTTCCCCAGGAATGGAGGCGGGGGTTGGGCCGGGGAGAGGGTGGTGAGGGCAGGCTCAACATTTAGGCTGCCTTCTGCTTCCTTTGCAGGAGATGGCCTGACTGCGAAGGCGAGTGAGAAGCCGCCTGAACGGGTGAGGGGGAGGGGATTGGAAGGAGTCTGGTTCCCCCTTAGCTCTGGGAAGGACAGACCCTTCATTTTCCCTCCCAGATGTTGTTCTGTAGAGAGTGTGTGTAAGGAGAGTTAGGAGGAGGGAGGGAGCACTAGTGTCTACTGCTTGTTGGGGAGAAAGTCCAACCTCCTTTTCTTCCCTCCTCCTAAGGGCTGGGCCAAGGGTCCCCACTCTCCCTTCCCCCTCCCATCTTCTATCCCCCCCCAAACCCTGTACTAGTGTTAGCCTGGCCAGGGTGTCAGTTTTCCTCCCCTCCCATCTTTCCGAGGTACAGAAGAGAAGCGAGCGCGTTAGGAGAGCAGAACCTCCAAAACCTGAGGTTGTAGATTCCACTGAGAGCAGTAAGTAGGATTTGAGGAAGTGTGACCTGGGAGTTCTGGGTGTGGAAAAGGTCCGAAAGTGGCATGCGGCAGGGCATGGATCTTCTAGCTCCTGCCGTCCTGCTCCATGAAGCGCATGAAGTGCCTGTCTCTGCTATGGGTTGGCATGGGAACCAGGGGCAGTGGGGGAAATTGAAAACAAGAGCAGTGAGAATGGCGAGTTTCCTGTTTCAGCTATGCCATCTCTGTCTCCGAATCTTCTCATTTAGAGCCTCTCCCTTTCCCTCCCTGGGAGGTTACAGAGTAACCAAGGGAGAGAGACACCAAGGTCTTAAGATACTGATGTAACAAGGGCCAGGGTGTAAAGGCCGGAACAACAGGGATCCCAGGAGAGGGACTGAACTGTTGGTCAGGGGATGGTTGGAGACCTGGTTTGGTGGCCTTTCTCATGTCCATCCCCCCACTTTCTCAGTTCCAGTGTCAGATGAGGATTCTGATGCCATGGTAGATGACCCCAATGATGAGGACTTTGTGCCATTCCGGCCCCGGCGCTCTCCTCGCATGTCCCTACGCTCAAGTGTGTCACAAAGGGCCGGGCGCTCTGCAGTGGGCACCAAGATGACTTGTGCACATTGCCGGACACCACTGCAGAAGGGGCAGACTGCCTATCAGCGCAAGGGGCTGCCTCAGCTCTTCTGCTCGTCATCCTGCCTCACCACTTTCTCCAAGAAGCCCTCGGGCAAAAAGACCTGTACCTTCTGCAAGAAGTGCGTGAGGGTCTTGGGGGCTATGCAGAGGGCAGGGATCTGGGCAGGAGTATGAGTAAGACAGAGACTGTTGGTAAGAACCTAGCAGGATGGAGCTGGGCGAGAGAGTGATGTAGGGAGAGAGTCAGAGTATTTGGCTCTGTGGTCATTGATCCTGGAGGAGGGGCGGAAGCTGAGGAAATGAGAGGGTGGTCTTGAGTGAATATTCAAACCTGTTCCCACCTCTAGGGAGATCTGGAACACCAAGGACTCGGTTGTGGCGCAGACTGGTTCTGGAGGCTCCTTCCATGAGTTCTGCACATCCGTCTGTCTCTCCCTGTATGAGGCCCAGCAGCAGCGCCCGATCCCCCAGTCTGGGGATCCCGCCGACGCTACTCGCTGCAGCATATGCCAGAAGACTGGAGAGGTGAGGACACTCAGTGGGGGCTGATTTACAGAGCCTGGCCAGCCCTGACCTGCCCCTCCCATCCTGGGGCTGCAGGGTCCAGGCCCTGTGGAAAGGGGAGTGGGGAGGAAAGGCGGCCATCATGAGGGAGCGTATTCAAGGACAGAGCTTCTCCAGGATGTGCACAGCTGGCCTTCCTTACCTCCCAGGACCTCACCATCAAGTCGGCAGCCTGCGGCGCAGGTTGGGGGGTCCCTGGGCCCACTGTCTGCTGTGAAGGTCTAGGGTGAGGTGGGGGGCTGACCTTGCATTGGGGTGGGCGGTGGTGGCCAGGCCCTAGCTCAGGGTGCGTGTATGTGTGTGGCAGGTCCTGCACGAGGTCAGCAATGGCAGCGTGGTACACCGGCTCTGCAGCGATTCTTGCTTCTCCAAATTCCGGGCCAACAAGGGACTGAAAACCAACTGTTGTGACCAGTGTGGGGCTTACATCTACACCAAGACCGGGAGTCCTGGCCCTGAGCTCCTCTTCCACGAGGGCCAACAAAAGCGGTTCTGCAACACAACCTGCTTGGGGGCGTACAAGAAGGTGGGGCCGAGGGAGTAGTGCATTAGAGGGCTGTGGAAGGGGGTGTGGTTCTTGGGTTATAAATAAAGGTGGCTGATGGGTCAAGGGCTGGGAGAAATAAAACAAATAAAGGGGGTTTCAATTGTATCCGTTATGTTTTATTTTTGAAGCTGGCTGGTGGATACACAGGTCTTTGTTACATCATCATCTATACTTTTTTTGTATGCCTGAAATATTTCATGTTTAAAACATTTAAAAAATAAAAGTGAAGGGACAAATCCAGCCTCAGCCTCTCCTTCCCCATCCTCACAGAAAAACACACGTGTGTACCCATGTGTCTGGTGCAAGACCCTGTGTAAGAACTTTGAGATGCTATCACATGTGGATCGTAATGGCAAGACCAGCTTGTTCTGTTCCCTGTGCTGTACCACTTCTTACAAAGTGAAGCAGGCAGGGCTCACTGGTAGGTGCAAAGCCCTCTTCTCTGAGTCCCCTGCTGGCCTTCTCTCTACCTCCCATACTCCCCTCTTCCAGAGTAATCCTTGCTGCCCGACCTCAGTCCCAACCACATCTCCCCATGGATTTTCTGTTCGTCTCTTACACTGCCTTACACCTTCTGTGTGCTCTCTCTCTCCCTCTCTCTTTCTCTTTTCCTCTCTCTCTTTCTCTCTATGCCCCAGGCCCTCCCCGACCCTGCAGCTTCTGCCGCCGCAGCCTCTCTGACCCCTGTTACTACAACAAGGTTGACCGCACAGTCTACCAGTTCTGCAGCCCCAGCTGCTGGACCAAGTTCCAGGTACTCCAGACCCTGGACCAGGGATAGAAGGGTTTGGCAACATAAAGAGGGTTGGAGAATTGGGGTAGGCAGGCCTGGGCAGAGCAAAGAACAAGCCTGACTCCCCTTCCCCACCGCTGCACACATCTTGCCCCTCCCTTACTTGTCTTCCTTCCCTCCAGCGCACAAGCCCTGAGGGGGGCATTCACCTGAGCTGTCACTACTGTCACAGCCTCTTCAGTGGCAAGCCTGAGGTCTTGGACTGGCAGGTAAGAGCCCCACCCCCACCCACGTCTTGCCACACGACCAGACTGTCTGAAGGGGTCCTTCCACTTGGCCCCTGCTGGGGCCAGATGTTACAGCTTGTCCTCCCTGCCCTGTGCCCCCACCTCAGGACCAAGTGTTCCAGTTCTGCTGCCGTGATTGCTGTGAGGACTTCAAGCGGCTTCGGGGTGTGGTGTCCCAGTGTGAGCACTGTCGGCAGGAGAAACTCTTGCATGAGAAACTCCGATTCAGCGGAGTGGAGAAAAGCTTCTGCAGCGAAGGTAAGGAGATGGGGAAGGGCAGAAGACACTATAACTCCCAGCCAGGGAGAATGGAGGAGAAGGGAGGGAGGCCGGGAAAGTGGTCCATGAGGCAGGGCCTTCTGCCCGGGATGTTCTACCCCCATCTCCCCTAAAGTTTTGGGCACAAGGGGCTGCTTAGAGAGAGGTTTCAGGTATAGCACCTTGAAAAGGTTGGGTCTCTTGCCCTTGGGTATCTGTGTCTCTGGACTCTCTTTCCTCTTCTCCTCTTTCCAGGCTGTGTGCTGCTGTACAAACAGGACTTCACTAAGAAGCTGGGCTTGTGCTGTATCACTTGTACTTACTGCTCCCAGACCTGCCAGCGCGGAGTCACCGAGCAACTGGATGGCAGCACCTGGGACTTCTGCAGTGAGGACTGTAAGAGCAAGTACCTGCTGTGGTACTGCAAGGTAAGGAGGGTCAGCATGCGAGCGAGGCGGGAAAGAGGGCAGTGGGGAGCACGGGCTGTGGTACTGAGCTCGGGGTGTGGACAGATCTCCAGGGAGGGCAGCCAGCCTTCCATCTCTAAGCTGGCCCGATCTCCAAGGGGAGGAGCATGGCTTATCCCGGGGGAAAGAAAGGGCCCAACGCATTTTAGGGAGGCAGGTCTGACCATCCTTTTGACATCCTCAGGCTGCCCGGTGCCATGCGTGTAAGCGCCAGGGGAAGCTGCTGGAGACCATCCACTGGCGTGGGCAGATCCGTCATTTCTGCAACCAGCAGTGTCTTCTGCGTTTCTATAGCCAGCAGAACCAACCCAACCTGGATACCCAGAGTGGGCCCGAGAGCCTCCTGAACAGTGAGTCCCAGGCAGGGGGTACACTCTGTTAGAGGGAGCCTGGACTCTCCTAATCCTAAGCCTAGCCCCTTTCTCCTTCCTCTTGCGTTCAGCTCACCCCTGGCCAGATAGGGTGCTAGTACTGTGAACTGTATTCTCTTTTAGCTTCCGAACCCTGCAGGTACCGGGGGAGTCTTATTTAAAGCTTCTTGGAGTTAGCATCTACTGATTGTCTATGAAATATATATTGTTAGGGAGTGGGTGCCTTTCCTGGTAGGATGGAGCATATAGGGGTTATGGTTACGTTTCTGAGATAAGGAAATCTCAGCATAAACTCTACATTTAGTGAGACTGAAGACTGCTATTTCTAGAATGTTACCCCTGCCCCTCCACAACTCCAGGGATAACAGACTCTTCAGGCTATCTAAGTGGAAGGTCTCAAATGTGGGTTTTGGGGGAAAATGTAATGTTTCATTCTCCAGGAACAAATAATCTTTTAGGCTGCTATTGCTGGGGCATAGAGGAGACTAGATCTGGGATGGCAAGGGGGTCAAATCCTAGAAGTTCCCATCTGTATTTGGTGTACCTGTTAATGAAGCTCTCCTGGAACAGGGGTAAGGAAAATGGAGAGCTAGTCCCTTGGATGAGAGCATTCATTTGTTTTGATCTACAGGTCAGTCTCCTGAGTCAAAACCCCAGACACCCTCTCAAACCAAAGTGGAGAACAGCAACACAGTGAGGACCCCAGAGGAAAATGGGAATTTGGGCAAGGTCGGGGCAAAAGCCAAGGGGGAGGATAATCTCAGAGGAGGGTACGGCGGTTGGTGGCACAAATGTTCCTCTGTCTTTGCAGATCCCTGTGAAGACCCGATCAGCTCCCACTGCTCCCACCCCTCCACCCCCACCACCCCCAGCAACACCCCGCAAAAACAAGGCTGCCATGTGTAAGCCACTGATGCAGAATCGGGGCGTCTCCTGCAAGGTGGAGATGAAGTCCAAAGGAAGTCAAACAGGTGAGCCAGGGTACCTCGATGCCACAGGCTGTATTCCAGAGTCCTAGGCCTGCCAGCCCTATGTCCGTGAGCTGGACAAGGGGATTTCTTAGGTAGCTGAAGCCTCATTCATATGGTTGTCCTAGAATCATAGAGGTGTCTTTCAGCCTTTGATTCAAGGGCAGTTTTGTGACACTGAGCATGTTAGAGCTTTTGGTGGGTCAGATGTGACCAGTCCAGCAGGGTCTCTGAGAAGACCCCTTTCTTATCCACAGAAGAGTGGAAGCCACAGGTGATCGTGCTGCCCATCCCAGTGCCCATCTTCGTGCCAGTGCCTATGCATCTGTACTGCCAGAAAGTCCCGGTGCCTTTCTCGATGCCTATCCCGGTGAGTTTCCCTGCCCTTCCTGGCTGGGTCCTCCTTTCCCCTTACTCTCATCAACTGTCCCCCTTCACTCATCATCTGTCCCCCCAACTTCCCCCCAACTGCTGGTGTGGTTCTTGGCATTTAGTTGGGATTCGTGCCTCCAGGTGCCTGTGCCCATGTTCTTGCCCACTACCTTGGAGAGCACAGACAAGATTGTAGAGACCATTGAGGAGCTGAAGGTGAAGATCCCTTCCAACCCCTTGGAGGCCGACATCCTGGCTATGGCAGAAATGATTGCAGAGGCTGAGGAGTTAGACAAGGCCTCATCTGACCTTTGTGGTATGCCATAGATGGTGGCGACGAGGGAGACAGGGTGCTACCAGCATGTCTCTGCCCGAGGGGGTGGTATTGGTGATCTTGGTGCCTAGTAGAATGGGAGGATAGTTGGGATCAGTCCCTGAAAGCTTGTGAGGGTGCTAGCAGGAGCTTGTAACCACTGAGCCAACTTCTCTGCTTCCCAGATCTTGTGAGCAACCAGAGTGCAGAGGGACTCCTGGAAGACTGTGACCTGTTTGGGCCTGCTCGAGATGATGTCCTGGCCATGGCAGTCAAGATGGCCAATGTCTTGGATGAGCCTGGGCAAGACTTGGAGGCAGACTTCCCTAAGAGTGAGTAAGATTGGAGCCATGCCCACTGAGTATGGTAGCATTTGTGCCATCAGGAAGGGAGTGTCCCTTGTGTCCCTGAGCATGACCCTGAAAAGTGTTCATTGTGATTCTAAGACGGAAGGTTCTCACAGGGAGCAGTGCCAGAGACACCAGGACAGGTGCACTCTTTTAGACTTCTGAGTCATGCTTTTTTTTTTTTTTTTTTTTTTTTAATTTTTAAGCTGAAAAAAAACATAAAATTTTACCATGTTCAACATGTTTACGGTTCAGTAGTTCACATTGCTGTGTTTTGCGTTTCTGTGCCTCTGAGCATGCTTTTTGGTATAGCTTTACTGGTTCCTTTGGCTCATCTAGTGTCAAGTGGGCAAGTAGCAGGGGTGGGGCAGGAGGGCTGCAGGGTTGAGATCTTAAGAAATTGATTTCTTCTTTCTTTCCTTTTCATTAGATCCTCTGGACATTAATCCCAGTGTAGACTTCCTCTTTGATTGTGGCCTGGTAGGGCCTGAGGATGTGTCTACTGAACAAGACCTTCCCCGAACCATGAGGAAGGTAGGGCTGGGGCTACTGTATGTACAAAAGAAGAATGGAGGCCCAAAGGGGAGATGATGCGAGAGCCAAGCCAGCAACCATAGTTTGACCTTCCCTAACCTCCTTTCTCCAACACTAGAAGTACTGAGATAAAGCCAAACTTTGCTCTCCCCCCATCTCACAAGGTCATCAAAGCTGTTCCTGGGGCTCTGTGCTATGGAAGCTTGCTGTGTGCTTACATCAGCCCCTGCCCCGGCCAGCAGTAAATATGGTGCTGACTAGCTTTCACCTTGCCTCTGGCCTTACCTCTGCCATGCCCCTGCTTTCTCTTCCCCTCCAGGGTCAAAAGCGGCTGGTGCTTTCCGAAAGCTGCTCCCGGGACTCCATGAGCAGTCAGCCTAGTTGTACCGGGCTCAACTATTCATATGGTGTCAATGCTTGGAAGTGCTGGGTGCAGTCAAAATATGCCAATGGAGAAACCAGCAAGGGTGATGAGCTGCGCTTTGGCCGTAAGTACTTGGGGATGGGGGGTGTGGGGAGGCAGGGACAGGGAGGAGGAGGGGAAAGGGGAGAAGGGGCTGGGCCTGTGATTCAGCTGAAGATGTCTAGAAGTGATAAGGGTGTGATCCCTTAAGGATGCCCTGTGAAGATGGGGAGGAGTTGTAGATTAAAGGGAAATGCTGTCTAGGTTCCAGGTTAGGGGCTCTTTCTGTAATTGTTCAGGAGCTAGGCATGACTAAGGGATGGAGGGGTTAATGGTGATGGAGCTAAGTGAAATTCTCCATGTAGAGTTTTTCTTAATCCTGTCCCTGCACAACATATCACTGCAGCCAAACCCATGCGTATCAAAGAGGATATTCTCGCCTGCTCAGCTGCTGAGCTCAACTACGGTCTGGCCCAGTTTGTGAGAGAAATCACTCGGCCCAATGGTGAACGATATGAACCTGACAGTATCTACTATTTGTGTCTTGGCATCCAGCAGGTACCTCTTGTGCACCACCTCACTTCCTGTCACTCTTAACACAGCAGGCAGGGTCTAAACAGAAATGATTCTGGGTTAGGCACGGTGGCTCACGCCTGTAATCCCAACACTTTGGGAGGCTGAGGCAGGAGGATCGCTTCAAGCCAGGAGTTTGAGACCAGCCTGGGCAACAAAGTGATACCCATCTACCCAAAAAATATTTTTTTAATGAAAAAAAAAAGCAGTTATTCTGTTGCACTCCCTGTTCCTCATCTTGTCCCCTACCTGAAGCAGGCAGCTTGCCTTTAATCTCCTACTCCAAATAGAACATGAGATATCAATACTCTTCTAAAATCAAAACTGCATTCCAGGACCGTTGGCCAAGGAGCAGTCTTCATTGCTATCCAGGTCCCCTTTGTAATCTTTAAGCCCATTCTAGGAGGGGAGGGATGGGTGGAGCTGGGATCCTTGAGTGCTGGGGTAATGTTTAGTTCCCCCTGGGAGAAGTCAACCATGTATTACCTGAGAAGGAGGTGTGGGCTTCTAAAGAACATCTCCTCCAAGCCTCCTCCTCTTCGAGCAAAGCCTGAGTAGCGCAGAGCTGTGGGTATACCTGGGGGAAAGCACTCGAGGCCACCTAATCAAGCAACTGTTTCCCATCGTCTCCTAATGATCAAGGACACCATACCTGGGGGCTTCAGCATCATTATCTTTCTTCTAGGACCTACAGTCTAGCCTTAGGTGTGTCTGTTTTTCTTTCCCCAGTACTTGCTGGAAAATAACCGGATGGTGAACATTTTCACGGACCTTTACTACCTGACTTTTGTTCAAGAACTCAACAAGTCTCTGAGTACCTGGCAGCCCACACTCCTCCCCAACAGTAAGGAACAGGGACGTAGCAACCCCTACCCGCTTTCTCCATTCTTCCAATCCACCATCCCGAGAGTCCTGTGCTGTTTGGTCTGCCACTCTTCACAAAGGGCCCGAGGGCAGGAGCGTGTAGCTGGATGCCTCAGGGTTTAGAGTTAAAGGAGCACAGGAGCGCCTGTTCTTGAACGTGAGATGGGGATCAAGACTTAGGTCTGAAGAGCTATCTCTAGGACCAGAAAAAGATGGCCTGGGTTTGGGTGGTAAGTAAAGAAAGAAAGCAAGAAATCGTGGGACTCCTCAAGGTTTACATTTACTTGTCTACAACTTGAGGGTGGTGAGAGGCGTTCCAAATGCAGGTGTGGAAAGTATATATTTTTTAAAGCCCAGTCCCACTGTGTAGTGTAGCAAGTGTAGCGAAGTGACAGTGTTTTATATACAAAGGTTACTCACCAAATGAGAATTGTGTGGGAAATGAGCAGGGCACATGGGATGGGAAGTGGTTGGGTTTGGGTAGCCACTCCCTCCTGACTGGCCTCTCCCCCTTGACCATTGTAGATACGGTGTTCTCTCGAGTGGAGGAGGAGCACCTCTGGGAGTGTAAGCAACTGGGGGTCTACTCGCCCTTTGTCCTCCTCAACACCCTCATGTTCTTCAACACTAAGTTTTTTGGGCTGCAGACAGCTGAGGAACACATGCAACTCTCCTTCACCAATGTGGTGCGGCAGTCCCGCAAGTGTACCACCCCTCGGGGCACCACCAAGGTGGTGAGCATCCGCTACTATGCCCCAGTCCGCCAGAGGAAAGGGCGAGGTACGAGGCTGCCCCCTCCCCTGTGCTTTTGCCCCTTCTCTGCCTTCCCCTTCCATGCCCTGCCATAACCCACCATACCTGCCAGGTCGGCCCTCTCCTTGGCGCCTAGCTTCCCTCTCCTGTTCCTGTGTGCAGAAAGGGTAGAAACAGCCAGTCCTCCTACCTGATAGGCAGTAGCTGTTGCATAAATAAGAGGTCACCCTCTGGCCTGTTTCCCCTCTTTCCTCATTTAAGACAGTTTACTTGCTTGCCTGCTTTTTCTGGGTGGTGGACAGGTAGGAAACCATTGGGTGTGTTTGGCTGTCGGGGAGGGTAGAATGACAGGCTTTCTGTGATTCTTTGCTATCGGGTCTAACAACAACTGCACCTTGGTTTCCATTTTTTCTGTCCCTGGACTTCTGTCCTGTCTGAGTGAAGTTTCCAAGGTCCTTTCTCTGGACCCATGCTTCTACCTGGACTAATGCACAAGGGGTTGGGGTCATTGCTGTTTCTCTATCCCAGAAGGCAAGCCCACCCTTGCAGTAGGGTCTGTTTTATCAGGTCTTTTGAATAACTTCTGAGATCACCTCTTCAAGATAGCAACTTGGGGGAGATTTTAAAGAGAGTCTTTGGCAGTGGGAACTGGGGAGGGTTGCATAACAACAGCCCGACAGGATGTTGGGTTGGCGTGGGAGAGGGAGACTGACCTCTTCTTCCACCTCTCCATCTTGATGAGACTGTAATTTGTGTCGTGACGCCTTCTCCCTGTGCCCTGAACTGTGCTCTTGGATGTGGCTCATGGAGCCTGTGTTCTTAATGAGTCTGAATCATTTCCCTCCCCTATAGACACGGGTCCTGGAAAACGGAAGAGAGAAGATGAAGCCCCTATCTTAGAGCAGCGTGAGAACCGCATGAATCCCCTCCGCTGCCCTGTCAAGTTCTATGAATTCTATCTCTCAAAATGGTGAGTTGGTGGGTTGGCAGGAAAAGCGTTAGCATGGGGACCCGAGGGATCTACTTTGCCTTGGTACTGATCTTCTGTCCTGCCACCCCCACTCCCACTCCCACCCCCGATGTTGCAGTCCTGAAAGCCTCCGGACTCGCAACGATGTGTTCTACCTGCAACCTGAACGGTCCTGCATCGCCGAGTCACCTCTCTGGTATTCTGTGATCCCCATGGACCGCAGCATGTTGGAGAGCATGCTCAATCGCATCCTGGCTGTGCGCGAGATTTATGAGGAACTGGGTCGTCCTGGGGAGGAAGACCTGGACTGAGCTCGTGTGCCATCCATATCCATCTTTCACATCAATGTCTGTCCTGTGGCCATGTCCCTCAGGGTGACAGGCCCAGGAACCAATGCTACTCATTCTGAAGGGCCCTGACTGCTCCTTTCCGCTCACCCATTCCCTGCCTTCTCTAGGAACCCTGGCTTTTATCTTCTTCCGTACCACTTGACAACCATGGGGCCCTGGTCTTCTGTACTCAGGGGCTGGTCTCCCAGTGATGGGCAAAAGCCAGCTTGCCCGTTTTCTTTATGCTTCAGAGTAAACCCCTCCTTCTGGGTCCAGACTCTGGGTGGAGTGTTAATAGCTCTGGTGATCCTGTTGGCTTTGGGTTTCCTGACCCATCCCGCATAGGTAGAGCCTCTTGTTCCTAGGCATGACCTAGGGAAAAACCCAGCTGCCTTCTCTGCCCTGTGCCCACTCCCTTCTCTACTCTTCCCCAGCACCATGCCAAAAGGTCTTATCTGAAAGGTAAGAAATAAACAATGAAAGCGATGAGGGGACCATTTACATAAAACACAGAGCTTAGACACTCTTCCCCTCCTATGAAATAATTGGTTGTTGGCACCATCTCACCACCGCATATCCCTCACCCCCTCGGCAAGCACCAATCCTTGGTGCTGCCGTTTTTAAAATCTTCCAAATGCCTTTTTTTCCTCAGAGGCAGAGAATGACTAAGTACGGGGAGCAGACTCCTGTTGTGCAGACTCCTGTCCCCTTGGTTTCTGTGTTTGTCTCTCTGCCATCTTAGGTTGCCATGAGCCATGGTGTCAACATGCTTAGCCCCCTCTGTAACTGCCTCCCTTTAGTTCAATGGACAGACCTCCCAAGGCAAAAACTACCTTCTGACTTGGGTTGAGGCTGGGTTCCCCTCTATTGTTCCCCTATCATAAGAGCTAGGCCAAGCCTATGGGACCTTGAGTCATGCAGGATGGGATCTGTGGTCAAAGGACAGGCGAGGAGCTGTGGGCGCAGGGCCTGCCGCCACTGCCTACATCTTCTCTCTTCCCCATCTTGCATTGGAGGTCCCAGAAAACAATTAGCTTCTGGCAAAGGGGGTACCCACTTCTTTCCCTGTTGACTTTGCTGTTTCCCAGGCTCCTTTTTGTGTTTTTATAACTGTCACCAGTTAGCCACTGTTTAAATTGTATATATTGTTCTGAGGCGCCTGGCCTGTCCCTTCAGTGAGCCATGCCCACCCTTGTGTTGTAGTGAGAAGCTGTTGTCACGACTAACCTTCTGTCTCTGAAATTGTTTGTTTCAAATAAAGAGTTAAAATTGTCTTTTGTCTTTTCTGGGTGATGGATATAGAGGAGCAACACTGGATAACTTCAAATCTCTCCAAGTGTAAACAAGTCAGGTGTTTGAGAATCGTTCTTACTTTACTGTCTTACTTTGGATCTACTGGGAATGTGGTGTTTTTTTTGTTTTTTTTGTTTTTGTTTTTGTTTTTTTTTTATAACAAGTTTCCAAACACTTAAGGAAAAAAAAATACTCACTCACTAGCTATGTATTAAGGACCTATTATGTTTAAAGACCTAGATTACGTGCTTCAAAAAATACAAAAAGACTGGTTAGACCAGGATCCAATCCCCAGCAGGCTCCCAGGCTATAGGGGAGACCAAATAGTACACAATTAGTCATAATACAGGCAGAATAAAATGAATAGTGCTATGGGAGGACAGAGGAATAAATAACTCACTTCAGGTTTACAGGGAGGCTGGGTGCAGTGGCTTGCGTCTGTAATCCCAGTACTTTGGGAGGCCAAGGTGGGAGGATTCCTTGAACCCAGGAGTTCAAGACTAGCCTGGGCAACATGGCAAAACCCCATCTCTAACAAAAATACAAGAATTAACTGGGCATGGTGACGCACACCAGTAATCACAGCTATTGAGGAAGCTGAGGCTGAGGAGGATCGTTTGAGCCTGGGAGGCGAGGTTGCAATGAGCCCAGACCACCCCACCGCACCCATTCTGGGTGACAGAGTGAAACTTTGTCTAGAAAACAGACAACACACGTTTATAGGGAGGCTATGTGAGGGTTTACCAAGGGAGGTGGCATTAGACCTGGGCCTCAAACACAAAGTGGAAAGGGTTGGGAGGCCACAGATGTAGAGGTGGGAAGTGCAAGGCTGAGATTTTTCCAACCAAGGGGTGGTAGGCTCAGATCTATTTCTTTAGGGAGACAATCCCCAGAACAATATGAAGAATAGCGAGTGGGAGTAGGCCTGAAAGCCTGGAGATTGGTGGAAGGAGTATGGCTAAGAGGTTCTGTGGACCTCAATGGGGACTGTGGGGATAGGGAAGGGAAAAAAAGATAGATTCAAAGTAAATTTCAGGCATTTTGAAGGTCAAGTCTGCAGGATCTGATGAATCATTAGAAGTAAAGGTTCTGGGGGGGTGGCTCATGCCTGTAATCCCAGCACTTTGAGAGGCAGAGCTGGTGAATCATTTGAGGTCAGGAGTTCGAGACCAGCCTGGCCAACATGGCGAGACCCCATCTCTACCAAAAACACAAAAATTAGCCAGGCATGGTGGCAGGTGTCTGTAATCCCAGCTACTCAGGAGACTGAGGCAGAATTGCTTGAACGTGGGAGGCGGAGGTTGTAGTGAGCCGAGACCATACCACTGCACTCCATCCTGGGTGACAGAGTGAGTGAGACTCCGTCTCAAAAATAATAATAATAATAATAAAAGGTAAAGGTTATAAAGGTTAGGGGAAAGGGAAGAATTGAGCATGAACCCCAGGCTTCTAGCCTTGATGACTGGGAGAGTGAGATGCCTTTAACCAAGATGGGTAGCACAGGGACAAGTTTTTTTTTGTTTTTGTTTTTTTTCAGACGGAGTCTCACTCTGTTGCCAGGCTGGAGTGCAGTGGCGCGATCTCGGCTCACTGCAACCTCCATTTCCCAGGTTCAAGCAATTCTCCTGCCTCAGCCTCCCGAGTAGCTGCGACTACAGGCACGCACCACCATGCCCAGCTAATTTTTGTATTTTTAGTAGAGACGGGGTTTCACCATGTTGGCCAGGATGGTCTTGATCTCTTGACCTCGTGATCTGCCCGCCTCGGCCTCCCAAAGTGGTGGGATTACAGGC
The DNA here is from genome assembly GCF_000001405.40 of Homo sapiens. Lineage (NCBI taxonomy): Eukaryota > Metazoa > Chordata > Mammalia > Primates > Hominidae > Homo > Homo sapiens. The sequence goes on along the minus strand of NC_000023.11, from coordinate 71,237,811 downwards.
ATGAGCCACCATGCCCAGCCAAGTTTTTTTTTTTTTTTTTTTTCGGGGGGTGTGTGTGTGTGTGTGTGTGTGTGTGTGTGTGTGTGTGTGCTGTCAGGGATAGGAGAATGTTGCTAATAAGTTGAGATTTTTATCACATTGGTTTCAAGACTCCATTGAAACACCCTTGTGGTGCACCATGCAACATGGCACAGCAGAGAGAACACCCAGACTTGAGTTTCTAATCATAGGTCTGCCATAAAATCTTGGGCAAGACAACCTTTTCGAGCCTCACCTAAAAAATGAGTTCATATTCTGCCCTGACTTTCTCACAGAAGTGTTGAGAAGGTCAGATGAGACAACAGACCCAAAAGAACAAATATTGATGCTACACGTTACCGTATGTAGTAGGCAGTTAGAAATTCAAGTCGGAGGCTTAGGAGAGAGATGAGGTGTTAATTTAGAAGTCATCTGCAGAGCTTCTCGCTGAAGCTCTGGGAGTACACAAGGTCACTTGGGAACATAGAGTGAAGACAGAAGAGGACAAAAAACCCAAACACAGTACTTTGGAGAATGTCTCCAGTTAACCAGAGAAAGGCACTGAGAGGGAGAGACCAGAGAAGTAGGAGGAACCCCAAATCTGACAGATGCCAAAGACATAACCACCTGATGAAAAACTGTCCTTGCAGTCCAGGCCAGGATGAAGTCTTAAATAGACCTTCTCCTTCTCCCATTCACAATGAGAGAAGGGTGCCAAACTATCCACTTCCTCTTACCTTCTTCCCTTGTTGAAACAGAGAAGGGCCTGATGTCATTTGTTCAACTAGATATCTACTCTGTTCTGAGCCTCATGTTACTATGAATACAAACATGAATAAGAACCTAGGGTCAGCTGGCACAGTGGCTCATGCCTGTAATCCCAGCATTTTGGGAGGCCAAGGTGGGTGGATCATTTGAGGTCAGGAGTTCGAGACCAGCCTGGTCAACATGGTGAAACCCCGCCTCTACTAAAAATACAAAAATTAGCTGGGCATGGTGGCTGGCCCCTGTAGTCCCAGCTACTCCAGAGGCTGAGGCAGGGGAATCGCTTGAACCCGTGAGGCAGAGGTTACAGTGAGTTGAGATCGCACCACTGCACTCCAGCCTGGGTGACAGAGCGAGACTCTGTCTCCAAAACAAACAAACAAACAAACAACAACAACAACAACAACAAAAACCTGGGGTCTACTCTTGAGAAGTTCCTAGTCTGATAGGGAAGACCAGGGCTGGGACTGGGTGAGGCAATTGAGGCACCTAGGGTGAAAAATGTAAGGGCACTTGTTCTCAGGGTTACATACGTACAGGGTTGGCATTTGTATGACCCCAAGAGGGAGTGCCTCCTTACATTTGCCTTCTAGGTGCCTCGACTGCCTCACCCCAGTCCTGACCCTGGGAAAGACTCACATGTCAATAAAATAGCCAAGGTAGAATGTAATTGTTTCTCACTCTCTCCCAGGAAATCAAGAAAGGTTAGAGGTGGCCGGGTGCAGTGGCTCATGCCTGTAATTGAGACCAGCCTGGCCAACAAGGTGAAACTCTTCTCTACTAAAAATACAAAAATTAGCTCAACTTGGTGGGCACCTGTAATCTCAGCTACTTGGGAGGCTGAGGCAGGAGAATCACTTGAACCCGGGAGGTGGAGGTTGCCACTCACTCCAGCCTGGGCGACAGAATGTGACTCCATCGAAAAAAAAAAAAAAAGAGGCCGGGCACAGTGGCTCATGCCTGTAATCCCAACACTTTGAGAGGCCGAGGCAGGCAGATCATGAGATCAGGAGTTCGAGACCAGCCTGGCCAAAATAGTGAAACCCCGTCTCTACTAAAAATACAAAAAATTAGCCAGGCGTGCTGGCGGGCACCTGTAATCCCAGCTACTCAGGAGGCTGAGGCAGGAGAATCGCTTGAGCCCGGGAGGCAGAGGTGTCAGTGAGCCTAGATCGCACCACTGCACTCCAGCCTGGGTGGCAGTGTGAAACTCCGTTTCAAAAAGAAAGAAATAAAAGAAGGAAGGAAGGAAGGAAGGAAGGAAGGAAGGAAGGAAGGAAGAAAGAAAGGAAGGGAAAACAAAGAAAGAGAAAAGAGAAAGAAGGGAGACAGGCAGGGAGGAAGGGAGAGAGAGAGAAAGGAAAGAAGGAAGGAAGGAAGAAAAGAAAGAAAGAAAGAGAAAGAAAGAAAGAAAGATTACAGAGGTGACATGGGAGCTGGGGTTTCATGAAGAGTGGGCAATAGCTTGTCAGGCAGAGTAGAGGTGCAGGGATCAGTGTGAACAAAGGCATGGAGGCATAACACAGCACCGAGTGTCTGCAGGAAAGGGTGGCTGGGCTGCAAAGAAGGTGGAGAGGACGTAGTGGAAAGGCTGAGGGTGGTGGGAGGTGTTGCTGGGAAAATAAATAGAGGTCAGGTTGTGAAAGGCATTGAATGCTATGCCATGCCACACCCTGCTAGAGTGACCAACCATCTCAGTTTGCCCAGGACTCCCCCAGTTTCAGCAATGAAAGTTCAGCATCCTGGCGAGGCGTGGTGGCTCACGCCTGTAATCCCAGCACTTTGGGAGGCCGAGGTGGGTGGATCACAAGGTCAGGAGATTGAGACCATCCTGGCTAACATGGTGAAACCCCATCTCTACTAAAAAAATAGAAAAATTAGCCGGGCGTGGTGGCGGGCGCCTGTAATCCCAGCTACTCAGGAGGCTGAGGCAGGAGAATGGCGTGAACCCGGGAGGCGGAGTTTGCAGTTATCCGAGATAGCACCACTGCACTCCAGCCTGGGCGACAGAGCGAGACTCCGTCTCAAAAAAAAAAAAAAAAGAAAGAAAGAAAGAAAGAAAGAAAGTTCAGCATCCTGAGAATCCCTCAGTTCTGGCAAGCTGGGATGGTCATACTTTATCCTAGTCTGTCTTCCTGTTATACTTTTTCCTACAAGCAGTGGAAAGCCATGAAAAAACTTTCACTAAGAATTGGCAGGGTATGCTTCATGTTTTAAGGTGACTCTAGTATGTCTGGGGGAGATGTAGAACTGGGTACTGAAGAAACTCCAGGGGCCAGTTACAGGGAGGAAGTATGGTATAGAAATTGTTAGTGCTGGCTGGGTGAGGTGGCTCACGCCTGTAATCCCAGAACTTTGGGAGGCTGAGGCTGGTGGATCACCTGAGGTCAGGAGTTCAAGACCATCCTGGCCAACATGGTGAAACCCTGTCTCTACTAAAAAATTTAAAAAAAATTAGTCGGGTGTGGTGGCAAGCACCTGTAATCCCAGCTCCTCGGGAGGCTGAGGCAGGAGAATCACTTGAACCTGGGAGGTGGAGGTTGCAGTGAACAGAGATCATGCCAATGCACCCCAGCCTGAGCGACAGAGCGAGACTCCATCTCAGAAAGAAAGAAAGAAAGAAAGAAAGAAAGAAAGAAAGAAAGAAAGAAAGAAAGAAAGAAAGAAAAGAAAGAAAGAAAGAAAAAGAGAAAGAAAGAAAGAGAAAGAAAAAGAAATGGTTAGTGCTTTGCCTTTGGCATCCACCAGATGTGAATTCCAGTTCCCCAGCTCCGCCCTTTCTTTCCTGTGTGACCAAGGCAAGTTACTTAACCTACTTGAGCCTTGGTTTCCTCATCTGTAAAACGCGAACAAGACGGAGCTTGCCTCAGTGATAGTGAGGATTAAAGGAGGTAATGTTTAGCACAGTGCCCGGCATGGAGCAAGTGTTTTAATCCAAGTTCAGTCTCGTCCACATTATCAGTTAGATTCTGGCAAGGCCTTGAAGGAAAGTAGCAGTGACAATGGGGATGCTGAGGAGAAAAGGGATTTGAGAAAGATTTGAAAAGCAGAATTACCAGAACTTGTTTGTCTGTTAATTGATTATATTTTAGTGTGAATGAGTTCTCCCAGGTATCTGCATTTCAAGACAATTATCTCTAACTGAGGAATGAAAGGCTTTGTCCTTTGAAGAAAGCTGGAGCAGAAACAGAAAGGGGTTAGGGGAGACTGTGGGAAAATAAAGTGTGTTTGGGATCCCTAAGGTGAAGGGAGAGAAAGGGTGACAGTTTCAACAGCTTATCTTGACTTAGGCCAAAGAAGGTTAAGGGGTTCTGAATAACTGTCTCTCCACATCTTCCCTGCACTCCCCAGGTTGCCTCCCTTCCCAGGGATGGACAATTTCTGGATCCTGCTCCAGGTAGACATCCTGGGAAGGGCCCTCTCCCCACAAAACTGCCCTTCCCTGCCTGAGTGCAGGGCAGCCCCTTCCTCAACTTTCACCATTTCTCTCTCTTAACCTTAGGGATCCTGTACAAACATGTTGTTTTCCAGCACATTAGTACTTAGGGATATTTTCATATCATACTGAGCTCCCCACCCCCACCCCACCCAACATATCCTGAAACACTTCCTAAAGCAGCATTGAGTGGTTACTTTGGCTTTTCGTTTGTTTGTTTTTGTGTTTGCTTTTTTTTTGAGAGGGAGTCTCTGTCACCCAGGCTGGAGTGCAGTGGCGCGATCTCGGCTCACTGCAACCTCCGCCTCCCAGGTTCAAGCGATTCTTCTGTCTCAGCCTCCCGAGTAGCTGGGATTACAGGCATGTGCCATCACACCTGGCTAATTGTTATATTTCTCATAGGGACAGGGTTTTGCCATGTTGGCCAGGCTGGTCTGGAACTCCTGCCCTCAAGCGATCCACCCGCCTCGGCCTCCCAAAGTGTGGGGATTACAGGCGTGAGCCACCGTGCCCAGCCAGAGTGGTTACTTTGGAATAGAGGAAACAGTGCAGGTTTTGGATTAGAATGGGACTAGGTTTTAATTCTAGCTCTGCAGTGCAACCTTTGGACATATTACTTAACTTCTCTGAGTCTCCATTTCCTCATCTACAAGTATGGGGATAATAATAGCTACCTTGCCAGTACTGAGATTATACATGTCAGTGCTTAATGTAGCACCAAATCTGGCACATATTAGGTGCTCCATAGTATGGTGCGCCTGGCCCACCTAAGTCATTTCTAAGTCTGGTAATAAAGTTGCAGACCATATTATGATTGGGACACATCCTTTTCATTAAAACTACATTAAGAGTTAAGGCACTTGGCAGAGCGCAGTGGATCACGCCTGTAATCCCAGCACTTTGGGAGGCCAAGGCAGGCGGATTACCTGAGGTCAGGAGTTGGAGACCAGCCTGGCCAACATGGTGAAACCCCATCTCTACAAAAAAAATACAAAAATTAGCCAGGTTGGTGGGACACGCCTGTAATCCCAGCTACTCAGGAGGTTGAGGCAGGAGAATCCCTTGAAACCAGGAGGCGGAGGTTGCAGTGAGCCAAGATTGCGCCATTGCACTCCAGCCTGAGCGACAGAGCAAGACTCCATCTCAAAAAAAAAAAAAAGGCACTCCCCTCACAGCCATCCTCCCACATACATGTTAATGTGGTCATATGTATCAATACAATGATATATCATATGCATGCAAACATACAGACTTGCTTGCTTAAGCACACGCACATGACTATGGACAGTTAGACAGTCAAGAAAACATGTTAAGCCAGGCACAGTGGCTCACGCCTGTAATCCCAGCCCTTTGGGAGGCTGAGGAGGGAGGATCACTGGAGCTAGGAGTTTGGGGTTGCAGTGAGCTATGATGGCACCACTGCATTACAGCCTGGGCAACAGAGTGAGACCCTGTCTAAAAAAAAAAAAAAGCAAGCATGTTAATTAGGTGAGACAGAGTTTAACTCAGTGTTTGAGAGAATTGGTGAATAGCTGGAGAAACAGCGAAGATGGTGAGATGAAATAATAACAGCACACCCTTGTGTAGGGCTTACTATCGACCAGGCCTTGTTTGAAGTGCTTTATATATAATGGACACATTTAATCCTCACTACAGCCCTGTGACACAGGTACTCATGCTTTATAGATGAGGAAACTAAGGCCTAGAGTGGCCAAGTAACATGGTCAAACTCACAAAAGTAGGAAGTAAACAATGCTTTTTTTTTTTTTTGGAGACAGTTTCACTCTTGTTACCCAGGCTAGAATGCAATGGTGCGATCTCGCCTCACTGCAACTTCCGCCTCCCGGGCTCAAGCTATTCTCCTGCCTCAGCCTTCCTGAGTAGCTGGGATTACAGGCATGCGCCACCACGCCTGGCTAATTTTGTATTTTTAGCAGAGACAGAGTTTCTCCATGTTGGTCAGGCTGGTCTCGAACTCCCGACCTCAGGCGATCTGCCCACCTCAGCCTCCCAAAGTGCTGGGATTACAGGCGTGAGCCACTGCACCTGGCCAACATTGGTCTTAATCACTATGTGACACTAACTTTTCACAGGGGCTTCAGTTGTGGTGAAAAAAATGGAGAACAGTTGGTCACCATCCTGTGTAAATTACGCTTTCTCCTTGAAGTCCACTTTCAAATAATTCTGGTCTTTCTTCCATAGTTCACTGTCAACTTTAACACATCTGTTTGTGCAAAGGTCTGCCCTGATCTGGATCTCCTGAAGACCTCTACAGTCCATCCATGATCATGAGTACAGAATTGCCTGTTAGTCTAGTAGGGGCTTAACTTTTATGTCAGAAGGGCTTCTACACGTGATACTGGAGTCCAGACTCCTGTGCAAACCTGCATGCATTTCTATGAGACTTTTCACTGACCAGCCCCGACCTGCTTTGCCAGTCTCACCTCCTACTGCAACCACCCCACTCCCCATCCCATGCATTTTCTGCTCTAGTCACAGTGAACACATTCTACTCTCTCACGACTCTGAATCTTTGCACATGCATATGTCTTCCTCCCCGCTGCCCTGAATCCCACAGGCTACTAAGCACCTACTATGTGTTAAGCTTATGCAAGTGATTACCACACAATAGTTTCTTTCTTTTCCTCCCTCCCTTCCCCCCTTCCCCCTTCCCCCTCTTCCTTCCCCTTCCCCTTCCCCTTCTCCTTCCTTCCTTCCTTCCTTCCTTCCTTCCTTCCTTCCTTCCTTCCTTCCTCTCTTTCTTTCTTTCTTTCTTTCTGATGGAGTCTTGCTCTGTCAGCCAGGCTGGAGCACAATAGCATGATCTCAGTTCACTGCAACCTCCCCCTCCTGGGTTCAAGCAATTCTCCTGCTTCAGCCTCCCAAGTAGCTGGGATGACAGGCGAGTGCCACCAGGCCCAGCTGATTTTTCTATTTTTAATAGAGACAGGGTTTCGCCATGTTGGCCAGGCTGGTCTCCAATTCCTGGCCTCAAGAGATCCACCTGCCTAGGCCTCCCAAAGTGCTGGGATTACAGACGTGAGCCACCGCACCTGGCCTCTTTCTTTTTTTAAGACAGATTTTATGAGCTAATCTTTCTTTCCTTCCTCCCTCCCTCCCTCCCTCCCTCCTTCCTTCCTTCCTTCCTTTTTTTCAGAGTCTCACTCTGTCACCCAGGCTGGAGTACAGTGGCACGATCTCGGCTTACTGCAGCCTCTGCCTCCCAGGTTCAACTGATTCTCCTGCCTCAGCCTCCTGAGTAGGTGGGACTACAGGCGCCCACCACCACGCCTGCCTGATTTTTGTATTTTTAATAGAGACAGGGTTTTGCCATATTGACCAGGCTGGTCTTGAACTCCTGGCCTCAACAGATCCGCCTGCTTCAGCCTCCCAAAGTGCTGGGATTACAGGCGTGAGCCACTGTGCCTGGCCTGTGTGCTTTTCTTTTTTGTGTGTGTGTGGTGGTGGTGGTGGTGGTGGTATTTTTTAGAGATGGGGTCTCACTGTGTAGTCCAGGCTGGTCTCCAAGCAATCCTCCCACCTCATCTTCTTGAGCAGCTAGGATTACAAGTGTGAGTCACCGCACCTGGCACCATATAATGTGATAAGCGCTCTTATCACATACACCACAGTCATATTGTGGGAATTCAGAGTGGAGGTCTGAATTGGAGAGTCTCTCCAAGGGACTTGATCAGCGGGGAAAGAAGAGTTGATGGCTTCACAGAGGAAACGACGTTTGAGATGAGTTTTGAATGATTAGGAGCTTTCCAGTCAAAGGAGGGAAAGGAAACCTCAAATTACCTTTGGCTCTTCCACACCCCACAACTCAGACATGAAGTCCTGTTGTAGGTTCTACATCCAAAATGTCTCTCACACCTGTCTCCTCTTCATATTCCTCTGCCACTGTCCTAGTCCTACAGGCGCCACTTGGGCTATTGCAACAGCTCCATAACTGGTCTTTTTTTTTAGAGACAGGGTCTCACTATGTTGACCAGACTGGTCTCAAAGTCTTGGGTTCAAGGAATCCTTCCACCTCAGCCTCCCAAGTAGGTGGGACCACAGGTGTGCCACTGCACCTGGCAGTACCTGGTCAATCTGTCTCAGTCTTCAATCCCCAATCCAGTCTCCATGCAGCTGCTGGCTGACCTTCCAAACACACAAGTTTGAAGGTATCACCCCCGTCATACCTTTTTTTTTTTTTTGAGACAGAGTCGCTCTGTCACCCAGGCTGGAGTGCAGTGGCATGATCTCGGCTCATTGCAACCTCTGCCTCCCAGGTTCAAGCGATTCTTATGCCTCAGCCTCCCAAGTAGCTGAGATTACAGGCGTGCGCCACCACACGGGGCTAATTTTTGTATTTTTGGTAGAGACGGGGTTTCACCATGTTGGCCAGGCTGGTCTCAAACTCCTGACCTCAAGTGATCCACCTGCCTCGGCCTCCCAAAGTGCTGGGATTACAGGCGTGAGCCACCGTGCCTGGCTTTTTTTTTTTTTTTTTTTTTTTTTTGTGATGGAGTCTCACTCACTCTGTCACTCAGGCTGGAGTGCAGTGGCGCGATCTCGGCTCACTGCAACCTCCACCTCCCGGATTCAAGCAATTCTCCCACCTCAGCCTCCTGAGTAGCTGGGACTATGGGCATGTGCCACCACGCCTGGCTAATTTTTGTATTTTTAGTAGAGACAGTGTTTCACCATGTTGGCCAGGATGGTCTCGAACTCCTGGCTTCAAGTGATCTGCCTGCTTTGGCTTCCCAAATTGCTGGGATTACAGGCAACAGCCACTGTGCCCAGCCAATTCCTGTCATATCTGTAGGGTATTTTTTGTCTGTTTTATTTGCCCCTTGCTGGAATGTCCCAATCCATTTTCCATTTGACCCTGTACATTCTCCCTGGCCTACTCCAGGAATCAACAGGAGCTTAGCTTGGTACGATTGTGTAGCCCCTTCTGCACCATAGGCCAGGTCTGGCATTTAAGTACTTTGGAATCAGTAAATGGAGCAAGCATTCCCCTCTAGCCCCCACTGTGTGCACCCAGGCTATCTGATTGAACATCTGAACCAGTTTGTGGTTGCCATGCCAATTCTCTATGGATACCACAGCTTGCTTTCAAACCCCAACTCAGCTGGCTGGAGGCCTTGATTACTCTCCTAGTTCATCTGCCTCTGTTCCTTTGCCCCCCAGCTCCTGGCATCTCTGTGCATAGACACCTCTAAAAGATCATAGACATTCCTAAAAGGACCAGTTCCATGAGATACAGCATGCAAGAGCTTCCTGTTACTATGCCTTTTCTGCCCCCTGATCAGACCCCTTGAATATTGACCCTTAAATGAATCATGCTCAGGTTTGCAACCTCTCTTGGACTTTGCTGTTTGGACTGGTGTCCACTCCCTGGGGGAGCCAACACTATTATTGCCAAATTGTTTTAACTAGCTTCAGCCTACCTGAACCAGCCTCACTCCTTTCTGGCTCATTGAGAATTCTAGCATGTCGTAAGGCCATGGTCTCAGTGCTTATGATACTATCTTACCTTACTTTACCGTTAGTTCATAACCAGCTTTTGAACACATCTTGTCTGATTCTCAAAAAAGTTCTGTGAAAGAGGTAGAGAGGTTATTATTAACTCTCTATTGGAGATGAGGAAACAGACCTGGAGAGGGTAAATATCACGTGTCCAAGGGGACAGAGCTCATCAGTGGAGAACGAGGTCTCCTAATTCCAGTGTCCTCTTCATAACCCAGGTCACTCAGCACATTGAATTTCTACTGCGTGGCAGAGAGCATGCCTCATTTGCCTCTGTGTCTCTCTCTTATACTCTTGTGACAGAGCCTGATTTGAAAAGTCAGTCTTGGAGTCAGTCTAACTCTGCCTCCTACCTCCCTGAGACATTGTGTCCACCAGCTCCCCTCAAGGTTCCTTGGGCCTGTTCCTACCTGGTTCATGGGACCCAAGAATCCTGTGTCCCCCACTTGGGCTGTAACACCCAGCCTGATAGCTTTATTGTCCCACCACTGCCCCCTGGAGAGGAAAGCCTTGATATAGAGTTGGAGCCTCTTTCCAAGGGGGATTGGTAGAATCTTTGAAGAGAAACTACATTTCTGATGTGATGGTGGGGGTTAGCATTTCTCAATGTGGAGAGGGCATGAGGTTCCCTGCTTCCGACCAGGACCAGGATGGAATTTTAAAAAGAAAATCTTTCTCCTGATGGCATGTTGTATGGAGAGGGGATGTGTTTGTTGTATTGTTGTGGGTGAAAAGGATGGATTTCGATAAGAAAAGGAATCTCTCTCACCGTGAGGGGGTGGGGACCTCTCCTCTGATGGAACATAATGTCAGTTTCTAAGGGGAAAGGAAATTTCTTGTAGGAAAGGAATGTTCCTCTTTTAAGGGAGAGGAAGCTCTCTCTCAGGGATTACTAAGTGTGGTGGAAAGGAATACTTACTCTCTCCTTTCTTTCTTTCAATTTTTTAAAAATAGAGATGGGAGGCCGGGCGCGGTTGCTCACACCTGTAATCCCAGCTCTTTGGGAGGCCGAGGCGGGCAGATCACGAGGTCAGGAGATTGAGACCATCCTGGCTAACACAGTGAAACCCCGTCTCTACTAAAAATACAAAAAAAAATTAGCCGGGCGTGGTGGCGGGCGCCTATTGTCCCAGCTACTCGGGAGGCTGAGGCAGGAGAACAGCGTGAACCCGGGAGGTGGAGCTTGCAGTGAGCCGAGATCGCGCCACTGTACTCCAGCCTGGGTGACAGAGCGAGACTCCGTCTCAAAAAAAAAAAAAATAGAGATAGGATCTTGCTATGCTGTCCAGGCTAGTCTTGAACTCCTGGCCTCATGCAATCCTCTTGCTTCGGCCTCTAAAGGTCTCATTTCCTTCCCTCCCTCCCTCCCTCTCTCCCTCCCTCCCTTCCTTCCTTCCTTCCTTTTCTTTCTTTGTTTCTTTCTTGACAAGGTCTCACTCTCTGGCCCGGGCTGGAGTGCAGTGGCGTGATCACAGCTGACTGCAGCCTCAACCTCCTCCTGGGCTCGAGTTATCCTCCCACCTCAGCATCCGAAATAGCTTGGGACTACAGGCACATGCCACCACACCTGACTAATTGTTTTATTTTATTTTTTTTGTAGAGATGGGGTCTCTCTATGTTGCTCAGACTGGTCTCAAACTCATGGGCTCAAGTGATTCTCTCCCCTTGGCCTTCCAAAGTGCTGGGACTACAGGCATGAGCCACCACATCCAGTCTTCCTTTTTTTTTTTTCTAAAGGAGAAATCTCAAATAAAGAAAACTTCCATGCTTTCTCTCCAAAGAGGAAAAACTGTCTCAAGGGAGAACAATTCACATGAGATTGTGTCTGATTTTCTCTCCCTTTCTGATATCCAGCACTTCCTACATGGAGTCCACATACTCTGAGAGGGAGTGGCAAATAATTTCTCCTGTTCGGAGGTAAGGAAGCTGAGGAGGCAAACTTGCCATGGGGGAAACTTTTACTCTGAGAGGCTATTTGTGGGGGCAGTGACTCTAAGGAAACCCCTGTGAGGCTGGGGGAAGATAATGCACTGTTACTTGGGGAAATCTTTCAGGAATCCCAGAAGCACAGAGTGTTGAAGGGAGCTGAGAGATGTGCTGGGCCAGTTCTCGTTTGCTCATAAGGAAGCTGAGGTTCGGGGAAGGGAATGCCCCGCTACTAAGTGACAGCATCAGGACTCCAGCGCAGCTTTTCCAAGTCTCAGCCTGGGGCATTTCCTACCACAGCTGACAGGGGAGGGTGATGCTGGTGAGGAAACTGCTGCTATGAAATGTTTGACCTGTGTGGAGGCATCTCTGGAGTGGGAAGCATTGATTCCTGAGAGAAGGAAACTGGGAAAGAGGATGAAATTAGGGGCTCTGTCCAGCTGAAAGGGGTCAGGGTCATCGTGCAACCCAACAGGTGGACTGTGGGACATCAGCTTGTAGGGGATGCTGAGTTTGGAGGGAGTAAGGAGATAGGTCTCCAGATGTGCGGGGGAGGGGCTCTCACCGAGGTACCCAGGGAATTGTGCCACTCTCTGGGGCAGGAGAAATTTCCCAATCATTTCTTGTCTCTTCAGAGGGAGTTGTCATTTTTAATCTTTTCAAAATCAGAGGAAGGAGGTATGTAAACTAAATCCCAATAAAGCTGTTATTAGACAATGAAAAAGACAAGAACCACAACAACAAAAGCAACAGGGAGGAATGGCTCCGGGGCTGGCTCTGCGGCCCAGAAGTACAGTGATTTCCTCATTTGCAGCTTCAGCTACTCAAGTAACTACTTCTTTTGCCCTGTTCCTTTCTTAATCAGTAAAAAACCAAGGCCAGCTCATCCTGGGGGAGGTCAGAGGTTGCAGGAGAAAGAACTTGACAAACACACAAGCCACCTCTTCATTTACTGTAAAATCCTGTTTAATGTGTAACATTTCAGGCAGAGAGAGGCCTTGGGGACTAGAGGCAGAGGTGGCCTTGACCAACCCCTGCTCCAACTTATCTGCCTGCTTCTCTCTCCCTAACTCCCTCACCCCAGACACCTCCTCCTTTTCCTTGTGGCCAGCAAGCACTATTCCTCCTTTACTAGTGCTGGCCACCCTCCCTTCTCCACCCACATGTCCACAGCACCCCTGCCCTCTGCTCCTCTTACCCACATCCCTCCTCACTGATGTGACTCCAGAAACAGGGTATCTGACAGCACAGGGTTAAGATTAGTTTCATAATTGGAGACGCTGTCGGAGCATCCCATCTCTTGTACCCAGTGGTCCCAGAGAGAGGGAGAGGGAAGAGGGAAGGGTGCAGGCAACAAGGGCAGCCCACACTCCCAGTAACCTTGAGCACTGGCATAGGTGGCCTCTAGCTCCCCACCCCTCCAGCTCCTCAAAAGGAAGGCCCCGGGAGGAAGGGAAGTAGCCAGGGAAGGAAGGTTTTGATCGAGTAATCCCCAGCAGGCAGAGGCCTGTGCACCGGCAGGGGAGAAGGAGGGGCTCGCCCAGGGCAGGGTCGGGGGTGGGATGGGAGGTTGCCTGGTATGTGGCATCAGCAGGCCGAGCAGCGGTCGCTCTTTTCAGCCAGCCCAGCCCCGGTGCCAGGGCTGCGGCGCAGTATGTCTTTCAGGGAGCCATCCTGCTCACTCAGCAGCTTGTTGATCTCATTCTGCTTGTATTCAGGTGAGAGGCGGTGGCCGAAGCCCGAGCCCTTGCGGGAAGGTGGATTGGAGCGGCGCTGGGCTCGGCGGGCACAGGCCCGGATGATGAGGTACACCACCTCGGCCACATTGAGGATGATGCAGATGCCAGAGGCAGCTAGCATGAAGACGGTGAAGACGGTTTTCTCGGTGGGGCGGGACACGAAGCAGTCCACTGTGTTGGGGCAGGGGTAGACGTCGCACTTGACCAGCCGCACCATGGCATAGCCAGGGTAGAGCAGATAAAAGACATACATGAAGACGGCCTCAAACAACAGCCGGAACACCACGCTGATGACATAGGTCCACCACAGTGTCCCTGAGATGTGGACCTTGTGCCTCTTCACCTCCTCCAGGTGTAGGGGGTCCCCATGGCCCTCAAGCCGTAGCATTTTCTTCTCTATGTGTTGCTGGTGAGCCACGTGCATGGCCACGAGGAGAGCTGGGGTGGAAACTAGGATGAGCTGCAGGGACCACAGCCGCACATGGGAGATGGGGAAGAATTGGTCATAGCAAACGCTGTTGCAGCCAGGCTGGAGTGTGTTGCAGATGAAGGAAGATTTCTCATCACCCCACACACTCTCTGCAGCCACCACCAGCACCATGATTCTGAAGATGAAGATGACCGAGAGCCATACTCGGCCAATGGCAGTAGAATGCCGGTTCACGCCACTGAGCAAGGTGTACAAACCTGTCCAGTTCATCCTGCCTCATTCACACCTGCAAAACACCAGCCATGAAGCAAGCTGTCAGAAAGCTGGGGTGGAAAGTCGGGCGCCATAGCACTGCCTGCGCACCCCCCCTCAACTCTTCCAAGAGCCAGTAGCAGGAAAGGAAGGATGGTCATGTCTTTCCTCGTCACCCCATCTCCCTTGCCAGCTTCTCCTCCTCCTCACTCACTTGACTTGACCTCCCTGAGCCCCATCCCCCTTCTTCGCTTTCATCCAACATTCTTTTCCCGCCAGCCCCTTTCTTTGCCAAGCCCATCTTGTTCCGATATCAGCCATCCCCTATGGCTCCCTGTCCCCTAGCTCCTTAACTCCAGACCTGGGGCAAACTCAACAAAGCCCTCTTACCTTGGGGAGCGCCTATCCCTGAGGCCACCCAGACAGGTCCCCTATGGTCTCATGTCTGTGCAGGGGGAGTGGTCCCTGGGCTCCGCGCCTGCGTCCCAATTCATCACCGCCCGGTGCTGGGGAGTCATATGCTGCTTTATACCCAGTGTCTGCACAATGAGACCTTTGTGGGGCTCTGAACAACGCCCTTTAGAATTCAGATCAAACGCCCTGACTTCCGCCCACCCTACACACAGAGCACTTGTGTCCCAGCGCCGGACACCCAGCCTGCACCCACCTGTTCTGTGCCCGCCCGGTCCATCGCCGCACCCGCCCCATAGCCCCACCAGAAGAATGGCCACGGGGGGGCGGGGGGAGGGAGATAAAACACAGGCAGGTGGATGTGAAGAGGGGACCCCAGGGGACCCAGAGGCTCTGGGCTGAGGCCCTCCCCCATGGCCCCGTCAGAAGCTTAAGGTCACCAGGATTTTCCCTGAGGCTTAGATCCTCTCCGGAATATGGAGAGGAAAGAGGACAGGAAAGAGAGCTCATTTATGAAGCCACAAACTGTGCTGAGCGTTGTTCCATACATTTTTTCTTTCGACCCATTTAGGAAGCCTGTTATCCCATTTTCCAGATGAAGAAGCTGAAGCTCAGATAAGTAACTCCTCAAGGTCACACCGTTCCAAAGCGGTAGGATAGGTAGGATGAAACAATGTATCTGAGACAGAAGTCTTTCTACAGCAGGCTCCCTGTGCTTCTGCAGATAGTGTCTGTAGAAAGCAAAGGCTAACCATTAAAAAAAAAAAAAAAAAAAGGCTGGGCGCCGTTGCTCACGCCTGTAATCCCAGCACTTTAGGAGGCTGAAGTGGGCAGATCACTTGAGGTCAGGAGATCAAGACCATCCTGGCTAACAATGTGAAACCCCATCTCTACTAAAAATACAAAAAATTAGCCGTGTGTGGTGGCGCATGCCTGTAATCCCAGCTGCTGGGTGGGAGAATCACTGGAACCCAGGAGGCAGAGGTTGCAGTGGGCCAAGATTGCACCACTGCACTCCAGTCCGGGCGACAGAGCAAGACTCCGTCTCAAAAAAAAAAAAAAATCTTCTCAGGAAAAGATAACAAAGTTGCTTTGGGGGAATAAATGGTCTGTCAAACCCAAGATCTCTCCTTTTTCTCCCTAATGCTGTGGGTTGTTTTTTATTAGAGGGTGGGGACAAGGTCTGGCTATATCACTAAGGCTAGAGTGCAGTGGCACAATCACTGCTCACTGCAGCCTTGACCTCCTGGGCTCCAGCGATCCTCCCACCTCAGCCTCTCAATTAGCTGGGACCACAGGTATGTGTCACCATGCCCAGCTAATTTTTCAATTTTTTTTTTTTGTAGAGATGGGGGGCTTGCTATGTTGCCCAGGCTGGTCTTGAACTCCTGGGCTCAAGCGATCTTCCCACTTTTGCCTCCCAAAGTGTTGGGTTTACAGGTGTGAGCCACCTTGAGCAGTCCCCAATGCTGTTGTTGACCTATAGGGTCTGTCTGAGACCCCATTGCTGCCCAGCCCCCAACCCCAAGTGCATATTGCAACCTCGTGGTTTCAGGAGCTTGCCAGTTGCTCTAGGGAGGAAATTCTCCTCTATCCCTTAGGCAGGCTAAGAAGGCTTCTCCCACCTCTTGCCACTTCTGCCATTAAGTTGCAAGGAGATCATACTAGCAGCAGGAAACTGAATGTGAGGAGGACATGCAGCCCTGGACCATAGGAGGTGCAGTGATCCCTGGAGTCATTTCCTGACCCCAGTGCATGCTCCACAGCAGAGCAACTGGTTGTGGAAGAAGCCTCATATTCAGCCCTGGGTGGTCCTCTATGCTGTAGAGGAAAGGGGTGGGGTAACAGCAACTGCAAAAGTTGGGAAATGGGATGAAAGAATCTGGGGAAAGAAGGACAGTCCACAGGACATAGGTTACTTCTCAGAACAAGGTTTCTTCATTTAGCTAAATAAATAAATAAATAAATAAATAAATAAATAAATAAATAAAAAGCCTTAGTGAGTTCATGTCATGTGCCAACCAGCATGGGGAAGCAGGGCTATGGGTGCCCTTTCTCCCAAGCCTGGGATTCTATATGCAAAGCTGCTGCACTAGGCACCACAGTTAGCCATAAAGAAATGCTTCAGGGGCTGGGCAAGGTGGCTCACGCCTGTAATCCCAACACTTTGGGAGGCCAAGGCGGGCGGATCACGAGGTCAGCAGATCGAGGCCAACATGGTGAAACCTCGTCTCTACTAAAATTACAAAAATTAGCTGGGTGTAGTGGCATGCACCTGTAATCCCAGCTACTTGGGAGGCTGAGGCAGGAGAATTGCTTGAACCCAGGAGGCGGAGATTGCAGTGAGCCGAGATTGCGCCACTGCACTCCAGCCTGGTGACAGAGCGAGACTCTGTCTCAAAAAAAAAAAAAAAAAAAAAAAAAGGAAAGAAACAAAGAAAGAAAAGAAATGCTTCAGGTGGTGAGATGTGTTACACTCTAGAACAGGTGGCCAGAGAATTATTAAGAATAACCGGCTGGGTGCAGGGGCTCACGCCTGCAATCCCAGCACTTTGGGAGGCTTAGGCGGGCAGATCACTGAGGGGTTCAAGTCCAGCCTGACCAACATGGTGAAACCCCGTCTGTACTAAAAATACAAAAATTAGCTGGGTGTGGTGGCGGGCACCCGTAATCCCAGCTACTCAGGAGGCTGAGGCAGGAGAATTGTTAGAACCCAGGAGGCAGAGGTTGCAGTGAGTGGAGATCCCGTCACTGCACTCCAGCCTGGGGGAAAGAGTGAGACTCCGTCTCGGAAAAGACGAACAAACAAACAAACAAACAAACAAACAAACAAACAAAACCTAGGCCAGGCGCAGTGGCTCACGCCTCGAATCCCAGCACTTTGGGAGGCTGAGGTGGGTGGATTGCTTGAGCCCAGGAGTTTGAGACCATCATGGGCAACATAGCATGACCCTCGTCTCTATTATATTTAAAAAAAAAAAAAAAGGCCGGGCACAGTGGCTCACGCCTGTAATCCCAGCACTTTGGGAGGCAGAGGCAGGTGGATCACGAGGTCAGGAGATCGAGACCATCCTGGCTAACATGGTGAAACCCCGTCTCTACTAAATATACAAAAAATTAGCCAGGTGTCTCAAATTAGCCGGCTGTCTCAAAAAAAAAAAAAAAAAAAAAAGGCCAGGCACAGTGGCTCACGCCTGTAATCCCAGCACTTTGGGAGGCAGAGGCTGGTGGATTACCTGAGGTCAGGAGTTCGAGACCAGCCTGACCAACGTGGTGAAACCATGTCTCTACTAAAAATACAACAATTAGCTGGGCGTGGTGGCGCATGCCTGTAGTTCCAGCTACTCAGGAGGCTGAGGCAGGAGAATCGCTTGAACCCGGGAGGCAGATGTTGTAGTGAGCTGAGATCCCACCACTGCACTCCAGGCTGGGCGACAGAACGAGACTCTGCCTCTTAAAAAAAAAAAAGAATAAAAGAAATAATAATAATAATAAAAGAATAACCTGGCCAGGTTATTCTTTTTTTTTTTTTTTTTTTTTTGAGAGGGAGTCTCGCTCTGTCGCCCAGGCTGGACTGCAGTGGCGCGATCTCAGCTCACTGCAAGCTCCGCCTCCCAGGTTCACGCCATTCTCCTGCCTCAGCCTCCCGAGTAGCTGGGACTACAGGCGCCCGCCACCACGCCTGGCTAATTTTTTTTTGTATTTTTAGTAGAGACGGGGTTTCACCACGTTAGCCAGGATGGTCTCGATCTCCTGACCTCGTGATCCACCTGCCTCAGCCTCCCTAAGTGCTGGGATTATAGGCGTGAGCCACCGCGCCTGGCCCCTGGCCAGGTTATTCTTAGGCAACATATGGAGACCCCCGTCTCTTAAAAAAAAAATTAAAAGGAGGCAGAGGTAGGAGTATCGCTTGAGTCTAGGAGTTCAAGACCAGCCATAGGCAACATAGTGAGACCCCATCTCTACAAAAAAAGAAACACAAAAATTATCCAGGCATGGTGGCTGGTGCCATTCACCCATAGTCCTAGCTACTTAAGAGGCTGTGGCAGGCAGATCTCTTGAGTCCAAGAGGTCGAGGCTGCAGTGAGCTTCAATTGCGCCAACTGCACTCCAGCCTGTCTCAGAAAATAATAATAATAATAATAATAATAATAATAATAATAAGACCACCTCAACATTGTAGCATTTTTATTAAAAAAAAATTTACTGAGTACCTGTTATATGCCAGGCCCCTGCACATGCACTGTCATTTAATCCTTAAAAGAACTTTTTGAGGTAAGTGTTGCTTTATCCTCATATCACAGATGAGCAAACAGAGGCAAAGAAAGGTGAAAGGACTTATCTAAGAGTCACATAGTCAGTAAGTGATAGAGCTGGGATTTGAACCAGGTCAAGCTGACTCCAGAACACACACTTTTTTTTTTTTTTTGAGACGGAGTCTAGCTCAGTCACCCAGGCTGGAGTGCAGTGGCGCGATCTCGGCTCACTGCAAGCTCCGCCCCCTGGGTTCACGCCATTCTTCTGCCTCAGACTCTTGAGTAGCTGGGACTACAGGCGCCCCCGCAACCACGCCCGGCTAATTTTTTTGTATTTTTAGTAGAGATGGGGTTTCACCGTGTTAGCCAGGATGGTCTTGATCTCCTGACCTCGTGATCCGCCCGCCTCGGCCTCCGAAAGTGCTGGAATTACAGGCGTGAGCCACCGTGCCTGGCCACACACTTTTTTTTTCTTTTGAGACAGGGTCTCACTCTGTAGCCCAGGCTGAAGTGCAGTGGCGCGATCTCGGCTCACTGCAACCTCCGCCTCCCGGGTTCAAGTGATTCTCGCAGAGCACATACTCTTTCCCATAAGCTCTACTTGGCTACAGGTATAACTTTTCTTTCTGTGGGTACTTTTTAGGAACAGGGAGATTGAAAAAAAAAAAAAAAAGGAACAGGGAGATTCAAAACTGCTATGTCTTATTTTCTTTTAGCCCCTTCTCCCCTTTCCTATCAATTGACAACTCTTTCTTTTCTTTTTTTTTGAGATGGAGTCTTGCTCTGTCACCCAGGCTGGAGTACAGTGGCACGCTCTCTGCTCACTGCAACCTCCGCCTCCTGGGTTCAAATGATTCTCCTGCCTCAGCCTCCCGAGTAGCTGGGATTACAGGTGCGTGTCACCACACCTGGCTAATTTTTGCATTTTTAGTAGAGATGGTGTTTTACCATGTTGGCCAGGCTGGTCTCGAAGTCCTGACCTCAGGTAATCCTGCTGCCTCAGCCTCCCAAAGTGCTGGGATTACAGGCGTGAGCCACTGTGCCTGGCCCAGCTCTTTTTTTTCTAAGGTACTTTTGTTGTAGCAATTGACAACTCTTTCCCTCTCCTTCTGTCCCAGGATTTTCTGCTGCCTCTTGATTTGGTCTGCTTTTCCTTTCCTTACCTTTCTTGGGCTGCTTCCTCAAACTGCAAAGCAAACCTTAGCTGTTCTCTTCTCTGCCCTTCAGGGGTGTGCCACAGACATCCTGGCCACCCCTGAGTTTCTAGGTTCTTGTAACTCCCCGCCTTTTTTCTTCTTGAGTCTTCTGGGACATAGCCAGTAGCTCCCTGTGGGGCCTCTAAGGACCCTTGTCTGGGTGCTGTGATCTCAATTTTTGCTGTTACCTTTGGAAGGAGAACTGATCCCTATGTCAATATCAATGCCTCAAGGATTTCATTCTAAAAACATCCAGGGGAGTGACCTGATTTTGAAATCCAAACTGTTTTTGTGACTTCGGGTTAAAGTCCCCGTATTGATATCCTCGGTGTTGCTGCACGCGTGTTTTGCTCTCATGTTTAATTAGACAGGACTTCTCTGGCCTTGTCAGGCTCTGGCCCTGTCCCCAGATTTAGATTTGCCCTAGCACTCAAGCACAGTGCAAAATCAGGTGATCTCACTTAGTCCTTACAGCAGTCCTGTAATATTATCCCCATTTTTCAGACAAGGAAGTTGAGGCTCAGAGAGGTTAAGAAACTTGCCTCAACGGCAATTGCACTGCTGCTAAATGGTAGAATCAAGTTCCAAGTTTATTTTCTTACCTCAAAGTCTTTGTATATGGCGCTGCTTATGGCGGCCTCTCTTCCTTTAAGGAGTTTGCATTCTGAGACCAGGCCTACTATTCAAAAACCTATACACTTTCCTGCGTGTGCTGGCACACGCACACACACACACACACACACACACACACACACACATTCGTCTAGTCTGTCTCTGTCTCTCTCTGTTTCTGCCCCCACCTCCTCCCTATCCTTCCAACTACAGGAAAATCCTTGTGATTTGGGGTTTGGGGAAGAGGGGTGGGCTGGGATGGATGAGGTTACATTCAGCCTCGGACTCCATGCTCCCTCCCCCATTTCGCAGGCAGTCACTGGTCAGGAAGGGACATGGGGCTTTCTTTGAGATTTCCTTAGGAATTTCTGGCTGCCTTCATCAGTTTGGTGTGGCTAAGGCCAAACTCCTCCAGCTCTCTTCCCCTTCCCCTGCTTCTCTCTCTTGCCTCCACCCTGCAGTTCTGCAATATCTCAGTCACTGGACTTAGCCTCTCCACCCTGCCATACATATTCCGTGGCCAGGCTTGGGTCAGGTCCAGTCTAGCTCATTCCGATTTGTTCTTTCCCCCTCTCTGCTGCGGTCTTTTCAGAGAGCTTCTGCTTATGCCAGCTCCCTTCCCCATTGTTTGGACGCTACTCCCTTACTCCTCCATCACCCACCTGACTTCCTGTTGCTCTCTGCTTGGGTTATTATAACAGCTGCCATTTATGGAGTGCCCCCTGTGTGTATATTCACAGACTCTCACGCTCACAACAACCCCGTGAGCCAGGAGCTATTGTCTTCAACTCACAGGTGAGGCAATGAAGGCTAACAGAAGCTGAGTAACTTACTACACAGGTGGTAAGCAAGTGCTGGAGCTCAGAGTAGGAATCGTATTGGCCCCTCACCCAAGCCTGGGTCCCTTTTCCATTGCCAGGCTGCATTCTAATCTATACTTCTCTCCATTAAAACCCCTCTTGTCTGTATTCTCCTCTCCTCATTTCATTTTCTAAGTTTACACATTCTGCTGTGCCATTCCCAACAGCTGCAACAACTTTCAAACAGCTGGGGAACACCCCTCCTTTAGATCTCCAAACCGGCCGGGCGTGGTGGCTCATGCCTGTAATCCCAGCACTTTGG
Organism: Homo sapiens; assembly: GCF_000001405.40. NCBI lineage: Eukaryota > Metazoa > Chordata > Mammalia > Primates > Hominidae > Homo > Homo sapiens. The sequence continues at coordinate 71,216,128 of NC_000023.11, read as the reverse complement.
GAGGCCGAAGCGGGCAGATCACCTGAGGTTGGGAGTTTGAGACCAGCCTGACCAACATGGAGAAACCCCGTCTCTACTAAAAATACAAAATTAGCCAGGCATGGTGGTGCATGCCTGTAATCCCAGCTACTCGGGAGGCTGAGGCAGGAGAATCGCTTGAACCCGGGAGGCAGAGGTTGCAGTGAGCCGAGATTGCGCCATTGCACCCCAGCCAGGGCAACAAGAGTGAAAGTCCGTCTCAAAAAAAAAAAAAAAATCTCCGAACCATCAATTACTCCAAGTTCAGCTTGAGTCAGTCTGCCTCCTTCAAGAAAGTGGAAACACACGCTCCCAAATCCTTGGCCCTGTTGGCTAGCCCTCTGCAGCCCGCTGAGCACGCTTTATTCATCCACTCGCAGCCCCGTGTTGGGTGCATGCCTGGCTTGCCTTGTAATCAAGGAAGGAAAACAGCACCTGGCAGTGCCCAACATTCCCACTAAACCCTAACCCTGTGTGGCAGGAAATGTCTCAGAGAGACAAACTTGGCCACCTTGCACCTAGGGGGTCCCTCAAGTCTTCCTGAGAATCTGGCCCTATGGGAATAAGGGGAATCTTTGGCCAGAGGAAAAAAAGTGAGAGGAAAAGCAATGTTGAACCTGGAAAGAGGCTGCAGAGAGAGGCTAAGCAAGTCTGGCACCTGGCAGGAGGGGCCTCACCCCAGCTTCAGAGGGAAGCATGGAAGGGACCTAAGTGGCTGAAGGCGGAGGTCAGTAGAAGGCAAGACCCGGCCCCTATTTCCGGCCCACTGTGCCACATCAGCCCTCCCTGGCCCACCTCCCTCAGCCCCCAGTCTCCTCACCTCCCTGTCACTGCCACACCTGGCTGCTGCTGCCCTTTCCCAGAGAATGTCTGCAGGCGTGTCTGCCCTATGCCACCAGGTACTGTCAGCCCAGCCCAGGGGAGGGACAACGAACCCAGGGCCAGAGCCAGAAATGGCCCACAGCCCAAGAGGAACCAGACAAACATTAACCAGCCCCACCTCCTCCCACATACAATCATTAAACAAGATTGATCCTCTGAGCTCCCTATGGGTTTGGAGAGACAGATCACATAGCCTGGAGTCACTGCCTTGTCCCAGAGGAAGAGAGGCATCATTGTCACCCACCCATGTTTAGTCTCTCTGGGAGACTGAGCTGGACCTGTGCTCCTCAGCATCCCTCAGGCTTCCCCCATGCCCTGGCCTTAGGCAGATCCACAGTGCGGGCAAGCTGCAGAGAGGGATCCTGTACAGGCTGCCATCCTGGTCAACCCTTCTAGCTCCCAGCCTCTAAAACTGTATGACAGGGCCGGGCATGGTGGCTCATGCCTGTAATCCCAGCACTTTGGCCAAGGCGGGAGGATCACTTGAAGCCAGGAGTTTGAGACCAGCCTGGGCAACATAGTAAGACCCCATCTCTACAAAAAGTATAAATAAATAAACACATTAGATGACAATGGGGAGGAAAAAGCCATGGGTGATGCCTGCTGGCACCTGAGGTCAAGGTGGGAGCTGGCAGTGCTTCCCACCCATATGGCAGTACCAGGGTGCCCTCCGGCCACTTGCTTATTGTCCACATCCTGAGTGGCTGGGGATGGACCCAAGTATTTCTAATCCTATCCCAGAACCCTAAAACCTCAGAAATTGCTTTCTACCCTCAAGGCCAAGGCAGTTGAACTGCAAAGTGTATCATGTTCAGTAATGAATCTTGGCAATCATTAAGGTAAACAGAGACTGTCAACCATTAACTGAGGGATCAGTCTAGTTTCAAGGTCTGCACCACTGACGGCTTACCTGAAGACCCTGCTGTGTTCTGTGGCCTGAATGGCAGTGGAGAAACAAGGGAAGTTAGCAGAGAAACTGGCCCCCTGCCTTCTGTTCTTCACTCCAGCTTGAGCTCACTGCTAGAAAGGGAGCCAGGGCCTCAGCTTCCCTTAGCCAAACCTGGGCATATGGATACATCAATCCATGAGTATTGGACACCTACTAGGAACCCAGCATAGGGCTACGTGCTGGGTGCAGGTGGCAAAGGAGGTGAAAACATCCCAACTGTTCATAAGAGATTTATCAACTTCTTTTTTTTGAGACTCAGTCTCACTCTGTCACCCAGGCTAGAGTGCAGTGGCGCAATCTTGGCTCACTGCAACCTCCGCCTCCCGGGTTCAAGCGATTCTTCTGCCTCAGCCTCACGAGTAGCTGGGATTACAGGCGCCTAGCTAATTTTTGTATTTTTAGTAGAGATGGGGTTTCACCACGTTGGCCAGGCTGGTCTCGAACTCCTGACCTCAAGTGATCTGCCCGCCTCAGCCTCCCAAAGCACTGGGATTACAGGTGTGAGCTATCATGCCCTGCCGAACTTCTGGAGGAGAGGGGACCAAGACCCAATAAATTGTTGTGAAAAATATCAGTGCGTATTCACTAACTTTGATTCCTGAGAGAGTCCAGAGAAGGGAATGATGAGAATAAACTGAAGTAATCAGGGAAGGCTTCCTAGAGGAAGTGAGGTTTGAGTGGAGAAGTAAAAGACAGGTAGGAGCTGGAAGGGGAAGGACCGGGTTAGCATTCCAGGGAGGAGGAACAGTGTGAGTGAAGGCACAGAGTAGGAACGAGCAAGGCATATCTGGGAGCCAGTAAGGAGGCAGGACTGTGTTGAGGGGCTGTGGAGGAAACTGTCAGTCAGTTAAGAGGCTTAGAGTATGGAGGACATTTAAAGCCAGATAGGGAATCCTTTAGTTGTGCCTGGTAAACTTGGTAAAAGGCAAAACTGAGCTGGACATCATGGTGGGTGGGGGACAGGCTGAACACCATTCTTCCCGCTGAGAGTACAAGTTGTAATGGATAGAGAGGACTACCGTTTCCCGTGTACTTAATGCATTAAAGGCAATGTTCAAATTGTTTTGTATTACTTTGTTTGATCTTCAAAATAACCCTACAAAGTAGGCACTATTAATATTCTCATGTTACAGGGGAATTAAGGCACACAGAGGTTAAGTGACATAATTGAGGTTAGCCGGCTACTGGTAAATAACAAAGCTGGATTTGAACCCAGGCAGTCTGGTTCCAGAACTTGTTCACTTGGCCACTATATCACAGCTGATGAACTCTACAAGGTCCCACTGATAATCTGAGTTAGAGGTGGTCCCTGACTCCAGAAGATTCTAAGCTAACAGGACAGATAGAGACACTCACCTGAGTAACTACAAGGGAGTTTCTCCTAAATGCCATATGCAGATATGAGATGCCAGAAGTTCAGACGCAGAAGAAAAGGGTAGGTTTAACAGAAAGGCAGAGTTGGACGTGGGTCATAAAGGAGATGGAGGGACAAACATTTCAGGTGACAGGAAGCTGTGAGCTGTGTTTGGGGAACGGTAGGCAGACCTGTTTGACCAGAAGAGAGAGCTCCTATATATAGCGGAGTTCCTAGGAAGGGAAACTACAGGTTAATATTAGTGTGTACTCATTGTTCCTTGGAGTTCTGGCAGGATTTCTTTGTGGTGCTTATAGTTCTAAACTATAGGAAGTCTATTTGGATACTCCGTAGCTGTATAAAATATATTGTTGCTAGAATTG